>NC_000001.11:196934587-198184587 GCF_000001405.40 Homo sapiens | reverse complement strand
GTTGGTAAACATGCCTTAAACACAAATCAATTTCATTTAAGAATTATTAAATCAAACATCAGTCATAAATCCCCTAGATCTTTGAATGATCTAGAAAAATGAAAGTTATATGAATATGTAAGCAGTTTGACTATTTAAAATTAAAAATATATTCTACATTTTCCAACAATAGCCATGTAAAATTTGTCTGTCAAACAGATCGACAGGAAGTTAAGCTAATCAACTGAAGAGATAATATTTAGAACTGTAAATCTACCCCTTCAAGAAAAATCGCACTGAGTCATAAACCAATTGTTATAAAGGATTCTTGTGTCTGAATAGGTGAAACATTCCATACATTTATTTATAATGTGTTTGTCATTTGTGAAAATTGCCCAGTGAATAAAGTCAAATCCTTGCATACTACGAGGGTAGCTAATATGGTGTGAAAAATTACTATTTTCACACTATACAGCAGTAATAACAAAACATTCTTCAAAAATTCTAAAATCTGGCATGTACAAATCTCATTATAAAATCATTTTAAAGAAAGCTGTTGTTAAGTAAACATCCAACTATTAAATGGACCAGATACCACCAACATACATAATGTTCAAGTAAGCCCAGGGTAGGCACCTACATTCCAAGATATCCACTTACAATATTTGTTAGGATAAAACGGAATAAAGGAAAGAAAAAAAATTGTTTTTACATTTTCTTCACCTGTTTCTTGAACCACTTCAGAATTATGAATGACATTAGACCATTAAAAACGTCTCGAGTCACATGCTATATTTATCACCACTGTGTTTCCAGTGCTCAGAACACCATAGGCACATAGCAGGCATGCAAATATTTGCTGAATGAATGAAAATATAATGCCTGCTTAACCCTGTTTCATCTTGATAAACTTAAAAAACATTGGTAAAAAGCTGCCTCTAAATGCTAATTTAGAGTCCAAAAAAAAAGCAGCAGAAATTTGAACATTTGTTGTATCAACTGACTAACACACATGTTTAGGACATTATTAACTAAAATGTTTATTTACTATAAGTCAGAAACATTTCAAAGTATAATATTTAGAGGGTCAGCATGCATAATACTCAATTGGCTGCAATTAAATCATCCTAGAATACCTCCTTCATTGTATCTTTCACTGTATCATTCTTTTTTAAAAAAACATTTCTGATGATTCTTCACAATCTTTACAATAAATTCCTTAGCCTGGAATTACAGGCCCCTATCTATTCAACGGAAATTTACTAAACTCCTCCTTTGAACCAGGCAGGTACTCAGAATGGTTCCATTAAAGAGCTCATGGCCTAGTGGAAGTAGTAGTATTCCGAAACATCTTCCAGAGACATCGCCACATGAAAAATCAAGAAAAATCTGAAGTTTCAGGCTACCAATGTAACCTCTAAAGACGGGTTTTCCAGATGGGAGTTATAGGGTTGATTTTTCATTTCACAAATACCACCATTTTGGCAGCTATAAAGAGAATGAATCAGAACCTCATGCCCCACTTATTTCTGCCAAACTGGCCCATTTTTGAGTTTCAGAAATCCTATTATAATTTCACCTACCACAATGGCCTCCTCTCAAAGCCAAGCACAAATCCCTATGCTTCCATGAGTTCTCATTCAAACCAAAGGAGACATCCCCTTCCTGTAGAAGGCCTATACTATGGTATACTCTAGTGGCACTAAGGGCCTTTCTTATATTGTTAATGACTACTATCAATCGGGATTATGAAGTCCATAACAACAAAGTCTGTAGTAGATTCCTCTGAATCTCCCATTATATCCAACACAGTTTTTTTTCCCATAATAAGCCTTCTCAGAGTACAACAAATAACTGTAATCAGTTGTACTATATTTTACTGAGCCATTAAAGTATGTAAAAATTATAAGTAGATGGTTAGCACGTAATAAAACAAAGAACAAAGAGTTTGAAAGTAACAGTTTCTAAAATCCAGAATACATAAGTAATGTTTCCAAAAAATAATTCCAAAATCCCTGCATTTTTTTCCAGATTAATTACTTTTCATACATGTAGAAATCAATGGCCACAGGCCTGGCAGCAAGAATACAAACCAGAAAACCAACCCCAGGTTGTGAACCATAATCATGGTTTTGGGCTGTAACAGGAAAGCTCTATCTCTCTCTCTCACATGCGCACACACATACACACACTTTTATTCACATCCATTCTCCCTCTCTCCAGTTCAAGGCCTAAGAGATTAAAACACCCTTGTCCATTTAGACACAGAAGCCAAAATAGGTCGACCTACTTAATATTTAATATATGATCTAAATGAAAGAGACAAATTAAGAATGGTGAAAACATTATTAATGTATGTGCAAGAACACCTTTCTAACTGAAAGCTGACCATCATTATCCACATCTCTAATTCTTCTTGGATTTACCATCTTGAAGTAAAAAATATTCATTACAGCCAACTATTGAGAAGATGATTATTCTGATGCCCTGCTATTCACTTCTACCTGTTGCCTACCTTTTTTATTATTTCACTCTTTATTTCCATCAACAGAGGTAAACCTGAAAATATCTACGCATATTTGAACATATCAAGTATATAAAGCCATTTTAAAATTATATATATATATCACTTTTTTCTATTAAAACAAGAAAAAACAGAATCCTAACAAATGAAATCATTTCATTAACTGACAAAGTTTAATGAAGTTTCTCCTTCAATTCAACCACTTACCCTCACATGTCATTTTTAAAGAAATGATTTGCTTTACTCTGTCAAATGTTAACAAAACACATTTTAAATTGGGTTCATAGATTAGTCCATCATCCAGTGAAATTTTTCAAATAATCATTTCTTCAGTAATGGCACTACATGAAATCTAAAAGTCATACAACATTACAAGTTTAGAAGTTTGTATTTTTGTTGTTGTTTATTTATTTCAGTAATCTTATCATTGTTATTGAGGAGATTCTCACAAACATAAATAACATGGGGGGAAAAGCACTGGAATATGATACAGAGGATAAAAGTCTTAACCCACTTTACCAATAACTTTCTGTGTAATGTGTAATCAATCTCTGAGTCTTAGTTACTTCAAATACTAAGTGAAGGTGTTAGATTCCATGATAGATACCCAGTCTCAAAAGTTCACTCAATTCTAACGTCTTGTGAAATAAATAATCAAGTCATGCTGTATACATTGAGAGTTTACTGACAGGAACTTTGGGATGCTATGCATTAGTTACCTCCCAGAGCAGAGCCTCACTAGTAATGCATGATTAACTCCTAAGACACCCTTACTGAAGAATCTTCATGGAAGAGGGCACTATTGAAAAGAAGTCAATGATCAATTAATTTGAAATCAAAAACACCAAGAAGTTTTTATCTGCTTAGAGTTACATGTCAAGTATATGGTTGACCTAACAAAAAAAACTAAGATAATGCTTAGTTTGCTGGATTTGTTGTTGCTGTTTTTCTGAACTATTTAAAGATGATACTATGGTCTAAGAGTCCAATTTATAATTAGTTATCTCATCAAAGTAGCATGGTGATTATCATGTGTTTAAAGTTAATAGGAAAACTATAGAAAATGGGTGACCTTCTTGGTTTGATAACTTGTCCTATTTTGACCTTTTCCACATAGATATCTCTCTTACACTAGAAAATAAGTCAATCATATTATGAATGTATATTTAAGGCATCATTTTATAAAGCATTTTATAGACAGTTTTTCCTATTAGAAATCAACATTAAAAAATGTGTGAGCTATAAGCCCATTACTTATTCACACTTTTATTTTTAGTAAATGACTATATGAACATAATTTATTTAATAAGGCTGTGAATTTGTTTTCTCAAAGTAAAAATTAAATGTCCTCTTACTGAAAATACTCCATGTGTGTTCTCATTGCAATTCTTCCACAAGCAAAAGCAACACATCATTGGACTACCTCCCTAAAAGATTATGATAATTATCAAAAATTAGTACAAGGTCAAAATTATCAGCAAGAAAATGTTGTACCCAAAGGGGGAAAATGTGTTAAATAACAACAACAAAAATTATGAATTCTAGCCCTGTCTCTATCACCACCAAGCAAATGCAAGCTTCTCAATGCCCTTCCTATACCATCTGTCAAGTGAGGAAAAGCCTGCCCATTCCTCAAGCAAACTGTTACAAAGGAAAGAAACCTCATCCAAACCTCTTCTCTCATATTTTCATCTAGCTATACAGTTAAAACAACAGGTCTCAGCACACATCCTGAATAAATTACTTTAGAATAAGGAATAAAATGTTAGTAACAATAATGATTCTAAATTATGATACTTCGTTATTGATTAATTTTCTCTATGATGCAAAGGCTTTTAAATATTAGTACAAACTGAATGCTTACTTTTAACTGGAAGCACCCCCCCACCAAAAAAAAAAAGGGAGGTGTAGAAATCATGATTCTCTCTGGCCGTGATTTTTAAGGTTTCTAAATTTTATGTTTATATGTACTCTTCTAGCAAAATAAGCATCAATATGCTTTATTGACATTTTACACTTATCATTTTGTACTTTTCAAAAAGTTTCCACAGATATCTTCTCAAAACATCACAGTGGAGTGAGTGGGAAATAATTTCCAGATTACAGACAAGAAACTCCAAAGAAAGAAGTTACACAACTTAACCAAAATTACACAAGGAGAAAGCAAAGAAACTCAGGTTTCCTGACTCCTATAAATCAGGTTTAAGTTCAGTCTACTTTGTGTGTTTACACACACGTGTCTGCACACATACACACACACACACATACATACACACACACACACACTCCTGTGTAACTGTAGGTTCTTCCTGGCAACAGGAAGACTGCAGAAATCTGCATACGAACAAAATTTTCTTAAACTCTGTAAAGCCACAATTGAAGGATAGGGTTTCACAGACTATAAAGGCAGTCCTCAAGACCACAGAAAGACTGTTTAGCCCAAAATCCAACCACATCCTGGAGAGTCTGTCCCAGCCTCAGGTCCTAAAGTCCCTTGATTTTCCTACATGAACACTTCTATTCTGTTGGAGCCATCCTCATGCATCTTGCTGTACACCAAAAATAATCCTTTTTTTAGAGTATTATACCACCTTACTGTTCAAGAATCTGTATGAATTCTCTGTCACTTAACTGTTAGACCAAATTTAAATTCATCTTAAGAATTCAGGGCTTACTGGATAAAAAAATAAAGCAAACATAAAGGCCCATAATGAAGAATGTCTATTTAAGTTTTGAAAAGCCATGCATGTTCTACATTTTTAAAAAATGTTTTACACACACAACACACAAATTTCCTAAAATCCACTGTAACTTGAAAACTACATGAGGATAGGTTTCCAAATAATGTTTTCATTTAAGAAATCACTATAGTATATAGAATGCCTAAAAATGCAAGGCCTTATATT
Organism: Homo sapiens; assembly: GCF_000001405.40. NCBI lineage: Eukaryota > Metazoa > Chordata > Mammalia > Primates > Hominidae > Homo > Homo sapiens. The sequence goes on along the minus strand of NC_000001.11, from coordinate 198,179,178 downwards.
AGAATTGGCAACAGAAAATGTAAAGATTAATATATTTCCTATACTCAATGAGTTTAAATTATAGCAGTTGAGAAGAAATAAGGACAAACATATGAAATTACAGTATGTTTTTATATTGACCATATCCCATATCAAATGACAGTCTCAATTTTCTAAGAGGCTTTTCCTTAAAAAAAAAAGGGGGGGGGTATCAAATGGTATCAAATGCTTTTCTATTCTACTAAGCTTATCTCACAAATTTTCTTACTGAACCAAATGAGATAATGAATCAAATAGCTAGATCTCTTCCATTATATTATCTTTATATGCTCAGATAAACCTTTATCGGTCATGACTGATGACTCTTTAACTGTACCATTAGTTTTAATTTTATTGAAGCTTTGTGTATCTACAACCATAAGTGCTCTTCAAACTCTGCTCTTTAAAACACTAGAATTCCAGGAGTTGTTAATCTGTATTCCATGACAACAACAACAACAACAACAACAACAAAAAATGGCAGGGAGAGGGTCCATGAACAAATGAATCTGCAAAATACTGGGCAAAATAAAGTCAAGTTGGTTTCTTAGCTATAAGACTTCTCAGGGATCCAATTACACTAAAGTGCACTGTAAACCCCAAAAGAGTACCCGATGCAGATTTTTCCAAACTTGTCTAGCCACAAAATTCTCCTACAGAATTTCTATTATCTTGGAAAAGTCTGGTAATCTGTTGAACACAGTCTGGTCAATATTCGACCAACATATCATCCTTTGGGCCAAATTTTTGCAGGCTTTGATATTAATATAGTAACTCAAGAGCATGAACTGAAAGATTCCTATTCATTTCGATTTAAAAGTAAAAAACGTTAAAAACAGGACTATAAGTCTAAGTGGGAAGGCAGCTCATATTACTTTAATTCTTCCATAGTCATTAGTCTATTAGTTATTAGGGCTTGAGTCGATTTATAAAGTTGTTCTTTCTCTTATTTAGTGATTTTCTTCATTAAACTCTACTTTAAAATTTATATTGCTACTCCTCTGTGTTTTCTGATGTATTTTCCTTATAAATCTTGGCTACCTTTTTATTTTTAACCTTTCTAGGTTGATTCGTTCTAAGAATATCTTTTGAAAGCAGCACATAGTTGAGGATCTCTCTTTAATCTGAGTCCTTTTAAAGGGAAATTTAATATACTGTATACAAATTGTTTTGTTGACACTTGTCTTTTATATTCTTAATTCTTATGTTTCTGTGCTATTTTTTTTCATCTCTTGCCACATGGACGATGTTTGCTTGCTTGATTTTGTCTAGCCATTTAGAAAACAAACATATCTTTTCTTATCTTAATTCCACTAATGGTGATTCCAAGTTATTTAAAGGCCTCCTTTAACCAGACTTTTTGTTCATTATCAAAGTAAAACTGAAATCCTTCTTCTGGCACACAACCCGAGGTTAGCTGAGGAACTGATCATGCCATCACTCTTCCCTTTCCCCCAACACTTCATTCCCAGTTCTCAGATTATAAGTTTTATAACCATACCCTTTTTAAGTTATTCTGACATTTTGTACTATTTCCCATCTTGCAAAACAAGTATTTAGTCTTGCTTCTACATTTAAAAAAAGCATTTCAATGCTTTTTCTCAATGATTTTGTACAAACATGTCCCTTTCCCAAACTCTTAATAGTACATTTTCAAATAATTTTTGAAGAGCTCATATGTGATACATTGTCTCTGAACGTTGAAAATAAAAAAAGTAATTCTATTGCCATCATACATGAACAATAATTTGGCTGTGTATGCCCTTTTTTAGCCACAATCCTCTGCTTTGATTTTGTTAGGTCTCTGAAGTAATTGTTCCATTACTTCTGGCATTTTGTGATACTGAAGAGAACACTTTGATCCCTTCCAATTCTTGGCTGAAGAACAGTAATTTACTTTCATCAATTATTGGTTCAGAACTGTGTGTTTACCTACTACTACTTAATATAGTACTTGCTTGAAGTAAATCAAGCTAGCAATGTGAATCACTACATAAAGAGCATAATAAGGAAATTATTTTATCTACTTTTATCGTTTCTACACAAAATGAGTCTTTTGCTCTGTGATCAATAAACAAGTCTGCTGATTCTCTTGTTTAAGTTTCCTTTAATGGTAAGTCCCTTGGTTATTTAAATCAATAATCACACATTTTCAGCTGGACATAACCTGCCTCCTACATACTGACGATTTATAAACCTGTAGCTCCAGAATCTCATTTCCAATTATATTGCATCTTTCTGCCTAATATCCTAAACCTAACATGTCTAAAATCTTGAACACTCTAAACTGTTTCTACTCTGTATTTCCTTTCTTAGTGAATGGCATTTTCATCCAGTCACCCCCTACATTGTTATCCGTCATCCCCTACGGTCCCTAGGTCATACCAGAAACTTTTACTCCCTTACCTCTACGTAAGTCCTCAACTCCTACTAATTCTGCCTCACAAACATCATCACTCTGTTTATCCCAGACCCTCATGATCCTTGCTACTATTAAAATCTACTAACTGCTCTTCCTGATGTTAGTAATGAAATTCTTATTCTACATACCCATTATATATATATATATATGATAAATCTAAGATGAAAATCTATGTCATAAGCCTGCTTAAAACTCTTTAATGAATAAAACATAATCTCCTCAACCTCACTCCTTACTTGCCAGCTACTTTCCCCCACATAAGTACCATACTCTGGCCTTAATGTGAACCACTTATACTTCCTCCAAATGCCAAGTTATTTAATACCTATGTGCCTCTGACACAGACAATGGCATCATACTGAAATACTCAACCCAGCTAGTCAGCCTGGTCAACCTTGCTTGGTACTCAGGTAGCCTTTTTTAAAATACGTATTTTAAGCATTTGTCTCATGTATTTAAATGAATCAGTTGTCTGTCCACCTTAGGCCCTACCCATTACCTATGTATTAGCAACTACTACTCAAGGGCTGAATCTATTTGCTCTTCATTTTTATACCTTCGGCACACATGAAGATCCAATAAATATTTGTTGAATAACTAAACACAGTTAGAAAACAAAACAAGAGATTAAAAGACTACAGGTCTAACCATCAGGAAACCTTAGTTTAAATTCACATGAGCACCTGCTTTCGATTAAAGACAACATATCCGCCCTGTGTCTCAGTTCCCTCCCCTCTAAAGGAAGGTTCATAATGAGTACATAGCATGAGAAGACAGAGCAAGGTCTCACATCATTATCTCTGAAACAACAAATCAAATCAGGGCACTTTCTACTGTAAAAGAATGGCTGGAAGAACAGTTCTCAAGAGTTTTAAGCAGCACACAAATGCAAGATAGTATTATTTCTTCTGCTTATCTTTACCGAAGAGTTTCCCTACAAGCATGTGAAAGACAAATGATACTTATTCGGCCCTTTTAAAGTATGTCCAAAAAGCTTTTGATAGACTTTGTATTTGTTTAGGTTAACTGTGGACACAGAATGCTATTACAAATTCCCCTCATGTTTTTATATGTCATTCAGTTAGTCACATAGCAACAACTAAAGTCTGGCAAAAGCACATGCTCACTAAGCTAATCATTCAGCTGTAATACTAGAAAAATCATGACAACCAAACTGATTTAAAGAGCTAAGATAAATAGCTTGGCCCCATCTTCAAAACCAGATTTAAAAAACATTCTACTGAATTCCTTGTACTAAATAATTCATAGTATGAATTTTATCATAACGAAGTTGATAAGGCCTTATGGAATACAGGCTAGTACTTGGAAATACTTTCATTAGTATGAATTATTTATGGTAAGGTCATTTGTTTTTAAAAGCCTTTGGTCTGTAACAAGTACTCAATAACAGAAAAATCACACACAAAAAATGAAAAACACATTTAAATAAAAGAAAAATTTAATGGAATTTTCAAAATTAACACATGGTTTTACATTTAATCCTTATAGAAAGACTTATCAACTGCTCATATTTATTCATTTAACAAATATTTTTTGCATACCTACTCTATTACAGACACTGTTCTATGCATTGATTATTCCTGAACTTTCAAAATCCTCTCTTATTTACATACTACAGTTTACAATAAACCATAAAGTAGTTTTAAAAGCTTTCCTAACAGGCACGGTACAGTGCCTCATGCCTGTAATCCTAGAACTTTGGGAAGCCACGGTGGGAGGCTCACTTGAGTCTCAGAGTTTGAGACCAGCCTAAACAACACAATGAGACCCCCATCTGTACAAAAAATTAAAATATTAGCCCAGTAAGGTGGTTCACACCTGTGGTCCTAGCTACTTGGTCAGTAAGGTGGGAGGATCACTTGAGCCCAGGAGGTTGAGGCTGCAGTGAGCCATGATCCTGCCACAATGCTCCAGCCTGGGTGACAGAGCAAGACCCTGTCCCCCCCCAAAAAAAACAACAAAAAACAAAAACAAAAAAAAACACAATGCTTTCCTATCCATTATTCCTCTTGATGCTGCTGAAAACTGGACAAGGAAACTGAGGCCCTGATCTCAGTGGTAAAGCAATGACTGACTCTAGCTCAGGTCTTCTGATGTCCTCTGCAATGAACTTTTTCACTAAGCCCCACTTAGGCCCTGACTGCATTCTTAGGACCTGAGTTAGTCATAACAAGAGTCTATTTAATGTATAATTAGGTTAGTAGGACACAATCGATGTTTAGCAACAGAAATTTAGTCTGTTACTTTACTTCTTGGAAAACTCACTGCCTTCCTCCCCCTCCTACCCACCTCCCCACGTACACAAGAAACGAAGCATAATACTTGTACCTTTGAGATTTTTTTTTTTACCAAGCATAAACGTCAATGCAAATTAAGATTTCAAAAACGTAAAATTAAGAAAGGAAGGAAAAAAGGAAGTATATAAAAGCCACTGCCTCATAAATATAAAACTATCCTTGTACTTAATAACAAGATGTTTCAATGTACTTACAAGGTAAATCAAAGTTATATTTTACATTTTAAAATTTACCTCTGGGAAACTAAATTTAATTGGTTATATATTTTTATATCTCAGAACTGAACTATGCTTTGAATGGATGGTGCAAAGTTAACCTAGGCAGCTGCTAAGCAAGCTTTCTCACCAAACTCTGCCAAATTATTTCAATTCTGACCTGCACTATCTTGCAATTTCTCTCTTGCTCTTTTGAGCACAGACTATAAAATCATGCCAAACTCTGTGTGAATGTCTTTTAACAAACATAAACATATACTAGAAACAAATGTACTTTCTCTGGCACACTTACATGTAAAACTATGACTTTATGGAAATACTATCCAAAGAATAAGAAAAATTAAAAGCAGGAATAACATAATGTTATGCTGATAAAGCTATCTACGATGTTCTATAAAAAAAACTTTAATTATAAAGTTTTTTATATAAAAATATGACCAAATAAATGAAAATCTAATTAATACTGACTATAGGCTTTCAAAATGAAATTATATAATTGACAGCAGTTAAATTTTGTTTTCAGAAACCTGAATCTGTGAAAATCCATATTCCAACTAAAGAATGCTAAAGTGTCATAAAGATGGTCTATACTAAGAGGCTTTAAAAACAGATTTATTAAGAATGGAAATGATATTATTTTATGTTGACAAGAAAAATACCTCACATATTATACTTAAGTCAGGCAGCAAATAACAAGTTAAATTTTACTTTCCTCCAGTATTCATTGGGCATTTATTTACCTTTCAAAAAAGCTGTCCTTTTTTTTTTTTTTTTTAAAAGACAGAGTCTCACTTTGACTCCCAGGCCAGAGTATAGTGGCACAATCATAGCTCACTATAACCTCAAACTCCTTTGCTCAAGCAATCCTCCCAGCTCAGCCTCCCAAGAAGCTGGGACTACAGGCACATACCATGACACCTAGCTAATTTTTTAATTTTTTGTAGAGACAGGGTCTCCCTATGTTGCTCATGCTGGTCTTGAACTCCCAGTCTCAAGCAATCCTCCCACTTCGGCCTCCCAAAGTGGTAGAATTATAGACATGAGCCACCACATCCGAAAAACTGCACTTTTAAGTGGGAAAGAATGGACAAGGCCCCCAACACACCTTCTTTAGACAGACTCCTCTGCTGCTATATATCAGTCTCTCTACTGATGACACCAGAGCTCTACTCCAGGCCAGACCTCTCTGCTGAGCATGAGATATATAACCAATTGCCTATTAGACAGTGTTAGCTACATATCCCATGATATTCCAAATTCAGCATCACAGATGCATCTTCTCACCACCACACAAAGAAACTGTTACTTATTATTAACTTAGTTATGATCAATATAGATTTAATCAAGAATTGAGGGAGTTATTCTAAACTCTTTGCTTAAATAGGACTCTAAATTCTAAGCTGATGTGGTTAATATTTCTTCTCCTTTGCTCTTCAGCACTAGGCTCTATGATGACAACTTTATATATAACTAAGGCAAAACCTGCATTTCCTTATATCTTAGAACATTTCAACTCTCACTTCTCTAGCCAGCAACTAGGAATCTATACAATTTTCATATTCCTGGGATTTGTAGGCACTATACACACAGGAGGACCTATCTGACTGTCTCAGCACCAAGATGGTATGTAAAGTTCAGCTGCAAACATATTTTGTATAAAGATATGAGATTTCTTAAACTATACTGGGACAAAGTTTGCTCCTCCTAAGTCTCATGATCATGCTCCTACTGCTTATGAAAAACTACAGAGTCAAAACTGAAAAAGAATTAGAAAATATTCCAACGGAAGAAGAGAGCAGAGCTCTTTATCTTTGGTGAAAAGACATCCTTGTCCTCAACAAGGCAGGAAACACCTAGACATAAATTAAGTGTCCAAAGAGTCTGCAAGAAAGTTAAGTTTCTAGTTTCTTTATTTCATTTCATTTTAATAAAAAGTCACAGCTACTCAAAGTTCAGAGAGAAGGGGAGGGAGAAAAGAGTGCTGGTATGGTCTATTCAGAGCACCAATCCACACCCCAGCCAAAACACTGTGGGCTAACCTAGACTCCTGTCTCTTTATCTTCTCCAGCTCATTCATTAACTCGTTTTTGTTTGTTTTGTTTTGTTTTTCAGCATTACTGATATGTCTACCACAGAGCTGCTGGGAATACAAAAAGAACTAAGGCAATTCCGATAGCTTAAGTTATTCCCAGAGGAGACATACAGAAACAGACTTTTACAATATAAGGAAGCAAGTATGATGACAGACACCATCACTGGGTACTGCTACTACATGAGTTCACAGGAAGGATGTCAGGATTATCCAAGCAAGCTGTCAGGGTCAGGCAGGCCTTGTAGAGAAGACACTCAAGGTGAGTCTTACGGCATGTGGGAGTTAACCAGGCAAAGGAGAAGAGGTGGGACATTCCAGACTCAATCATGGGATAACTAGGGAACTACAACCAGTGCCCTAAGACAGGAACATGGGATGCAGCAGAGGAAAATGCCAAGGCCAAAATCATAAAGGTTTTTGATTTTTTTTTTTTTTCAGACGGAGTCTTGCTCTGTCGCCCAGGCTGGAGTGCAGTTGCACAATCTCAGCTCACTGTAACCTCCACTTCCTGGGTTCCAGCGATTCTCCTGCCTCAGCCTCTGGAGTAGCTGGGATTACAGGAGTGCGCCACCATGCCCAGCTAATTTTTGTATTTTTAGTAGAGATGGGGTTTCACCATGTTGGTCAGGCTGGTCTCGAACTCCTGACCTCGTGATCCACCCACCTCAGCCTCCCAAAGTGCTGGGATTACAGGCATGAGCCACTGCACCCGGCCCATAAAGTATTTTTAAGAGACTAAGTGGTTAGAAATTATTCTGAAGGCAGTAACTGAAGGACTTTAAGCAAGGAAAAAACCTAGTTAGAACTGGCTAGAGAAGCATTTCTTTAAAAAAATTAAAAAGCATAAATAAATTCAACTCAATTTTAAATCTGAAGGGAAAAAAAGAAAGAAGACATTACAGAGGGTTCTATTTATTTAAAAAAAGACATAAGCCCTTTTCTTGGTAATTTTTAAGTACACTGTAGTCTCACTGAAGTATGAATTTTCAAGTCTGAACTTAATTCCTTCATATATCTCATAAACCAAACTTTTCTTAATACATGTTTTGGCCAGGTGCAGTGGCTCATGCCTGTAATCTCAACACTTCAGGAGGCTAAGGTGAGGAGGACAGCTTGAGGCCAAGAGTTTGAGACCAGCCTGAGCAACACAGCAAGATTCCATCTTGAAAATAAAAAACATTTTTTTTTAAGAAATCTACGTTTGAGGTCCCTTTTACAATAATCTTGATTCTATTTTGATGCGAGTTTCTGATGTGCCATAACTACAAACCAAATAAAGAGATCATAAAAGCACTAAAGCTTTTATTGCTATTATCATCAAATTTTAAAAACATAAAGGTACAAGTAACTTCACAATCACTTCACAAGAGAAAAGAGGTTCAATCATTTTAGCATGGTATTCAAACCATCAATTCACAATTAGTAATTATTCTTATGAAGGGAATAATCTCAAGTATTCGTCCAGTTATTTCCTTATTTAACTCAGTGCAACATTTTCTCCATGAGGGGATCCTTGGAACATGGAATTAATTGGCAAATAGATAGTCATACCTTTAAGGAATAAAAAGGTTCCTACCCCTTTACAGAAAGCCAAACGACTTACCTAGAACTAGGAATGAACTGGGCTCTAAGGAAAGGAAATTTAAGTATACTCAGTCAACAGCTTAGCAAATCAGCTTCAAGTCAATTTAATCTAACTGCCTGTCATGTTTTAATATCATATCTTAACTCCAGGACTTATCTCTCACTTTATTCCCTGTTGCTCGAGCCTCTAACTTAGACTTAATTGCCAAACTAGTCTCTGTCTGGTCTCCACACACTCCTCCCCACTCACACCAAGTTCATGTCTGACACACTCGTTTTTCCTAGTCCTGATTCCTATCTCACCCCACTCTGAGATCTTTCAGACCTTGGAATTCAGAATTCAGATACAAAACCAAGCATCTCAGACTAGATCCCTGAATATCCTGACAGTGACCATTCACAGATTAGACCTTTACCTATTTCAAACAATAAGACCTCCTTCATACCATGTTCTGTGGGCCTTGCAGAGACGTGTGCCTGGCATTCATCCTAGACCTTTCCTGAAACCAACAGCTCAATTGTTCTGGGCATTCCCTTACTGCTAGGACCTGCCTAGACCTCCTGTCAAGTGTAGTCTCTGGGAAGCAGTCATCTGCCATTCTTTAAATGGCAAGTTCTGACAAGAATGGTCCTAGGCCCTACAGAAAACACAGATCTGTACAGGACATGATTCACACCTTCCAGAAGCTTATGCTCCAGAGAGGAAGCTAAGATAACTACAACAAGACTCAATAAGTACTAACGGCTTAAAGAAGCAGAAGAAAGAGGTTTATTTGTATTTTTTTGTATAGTACTTGAGCAGGGCCTTAAAGGATAAAGATTATTTTAATGCACTGAGATTGAACAGTGACATATGGAAAATGGACATTTAAAGTGGTGAGAAAAGCATAGAGTGGAGAAGCCAGAAAGGGTACAAAATTTTCCAAAAAAAAAAAAAAACCCAGTAAGTTGTTAGATATGACTAAAATGTAGGGGAATATACAGGAAATAAATAATCTAGAAAGCCAGGTGAGGATCAAGTGGGGCTCCATTTAGTGGCAGAGTGAGTCAGGCAATATGGTACAGCATTTGGTCGTTCCTTTATTCTCATATTCTGCAATTAATAAAAACTTAAATATTTTTAAAGCATAAACTTGGATATTTGTTTTGATAAGAAATACAATCCTCCAGACTCAAAAAGAAATCTAAATATCTGACAGTGGTGATCCAAAGTGCTTTCTAACTGTGGAAAGTTGGCAAATAAACCTGGCACCTCCAAGCAAAAATAAGAAGCATCTCATTTAGCTACCTATTTCTAATGACTGAAAAATTGACCTTCCTTCCAGTAGATGAAGGAGTTACTACTGTGCAGCAGTTATATCCATAAACTATTAATAACCAAACACTCAAAACAATGTAGATTTTTTTAAAAACTAACACATAGAGCTAAGCCATATGTACTGACCACTTTACTTTTAAACTATAAATTATGCACATGAATCAACTATGCAACCTATATACTAATTTTATAATACAGAGAAATCTCAGAATAATCTTTTCAAATGAGTAAACATTACAGAAAGCTGCTTCCCCATATTCCTTTCCCATATGTTCTGCATACTCCTCTCCTTTGTTTTTAAAGGTTTCTTTTCTTCCTCCTACTTTATTCCAGCCATTACATCTCTCTTAAAATTGCCACTGCCATCTAGGTTTTTCTCTCTCACTCCTGCTATGGTCCCTTTTTTAATTGTAATCATTTCATTCACTTTCAGCTACCTACCAACAACTCCCAAATTTATCTTTCTTTGGTCTGTGGATTGATAAGACCAAGTTGGAAAATGGAAAGAAAAAAAAGAAACAAAAAGATGAACTATAAAGGGAATGTAATCACAGAGTCACTCATTTTACAGCTGCCAGAAGGCTCCAAAGATCACACGGTCTATCCTCAAATTTCAGGCAAGTATGCCTCCCAAGTTCAGAGAAGGCTCACCTCAATTTGAAACTGACTTTACACCAAGTCTGTGCAGTCAACAGGATCATCTTTCAAACATTCTCAAAATGCATATGCAAATACCCCACAAAGTTCACAAGTTGGAAAATGTGGAAATGCTGACGTTCTGGGGATGACAACCCACAACACAAACAAAAAAGGCCTAGGAATGGTAGTACTGCCCTGCCAGGGACCACACACTAAGAGACAAAAGTCTCAACATTTTCTAACCAGATACCGTTGGTACATCATTACAGCCCATGCTTCTTATATTATCTGAATCATTAACCACAAAATCACTCTCCCCTAGGCCAGGCACTCAACTCTTAAACTGAGTTCCATATATATTACATTTAGCTCACACTAAGTGTCAGAACCTATGTTTGGCATTTGAAAAATAAAAAAATACACCTGGACTTGACCCACGATTTGAAAACTTTCTATGTCAAGCTGCATCTTCTTATAATAAATAAAGAGAAGGGGAAATGGTCATAAACAACAAGGGCTTGTGCTGTTTATAAACTCCAAATTTTTTTAAAAGGTGAAAACAAATCGCTGATAGAAAACAGTTTTAAAATTGCCAAACAGGCTTTTGAATAAAGAGCAACACTTGAATGCAAAGGCTTGTATCTACTGACAAGGAGGGAAGTTAGATGGGACTCAAGTGCCTGTCACTTGTTATCAAAGTCCCAGATGGAAATAAGACAGTCATGGAAAAAGGAACAGGTTACTCATCATAATGTTCTTGAACACTTTCCAGCGTGGCCAGACATGCAAGACAGAAAAGTCTGGTGCAGTCGAGCTGTGAAACAAGATAGAGAACTACAGGTAGGTAATGGTAACTAGAGGCAAAATCTCTAAGTGGCAAGGCAAAGAGCTTTTGCCCCTGTGCAAAAAAACACCTCAGGAGCAAGGGAAGTGGTAAGCTTTCACACCCAGTTGAGAGAAATTTTGTAAAAATGCCAAAAATGGTGAGAACAGTACACAGCCTAAGCAGTCCAGTAACAAGGGACCGTTTGGTTGAGAAGGAACTAAAACTAACACTTAGATGTACTATTTTCTTTCACCTTGCTTGAAGTGGCATTTTCTCTCCTGTTATTATCATCATCATGTTAATGAGTGCATATCATATAAGATGCCTTGGGTGCCTTTATCTCTCAGACACAACCTCCGCACAATCTTAAAATCTGCTGTTAAGACCAAAAACATCAGAAATTTGAAAATCTTTTCTAAGTAAAGAATCTGAATAGAAAAGCATAGATTTTGCTTGTTGAATTTTAAGTGTAAGAGTGATAGGCAGCAAAGGTGAGGTCATGAGGATGTCCTTATGAGAAGAGACACAAGCGAAAACACATAGGAAGAACCTGCATGTCAGAGGCAGAGAATGGAGTGATATATCCACAAGCCAAGGAAAGACAAGGATTGCTGCCAATACCAGAAGCTAAGAGAAAGGCATGAGCCACATTCTCCCTTAAGCCTTCAGAGAGAACACGGCACTGTCAACACCCTGACTTCTGACTTCTGGCCTGCAGAATGGTGACAGAATAAATTTGTTGTTTTATACCATCTAGTTTGTAATAATTTGATACAGCAGTTACAGAAAACTAATGAAGGCATATCTCATTTTATTGTGCTTCACACATTGTGTTTTTTATAAACTGAAGGTTTGTGGCAACCCTATGTGAAGTTAGTCTGTTAGTGTCATTTTTCCAATAGCATGTGCTCACTCCATATCTCTGTGTCACATATTGGATATTCTTGCAATAATTCAAACTATGTCACTATTATTATATCTTTTATGGTGGTCTGTGATCAGCAATCTTTGATGTTACTGTATTTGTTTTGGGGCACCATGAATCATGTCCAAATAAAACGGTAAACTTAACGATACATGGTGTGTGAATGTTCTGACTGCTTCACTGCACCAGCCGTTCCCATCTCTCTCCCTCTCCTTGGGCCTCACTATTCCCTGAGACACAACAATAATGAAAATTAAGCCAATTAATAACCCTACAATGGCCTTCAAGTGTTCGAGTGAAAGAAAGAGTCACCCATCTCTCACTTTAAATCAAAAGCTGGAAATGATTAAGCTTAGTGAGAAAGGCATGTCAAAGGTCAAGACAGGTCAGAAGCTAGTAGCTCAGAAGCTAGGCCTCTGGAGCCAAACAGCCAAGTTGTGAATGCAAAAGAGAAGTTCTTGAAGGAAATTAAAAGTGCTAGTCCAAAATGGTACATTATCAGTGGTTGCTGAAGCTCGGAGCTGGTCTATTACACTATTTTGTTTATTTTGAATGTGTTTAAAATTTTCTATAATTGAGTAAAACATCTGTATAAAAAGACAAAAGAAAAAAGTGATACTCAGTGAACACACCAATGATAAGAAAGTGAAACAGCCTTACGGCTGAGACAGAGAAAGTTTTAGCGGTCTGGATAGAAGATCAAACCAGTCACATTTCCTTAAATCAAAGTCTAATCCAGGGCAAGGCACTAACTCCCTTCAGCTCTGTGAAGGCTGAGAGTGGTGAGGAAGCTGCAGAAGAAAAAATGGAGTTAACAGAGGTTGGTCCATGAAGTCCAAGGAAATATGTCATCTCTATCATATAAAAATGCAAGTTGAAGCAGCAATTGCTGAAGTAGAAGCTACAGCAAGTTATCCAGAAGATCTAGCTAAGATCATTGATAAAGGTGGCTACACTAAACAACAGATTTCCAATATGGATAAAACAGCCTTCTATTTGAAAAAGATGCCATCTAGGACTTTTATAGCTAGAGAGAGGTCAATGCCTGGCTTCAAAGCTTCAAGAACAGGCTCTGGTTAAGGGCTGACGCAGCTGGTGAACCCAATGCTCATTTAGCATCCCCTGAAAATCCTAGGGCCCTTAAGAATTATGCTAAATCTACTCTGCCTGTGTGCTATAAGTGGAAAAACAAAACCTGGGCAACAGCACATCAGTTTACAGCATGGTTTTTTGAGTATTTTAAGCCCACTGTTGAGACCGACTGCTCAGAAAAAGATTTCTTTCAAAATATGACTACTAATTGACAATGTACCTAGTCACCAACAGCTCTGATGGAAATATACAAGATGATTAATGTTGTTTTCATGCCTACTGACACAACATCCATTCTACAGCCCACGGATCAAGGAATAATCCACTTTCAAGTCTTCTTATCTAAGAATACGAAATACATTTCTTAAATCTATAGCTGTCATAAACAGTGATCACTCTGATAGATCTGGGTAAAGTAAACTGAAAACCTTCTGAAAAGGATTCACCATTCTAGATGCCATTAAAAACGATTGTCATTCATGGGAGGAAGTCAAAATATCAATGTCAATAGGAGTTTGGAAGAAGTTGATTCCAACCCTCATGGACGACTTTGAGGGAGTCAAGATTTCAGTGAAGGAAGTCACTACAAATGTGGTGGAAACAGCAAGAGAACTAGAATTAAAAGTAAGCCTGAAGATGTAACTGAATTGCTACAATCCCATGATAAAACTTCAATGGATGAGGAGTCGCTTTTTATAAATGAGCAAAGAAAATGCGTCTTAAGACGGAATCTACTCCTGATGAAAATGCTGTGAACATGGCTAAAATGACAACATAGGATTTAGAATATTCCATAAACTTTTAAGCAGCAGCAGGGTTTGAGAGGATTGACTCCAATTGTACAAGATTTTCTACTTTGGGTAAAATGCTATCAAACAGCATCATATGCTACAGAGAAATTTTTCATGAAAGAAAGAGTCAATTGATGTGGCAAGCTTTATGGTTGTCTACTTTTAAGAAAACGACACAGCCACCAGCCTTCAGTGACCGTCACCGTAATCATTTAGCAGCCATCAACATTGAGGTAAGACCCTCCACCAGCAAAAATATTATGAACTGCTGAAGGTTCAGATGATCGTTAGCATTTTTTGGCAATAAAATATTTTTTAATTATGTATATTTTTTAGACATAATGCTATTGCACACTGTATAGACTACAGTATAGTGTAACTCTAACTCCCATATGCACTTGGAAACCAAAAGATTCATCTGACTCGCTTTATTGCAAGATTCACTTTATTGCAGTGGTCTAGACTAGAACCTGCAATATCTCTGAATAATGCCTGTATAGAGCTAGGGCCCACAGCATTGTTTCCTGGACCACAATAGGCAGGGTATGGTTCTAGGGTCCCCCAAATAGCAGGATTTTTCTTACTGTAACTGTGTCTTGACCAGAGCAGTGGCTGTATGGCCCTAGACCGGTGGACTTCTGATCACAGAAGAGGCAGAAACTCCCTTGGGGGCCTGGTACTGGGACATTCTGCTGGAAGCTCAAACTCCCTCACAACCATTAAATACTATTAAATGTTCAGTAACAAATTCCTTTCCACTTAAAAAAAGTGATTAGAGGAGTAAACGGGAGAACTATGTAACTAAAGACAATCTTTACTGACAGCTGATTTTTTGTTGTTGTTGTTGTTGTTGCATTTTTAGTAAAGATGGGGTTTTGTCATGTTTCCAAGGCTGGTCTCAAACTCCTGGGCTCAAGCAGTCTGCTCAGCCTCGGCCTCCAAAGCGCTGGGATTACAGGTGTGAGCCACAGTGCCCAGCCAACAGCTGATATTGTAAATACTCAAAGCCATAAAAGTGAAGGTGAAAACAATATGTCATTCAACAATAAAAAATATTTCTTAACAGTAAATACATTATTAAAACTTTATTTTAAATGCATTTTGAAAATGGAAAAAAATGTCAGTTTTCACTGAATACCACACCTACCACCAGACTACTCTAAACATATTCTAACAACAAAGACGGTGATGAGAACAAAGGAAGTCAATTTGTAGGTTGCCATGAAAAATAAGAAATAATTCGTTCCATAAACCAATCCTCCCCCCAGAAAAATCTTCTTATATAAGACCTTTCAATTTACATGTATTTATTGACTAACAAACCACACCTAGAAATAAACTGTTTGGAATAAAGATATACTATTTGCATAAAACAAATGACCTATTCTAGGTGTCTCTTTTTTTAATTTTTTTTTTATTTTTTTTAGAGACAGGGTCTCACTCTGTCACCAGGTGGGAGTGCGGTGGCATCATCACAGCTCACTGCAGCCTCGAAATCCTAGACTCAAGCCATCCTCCAGGCCCAAGCAATCCTCCTGCCTTAGCCTCCCAAGTAGCTGGGATTACAGGTGCGTGCCACCAAGCCCAACTAATTTTTTTTAAATTTTTTGTAGTGACAGGGTCTCACTATATTGATCAGGCTGGTCTTGAACTCCAGGTCTCAAGCAATCTTCCCACCTTGGCCTCCCAAAGTGCTGAGACTACAAGTATGAGCCACTGTGCCGGTATCATATCACTTTACTATATGGTCCAGCAGTTAGATATAAAGGCAATACAAGATTAGGAATTCATTACATTTTAGAAGTATAACAATTTTTCATAAACACATCTATTCAACTTTTCCAACCATAATATAAGGACATATGTCTTTGTTATGATTATAACCATAATAAAATGTATAGTAATTCACCTAGGTAAATATAAGGATATAGGGGAAATATTTCAACAATTTAAAAAAACAATTTTAAGCATGCTAGGAAGAACATTTTTAATTTTGCCAATTTTTTGAATCTGTATTTAAAGATCTTTTTGCAACTCACATTATTTGTAGTCCATAATATAACCCCCCAAGCCTCTTGTGCCTTTTTCTGCCTGAGAAACTATGGCTTGCTGGCTCTCCCCACACTCCAAAGAAAGTCATAAAAACTAACTCAAATGTAGGAACCATTAAATTTTGAATATGGAAATCACAGGGCAAAGGAAAAGGAGAATTCAAGCAGAGGAAGTGGAAATGGCAGAAGTGGGAAGCAGCCCATTAAGACAAAACTGGGCCAAGGCAGAGTGGGTGACAGGGCCTGTCATCAGAACAAACTGACAACAGGAGATGTGTTTCCCACCCCTGAAGGTCCTAAGAATAGAGAAGTAAGTGAAATGAAACTAACACTGGGCCTGCTACCATACATTTACAAAGGTATTTTCATTTACTCCTCAAGGCAACTTTATGAGTTGCGACAACTACAGTCTGAATAAAATGAGCAACTCAACCAAGGTCATAAAGTAGGCAATGACAACCCTGGAGTTTTCTGCCTAGTCTTTTCCACATCATGGTAAACACAGATAATGATAATATATGTGCAGCAGGGTCAGATAAAGAGAAGAGACTGCTTGTAGCTGGTGGCAACTAGCCAGGAATTCTGATTGTCCCAGGTCCTACCTGGGCTTCCCCGAGGGCTAAGGGGTCAAAAGTCCAGCACACACAAAACCCACTCCTGACTAGAGCTGAGAAAGTGTACTGTGTAATTTTTTCACAAAGCTGTTGCATTTTCCATTCTGCTCTATGCTACTCAGTAGCTACACCCAGGTAAGTCTACAGCTAATTCTTTTCAGAGCAAAGGTCAGAAGTACCTCTACCCCAGGCCAAACATACCTTGACTGTAGGCCCTCTGCTAAAGCACAGGCTCTTTCCAATATTTTTTACTGGGGCGGGGGAGAGTCTTTTTTGAAAGACTAAGTTAATGTTTCCTAAAAAGAAAAAAATTTGCCCAACCCCTTGCTTATGTCAAAAATTCCCTCTAAAGTAGACAAAGGTAGTCATACCAGTAGGCTTAAAATAAAAACTACTAGACAAAGAAACATATGAGTAAGTTTTGGTATGTTTCTTTGTCTAGTAGTTTTCATTTAGTAAAGACAAATGACTGACATTAGATTCTATGTCGCTTTAGTCAGAAGCAGGGAGCCACAGACAGGCATTCATTCAATGTCACAGGATAGGAGTGGGATCCTCCAGAAGCAAAGAATGGTGAAGAAACCTGAAAACATGGATAAACCTAAAAGAGGTTCTTATGCTGACAAACTCTGAAATGAAACACAAAATTTGGGAATGGACAGCTGGGTATTATTCTGAGGGAACTGTGGAAGATCAACAAATTGTCACAAGAGTCTAAGCACAAAAATAATTATAAAACGCTGTTGTGGAAAATTCCGAATCAACCCAAACATCAATGGCATAGCACCACATTTAGACCTCTGGTATTATTTTCTAGAGTGGGGGAAAGCTACCAACCTATTTGTATAAATAAAGCTTTATTTGAACACACCTATGCCCACTTGGTCAGATACTGTATTTGGCTACAATGGCAGCAGATGCAATCACAGGGCTCACAAAGCCAGAAATATTTACCATGTGATCCTTCAGAGAAAAAAATTGTGAATCACTATTCTATAAAAAAGCAGACTGGATTGAAAAAGTAGCCCTTACCCACTACCAACAGAAGACTACTAATAAGATTTACAAAAAGGCCTATTTCCATTATGTAACAGAAAACACGTATTTCTCAATTTTTATAGACCACTAAAATCAGTTTTATTCATTTATATATTGTTCCGCTTAACACTTTGATAGCTATTACAACAAAACCACTCATTGTATAACCTCATTACCTAAATAGTATGGCAGGGCAGTTATTTTGACAAAGGTTAAAAAAGAAGTTATCCTGCTCAAAAATATTAAGGAATGCTTCATGATCATCTGTCCTTCTCATTCCCACTGCCCACTGAAAAGCATGAAATATACTCTGTAAGTGTTTTCTTCAGAATAAAAAAAATTTTGTGAAAATACACAACACCTAGGAATAATCAAACTATTAATTACCAAAGGAGAATTCAGCAGTTTAGAAGTTTTATAACTCTGAGATTGAATTGTATCAATTTAAAAATTCTGAACTGCCATTATATTATACAAATGCATATATTTGATTACAATTATGTAACCAAATGTTATTCATCCATATTCCCTACAAAAATGGGTGGAGGGGGGAGAATTAAATTGAAAAAGTCTCAAAAGGGTAAAGAAATGCGTCTTAAAACATCTTGCTATATATTTACATAAATCCTGATGAAGTGCTGATAAAACAATTCGGAGCAAACAGTAATCATACATGGCATTTCCAAGACACCCTTAAGTCGTACATTAAGTTTAATATGTTTTATAGACGATGCACTGAAATACCTACCCTCGTAGTTTTCCAACAAAAATTCGAAGGGGTAAACACTTAAATGTGAATGAAACCGGGAATGAGGACAGAGTGCTGTTTTGTGCAGCTGCAGCTGCAGCTACACTGTGTATTTTTTAAATACTACACTGTGCATTTTTAAAATACCAAAGCCTATTTAAAAAAAAAAAAAAATCAAGGGAAACAAAACCTGAAAGAAATTTTGGAATTACCTACTTTTTTTTTCCCCAAAAGTGCGTAATCACTAACACTTAACTGGGCCCTGCTCTCAGGCCCAGTTCTCAGGTACCCTGAATGGTGGCGACATTTGTAATACTACAGAGGTACATTCTTAAAACATCAGATAGTTCCTAGGAAAATAGTGTTTAGTTCTGGAAACACTGTAAAAGTCTCTAATGATATCTCAGACCACATATTTAAGTGAAAAAAAGAAGTCTATATTTCAGTAAATGCGCAATAATTGAGGGGAAAAAAAAAGAATACTTAAATGTTTACAGTAAGTCAGAGCCCAAAACTATCAACTGCAAGCACCAGGAAAGATTTGGGGCATGAGGTCCTTATGAGATTAAGTACTTATTTACACAAACTGTAACTGCACTGGACTTCTGGTCATTACGATGCAATTTTTTTTTAAATTTATTAATCAGGTATGTTAGCTATAGAGGCATCAAATCTCCCCTCCTCTACTAGTACACTGCCATCATACCATATGTGCTTTCCTCATTCTTTGGGTAAGTGCTGTTTTACTGGGATGGAAATGAACTCGAAATTGTCCAGACAGGAAAATATGAAAGGGGGAAAGCAATGGTGGGTGCTACATGTATTATCTAAATAAATAAACCTAAATACTAGTTCAGACTATAAAATGAGTCTGTACGCTTAGAAATAAAGTTAGTCTTGTTAAATTGGTAAGATTTTTAACCATGGAAAGATTCCCAAGAAGTTGTGAAAACGCCTAACGATTTAGATTCTGACATTTAGTGGTTTTCATTTTCAGGTAATTTCAGAGTAAAACCCGCCTCAGTCACATGGACTATATTTAGTCTGCTGACCAACTTCGCTTCTAATCTACTATAAACTTTCAGTAGTAGTTAAGTTCTAGGTGCAGCTGAATCACGAAACGGGACACCTAGGATGGCTCAGGGAAAACTGAAGCCCCCCTCCTCCTTCCTTCCTTCCTTCCTTTCTTTCTTTCTCCAGGCTGGCCCTCAGCCTGGCGCCCCTTCCGCAGACATCCCTAGAAAAAGAACTAACGCGGCCTTCTCCGAGCCCAGGGCTGGAGTAGGAAGTACCCGCCCTCCCGAACGCGAGGTCCTGGCTGCGCATTGGCTGCGAAGGCCGTCAGTACTCCGGAGGGCGGAGCCTCCCGGCACCCAGCGGAATTTCAGGCCCGCACCTCCGGGAGGGTCCTCCGGGCTCCCGGGCTCCTTCCTCCCCCTTAACACTACCCCCGCACACACACCGGCCCCGAGAAGGCAACTAGCCTCCTCAAACGGTTCCTTTGCCTTTTTATTTCGCAGGCCTTCCTCTCACCCCATACAGTTACTGCCCCTTTGACTCCTCCGAGAGGCAAAGCTTTTTCAAAGCTCTAACACCTCTCCCCTACCCCAGCAAGTTCCCCGTGCGAGACCAAATAGAGGATGCCGCTGTTCTAAGAGTGAAGCAAGCTGTGGACTGGATCTCGCCGAGGGAGAGAGAATTCCTTCCTCTGGAAATAAAATAACTGCTGAGATTTTAAGTTAGCTGTTTCAAGAGCACTTGGCCATCACCAAGTGTTACAAACCAAGAATACTCAGCGGCCATTCAACAAGAGTTGCCACAAAGCATTAGAGGGTTAACTGTATCTCCTGTTTTACTGTTCACCGTTTTCAGGGTTTGACCGGTTGTCCCAAACATACTGTAGCTTTTGAGTGCAAGGACTATGCCATTCTTCGACCACACCACCAGCAGCTCAAGGTCCTGAACAGAACATATTTATAATACACATACTCTGTACTTTAATTCTCTAATGCAACCTGACAAGACATACTGCTGTCGCCTGGAGGGAGTGTGCATAGCCTTGAAACTGTAAATTCCTTGGAGGAGGAACTAGAAACAGTGGTTCCCATTATGATGGGTACATTAGGCTCTACAAACTATGGAAATGTGGTGTTTTCAATTGCATCCTTGAGCTCAGTAACCTCAAAGGAGAATAATCATTTTATTTCTGTGTATTTCTGATTTTCAGTTCAGTCACCAGAATTGCGCAAGGACAGTAACATGTATCTTACTGTAAACTAAGTATATTTTTTAGCATTTCTCCCCAGTGAGGACTACAGCAAGGTGAGAACACGATACATCATCTCTCCGCGACCCCAGTACGCTCCCAGTGCAAGACTAAATAGAGGATGCTGCGGTTTTAGGAGTGAAGGCCTACAGTGTAACAGAGGCAACAGAAGTTCTTTAGCTCTCAAGGCAGCATCCTCTAGGTTGTGCTCGCTTCCTTACACTGTTCTGCGGTCATACGGTCTTGTCACTTTTCTCTGTTTTCCTTTGGCTACCCTTCTCTGACTTTGGCCTCAGTTTTCAATTTCTTTTCCATTGCCACCATCACCAGCAATGTTCGCTATTGCCTCGCAATCCCTCTCTCCGACATTTTGTAATCCCGAGTCTCTCCCAAGTTCATTCTCCGACAGACCTCTCACGCTCCCTGTACTTCTGAAGCCACTTCGGATTCTCCCCTATCTGCCGGCTCCCACCACCCACTCTCTCCCAGCGCACTTCACTTTCCTAAGTCGGGCTGCTGCCGAATCCTGACAGACGGACTTCACCAATCCGCGAGAGATAAATAACCGACGTCGCCAATGAGCATCCGCCGGAAGGCGGGACTTCGCTTAAGTTCCTCGGGTCCCGAAACCAAAGACCTGTTGCCGCCGCCGCCGTGGCCACGGAGTTTCTTAGTTACCGCGGCGCCCTTGGCGGCCTCGGGCCTCTAGAGCCGGGGCCAGGTATGAAGTTTCCTGCCGCCCCCTCCCACCGCTGCCAACGAACAAGACCGAAACCCCCATCCGCCTCGAGCGCAGCGCGCCCCGCCCCACCTACCCCGAGCGAGGGTATCCCGGAGGCCGCCCCGCGCGGTCCCGACCTCCCTCTCCCGGCCCGACTCCCGCAGGCGGCCCCTCCCGGCAGGAGCTGCCCGGTCCGGGCGCCTGAACCCTGGGCAGCGACTCACCAGGAAGTTGGGAGTTTTCCGTTCTCCCGCCCGCGAGAGACCTTGGGCGGGCGGGTGGCTCGGCGCGGCGCCGCCGTCGGAAAGCGCGCTGGGCCGGGGGCTGAGGCTGCGAGGCCCGGAGCCTGTCGGCCACCTCCCGCCGCGCCGCCCCGGCGGACGCTGCAGGCGCGGGGCACCCACCCTGCGCACTGCGAGGCGCGTCCGGAGTGCGAGCCTAGCGGCGGCCCATCCTCCCGCGACTCCCGATCCTCCTCCTGCTGCCGCCGCTGTCAGGAGTGTAAACATCCCGGCATCCCCGAGGAGAGGGGCGGGGCGGGCGCCGGCCCCACCCCGCGTCGTGAGTCCAGGCCGGCTGCCCGATGGAGGCTTCCCGCCTGCGTCCCCGGCGCTCCCTGGAGCTGGGGGAGCCTCGGCGGTTTCCCTACTGGAGCCGAAGTCGCTCTGGAGGAGCCCCTCCTGGCCCCTCTCTTCCGGTTGTCAGGCCTAGCGTGGTGCGGGGCACCGCGTCCGGTCCCCTGAGCCCTCTTCCCCGGCTGCTTTTTAAGAACCCAGGGTCGGCTGCTTTTTAAGAACTTGTTTTTTCTTCATTTATATGTAAGTGCCCCCACTTGCAAGCGGTGAACCGACTTACTGATGTTCCCTTCTGGACCACAGCGTTTGTGATCCCATCTTCTTTTACCAGGTGATTTAAACTACCTCTGTGTTTAATGTGGAGTGCAGGGAAATGAGAAAAAAAAAAAAAGGCGTTTTCCTGAGTCTGGCTAAGCAAACGTTGCATGAAAGTGTCCCAGCATAGAGGACAGGGGCTTCAACAACATTCCAGAAGGTAAACTCCCTGGTGTGGTACGGAGGATCTTTGAAATAAATATGTGCAAAATCACCCAGAACCCTAGTACACGAAACTGCAAAAGGAATGCTTTGACACCAGCAGCTTCACGACTTAAGTTAACAGGGCATGAACTACTCGAGGAGACGGCTAGGAGGCAGTATGGAGTCGGCCATACCTTAATTGTCGTCTCAACTCAGTGATTAATTTTGTGACCTGGCTGCAAGTTATTTAACCTCTCCAAGTCTCAGTAACTCTCTGTAAAAGGAGATTAGTTGTAATACCAACCTCTAGGACCATAGTTAGAATTAAGTGAGATAAAGCAAAGTGCTTAACCACAAAGCTTGGCATATAAGACGTGCTCATTAAATTGTTGCTGTTGTTCATAGGTCTCTCACTAGTTTAACTTCCCTGACAAAAAGATTAGAGCCAAGAATGAGTAGATTATACCTCAAACATTTAAAATGTTAAAGCCATGAAATTAAGATCTGGAAAGTTTATTTTTAAAAAGAAAAATGGCCGGGCGCAGTGGCTCATGGCTGTAAGCCTAGCATTTTGGGAGGCCAAGTGGGGGGGGGGGTGATCACCTGAGGTCAGGAGTTCGAGACCAGCCTGGCCAACATGGCGAAACCCTGTCTCTACTAAAAATACAAAAACTAGCCGAGCGTGGTGGCAGGAGTCTATAATCCCAGCTACTGGGGAGGCTGAGGCAAAAGAATCGCTTGAACCCGAGGCGGGGAGGAGGTTGCAGTGAGCAGAGATCGCGTTACTTCACTCCAGCGTGGGTGAAAGAGCGAAAATCCGTCTCAAAAAAATAAATAAATAAATGAAAACGTTCACGATCTCAAAAGGAGGCCTTGATTCATGTGGCTCAACAAATATTCATAAATGGGCTAGGCAATGTTCTAAGGAATGAGGATACAACAGCTCACCGAGATATACAGTGCCTGCTGTCATAGAGCTTATATTGTAGTCGGAAAGGCCAAAAAAAAAAAAAAGCCAATAAATACCTACTATGCCAGATGGTGAGTCATAGAAAAATAAAGCAGGGTAGGGAGACATGGGGAGGGAGGATGCTATTTTAAATATGTTTGTCTGGGAATGCCTCTCTGACATTTGAGCAGAGAACTAAGGAAGTGAGAAATTAGCCATTTGGCTACCCAGGGTTAGAATATTTTACACAGAAGGATCAGCAAATGCAAAGACCCTAAGTGGAAGTGGGCTTGGCATGTTTGAGAAATAGGCAGGAGGTCAGTGTAGGCTAGAATTCAGTGAGCGGTGGGAAAGCAGCTGACTAAATCAGAAGAGGGAGTAGGGTACAAGAAGGGTATAGTTGTAGAATCTTGTAACCTTTAAAATTTATTCTGAATGAAAAGGAGAGCCATTGGAGGAGTGACCAAATCTGATTTGGGTTGGGAGAGAAGAGCTGCACTGTGGAGAACAGATTGAGCCTAAGAGCAACTAGATGTTAGAAGACTATTGTAATGATCCAGGTAAAATACATTGATGACAGACCAGAGTGCAGGTGGTAAAAATGGTGAGATTCCATTTCTAAGAGCAAACAAGATTTGCTGATGTATTGAATGTCAGGTAAGAAAGGAGGCAAGAACAAAGCCAATGAAATTGGCATTTGAACCAGATCATTTTATCAGGTCACACCAAATCAAATCTGTCAGTCAATAGAAACAGTGTCACTGGCGTCATACACAGGCACACATTGCAGGAAAAAAATAACCAGATATCCTTAGGGTAAAGACATGTCAACCTCAGACCAGACGTATGTGTAAGGTTTTTTTCTGTTTGTTTTGGGTTTTTTTTTTGTTTTTTGTTTTTTGTTTTTTTGGAGACAGCCTCTCGCTCTGTCACCCAGGCTGGAGTGCAGTGGCGTGATCTCAGCTCACTGCAACTTCCACCTCCCAGGTTCAAGTGATTCTCCTGCCTCAACCTCTTGAGTAGCTGGGATTACAGGCATGTGCCGCCACACCTGGCTAATGTTTGTATTTTTAGTGCAGACAGGGTTTCACCATGTTGGCCAGGCTGGCCTCGAACTCATGAACTCGAATGGTCTGCCCACCTCAGCCTCCCAAAGTGGTGTGAGCCACTGTGCCCAGCCAGTTTGGTGTTTTTTGTTTTTTAATAAACTACAGATTTATCTATGACCAAATATTCCATTGGTAAAAGCAAAACACATACACCTTGAGAACACTGACTCATAGTCAAATGGATCAAAATGAGCTCATGAAGTCCTACTAGCTGAAAAGACTGTTGAGGAAGAATCCTTATCAGTGGCTATATAGTGCCCAAAGTATTGAAATACTCTGATATGTCCTATTTCTTCACCTTAAAGTACTGCTAAGCTACAGCTAAATAGTCATACAGTGTTTCAAAGATTGGAAGGTTGTCAGAACTGAATCCACCACACTTTTTCTCTTTAGCTTTTTATCAGCTTTGTGGTGGATAGGGAAAGTTGTTCCTGGCCACTGGCCTCCTGGCTGTGAGCAAATGCTAATGGAAACGCAGAAAAACCTGGCCAAAGAGGATCTGTGGTCCAGGATCTTTAGAACAGAATCTAGCTTTAACTGCTTTTCTATTCATCTCCCCACCAAGCTTGCTCCAAAAATGCTTGTTTGGCTTCATGAAACACATTAATTATAGTCCTTTATATGAAGTACTTAGTGTTTATACCTAATTACCACGCAATACATACCATTAACTATCAGATTAACTTTGCTGTAAGTGGTTTTTGATTATTACACTTGAAACCTCTCAGTTACACCAAGTTTTTATGTTTTGTTATTCATATATCTTGCTGGCCCCACAGGTAATATCAATTATTGAAACTACTCTTTCTCCCTAGGCTAACCCAGACGAGATGTTATGTACTGGGATCAGTGTAAATGCAATTTCTCTGTAAGGAGAGAAGCTTGCTAGAAAAACATTTTCTTAAGGAAAAATGATGAAGTAATACTAAAAATAATTCTCCTTTGAAAGAGAGCTTAGCCACTGGGGTAGACCAGAAAGGTCTAGCCTTCTTGACTCAAACATAGTGCTGGCAACAGGTGTATTTAAAAAGCTACTAGTGGTATTGGCAGCCACTGAATTTGGCAGCTAACTGGTGATGAGGCTTAGTCAAGCTGTTGAAATGTCTGGACTCAACTGGGCCAAGAGGAGGAAGTCAGAGTGCAGACTGCAAGCAACTCAAGGGAGATCACTTTTCTCTGGCCCTGGCTGTGGTCACTATACAAAGTCAGAAAATAAATCTTTATCTTACTTTGAAAACACCCATGAAAAATAGTAGGAAGTTACTTTTTCACCTTTAATGGCCTCTTGCATTTCATTGTTAATAGATCATGCAGATGAACTTCCCATTAAAACAATAAAATCGGCCTAAATTTCATTCTCACATCAAACCCCTAGAATTCAAAATCACAGAAAGACAACTCTCCTATGTCCCAATTATCTAGTTATGGTATTTTGAGAATACAGTTCATGGTTAAAAATAGTGGCATTACCACCAGTGGCTTTTCCTGGCTATTTTTATAGTGGTTATTAAACTGAGGAAGCATTTAAATTCACTATGTATATTTTTAATGTAGAGAAATGTAGTATTTTATATTGGTTGCAAAACAGGAAAGAAACAGTACAACTAGCAGTTTATGTCATGATTTCCTTTGGTCAGCAGAATATAACCGAACTTATGTTTTTTTATAGTATAAAAGCCAAAGGGCCAATATGCAGTAAGTAATAAGTCACAGCAATGAAGAAAATATATTCAGAAATTATTTCCCTTTTCATTCTTGTACACCTCATCCTTAATGTGGAGCCAAACCATGAAGCCATTTCGCAGAACCTAATTTCCTCAACAATGGTGGCATTTTCAGTCACGAGTGTTCACAAGCACCCCTCAATTATCTATGCTAACAGAGAGCTGTGGTGATACAATAATCAAATCCCAAAGATAATTTTTTAAATTATAGGTTTCTTTGGAATATTTGGTATGTGTGCATGTGTCTACCTGGAAGAGATGTTACAAAAATCTTGTGATTTCACAAAGCTAAATGTAAAGATTTCAGAGTCCTGTATCATCTCTCTGTCTCTCTCTCTCTCTGTCTCTCTCTTCTGACATACCCTCTTTTGTGCTCCTCAGTTCAGTCTTGGGTTGCAGCAGATCCACTCAGGTCTGAGCATTAGAAACAATTGTCTATTTCTTAATAGGAAAGAAAATGGAAGATTATAAGTATTTCTGTTTACTTTTAGTATTTCCTAATAGTTAAATCGAGAGGCTATCCTTTGGCTACAGAGCCAAAAGTATATCCCAAAAAATACAAAAAGTGAAAAGTTGCATTAGTACTGCTTTCATCTTTTGAACCCTCTTTGTTCATACTTAAGCCTGTATTGCTTAAAACATATATCTCTTCCATTTTTTTTTTCAGTTCCACTTAATGGCAGAAGTGTGCTTTAAAATACCTCAGTAATTATTTCTTCAGCAATTCACTTGCAGTGTTAATGTTCAGTCTATTTGAAAATGCAGGAAGGATGTGAGTAAAACCAGATTTGGAATCATGCCACTTCGAATCCAAACACATACTGAAAGCAGGCTCTACACTATAACAACAAATCTCGTTAATCATAAACAGCCTAGACATTCTCCATAATTCTGCCATGGAATTCACCATTAGATAAGATTCAAATTATAGAGATATTTTAATTATTTAATCACTCATCCAGCTTTTCCATGCAAATGTTAGCATTGTGTAAAGGAAGGAGCACCTGGAACAACATTTTCCAGAATTAACACAGTGTCATTTCCAAAGCTTGATAACCTGTGGGGGAAAGTAAGAGATACGATTACAAACTTCATGAAGTGCTACCTCTTCCTTAAAAGTAAGGGCAAGAACCTTTAAATTCATAAGGCCTTCAAGCTCTGGAGAAGGCCAGGCAATATTTATCTATAGGCTTATGGGATAATCTGTTCTTTCAAGGGGTAGAAGGCAAACAGTAGAATGCCACTTCATGGAAACTGCAAACAATCCTAATTGGACAATATTGTTATGTTTGCCAATCAGTATTATTTATTACTACATAATTATTACCTATTATGTAAAATATGTTTAATCTGTAGAACCTTTAAATTATTGTAAAGGTGTTTATATATGTTTCTAAAATACTTTATATATATGTGTATATATATATATAAATATAACGTACCATTTGAGCAACCAAAATATGCAACTGTTTAAGCCTCCGTTTTTATTTGTCCTCTCCTTGTTCAAATTGAGAGGTAAAAAATAACTTTTTTCTGAAGACAAGTAAATAACAAAAATATTACTTCTTTATGTTCTAAATTAAATGAAATTAATATTTTATCAGGTCTACATCCTATGACTCCTATCTAAGATTATAGTCAGGTATGTTTCACTATTTTACAATAGGATGTTTGAAAATATAATGTAAATAGAGATGACTGGAAAAAACATGAAAATGAACTAAGTCATATCAGTTAATTTTAATTTCCTGTATAATTTTTTCAAAAAAATACATGCCTATAGTTGCTACATAACCAAACCTTTATTATTAATACATGATTAGGGAGGTTATCATGCTGTCTTGAAATATAAATATGTAGAGAGATTATATTAAGTCAGAATAATCATATCATCTGAATCTTTGCTGCTGATTGTTTAGCCCCTGAGGGCTAGAATCTACTTCTATACTTTCAGTACCTAGTATTTTAATTCCTTTTATGGTTAGTCTATGTATTTTTTTGTTCGTGATTCTTTAAAATTATGTTTACATAAACTATACAAAAATAACTGCCAATAACCCCATTTGTTTCTTAACACATATTGAGATAATCAGTTGCTATATGTACAGATGTTCACACTATGATAAGGCAATACCTCATGAATTAGTTCTAAAGGCAGTGCAGCTTTGGGGTAGAATTTCAGGAGTGTTTTCCAGCTAGGTTTTACCTAGGATGACAGATTGTAACTGATGCAAAGGAAAAGATGGTGGAACTGAAGTTGAGAACAGAAGTACCCACTATCACAAACTACATGGGTGTTTTCCCAGATATAATGTCCTGTGATAGCAAGAGAACAAACTTTTGTACTAATAGACTCAGCCCTCTCCTTCATCAGTAAAGACAGTTTAATAAAGTGTCTTAAAGTGAAACATGAAAAATTTACAAAAGATATGGCTTCGAATTTAGTCTAATAAAGAGTTCCTAAATTTGCAGGGTAGGCTCTCACCCTCTCTAATAAAATATTAAGAGGAATACAGCTCATCTCTCTGGCCCTGGTTTAAAAGTAACCTGTCCAGAAGTAAGAAGATGGGCTAGCATCACATAATCTTACATGTAACTTAGTAGCAGTACAGCACCAGGGAAACGTAGGTAAGTCAAGTTGACCTCCATGTTTCCTTCACTGGTTGCCCTGGGTACAGAGTTTTGTTCTCATTTACTATCATGTAGTAATGATACAATTTGAGTTTTCTATTTTTAAGGTTAATAACTGTTAGTGCATGTGTTTGTTTTTCGATCTGAAACTTGCACATAGGTTTAATTCCTTTGGTTCTTAAATGTTTTTTGATCTTTGATATCTCTGTCAAATTATATATGCTTTTGGAAATGAGTTACACTCTAAGCCTACTTAATGAGCCCCCTATGGGGATAAGTAGACAGTCTGAAGAGAACAAAGGATAAGCTTCTCTAAGGGGAAATAACAAGAAGGAACATACTGTAGATAGGATAGTCCACGAATGCTTCTCTGAGGAAGTGACATTTAAAGTAATATCTGAAGGGTATAAAGGAACCAGCATGGTGTAGCACCTACACTGAAGTCCAGAGGCAGCTACATCTGTTTTTCCTTCCATCCACATGGAAGAAAAGCATGCAGGAGTTCATAGGCCTGGAAATACACATATGTCTACTCAGTGGCTTCATTTTCATTAACTTGGGAGCAGCCAAATTGCTATTGACCTAATAAAGTTTCCATCCGTGGAAAGAAAAGTTGGAAAAATTTTCCACCAAGAAAGCCTCAGAATTATGCCTATGGTTTATTCTTTTCTGCCTTCTTTTTTACTTTCCTCCCTTCCTACTCCTCCCTCTCCACAATCTCCTTCCCTTCCTCCTTCCTTCTTTCTTTCCCCAGACATATTTATTGAGTTATTCCCATGCATTACAAATCCAGTGGAATCTGCAAATACAACATTTCATCGTTTCTAAGCAACTTTTTTTAGCATTTCACATCTGTGAGGTTAGAAAGCATTTTATGTTCAATTAACTAGAATCAATGAACTATGATACACTGGTACATAACAATGAATCCACTTGAAGAGAAACAAACATTTTAATCAAAATCTGGGTATCAAATGCAAATTGTAAGTAAATTTTCTATAAGGATTATGTGAGTAAGGCACTAAATTGAATCTACTTATTTTTGTACAAGCTGTTCTCTTTAGAATTATATGCTTTACAACTCAATATTTGCTGTATTTCATTGTTTCAGTAAATTTTTAAAAATCTGAAATAATGGAAAGTCATTAATGAAAAAATAACACTTCATAAAGCACATCTAGTAATTTAGTCATTATGAATAAAGCACCTTTCACTGCCAAGTGGCTGCATAGCTTAAT
Source organism: Homo sapiens (assembly GCF_000001405.40). Lineage (NCBI taxonomy): Eukaryota > Metazoa > Chordata > Mammalia > Primates > Hominidae > Homo > Homo sapiens. Next base: position 198,148,815 of record NC_000001.11, on the reverse strand, counting down.
TATGAGAAAGTGTATACGGGAAAAAAGCAAAATGATAATAATTGCCAAGCAGACTGTCTTCCAAGTGATAGCAACTAGTGGGGAGTGAGACAAACTGTACCTCCACATTTCCAAAAGATGAAGTGAGAAAAATAGTAAATACCCCAAATAGATGAGAATAACAAATAATTGTCATTTGAGCTAGCTCAATGAATGTGGGCCTCAGGACTTTTGTTAGAACCATCCAGAAAGAATAGACTGTAACCCCAGAACTCCTCAGTGCCTTCTTGGCCATAGAACTGGAGAAGCCTGCCTGAAAACAACATGATGCACAGGAAGAAGAGCTGAAAGTTGGAGGAAGACAGATTCCTGACCCTTGATTCTATCATGCCTGAAGTCAGACTCCAGTAGACTTCTCAGTTACACAAGTCAATACACTGGTTTTCCATTTTAATTTGTCATTTTAAATAAGATGGTAGACGGTCCCACTTGTTCCTTCTGTGTACTTAGCACCTCTTGCAAGTCTCTGCTTTCAGAGTGAGTGTGCTATTGGAACAGATAGATTCAGACGAAATGTAAAAGCTGCTTCTGCAGGAGTACTTAGGCAATTTCATACACTTAAAATCAGTTCTAAGACTTAAGCCTTTGATAATATGACCTAGTGAGAACAAGATGAGGGTTTCTTGAACCCTCCCCAAATCCAAAAGCCTCAGAGGGAACCTACAGCCCTACAACATCTTACACCTGGCCTAGGCAGCAGACCCAAGCAGAAAAATATCCTGAAGTTTTTAAGCCTGTCTGAGAGTACTCAAGGGATCACATTTACTGCCTACCTCTGCTGCTAAATATCATGACCGTTAAATCAGGGGCTCCGTTTCTTCCTCCTTCTAGCCAATTCATGGCCCCCTGGAACATTTGTCAAGTCTTAGTTTCCTCATCTCTAAAATAGGCTTAATGATATTTAACACAAATCATTTCTAAGAGTATTAAATGAGATTATGTAAAGTGCCCAATCAATATGATTATAAAAGAGAAAATGGATGTATGGGGTTTCCCCAGTCTTAAAATCTTGGAGATTATTACTTTTTTACTTTATAAAATAGTTAGAACTTGATTCATGTAATATGTCTAAGAGTACTATATTGAAATATGATTGTTTACAGTAAAAGGTACAAATATTATACAGACTTGTGCAGATTATAACTGATTATTTTTGACAAACATGTATACTGGTTTAACCAAAATATAGATTTCATCAGCCTAGAAAGCTTCTTCCCAGCCAATTCCCTCATCCTACGTAGTTTCTATCACCATAAATTAGTGTTATGTATTCTGGATTTTACAATGTGTACACTTTTGTGTCTCTTACCAGCAATGTTGCTCCACATCCAAACCAATGGTTGATATTTTCAGTCTTTTTATTTTTGGCCACTCTAGTGGGTGTGCCCAGAACAGATGGGAATAACAAACAATTGTAACTCAAGCTAGCTTAATGAATGCCAGTCCCAGAATTTTTGCTAGTGATATTTCATTGTGTTTTTAATTTAATATTTATTTTTATCCGTCATCATATTTTCATCAGTAAACTCATCTCATTCAATTATTATGTCAGTTATTAGAACAATGAATTCTGGCCGGGCCCGGTGGCTCACCCTGTAATCCCAGGACTTTGGGAGGCTGAGGCGGGTGGATCACGAGGTCAGGAGGTCGAGACCATCCTGGCTAACACGATGAAACCCCGTCTCTACTAAAAGTACAAAAAATTAGCCGGGCATGGTGGCGGGTGCTGGTAGTCCCAGCTACTTGGGAGGCTGAGGCAGGAGAATGGCGTGAACCGGGGAGGTGGAGCTTGCAGTGAGCCGAGATCATGCCACTGCACTCCAGCCTGGGTGACAGTGCAAGACTCCATCTCAAAAAAAAAAAAAAAGAAAAGAAAAAGAAAATGAATTCTAATTTCTTAAATGCTAAATTGAAGGGTGTATATTTCATTTTAAACAATGTATGCATTTCAGGAAAGATCTTTTAAGATTCTGTTAACTAAGGCATGGTTTCTGGACCAAAATTTTTACTTTAAATATATATTTGGCTAAATTGGAGAAAGCTTTCCTCATGCATCCAAGAAAAAGAAAAAAAATACTGTTTTATATATGTGTCATTGTGTATTTTGGGGAAAAAAAACCCACGCAAACACATGTGCACATACACACACATACACTCATAAACCCAATCATATAGATTTGGAATGTATGCAATTGGTAACACTCGAGATCTAGGGAAAGGGTATTGCTCAGTGATTCTCAGCCCTGGCTGTACCAGACCGCAATCTGCAGATATTCTGATTCTGTTGGTTTGGGGAGTGTCCTTGACATTAATAGCTTTTCAATGTTTTCCAGGCGATCTTGATGTTCCACCTAGGTTAAGAACCATTACTAATTAATATTTATTGAGTTCTTATTTATGGCTAACACTTTGTATGACGTACTCCAGGTGATATAAAGTGTTAAGGGACATAAAGCTAAGTACTCTGAGGGTTATAAAGAATAAGATATATAGGCCGGGTGCGGTGGTTCACGCCTGTAATTCCAACACTTTGGGAGGCTGAGGTGGGCAGATCACGAGGTCCAGAGATCGAGACCATCCTGGCTGACACGGTGAAACCCCGTCTCTACTAAAAATACAAAAAATTAGCCAGGCGTGGTGGTGGGCACCTGTAGTCCCAGCTACTTGGGAGGCTGAGGCAGGAGAATGGCATGAACCCAGGAGGCGGAGCTTGCAGTGAGCCGAGATCACATCACTGCACTCCAGCCTGGGCAACAGAGCGAGACTCCATCTCAAAAAAAAAAACAAAACAAAAAATAAGATATATAAAGAACATTCAAAACATTCAATAATATGATTTTGAACCACCATAAATTCTACCACTATCATGCTAAGTGCTTGTACAACTGGTATTGGCTTAATAACATCATCTTTAGATATTGGAAGAATGCATGTGAACCTTCTGTATGCACACACACATGCCAAACAGCACATTGATAAGACCTACATAAAAGAAACTCATCTATCTTGTTACTTGTTTCATTGTGCAAAAAAGTAGTCCCTTGTATCAATGTTTCTCAAAAGATGGTCTGTATCAGTTCATCTGAAAAGCTTTTTAAAACTATCATTGCAAAACTCCAAGACTATAAAATTTCAGAGATTGGTCCTAGGATTCCAGAAATCCACATTTTTAATGAGTTCCCAGGTGGTTGTAATACATAGAAAGGTTCAAAATCACCGTCTTGACCAGATTTTTTTTCCCTTCTGGGGATGATGTCCACCTTCACCTTTGTGACATGGGGGAAGGGAGTAATAGTATATCCAGATATTGAAATGTACACATATATAAATTTTGCCTGTGATAAAAATATTGCCTTAAGTCATAATTACCAAACATATGAATGATAGTCATTTTCAGATGCTGGGGCACAGATTAGATAAGCATTGGTTATGTTCAATTCCTATATCTTTAATTGTTATAGCCATTGCTTTTCCTTCAGCTCCAAAAACACATATCAGAAAGTCAATGAGTGATTGATGTTGTTCTAAAATATAACTGAATGCATCTATTAAGAAAATTGTTGGTACCTTCATGATATGGTTTGGCTCTGTGTCCCCACCCAAATCTCATCTAGAATTTTAATTCTCACATGTGGAGGGAGGGACTCGGTGGGAGGCGATTGGATCATGGAGGTGGCTCCCCCCATGCTGTTCTTGCGATAGTGAGGGAGTTCTCAGGAGATATGATGATTTTATAAATGGCAGTTTTTGCTGCACTTTCACTCTTCTCTTTCCTGCCTCCATGTGAAGAAGGTCCTTGCTTCCTCTTCACCTTCCACCATGATTGAAAGTTTCCTGAGGCCTCCCCAGCCATGTGGAACTATGAGCCAATTAAACCTCTTTATAAATTACCCAGTCTCAAGTAGTATCTTTCTAGCAGTGTGAAAACACACTAACACACTTCAGTATTCTAATTATTGCTGGTAACATTATTTGTTCAAACTGTGAATGAGATTGCCAAAAGAGCCTCATGTAAGAATATTTAAGAATATTTTAAATATTTGAAAGAATTACAGTAATACTCAATATTTTGCAGACATCTTATTAACTACTACGTTGAGGTAGTTTACAGCTTGAACATTAGATCAAGCTACATTCCTTTTGCTGACATCATATCTTGAAACTGAATTTTAGGGATCTGCTGAGATTGAAAACAAGCAATATGGCTCTCTATCAATATATTTATATATAGAGAGAGCTATGTATATATATATATATATATATGGATAGATAGAGCCATATTGTTCAACAAATGTACTTCATAGTGAGTGTTCAATAAGTATTTGTATATAGAGAGAGGCATATATGTATATATAGAGAGAGATAGCCATATTGTTCAACAAATGTACTTTATAGTGAGTGTTCAATAAATATTTATTGAACACTCACTGTAAAGTACAGAGTATCCAGGGCATACATTGATGAATAAGATTTCCCATCCAAATGTCCTTTGTATCTCCATATATAAATAAGTACTCTTTCTACAAAATGAGCTACTTAGTTATGAGATCTTCCTTCTCTGCAACACATGTAAAAATGCCATATCCCTGAATAAAGAATTAGAACAACTGTTAATTCTCCTGAGTTGCCATTTTCTACTTCCCCAAGTTATGCAGATTTATCAATAATTCAAGAAAACTTCCTGTGCACTGTACTAGACAATTTGAAGCTGTCAAAGCAACGGCTTCAGAAACCGTAGCAAAATGACATTTGTGGCTAAGAAACTGAAAGGCAGAGTCAGCATTCACTAACATGATCATTTTTTTTCGAGGGTAAAAGATTAGTCACCTCACCTTTAAGAGAGATCCCACTAGAGGTGTTGGGAAACAAGGAAGGAGAATTTAACTTCAGAAACAATCTATCCCACAGGATAATAAAGTCTTAGGAAAGTTCTACTAGTTTTTTTCTTTTCCTTTTTCTTTTTTAAAAACTGAATAATACTTATAGTATTTTAAACAGGGAGACTCCAAATACCTGAGTAAACTGATAAAGATATAAGAAAATTTTAAGTGGTTATAGAAAGTATTATTTTATACTTTACCTAATAGCCAGAAATACTGTGCCACTGTGAACACATGCCAAGGGGGCACTGAAACAATTCAGGCCCACAAATATGTCAAAGTTCCTAACTGAAAGTTTTGTACCATTCCAAATTTTATTGTGATTTCTGTCAGTGAGACAGATTTGGACTTAAAGAAAAACATTGAAAAAAAAAGGCCAGGCGCAGTGGCTCACGTTTGTAATCCCAGCACTTTGGGAGACTGAGGTCAGGAGTTTGAGACCAGCCTGGCCAACATGGTGAAACCATGTCTCCATTAAAAATACAAAAAAATTAGCAGGGCATGGTGGTGAATGCCTGTAATCCCAGCTACTCAGGAGGCTGAGACTGGAGAATTGCTTGAACCCAGGAGACGGAGGTTGCAGTGAGCCAAGATCACACCACTGCACTCCAGCCTGGGCCACAGAGCAAGACTCCATCTCCAAAAAAAAAAAAAAAAAAAAAAAAAACGGAAAAAAGGCCTTATTTTTTAAAACATTTGCTCCTATTTTTCTCCATTATTCTCTAACTGAACTTTGAATTATTGAGTTATCAAGAAAATGACAAAAATGACAAAAGCAGGAGGGAGGAGAGGAGGAAGAGGAAGGAGGAGAGTAGGAAAAGGAGGATAAGGAAGAGAGTGTGTGTGTGTGTGTGTGTGTGAGTGTAAGTGTAACTACAAGAGAGTTGGAATAAGCAGAATTTACCATTGTTAACAAGTTGAAATTTGAACCTAGTATTGCAAAATGTGCTCTTATACCAATGTATATTTGCAAAACTTGTGTTAGTTCATGTTAATTCTGATTGGTTTTCTTGGTGTTCTCCTCAGGAAATGAAAAGCTTAGAAAAGAAAACATTTTTATAGATCTTTGTCTATGGAGTCCTTACATCTATTTCAATAAAAATAATTCCTAAACTTTGCGCTTTGTAATTGGCAAAAAATGTAAATGTTAAAAATCTTATAGTTGCATTAATGTGATTATTAAGCATTAAGGATTCCACATGAAGAAAATAAACATTTTCTCATTTCCATAACCAAATTTTTGGTTCTTAATATAACTTTAGTAAAATCTTGGGTCAAATATTATAATTCCCAATAATTTTATGTTAATATTTTTCTGCTGAGAGCTCACTGGACAGTCTACAGGACCACTATGCTTAGTAACTACCTTCTTTGTTCATATAAATTCTATATTTGACTGGCAGGTTAAAACCTGGCTGTCTCTCTGAATCAGTCATTAGCAAGGACAATAAACATGTAGAAAGAGTTAACTTGTTAAGATTTTCCTGTTAATATTTTCAAGAATTACAGTTGGTCAAAATGGTTAAGGGTGGCAATACTAATTTTGTTCTTATTAAAACAGGCGATGCTCTTCTTTTTTGACTAAACTAGATTTCTTTCCCCAGAATCTATCTCTCAGCCATTCATCACCATGACAGCATCATCAGGAGTAGGAGAGCTGATCACACACTCTCCCCTGAGGCGGGTGGTAGTACAGCTCATTAATTTGGTGAGTAGGATAGATTCAAGAGTAATGTGGCTTTCTTGTTCCCCAAGTCAGTCAGCTGACACTCACTGTCTTCACTGAGTGGTAGATTATAACCAGGTAAGAGAAGTGTTTCTAAAAGTCATCAGAGAGCAATTTGAACCTTACAGTAAAGTGAGAATAGGATTATTACATATTTCTTACCAAAATGGCATTCTACATCACAGATTAGAGATAAGCTTGCAAATTTCAATGGAAACAACTGAGATTTATTACTCAAAGGATGAACTTGACACATAAAGAACAGATTTCCAGAGTCATAAGTTGACTTTCAATTATGCACAAGAGTACATAGCATTATAAAAGAATGTTCAGATCTTACTCTTTCACACACACACACACACATATATATATATGTCTTATATATTCTATGCATATTTTTGAGTTACCAAAAACAAAATTGTCTTTAGGATTCAACTGATATGTATTATTACATTAAAATATCCAGAAATACAAATATGAACCATTATTTTGCCTAGTCAAATTCAGCAAAATTAGTTTACTTGTAATTTATAAGATTCCTTCCAGAGTAGCACATGTGCTGTTACCTTTACTATCAAGAATGTGTAGCAACCATCTCAATACTAATGTTAAAGCGCTCCACTTAAAAGATACAGAATGGCAGAATGGATAAGAATTCACCAACCGAGTATCTGCTGTCTTCAAGAGACTCATTTAACACATAAGGATTCACATAAACTTAAGGTAAGGGGGTGGGAAAAATTATTCCATGCAAATGGACACCAAAAGTGAGCCAGAGCAGGTATTCTTATATCAGATAAAATAAACTTTAAGGCCACAGCAGTTAAAAAGACAAACATTATATATAAAACATTATATATAAAAAGACATTATATATTAACATTATATAATGATAAAAGGACTTGTCCAACAGGAAAAGATACAATCCTAAATATATATACACCTAACACTGGAGCTCCTAAATTTATAAAACAATTACTACTAGTCCTAAGAAATGAGAGACAGCAATGCAATAATAGTAGGGAATTCAATACTCCACTGATAGCATTAGACAGGTCATCAAGACAGAAAGTCAACAAAAAAATGGATTTAAACTATACCCTAGAACAAATAGACTTAACAGATACTTACAGAACATTCTACCCAACAACTGCAGAATATACATTTTATTCATCAGCACATGGAATGTTCTCCAACGTAGAACATAAAAGGCCACAAAACAAGTCTCAATAAATTTAAGAAAATTGAAATTATATCAAGTACTCTCTCAGACCATGGTGGAATAAAATTGGAAATCAAAAGGAACCTACAGAACTTATGTAAATACATGGAAATTAAGTAACCTACTCCTGAATGATCATTGGGTAAACAATGAAATCAAGATGGAGATTTAAATTTCTTTGAACTGAATGATAATAGTGATGCAACCTATCAAACCCTCTGGGATACAGCAAAGGCAGTGCTAAGAGGAAAGTTCATAGCCTTAAATGCATGCATCAAAAAGTCTGAAAGAGCATGAATAGACAATATAAGGTCACACCTCAAGGAACTATATAAATAAGAATAAGCCAAACCCAAACCCAGCAGAAGAGAAATAACAAAGATCAGAGCAGAACTAAATGAAATTGAAACAAAAAAAAAATACAAAAGATAAATGAAACAAAAAGCTAGTTCCTTGAAGAGATAAATAAAATTGATAGACCATTAGTGAGATTAACCAAAAAAAGAAGAGAGAAGATCCAAACAACCTCAATTAGAAACAAAATGAGAGATGTTACAACCAAAACCACAGAAATACAAAAGATCATACAAGGCCACTATGAATGCCTTTACATGCATAAACTAGAAAACCTGGAGGAGATCGATAAAACCCTGGAAATATACAACCCTCCTAGATTAAACCAGGAAGATATAGAAACTCTGAACAGATCAATAACAAGCAGTGAGATTGAAATGGCAATTTAAAAATTGCCAACCAAAACAAATTTTAAAAAGGGGCGACCAGACGGATTCACAGCTGAATTATATCAGACATTCAAAGAAGAATTGGTACGAATCCTATTGACACTAATCCACAAAGATAAAGAGGGAATCCTCCCTAAATCATCGTATGAAGCCAGTATCACCCTAATACCAAAACCAGGAAAGGACATGACAAAAAAAAAAAGAAAACTATAGATCAATATCTCTGATGAACATAGATGCAAAAATCCTCAACAAAATACTAGCTAACCAAATCCAACAGCATATCAAAAAGATAATCCACCATGATCAAGTGAGTTTCATACCAGGGATGCAGGAATGGATGGTTTAACATACAAAAGTCAGTAAATGTGATACAGCACATAAACAGAATTAAAAACAAAAATCACATGATCATCTCAATAGACACAGAAAAAGCATTTCACAAAATCCAGAATCTCTTTATAATTAAAGCCTTCAGCAAAATCAGCATAGAAGGGACATAGCTTAATGTGATAAAAGCCATCTGTGACAAACCCACAGCCATCATAATACTGAATGTGGAAACGTTGAAAGCCTTCCCCCTGAGAACTGGAATAAGACAAGGATGCCCACTCACCACTTCTATTCAGCATAGTACTAGAATTCCTAGCCAGAGCAGTCAGACAACAGAAAGAAATAAAGAGCTTCCAAATTGGTAAAGAGGAAGTCAAACTGTCGCTGTTTGCTGATGTTATGATTGTATACCTAGAAAACACTGAAGACTGCTCCAAAAAAGCTCCTAGGACTGATAAATGAATTCAGCAAAGTTTCAGAATACAAAATTAATGTACACAAGTCAGTAGCTCTGCTATACACCAACAGCAACCAAAGAATCAAATCAAGAGCTCAACCCCTTTTACAATGGCTGCCAAAAAGTAAAATAAAATACTTAGGAATACACCTAACCAAGGAAGTGAAAGACTTCTACAAGGAAAACTACAAAACACTGCTGAAAGAAATCATAGATGACACAAATTGAAACACATCTCATGCTCATGAATGGGTGGAAACAATATTGTGAAAATGATCATACTGCCAAGAGCAATCTACAAATTCAATGCAATTCCCATCAAAATAGTACCATCATTCTTCACACAACTAGACAAAAAATCCTAAAATTCATATTGAACCAAAAAAGAGCCCACATAGCCAAAGCAAAATGAAGCAAAAAAGAACAAATCTGGAGGCATCACACTACCTGACTTCAAACTATACTATAAAGCCATAGTCACCAAAACACCACGGTACTGGTATAAAAATAGACACATAGACCAACTGGACAGAATAGGGAACCCATAAATAAAGCCAGATACTTACAGCCTACTTATCTTCAACGAAGCAAACAAAAACATAAAGTGGGGAAAGAACACCCTATTCAACAAATAGTGCTGGGATAATTGGCAAGCCACATGTAGAGAATGAAACTAGATCCTCATCTCTCACCTTATACAAAAATCACTCAAGATGGATCAAGGACTTAAATCTAAGGCCTGAAACCATAAAAATTCAAGAAGATAACTTTGGAAAAAAGCCTTCTAGACATTGGCTTAGGCAAAGGCTTTATGACCAAGAACCCAAAAAGCAAATGCAACAAAAACAAAGATAAATAGATGGGATTTAATTAAACTAAAAAGCTTCTGCACAGCAAAAGAAACAATCAGCAGAGTAAAAAGACAATCCACAGAGTGGGAGAAAATCTTCACCGTCTATGCATCCCACAAATGACTAATATCCAGAATCTACAAGGAAATCAAACAAATTAGCAAGAAGAAACCAATCCCATCAAAAAGTGGGATAAGGACATGAAAAGATAGTTCTCAAAAGAAGATATACAAATGACCAACAAACATATGAAAAAATATTCAACATCACTAATGATCAGGGAAATTGCAAATGAAAAGCACAATGCGATACCACCTTACTCCTGCAAGAATGGCTATAATCCAAAAATCAGAAACTAATAGATGTTGGTGGGGCTGTAGTGAAGAGAGAACACTTTTACACTGCTAATGGGAATGTAAACTAGTACAACCACTATGGAAAACAGTGTAGAGATTCCTTAAAGAACTAAAAGTAGAACTACCATTTGATCCAGCAATCCCACTACTGTGTACCTACCCAGAGGAAAAGGAGTCATTATTCAAAACAGATACTTGCACACAGATATTTATAGCAGCACAATTTGCAATTGCAAAAATATGGAACGAGCCCAAATGGCCATCAATCAACGAGTGGATAAAGAAATTATGAGACACACATATATATATAATCTCATGTATATATATATATGGGGGAGCTAAGCTACAAGCTTAGAAATAGTGATATATATATCATAAGTGGGAGCTAAGCTATAAAGATGTGAAGGCATAAGAATGATACAATGGACTTTGGGAACTCGGAGGAAAGGGTGGGAGGGTGGTGAGGCACAAAAGACTGCACACTGGGTAAAGTGTATACTGCTTGGGTTATGGGTGCATCAAAATCTCAGAAATCACCACTAAAGAACTTATTCATGTAACCAAACACCACCAGTTCCCCAAAAATCTATGAAAATAAAAAATAAAAATTTAAAAATAATTTTTAAAAAGTGAAAACCAGTACTATGAGATTTCAGCAATTAGCATACTCTCTCTCTCTCTCTCTCTCTATATATATATATTTATTTATTTTAAAGAATGTGTAGAGTCATCTGTCAATATTTCAGAAGCAAACCTCTCAGCTCATGAATCAACTGTGTCATGCTTGGGAGTCACATCACCCAAAGGGCAAACCAAAGAATACGAACCTAAGAATAAGTTTAACGTTAAGATTTGACAAAGCTAAGAGGTATGCCTGTGTATATGCATTCTCTGCTTGAAATTTGTCATTACAAAAAAATCGATAAATTTAGCAAGTTTTTTAAAAGAATATTGAAGTCATTTTATTATTTTCATTATTCATAATTTCTATTTCTCATTGTAAATTCTAATAAGGAAAAATATAATAAAATTTTTATTATGTATTTTTATTTACTTATTATGTGTTTTTAATTGTTTACATAATCTACTTATATTTTCCTTGCTAATTGATTATATTAAAAACACAGTAAGTTTTCATCAAAGTGTTGCATACACATGGTTTTATAAATTAGAGTTCAGAAAGGTTTACAATAAAAATCCTCAGTCCTCTGCCCCACTTATTCCTTCACAGTCCTGTTAAAAACAGATGTAATCATCTTAAAATATTTCTGTTTTTAGCTCTTCTGGCAGTTATTACTATAATTCTAAATAATAAGTTGATATTTATTGATCAATTTTAGACTCCACCTATTAGCTTTCTGGTCCAATGAACAAGGATTTAAGTAAACTAACTTTCTCCACTCTTCTCTAAAAATGTTTATATCAGTTATCCACTCATCCATCCACTCATTCATTTAACAATTATTATTTTCCTATTCCAGGGAGATTTTCTAGGTGCCTGGATATGCCAGCTAATAAAAAAGACAAAATCATTCCCATTCTTGAGACAGAAAATAAACATCATAATTAAGTAAATTATAGTATGTTAGAGGGGTGATACATGCTATAGAAAAAAGATAAAGCACAGCATGTGAGATTGGGAATACTAAAGGCCATGTGAATGGTGTTAAATAGAGTTCTTGCAGGTATGAGCGAGTAGCCATGCAACTATATGGGAGAAGAGTGCTCTTCCCCAGAGGAACCAACCAACATAAAGGACAAAGTTTGCCACTCTTATCTGATGACCAATAAGAGGCCACAGTGGTGAGAACAGCCAATGAAGGAGCAGATGAGGTTACAGTGGTGAGATGAGGAGACAGCAGCAGACCATGAAGTCACGGCAAGCTCTTGGAAAGCTTTAGGTTTCTACTCTAAGTTGCCTGTGAAATCTTTGCATGGTTTTGAGGGTAGACATGACACGATCTTTCTTACATCTTGAAAGATCTCTCTGGCTGCTGAGTTTGAATATTCTGTAAATGGACAAAACATGAAGCAGAGAGACCAGCTAGGAAGTTATTGCAATAATTTAGGGCAGAGACTACAGTAGCTGGTTGAAGGTGAAAGCAGTAGAAGCATTGAGGAGTCATTTGCTGAATATATTTTGAAAATAAAGCCAACAGAATTTCCTGATAAATTGGATTCAAGCTGTCAGAAGGAGGAAGGAGTAAATGATATTGCAATAATTTTAGTCTCTCTTTAAATGATTCTTGTAACTTTAAATAATATACTTTTATGAATTGTTGCAATGTAGTAGACATCTGTCATTGCCTCCAAGTAACTTATTGAGTATCATATTTGGGGAAAAACTAATGTGACTCCTTCCTCTCCAATTTGAGTCAAACTCCAAGTCCCATTTCCATTTCATCTATAACGGAAGCATGTGACCTCGTTTCTGGCAATCTATGCAAAGTTTCATTCATACATGAACATGAGGGAAAAGAAACAGGCTCTTCTGGAAATTCCATTTGTACAGGTGTGTGGATGGCAGTGGGTGTGAGACTTTTGGTGGTAGCAACAATAGGAGTAGTGGTTTCCCAGTGTTGTAAGATCAAGTTCTTGGCACAAAAGTGTAACTGCTTGGGCAGCAGAGGTCATTTCTTCTAGTGGTCAGTGGAAAACACCAAGGCTTTTTATCATCAGACCTGTTCTGCAACATGCTTTTGGGTATTTTCTTAGAATCAGCCTTGAACTTGTTTTTTCATAGCTCTGCTAGAGCTAAACTCTCATTGTTAGCTTTCCAGTCTAATTCTGGTAGTCTTTCTACTTAGTAAGTCAAAGTCACCGTCCATTGCTTGCAACTAACACCTTTGATGAATGCCAGCAACTAGAGACAGTCTCCATCTTAATACATTTTGTGCTACTATAACAAAATACCACAGACTGGGTAATGTATAAGGAACAGAAATTTATTTCTCATGGTTCTGGAAGCTGGGAAGTTCAATATCAAGACGCTAGCAGGTTTGGACTCTGGTTCAAAGATGGCACCTTGTCGCCACACCTCTGGAGAGGAGGAGTGCTGAGTCCTCACATGGCAGAAAAGCAGAAGGAGCCAACCCACTCCTGAAAGCCCTTTTAATGGTGGCATGAATCAATTCATAAGGACTGCACCCTCATAATATAAACCCTTCAGAAGGCTCTACCTCCCAACACAGTTGGACTGGAGATTAACTTTCCAACACATGAATTTCGGAGGACACATTCAAATCATAGCAGTATCTCTTCATTCTTCATTTTGTCAGATGATGCTGATGTCCCTGTCTTTCCCATCAGTTTTATTCCCTTCCAACATCAGCCATCTAAAATTGAAATTTTAGAGAATAAATGGTTGATTCTGTCTTAGCTCAGGCTGCTATAACACAATACCATGAGCTGGGTGGCTTTTAAACAACAGGAATTTATTTCTCACAGTCCTGGAGTCTGGAAGTCTGAGATCCAAGTGCCAGCATGGTTGGGTCTGGTGAAAACCTTTTTCCAGGTTGTAGATTGCAGACTTTCCTGTGCCCTCAAATGGCAGAAAGCAAAGAGAGTGTATTAGTCCATATTCACACTGCTGATAAAGACATACCTAAGACTTGGCAATTTATAAAGAAAAAGACATTTAATGGACTCACAGTTCCACATGGCTGGAGAGGCCTCACAATCATGGTGGAAGGCAAAAGGCATGTCATATATGGCAGCAGGCAAGAGAAGATGAGAGGCAAACGAAAGGGGTTTCCCCTTATAAAACCATCAGCTTTTATGAGACTTATTCACTACCACAAGAATAGTATGAAGGAAACCACCCCCATGATGAAATTATTTCCCACTGGGTCCTTCCCACAACACGTAAGAATTAATGAGAGCTAAAATTCAAGATGAGATTTGGGTGGGGACACAGCCAAACCATATCAGAGAGGTCTCTGGGGCCTCTTTTATAAGGGCACTAATCCCATTCATGAAAGCCCCACCCCCTCTTGACCTAATCACCCCCCAAAGGCCCCAACTCCTAATACCTTCAAATTGGGGGTTATGATTTCAACACATGACCCAAACATTCAGCCCATAACAATAACACTTATATTTAATCCTATAATCATAACCAAACCTTCTATGCTTTGTCTATAAATTAATTCTAGAAGTAAAAATAGTCATTTAAATTTAAACTATGATTTAACCATGTAAATCCCATTTATTTCGAATTCAACTAGTGTAGCATAACTATATTATATACCTTTTATGTTTATGCTGGAGTGTCTTATTACCCTTGTTTACTTTTTGCACTACCAGCATTTATTTCACTGTTATGATCAGCCAACACCTTAAGTCTAGGAATATGATCAAATCTCTGGGTTCCATATTTTTTCCTAGGAACTTTTCAAAGTTTTCTGTCCTCTGGTTCCAATTAGGACTAATTGTCATTTAAGACACAGCTGTTTTTCAGATTTTCCTATATCACTTTTAATTGTTATAATCACTAATTCTTGTATTCCTTGGCCCCACCTTTTTTGTTTAATTCCTTTATTTTTAAGAGGACATACACAAATAATTTCCTAAGAAAGGTAATGTGCGACATAATTTTCTAAATGATTACATGTCTGAAAATATGTTTTTATTTTGCCCTTAGAATTGATTTTTTTTCTGGATACAGAAATGTAGATGGTAAATAATTTTCCTTCATAATTGTGAAGGCATTATTCAATTATCTTTTAGCATCTGTTGTTTGACATCTTGTCATTTTCATTCTCTTGAATGTAACTTTTTTTCCTATAATAATAATTCTGTGAAATAGTTTTTTTTGGTTTTGTTTTGTTTTTTGAGACAGTCTCTCTCTGTCGCCCCGGCTGGAGCGCAGTAGCGTGATCTCGGCTCACTGCAAGCTCCGCCTCCCTGGTTCACGCCATTCTTCCACCTCAGCCTCCGGAGTAGCCGGGACTACAGGTGACCGCCGCCGGCTAATTTTTTGTTTTTGTATTTTTAGTAGAGACGGGGTTTCGCCGTGTTAGCCAGGATGGTCTCGATCTCTTGACCTTGTGATCCGCCTGCCTCGGCCTCCCAAAGTGCTGGGATTACAGGCGTGAGCCACCGCGCCCGGCGGAAATAAGTATTCCTTTTTTTGTGTTTTGTTTTTGTTTTTGAGACTGAGTCTCGCTTTGTCGCCCAGGCTGGAGTGCAGTGGCGCAATCTCGGCTCACTGCAAGCTCCGCCTCCCAGGTTCACGCCATTTTCCTGCCTCCCGAGTAGCTGGGACTACAGGCTCCTGCCACCCCACTCGGCTAATTTTTTGTATTTTTAGTAGAGATGGGGTTTCACCGTGTTAGCCAGGATGGTCTCGATCTCCTGACCTCGTGATCCGCCTGCCTTGGCCTCCAACACTGCTGGGATTACAGGTGTGAGCCACCACGCTCGGCCCGAAATATGTATTCTTATGTCCCTAATTTATAAATGAGAAAAGTAAAAGCAGGAAAAGGAACTTACCTAAGATTGTACAAACAGAAAAGCAAAAGCAAGAATTCAAACCCACGCAGGCTGGCTCTAGAGACTGCACTCCTAACCACAACAGTGTGCTGCTTTTCATATATCATACAGTCTAGAAGTTACTGTTGGTTCAAACCTGCGTGAGAACATTGAGAGGAGAGAGAGCATAGTATGTTTCCAGAACTGCAACGGGAAGAATTCCAGTATTTCTGCAGAGACAGATGTCAGGAGACAAGGCACTGGGCACAGGGTGGAGTGGTTTAAAAAGCATAGGACGTATTTTGAACAGCATCATAAGGCCAAAGGGAAGCCACTGAATGGTTTTAGGCAGGAGACTTATGTGGTATGATTGGTAAATAATAGTAATAATACCTCATATCAAAATTATCCTTGACCTCTGGGTTGCCAAGTCTAACAGATACTTTTCTGTCCTGTTTACTCAACCTATTAGCAGCACTTCCTCTTTCTTAAAACACTGTCATTTCTTGGCTTCTACAATACCTCATTCTCCTGGTTTTTCTCCTACTTCCCTGATAATTCCTGCTTAGTTTACTTTGCTGGCTCCTCCTCCGTTACTCAGTCTATAAATGTAGCCATTCCTTAGACTCATTCCTGTGTCCATTTCTCTACCTATATTATCTCCTTTTTCCATTTTTATGCTAGAAATATCATCCTGCTGAATCTCAAGTTTATTTCATTATCCTAAACTCCTTCGCTAAGCTCCAGATTTATTTTATTTTTTATTTTATTTATTTATTTATTTATTTATTTATTTATTTATTATTTTGTATTTTTTTTGAGACAGAGTCTTGCTCTGTCGCCCAGGCTGGAGTGCAGGGGCGTGATCTCGGCTCACTGCAAGCTCCGCCTCCTGGGTTCATGCCATTCTCCTGCCTCAGCCTCCCGAGTAGCTGGGACTACAGGCGCCCACCCCCACGCTGGCTAATTTTTTGTATTTTTAGTAGAGACAGGGTTTCACTGTTAGCCAGGATGGTTTCGATCTCCTGACCTCGTGATCCGCCCGCCTCAGCCTCCCAAAGTGCTGGGATTACAAGCGTGAGCCACCGCACCCGGCCCGCTCCAGATTTATTTATACAAGTGCCTACTTACAAATTTCTACTTGAATGTATTGGAGGCATCTCAAAATTAACATACTCAAAATGAAATTTCTGATTGCTTTCTTTAACTCATTTCTTTCCCCACCATCCATAATTCTCTATTATTCTCTTTTCTTCACTTTCTGCATCTTATCCATCAGCAAGTCTTGTCAATTAAACCTACAAGATATTTCTAGAATTCATCCACCTCTCATCACTGCTATTACCTCAGCCCAAGCCTCCATCACCTCTCTTAGGCACTACCGCTAAAGCCTCCTCATTAGTCTCTCTGATTCCACTAGTGCTCCCCTACAATCCATTTTCCACACAACAGTCAGGGAAACCTTGGAAAGTGTGAGTCTTTGTATGTGACTTCCTTACCCCCAAGACTGTTTAATAGCTTTCCTTTTCATTTGGAATAAAATTTAAACTCCTTTCCAGGGACCACTAGGTCTTTCAGGTCATACAACTAATACTTAAAAGAGCTAAATTTCATATTTTTAAAAGATGACTTTGGCTAATTAGAAAAAAAAAAATAGGTTGAAAGTAGCCAAGAGTGGATACAAGGAGACCAGTAAGGAAGACTTAGCAACAATCCAGGCTACATGTGATGGCAGCCTGAACTAGAGCATTTACAGCATTAACAGTGAGAATGGAGAGAGAAAATGGACAGATTGAGATATAGTTTTTTAATGATATAAATGTAACACCCTGAAAAAACACAATAAAAGATTAAAGAAAATTATAGAACAGTGACCTGACACATTGTTGTTCTGAGTTTGAGGTACGTGTGAGCTCTCCAAGTTGCTATCAAGTAACCAGTTGAATATACAGTCTGAATATTGTCAAAATACAAAATTACAACAAATTTAGCTTAAAGATCTAATTGACTTTTATTCATGATTCTTCTGATGAGCTGAGCGGAGGCGATTGGGCTTTACTGTAGAGAAAAGAAAGAGATCAGACTGTTACTGTGTCTATGTAGAAAGGGAAGACATAAGAAACTCCATTTTGACCTGTACCCTGAACAAGTGCTTTGCCCTGAGATGCTGTTAATCTGTAACTTTGCCCCAACCTTGAGCTCACAGAAACATGTGTTGTATGGAATCAAGGTTTAAGGGATCTAGGGCTGTGCAAGATGTGCCTTGTTAACAAAATGTTTACAGGCAGTATGCTTGGTAAAAGTCATCGCCATTCTCCAGTCTCGATAAACCAGGGGCACAATGCACTGCAGAAAGCCGCAGGGACCTCTGCCCAGGAAAGCTGGGTATTGTCCAAGGTTTCTCCCCATGTGATAGTCTGAAATATGGCCTCGTGGGATGGGAAAGACCTGACCGTCCCCCAGCCCGTCACCCGTGAAGGGTCTGTGCTGAGGAGGATTAGTAAAAGAGGAAGGCCTCTTGCAGTTGAGATAGAGGAAGGCCACTGTCTCCTGTCTGCTCCTGGGAACTGAATGTCTCGGTATAAAACCCAATTGTACATTTGTTCAATTCTGAGATAGGAGAAAAGCCTCCGTGTGGCGGGAGGCGAGACATGTTGGCAGCAATGCTGCTCTGTTACTCTTTACTCCACTGAGATGTTTGGGTGGAAAAAAGCATAAATCTGGCCTACATGCACATCCAGGCATAGTACCTTCCCTTGAACTTATTTGTGGCACAGATTCCTTTGCTCATGTGTTTTCTTGTTGACCTCCTCCCCATTATCACCCTGCTCTCCTGCCTCATTCCTCTTGCTGAGACAGTGAAAATAGTAGTTAATAAATACTGAGGGAACTCAGAGACTGGTGCCAGTGCAGGTCCTCCGAATGCTGAGCGCCGGTCCCCTGCGCCCACTTTTCTTTCTCTATACTTTGTCTCTGTGTCTTATTTCTTTTCTCAGTCTCTTGTCCTGCCTGATGAGAAATACCCACAGGTGTGGAGGGGCTGGCCCCCTTCACTTTACAGGCAGGAAAGAGCTGAAAAAGCAGAAATGGAACAAAACGCGGATTGGCTGGTTCAAAGTTACTTTCCTTGTAAAGGTTAAAGCAGAAGGGACTTCCTTATCATGCCAGCTGAAACTGATCTGTTAGGAGACTTGGCCATTATCTCTCTCCTGATTTCTTAGAAGGTCAGATAACTTAGTTTCATCTTGGGATCTGGAATTTCAGAATTAGTGACTCCATTTTGCCATTTTGGTTTGACCAGTTGGGCCTAGTGCAGAAGCTCAGTCCCAACCAATGACCTCGTGTAAATTTCGTTTAACAACATAGAGGTGATACTGATTTTAAAACGTAGGTGTAAAGATGGTAAATAAAGCCAGGAGAGTGGATAACATTGCTAAGGGAAGGAGAGAAGCAGGAATAGGACAATGCCATTGAAGAATGCCAACATTTTAGAGCAAGGTTTATTTTTCTGATTCACTTTAATATTTTTCCATGTACACAGAATATCCTAATTGTTATAATCTTTGCCAGTTTAAAAGGAAAAAAAAGGATCATGATTGTTTTCATTCATACTTCTTTGATTGCTTGTAAAATTGTATATTGTTTATCAATAATTAATATACATTTTCACCATAGAATCATCTGTTCCAGTCCTGCTTTTTAAATTGTTCTATAAGATTTTTATGAGCTAAGAGGAAAAAATGCATAAGTATCCTGATAAAGATAAATTCAACCTCAGATAAATAATATTTTTATTTAGTTACCAATCTGAAAGGTAACACATTCTACTGATGAGACAAATATGAAATGGTAAGTGTGATGAATGTGAAATGTAAAATTACACATTTCCAAAGGACAGTGGAACCATTTCTGAAACTTCCTGATCATGTCTATTAATGGAAAAGGCAGCTGTACTTTTGTGAAATGAGGAAATTTGACTAAATAAGCAATCTAAGAATGCTTGTAACTCTGAAACCTTGTGATTCATTCACAACATAATGTGATCACATCACCACATACAATCATACACTTTATAATAAGAAATGACCTTGGAGATACTGTATCCATTCATTATATTTCAAATACATATCTTGCAGTGTTTTGTTTTCTGTACATTAGGAATAATTGTATTTGGTATTGTGTATAATGAAATACTTCATATTGCCGAACAAATAATGGTCACCTGATTAAATATTAAATAAACGCTCCCCCAACATAACTTATTTTTTGAATAAGGAAAAAAGGCAGAACTAGAAAGGTAAGCTACTTTTACAAGATCACTCAGATAACTGAAGGACTTGTAAGTTCATGAATATAACCACTAGTTCAGTCTGAAAATACGAGAGTAGTTTTGAGCAAAACACTCAGTCACAGTGACCTTCTAAGAGCAGCTACACAATATTGTGAAATAGCACAATAATGTATTTTTTTCTTTTTTTGTCCTTTTTTGTATGGTAATTTTCTCCCACATTTAACCACACACTAACTTTGCCTCAGGGTAGATTAAAGGTGAAAATAAGTAACCCTCAATATTCAGTCTTTCCATTTAAAAATATGTCTTTGCAGTCTGTATCAGGAACAATAAATGGAAAGTCCAGGTTTTTCAATTCAAGAGCAAGGTAATTTAGACCACAGAGTGAATCAAATCTTGAAAGGGGAGCTACGCACTGCCTTACAAGAGGGAAACGTCCTTCCTGGGTTGGAAATGGGAGCCTGGAGATAAAGTGGAGATAAAGGGGGAAAAAAAAGGGAGATAGAGGGAAGAGGATGGCAGGTGGAGTGTTCGTGAGGATCAGGGATTCTGAACTGCCTTTTGCCCCACTGTTGTAAATGCTAAGAGGGGGTACTATCAGAGACCACTGGATAGATTTTGTGTCTTAGAGCACAGGGGCTTGTTCTTACCTCCTGTCTGGAGCCCTGGGAAGAGAACCTCAAAGTGTTTTGTGCTAGCGTGGGACAGACCAGTAAAGTGTGAACAGCAGTATGGCAGGCCTGGGAGGAGAGAAGGTGTGGAGACTGCCATGCATACAGCATCTCCCACACTTCCCACACCTGCCACAAGCCACCCTGCCCCAACTCCAACACTTGGGGAACTAGAAAGTGAAGAGAGGATCAGTGGAGAAAGAAGCCTAGGATCTGGAGAAAGGGGTAGGGTTGCCATGTAAAATACAGGCTGACTAGTTAAATATGAATTTTAGTTAAAGAACAATTTTTAAAATATGAGTATTATATAAGACATACTTATATTAAAATATTTTTTATTGTTTATTTGAAATTCAATTTTTTTTTTTGAGACAGAGTCTCACTCTGTCATCCAGGCTGGACAGTGTGTGATCTTGGCTCACTGCAATCTCTGCCTCCTGGGTTCAAGCGATTCTAGTGCCTCAGCCTCCCGAGTAGCTGGGATTACAAATGTGCACCATTTGTGATGAGCCTGGCTAATTTTTGTATTTTTAGTAGAGACGGGGTTTCACCATGTTGGCCAGGATGGTCTTGAACACCTTGCCTCAAATGATCCTCCCACCTCGGCCTCCCAAAGTGCTAGGATTACAGATGTGAGCTACCGTGTTCGGCCTGAAAGTCAAATTTAATTGGGCATTTATTTTTTAAATTGCTAAATCTGGCAACTGGAATGTAAAACTATTCACTGGGATGAGATATTGTTATCGCTCTTTTTAGAGCTAGGAGATACCTGAACATTGGTGGTTGGAAAAAATTACCATGTTTATACTAGATTAGGCAACAGATCATGTTTTGAATTAAAATTCTTGCTCACCAGTAAATTTATTATTTACCTACTCTGTGTTTTAAAGTTCTAATTTCTATAATTATGTTTCTGTCCGTAGTGACATTAAGAGTCCATGTTTTATAAAATGACAAGAGTGATATTGAGATATAAGTTCATATTTAGCAGTAGAAAAAAAAGAGAACTACTTAACTTCACCGATTGACCTTTCTAAATTATAAAACATAAAATCGTCTTAACAATATTTTATGAGGCTTGGACTCCTAACTGGGCTAGTTACTAATTACCAGAAAATGCCTGACCTAGGGGTCACTGTTATTATTGAAAGCAGCTCAAAATTCATAACAAAATATTACATAATCAGTGTTTTATGTGTTGAAATGTGAAATGTTGAATGGTCATTTGCCAGCAGATTCTGTGCTGCTTGTAGTTCTCATCATTTTTTTTTGTAAGTAGTTTAAAGAGTAACCAATTAGAAAGCTTACTGGAATAACCAATTGGGAAGCAAGGTTTAATTCTCAACATTCCATTAGGTTTATAATATACAATAAACTTGAAGGCTACCACTTTTCACTAGGCCTGCCAATTAGCTTGTCTACATCCAGGTTGGAATCCCAGCCAAGAATTGTGCACTAAAATAAGTTGAAATGGGCTCCATTTAATCCATAATTTCTTTAGTCCAGATCACACCACTGTTATGAGTAAAGAATGAGAAAGGGTTTTTTTTGTTTGTTTTGTTTTGTTTTGTTTAGCAATGACCAGTCCCATGCCTTACACTATGAGGAATTTGACAGTGACAAGTGAGCTCTGATGTCTCTGTGATTTCTTTGGTTGAGTGCCAGCATCCAAAGTCTCTGGTATTTAAAGCTCATCCTGCTTGAGCCTCCTGCATTTTGTACTCTCAGTGAAGATTTGCAAAAAACTTTTACTCAGAACTACTTGAATACAGGGCATAATTTATTATTTGGAGAGTTCAGTTTATTCTCAAAAAAATATTTAGGTGATGGAAACATTTACCTTTCTACATTTCCTTGAATCTACTACCACTCATTGTAAGACACCAGGGATTTTTAGACAGCATTTGGTGACAAAACAACAAGACAATATTAATTCTATATAAAATATATGCTGTATTTAATATGTGATTCATAAACACTATTAAATGCATATACTAATTATACATTTATTCTAATTTCATCGAGTTAAGTTTATCCATTCAGCTTGTATTAATTAAGTCCCTACTTTTGCCAAATACTGTTTTAAGTGCTGTTTCAACAAGTTGGATAAGGAGCTTACATTCTTGCAAATAGATGTATCTTAGATGTGCCTTAGATGTGTTTTAGAATCGAAGAAATACAGTGACTTAAGTGAATTCTTTTGAATTAGTGGCCTTAATAAGGGCTTAATGAAAATGAAGATACTTGGGAAAATATCAAAAGAATGTTGTCGCCCATTTGTAAATAAACAGGCACTTAGCATCTATCATTGGCACTGAATTTACATGTTCCATATACTTTCTGCTGGCTAATACGTGTGGCTCCCTATAAAGCCATCATGTTCATCATTTTAGTAACATTTTTATGTAGGAGTTGTTTGTTTGTTTGCTGCTCAAAGCAACTCACTCTCCTGTTTTAAGAAATCTAGACTGAGCCGTGAGCATACAGTTTTGGAGGGTAACCCTCCAAAAATTAAAGATTTTTGCAGAGAAAATTTTCCAGAGAAAATTAAAGATGAAACATTAGTCCCTAGTCTAAAATTATGAAATAACTTCATTGGTTTTCTAGGAATTATCTCAGGTAGCAACATAGAGAAAGGGAAGTATACATGAACAGTTGGTGCTTTTTTACTCAGTCCCTTAAATATTATTACCACCTCTTCTGTTAACTTCTATGTGCTTGCCAGATTCCTCATTTTAAAAGGTTTTCAAGTCACTGATTTTGTAAGAAATAAAGAATAGTCATTGCCAGCACTATCCTTTTTTCTAAAATTAGTATTTCTAATCACATTAGACATGTTTTCAGTATCTAGAGAGGATGCCTACTCCCTACAGCTATCATGAACCATTAACTTTAATTAAAATTTACAAGTCTAATGTTGTTACATCTGCTAAAAGCATTAACTTCCATGTTAATTATGAAAATGTTAATGTTACATTAAAATAATGTTCCCTTTTGACAGTTCATCTATAGTTTAATTATTTATTTTGTTGGGGAATAAGTTCTAAAAATTGAGAAGAGAAAAGACTGTGAAGTCAAATTAGAAAAACGAGATAGAGTAGCAAAACTTCTAAGGAGTAAACCTTGTGATTCAGATAAAAGTGGCTGAAGCATACTTGTTTTCTTTATTCTGTATTTAGGAAATGTGTTCTCTTGTCTTGCATCTGAAATATTTTTTACAATAGTTCTTCCCCGTTTTCTTCTTGCAGCTAGTTTATAGTCATGTGTGATATCAGCACTCCCAAGTGTTTCCAAGGCTACACAATCCTTTATTCATATAAATCATTTAAAAAGAAAACTTCAGTTTCAAAAAGACAGCCTCATATACTTTCTATTTAAATATTGATTTATTCTTTAAAACAGATTTATTTCATTAACTTATCCAGTATACCTTTGAGCAAATAAAAATAACTGAAGGAAATTCTCAATGATCCACATGGCAAAACTGAGCTATCCAGTAGGAATATTAGTAGAGAATCTCACACGTCACTGAAAGGCATTAATTATTCTTTAATAATATTAATAGCATTTTCTTGTCACAGGCATACTTACTAGGCAAATCCTTTTTAAATACATAAGTCTATGTACATAAGCTAATTTTCAAATGGGATACATCCTTCTAAAACAGGAATATATTTGGAGTTGAGCAAAATGTTGATCCAGTTTATAGGTCACAGAGACCTTGCCTGTGTTTTTATCAGTGTGTCCCCAGTGCCTATAACTGTGCCTGCTGTAGAGTGTAGGCACTCAATAAATATTTGATAGTTGATTTAATGCCACTTTAAATTTCTTTTTTAAAAATAAAGTATTATTCTATACTGTTTTCTTTGAGGAAATTTTCTGTATGACTATATAATTTGTATAAGTAAATATATAACTCTGCACTTGGTCATTTCAAAATTATGAGCAGTCAGTTGTACAGAGGCACATATTATTTTTAAATAACTTATATACACATCAGATGAACCTGATTATTTGGAGGAAAATCCTCAGAATAAAATTCTTTCTATATGAGAGTAGTACATTAATTTTTTAAAGAACAAGCACTTAATGAATGAGGAATTCCATTTTTTTTCTTGAATTGCTGAACAATGAACACTTAGTTTCTGTAGGTCTTCCCATCCTTAGAATGTTGTGAGGACTTGCAGGACTCTATCTAGTTCTTCAAATTTTTACTTCACCGTATCTGAGAGAGACATAGCTGGGCTACAAGGCAGTTGTTAAAAAGACTATGACTCTTGTATTTCTTTCCCTATGTTTATATATTTACAGTTATGATTCACAAGTGTTTCACATACATTATCATTGATTGTACCAAATCTTGTTCAAAAAAAAAAATCTGAAGCAACTTACTGAAAACACATACAAAAATTTAAAGCATCTGGACCAACAGACGGGAAACATGAGGTGGTTAATGCCAAAAAGAAAAGAATCCAGATAAGTAAGCTACAAGATTCTCGCTGAGTTGGAATTTGGCCTTAAACTTTCAATGACAGGAAGAGAAAGTGAATAGATTTCCCCCACATCAACAAAGCTGTTTCTAACCTCCAGTTTTAGCTTCAGGAGAATTGGGTTATGTGTGGCTTTTTATGAAGGGACCTTGAGAAATGAGATAATAGTGGTCTATCACACATGGTTAAGATCATGAAATGTTTTTCCTTCATTGTTATTATTTTTAAAATGAAATCTTGTGACACAAATCAATATATAAAGCAGGTAGGAGTGGTGCCGCTCTCATTGAACTAGGGCCTTAGGGACAATCTCACCTGTTAAACTTCCCCATCCCTTACCCACAGGCTCTTGGGTCATTGTGAGGCAGCAGTACCCTCCTACCCTCTGCCAGCAAAGAGCTCTGACTCAGTCTGGCTATCTCTTCCACCATGAACTACATTTGTAGTCAGATAAGCTTCTTACCTTCTCTAAGTTCCAGTTTTCACATTGTAAAATAGGAATAAGCCTAGGATCTATCTCCTTGAGTAACTATGAGTATTAAAAACATAAAATGTAAAAATGTTTAGCATAATAGTAAAATTAAGTATAATAATTATCATTATTACAGAAGTAAGAGTATGGGTTTTGGAGTCATACAGACCTGGGCTTGAAACTTTTTTCTGCCACCTTCTAACTCTTGTGACCTTGAGAAAGTTTTCTTAGGTCTCTGAGCCTCAGTTTCCTCAACTGTAAATCAAGGGTAATGATATCTACCTTATAGGATTGTAGTAAGATTAAATGAGATAATACATAGCAAGTACTTAGCAGAGTAAAAAAATGAAATAAAATAACTTAATATTTGTTTTACTGTTAGTATATTATTAGTATTTTTTATAGAACTATTACTAACCTTTTAGTAATTTTTTCCGTGTTATCCAAGTAAGGAAAAACATTCAGAAAAAATAAGAGACTGTGATCTTCTTGAGTGCAAGAAGTGCATGTTGGTTAGTCTGTATTTGTTGTGCCTAGGATAGTGCCTGCTAAAAAGTAGATATTCCGTAGAAAATTAATTGAATTTAGTGACTTGCCCAGGGTGTCAGCTAGTATGTGGTTTGTCTGTTAGTTTGTTTTGTGATGGAGTCTTGCTCTGTCACCCACGCTGGAGTGCAGTGGCGTGATCTAGGCTCACCACAACCCCTGCCTCCCCGGTTCAAGCGATTCTCCTGCCTCAGCCTCCCGTGTAGCTGGGACTACAGGTTCCTGCCACCATGGTCCTGGCTAGTTTTTGTATTTTTAGTAGAGGTGGGGTTTCACCAAATTGGCCAGGCTGGTCTCGAACTCCTGACCTCAAATGATCCACCCACCTCGGCCTCCCAAAGTGCTGGGATTATAGGCGTGAGCCACCGCGCCTGGCCTAGTATGTGGTTTAATCAACACTCAAGTGGAAATTGAAAACAGGTGACATTACTTAGGAACCTAATGTGGATGAGAAGAAAGAATGTGTAGAACAGAGACCTGAGACAGTCCAACATTTAAAGGTAGGTAGAATAGGAGGGGCCAGGAAAGGTGGGGGATAGGGTGGTGGAAGCAAAGAAAGACATTAACAAGGTAAGAATGATGAACTGTATGAATGCTGCTGGAAGATCCAATAGGATGGCTGCCAGATTTGGTCACGTGATGTGATTGATGACTGTAGTAAAGACCATGCCCAAGCAGTTGTTGAGACAAAAACAAAGTTGGCATGAATTAAAGAGAAAGTGGGAGGTGAGAAAAGAAGGCTAGGTGATATTTTTTTTTTCACAAGAAATTAGGCTCCGGAAACAGAGGTAAGAGCAAGGGAGTGAGGTTTTCTGCTTTTGTCTTGTTATGACATGAGAGCAGTCTGAAAAATAATTATGCTGAAACTGTGGAAGAGTAGACCATCAATAGGGCATGGGTATGACCATACTTTGAAACCTCTGGGCTACATTGTGACTCTGGGCTGGCTGATGTGGAGTGGAAGAGCCGGTAATTGGAGATGAGGAGACCAGGGAGGCCTGGGTGTGGAGTGACTCATTCAAATGGTTGCTGAAGTCACTCAGGATGGAGACCAGACAGGGTGGAGAAGAGGTCTGAGGGCCAGAGGGCAAAGTCACTGATGAATGGGGGAAGTTACTGTGAGGAGTGAGAAGCAAAAGGCTCTTCATGACAGAGAGGGGCTGGGGTGAGCAGAGGAGATGGCAGGTCTCACCAGAACACAAGGGTTTCAAAAGACTAGAAAGTAAAGGTCTGGTATTGTCTATGACAAGCAAGTTAGTCACTAGGAGAATATATGAAGGAATATTCATTATAGTAAAAAATCAAGAGCTTCCACTGGCCACGTGCTCTAGGGAGAAATTTATTTTGGTTAAAGTATAGGATGTGTGCTGTGAAAAAATTCAGGATATGGAAGAGTGATTAGATAGTGGAGGAAGTTCCAGAGGGTACAATGAAAAGTGAGGAAGGACAATCTGGATTACAGAAAAGCATAAAGCATTACAGGATTGAGAACTGGAAAGAATAAAGTTGGCCAGAGGGGTTGACATTTTGGGTAAAGATGAAAGAAATAGTATGTGAGGCACAGAGTAATGTAATCCCGACTAACTCAAGCAAACGTCTTTCCTCCTCACTAGGTAACTTAGTGGCTGGAGGAGATATTTTAAAAAGAGAAGATGGCCAACAGTTTTTAAAATATCTTTTCTTACATTTCTGTCTCATACATTATGGCACAATTTTCCCAAACTTTCTCATCTACCTTAGTGACTTCGCATATTTTTTCATGGTAGTCCTAGGATAAAAAATACTACTCAACAGTTCTGTTCATTAAGTACATAGGCCCAAACAATTTACAAAGTAGTTATGTCCTAACAATTTACTAGCTGTTTGAAAAATAATATATGTAAATTGAAAAAAACAACATTCTTATTGCATTTTAAATCATGTCTATTAATGGAATGTGCATGGCTATTGGGCACTGAGCAACTTCTAGAATCCTGGATTTAGACTGGATACTATCATCCTCATTTCCTGTTCCATACTGATTTTCACATAGTACTTTTTTTCAACCATAGAAACCACCCAAAACCAAGGTTTGCAGAGATATAAAGTCATCAAAAGAAATGTAGCTAGACCTGTTATTGAAACCGTTAATGTCCCTGAGCTATGACAGCCTGTAACAGAACTCACAGTGTCTAACAGATGTCTTTGTGTTTGTCTGGAAACTTTTAAGTATTCTACCACACAACTGTGAGTTTGATTCGATTTGGTGCACAGTTTGGGAATTGTGGATACTATACTAAATAATTTGGATATTACTCATATTTTAGGGAGCCTTTAAAAGGCTTTAAAGGAAGTACACATAGCATAATCTTAGAAATATCAGTGTGGGGAAGTTATTGGAGGAGAGTAAAAAAAGGCAAGGAGATAAATTAGTAGCTCGTGACAACAGTTCAGGAAATATAATAAAGGCTAAAAGGAAAGTCCTGGAGGTGGTTATGGAGAGAAGGAGGATGGGGGTATGGAGGGAAAAGGCCAGGGGTGGTTTTGTAACTTAGCTGGAAATTGAGTCTTCCCATTGAGAATTGTTTTGTCCCCTCTCCTTGAATCTGGTTTCTGTGACTGCTTGAACAGCAGAATATAGTGGAAGTGACAGTGTGCCAGTTTCTGGGACCAGAACGCTACCTGCCATATAGTAAATGGTTTCTACTTCCTGTCCTATGGGATACTTGTTCTTGGAATTCACTTCCTGCCTCATGGGTGCTCATTCCTCCTTCTGTGAGGAAACCCAACTGGCAGAGAAGTCCTGATGGAGAACAATGTAGATCTCTGGGCCACAACACAGGCTGAGCTCAGCCATAGCCAACACCCATTTGCCAACCTTTTGGGTGAGCCATCTTGAAAGTGTACCTTCCAGCCTGATGTTGCATGGGACAAAGATGAGCTGTCCTCTCCTTTGCCCTGCTTGATTTATGGATTCATGAGCAAAATAAATCACCGTTGCTTTAAGCCGTGAAGTTATGGCGTGGCCTCAACAGATAAATGGCTTATAACCTCCATAGGTAAATGATACAAAAGCTAAATTTATTTAAGATGTGACAGGTGCCACTGTTCAAAGTGCTTTATGTGAATTGTCTCATTTAGTCTTCTCAACAAGTATTATTAACACCTGTTGAAGTTATGAGACAACTAAACTAGAGCATTTTCCCCAATCATATAACTAATCGGTGATGAATTTGATACAGAGAAGAAGAGGAGGAAGGAGAGAAAGAAGTTGATGGTTACTAAGTTGTACATTTGTGGTGTTAGTGGTGCCACTGCCTGATGTAATAAATACAGGAACATAGAAAAAGATAGGAAATATGGTAAAGAGGTAAATCAGGTTTGGAGGGGAAGATGTTAATGTAGCTTTGAACACTTAGGTAAGGATGCTTAACAGCATTGGCTGTATGAATGAGTCTATAGTTCAGAGGATTTAGAGCTATAGATGTAAACTTGGAAACTATTAGGATATAAATGATAATTTAAACTTTGACAGTTGATGCAATCACACAAGATAAGAATGTATATTTAGAGAATAAGAATAGAATGAAACTCTGGTTAGGATAAGATTTAAGGTTTGAGGAATGAAACAAGAAAATGCAGAAAAGCAGGAAGAAAGCCAATAAATAATTAAATGAAGACATTCAAGGAGTAAGATAATTTCAAACAAGGAAAGATTAGCCAATATTTTTAAATTCGACAGAAAGTCAAGTGAAATAATGTCTGGCAAACAGGTGGTGAATTTAGCAACAGAACTTTTAGTGGGGTGGTGAGACTGGAGGACAGTTTACAGTGGATTGAGAAATAAATGAGAACTGAGAAATTGGAAACTGTGAGGGGCATCACATAAGATTTTTTTTTGTTTGAAAATGACAGGAAAAGTAATACAACTAAAATGACTTATGCAAAAAGCTATCTGTTGGCTCATGTAACTAAAATACCCAAGAGTATTTCTGGCTTTAATCACTGCTGGACTCAGCAGCACCAGTGACGTCACCAGGATCCAGTTTCTCTCCATTGCTCTGCTAGTCCTTCTTCTTTGCTCCCTTTTCAGCTGGGCCCTCCCGTTTGTGTTGGCAGACAGACTGTTGCAGCTCCAGCACTATGCATTTTCATTTTCCAAACCCTTGGAAAAGAAAATCCACACTTTCTTCATTGCTTCTCAGCCTCTTGGCTAAGATCAAGTGAAAATACACTTTATTTATAACTCAAAAAAAATTCCTGAATTTGAGTCTGATTGGATCTAATGGATCTGACTTGGGTCACTTGTTCTTCCTTGAATCAATCGTTGTTGCCTAGGTAAATCGCATATTGGTTAGATGAGGTTTACTTCACAAGGAGGCAGGAGGGAATGGTTCCTCTGAGAGAATCAGGTACTGATTTACAAAAAAAAAGGCAGAAGGGAAGCTAGCAGCAAAAACAGCAGTCATTATGGTGATTATGAACTATCATCTTAGGA
The DNA here is from genome assembly GCF_000001405.40 of Homo sapiens. Classification (NCBI taxonomy): domain Eukaryota; kingdom Metazoa; phylum Chordata; class Mammalia; order Primates; family Hominidae; genus Homo; species Homo sapiens. The sequence continues at coordinate 198,117,789 of NC_000001.11, read as the reverse complement.
AGCTTGGCTGCAGAAGCAAGAAGCAAGAGAGAACCATAGAGTGAAATTTAACTAGGGTAGGAATGAAGGAGAGTTTTAAGGAAAAGACAGCTGAAACAGGGAAGCTTAAGATGTCAGAGGGAAAGGGAATGGATAAAAAAAAAAAAAAAAAAAAAAAAACTACTGAGAGAGGAAGGAGTTGACTGCATCAAGAGAACAGTTGGCAGAATTAGCTTTGAGCAGGAGGAGAGATACCTCTTCCTTTGAGACCAGATGAGGAGAGGTAAGGCTGGATACAGATATAAAGTAGTTTTTAGAAGAAGGAGCAGGAAGTTCAGGAATGTTATGACTGCTGTTTTATCTATGATTTAGGAAGGAAGGCCATGTGCAAAGATTGAGAAAGAGGAGTTAGCTGGGGAAGGAGTACACTGGTTTCTCTGGAGAATAAGAGAGTCTGGACATGCAAGGCGAAATATTGGATAACACTAGATTTTAAAGAAAATTCCCAATTTAATAATTTTATCTTTTAATATCAATGCCATTAGAAATTTCAGTGAATGAAACAGAACATAGATATCAGCTTATAGAGTGGAAATTTGAAATTAAATTATACTAAAATTGAAGGTTTTTCATTCACTTATCGTCTAGCATTGGGATTATTTTAGCAAGAAATCTTTGTTGGGAAAATTTATTAATAAGTTTATTTGGGGCTTGGAGACCTCTAGAATCCTACTTGTGAGAGCTGATCTGTAGAAGACAAGGAGGGTATTATTTTGTTTCTTTATTTCCCCTAGCTTTATTGAACATTGTATAACATGATGTTTTGATTATATGTATACATTGTGAAATGATTACCAAAATCAAGCTAATTAACACAGTCATTGCTTCACATAATTATCTTTTTCGATGTTGTGAGAACACTTAAAGATCTCTCTTAGCAATTTTTGAGTATAAAATACATTGGTATTAACTATAGTCACCATGCAGTACCATAGATCTCCAGAATTTAATCTTGCTAACTGAAGCTTTTCTACCCGTTAAGCAATATCTCCTGAGCCCCCACCTCACTCCCTTCACCCCCAGTCCCTGGCAACCACCATTCTTCTCTCCCCTTCTCCAAGTTCAATTTTTTCCGATTCTACATAGGAGTAAGATTATGCAATATTCGTCTTTCTGTTCCCTGCTTATTTTGCTTAGCAAAATGCCTTTCTTCTAAGTTTATCCACGTTCTCACAAACAACAGAGTTTTCTTCTTTTTTAAGGCTGAATATATATACACATACACACAAACACTTACGAAGAAATATTCATACTGATTTCATTTCTTTTGAATATATACCCAGTAGTGGGATTTCTGGATCATATGATAGTTTTATTTTTAATTTTTTTAAAGACCCTCCATACTGTTTTCTATAATGGCTATATTAATTTATATTCTCACCAACAATGTACAAGAGTTCCCTTTCCTCTACATTCTTGCCAATACTTGTTATCTTTCATCTTTTTGATAGCAGCTATTCTAACAGTTGTAAAGTGATAGCTCATTGTGGTTTGATTTGCATTTCCCTGACTAGTGACGTTGATCACTTTTTCATATGCCTGTTGACCATTTGTATGTCTTCTTTTGAAAAATATCTATTTATTTAGGTCCTTTGCTCATTTTTTAATTGGATTATTTGTTTTCTTGCTATTGAGTTGTTTTAGTTTCTTACATATTTTAGATATTAACTGCTTATCAGATGTACGGCTTGCAACTATTTTCTCCCATTCCCTAGGTTGTCTCTTCACTCTGTTGATTGTATCCTTTACTGTGCAGAAGCTTTTCAGTTTGATGCAATCCAATTAGTCTATTTTTACTTTTTTATTTTTTGAAGAATAAGGTAGAAAATGAGAGATAGAGAAAGAACACCAAGAAGACAGCAAACTAAGGAAATACTGCATTTTTTTACGATCTTCAAATCTTTAGTAAAATGTCTAAACTTCTGAAGCGATTGGTAAAAGTAGTTTTTGTTTTATTTTGTTGTAATACCCACTAGCGAATGACTGTGTTTTAATCTGGGTTGATGCAAGTAGGATCCAAGCAATGCTATGAACACGAAAGCGTGGAGGCTGGTGATGTCTGGGGACCACATCACTAAGAATAAAAGGAAAGGCTCAGGATTTGCACTGCAGGCTAAATTTAACTTTTCCTGGAGGATGTATTCATCAGTGAAAATATGTATTTTTCTGTTCATCCTCCTATATTAAAATAATATCAGAAAAAGGAGTCACAAGTAAAACAAAATAAAATATAAAACAGATATTATTTCCATAGCATATAGCCATTTAGTTCATAAAAACTATTATTTGGCACTTTGGGAGGCCGAGGCGGGTGGATCACAAGGTCAGGAGATTGAGACCATCCTGGCTAACATGGTGAAACCCCGTCTCTACTAAAAATACAAAAAATTAGCTAGGCATGGTGGTGGGCACCTGTAGTCCCAGCTACTCAGGAGGCTGAGGCAGGAGAATGGCGTGAACCTGGGAGATGGAGCTTGCAGTGAGCTGAGATTGCGCCACTGCACTCCAGCTTGGGCGACAGAGTGAGACTCAGTCTCAAAAAAAAAAAATTATTATTTAAGATTCTACTAATTTGGCAAAATGTCTTCATAATGTTCAGCTCTTTGTTTTTTTCATTCAAACTTTTTTTTTTCTTTCAGGAATTGCGTGTATAGTATAAAACAAGAGAATAATTGCTGCAATTGTTGAAAATAATCATTTTAGATACAAATCGCTTAGAGGCTACAAACTACAAAATAGTAGATATATTTGTCTAAGGTATATAGATTACAATTATCATTCTATGAGCAATTTTGTTCATCTGAGAAAAAGAAAGATATTTCACTAGTGTCAGTTCCAGCTTTGGACTTCAGAAGATGCAGAGTATTTTCGTCCAAATTCACTACAGTGTTATTCTATCCTCATTAAACCTGTGAGGAGTCAGGGAAGGGTGTTACCCTTGTTCTTTTAGCTCCTGAGATAGAATAACTGATTTGATGAAGGCCACATACCCAGTAATTTAGAGCTTCTTAACCCAGGTTTGTGCAAATAAAAGCAGGCAGAAAGACACTGATCCCAGTCTTCAGGCAAGAGGAAATATGCACTCCAATCGCCCCCGACACACATACAAACACACACATGCGTGTGCGTGTGCAGCAGGAGCAGCTTCTGCTGTGTACACAGTCACCATATTTTACTGTGTCATGACAGGAAACTGTGATGGAGGGAATTTGAATCTGACTCCAAGTGTGGAACCAGTTCCACCTCTGCCCACTGCCTCTTCAAGAAAACCATGACATTCTTTTCTTACAAATTAATTTTTATAAAAAGAGTAATGCTTTATCCATATTTTCTTCATTCAACACATATAATATTTACTGAGCTCTACAGCATGCCAGCCACTTTCTGAGCCAAGATTCGATACTTCACCAAATCCAATGATTACAAAGATCCAGTGGGCACGGATGTAAAAATACCAGTACATCTGTTTTGCAGTCTATTAGCATTTGCCCAGTCAAAAAAAAATGGCCCCTCATTACGCTTGACCTGAGCACCAAGTCTTACAAATCACCCCTGGTAGATGGTGTAGTGGCCACAACCTACCATCCCAGTAAATTCCTCCCTTTGAGATGTGACCTTGTCATTTCTCTTATCCAAATATGGAGTCTATTTCTCTACCACCTTTGAACCTGGGCTCTAACTGTGACTTATTACAACCAATAGGATGTGGCAGAAATGATGCTCTGAATTTTAGAGCCTGAACATCAAAAGGCCTTACAGTTTCCATCTTGAGCCTCTTGGACTGATCCCTTAGATGGCCACGGCATGGAACGTTCCAGAACAAGAGACTAGTTGGAGAAAAGGGGCCAGTTTTCCCAGCTGAGTCCAGTGAATGGATGGAGTAGAATAAATAAACCTAGGGAAATCAGCAAAGGAACTGCTCAGCTAACCCAAAGAACTGTCAGAAATAATTGCTACTTTTTAAAGTCATATGTTTGGGGGTGTTTGCAGCAATAGATAACTGATAAAGGAGCCCTAAGGAGATGTTTGGGTGTCTCTGGAGCTGCCAATCATTGCTCAGTCTAAAGGAATTTTTGAATACTTGAAAAATCATAAATAATGCAATGACATTTTTAGATCCCTTTCTCATATCATTGAGACCTTTAGATTTATTAGCCTTTTCTGAAAGTCACTTCCAAAGATACAATCAAATATTTTGCTTTTGGAAACATTTCAATTATGCACCATTTTTTCCAAATGGGAAAAATATGTATGACTTAGGATTGTGCTTTTTGGCAATGAAAAGGCTATTGGGAAATGCACATAATTTCTGAAGGGCCAAGGAAAGAATTTAGCCAATCACTACATTGTGTGTGTGTGTGTGTGTGTGTGTGGATTCAAGTTACCTTTTCCCTCCTTCCAGGGGGAAGGGTGCAAATGATGATGAATTCATTTTCTTTTACATAAATTTGAGCTCACTTAAGAATAATTTTACTTTATATATCTTTAATGCAGAATAATGTTTAAGCAAAGAATTTTCAAGAAGAGAATAATGGCAAGTTTTTAGGGAGATTTTTTTCTAACAGCATAGCAGAAGGCAGCCTTGCTCCTGGGCTTCGTTAAGTTACATAGATTTAATTGCCTAGAGCAGGTCTTCTAGAGTCAAGTTTACTAAAATGTGGGCCTTTGGGAGCATATTTTCTGGAAATACATGCTTTTCAAATATATCATTTTATAATTTAGTTGTATCCGGACTCTGCAGTATATGAATATTTTAAGAATTAAACTATTGATCTGAAAAGAAGTTGGTATCAAATATCCTATTCCTGAAAGTCACCCAAGTTAAGGTAATTTTTTTGCACATTTAAATGTTACTACCATTCCTAACTCACTTTACCCCCACCCCCTGAGCCTTTTAGCTCTTAAAACTGTCTGGAAACCAAACCATACTTTAAAAATTACTTTTATGGGGGAAAAATGAAAACACATTTTACTGTTTTTTAATTGGAAGATGGTGCACCTTCTCATGGCTCTTGCAGTTTCTGAGAGACCAGAAGTGGACTACACTACTTCTACTTGGTCTCTCATCTATAAGAAGAGACAACAGTCAGAAAACCTTTTACTTTCTAACCTCAGAATTCCTTTTCAACATTATCAAGACACCTATACTAATGGCAAGTCCAATTTAACCTTGTTCTAGTCAATGGCCTCTGCTTTTTTTTTTTTTTTTTTTTTGTAACCCACAAGAGTTTCTGTATCTTTATTTTAGCTCTTTCAGAGCATGTCTAGACCTTTTTCTCTCATCAGGCTATGGGGTAGGAGTAGGGGTGGTCGATACTTGTCAGAATAAATTACAATTTTTGGCAAGCAGCTGTGTCTCTTACCCACTAAGGAACTAGAATATTGCCTTGTAAAACAGTGCAGCCCTTTTATTATTACTTAATTATAAGGCCAAAATAAGGACACTGTTTTATAGGCTCTTTTAAGGTATATACATAGGATTTTCATCTTGGAAAATATCAGAAGAGATTAAATTTTTTTCTAGCCGCCAGTGGACTGGTCTGATGATACCAGCTCAGCAGTGCTGTATTTGGTCAGGAACTTAGATCTCAAGGTCCCAGGAGAAGTTATGCTTCACATTTTCTTTGTCTGCTTTCTCCTCCTCATAAACAAAAGGTTAATACACCTCAGACCTGCACCGGAAAATCACAGTTCCCATTCGTATGACACAATTCCATCAGGGTCCCAAGACAGGGGTTCAGAATGATTAATCCCTGATATTGGCTCTTCAGCTCTGCAAAGCACTTCAGGTTGAAAGCAAGGTCTTCACAGACCCTCCAAGGCTTTCTCATGTGATACACATATTGTCTCCATCTCAACTGGTTCCAGTGTTATCTCAAACCCCTGACACCCACCCTAGCCTCTTAACTAACTTGCACTAGAAAAAGGATCAGGTGGTATAATCATGAAAAAATTGTTGCCATTGGGAAAGGACTTGGGATGGTTGATACATTTATGTAAGTCAATATTTGGTCACTCCACCTTAAATCTCAATAATTAATTTCTTCAGGGTTAATAAACCTCTGGGAGAACTGGCTGACAGTACCAAAACCTAGGTGTGATGGACATAAACCAGAAAATACACTTGATATTTTACAATGATAGATGTTGGTTGGCATGCTAATTGGTGTTCAGTACATTATTTTTCCACCAAATCACGTTTATTGAAGAGATACAATATTTAGGTGGTTTGGTATCAATACAGGGCTCCTAGACTAGAGATATACCCATAACAGTGGGCCTCTTTGAACCCATCAGTGGCTCCATTTCCCAGGCCATAGTTTGTCTTCTAATTAATCCTGGCAAGCTGTTGACCAGGTTTGTATCTAAACTGCCTTACCAGTTTTAGGATCAAACCAAAACCAAATTTATTTCAATATACAATGTCCAAGAAAATGTGCTCCAGGTGTTAATAAAATTTATTAAACTTCTGTTTGCACGGATCACAAACTATTTGGATTTTGGAGGACAGTGTGAACTTAAAATGAAATCTAGACCTTCAGGTGAGAATTGTATATTTAATTTTATAATTAACTTGTGTTAATTTTTTTGTTTTTTATTTTTTAATTTTATAATTAATCTTAGTTGTTTTACCAGAGTACTGGAGAAATATATTAGAACTATAGCAAATACATGAAACAAAACAAAATATGCAAATATAATTTATTAATTACATGTTTTGTGGAAAACATGGGCTAAACAAATTATATACATTGTTTATATATGTTGTTTTATTTAATCCTTACAGAATTAACCCCATTTTACAGGTAAAAGAACAAAGGCTCAGCAACTTAAGTGACCTGTCCATGCTCAGAGCTATTAAGTGGTAGAGCCAGAGTTCGAGCCCACATCTCCCACCATGTTTTCAAGTGTCTATGTTGAAAATAACACAATTATTTTTTCCTGTCTTTCTGATATGTGGTTTCTAAATCATCAAAGACATGGCCCCCATCTTGATAATCCATGATCCGCATGCTGGAGTGACACAGAATCAGTGGTTCTTGGATGTAGAGGGAACCACATGCCTGGTTTTCCATGGTATTCAGTCAAGGTATTTGGTTGAATTAGATATGGCTGTTGTACCAGTTCAGAAATAATGAGCCAGGTGTTGATGATAATAATAAAAAGAAATACGTATGGAAAGATTACTTTGTGCCAGGTACTATACCATGTTAAGAACTTTTTTAGCATAATCTTTGAAACATCACAAGAATCCTTTCCAGTGAAATTTACTATTCATTTTATAGAAAAAACTTGGGATCACATAGGCACAGCTATTTGTCCACGATTCCAGACACGGGAAGCTGGTGTTAGATGGATCAGAATCTACGATGTAATCTGCCTGACTGAGATTCTTACGGTTCCTGAATCTTGGGTTCCCTTCGGTAGACTTTCGAGTATTAACTGCTATGATAAGGGCATGGGAAGGTTAACCTTAACAGAACAGAATAGACTTACTGTGACCCAGACCTACCAATAGACATAGTCACTTTCAATAGTAATAATAGACAAAAACAATCAGCCATGTAGCTGAATCACTGGAGGTCAAACACAAATAAAAGAAATGGAAGGACATGCAGGACGTGTGAGTGTTTTATTGCTGCTGCAGCAAATTACCACAAATTTTGTGTCTTAAATCAATGCAGATTTATCATTTTATAGTTCTGAAGGTCAAAAGTAATAAATGGGTTTCAATGAACTAAAACAAAGTTTATGCATTCCTCCTAAAGGCTCTAGGAAAGATTCTGTTTCCCGGCCTTTTCCAATTTCTAAGAAGCTGCTTGCATTCCTTAGCTCCTGGGCCCCTTCCTCCATCTTCAAAGCCATCAGTGGCCAATCACGTCTTTCTCACTCTGGATTACACTGACATTGACATTTCTGCTACCTTACACCTTTAAGGATCCTTGCAATTACATTAGATTTGCCTAGATAATAATGCAAGATAATCTCCCTATTTAAGGTCAGTTGTTTTGCAACCTTAATTTTATCTGCAACCTTAATTCTTCTTTGACATGTAACTGAACATATTCACAGGTTCCATGGACTAGGATGTGGACACTTTTTGAGAGCCATTGTTCTGCCTACTGCATAGGTATACTACAGCCACAGGTGGTCCAATGGCAGAAAATAGGAAGGTATTTTGCATTAGGGAGCTTTATCAAGAGACAGTAGGGCCTCAGGCTATACTAGAATTTTATGAGAAGAGAGTAAAAACCTGACAAACTTGAAGTAGGGCTTCAGGTTTAGAGGATCTAAAGTACTAGGCATGCAGTGGAGGGACTCAGGTTCCAAAGTACTTGACCCAAGAATTAGAACCACACCAACAGCAAGGCTGATAATGCTGAACTACCCAAGAGTTAAATATGAAAGTTCTAAATGTCTTGTAAGAACATTTTTATCCCACGGCCTGAAATAAACTGAACTCACAAGTGCAGATCAAGTATTGAATATTTTGTTTACTCATTGTGAAATCATCAGCTATGTGACAAAATAACAGGTTGTAGAAAGTTTCACAAGTTGATAGGGATGATGGGAGAGTAAATTTCTAAATATCCATACCTCTTTTTGAATTTCTTCACATGCCATTTATCTTAGTCTGTTTATGCTGTTATAACAGAATACCTGAGATTGGGTAATTTATAATGAACAGAAATTTATTGTCTCATGGTTCTTGGGCCTGAGATGTCCAAGATCAAGATGCCAGCATCCTATGAGGGCCTTCTTGCTGCATTACACCATGACAGAAGGCATTATGTGGGCAAGAAGTGGGGAGGAGTTCATCCTTTTATAAGGAACCCAGTCTTATGAAAACAGCATAAACCATTTATGAGGTTTATAGGATGGTGACCTCAAGACCCAAACATCTTCAATTATGTCCCATGTCCCAACACCACCACACTGGGGATCAAATTTCTAACACATGAACTTTGAGAAATGCATTCAAACCACAGCATTCCACCCCTGGACCCCAAGATTTAAGTCCTTCTTACATGTGAAATATCATCACTCCATCCCAATAGCCCAAAACTCTTAACTCATTCCAGCACCAACTCAAAAGCCCTAAGCACAGAGTCTCATCTTAATCAGACGTGGGTGAGTCTCAAGGCATAAATTATACTGAGACAAATTCCTCTTCAATTGTCAGCCTAAGAAATCAAACAAGTTATCTACTTCTAAAATATAATGGTGGGACAGGCGTGGGATAGACATTCCCATTCCAAAAGGGAGAAATAGGCAAGAAAAGAGAGGTAACTGGTCGCCAAGTAAGTCCGAAACCCAACAGGGTGAACAATATTAAATCTTAAGACTTTATAATAGTCTTTCTTGACTCCATGCCCTGCTTTCTCATAACACAGAGGTGAGGATAAGGCCCCGAAGGTTTCAGGCAGCCCTGCTCCATGACCTTGCTGACCTCAGCCCTCACAGCAGCTCTAATGGGTTGGAGTCTTGTACCTGCAGCTCCTCCAGGCTGGGGCTTCATGCCAGTGGAGGTATAGTACTGGAGTCTTAGCTTCATTAGGCATTACTGTAGTGGGGACTCACTGTGGTGGCTCTGCTCCTGGGCCAAGTCTTTCCTTGGGATTACTTGAGCCATCACTGGGGTGACCAAGGGGTACTGCACCAGAATGCAGGGAGCATTGCCCTGATCAGCAAGCTCGAGGGCACCCTAGGACCATCCCCTGAAACCACTCTGCTCTCCTAGAATTTGGGGTCTGAGATGAGAGGAGAAGCCTTGAAGATTTCCAAAATACCTTCAGAGTCATCCGCCCATTGTCTTGATGAATACCACCTGGCTTCCTTCTATCCATGCTAATCCTTTATCAAAGGGCCACTTGCCAGATCCTCGCATGCTTTTTTGTTCTTTATATGGCCAGGCTGTGAGTTTTCCAAATTTTTATGTTTTATTTTCCTTTTAATTACAAATTTCATCTTTAGGTCATTTATTTCTTCTGCCATTTTACTGTATGCAGTTAAAATAATCCACACAATAAAACCACCTTTGCAAAATTATGACAGTCAGAGAAATCTGACAGAGTTGACTCCATCTTGCTTTTAAACTCCAAACTGTCCTTGATCATTCCTGGGCATAGGCAAAGCTAACTTTGGGAAAAATTGAGTTTATAGTTTAACCTTAAAGCAAGAATGATAATAGTGCTTCCCAAAACTAATTCACCTTTGTAAAACTAATGAAAGCCCACAAGAGTAGGATTATGAAAGAGGCCTGAATTCCTCTAAGATGTAGGCATAGATAAATGTTAACCAGCCATTGTTCTGGAGGTTACAAGATTTGTAACTTCCTCAGTTACACATGTTGATAACATCGCTATGATAGAACCTAAGATTGGCCTTTGAGATGTCTCTTCAGACTTTTGCATTCCTGATGATTGGCTAACTCTACCTGGTCTCATGACTCATGACTCAACTGGTCCTGTGGCCTTCACACACAGAGGCAGACTCAGAACACAAGGACTGTTTTCCACACCCCTATGATGGCATCCCAACCAATCAGCAACACCGATTCCCTAGTTTCCACCCACCAGACTATCCTGGAAAACTCTTAACCTCTGAGTCTTCAGATTGTTTTGTGTAATAACTCTGTCTCCCATGTGTCATGGCTGGCCTCAAGTCAATTAAACTCTTTCTATACAGCAATGCTGTGGTCTCAGTGAATTGATTTTGACCATGGAGTGGGCAGAAAGAATCTGCCAGATGATTACAAAGTCTCCTTCAATATTTTAGTTAGAAATTTCTTCTGCCAGATAATCCTAGTTCAGTACTCTTAAATTCTGCTTCCATAAAGCTGTTGAGCATGGGAACAATTCAATCCTGGTCTACTTTATGACAAGGATGACCCTTCCTTCTGTTTCCAATACTTTATTCCTCATTTTTCTCAGAGATTTCATCAGAATAAACTTTACAGTCCATACTTCTACGAACATTCTAATCATGACCACTTAAATACTCTCCAAGAACTTTTAGACTTTCCCTACAGCCCTCCTATTTTCTGAGCCCTTTCCAGAATTGCCCTTATAGCTCTGCTCATAGCAATACAGGCTCTTTTTAGCCTCCAAACTCTTCCCATCTCTGCTCATCACACAATTCTAAAGTCATTTCCACATTTTCAGGTATTTATTATAGCAACAGCCCCACTTCTTTCTACCAGTTTTCTGTCTTAGTCCATTTGTGCTGCTATAACAGAGTATGTGAGACAGGATAATTTATAATGACTAAAAAGTTATTGGGCAAATGTGTCACATGGGCAAGAGAGTGGGGGAGAGGGTCAAACTCATCTTTTTGTAAGGACTGACAGCCAAAATGAGTGTTTGGGGCATAACTCTCAAATCTGAGATTTATTGAGCCAGCCTGAGGGTATGCCCAGGAAAACTGCATGTCACAGAAGCATCTGTGGCAGTTTTTTCCCAAGAAGTTCTTAGGAGGCTTAGTATCTATACATTTTCCTTAAAAAGGGCTGTAGGGGTCAGCAGTGAGATAAATGATTACATACTTGTAAGACTTTAGTTAGTGCCCAGTAAATCTACATTTTACATAAGATAAGGTGAACATTTGAGGGAAAAAGGGAATAGAGGAAGCAGATGTCTCAGGGAGGTGTGAAGGAATGATTAATGTCTTTGTTCTGTACCTGGGAAGATAAACTAGTAGTTTTTTGAGAGCACCAAATCCTAACCACTACACTACCAGGGAGCATCAACTGGTAGCTTTTGAAATGGCTGGTTTCTGCTTAGCCTTTAGGGAAGAAAATCTAATGACCGTAAGCAAGGGAGGGAGTCTAATGAAACCTGCCAGATTTCCCATCCTGAATTGCCATGAATTCAACTTCCAAGGTTTCTTTGGGGTTCCCTTGGCCAAAAGGGGATCAATTCCATCAGTTAGGGGACTTAGAATTTTATTTTTATCTCTCAGAATCCACTTCCATGATAATAGCATTAATCCACTTAGGAGGGCAGTGCGCCCATAACCCCAACACCTCTCATTAGGCCCCACATCCCAATGCGGCTGCATTGGGGATCAAGTTTCCAACACATTAACTTTGGGGACACGATCAAACTACAGCACCACTCAAATTGTATCTTGTATTGTATGTCAATTTGTTTTAAAATTGTAGTGGGCCCAGGAATTAAAAGGAAAAGTGTGGCTTATTGAAACTACAAACAGAAGTGCCCCCTAATGGAAATGAAGACCAAAGCCTGTGTAGAATGAGTGATATCTAAGATTCACAGGGAGCAGCTTGCTGCTGGGGTCTTTTGTGCAGTGTGTGTCACACTCTCAGACTTGGAATTCCAAGCTGACCGGGTGACTGGCTGACCAAAAAGAGCTCACAGAAGCCTCCATCAAATCACAGCCAGTAATGATGATGGTCCCAGAATACCCAAGGAGAGACAAAGTCAAAAGAGCTACAATCTAAAAATAATTCCACTGCATTCCCATCTCTAATATCATCTCTATCTTTGAAGAGGAAGAACAAGGAGAAAAAAGGGAGGAGCTGAGAGTTTGATGAGAGGAAAAAAGGGAAAAAAAGAGAATGCCATAAGAAATGACTGTTTGGTGCATTATTATTTTTTATTTATTTTTACTCCCTTTGAGATTTTATAAAGAGAAAAAATATATATACCAAACACTGTTTACTTACATAATAAATATAACCTTCTAAACTATACAGACAAGTCAGTAGTTTCCCAAGTCATCAAGTGGGTCACCTGCTTACAAGGAACTGAATATGCTAAGTAGGACTCCATCCTCATCTGAGGGTAATAACACAAATATCAAACATTTGTGTGGTATTGTACAGTTTACAGGGGTCTTTTCTCAAAATCTGTGTACCCTGAGCTAGAACTAGAGTTTAATACTTTAATTTCTGACCTGGTAACCTCATCGAAGTCCCTTCCTTTTTCTCGTATTTCCCAACTATAAAATGGGAAGTATTTTCACACTACATAAATACATAGTTGAGGACTACTATAAAAATATGTTAGTTCATGTGTTCTGTTTTGAGATTATATAATAAAATAATAATATTAAATGTAATATAGTATTTTGGAACTTCTTCAAGGTTTTCTTTTAATAATTATATCCTTAAATTTTAACATTTTTCTTTTCATTACGCAAAAAGAAATTAATTTTCCTACCCTTAATGAATAATTTCTAAGCAGATTCTAACTGAAAGAGAAAAGAGTTAATCTTTGCTGTGTTCCTTAGTGATTATGTGTGATCTTATGCTTCAGACTTTAACAATCAAATCTATTTTTTGCATACAGTGGTGAAAATATGAAATATCTTAGGTTTTGCCCAATATACTATACAGTGCAGTATGAGCATGAAAAGTGAAAAGAGTGAAAAGAGACTACATTTTGGAAGTCAAACAGAAATGGTTTGAATTTCACCTTTATGATTTATTAGCAAATTAGTTTACCTCTTTGTGTTTTAATTTCTGCATTAGTACAATAGATAAAATAATTACTTCCAATAATTTTTTTGAAGCTTAAATGAGATAAGGTGTTTTGTAAATGGCTGAAAAATTAGTTATTCTATAAATATTAGGTCTTCTCCTCTTACCTTCCCTTTAATTAGGCTTCATTGCATGTCATTATCACAAGTAGGGATGGTTCCATAAGAATTTTACAGAAGGATAAAATGAAGTACAATAATCAAAGTCTCTTGGAACCCCATAGCCAGAAACAAAGAGTAGCTTGTTTTAAAGAATTCTGCCTATTTCTGACTTGAAATCCATTAAGAATGCCTGAGACAACTGGTTTTCTAAGATAGTTTAGCAGGATCAAACTTGTTCTTATAAACCTTGGCACCAGGCTTGGACTTCTGGTTGATAATGGGAAACTAATTATAATTGATCAGGGGGTGTATGCTGTTGGGTTCCTCAATGTTATCACATCTGGCTTAGCCTATCCAGGCTACTCCAGTTTGTGAGAAATGGGAGAACCAGGCCTAGAACCCAGGTCCTCTAACTCCAAGCTCCGTATTGACACTTCTGTGATTGCATTTTTGTTAAGAGTTTTTCACATTTGTTTATGCCATTTATGCCATTCTCAAGAAACCAAGGTTAGTCTTGTCTTCTCTCCCATGAAAAGTTTAATCTCAATTTCTCACAACATGATGACAGCACTTAGAAATTCTCCATATTCACCTGCCAGTATACACAGGACCCTTGTACCTACCTATAAAATGTTTCCATGTGGTGGCCAGATAAAACCAGAAGTAACTGATGTGGCACAAGAATAAAAGCCTCCAGACTATAGCTAGGAGAGAAAAATTGTTTCTAGTTTTGTGTCTGTCTCTATCTCTCTGGTGCTGGCTGGTTATTTAACTACTTAGGATCTCTGCTTTTTTTACATCGTACAGGTTGTTATCATCTAAAAGATAAAATTTACAGCTCACATACCAATGCCATAGACTTTTGGTTGCCAAGTGGCATTGCATTAAAATACTTGAAACAAGAACTCTTAACTAGATGCGGAATGGTCAAACACAAGATTTTAATAGAAAAGCCAACGCGAATTCAGCAAGAGATATTCAAGTAAGGAAGTTATCTTAGATGATCACAAAGGTTTCTTCCAGTCTGGGAGTCTTTGTTCTGGTAAAATGAAGTCAGCACTGATACAGCTGCCTTGATGTGTCCTCACGTAGCAATCCCACCCCAACTCTCCATGTCCAATGCCACAGAGTGTATAATGCAAACCTTCAGGATTCAGTTTGATTCAGACGATATGCATAGACAAAGCCATATCCTCAGCAGCAGAATTTGAAACTTAAGACTGTCTAATGGATTTTATCACTAATGAGTAGAGCCCATGGTTTTGAAGCACTGAATGCAGTTTTTAAATCTTTCCAGTGGAAGTGTTTGCATGCCTGACTTAGCTGAAATGCATAGCAGGCATTTTCTTTGCATCTCTGTTTTACTATCTATTTCCTTGCCACACTTAGTATTTTAAACTGCCCTCCTACTTCCTGGCATTACTGAGCTTGAGTTGATTGAAGGTTATAGCAAAGTTAACAGTTTGGAAATGTGGTTAACAGTGTGGTGTGACTGCCTTCGGTTGAAGTGTTAAAATTGCCTATAAATCAGAAAGAAAAAGAGAAGATGGAGCATTTGCCCAAAGCCCAAAGCAGAATTTCATCAACATGAATAATTCTCAGGGCTTAGGAGGCTGTTAAACCTTTCCTTTCACATATTTTTAAGCTCCTTTGAGATCACTCACTGAATTCACAGATGCTTATAATATCTTGATGAGTCAAGCAATGTTCAATTTTAGAATCAAATTGCAAGTCCCCTCTAGCTCAAAAAATGTTTAATTTTATTATCTTTGCTAACAAGTCTGGCACACGATTTTAAGACCATAATGTGAAACTGCGTCAGACGAATGGTTGAACTAGTGGCTTATGACCTAAGTCTCAAAAATTTGGAAATGTACTAAATCTAATTACCCAAATAATATATTAATAAATTTTCATTTAAACTTTTATTTAAACAAACACTTATTGAGTCACTACTCATGCCTGGGAGACTGCAAATATGTGGTCTCTGTACTCTGCTCAGAGTCAGATGGTGAAGTCTCAAATAGGCTTCAATTATATGCTGTTAGTTTGGTTTAGTTTAAAATTGTCATATCATAAAATCCCTTGTTTCATTTTTTATAGAATAGTGCCACTGTTCTTAAACCCTAGAATCCTAGGTACTACAGCCATATGATGTATTTAGGATTACTTCAATGTGGTGAGTAAGGAAACCCAATGCTTCTCTGTGGTTCTGCTTCTTATCACCTCCTCTGAAGATGAAGAATCAGGAACAACCTCCCCCACAGCCCCACTCAAGTGTAGAAAGAGACCTGTAGCTACCTTTGTAGTGCAGGGGACCACTATGCAGATGGGTCGAACACTTTTGACAAGGAAAAGGAAGGACTGTCACTTGCCTTGCATAGTCCAGAGCCACTTAGATAATTATCTTAGGAAAGATGTCAAGGAGTTTCTCTAAAATAATGTCTTACAACTAGAAAGGATATGGTGTGAAGACTTGTCTTACGGTGATACAGAATCCTTCGTTACATTGACATGAGCTTGAATTGTAGGTAATGTGATTTTCAAATGGATAAGTTTAGGATCCTTTTGGTTTCTTGAAGTTTTGCAGAGACTATTTGAGCAGTAGCTATACCTAGTACCCATTTGGCTGTTTTTTAAAATGATACTTTTTTTTTAGCCCTTTACAGAGCTTTGAAAAAACAAAGTGAGGTGGAAAAGTATGAAAGAAGAATATAATAGAAAGGTAGCAAGTGATCTTGAAATGACAGAATCACATCTTTATTTGAACTACTCTTAGATTCCTTGGTATGGTTTAGAGCTGAATAAGTTGGGAGAATCCAGTACAAATGAAACCTGGGGTGGAAGGGGATCTGAAGCCCAGTCAAATGCTGTGAGGAGCCTAAAAATTTTTTCTTTTAATCAGATTCTGACCCCATTTCAGCAGCCCTGGTTATGTCTCTGAGATTAGCCTTTCATGCCATAGATATAGAGAAAACATGTCAGAATTTTCTAGCATAATTATAACCAAATCTCCAGCCTCTGTTGGTCCCTACAAGGCTGCCGCAGGGTTAGCTAAACACTTCCTGTCATAAAGGGTCACTATTTGTCAACCTTGTAGTCAGAGGAAAATATAAAAACATCACAATCCATTCCTTTCCCTAATATCTCACAAACTAAATACTGGCCCATATAACTTATGTCTAAAATAATCAGAGCAGAAATAGTCAATGAGTCCAATTAGAATCACTCAGCAGATTTAATATACATTTTAATATAGTCTAAGTGTGTCTCCCATTTTATTTTCTTTGTTTTATTGATTTTTCAAATAAATCAGTGGAAGAAAAGTTTTAAGTATTTTTTTCTGAAGTTATAAGATAAATTTGGTAGAATTAATACAAAAATACTGAATTTCTATGGGGAAAAACAGAAATTATAAGTAAGAAGGAGAACACATTGTTACTGCTACATGCCAAATTTATTTGACCCACTAGTAAATATGATATTCATTATGCCTAAATTACCTATATAATTGAGAACATCAAAACTACTTTTTACCTTAAATATTTTTACATGCAAACATTACTAAAACTTAATAACACGGACTAACCCAGTTATCTATTTCTGCTCTCATTTCCAAGCCACTGAGAGTTACTGGTTTAAGTCCCATGATCCAGCTGATTACATATCCATGATGGATAACCTCAAGCCCACAGTGCACTTGCCAAGCCCTCAGTTTGTCTCCAGTGTAATTCACCAGGGCAACCTTCTCAAACTCTTCCTCCTGTTAACCCCCATAGTCTCACTTTTTGAGGATATTATTTTATAAACTACTTCATTGATTTTTTAAAAAAATCAACTTATTTCCCCCAGTTTTTCCCTTTCCTTTGGTCTTGAGGGAAGAAAAGACCCTGTTTTCAAGGCAGAACTTTCACCTGTGTTTTCGAACCAATTTATTGTAATCTCGTCAGGTGCTTGATGGATCACTACTTCTCTCAGCCTTCATCACACTTGTCCTCTCAGCAGCTGTCTTAGTCAGTTTTTGGTTGCTATAACAGAATGCCACAGACTTAGTCATTTAAAAAGAAAATACATTTATTTTTTATAGTTCTAGAGGATGGAAAATCCAATCTCAAGATTCTGGCATCTGGTGAGGGCCTTCTTACTGCATCATCACACAGTGGAGGGCATCACATGGTGAGAGAGCAAGAGCATGTGTCCCCAGGTCTCTCTTCCTCTTCTTGTAAAGCCACCTGTGCCATCATGGGGGCCCTATCTTGATGATGCTATCTAATCCTAATTACCTGCAAAAGGCCCCATTTCCAATACCATCAACATGCAAACTTGGGGATTAAATTTCCAACACATGAAATCTGGGGGACACATTCAAACTCTAACAGCAGCATTTCACACAAGCATCCCTTTGTACTTCAATCACTTTCTTGCTTAGATTTCAGAACATGGTCTCCGGTTTTCTTCTTGTCTTGGCCACTCTTTCTCTTCATCCAGCTTAATTCTTGATATTTATATAGTACATGACCCAGAACTTGGTCCTAGGAATTCTTCTGTTTCTTGTCTCCCTCACTTCCTACATGATCTCATCCAGTCATTTGACTTTCAGGACAACTCACATATTAATGACCGTAGGGTTTCGAATTTTGAAGTAAATGCTTCTTAAGTTTTAAACTTATTATATCCAACTGCTACTTAACATCTCCACTTAGATGTGTAATAGGTATCTGAAACTGGAATTCTTGATTTCTTACTTAAAACCTACTCCTTCCTAAATCTGTCTTATTATTTGGTATCATTCTCTTCCCATTCACCCACTAGCTCTTCCATTTCCTCATACCCCACATACTATGCATGCCCAAAGCTTTTGGCACCAAACTCCAAACTGTATCCAGAATCCAAACTCACTCATTACTTTCATCATTATTACCCAAGTACAAGCCAGCATTAATTCCTACCAGGATAACTGCAACAGCCTTCTAACTGGTTATGTTGTTTTTTATCTTGCTTGCTGGAGTTCATTCTCCATACAAGAGTTCAGGTTCATTTAAAATAATATATATGTACAATAATAAACATTTCAAACTGGTATTTAGAATAAAAGTTACAGCCTCCCTATGTCTCACAAGCTCTACATGACTTTGTACCCATCCTACCTCTCCAAACTCATATCCTACCATTTTCTTATTTGCACACTGAGTTCTAGCAGATCTATTTCCTTTTCCTCTATTACTCTAAACTCATTGCCAGCTTGTCTCTTTTCTACCACATTCACTCTCTTGTAGATCATCAATGGCCAAACTGATGATCTACAAGATCAAAATCAGTTAACATATTCCCAGATCTCAACCTACTGATTTTTCCGTGGTGTTTGAAATCACTGACCAATGTGTCATTACTGAATTCCTACCCTCCCCTGGCTCTCTTGATGCTGAATTCTCTTTGTTTACCCATTAATTCTCCAAATCTTTCTCTTTAGTCTCCTGGGTGAAGTCCCCTTTCTCTGTTCATTCCTCATATGTAGACTTTCAATCAAAGAAAAAAGGATATAGAAAAATAGCTTGAAGTAAATCACCAAAATGTTTTCCCAACGTGACAAGAGAGTGGGTGATCCATTTTTTATTTTGCAACTGTTTATATTCCATTTTTATCTAATTAACATAACTATCTTTCATTTTATTTTATAAAACTACTGCATGCACATGCTTAAAATTAAATAGCATAGAAAGATTTATAATAAAAAGCAATGTATATCTTCTATTCAACCACCACTCCACACTAATTCTTTTTCCAGAAAACAACTTGCAATCATTTCTTTTTAAAAATCTTACATATTTACCTTTATGTCTCTACATAATTATTTGTAAGAGTAGGACTGTTCTAGGAGTAGTCAGACTGTTCTAACACCAAACCCAAAAATATAGTGGTATAATTGAGATAGAAGTTATTTTTCTCTCACATAATAGTCTCAGTAGGCAATTCAGGGCAACTTTAGGTAGTGTTGGAACCCAGGCTTCTTTTATCCTGTTATTCTTGATTCCCTAGGACACAGCTCTTTCCACATGGTTACCAGGCTCTCTGCTTTAGCTGCATTCCAGCCTGGGGAGGGTAGAGCAAGAAAGGAAGGGAGGCCATGTTCCTTTTATTTTAAGAACCTGATCTAAACATTGCACATTTTACTTCAGCTCACATCTCTGTTAGCCATACTTAGCTGCAAGGGAAATAACAGTTTTTACCCGGATGGTCATGTACCCCGATTCATTTTTATTGTATAAAAGAACATGAGAATAAATATTAAAGAGTTAACTAGAAACTTCTGCCACATTTATACAACTCTTTTAGAATAATCAGCATCAGATACTACCTGTTGACTTCTTCCATGTTTGATGAAGAACTAGCTCATCTATAACTGCTTCTCTTTTCCTCTCCCTCCCCAGTAGAATTATATCTCTAATATTGACCCCTCTACTTGTTATCTTTATTCCCCCTTTGTAAGATGACCATGTTATTACCTGTATCCTTCCCTCCACTTCACATCTCCCCTTCCACTTCTCAATGTTGTGGTCAAACTCTTACTTTTATATTGTGAAGATTCACAATATTTACATTCTTTTATATACTCAAAGAAAGTCTTCAGTGTTTGCCTAGTTTGATTCCATAGGTTGAAACCAATTAATAATAGTTCTATCATTTGATGGTGTTACCATTGCACCATACTGTTATAGTATGCTTAATTCCCTTCTCCAAGACACCACGCTTATGAACACTCTCAAGAGGGGATCTTCCCAGGATCAAGTTCAAATGGATTATCCTTTCTTATTCATCATTTATTCAAAATCATGTCACATTTCAGTTTGTTATACTTTTGAATCATGAATTTATTGTATAATTATTTTATCTCTCTGTTTACAAATGTTTTCCTTTGTCTTTCAGCTTCTTACTCTATCAATTCCTAGTAGCCCATTTCATTCATTGTCATGCAACATCCTAGGCCATTTACTTCATATTCAGGCCATGGTCTTCTTGCATAGTTTATCATTTTGACCTGGAGTTCCTAATCACTCTTCTCATCCCTTGCCCACTCTGCCATTTTCTTATCCTTGAGTTCTTCCAACACTCAACCACTATGGCCCTCTTTGTCAATTCAGACTGACTCCTCTAGCCTTGCTACCCAGTCCTCATCCTGGAACAAGAATTCTTTCCACTGCTGTCCTGAGTTTGTTACACCGTTATCTGAATCCCATAGGTTATTCTATCCTGGTTTACTTCTTTCTTTCCTAGAACACATACTCAAATAACTTTCTTAGAAAAGTTATTGAAAGACAAATTTTTTGGCCCCCTACCTATTTACAAAATGTTCTTACTCAACTCTAACAAGGATTAATGATTTAGGTAGAGAATTCTGGATTTATGTCATTTTCCCTCCACTTCGAGGAAATTACTCCACTATCTTTTATGATTCATTGTCAAAAGTTCCAAATAGAAACATAACTAATCCTTACTTTCAGCCCTCCTTCTCCACCCTACCCTCTGATGAATCTGGCCTGATATTCATCTGGAATCTGATGAATCCAGCCTCTCCATAGGGTGCTGCTAGTCAGGCTGGCCTCTATTCTCTCCTCTACTGTAGCCTCTCTGTGGGAATTTTAAGCTCGGCTTCACTTGTCAGCACTTTTTCAGCAGTTTGCCTTTTCCCACATCCTCTGATATCTACCACACTTTCTTTCCATTGTACATTTACATCTTTTTTTCTTTTACTATAATTTTAATGAGGTTTCTTATATAGAGCGTGCTCAGTCTGGCATCTTATGTTGGAAGTATACATTTTATGTTTAAAACTTTTAACAGTATTCTTTAAAGATTTTTCCCCAGCCTCTTCTCCTTCTGTCTGCTCATCCTTCCTCTTCACTGTCGCTGTTGAAATTTGTCCAATTTTTCCATACAAATGTATGTAGCCCTGACCTTTTTACCTTTTCCACAGACCTGTATTTAAGTTTCCCTCTAGGTGATCTATGGGCCTGTGCAACTCATTAGCCAAGCCTTCGAGATGACGCTATTAGGAGAGAATAAATTAGAGGACTCATTCCGAACCTAACCCATCTCCGGTGCCAGGTGATACAGAGGTTACTTCTGGAGAGCACAGAAATATCTAATTGGAATTTTAGAGGTTTTTCCCCCCTCCTATGTGCTATGTAACGAAAACCATTTTCTCTGTCACCCCATGAACATCATAGCTAATGTTTCTTTCTACAGTGCTCATTTACAGAAGCTTACTCTACACACATTAACTTATTTAATCCTTACCACACCCCTATGGGTTGAATACTATTATTATCCTTACTTTATAGATGGGGAAGCTAAGGCACAGGCATGAAGTTGCTTGCCCAATAACTCACAGCTAGGAATCATGCTCTTAACTATTACTCTATATTGAGTTCTGTAAGCATTAGCAAAGTCTACATCTTTCACAGCACTTTTGTGAAAGTTGCTCCTGTGTGGAGAATGTGAAAAGATTCTGAATTCTGTATCCAGATAGTGAAGGGAAAGGACAGATTAATTTTAGGGGTGCAGAACAAGAAACTGAGATGGCAGATAACATTCAGGTTATATTAGCTCTCTCCCACTCCCTTCAAGAGCAAGGACTATGTCTTCTTCATCAACCACATTCTCTTCAACATTTACTTCAGTGTTTAGGGGTTCATAAATATTTGTTGAATAATAATGCAGGAAACTTATATGTCATAATAACCTGTGAAACCCAAAAAAACTATATCCTAATAATTTGAAGGAAGGAATTTAAAACTGACATTGGATGAGTAACAGCAGTAAATATAATTTGCCTTTTCCTAAGTAAGCAAATCCTCATTCTCACATGATTTTATCCAAAATAGGAGCTAATACAGGGTTATAACATGCTCATCCATACTCAACAATTAACTGTTAAATTATGGGAACATAAATTAGACCTGCTAAGTAGAACCTTTAAGCCTCAACCTTTCAATTCTAATAGTATCATTTCTATGGTCAGTAAAGATTAATAATTCATCTTAAATAACTCGAATATGAAGAATTAGTTAACATTATGTTACCAGCTCTTCTGATTATGCATTCTTCTTGAGCTGCCAGTAATTTTGATTTACTGACAGAAAGCATATATTTTGTTTTCATGACATTTAGCAGGAATATGCCATTTATCAGCCTTTTGTTTTTACTAAATCTGAAAATTCATTCCAAAAGAGTTTCATAGAAACTCTTAATTACTGAAAGTGATGGTTCTGCTTCTACATAATGTTCTGAATAATAAATACTATACTTATGGGAATTAATTATTAAATCCAGCTAGGAATTATAACCTTCTTAATGCAAATAATAATAATTGCATATAATAATGTTTAACATCTGGGAAGGGTACTAAAATGAGTATCTTAATGCATGTAAAAGTAACAGATTCTATACATCATATAGATAATCACACAAATAATTCTGAGAACTTCTCTAATAGAGGTAACTGTCGGTTAAACTGAAGAGCATGAAATATCTATCACCAAGAATCGGTATGTCCCTCGTGATCTATCTTTTAAGACCCTGTATGGAAAAATCTCTTCCAAACCTAAAATTTTATATTTCTATCCAGGTGAGATGGAGAAGGCCAGGATGGGACAGGATAATATAGCAATATTGGCTTTGAAGTCAGACAATGTTGAACTTAAATTCTGGCTCCAGGTTCTCTTACCTACTAGCTGTGTGACCTTGAGTCAGATATTTATCCTTCCTGACACTCAGTTTCCTTGTTTACCTACTGGAGTATATACTACCTATTTTAGATAGGTGATTAGGAAAAGCCTCATGAAAGGTGATTTTTTTTTCAGAGTCCTGATTGATATAAAGGGTTGGATATTTAAATACTTAGATATTTCTGAGAAGTACCCAGAGCCTCAAACTCATATAGAAAATAAATATGTAATTTCTTTATACACACTGGAAAATCATAACCTGATTTGCAAGGATAATTGCAGAGAGATAGTTTTCATAACTCATAAAGAGATCACATAAACCAATGAGAAAGTGAGAAGCAATCAAATAAACAAAAATAGGACATAAGCAGTTTAGAAAAAAATACCTATGATCAATGTTATGGCTTGAATATTTGTATTCCGACAAAATTCATATGTTGAAATCCTAACCCCCAAAATGATGATATTAGGAGGTGGGGCCTTTGGGAAGTGATTAAGTCATGAGGGTGGAGCCTTCATGAATGGGATTAGTGCCTTTATAAAATAGCCCAAGGAAGCTCATTCACCTCTTCTACATCTGAGGACACAGCAAGAAGTCACCATCTGTGAACCAGGAAACAGGTCCTCATCAGACATCACATCTGCTGGCACTTTGATCATGGACTATCCTGCCTCTAGAACTGAGAAATGAACTTCTGTTGTTTATAAACATAGTCAGTCTACGGTGTTGTGTTATAGCAGCCCAAAGACTAAGACAATGAGTAAGCATAAGGAAAAAAACTCCCTTCTCTCATAATATCAGATATTAACAATTAAAAACCTAATATATATAATTTTTCACACATCAGAAATATTTTTAAAAACTGATGTCACCCAGTTCTAGAAAAAATGTGAAGTAAAGACATTCTTAGGCAGCTCTTTACAACCTCATCAACATTAAAAATGACATAATGTTTGATCCAGTAATCCCACTTCTGGCAATTTGGTCTGTGGATTTACTTTCATGATTTTTCCAGCATGTACAAGCATATTTATTGCCGAAATTATTAGTGGTAGCTAAAAAAGGTAACAACATCAAAGCTTTTATTAATAGAAGCCTGACTATAGTATATGCATATGACAATAACGTACAGGAATTAAAAATGCTAAGAGATATTTTAAAAATCATGTAAATATTTAAATAGAGACTCCCTTGAGTCTATAATTAAAGAGAATCTGACATTTTTACAATATAGAACCTTCATAATCAAAGCAAGATTTTATTCTTTACTCACTTGAAGTTTCTTTCATGTCCCCCAGTAAATTTCTTCTCTACGTCTTACATATTCTCTTTAAATAAAGTTTGTAATATTTTTATCATTTTGCTTGCTGTTTTCAATGAGATTGTTATTCATTATAATTTCTCTATTTTAAAATGTATATAGCAGGGATCAGCAAACTACCAATATGGGCCAAATCTTGTCTGCTGCCTGTATTTAAAATAAAGTTTTATTGGAACACGGCTATGCCTCTTCATTTACATATTGTCTATGGTTAATTCTGTGCTACAACGGCAGAATTAAGAAGTTGTAACAAAGACTGATGACAACAAGCCTGAAATATTTACTCTCTGGCCCTCTACAGAAAAAAGTTTACCAACCCCGATATACAGAAAAGCTATTGAATTTTATATTTTAAACATAGGCAACTTCCCTACTGAATTTTCTTACTGTTTTTAATCGTTTTCAATTTTCTTGGGTTTTCTAGATTTAAAAAAATGTCATGTGGCCGGGTGCGGTGGCTCACGCCTGTAATCCCAGCACTTTGGGAGGCCGAGGCGGGCGGATCACGAGGTCAGGACATCGAGAGCATCCTGGCTAACACGGTGAAACCCTGTCTCTACTAAAAATACAAAAAATTAGCCAGGCGTGGTGGCGGGAGCCTGCAGTCCCAGCTACTCGGGAGGCTGAGGCAGGAGAATGGCGTGACCCTGGGAGGCAGAGCTTGCAGTGAGCCAATATCGCGCCACTGCACTCCAGCCTGGGCGACAGAGCTAGACTCCGTCTCAAAAAAAAAAAAAAAAAAAAAATCATGTGTAAATAATGTTAATTATGCTTCATGTTTTCCATTATTGAAAATTTTTAGGCCTTCCCTTTTCTGGCTTCATTGATCAGACTTTCCAGAGAGCTATCAAATAACTCTGGTAGTAGTGGGCATGCTGAATTTAATAGGATTGCTTCTAATACATCATTATAAATTATGGCCCTGGATTTTAGTTTGAGATACATAGTTTTATCAAACTAAGAAAATATCAATCAATTCTTATTTTACTAGGGTTCTATATTAATCAAGAATGACCACTGGCCTTTATCAAAGAAGTTTCAATATTTATATATATTTTTTAAATTCTAACCTGCTCCTATAGCATATACACTAATAAATTTCCTAATATGGTAGAACAGAGATGCACCATTCATATCTCCCTTCAAGAAAAACCTTGCTGCCCAGCTGCAAGAAGGGCTGTCACAACAGAGCTGCCAGCTACCAATTCCTTCAAGGTGTGCATAGGTTAAGTAGAGTTACCTCTCCCACGGAGGAGGGTCCCACAGAGCTGGTGACTGAACAAGGACAGAGCATAAGCTTCTTGATGGATCTACTGAAATTTGGTAAAGCCTGCTTTGGGTTCTTCCTTTACTCAATCCTACTTCTTCCTCCTTCCTTTCATTGATATTGACCCCTGATAAATATCTTGCACCCTCAAGCTCAATCTTAGCATATGCTGCCAGAAAACACAACTACAGTGAGGGAGCCACTGAAGGGCTGACTCTGGTTCTCACTATGGCCTCCTCTGTTATTTTGCCTCTGGCTTCCTCTCAGGCTCACCCCTTTGCTCACTCAACTCCAGTCAGGCTGGCTTCCTTGCCATTCTACAAAGTGTCATGAATGCTTCTGGCCTAAGGACCATGGCAGTCACCATTCCCTCTGTCCAGAACATTCTTACTCAGATATTCCCAGGGCTCATGCCCTCACTTCATTCAGGCCACTGCTCGACTGTCTCCTCTTCGGAGGGGTCTTCTTGACCACTGAATTTCAAGCAGCTCACCCCCACACCTCTCCACCTTATCCCAGCTCACCTTTCTCAATTTTTTTTATCCTGCTTACTTTTCTTTTCAGCTTATCTCAACCTAACACGCGCATATTTGTTTATTCATTTATTGTGTCTCTCTCCAACTTCAGTGAAAGCAGGGCTTTGTTTTATTCACTAGAACAGTCTCTGGAACAGCATGAGTGCTCAATATATACTGTTGGAGTTACAGGCAATAACCTAAAAATAAACTTATACTACAGAAAAGATAAAATCTTATACAAATGTCTATAAAAGTTGAATGTAAAATGTGTTGGAAAGAACATTATTTTGCCCTTGATATATAGTATCCATTTGGACTCATTTTCTTCATATTTCTTAGAGACTAATTTTCAGGGGCTCCTGCAATTTTGGCATTAAATTTTTCTACTGCCATCCTTTTTCCCCAACTCTATCAACGAGGTAATGAACTGCAAATCATTAAAATATGGTTGACAAGACTTAATAATTAAAAGTATTCTCTTGTAAATTGCAGAGTTATGTCTTTTTAAATTAATTTTATTTGAATAAGTAATATATAATTACATTCTTCTTGGGAAAAAATTAATATTACTGATAAAGCTAAAGTCTACTTTGACTTATACCACCATGCCTGTTTCCCTCCTTCTCACCTCCCTTCTCACTCCAGCAGTAATCTTCATTAGCAATATTCATCCAGATGTTTTCCTATGCATTACTTGCATTTAAAGTTAAATGATACATATTTATGTGTATTGATAAATTTCATAAGTGTATTAGCTCATTTGCTCCTTATAACAGCCATGTGCAGTAGGCATTATTTATTAAGTAATAATAAAATATACATCTCATATGGTTACTTTAATGATTAAAAGAGCACATGTCAATGAAAACACTTAGCAGTGTGCTTAGCACAATATAAGTACTTTTAAGTGAGAGCAATAATTATTCTATATTATATATCCCTAAATATGAAGACACTCCTAATCACTGAGGTGGTAGAATTTTGTGGGACTTCTAACATCTATATTGAATCCCTGAGATGAGTTATTTAATATTCAAAGATATCATTATTATATCAGCATAATTCTTACACTTTTAGTAGTTCTACTATTTGTGGTTTATAGTTTTTACCTAAAAATACAATAATCTGATCTTGCTAAAGTCAAAGAGAGTTTTTTGTTTCAATGCGAGAGATCCTTATTAAATACAGTGAAATGTGGCTAAAATTTTATAAATAGAGACATTCATCAGGGTTATTTATTGGAAACAACTAAATATCTAATAATAAAACTGTAGAATGAATTGTGATTCATCTATCTCATAAAGTATCTTGTAACCTTTAAAATGATATTTATGAAGACTTCTAATGACAAGAGAAAAGGTTAAATAAATATGTTGTTTAAAAAACAGTAGATAGTGCTTTTGTGCTTAAAAGGAGAGCATTAAAATATATTTCATTTGTAGAATGGAAAGATTATGGAGACAACACAGCATTGTTATTTGGGAAAAAGAAATTATCAAAATTTGAAATATGTATATAGCATGATTTAATTTTTGTAATAAAATTGTGTGGAATAAAGGCTAGAATAAAATAACTCAACATGTCAATAGTGTTTCTCACTGAGTAAAGAGATTATAGATGATTTTAAATTTCACTACTATACATTCATCTTTATAATCAGAAATAAATACTATTTTAAGGTATTTCTATTAGTTTTCTAGAGATACCTAATTCAACCATACCTAATGAAATTTGAATCTTCTGACGTTTATATTAATGGAACTCATATTAAGAAAGTATGCTTAGTAAGGCAATAGCCAACTTGTTAAATATAAATTCACACTTGGTAAGAGGTTTAACCTCTTATAATGATGTTTATAAATTATATAATTAGAATCATTTAATATCCACTGTATACTTGAAACAATTTTTAAAAACAGCCTTGTGACCAATTATATTAACTTCATGTTTATATTAATTCTTAATTTTTAAAATAAAAGTCTATAGTTTCATTCCAAGTATCCTCTATAAAATAAAATATATGTACTGATAGATTGAAGAGAACTAAGAAGATAAATCATTTGCTATTAACAAAATTCTAATGCTTGAATCTCTTTTTGATAAAGTATAATTAACTGAATATAATTGTAACAGCCTGTGTCAGTGCACCCCTCTGTGAGTTAGTTCCTCAGGTAATTAATTTGTAGAGCATTTCCTTTGAGAGCTATTTCCCCTCCTACAATTCCTAGACTTTTTCCTTCTACAGAATGGTCAAGATAAACTACTCCTACTCCTTCAGAAGCACTTATGATTCAAGATTACAGAGGAATGTACTTAGAAAAATGTGCAGTGGAAAAAAGTACTTATATGCATACACACAGACTATGGTTACTGAAAAGTTCACTGAGAAAATATGGTGCTTATCAAGCTTACATACCCTCTCAGATGGCTGCCAGGTCAGGCCACTCAGTTCTCTTTTGCCTGGTTCCCCTCTGAAGTCTTGCCCCTGCGTGATGCTTCCAAGCCTCTACACTGCCAGAAATTCAGCCTAGAGAACCATGTTCAAACCATTTATTCAAACATGCTGACTGCCTCAGCATTTGGGCATGTTGTTAATCGCATCCCCTAAAGTTTATTCTCCACCACGTACAACACAGTGAAAAGCCACTAAAAGAAAAAGAGAGAGAGAACCTCTCCAGTCCTCCTGCTAGGACTGCTAAGTTTTTCAGTGCCTTTTCCTACACCATCACTTCTCAGAAAAAAATTCTCTCCACTCTGAAAGTTGGGGCAAGTTTCAAAACCTGGGTAGGTCTCCCCCTAGTGACAAAGTCAATTCATTTCTTCCAAAACACTTCTGTTTTCATATTTGATTATTTCCTAAAATGCAGGAGATAAATATTTTCCAGATTATGAAGCTTAGATTAAAATCAAAAGTGCTATGGAATTCATATGGACATTATTAATGAAAGTCCCGATTACACAGGAAATTAATACCACAATTTCAGCACTAAGGCATAAGTCATTAAAAACTCCAAAAATAGCCCTAAGGAGTTCTGGATTATTAGTGGCTTGGTATGTGGATGAAATCATAACTTAGTAGTAGAAAAATTGTGAAATTAATTCTCCCAACACCATTGATAGGTAGATATTATTCAGTATGTATTTTACTATGTATTATTTATTTATGAGAGTTAAAGAAACAAAGGCTCAGAGAGGCTAGTACAAAGGTGAGCCAGGGATTTGAATTTTGCCTATTGGATTTCCAAGACTTTGAACTCTGCACTGTCCTGTGTTAACCTAACCTTCCATGCCTCCCTACTCTCTGGCCTCCTGTTGTACTGATTCCAGCTGGAAAGTGACCCAGACCACATGCTTTTGGGCATTTTGTTCTAATAATTCCTGTTTACCCTTCAAGTTTATCTTAGTTGTTGCTTCCTCAAGGCAGCCTTCTCTTAACTCCTACGTTCCTATTTTATATAGCACCATGTACTATCTACTATTCCTATCACATTTCTAATCAAATAAAAAGATATATGATTGATAGGGTTTGGCTCTGTGTCCCCACCCAAATCTCATCTTGAATTGTAATCCCCATAATCCTCATGTGTTGAGGGAGGGATCTGGTGGGAAGTGATTGGATCATGGAGGTGGTTTCTCACATGCTGTCCTCTTGGTAGTGAGTGAGTTCTCACGAGATCTAATGGTTTTATAAGTGTTTGGCAGTTTCTTTTTCACTCTTTCTCTTTCCAGCCACCTTATGAAGAAGGTACTTGCTTCTTGTTTGCCTTCTGCCATGATTGTAAGTTTCCTGAGTTCTCTCCAGCCATGCAAAACTGTGAGTCAATTAAACTTCTTTCTTTCATAAATTACTGTCTTGGGTAGTATCTTTATAGCAGTGTGAGAACAGACTAATACAATGATTGAGTGTTGTCTACCTCTACCACCATGTCCTACATACCCCCAATTAAAGTTTCATGAAGGGAAGCACCTTGCACAGTGTAGGTGATCCATAAATATGTGTTAAATGAATGAATAAGTGAATGAATGAATGGATGAGCTAATGTCGCTCAAGCAAGTTGTGTTTCTGGTACCACTTTTTCTGTCACTTTTGCTTAGCCTCAAATTCTGATACCCATATTTCTTATACTGATCTGATGACTTTACTCTGATACAGATTTTTTACTACACCCTTGCTCTAATGTTGGCATTTTGGGACCTGGATTGTATCCTGAATATCATACAGGTAGTTCTTTCATCCTAAATGGAAGAAAATAAACTCTTGCACATATCACGGTAAGTGCCATTAAACTCATGAGAGAAAAAAGGATTAGAGGGTCCCCATCTATATGGTTGCTCCCTAAATTCAACTCTCCCCAAAGAGACAATAAAAATATATTTACTTTATAGCCCAACACGTTTTGAGAAATTGATCTGCTCTGCAGATGAAAAGAAAAGCAGTTAGAGGGAAGATAACTCACATAAAATGTTCAAAGTACAGCTCTCTTAATGGATTAATATCTGATAGGTTATTTGACATTAGTAAAAGATCCAAGGCCAGGTAAAATTTTTTACTTGGAGGTAATATCATACCCACTTCCTTATATGGAGAAGAAGCCACAAAATCTTCAATTTTCTTTTAGAACTATTTTATTTTATAAATATTTAAAAGCTGTGAAAACAATAGTAGGTATTAAACATAACATATAGTGGCTACTTTTAATAGTACTAATAATCCTAATAGTACTAATAGTACTACTGCTACTAATAATAACCCTAATAATACTAATAATACATGTATTATTTGAGAAACAAAAGATTTCATCATTTTCACCTGACTCAAAATATCTTGCAAATCTATCCTTACCTTATGCATTTTACTAACTATAGGCTGTGATTTGCAACAATGCTTAGAATAAGCTGTTTTATTAGTTCAGTGACCCAGTAAGAGTATATATATAAAGCACATACATGAGAATATTTATGGCAGTGATTAATTACAGAGAATGGCAGCTTGGAAGCATGTAAATGAAAAGGTAAATAACATATTCCATTATTAACATTCCTCTGTGAAGTGGGATGTACGGAGAGAGCAGAACAATGGAGTGGAGGGAAGTTGGGTCAGACAAGTGATAAATCAGTTGTGGAAAAATAGGGAAGGAATTATAAGCATTAAGCTACCCTTCTAACACAATGAATGCAGAATAATAATACCATATTTGTAATTATAATGATGTCCTTATAAATTACAGATCAATTCAGAAAGCAGCATGTTTATTTTTTAAATAAACGTAGACAATATATCCACAACAATAATAAAAGGGTGCATATTAAGCCCCAATGGAATCTTAAATTCTGAAGTACAGCTCTCTATTTATATTAATATAAGGCAAAAAGTATTCCTACATTTTCTGTAAGACAAAGGATCATTGTGCTGAATTTCCTTAACTAGCATGTAATAATTCACTTGCTTCTTTATCTCGGAATGTCAGCTAGAAAGCCCAATAACACTATACTGAGTAAAACAACCAAGAGCTGGAGAAACACCTCAGACTTCTTGTGAATGGAACATGTAATGTGATGATTTCACCCATAGCCTTACCATTTTCAGGTTATCTTTTCTCTTCCCTGCTAGATTCTAAGCTCCTTAAAAACTGGATCTTATTCATATTTTTATTTTCTATAATACTGCTGACAATGCCATGTACATGGTAGACCTTTGGCAATTTTTCTTTTTCTTTTTGAGGTGGAGTCTCTCTCTGTTGCCCAGGCTGGAGTGCAGTGGCGCAATCTTGGATCACTGCAACCTCCACCTCCCAGGTTCAAGCAATTCTCTGCCTCAGCCTCCTGAGTAGCTGGGATTACAGGTGCCCACCACCACAGCCGGCTAATTTTTGTATTTTTAGTAGAGACGGGGTTTCACCGTCTTGTCCAGTCTGGTCTTGAACTCCTGACCTCGTGATCCACCTACCTAAGCCTCCGAAAGTACTGGGATTACAGACGTGAGCCACCGAGCCCGGCCGACAATTTTTTTTAATGCTTGCTTTTAGAGGTAGGCCTATTCTGTGCTTCAGGATAAAAGAGAGTTGGATGAATCATACTGGGGGAAAAATAGAAAAATCCAGTAACCTGGATGTCTGTCAGCATCACCCCTATAGTTTTAAAAATATACAGACTCCTTGGCACAATATCAGACGTTTGATTCAACATCTCTGGAATAAGACCTAGGAATCTCTACCTTTAATGTGTAGGTGATTTTAATGCACAGCTGGGAATGAGAACCATTGGTCTGATACCTAATTTTTTTTTCCTGGCCTGGTATGTCATAAATTAATGTAATAACACCTTCTTGCTTTATATTTCTCAAAGTGTACATATATTTTATATAAATATATGTAATATCTAATTTGAGCAATATATGATCAACAAATTATATGCAACA
Source organism: Homo sapiens (assembly GCF_000001405.40). Taxonomy (NCBI): domain Eukaryota; kingdom Metazoa; phylum Chordata; class Mammalia; order Primates; family Hominidae; genus Homo; species Homo sapiens. Next base: position 198,084,895 of record NC_000001.11, on the reverse strand, counting down.
AGTATGTGTCCAACAAACTGTTACATTGGTAGAAAATTGACCTGGGCAGCTCCCTTCACAGTCAATTCATTTCCTCCTAAGCAGGGCCCTCACCCAGCACAGGTCCTCTTGCATATCATTCTGTCTGCCCATACCACTGACCTCTAATGAGGAAAAGAGAAAGCCATCCGCTGAGACCATAATTATGTGCAGAGGGTCAGTGTTTGAACCTTGGTCTCCATGAAACACCAAAGCAAAGAGCAGACTTTTCTTCTGCTCCAAACGCCCTCTAGTTAACTTTCTCACAAATGGCCAAAGAATGGGAAGAGATTCCCTCAAAACAGGCAAAAACACCTTTCAACTTTTCAGGCTAAAATGACAAGATCGGGCGTGTTCAGGGTGGTATGGCCGTAGACTAGAATGACTGAAGTTAAAATTTGCCAGACAATGGCCATTGTGTTCCCAAAGTCCTGTGGCCATTGTGTTCCCAAAGTCCTGCATATACACAGTTGGCAGTGCATAATATTGGCAATACTGTGTCTTTTTCAGTCATGCAAAATTATGCCACAATGAAGAAGGACTTGACAAAGAGGTCAAATTTAGCTCACCTGCCATGCAGTGCTGGAAAATCTCAGGCACTGACAGATTTTCTTCATGAGGCTGGGACAAGTCTGCCATGTATGATTGCTCAGGTTCTGTACTGCACAAGGGCACTGTATCTAATGGGACATCAGCTACATTAGAATCTTTTATTTCTATGATTACAGTTTGACTCCATATATGAGCTATTTATTTATTATCACAATTTTTTGGCAGATGGCAGTAAAATATCTTGTAAAATGATCAATGTATGTCATTCTACTTTAACTTGCAAAAGGAAATTAAATAATTTAAAAACCAAGTTGATCTAACAACATCTAAAATAACCTGTGTTTCTAAACATAGTGATGTTATTGTTTTTTGGACTAATGTATTGATTAGTAAATATCTCATTTAAAAAATGTCTTGTTGGTGTATGAGTGCACTGGGTAAATTAGATGTTTCAAATTGCAGTTTGTATCATCTGTCAGTTGTTTACTATTCTAGAATAGTATTTCTGAATTCCCAATTTAAATAGACATTTATAAGAGTCATTGTGTTCCAAATCTCTATGTAATAACCATTAATCAGCAATAATAATTCACAAAGTATTATTTGAATATAAATTTGGCAGTATTATATGATAATCTAATAATTATATTACAGCAGCTATTATTTGTTGTTATGGAAAAATTCATCTATACGAAACTAAACTGCTATTAAAATGTAACAGCTTATCACACACATAATTATTTCAAAATGTTAAAAATTCCTTAACAAAATACGAATCATTACATTGTTTTTCTCCAGGTATCAGAAAAAAAAATACATTTTAAAGTGTTCAGATTATAAAACAGAACATGGAAAGCATTACAGAAGGAAAATTTCTAAATATTTGGAATACTGAATATATGTACATATATGGTGAATATAGATGTAAATCCACAATAAAAGGAGAAGTCATTATAATTGCCACTTTGAGCAAAATGTAGCATAAACATATGCTGCCTACCAAAAAGTAAAGGGTAAGTTTCACTTCTTCTGCCATGTCAACTAAATATATGGTTTCTTTTAAAAAATCACAAATTTTAAAAGCCACAGATTTTTAAAAACTAAACGTATTTTAGTTTACAGGCATATGACCATAGAGTTTGACTGTTATATAACACTAAAATTTTATTGGCAATGATCTACCTCAAGTAAAAACTTTAAACATTATAAAATGACACTACATTTAAAGGAGGATGTTTTAGAGAATTTATCACACACGAGCACCATCTAGATGATTACACATAATCCTATGTCCTAGTTACTTTATTCCATCTAGAAAGACTCTGCATTTCATTTACATTAAAAAACTTGTTTGGATATGAAAAGTAATAGTTTGAAGAACGAGAATGGGTGCAGTGGTAGGCATCATTTAATACAGATTTTAGCATGTCAGTACTAATGTGCTAAGTGTTCAAAAGTGTCAGATTTGAAAAATGTGTGCTAACAATGCTGCAGAAAGAGGCGACATGAAAAATGAGAGAAACGATTTGCATAATGTCAAATTTATAACACATGTGATTCCATTTTTGGCAAGACAATCCATGATGTTCAGAGAATCACCCAAGACACTTTATGAGCCTGGTAATGGAAATTTTCTTCATTTGGCAGAAACCATAGCAGTGTCTGATAATGATACAGCAGAACATTTATAAAGAATGCAGATATTATTACCAAATAATACTATGACTCTTAGAGAATTAAATACAAAACTAAATTATTAAAATTATAGCAGATGCAATGAATGAAATTATTTTGAGTGATACAAAGTAATTAAATAGACCTTAATTATTATAGATCCAGTCTTATATAAAACCATGTAGAATTTTTTTTTTTTTGCTGAATTCTTGGAGTTTTTTATTTTTTTGAGATATAAAATCGATTATTTAGAATAAGAAACTAATCATAACAAATTACAGATTTTTAAAAGTGAACATACCATAAATATCGAAAAATCTAGAAAAGTAACCTAATATTTTTAATAAACTGACTGGTCATATAGGATTTTTGGAAAAAAAATTACTGCTAGATTTGCAGATTTTCAAAGTGCAAATATTTGATCCAGTAGAACACATGGCTCCAAAAGAAGCCATTGTTAGTGGACTATTTTTAAAGATTTTTTTCTAGATAAAACTAACTTGAGAAACCAAGCATTCAACAGTGTCACAAATATGTGTAGAAACAGATTACAAAGAAGATCCTCAAAAAAAAAAAAAGATGTAGACATTCTCCATTTCCTATTCTGTCTGTTATGTAAATTTGACAACGAAAATTCAGATAAGTTCCCTTTTGATACCACCACATTTTATCTTTTCCCAGATCTATACAACTACTTTGCAGCTTCCATGAAACAGAAATGTGTATGGCAAACATATCCTGAAATCTTTTTTGATTCTGCTACAAGATAGTCAAGTTGATGATATCATGCCACCCAAAAATCAACTGGAGGTAGGACACTACTTTTAGAAACAATTGATGATATTAATAAACATATCTAGTCTAGAAAACAAACAAAAGTTTCACTTTTGAAATTTTTTCAAAATTTATTTGCTCATTGGGCATGATATTGAAGTTGTTATGCCAGCACTAAATTCATTGCACATCATTTTTCCTGAAAGTATCAAAGAGATTAATACATTTTTAAAGACAAAGCAATGATGTTTATAAATAATTTTTGAAAAGAAATTGCAAACTCTTGACCCTGATACCAACTTATCCAATGTGACTAATAATAGTGAAAACAGTAAAGAGACTAATTTTGCAAATCCTCTACTCAGTGAGTCTATATTCCAAAATTAATTTTTTACATTGGATATAAAATTATCACCTTTAAAAGAAAGGTTTACTATACTGAAAACAGTCATGGCATGAACTATTGCAACTATGTAAACAGTTTCCTATGAAATCCATTAATGACCCAGTATCTACTGGGACATTTAAAAGGAGAACCTTATATTGTTTTCTCAAATCAGACACTAGTGGAGAATATATCTTTTTAAATTTAAAATATATTAAAAACTATACAATGCCTACAATATCACAAGAAAAACACAATATTGGAGCAAGTAAACATCAAAGGGAATTTTATTCCCCAAAACATGAAAAGTGTAACTTTTTAATTTATTATATCATAGTAACTTTGAATTCCTATTTATTGTGATTAAATATTCTAATTTTCTCTTATGTTCAAGTTTACAACTTTCTTGTTACATGACCCCAAATGTGAGCAGGACAGTTTTCCTGGGTACTCTGCCTGAAAAGTCCCAGGAAGAGCACTCCTGGTTCCAACTTGGCTTGTATGCTTGTATTAGTCCGTTTTCACGCTGCTGATAAAGACACACCCGAGACTGGGCAATGTACGAAAGAAAGAGGTTTAATTGGACTTACAGTTCCACATGGCTGGGGAGACCTCACAATCATGACGGAAGGCAAGGAGGAGCAAGTCGCATCTTACATGGATGGCAGCAGGCAAAGGGAGAGCTCCGGCTAGGAAATTCCCTTTTCCATTTTCTTTCTTTCTTTTTTTTTTTTTTTTTATGAGACGGAGTCTCACTCTGTAGCCCAGGCTGGAGTGCAATGGCGCGATCTTGGCTCACTGCAAGCTCTGCCTCCCAGGGTCACGCCATTCTCCTGCCTCAGCCTCCTGAGTAGCTGTGACTACAGGGGACCGCCACCAGGCCTGGCTAATTTGTTTTTGTATTTTTAGTAGAGACGGAGTTTCACTGTGTTAGTGAGGATGGTCTCGATCTCCTGACCTCGTGATCTGCCCGTCTCGGCCTCCCAAAGTGCTGGGATTACAGGAGTGAGCCACCACGCCTGGATGGAAACTCCCATTTTTAAAACCATCAGATCTCATGAGACCCACTCACTATTACAAGAACAGCATGGGGAAGACCTGACCCCAGATTCAGTCATCTCCCACCAGGTCTCTCCCACATGTGGGAATTATGGGAGCTACAAGATGAGATTTGGACAGGGACACAGAGCCAAACGATATCAATGCTCATTTATAAACCATTGATAAATAAGATGAGATCTCTTCTTGCTGAAGTCTAACTCATATGTCTAGTCTGTGGCCAATATTTGAAGGCTGAGGTTAAGGGAAGATGCTCAACAGCCCCGGTAGGGCCATATAGAGCTGAGAGAGGGAAGAAATACCCAAAAGGAAGAATTGAGGGTGTTTGATGCCAAAAGAAAAAGGAAAAACACTCATCAGACTAAACCACAATCATGCTCATTGGCTGCTGTTGCTGAATATTTTGTATTTGTAGTATGGACTTTGAAAAATTAAGACTTTATAAATCCTTATACAAGGAAATGACAGTGAGAGAGAAGGAAGAAACTAGCTAGTCAGATACTGAGGGCAGAGTCCTTGGCAGAATTCCCTCTCTAACAAAGAACAGCCTGGAAGATCAGACTGCAAATATAGATAAGGAAGCAAGTTCCAGCACAGAGAGGCAGCCTCCTATGTAATCAGCAAGCTTCACATACATATGGTGGCCCCCAGTAAACACAGTGGGCCCTAGTGAGCACATTCGTTTCATTTTTTGGACATACTCAGATAAGGAAGCTTGCACAGAATGGGGGTGTCTGCAGCTGCACCAATAAGAGGAACTACCTTGGGCTGGGCATGTCCACCATGGATGGTTCTGCCCACTTAGCACATGTGCAGTAATAAAGATAAACAACATGGAGTAACTTAGGCTAAGGGCCCATCTGTGCAATAAAAGGTTGGCAGGGGTGCTGCTGGAGATTAGTGCCCTATGCAAATGACACACCTAGTCTTAACTGTTTTCTTGTGCCTTATGTAGATGAGATACCCCTCCCCAATAGCTCATTTACAAAAATCTTTGTATTTCACTGTGAAGTGGTAACCCTTTTTCAGGACCCCTCTCTGCAGCAAAGGGCTTTCTTTCTTTCTCCCACTTATTAAACTTTTGCTCTAACCTCACCCTTGGAGTGTCCATGCCCTTGATTTCCTCAGCCGTGAGACAAAGAACTTTGGGTGGCACCCCAGACAATGAGGTTGTTTCAACAGTATACTGCAGATCAATATGAGGCAGGTCAGTCAAGAATGCAGAATGAGATGATAAATATAGAAAAATTTACAAAATAAACTAGGAGAAGAAAAATGTTCTTAAATATATCAGGCTAAATGCTTTACTGTATGTCAGTGAAAAAAGAGACTGAAAGTTAACTCTAAAGTTTCATCATCTTCATTTCTGTATATTATTTAACATTTGTAGCATATAATTTCATTTCATTGTTTAGTGAACATTTTATCATCCATTCTTGATAAATACTTTCTGTCACATTGATGAAGTCCTAAGGACTTTTTTACCTTTTAAGAAGATAAACCCGAACTCAGTAGATTCCCACCAACAATTACAGTTGGATTATGGTATCCAGACCAGGAATCAGTGCTCTTACAGAACAGTTCCTAGGTAATATCTACTCTTGTCTGGTTGTGCCATATTCCTCAGTGAAAACTGATTTTCAATATTTTGTTGCTGTTTGATCCCTGTCTCCCTGTTTGTGTTGTTCAATAACTCTTGAGAAGTTCCAGCCTTGAAAAAAGTCATATGAATGTAGATCTTCGATTGTATGGCAGGTCCAGAGATACAGAAGAAAAAGAAAACGAGCAAAAAAGAGCCTGCATCACCAAGTCAATCCTAAGCCAAAAGAACAAAGCTGGAGGCATCACACTACCTGACTTCAAACTATACTACAAGGCTACTGTAACCAAAACAGCATGGTACTGGTACCAAAACAGAGATATAGATCAATGGAACAGAACAGAGCCCTCAGAAATAACGCTGCATATCTACAACTATCTGATCTTTGACAAACCTGAGAAAAACAAGCAATGGGGAAAGGATTCCCTATTTAATAAATGGTGCTGGGAAAACTGGCTAGCCATATGTAGAAAGCTGAAACTGTATCCCTTCCTTACACCTTATACAAAAATCAATTCAAGATGGATTAAAGACTTAAATGTTAGACCTAAAACCATAAAAACCTTAGAAGAAAACCTAGACATTACCATTCAGGACATAGGCATGGGCAAGGACTTCATGTCTAAAACACCAAAAGCAATGGCAACAAAAGCCAAAATTGACAAATGGGATCTAATTAAACTAAAGAGCTTCTGCACAGCAAAAGAAACTACCATCAGAGTGAACAGACAACCTACAAAATGGGAGAAAATTTTCGCAACCTACTCATCTGACAAAGGGCTAATATCCAGAATCTACAAGGAACTCAAACAAATTTACAAGAAAAAAACAAACAACCCCATCAAAAAGTGGGTGAAGGACATGAACAGACACTTCTCAAAAGAAGACATTTATGCAGCCAAAAAACACATGAAAAAATGCTCATCACTGGCCATCAGAGAAATGCAAATCAAAACCACAATGAGATACCATCTCATACCAGTTACAATGGCAATCATTAAAAAGTCAGGAAACAACAGGTGCTGGAGAGGATGTGGAGAAATAGGAACACTTTTACACTGTTGGTGGGACTGTAAACTAGTTCAACCATTGTGGAAGTCAGTGTGGCGATTCCTCAGGGATCTAGAACTGGAAATACCATTTGACCCAGCCATCCCATTACTGGGTATATACCCAAAGGACTATAAATCATGCTGCTATAAAGACACATGCACACGTATGTTTATTGCGGCACTATTCACAATAGCAAAGACTTGGAACCAACCCAAATGTCCAACAACGATAGACTGGATTAAGAAAATGTGGCACATATACACCATGGAATACTATGCAGCCATAAAAAATGATGAGTTCATGTCCTTTGTAGGGACATGGATGAAATTGGAAATCATCATTCTCAGTAAACTATCACAAGAACAAAAAACCAAACACCGCATATTGTCACTCATAGGTGGGAATTGAACAATGAGATCACATGGATACAGGAAGGGGAATATCACACTCTGGGGACTGTGGTGGGGTGGGGGAAGGGGGGAGGGATAGCATCGGGAGATATACCTAATGCTAGATGATGAATTAGCGGATGCAGCGCACCAGCATGGCACATGTATACATATGTAACTAAGCTTCACAATGTGCACATGTACCCTAAAACTTAAAGTATAATAAAAAAAAAAGAATAAAAAGAAAATGAACTGTGACTCAAATTTCCAGTTCCAGTTTTATCATTAACTTGTGAAACCTCACTTAAGTCACCACTTTTTTATGTCTTTCAGTTTTGCACATATTTAAATTAGAACAGCATACTTTAGCAAATATTTATTATCTCCTATGTGCCTGGTATCAAATGTACAACATAATAAATGCACTGTATCTAGTAATGCCGATGTTATTAATATAACCTTGGGCAAATAATTTTCCTTCTTTGGGTCTTAGTGTAACCACAGGTAAGGATTTTAGGAGGCATTCTCTAGGAATTTCTTATCATACCTCAGCATGTTATTATAGGGGTCAAAATAAACAGACACAAAAATTATTTGAAAAGCATAAGATTGTGTGTGTGTGTGTGTGTGTGTGTGTGTGTGTGTGTGATAGAGTCTCACTCTGTCACCCAGGCTGGAGTGCAGTGGCATGACCTCGGCTCACTGTAGCCTCTGTCTCCTAGGGTAAAGCAATTCTCATGCCTCAGTCTCCCCAGCAGCTGGGATTACAGGCATCCTCCACTGCACCTGGCTAATTTTTTCTACTTTTAGTAGAAATGGAATTTCATTATGTTGGCCAGGCTGGTCTCAAACTCCTGGCCTCAAGTGATTCACCTGCTCAACCTCCCAAACTGCTGGGATTACAGGCATGAGCCACCACTCCTGGCCTGAAAAGCATAAGAATTTTTATAGCCCTGCTTCAATAATAATGCCAGAGGACTGGAGGAACTTATATATCATCATTTTTAACTGCCAGGTAGTTTCTTTTAGAAAGCATATTTTAGCAAAAGCGCACTGACAACTATGTCTAAATAGAGAGAATCCAGTTGGAAATGGGGTAAAGATAGAGTCATTTGCATTGGTCAGGCTAAAATTGGACAGTTTAAATAATCAGTATCAAATTGTACCTCCCCAACATTCACCTTTCAAACTACATTGCTAACATTATCAGAATTTAGTTGCCCAAGAATGGGTCTTCCATGAGTTTGCTCTCTCTTTTCCCCATGAATTAATCTGAACTAGTTTAAGCTAGTAGTTTATAAGGCCAATTTTCATTTTTCAAGTTTAGAAGTTGGTTTGAAAACACTTTGAAAGAAAGAAGGGTTACTGATGCTGAAAATAAGATGAACGAACATAAAAAACAAAGTTTACATTTGTATGCATCCACAGAAATATGAGGGGAAATTATCATTCATTGAAAGTGCCTTCATCCTGATGGGTAATAATGATGGCTAATGAGACTGACATTTACACTGTTCAACAAAATAGTATTTTTCTAAACATGATGTATAATTAGCACAACTAACACACAAATCATACACACACAAAAACATCAAATTCTCAAGACTTGCAGATGAATAATGTCCTCCAAAGGATTCTATTCAACCCAGTTGTGTCCTATGCATAATTTTAAGGCTACTTTAGGGTTTCTTTTTAATTCTTCAGAGTGGAGATATAACAGCTCGCATTGATGAAGACTGTCAAATATTTTTATCTTGATAAGAAGGAAGGGAGGGAGGGAGGGAGGGAGGGACGGAGGGAGGGAGGAAGGAAAGGGAGGAAGGGAGGAAAGGAGGGGACAGTGGGGGGAAAAAGAAAAGGCAAAACTAGATGTTGAACAAAATCCATTAAAAATGTTTATTACATTCCATAGAGTATAGATAATGCCTCATTTCTATTTGGGTACTTTGGGTTTTTTTCTTCATAAGCTGTATTTTTTTGTCATTACATATTGTTCCCTTTATTTCTATTAACAATTGTATGTATGGGTCTTTTTCTACTAGCAACAGAGAGAAATAATACTAGAGCAATGGCGAACTTTCGTATATAATAAACAATAAGGCTCTCACGGGTCTGTGTGAATTATAAACACGTTTGAGGGTACGGGTAACTATAGTAGAATGATTTATTTTTTGTTTGGTTTTGACAATATTGAACTTTCTTATTTTATGAATTTAACAAAGACTTTAAAAAAGACACTGATTCAGAATAATAAGCTGAGAAAATCTAAAGGTATCATGAGTTACATTGTTAAATTCTCTTAGAGAAGGTTCTAGCCAAAACAGTGTTTGGGTTGTTTGGGTTCTGCACACTTTTTTATTCCTGCCTCGCTAGTTTTCCAGTAGTCTCCACTGCTCAGAGCTCACTCACGGTGGAGTCAACTTTTCCATCAGCACTCCTTCTCTACAGCTGCCCCCAGCTCCTCTCAATCCCTTCCTACCTCTCTTCACCTCAGTACCCTACACTCTGATGAACAAATTTATTATTTTAGCTTAGTATCCATTTGCCAAAATATAGCCTTTTGATAGGGGCTAAATCTCTTTTTCTTCAAGATTTCTCCTTTGAGTTTCCCTTGAACCTCACTACATTTCAAAATAAAAATATATTCTAAGAATTTCTAAAATTTTTTATTTTATTTTCAAGAACATACACTCACTCAGATCAAGGGCTTCATCAACTGACCTTCTTTTGTCTCATTCAGTCTATTTCCAGCTTCTGGTCTGTTCAATTCTATCTAATCATGGGAGGGTTTTCATTGTCCTTCACATCTGGTGTTCACACCACTCTTGTGTCTATGTAATTCTCCTCTCCTGAAATATCTCCCTGCTCAGTCACATCAGTCTTTATTCAAAATATAATGAAACACATAAATATATACACATATATTTGCTAAGATATAACTCTCAATTTTCATCTCTTTAATGAATGCTCATGCCCATAATGACCTAATTCCGATTTAATCTATATCACTAACTTGTCATAGTACTTGTTCATCTTATTTATAATCATAATTTAGCATTGTTAAAACATTTTAATATTAATTGCAGTGATTTGTGACCTCACCCACCTAGATATCTGAAGGAAATCTGATGTGGATTCAGAAGGCCATAGAAGGGCATTCAAAGTTTTTGAACTAGAGTGTAGCATGAAGGAAACTGTGGTTTTTGGACTCTCTCTTCTCTATACAGAATGGGTAAGAATTGGGATGCCATGCTGCTCCCCTGCTTAATATCCTTCAGTAGTGTCCTATAGCTTTCAGCTAAATAATGGTCTGGAATACCTGCCTTTCTACTCTTTCCTACTGCTAACTCCTGCTGCCCCTTCCCCTGTGTTCCATGCCCTTCTCATCTGCTATGTGGAATTGTTTCTGGATCCGTGAACAAATCTTGCCTCCAGGATAAAAGAAAGATGGGCAGCAGAGAAGAAGGAAAACCCCAGAGCAGACAATTATTTCAGAAGAAAACGAAAAGTTCAATCATAATCTATACATAAGCCATTTGCTTTAAAAGATGAAAAATAATCCAAAAACTTTTTTATTTCAAAAAAGATGAGAAATAATCCGAATGAACTTGAAAGCCATGACAAGTTATTGATCAGTGAGCAATAAAAAAGATTTTATATGCATGTAATAGTTAAGTTACCGAAGATGGACTGAGTTAGGCGGAAAAGCGGCCTGAAGAAATCTCTAGCTGATAGGATTGACTAAACATTTGGAAATGAAACCTGAAAGAATTCCACAGTTATTAGCAACTATGTGTAGAGCATTATGATGTTTGCAACTTTCTAATTATGGGGAAATTTAAAATTTTATTGTATTACTACTCAGCATATTTATTTATATAAAATCCTGATACATCTCTAAATTTTTCAAATTTCTATACTAGAAAGATGAAACTACTATAACCTCTGAACTATCTGAAAGAGACACTTAGACTCATTCTGATGGCAGTGACCAGTAAAAGGACAATATGTTATAAAGACCAAAATAGTCTCCTTAGGAAATAGTCCAAAATCTTTCAGGCAAGTGTGGTTCAGTGGCTAAAGGGAAGAAATGGCTTGTGACAACCTGCAAGTGTCCAAAGATAGTTTTCAATAAAACCAGAAAATGGAATAACATTCAAAATGTTCATTTACCCACTGGAGAAGGAGCAAAAATTGGCCAAGAGATAGCTGAGAGAGTCACTTATCCACTTGTAGAAGTCTGATCTTTTTTGAGAACAAATCTTATGTATCTCCCTTGCCAAAACAGGACCCTGGCAGTATTTTGTTTCATGATCTAGACACATGGGTATTCACTTCATAAAAATTCATTGAGCTGTACATTTATATTTGTTCACTTTTATATTTGTATGCTTTACTCAAATTACTATAAAAACTTTAAAATACATTTGCTCCTTTATTTAAATGCTTTGCTTCTAAAATATTGATAAGGGCTCCGGATTTACGATGGCAGACTGAATACATGCATCTACTTCTCCTCATTAAGGAGGTCCCACTGAAAAGACAACAGTGTTTTTAGAGGAATGGAACCATAAGATGGCTGGAAAGTTAGAAGGGCCAGAAAATTTCAAGTTGATGAAGAAAACAAGTCAGGAAAAGTTTTATTCCAAAACATCAGAAGTAAGAATGGCTCTTGTCAAAAGGGTCCTGGAGAGCTATTAGTTCAGAAGCAGCTACCACCAAGAGAAGGAGTGGACTATGGTGACAATTAAATATATAATTGCTGTTGGCATAGCCCAATCATTTAGGCAGCTTTCCTTTGCTCATAGCCTCCTCATACACAAAGTATATGAAGTATATGTTTTAGCCCTCAAGGATAAAACTCAAACTTGCTTTTTTACCTGGAGAAGAATTTAATATATTTTTCAAAGCCTGCAAGAGGAGCAGAATAGAGTCAAAGGTAACGATAAACCATCACATCAGTCACTGAGGAAATTAATTCAAAGAGAAGGCAGCTCCATCCAGTGGTAAAACACACTAAAGCACTCCATCCTATGGTAAAGCTGTAGTAATAACAAAGGTTCCAACAGGTCTGGGAAAATTATGGAGTCTAGAATTAGCCTTCCTATTTAAGGGAGTGGCATGTCATAAAACAGAACTATGAAACTACAGAAGAACCCCACACCAAGCTGGGCATGGTGGCTGACACCTGTAATCCCAGCACTTAGGGAGGCTGAGGTGGGAGGATCACTTCAGGCCAGGAGTTTGAGACCTGCCTGGGCAACATAGTGAGACTCCATCTCTACAAAAAATAAGAAAATTAGCTGGGTGTGGTGTCACACATCTGCAGTCCCAGCTACTCAGGAGGCTGAAATGGGAGGATTGACTAAGCTTGGATGTTTGTAGCTGCAGTGAGCCAATTTTTTATTCAAAAATATAAACAAAAAAATAGGAATTTCAGATACCTCAGCACAGAAAGTGGGGAAAATGCCATCAGAGAAAACAGGGATAATTTCAAGAAAAAAAGAAATGAACTTCAAAATGTATAAATGATTAGAATTTCTGTGGGGGCAAATTGGTAGGCAGTGATAAAAAGGAGCTAAAATACTATCAATGATACATGAAATAAAACAGTAACAATAAAAATTAATATAAAATTGGGCTTGAAAGAAAAGAAAGGGAAATTTCCAAGTGACAGAAGCAAAAGAGGGAATGGAAAAACAGGACCATAAAGAAATACAGTAATGTTGTCACATCAAGAAATGGATCTTAGCAAGGTAGTTGGATTCTAACACCATTCAGGAATAGAAAAAAAAAATCTTTGGTGCATAGGTATGTAGTAATTGGAACTCAGTCCCCTATATAAAACCAGGCTTCTCAAAAGGCTATCTTCTCAATGAAAGACTAGAAAAATACTCCTCAATAGTCTCTGTGTGTAGCAAGAAAATTTATCTTTGTCCAGAGTTTAGGGATATAGAAAAAAAGCATGTCACAGTCCTGTGACAATTTGGAGTTAGAATTTAATCTATTTAGTGAGAGACTCTCTCAATGCAAAAAAATATATATATAAATGTTGTCCCCAGTATGGTCCTACCGTATCCATTTGCCTGGCAGAAGCACATCTAAAACTGTTTTGTCTCAACCCTTCAACAAACAGGACATGAGAACTGTCATAAAAAACCCAAAATCCACTGAAGATTAGCTCATGAACAAAAATTACAAAACACATGCAAAAATGATTGAGCATGAGTAAGAGTCAGAAGGTACAACAAACAAAAGGATTAGCATTTCAGGAACTTAATATACTGCTCATAAATTGACCATAACATAGTTTTATTTAAAATAATTTAAATGGCAAAAGGAGGTAGAAACTACAAGAAACATATGATAGTATTTAAAAAAAACAGAATAGAAAATAAACTGAATGTAATAGCTGGAAATGAACAACATAGTGATTGAGACTTAAAACCAAATGGATGGGCTAAATAACATGCTAGACAGTTGGAAATATAATTAGTAAACTAGAAGACAGACCTAGAAAATACTCAAATAGACAGAGACATGAAAGGATAGAAAATAGTATAGTGAGGTTATAAGGCATGGAAGTAAAATGTGAAGATCCAATGAGTATCTAAGAGGGGTTTCAGAAAGAGGAAAAAAAAGAAGAGAGGCAATGTTCAAAGATTATTGCTGAATTGTTTTTCAAAATTTGTAATGATTTGAATCATAAAATCAGACAAAAACTTAAGGAAAAATAAATACAGTTGACCCTTGTGCAACACAGGTTTGAACTGCATGGGTCCATTTTACACATGGATTTTTTTCAAAAAAATATATTGAAAATTTTTTTTGGAGATTTGTGATAATTTGAAAAAAAGAAAAACCTCACAGACAAACCCCATTGCCTCGAAATACTGAAAAAAGAATTTTTAAGTTAAGTATGTCATGGATGAATAAAATACATGTAGGTACCAGTCGCCTTTATTATTTACTATCATAAAATACACACAAATCTATTATAAAAAGTTAAAATTTATCAAAATTAACACACACACTTATAGACCATACATGGTGCCATTCACAGTTCACATAAATGTGAACAAATGTAAAATGCAGTATTAAATCATAGCTGCATAAAATTAACTGAACTACGTACTTTACTATTGTAGTAATTTTGTAGCCACCACTTTCTGCTATTGCAGTGAGCTCAGGTGTTGCAAGTATCTGTTTAAAACACAGTGACATACTCATCATCTCCACATGAGCAGTGTGTCTCTCCAGTAAATTGCATTATCACCGCAAAAAGCTGATGATGTAAACTTATGGTATTGATAAATACAGTACAGTATTATAATGTATTTTCTCCTTCTTATGGCTTTCTTAATAACAGTTTTTTCATATAGCTTACTTTATTGCAAGAGTAAAGTATATAATACACATCCAAAATATGTGTCAATTGAATGTTTATGTTATCAGTAAGGCTTTTGGTCAACAGTAGACTATTGGGAAGTAAAAAGTTATATGTGTCCAAAATGGGGGAGAGAGGGAGGGTGGCAAGGATTGAAAAACTACCCATCAGGTATTATGTTCCCTACTTGAGCAATAGGATCATTAGAAGCTCAAACCTCAGCATCACGCAATATACCCATATAACAAACCTGGACATATACCCTGTCAATCCAAAAAAAAAAAAAAAAAAAGGGAAGAAGAAGAAGTTTGAAGCAAAAAAAAGAGAAAGTTATACTTGGATATGTGGATTTTCAACCACACAAAGAGGTCAGCATCCTTAATCCCCACGTTGTTCAAAAGTCAATTGTAAAAGAAGTACCTATCTTGACTCATTGTAGATGAACTGCAGAGTATCAAAGACAAAATCTTAAACTCAGTTGAGAAGAAAGGACAAATTACCTATAAAAACAGACAATAAGAAGAGGTCCCAAAACAATAAATTGATACCCTCCAAGGGCATTTTCAAGAAAAAGAGCAAAATAAAGACATTTTTAGGCTTTCAAAGAGTGAGTTTAGTGCCGAAAGATTCTCAGTGAAAGTGTTAGGGAAGCAGGCGCCCAGGAGAGTCAGAGTAATGCCGTTTTTCTTTTCTTTCTTTCTTTCTTTTTTTTTTTTTTTTGAGATGGAATTTCACTCTGTCACCCAGGCTGGAGTGCAGTGGCGCAATCTCAGCTTACTGCAACCTCTGTCTCCTAGGTTGAAGCAATTCTCTACCTCAGCCTCCCAAGTAGCTGGGATTACTGGCACCTGCCACCATGCCCGGTAATTTTTTTTTTTTTTTTGTATTTTTAGCAGAGATGAGGTTTCATCATCTTGGCCAGGCTGGTCTTGAACTCCTGACCTCGTGATCCACCCGCCTCGGCCTCCCAAAGTGCTGGGATTACAGGTGTGAGCCACTGCGCCTGGACGAGTAATGCCATTTTAAGTTCAGCTCCATCTTGAGACTAGCAAGGCACATTCCTTGCCTGTCATGACCTATGGTCATAAGATGTTTACAGTTGAGGACACAGCCTAAAGATACCTGCAAGGATGCATTCCTACAACAACAGAAAGCCCAGATGTCCTAATACCCGTAACAGTATGTGCTTTCAAGATAATTATAGTTATGCTTTGAAGTATTTATGCACTAAAAGAAAACAATGATAGCTTTCTTTAAATCAAAAGAATAATAAATTTTGTCATGCCGTCAGCCCACTTGCATGTAGATACAGCTTAGTTTAGCTTTTACATAGATAAGACCCCTATCTAAGAAAAACTTAAGACAAAGACGAGGATGCCTTTGTCTGTAACTGAGTAGCTTTCAATAAACTACCTCTTCTCACTGCACCCCACAACTCGCCTTGAATTCCTTCCTGTGCAAGATTGAAGAATGCGCTCTTGGGGTGTCCTCTTTTTCTGGCAGCAGCAGAACTTCTAAACAGTGTGGTTTGAGTAGAAGGAAATTGGACCCAGAAGAGGGAAGTGTTTGCAAGAAGCAACAGTCAGCAAAGAAATTTATAAACATGTGAGTAATTTTAAAATAAAAGGAAAAATAAATTAGACAAAAATAGCATTTAAGTTTAGAGTTTAATCATTGTAAGGTCCTTGCTCTACTTGGCCAAAATGTATAAAATTTAAACTTTTATGTCAAGTATGTATAATAAAATTCCATGCTAATAATTAAAAGACTAGGATGGAATCTGTCACTTCAAACCAATAGTGTGAGGAAGAGAGAATAAGGTAACTCAATCTAATAGAAGACAGGAAAAGAAAACAAAGAAGCTAAGTTGAAGCATTTGGGAATTGAATAACATTGTTATTAATTTTGAAATTATTATAATAATTATTATTAAGTTATATTAAAGTCATCTATACCAGTAATCACAGTAAACATTAATTAATTAAATATGTCTGTGTGCAGGTATATGGTCCACAGGGATCACAAAACAATTTTTTTAAAAAGAAGTGCTACAAAAAATAGCAATAAGAAAATAACAGACTTGGGAATTTGTTAATGTGATTGCTATTATAATAGTGAATATCTGAATAGTAGAAAGGACAGTTCTCAAGTAAAGCTAATCAGGGAGATAAAATCAAGGAAACCTCCCATAATACAGAGTTACGTATAGGCCTACTATATGCCACAGAGTACCTATCTAGCTCCTAATATATGCCAGACACTGCTGTAAGCACTTGGCATTACTGAACAATCTAAGAAGACACTATTGTTATCATTTCCATTTTATATATAAGAAAACTGAGGCATAGAATGATTCATTTGCCCAAAGGACAAAAGAAAATTTCAGAAATATAGAGATTCCAAAGTTTAAATATCTAGTAATAACAGCTCCAGATGTAAGAAAACAGAAATAATAGAAGCAAAAAATAATAAAATAGAAATTCTTATTTTTAACTCAAAAGTTTCTGAGTTAAAAAACAGATACATATTCTCATTACAAGAGCCTACCAATAATAAATGAAGAAAATGTCTATACCTGTAAATAATCTAGATTCTAAAAATAAAGAGAAAAATCAAGAAAGCTTTCATAGTGGAAAATCTGACACCTTACAAACTCATAGATACCAGTCTTCTGTTTAGCATCAATGAGTGCTAGAACACTCTGAAGCAACTTCCTCTCCACATTTTGAGACAAAATTAAAACTATCAAATGTAAGAGAAGACATTAAGAGAGAAAGATATAAAGATATTTGGGGATATGCAAAGCCAAGTTAAAGAAAATTACCTTTCATGTACTCATATGAAAAAAGTGCTTGAATAAATACTCCAGAAAAACATGAGGAATACCCACAAAAACATGAATGAGATAACAAGAATGAGTGGGAACAAGAAAAGCTGACAGGAAAATAAGGGATTCTATTGGACTGTGAGACTGTATTATTGTTAAACAGAGAATTGTAACATAAAATAACATTCCTTTTTTTTATTATTATACTTTAAGTTTTAGGGTACATGTGCACATTGTGCAGGTTAGTTACATATGTATACATGGAATACTATGCAACATTCCTTTTTTTAATGGGCCCATTCATATCAGTTTTTCTGCAGTATAGAATACTTACATCCAAATTACACTTCAAACAGTTTCATTTAATTTTAAAGAACTGGGCTACAGAAAAAAAGCACAGAAGACCCATACAATACAGAGTGTATATTATAAATTTTTAATGTAAAAATAATAAGATAACCAGCAGATAGAAAGAGAGGAAGGGAAAGTAGTGTTAAATACACTGACATTGTTTGAGGTTGATGTACTAAGAAATGTCAGTATAAATTTCAGCTCATACTGAAATTTCAGTTGTTTCATTTATGTGAAATGACAATTATAATTGCAAAAGGACCTAAAAAAAAAACCAGAAACTGTTCAAAAAGAATTATCTTTAGGACTGGAGCTAGGAATAGAAGTGAGAGAAGGGATATTTTTGTTTTTCATTTTCGATCCTTTCATATGATTCAAATGTTTTAAAACTATTTTGAAATACCCCAAATACTAAGCTCTCCATTGAAAATATTTTTTAAAGTTCAATCTTTGCTTGACTTGCATGGTAGTTGCATTTCTGACAATTTACATTCAGTACAAATATTTTGTTTTTATATGTAATATGGAGTGAGGTCCTAGTTTCAATAAGTATAAACAAGTTTTTCAGCTACATGAATGTCCAGTGAGACAATCAAAAGTCATTTATGACATGGGGCAGTTTTTATTGTGTGTAGTTCTCCCATGCAGTACAGGACATCTAGAATCCCTGACACTAACAGTGACTTCTCCCTTCCATAACCAAGGATTCCCCAACTAATTTCCAAAATGCCTCCCACAGGGTTGACGTCAAACACTTGCAGGACCACTCCCTAGAAGAAAGAAAAGGCAACCAATATTTTTTTTCCAATAGTTAGGTTAAGAGCATACCTGTCCTGTATCATCTAATCTTCTTCACAACTTTGTGAGGGAGTTATCATTTTCCTCATTTAGAAGATTAGAAAACTGAGATATTACATAACTGTCATTTTAAGACTTCATTCATTCTTTCATTCATTTATTTATTCATTCAACAAATGCATCACGCATCATTCCAGAATCTCAAGATACAGTAATAAAAAGAGAAAAGAATTCTCAAGCCTCTTGGAGCCAACGTGCATGCACTTTGGGGACACTGAGAGTAAGCAATTCAATAATGAATAATAGAACTATATTCGTAATGTTTTTTAAGAAAAAAAGACAATGTAAAACATTTAAAAAATACTGTTGATTTCATTCTTTAATTTATTTCCAAATTTACATTTTCCTCTGAAAGGTATATAAACATATTTGTGTGGTGTGTGTGTCTGTATATACATGAATGTAGTTGAAACTGAGTTCTATGCACAATCCTGCAAATCCCCGAGCACTTTTGAAATACAGGGAGAAAAATCCCATATGCATTAAAAGGTGTCACTAAGGCTAATGTAACATGAGTCTCAGCTTTAGAGGAGTTTGTCTTAAGTTATACTAGCTGAGCCAATTAAGCCCCTGGCAGTGCTGGCAGTGAGGGCACCAGGGCTCCCATCACATCACCCTGAGGCTTCAGAGACACCTCTCATGCCACTCTCAGCTCTGAATGCCGGGAACCAGAGGAAGGAAGATACATGATGATTAAAAGAGACAAAGGCGAGGCAGGTATAACTGGAACAGTGAGAGGACCTTCAACCAAAGTGCTGAAAAATGATGATTTTAATGCTTAATTTGCTTATTTTCAGAATTCTCCCTAGAATTATAAATCATATTCCATTATTTTTAGTACAAAAGATTTTTTTATACTATCTTTGTGGTGCTGCTAGGTTAATGAACCTCCCATTTTACCTTTTAATACATTTGATATATTAAGAAAATGCCAGACATTTCTTTAAGGTATGTTAATTAATATTAATTCCACAATAAAATTGTAACAGTAAATTAGTTCCCTGACGTAAAGTTGTAACATTGCTTTTAAAGTTTATTTACACAAGCTACTTAAAATTCAGAACTAAAATTGTATTATGTTATACCTTTCAGTGAAAACCAGATGGTTTGATTAATTTTTATGGTGAAACTAACTCTAAAATTTAAATGACCCATCGACTCAAAATCATTCTTTGTTCCTTTTAAAAAATCTTTTAAAATTTAATTTTACAATCACCTTGAACCTACTACTCTCTCTGAAAGCCCTGCACAGCCTATAGGCAAATCCAAGAAAATTCTGATGGGTAGTGCAAGAGGAATCTTTCCAGCCAAAGGCTGGAGGGAAGGAACAGTGGGCCCATTAAACACCCCACTTTCCAGACAAATGTTATGGGTCTTGCTATTTGTAGTTCTTTTGTGTGAGCCTTTTAATTAGCTGCTTAGAGCCCACTATTAATGACAGTGAAGTCATAGTTTGAGCATTTACTGAATAAGACAGGGGTGTAAAGAGAAAAGATCCATGACCACGGACTGCACCCACATGCTATTCAGCCATCTTGGAAGCCAATATTGCTGGTTTTAAAGGAAACCAGATAAATGGCTCCAGGGCAAAATGTAGTCATCATCAGAAAAACAACTCGGAGTAGCAATCCTACTGACTGAGTTCACAGCATTGCTACATTAGAAAGAAAAGCTCCCTTTTTGTAATCAGTATTATTTCCCAAGTAACTTGTTGTAGCCCTTTGTATACAATCCCTTTATATTTAAGTGGCAGTATGTCACCATAAAGTTATTCTATGTTTAAAATTTGAACATATCTGTCTGAGTCCTAGGCTCTTTGATGTTGGGACACAAAAAAAGTTTTTAAAAATATTCATTGGCTTTGTTAATGTGTTTGCCCTTCAAAAAGTTTTGTTTAGGTCCCCCTGCTGAACTTGACATTGAGCATGCACCTTCATTCAGAAGCACAAGACATCTAATTGGTAGATGATGCTTGACGAATGTATCTGTCATACTGAAACTATAGGCAAGACTTAGGAACATGCACTATATCTAAAAATGTATGTGTTCAGGTGGGCACGGTAGCTCACACCTGTAATCCCAGCATATTGGGAGGCCGAGGTGGGAGGATCACTTGAGGTCAGGAGTTCAAGACTAGCCTGGCCAACATGGTGAAACTCCATCTCAACTAAAAATACAAAAATTATCTAGGCATGGTGGTACATGTCGTAATCCCAGCTACTCAGGAGGCTGAGGCAAGAGAATCACCTGAGGCTGGGAGGCGGAGGTTGCGGTGAGCTGAGATCGTGCCACTGCACTCCAGCCTGAGCGACAGAGTGAGACCCTGTCTCAAAAAAAAAAATTTATATATATATATGTGTGTGTGTGTGTGTTCAATATAAATTTAACCCTATGTATAATTTTTCAAGTAAACAAATAGCAATTATGGTTGTTTATGGTTTTAATTCAGATTTTTCTATATTGATGTGTTAGCCTGGTTCCAATGAGAAGCAGTGATTAGTATGAGATTAATAATGCAAAAATTTTATTAAGGAAAATGCCCATGTGAGAAAAAATGGGAGGAGTCAAAAGTTGTCAAACCAAGATGCAAGTGTACCCACAGATGAAGGAAAGGGGAGAACAGAGGAAGAGGAAAGGGTGAAGGGAAGGCAGCTTCTTAGACTGCCATGTAATCTACTGAAGTTCCATGAAAAACATTAGGGAGCATGAGCCAAAGCAGGCCATCAGAGGAGCCCAGTATCTCTCAATAACAGGTCTGCCTTAACATCTCTGTCAAGCTCAGCCATTAACTAGAGCAGCCTATGATAAGAGTGGCCTCAGTGCAAACATGGTAATGGATTTCAGAGGGTGGCAGCTGGGGTCAATTATAATCTTGGTCAATTATAATCCCCATAGCTGGAGGTCAGCAAGGTGTATTTTCTTGGCTGTCATAAATGCATACCATTAAGGGGAAAAATGTTTTTCCACAATTATGAAATACATGATTTTGACAAGACGATCATTACAACAATCTTTCAGTGTGACTTATTTTTTTTCTTGAAGAGATAGAGTCTCACTTTGTTGCCCAGGCTGGTCTCAAACTCCTGGCTTCAAACCATCTTCCCACCTTAGCCTCCCAAAGTGCTGAGATTACAGGCATAAACCATCATGCCTCCTTTACTTTTTTTTTTTTTTTTGATTAGGGAAAAACTTGTAGTGTCAGATTTTTTTAAAAAATCTCATAAAGATTCTAATAAAGGTCATTGTTAAAACATTAGTGTTATTATATTGAATCAATTATGATATTAAATGCTATAATAACATTTTACTTAAAATGTTTTTGTATTGACTTTAAAGAAAATGTGTCTTGATTTAAAACAAAATGGTAATGATATATAAATTTCAAATATTAAGTATTGAAAATGGTTTTGTAAAAACAGATAAGACAATAAATATCCATCATCATGGGGTTCCACAGGGCATTGCATCTGACCAAGAAACTCTCTTTACAGTCAAAGAAAAGTGACAGTGGGCTCATGCTCATGGAATTCACTGGTCTTACTATGTTCCCCATTATCCTGAGGCAGCTGGCTTGATAGAATAGTAGAATGGCCTTTTGAAGTCACAGTTATGACACCAACTAGATGACTGTACTTTCCAGGGTTGGGGCAAGGTTCTCCAGAAGGCTGTATATGCCCTGGGTCAGTATCCAATAATACAGTATTATTTCTCCAATAGCAAAGATCCACAGGTCCAAGAATCAATGGGGTTGAAACGGGAATGGCACCACTCACAATTACCCCTAGTGACCCACTAGCAAAATTTTTGCTTCCTGTTCCCTCAACTTTATGCTCTGCTGGTCTAGAGCTGTTAGTTCCAGAGGGAGGAATGCTTCCACCAGAAGATACAATGATTCCCCTGAACTGGAAATTATTTTGCCACCTGGCCACTTTGGGTTCCTCATGCCTCTGGATCAATAGGCTAAGCAGGGAGTTACAACATTGGACTGGGTGATTGATCCAGACTACCAAGTGGAAATTGGACTACTATTCTGCAATGGAGGTAAGGAAGAGTATGTCTGGAATACAGGATTTTCCTTAGGGCATCCCTTAGTGTTATCATGTCCTGTGACTAAGATCAATGGGAAATTATAACAACCCAATCCAGGCAAGACTTTGAATGGCCCAGACCCTCCAGGAATGAAGGGTTGGGTTACTATTCCAGGTAAAGAACCACAAGCAGCTAAGGTGCTTGCCTAAAGGCAAGGAAGATACAGATTGAGTGGAATAAAGTAGTTATAAATACCAACTACAACAGCGTGACCAGTTACAGAAATGAGGACTATAATCATCATAAGCATTTCTTCCTTATTTTGTTAGAAATATGTTTGAATATATGCATATGTTATGCAAATTTCTTTGTTTTTATTCTCCTCTTATTCCTTCATCATGTAACATAAAATTTATTGACTTTATATCAGCATTTAAATATTGCTAATTTTAGATCATAGTATTTAAGTTACGGGAGATCAGGAGAAAAGTAAAACATTGCCCAAGGACTTCATCTTGTTTTCTGGGGAAAAGACTTGTACATTTCTGGTTGTATGCAGGATAGTTGCATGTTAGGTGGAACTATCACCTTGTTATTATTATTTGAGATTAGGTATGGTTTAAGGAGATGCATATGGGTGCCTGGTTGACATGGGGTAGAATTGTGATCTTTAATTTTAGGTGTCAACTTGACTGCACTAAGGAATACCTAGAGAGCTGGCAAAGCATCATTTCTGGGTATATCTGTGAGAATGTTTCCAGAAGAGACTAACATTTGAGTCAGTGGACTGAGTGGAGAAGATCTGCCCTCATTATAGATAGACCAATCCAATCACCTGGGGCAAAAAAAAAAAAAAGGCAGTAAAAAGGCAAATTCTCTCTCTCTCTCTCTCTCTCTCTCTCTCTCTCTCTCTCTTTCTCTCCTGGAGCTGAGACATTCTTCTCCACCTGCCCTTGGGTGTAAGAACTCCAGGATCTTCAGCCTTTTGACTCCAAGACTTGCTCCAGTGGTCCCCCAGGTTCACAGGCCTTTGGCCCCAAACTGAGAGTTACACCATCAGCTTCCCTGGTTCTGAGGCTTTTGAACTTGAACCAAGCATACTACCAACATCCCTGGATTTCCAGCTTGCAGACAGTCCACTGTGGGACTTCGCAGCCTCCATAATCATGTAGGCCAATTCTCTTAATAAATCCTCTCTTTATCTATCTATCTATCTATCTATCTATCTATCTATCTATCTATCTATCTATCTCATTTTGGTTGTGTCTCTCTGGAGAAGCCTGACTAATACAGAAATCAAAATAATATATTCTTTTTTTAAAAAAAACTCTTATTTTAATAAGTTATCTCCTTATTTCCATTTGCTTTTCAGAAATCGTATGAATCTTGTTATATCTAAAAGTAAGATAAATGTACTTAAATGCCATATAATTCTGTGACATTCCTAGAAAATAACCTCTAGAAATCAGAAATAACCTTATTCAGACATCTTACCCAACACTTTAATGATGACTAACCTATTTTCAGAGTTTCTTTTTAAAAATAATTTGGAGAATAATAAAAAGAATTTTCGACAAGTCTTCCATAGCTAGCAAAAGACAGCTTGCCATACTTGCCTAATGCATTTAATAACGTACATCTACTTATTTGTGTTCATCAATCCACTGGGACCATTATTGTTTGGGAATTTTGCCTCCAAAACTGTTCTTGGGTTTTTCAAAATTATGAATATTAAGTGAATTATTGTATGTTTAAAAACATATAGAGCCAAAGCTAAATTATTCAGTAAATATACACAGAATTTTGGAAGTTTGTTAACATTTCCCTCAATTTGCTCTTACAGAACATTTAATGCTACATACCTTAAATTCTACATGTTTTTATGCATTTTCATTGGAGTCAAGGACTCTGACACCTATTTTTGTTTTAAAACATTCTACAAAAACATGTAAAAGTCATATAAATATTCACAAATTTTGTGCTGTAATTCTACTTCTAGGTATTTATTCTAAGAGAGGAATCCGAATTGTGGGAAATTGATATTCTCTAAGACATTCTTTACAGAATATTTATACTATCAATATAATAAGGGAAATTCTGACATTAGGCAATATGTACAATTATATTATATCCACTCAATAGAATATGAGGCAAACATTTAAAATGGTTTTAAAACTGTAAGGAAATGTGAACAAGGATTACGATATCTTAAGAAAATATAAGTGATATATATAAAAAGCATAAGTATCTCTAGTTTTTAAAATTCTACCAGAAAAAAGTGACTCTTATGTCTTTATATTGTAGAGGAATGCCTCATTTACTTTATGTTTACTTGTTCCATTTTTTGTAACACCATTGCATTACTTTTAATGGAAAAAGGCTTAAATTTTATATTCTAAAATATGCAGTATCAATACTGTTCAATTCATTCTACTCTGGTCAGCATTACCCTGATACCAAAACCTGACAAAGACATTACAAGAAAAAATAACTATAGACCAATATTCTTTATGTATATAGATGCAAGATGTCTAAACAAAATTTTACAAATCTAAATCAATGATCTATAAAATAGGTAATACATTATGACCAAGTATGATTTATCCCAGAAATGCAAAGTTGGTTTAATGTTCAAATATCAACCAATGTAACTGAGCATAATAAAAGAATTTTAAATTTTTAATATGATTATATCAATAGACACAGAAAAAACACTTAAGAAAAGGCAACATCCATTGTTTATAAAAACTCTCACTTGGTGGGAGGAGGGTGAGGTATAAAAAACTACATGTTGGTTACAATGTACATTACTCTGGTGACCAGTGCGATAAAATCTCAGACTTCACCACTGTACAATTCATTCATGTAACCAAAAAACACCTTTACCCTAACACTATTGAAATAAAAAAGAAAATGTTTTAACTCTCACTAAACTAAAAATACTAAAGACTTTCCTTAATCTGATGCTGGGCATATCTACAAAAAACCTACAGCTAATATCACACTTAATGGTGAAAGACCAAATATACAAATACACTTTCCTTAAGGTGCAGACAATAAAAGAATGTCTGCTGTCTGTACATTTTGTTAAACTTGTACCACCAAAAGTCCTAGCCAGTGGAACAAGACAAGAAAAGGAAAATAGAACATTGAAACTGTTTTTATTCATAAACAATATGCTTATTCAGAAAATTTTGGTGGGATCTCCCAAAACTGTTACCAAGTAAATTTAGCTTGGTTGCAGGATACAAGATCAATAAACAAAAATCAATTATACTTCTATCTACCAGTAATGAAATATCATAAAGTAAAATTTTAAAAAACAATACCATTTACAGTAGCTTAAAAGAATAAGAAATACTCAGGGATAAATTCGCCTAATAGGTGTTAAGACCTATACACTGAAAACTACAAAAATGTTTCTAGGAGAAATTTAAAGACCTGAATAAATGAACCCCTTGTTCACGGGTCAGGAGAGTCAATATTGTTAATATGTCAACTTTTCCCAAATTGAGCTATAGATTTACCAATCCCATTCAAAATCCCAGCAAGCTTTATTTTTTTTAAAAATAAACAAGCTAATCATAATATTCATATGTAAATACAAATTATCTGGAAAAGTCAAATCATTTAGAAAAATAAAAACAAAGTTAGAAGAGTAACAGTACCTGATTCAACATTTATTATAAAGCCAAAATAATCAAGACAGTGTGCTATTGGTGTAAAGGCAAATAAATACATCAATGGAACAAAACTGTGAATCTAGAAATAAATCCACACATATATGGTCAACTAATTTTCAAGAAAGGCACAAAGTCCATTCAGTGGGAAAAGGATAGTCTTTTTTTAACAATGGTGCTGGAACAATTGGAGATATATATATATATGCAAAAATAAACTTCCATCCATGCCTTGCACTGCATATAAAATTTAAAAGAAAATGCATTATATACCTAAATGTAAATCCTAAAACTATACAAATTATAGAAGATTATACATGAGACAATCTTTGTGACCTATGGTTAGGCAAATATTTCTTAACTATGAACACCAGAAGCACAATCCATAAAAGAAAAAATTGATAAATTATACTTTAACACAATTGAAACCTTCTGCTATTTTAAGACATTTTTAAAGCCACAGACTTTCAAAGCCACAAACCATGAAAAAATATTTTCAAAGTATGTATCTGACAAAAGACTTAAATTTAGAATATATAAAGAGCTCTCAATACTTAAAAGTGAGAAAACAGATACCCCAATTAAGAAACGAGCAAATGATTTAAACAGAGTTCACAAAAAAGATGGCAAATAAGCACATGAAAAGTTGCTCATCATCGTTAGTCATTAGAAATATTCAAATGAAAACCACAATGAGGTACCATTACACACTACCTTAGGCTAGCAAAAATTACTAAGATTTGCTGCTCCAAGTGTTGTTGAGGATGAGGAGGAACTGGAAATCTTGTAAACTGCAAATGAGAACGTAAAATGGTTCAACCATTTCAGAAGATAGTTTGGCAGCTTCTTAAAAGGAGAACATCTATGACCAATGAGTCACACAGTCCAGCTATTCCTCTCCTAGGTACATACTCACAAGAGATAAAAGCATATGTTGAGGAGGTCTTCAAGACGGCTGACTAGAGGAATCTGGCACCCGTCTTCTCCACAAAGAAGAACCAAAATAGTGAGTAGATAATCACTCTTTGAATAGATCATCTAACAGAGAACACTGAAATTCAACAAAGAACTGAGAGGAAACACCTAAAGCAAGAAAGAAGTGGAAAGGGAGGCAGCCTGCTTGGCCAGGATTGGCTATGAGCCTTGAGAGGCTGTCCATTGTGGGAAAAAGGTATGAAATCCCCAGTGGTCCACATTCCCACCATGGACTCCTGAAATCCTAGCACAGGTGATCCCTTCAATCCTCCTGGGCCCTGAGACTAACATGGGAAGCTGTGTGGAGACTACAGAAAAGCATTGCTCCAGAGAGGGAGATTGTGCTGCACCTCACATACCCACTGAGTTCTAAGTAGCTACAGGAAGGTGTCATTTTGAGAGCCTGGCCCCGCCTAACTGCATCCTGCCCTGGAGCTCCAAAGCCCCTACGTCTCCACATCCCTGAAGCCCTGTTGATACCTCCTGCCTGCAGCCACTGCTGTGGCTGGCTGCTGCCACCAGTACCAAAGCTTAAGCCCTTGGCAGTTAACCTGACTCCCCCAGCAGTGGAGTCACCATGCATTTTCACTTGCCCTGAGAACAGACTCACCTGCCTGCAGCCACTGCTGCTATGGGCTTCCACTGCTAGATTCAAAACATGAGGGAAGTGCATGCTTTCCAGCCACCTGCCTACAACTGCTGCCACTGAAAGCAACCCCATCTGTCCAGTAGCAGGACTCCAGCACAGGCACTGCTGCCCCTGTCCAAGCATTCTGCCAGGGACCTGAGGATTAACCTTCCCCTGCCTACCATAGCCAGTACCTGCACACACCACTGGGGGTCGTGAGGACAGGCTCTTGCAACCTGGCTCCAACTCTGCAGTGCCTAAGCATGCTGTTCAGAGGTCTGGGGATCGTCCAGCCTGGTGTATCATCATTGGTACCTAAGCACTCCTTCCAGGGCCTGAGATTGGGCCCACCCACCCTGCCACCACTGCCATAGCAGACACCCACCTGCACATACTATCTGCAGACCTGGGAACTAGCCCACCTTGCTCATCATAACCAGTACCAACACCAGTTCAGACCACATCAGAACCAAAGGCTTGTTCTACCACTGCTACTACCACTGCTCACATCATGCAGGCTGCCCAGGGGACCAAGAACCCAGCCACTGGCCCTGCCCACCACTGTCACTACTGACACCCAAGCAAGTTGCCTGGAAACCCGAGAATCAACCCAGTTGGACCCATTAATGCTGCTGCCAACATATACCACCCTAAGGCCCAGCTACTGGCATGTCCAGCTCACCACTGTCACCACTAGGGCCCAAGGACTGGCTCATCTGGCATCCCAGTCTCCAGAAAAACTTCACCACAGTTGCCACTAGCAACCACACCTAAGTCACTGAGGAAATCAAAGGTACCACTGATGCTGTTTACAGCCAAAGAAATCATACAGAGACTACCCTACTGCATGCACTTAGAATCAAAGCCAAAATGCTCTACCCAACTAACACTATAGATACATATTGAGGAAAAAGACCTCCCCTATGAAAGAAGATTCAAAAAATTGGAAGAAGCCACTGCTACACCAGATGCATAGATATCAACATAAGGACAAAGAAACATGAAAAAAACAGGGAACTATTATACCTCCAAAGGAACATAATAATCTCCAGCAATAGATCCCAGTGAACAACACATTTATGAAATTCTGGAAAAAGAATTCAAAACGATAATGTTAAAGAAGCTCGGTGAGATATAAGAGAATACAGAAAAATACAAAAAATTAGAAGAACAATTCCGTCTCTTTCTCTTTCTCCTGCTCCACCCACGTAAGACGTGCTTGCTTCTCCTTTGCCTTCCACCATAATTGTAAGTTTCCTGAGGCCTCTCCAGAAGCAGAAGCCTGTATAGCCCACAGAACAAGACAGGGTCGTATTATGTTGCCCAGGCTGATCTCAAACTCCTGAATTCAAAAAATCCTCCCACCTCAGCCTCCCAAGTAGGTGGGATTACAGGCGTGCACCACTAGGCCCAGGATTTATGAGACTTTTAATCCAAGATCCAGCAGAACAGAAATTAACTTAATAGGACTTAATGAAATGAATAAAGAAAATTTTATTGTGGTTGTTCGGAAAAGCATTGTTGTTGTTTTAATGTCTTATTTTCTTGAGGTATAAAGAAGCCCTTCCTGAAGTGGCAGGTCATAAAAAATATAAATAAATAAATAAACAAATACAATTCAGGATATGAGTGAGAAATTTACCAAAGACATAGATATTGCCCGGGCACAGTGGCTCACAACAGTAATCTCAGCATTTTGGGAGGTCAAGGCAGGAAGATTGCTTGAGTCCAGAAGTTTGAGACCAGCCTGGCAACATGGCGAAACCCTGTCTCTATAAAAAATACAAAAAAATTAGCCAAGCATGGTGGCGCACATCTGTAGTCCCAGCTACTCAGGAGGATCACTTGGAGGGACTTTACATTGAACTCAGTGCTTCCCTGTCACAGTGAAGAGCAAAACCATGTTGGGCTCAGCCACAACCCTTGCGCACAGAGGAAGCATTTGGAGCAGTCCTAGCCAGAGGGAAATTGCCCAACCCAGCAATCAGAACTTGAGTTTCTTGGCAAGCTTTACAACTGAGGGCTAAAGCACTCTAGGGTCCTAGGTAAACTTGAAAGGCAGTCTAGGACACAAGGACTGTAATTCCTAGGCAATTCTTAGTTCTAGCCTGGGCTTAGAGCAAGTGAACTAAGGTGACATATTACCTAGGGAGAAACCAGCTGGTGAGGCTAAAGGAGTGCTTGTGCCATCCCTCCCTCAACCCCAGGCAGCGCAGCTCAGAGCAACCAAAACTTCTCTTTAAGGAAATGAGAGCAAAGAGTAAAGAGGACTTTGTCTTGCATCTTTGATACCAGCTCACCCACAGTAGGATAGGGCATGGGGTAGAGTTGTGAGGCCCGCATTCCAGGCCCTAGCTCCCAGACAACTTTTCTAGACACACCCTGGGCCAAAAGGGAATCTGCTACCTTTAAGGAAAGTACCCAGTCCTAGTAAGATTCATCATCTACCAACTGAAGAACCCACGGGCTCTAAATAACCAGCAGTGATACCCATGGAGTATACTGTGGGCCTTGGGCCCTGAGACATGCAGACTTCAGGGGTGACCCAGCACGTTCACAGCTGTGGTGGCTATGGTGAAAGACTCCTTCTGTTCGAGAAAAGCAGAGGGAAAAGCAAAGGGGACTTTGTGTTGCATCCTAGGTACCAGTGAAGTCACAGTTGGGTAGAGCAACAAGCAGGATATTGGGTTCCCCAAGTCCAGGCCTAGGCTCTTGGACAGTATTTCTGCTCTTGCCTTGGGCCAGAGGGGAGCCCACTGCCCTGACGGGTGAGTTGCTAGCCTGGCAGCATTCACCACAAGCTTACGGAAGAGACTTTGGACTTTAAGTGAACATAGGTGGTGGCCTAGAAGAACCTCCTGTGGACTGGTGGTTGTGCTGGCCACAGGGAGAAGCTCCTCTGCCTGTCAACAGGGGCAGGAAGAATGGGAAGGATTTTGTATTGTGGTTTTGAGTGCCACCTTAGTGGCAGTAGTATAGAATATCAGGTAAACAGCTAAGGGTTTTAACCCCAAACCCTGGTTCCCAGGGTGTGGCATCTGGACACACCCAGGAACTAGAGGAAGTTGCCACCCTCAACAGAAGGGCCTTGGGCAAGGCCCAGTGCTGTAATGGCTTCAGGTCTGACCCAGTGCAGTCCCAGTAGTGGGTGTCATAGGGGTGCTTCCATCAAGATAACACTGAGAAGGAATTCAGAATTCAATCGGATAAATTTAATAGAGATTGAAATAATGTTAAAAATCAAGCAGACATTCTAGAGTTGAAAATGTAATGGACATGCTGAAGGATGCATCAGAGTCTCTTAACATTAGAACTGATCAGGTAGAAGAATGCGTTAGTGAGCTTAAAGATAGGCTACTTGAAAATACAATCAGAGGAAACAAAAGGAAAAAGAATAAAAAACAATGAAGCTCACCTATAGGATCTTGAAAATAGCCTCAAAGGGGCAAATCTGAGTAATTGGCCTTAAAGAGGAGGTAGAGAAAGAGATGGGGTAGAAAGTTTATTTGAAGGGATAATATCAAAGAACTTCCCAAACCTAGAGAAAAATGTTAACAGTTAACTCCAAGAAGGTTATAGAACACCAAGCAGATTTAACCCAAAGAAGACTACCTCAAGGCAACTAACAGTCACTAACTTCCAAAGGTCGAGGATAAAGAAAGGATCCTAAAGCACAAGAGAAAAGAAAGAAATAACATGCAATGCAGCCTCAATAAGCCTGGAAGCAGACTTTTCCATGGAAACATTATAGGCCAGGAGAGAGTGCTATGAAATATTTAAAGCCCTAAAGGAAAAAATAAATAAATAAATAAATAAATAACTTTTATTCTAGAATAGTATGTCTGATGAAAATGTCTTTTAAGCCTGAAGGAGAAATAAAGACCTTCCCAAACAAATAAAAGCTGAGGGATTTCATCAACACCAAACCTGTCCTACAAAAAAATGCTAAACCACAATGGAATAAAGCTACAAATTAATAACAAAAGAAAATTTGGAAACTATACAAACACATGGAAATTAAACAATATGCTTCTGAATGACCAGTGGGTCAGTGAAGAAATTAAGAAGGAAATTGAAAAATGTCTTGAAACAAATGACAATGAAAACACAACATAACACAACTTAAGGGGTACAGCAAAAGTAGTACTCAGAGGGAAATTTATAGCTTAAGCCTACATCCAAAAAGAAGAAAAGTTTCAAATAACTAACCTAATGATGCATCTTAAAGAACCAGAAAATCAAGAGCAAACTGAATCCAAAATTAGCATAGAGAAATAATAAATATCAGAGCAGAAATAAATGAATTTCAAATGAAGAAAACAATAAAAAAGATCAATGCAACAAAAAGTTGTTTTTTTGAAAAGATAAACAAAATTGCCAAACCTTTAGCCAGACTAAGAAAAAAGAGATAAGATCCAAATTTAAAAATCAGAGATACAAAAGGATGCATTCCAACTGATACTACAAAAATTTAAAGGATAATCAGAGCCATTATGAGCAACCATATGCCAATAAATTGGAAAATCTAGAAGGAATTAATAAATGCCTAGACACATAAAACCTGCTAAGATTTAATCATGAAGAAATCCAAAACTTGAAAAGAACAGTAAGAAGTAATGAGATTGAAGCAATAATACAAAGTCTCCCAGTAATGAAAATCCCAGGACCCAATGGCTGCAAAACTGAACTCTACCAAATTTTTAATGAACTAATACCAATCCTATTTAAACTATTCAGAAAAAGAGAGGAGGAGGCAATACTTTCAAACTCATTTTACAAGGCCAGTATTACACTGATACCAGAACCAGACAGACACATCAAGAACTGCAGACCAATATCTCTGATGAACATTTATGCAAAGTCCTCAACAAAATACTAGCAAACAGAATTTAACAATATATTTAAAAGATCATTCATCATGACCAAGTGAGATCTATCCCAAGAATGTAAGAATGATTCAACATATGCAAGTCAATCAGTGTGATACATCTTATTAACAGAATGAGGGATCCAAACCATATGATCATTTCAATTGATTCTGAAAAAGCATTTAATAACATTCAACATCTTTTCATGATAAAAGAAAACCTCGAAAAACTGGATATAGAAGGGACATACCACAACATAACAAAAGCCATGTATGACAGACCCACAAGTAGTATCTGATATGTTTTGGATCTGTGTCCCTGTCCAAATCTCATGTTAAATTGTAATCCCCAATGTTAGAAGTGAGGACTGGTGGGAGGCAATTGGATCATGGGATGGGTTTCCCACTTTGGTGCTGTTCTCGTGATAGAGTTATCACAGGATCTGGTTGTTTAAAAGTGTGGGGCATTTACCCCCACCTTCCTTCTGCTCTGGCTATGTGAAGATGCTGCTCCAGCTTTGCCTTACACCATGAATAAAAGCTACCTGAGGCCTCCACAACTATGCTTCCTGTACAGCCTGCAGAGCCATGAGCCAATTAAATTTCTTTGCTTTATAAATTACCCAGTCACAGGTATTTTTATGGCAATGTGATAATGGACTAATACAGCATCATACTGAATGGGGAAAAACTGAAAGCCTTTCCTCTTAGATCTGGAACACAACAAGGATGCTCACTGTCACACTGTTATTTAACACAGTATTGGAAGTCTTAGCTACAGCAATCAGACAAGAGAAAGAAATAAAGAGTATCCAAATTGAAAAGGAAGAAGTCAAATTATCCTTGCTTTCAAATGCTATGATCTTATATTTGGAAAAAACTAAAAACTTCACCAAAAACTTATTAGAACTTACAAACAAAGTCAGTAAATTTGCAGGATACAAAATCAGTATACAAAAATCAGTAGCATTTCTATATACCAACAGTGAACAATCTGAAAAAGAAATCAAGAAATTAATCCCATTTACAATAGCCACAAATAAAATTAAATACCTAGGAATTGACCAAAGAGATGAAAGATGTCTATAATGAAAACTTTAAAATACTGGTGAAAGAAATTTAAGAGGACACAAAAAATTGGAAAGTAAGTCCATGTTCATGAAATGGAAGAATCAATGTTGTTAAAATGTCTATACTACCCAAAGCAATCTACAGATTTAATGCAATCCCTATCAAAATACCAATGACATTCTTCACAGAAA
The DNA here is from genome assembly GCF_000001405.40 of Homo sapiens. NCBI lineage: Eukaryota > Metazoa > Chordata > Mammalia > Primates > Hominidae > Homo > Homo sapiens. The sequence continues at coordinate 198,050,527 of NC_000001.11, read as the reverse complement.
TAGAAAAAAAAATCCTAAAATTTGTATGGAATTACAAAAGACCCAGAATAGCCAAAGCCATCCTAAGCAAAAGGAACAAAACTGGAGGAATCACATTACCTGACTTCAAATTATACTACAGAGCTATAATAACCAAAACAACATGGTATTGGCATAAAAATAGACACATAGACCAATGGAAGAGAATAGAGAACCCAGAAACAAATCCATACTCCTACAGTGAACTTGTTTTCAACAAAGATGCCATGAACATATATTGGGGAAAAGACAGTCTCTTCAATAAATGATGCTGGGAAAACTGGATATCCATATGCAGAAGAATAAAATTTGACCCTTATCTATCACCATATACAAAAATCAAACCTAAATGAATTAAAGATTCAAATTGAAGACCTCAAATTATGACACTACTGTAAGAAAACATTGGGGGAGCTCAGAACATTAGTCTTGGCAAAAATTTCTTGAGTAATACCCCACAAGCACAGGCAATGAAAGGCAAAATGGACAAATGAGATCATATCAAGTTAAAGAGCTTCTACAAAACAAAGCAAACAATCAATGAAGTGAAGAGACAACCTACAGAATTGGAGAAAATATTTTCAGACTACCCGTCTGACAAGGGATGAGTAACCAGAATATATAAGGCATTCAAACAACTATGGAAAAAAATCTAATAATTTGATTTAAAAATGGTCAAAAGATTTCAAAAAATATTTATCAAAAGAAGACATACAAATGACAAACAGGCATATGAAAAGGTGGTTAACATCACTGTTCATCAAGGAAATGCAAATCAAAACTGCAATAAGATATCATCCCACCCCAGTTAAAATGGCTTTCATCCAAATGTCAGTCACTAACAAATGTTGGAAAGACTGTGGAGAAAAGGGAATCCTTGTACACTTTTGGTGGGTATGTAAATTAGTACAACCACTATGGAGAAGAGTTCAGACGTTCCTCAAAAACTAAAAAGAGAGCTATCATATGATCTAACAATCTCATTGCTGGGTATATTACCAAAAGAAAGGAAATCAGTATATTGAAGAGATAGCTGTACTCTCATGTTTGTTGCAGCACTGTTCATAATAGCCAAGGTTTGGAAGCAACCTGTGTTCCATCAACAGATAAATGGATAAAGAAAATGTAATACTTATACACAATGGAGTAATATTCAGCCATAAAAAAGAATGAGAGTCTTTTATTTGCAGCAACATGGATGGAACTGGAGATCATTATATTAAGTGAAATAAGCCCAGCACAGAAAGACAAATGTTGCAAATTCTCTTTTATTTGTGGGAACCAAAAAGCAAAACATTACAATTCATGGAGATAGAGAATAGAAGGATGGTTACCAGATTCTAGGGAGGGTAGTGGGATCCCAGGGTGGGAGGTAGGGATGCATAATGGGTATAAAAAAAGCATATTAAGAGTGAATAAAACCTAGTGTTTGATAGCACAACGGAAGTACTGTAGTCAATAATAATTTAATTGTACATTTAAAAATAACTAAAAGTGGCTGGGCATGGTGGCTCATGCCTGTTATCCCAGCACTTTGGGAGGCTAAGCCGGGCAGATAACCTGAGGTCAGGAGTTTGTGACCAGCCTGACCGTCATGGTGAAACCCCGTCTCTACTAAAAAATACAAAAAACTAGCCAGGCGTGGTGGTGTGTGTCTGTAGTCCCAGCTACGTGGGAGGCTGAGGCATGGGAATTGCTTGAACCTGGGAGGTGGAGGTTGCGGTGAGCTGAGATTGTACCACGGCACTCCAGCCTGAGTGACAGTGTGACTTCGTCTAAAAAAAAATAATAATAATAAATAACTAAAAGAGTATAATTGGATTGTTTGCAACACAAAAGATAAATGCTTGTAAGAATGGATACCTAATTTCCCATGGTGTTATTATTACACATTGCATGCCTGTACCAAATATCTTATGTATACCATAAATATATACACCTATTATATATATCCACAAAAATTAAAAATTAAAAAAATTTTAATGAAGAATCCATTGAATAAAATGTAAAATACATTTGAAAGGTTTCATAATATACTAGATCAAGCAGAATAAAGAATTTTAAAACTTGATAACAGGTCTTTTGAAATGAGACGCAATAAAGTGACTAAATATTTGAACTTTCAGTGTCTCAGAATGCAAAAAGAAAACAAAAGTGTTGGAGAACCTATTTAACAAAATACTAGCTGAAAACTTCCCCAAGTCTAGCAAGAGATTTAAGCATCCAGATACAGAAAGCTCAGAGATCTTGAAACAGATATAATTCAAAAATGTCTTCTCCACAGCACTTTACAGTCAAACTGTCAAAAATCAAAGATGAAGAGAGAATTCTAAAACCAACAAGGGGATAGCATCTAGGGAACAAAGGACTGGCTCACTTGGCACCCTAGTACCCAGAAAAACCTCACCACAGTTTCCTCTAGCAGTTTCCCTTATAAGTGGCTTTTACTTATAAGGGAACCTACATCACACTTACAATGGATTTCTCAGTAGAAACTTTATAGGCCAAGAGAGAATGGGATGATATATTTAAAGTACCAAGAATATTGTACCCTGCAAAGTTATCCTTTACAAAGGAAAGAGACATATAGTCTTTCTAAGACAAGCAAAAATGAGGGAATTTATCACCACTACACAGGTCCTACAAGAAATGCTCAAGGGAGTCCTCAATCTGGAAGTGAAACCACGATATCTACCATTAAAAAAACATGAAAGTATAAAACTCACTGGTAGAACAAACATACAAATAAGAAAGGGAAGGGACCCAAATGTTGCTACTACAGAAAACCAACAAATCACATTGATAAACAGTAAGAGAGAAAGAAATGAACAAAGGATATACAAAACAACCAGAGATGACAGAAATAAGCCCTCACATATCAATTATAACCTTGAATACAAATGGATAAACTTTCCACTTAGAAGATATGGATTGGAAGAATAAATTTTTAAAATGACCCAACTACATGCTGCCCACGAGAAACTCATCTCACCTGAAAGGCACATAAAGGCCAAAAGTAAAGAGATGGAAAATAATATTTCATGCAATTGGAAACCAAAAGTGAGCAGAAGTAGCCATACTCATATTATATAAAACAGACTTCGGGTCAAAACAGTAGAAAGAGATAAAAATGCTCATTATATAATGATAAAGGGATCAATTCAGCAAGGAAATATAACAATTCTAAACAAATACACTCCCAACACTAGAGCACCCAGATACATAAATATTATTAGGTCTAAAAAGAGAGGTAGACTTAAATACAATAATAGTTGGGAACTTCAACATCCCACTCTCAGTATTAGACAGATCATGTAGAAAGAAAGTTAACAAAGAAACACTGGACGTAAACTGTGCATTAGACCAAATGAGCCTAACAGACATTTATAGAACATTTCACCCAACAGCTATAGAACACACATTATTTTCATCAGGACATGAAATGTTCTTCAGGATAGACCATGTGTTAGGACACACAAAAAGTCTCCAAGATTTCTTAAAGTCAAAAGCTCCAGAAGTAACAATCAAGAACAAGGGGAAATCTTAACTCATCTCCTGGCTCAGTGACATATGGACTATGGAACTAAAAACAGCCACCACTTGAGATAGCTGCAGGGAAGGCTGTGTCCTCAAAAGAGTGCAAGAAAAGGATGAAAACAATCAGAAAAGAGGTAGACAATAGAGGAGATTTTGTTGACGATGGGATGTTCAATACAGAGAACACAATGGATGGGTTTTAGGGGGTAGAAGTGGGTGGGAGATGGTAGCATAATAGAGAACAGATAGAGCTTCATGAGGACCATAGTTTTGGAGGTGAGGGGTGCCAAAAGTTTTGTGGTTACTGATATAAACCAAGTAAATAGGGAGTCCATACATCCCCATTTCCCCTCAGTAGTCCTGGTTTATGTCGATTGTCGCAGAGTCCTGGCCAATTCAACATAGACCTGGACAAGTGCTCTGATTAGGACAATTTACATGAATATTTTACAGATAAAGGGCATAATATATCTCACGTTTAAAAAAATGATTTAATTTTTTAAAATCATTTAATTTAAGGTGATTTAATTTAAATGATATCACATTTTTAAATCCATTCATCCGTTCGTCCATCCATGGATAAATTTGTTCATCCATTTATCTACTATATAGAGATATATATATATATATATAGTGTGTGTGTGTATATACACACACAATATTTCATTCCATTGTGTGTGTATTCCATGCACACACACACACACACAATGGAACATTACTTGGCCATAAAAAAGAATGAAATTATGTAATTTGCAGCAACATGGGTGGAACTGGAGATCATTACATTAAGTGAAATAAGCCAGGAACAGAAAGACAAATATTACATGTTCTCACTCATATGTAGGAGATAAATAAGTTGATCTAATAGAGATAGAGATTAGAATGATAAATACCAGAGGCTCGCAAGAGTGTGTGTGGGAGTGGGGATAAAAGAGGTTGGTTAATGGGTACGAGCACACAGTCAGATGGAATAAGTTCTAATGTTTGATAGCAGAGTAGGGTGACTATAGTTAACAATGTATTGTATATTTTGAAATAGCTAGAAGAGAGGACTTGAAATGTTCCCAACACATAGAAATGATAAATACTCAAGGTAATGGATACCCCAAATATCCTGACTCAATAATTACTCATTTTATGCATCTAACAAAACATCACATGTACCCCATAAACATGTACTAATATTACGAATCAATTTACATTTTTTTAAGAAATAAAAGAATGTATTTATACAAAAACCTGTATATGAATATTCAGAAAAACTTGCTTTGTTATAGCCAACTATTGGAAACAAGCCAAATGTCAACAGATAATGGATAAATTGTGATGTATCCATATAATCTATAAAAGTCAGTTGAATAATAATGGAATGAACTACTGATAAACACATGAGTGCAATTCAAAATAATTATGCTGTGCAAATAATTTAGAAGCCAGAATATAATATTATTTCATTGTTATAAAATTCTTTAAAATGCAAATTAATCTATAGTTAGAGAAAGCAAATCAGTGGTTGCCTGGGAACAGGTAAAGGGAATACCGGGAGTGACAGGATGGAGAAAATACCCAGGGGCATGAGGAACCTTTTAGGGATAATTGATATGTTCATTATCTTGATTGTGGTGATGGTTTCACAGATGTATACCTAGGTCAAAACTTATCAAACTGTACATATTAAAATGTACAAATAGCTTATTGTATGTCAACTAAACCTCAAATAAGGAAAACAAGAATCTTTTGATGGGTAGGTTTAAGTGCAGTTGGGACCCAGCTGAAAAGATATATAATAATCATTGGGATAGAGATTCTTTTATTGTTCATTAATTACTATTGTATATATTCTTCTTTATATTAAAAAAGTTTTTATTATGTTAAAACAAACTTTCTTTCTAACCTCTTTCCTCTAAAAACAATACATCCCACATTTACACAATTTTTGTCAGAAGCAAAACCTAAAGATCATTTTAGGTCAGTCTGTTCATGTCTTACATCAGACACTGAGGATCTCTAGGATTAAGTTATAGGATCCAACTTAAAATTTAAATTTCTAAATAATTCTAAGAAAAACAATGGCTAAGGACTTGACCTTCACCATTAAACACTAGGTGTCTTTGATAGTAGTACATTGTATCATAAATTTGTATAAACTGAGCTTGGATTTTAAAAAGTATTTAACATAGGGAGCATCACATTTTTTCCCTATAAGTTTCTACTTAATTTGATTGGGTTGTTTATTAACAACCATAACAGAAAACTGATTTTCTCTGAAGGCTATGTTTTGAATGAAGAATGGGTTTCCCCAGACTTTGTTTTCCATGGCTTCTCCTTGCAAGGTGAGGCTAAGCACAGTAATAGATTTAACTATGATAGAACGTAGAAGCCATGCAACCATCAGGGGAAACACCACCTGCATAAAAGAAACATCAAATACAAAGGGCTTAAGGCAAAATATGTTTAAGAAACAAGGGAAAGTGGTAGAAGATGAGGTTACAGGATCCAGATAATACAGGCATCTCGTAGGGCAGTGGGTGGCAAACTTTTCTATAAAACACCAGGCAGTATTGATAAATACTTTAGGCTTTCCTTCCATATGGGCTCAGCTGAAGCTGCTCACTCTGCCGCTGCAGTGTGAAAGAGAATACATAAATGAATGAGCATGGCTGTTCCAATAAAACTTTTTTCATGGGCAGTGAAATGAGAATAGCTTATTATTTTCAAGAGTCAATAAAATTATTATTTTTTTACTTTAAAAAAATCATTTAAAATGTTAGCTTGCATTTTAAATGTGAACAAGCTGTGGGCTGGATTTGGCCTGAAGGTTACAGCTTGTTGACCTCTAACTTGCGTATAATAATGACTTTTGATTTCTGTTCTAAGAGTGACAAGAAGCTTTAGGGGGATTTTCAACAAGGGAATAACATAATCTGAAAATAAGAGGTCTTGTTAGGACACATTTGCCAAACCCCAGGCAAGAGATAACAGTGGCTTAGGCTAGGATGGTGGTGGTAGAGGTGGTAGAGGTAGTGGACAGTGACCAGATTCAGGATATATTTTGAAGATAGGGCCTATAAAATTTGCTGATGAACTAGGTGAGGGAAGGAAGATAATGTGAAGAACTGAGAGTGACTCTGAAGCTTCAGGATTATATAACTGGATGAATGGTGGTACCATTTACTGACTGTGGGAGAGAAGAGTTTGTGTTCTACATTTGACTCAGCATATGTCAAGGTTTTTCCAAAATTAAGCTTAAGTTATTCATTCTTAGTTCATTTCAATTAAGGAACTCCAATCTCATGCAAAATATAAATACATACTGTTATATGCATAAACTTATCCCAGTTCATTTTTAACCTTTGATCCCTCTCCTAGCTTTTGTTAAGTATGAACCCCCTCATGCTTGGAGTAAGACCCCCTCTGTCCTCCATAGCTCCATCTAGTAGAGCTGAAAATTCACTCTTCCCTACCCACAAGCCTAACTCTTTCACCATCACCATCACCATCACCGCAGTCATGCCTACCAGGACTGATGTCATGCCCTTTATCTGTGAAATACCCACATAAATTGTCGTAATCAGAGCACTTGTCCAGGTCAGTGCTAAATTGGCCATGACTGTGATAATCGATGTAAACCAAGACTACCGAGGGAAAATGGGATGTATGGACTCTCTATTTACCTGGTGTATGTCAGTTACCACACAAACTTTAGGCACTCCTCACCTCCCAAACTTCAGTCTTCATGAAGCTTTCTACGTTCTCTATTATGCTAGCATCTCCCACCCATATCCAACCCCTAAAACCCATTCATTGTGCCCTTTGAATTGAACATTCCATCATCAGCAAAATCTCCTCTATTGTCTCTCTTTTCTGATTGTTTTCTTCATTTTCTTACATTTCTTTAAGGACACAGCTTCCCCTGCAGCCTTCTCAAGTGGTAGCTGTTTTTAGTTCCATAGACCATATGCCACTAGGCCAGGAGACGAGTTAAGAGTTTTCCTTGTTGCTCATTGTTACTTCTAGAAACTTCTCCCTCCATTTTCCAGAAAAAAATACTCCTGCTTTGGATCTCATATCACCAGACTGCCATCCACTCCTACCCTTTGTATCAGTCGCTAGAGTCTGGTCAGGCCGTCTCATTTCTTGAAGATTTTAGCTCCAGATTTGCTATAACACTCTCTAACACTACTCTTCCCTTGATTTTTGGTGATTTCAGTACACATAGAAGATCAGTTTCTTGAGCTCTTCTCCTCCCCTGATCTCATGTTCTACTTTACCTCAACCACTCATCCCATAGTTATACCCTAGACCTTGTTTCTACCAAAGACTGAAATGCTTTCATCATCTCAATTTTAGAAAGTGTTGTAACTTTCTAATTACTACAGTTTTTCTTTCTAGCTCCTCCTTTTTATCAGTTAGCTATTGTTTTATAATCATATAACTCCAAAATTTAGCAGCTTGAGGTAACAGTCCTTTATTATTTATCATGAGTCTATGAGTTGGTTGGACAGTTCTCCTGAGCTGGGCTGCTGAGCGGGTCTAGGCTTAGCTAATCTCCCATTGTCTTGTTCGTATGTGGTCAGCTGGTATGTATGCTGTGGGCTAGCATGGCTGGCTTCAGTTAGGATGATTTGGTTCTGCTTCATGTGATCTCCTTACTCCTAGGCTTGGTTGTCAGTTCTCACAGCAGAGCCAAATGCCCAAGGGAATATGCAGAAGTGCTTAAGGCCTTATGCTCTATTCTATCAGTGAAGGAAAGTCACAAGGCCAGCCTAGATACAAGAGAATTAAACATGGACTTCACCTCTTGATGGGAGGAAAGGTGTGGGTCTAAGGAGGAATTGATAATGGGGCCATTTTTTTTTTTTTTTTTTTTGCAATCAGTCTATCACATCCCTCTGTAAACCTGATTTTACATCCTTTCACAGCACCAGGCCTACAATCTATCAATCTCACCTTTCCAATGTGACCACACTCTCACATGTCCTCAATTCCCTCCTACCTAGCTTAAATTCAATGATCAAGCATTATTATCATGTCCTCACATTCATCCTCAACTCCATGTCATTCTTTTAAGTTATAAAACTGGCTTGTCTAAATCACAGCTCTGGTTCAATGTACCTGTCTGTCAACTCCACACCTGTGTTGCTGTTGCTGAAAGTAGCTGGAGAACAACCACACAACCACACTGGCTTCTCTGACTTCAGATTCAAGGCCAGGAACCTCATGTATGTCCATAATGCTGCTGACATTCACTCTTCACTTCCCCAGCACATTACTGTCATATCTCCCAGAGAATTATGTCATACCTTCTCTCTTCTCAAACCTGCAACACTGGATCTGCTGTGTTCACTCTCAGTTGGTAACCTGTTTCGTATTTCAGAGAGACAATGTAAGCACTGAGAAGAGAACTCTTGCACACTCCAACACCTCATCTGCCACCTCTCACCATCTGTCTCCTTGTACTACTGGAGATGGTCTGCCCTCCTCCTGGGGAGGCCAAACTCATCCACTTCTGCACTAGATTCCGTTCTCTTTTATCTTCCCTACATCATGTGTTTTCCTTCTATACTCATCATTCCTTTTAGCAATAAATATCTTTAAAAAAAAAGCTTCAAAGAACCTCACTTCCCCCTCCAATGACCCCACTGTGTCTTCTCTCCTCTTTATAGCAAATTCTCAAAAGTCTTGTCTGGTTTCTCCATCTCTCCAGTTCCTGTCCTCCATTTCTCTTTTACAGTTACTGACTGCAGTCAGGCTCTCATCTTTCTTCACCTATAAGGAGCATTTGTCATAATTATCATTTCCTTTTTCAAACCTTTTTTACACTTCTCTGCCTGGGCACCACTTCCTTCTTGTTCTTTCTATTACATATGTGGCCCTCTTTCAGCCTCACTTGCTAGTTGCTTTTTTCCTCAACCTTTCAGACATGGGATGTCCCCAGGGCTCAGTCTTTGCAAGAGTTTTCTTCACTGTCTACCCTCACTTTCATGCGCCTCCATGTGAAGAGACCACCAAACAGGTTTGTGTGAGCAATAAAGCTTTTAATCACCTGGGTGCAGGCGGGATGAGTCTGAAAAGAGAGTCAGCAAAGGCAGATAGGGGTGGGGCCATTTTATAGGATTTGAGTAGGTAAAGGAAAATTACAGTCAAAGGGGGGTTGTTCTCTGGTGGGCAGAGTGGGGGTCACAAGGTGCTCAGTAGGGGAGCTTTTGAGTCAGAATGAGCCAGGAGAAGGAATTTCACAAGACAATGTCATCAGTTAAGGCAGAAACAGGCCATTTTCACTTCTTTTGTGGTGGAATATCATCAATTAAGGCAGGAACTGGCCATCTGGATGTGTACGTGCAGGTCACGGGGGATATGATGGCTTAGCTTGGGCTCAGAGGCCTGACATTCCTGTCTTCTTATATTAATAAGAAAAATAAAACGAAATAGTGGTAAAGTGTTGGGATGGTGAAAATTTTGGGGGTGGTATGGAGAGATAATGGGCGATGTTTCTCAGGGCTGCTTCGAGCGGGATTAGGGGCGGCGTGGGAACCTAGAGTGGGAGAGATTAAGCTGAAGGAAGGTTTTGTGGTAAGGGGTGATATTGTAGGACTGTTAGAAGAAACATTCGTCATTTAGAATTATTGGTGTTGGCCTGGATACGGTTTTGTATGAATTGAAAAACTAAACGGAATAAGAGAAGGAGAAAAACAGATATTAAAGGTCTAAGAATTGGGAGGACCTAGGACATCTAATTAGAGTGCCTAAGGAAATTCAGCATAGTCCTGTCAGCAAAGATTATTTATTTACTTCAAGAGTTAAGAGTGGCAGTTTGTGGATAGCACCAGGAGATATCAGCTGTGATGGCTTAGAGAAACAGTGTAAACCGGCAGTGTAAACAAGAGCAGGGCATGTGTGAGTAGTTGAGAACGGTGAATAGGAGTATGACTAGACAGAAGATAGTAGGGATGACAAGTTTTTTGGGGGCACAGTGTAAGTTAGTCTGGTGTCTGGAATGAGATTGGGGCCTAATAAAAAGGAGCGTCTATACAGGAGCTCAAATGGGCTGTACCCTGTAGCATTCGGAGGACAGGTCTGACTTCTGAGAAGGGAAAGTGGTAAAAGTATTGTCTATTCCTTTTTAAGTTGGTGGCTGAGCTTGGTGAGGTGTGTTTTTAAAAGACCATTAGTCTGTTCTACTTTTCCTGAAGACTGAGGACTGTAAGGGATACAAACGTTTCACTGAATACTAAGAGCCTGAAAAACTGCTTGGCTGATTTGACTAATAAAGGCTGGTCTGTTATCAGACTGTATAGAGGTAGGAAGGCCAAACCGAGGAATTATGTCTGACAGAAGGGAAGAAATGACCGTGGTGGCCTACTCAGACCCTGTGGGATAGACCTCTACCCATCCAGTGAAAGTATCCACCCAGACTAAGAGGTATTTTAGTTTTCTGACTCGAGGCATGTGAATAAAGTCAATTTGCCAGTCCTGGACAGGGGGAAATCCCTGAGCTTGATGCGTAGGAAAGGGAGGAGGCCTGAACAATCCCTGAGGGGTAGTAGAATAGCAGATGGAACACTGAGAAGTGATCTCCTTGAGGATAGATTTCCACGATGGAAAGGAAATGAGAGGTTCTAAGAGATGGGCTAGCGGCTTGTAACCTACATGGAAGAGGTTATGAAATGATGACAGAATAGAATGGGCCTGTGGGGCTGGAAGAAGATATTTTCCTTGGTCTAAGAACCATTTGCCTTATGTGGGAAGAGATTGATAGGTGGAAGTTTCAGCAGGTGAGTAGGTGGGAGTGACCGATGTGAAGGAGAAAAACTGGCCGTGAGGGATAGAAGTTGGAGAGCTAGCTGCTTGTGTAGCCACCTTATCAGCATAAGCGTTGCCTAGAGCAATGGGATCTGATGCCTTTTGATTCCCCTTGCAGTGAATGACCCCCGCTTCCTTTGGAAGTAAAGCGGCCTTGAGTAGAGTTTTTATTAAAGAGGCATTAATGATGGAGGACCCTTGTGTAGTGAGAAAAGCTCTTTCAGCCCATATGACCGCATGGTGGTGGAGAATATGAAAGGCATATTTAGAATCAGTATAGATATTGACGCATAGTCCTTTTGCAAGAGTGAGGGCTTGAGTTAAGGCAACTAGTTCGGCTTGCTGAGAGGTAGTGGAGGGGGGCAGAGCGGTAGCCTCAGTGATAGATGTGGAAGATACTATAGCACAGCCTGCCTTTGCTGGTGAGTGGCAATTAGGCCTGGTGTAACTGCCATCAATAAACCAAGTGTGATCAGGGTGAGAGAGAAGAAGGAAATGTGGGGAAATGGGGTGAACGTCAGGTGGATCAGAGAGATGCTGTCATGAGGGTCAGGTGTGGTATCCGGAATAATGTGGGACTTAACAAAGAGTGAGTACAGCTGAAGGAGCCGGGGAGCAGAAAGTATATGCGTCAGGTATGAGGAAGAAAATAGATTTTGGAAGTTATGAGAAAGGTAGAGAGTAAGTTGAGCATAGTTTGTGATCTTGAGGGCCTCTAAAAGTATTAGGGTGGCAGCAGCCGCTGCACGGTGACATGATGGCTAGGCTGAAACAGTAAGGTCAAGTTGTTTGGACAGAAAGGCTACAGGATGCGGTCCTGGCTCTTGTGTAAGAATTCTGACCGCACTAACCATGCCTAGGAAGGAAAGGAGTTGTTGTTTTGTAAGGGATTGAGGTTTGGGAGATTAAGTGGACACGATCAGCAGGCAAAGCACGTGTGTTTTTATGAGAATTATGCTGAGATAGGTAACAGATGAGGATGAAATTTGGGCTTGACTGAAGTAATGGGGGCTGTCTGTGAAGCCTTGCGGCAGTACAGCCCAGGTAATTTGCTGAGCTTAATGGGTGTCAGGGTCAGTCTAAGTGAAAGCAAAGAGAGGCTGGGACGAGGGGTGCAGGGGAATAATGAAAAAAGCATCTTTAAGATCGAGAATGGAATAGTGAGTTGTGGAGGAAGGTATTGAGGACAAAAGAGTGTACAGGTTGGGCACCACAGGATGGATGGGCAAAACAATTTGGTTGATAAGGCGCAGATCCTGAACTAATCTGTAAGACTTGTCCAGTTTTTGGACAGGTAAAATGGGGGAATTGTAAGTTTATAGGTTTTAGAAGCCCATGCTGTAGCAGGTGAGTGATAACAGACTTTAATCCTTTTAAAGCATGCTGTGGGATGGGATATTGGCTTTGAGCGGGGTAAGGGTGATTAGGTTTTAATGGGATGGTAATGGGCATGTGATCGGTTGCCAGGGAAGGAGTAGATATGTCCCATACTTGTGGGTTAAGGTGGGGGGATACGAGAGGAAGACGCGAAGGAGGCTTTGGGTTGGGGAGAAGGGCGGCAATGAGATGCAGCTGTAGTCCAGGAATAGTCAGGGAAGCAGATAATTTGGTTAAAATATCTTGGCCTAATAAGGGAACTGGGCAGGTGGGGATAACTAAAAAAGAGTGCATAAAAGAGTGCTGTCCAAGTTGGCACCAGAGTGGGGGAGTTTTCAGGGGTTTAGAAACCTAGCCGTCAATACCCACAACAGTTATGGAGGCAAGGGAAACAGGCCCTTGAAAAGAAGGTAATGTGGAGTGGGTAGCCTCCGTATTGACTAAGGGGACGGACTTACCTTCCACTGTGAGAGTTACCCGAAGCTCAGCGTCCGTGATGGTCTACGGGGCTTCTGAGGCGATCGGGCAGCGTCAGTCTTCAGCCACTAAGCCGAGAAGGAGTCAGTCAGAGAGCCTTGGGCCAGAGTTCCAGGGGCTCTGGGAGTGGCTGCCAGGTGAGTTGAACAGTCCGATTTCCAGTGGGGTCCTGCACAGATGGGACATGGCTTAGGAGGAATCCTGGGCTGCAGGCATTCCTTGGCCTGGTGGTCAGATTTCTGGCACTTGTAGCAAGCTCCTGGGGGAGGAGGTTCTGGAGGAACGCCTGGCCGCTGCGGTTCAGGCATTTGGAAGTTCTTGGGTGCTGGAGATGTGGCTGGGGTTTGTCTCACAGTGGAGGAAAGGAATTGCAACTTTTTTCTGTTATTGTACACCTTGAAGGCGAGGTTAATTAAATGCTGTTGTGGGGCTTGAGGGCCGGAATTTAATTTTTGGATTTTTATTTAATGTCAGGAGCAGATTGGGTAATAAAATGTATTTTGAGAATAAGACGGCCTTTAGACCTTTTAGGGTCTAGGGCTATAAAGTGTCTCAGGGTTGCTGCCAAACAAGTCATGAACTGAGCTGCATTTTTATATTTGATGAAAAAGAGCCTAAACGCTATCTGACTTGGGATAAAGAAAAAGGAGCATTAACCTTGACTATGCCTTTAGCTCCAGCCACCTTTTTAAGAATAAATTGCTGGGCAGGTGGGGGAGGGCTAGTCATGGAACGAAACTGTAAGCCGGACCAGGTGTGAGGAGGGGAGGTGATAAAAGGATTATAGGGTGGAGGAGCAGAGGCTGAGGAAGAATTGGGACCTAGCTCAGCCTGGCGAGGAGCAGCCTGGGGAGGAGGGGAGAGGTCAGATGGGTCTGTAGAAAAGGAAGATTAGAAAGACTCAGCGATGCTTGGGGTTGGGACTGAGGGGACAGGTGGGAGGGAAAGAAGGAAGATTTGGGACGAGTTGCACTGGGCACAGAGACTAGGGAGGGACTGATATGTAAAACAATGCCTGGACGTCAGGCACCTCAGACCGTTTGCCCATTTTACGACAGGAATTATTTAGATCTTGCAGGATGGAAAAATTGAAAATGCCGTTTTCTGGCTATTTGGAACTACTGTCGACTTTGTATTGGGGTCAAGCGGCATTGCAGAAGAAAATAAGATGCTTAGATTTTAGGTCAGGTGAGAGTTGAAGAGGTTTTAAGTTCTTAAGAACACAGGCTAAGGGAGAAGAAGGAGGAATGGAGGGTGGAAGGTTGCCCATAGTGAAGGAGGCAAGCCCAGAGCAAAGAGAGAGTAGAGACACGGAGGGAAGGGGTTCAGGGGTTCTTACCCTCCAGAAAAGCGGGAAAGGGGTCAGGGCACAGAGATACGAGGTTGGGGCGCAGAAATAAGGGATTGGGGTGCAGAGATATAAGAGGTTGTGGTGCAAAAATAAGGGATTGGGGCACAGAGATATAAGAGTTTGTGGCGTGGAAATAAGGGATCGGGGTGCAGAGATATAAGAGGTTGGGGCACGGAAATTAGAGATAGGGTGCAGAGATATAAGGGGTTGAGGTGTGGAAATAAGGGATCGGGGTGCAGAGATATGAGGTTGGGGCATGGAAATAAGGGATCGGGGCACAGAGATATAAGGGGTTGTGGTACTTGCTCCTCCCCTAGAAAAGTGGGACTTGCCTCTAAGGGTGAAGGAGAAGGCGTTGGGGGTTTCTTGCCCCCCAGAAAGGCGAAGAAGGGGTAGAGACACGGAGAGAAGGGGTTGGGGTACTTGCCCCTTCCCCAGAAAAGCGGGACTTGCCGCTAAGGGTGAAGGACTAAGGCAGGCGTCCCTGCGTGGTCTGACACCCCTGAAACCTGGGTGAATAATCAGAGAGGTGTCCCTGCAATGATTAAACACCAAGGGAAGGCTGCCTTCCCTACTCCGTGACTGGTGCCGGAGTTTTGGGTCCACGGATAAAACGTGTCTCCTTTGTCTCTACCAGAAAATGAAAGGAATTGAAACTAAGAGAAGGGAGAGATTGAAGTGTGGTGCCAAGATTGAAAGGAGAAAGAAGTTGAGGGATAGTGAGGGAGGTTGGAGAAGAGAGTAAAAACAGGCCGCTTACCGGATTTGAAATTGATGAGATGTTTCTTGGGCTGGTTGGTCTGAGGACCTGAGGTCATAGGTGGATCTTTCTCACGGAGCAAAGAGCAGGAGGACAGGGGATTGATCTCCCAAGGGAGGTCCCCCGATCCGAGTCACGGCACCAAATTTCATGTGCATCTGTGTAAAGAGACCACCAAATAGGCTTTGTGTGAGCAATAAAAATTTAATCACCTGGGTGCAGGCGGGCTGAGTCTGAAAAGAGAGTCAGTGAAGGCAGATGGGGCGGGGCCATTTTATAGGATTTGGGTAGGTAAAGGAATATTACAGTCAAAGGGGGGTTGTTCTCTGGAGGGCAGAGTGGGGTCACAAGGTACTCAGTAGGGGAGCTTTTGAGCCAGGATGAGCCAGGAGAAGGAATTTCACAAGACAATATCATCAATTAAGGCAGGAATAGGCCATTTTCACTTCTTTTGTGGTGGAATGTCATCAGTTGAGGCGGGAACTGGCCATCTGGATGTGTACGTGCAGGTCACAGGGGATATGATGGCTTAGTTTGGGCTCAGAGGCCTGACACTCACCAACTTGGGAATATAGTTAGTCTCCTAGTCTATAATACTACACACATGCTGATGATTCCAAAATTTTTGTCTTTAGCCTGATTTTCTCCCTTAAGCTTCTTCTAAGAAATCAATTAGCTTCTCAAATTTAACATGTGCAAAGCTGAACTCCTGATATCTCCCAAACCAGCTCTCCCACAGCCTTTCTCATCTTGGTTAATGGCTATTCCATCCTTAAATTTTCTCAGGCGAAGAACTGTGAAGTCATCCTTGATCTCTTGTTGACTCATACCCCATATATGATCCATCAGCAAATCCTGTGGGTTCTACCTTTAAAAGATACCCAGAATCCAACCCTTTCTCACCAGTCTAATCCCAGCTGCCATCATCTCTTGCCTGGGTTATTCTTAAAACCATCTAACCAACCTTCCTGCTCCTGTCTTTGCCCCCTACAGACTAGCCTTAACTCAGCAGCCAAAATAATAATTCTGTTAAAACATAAATCATATCTCATGTCGCTTCTTTGTTGAAACCATCTTGTGTATCTCTGTCTCATTTGAAGCAAAAGGCCAAGTTCTTAAAATTATCTGCAGGACCCTTAATGATCTCCTCACCATTCCCTCTCCATCTCATCTCCTTATACTCTTCTTTCTTATTCTTCCCTGTCCACACTTAACCTTCTTGCTATTCCTCAAATACATCAAGCATATCCTCATTGTGGTAGGCTGCAAAATGGCCTTCAAAAGATATCCGTGTCCTAATCTCTGGAATCTGTGAATGTCATTTTTTATGGCAAAGCCATTGTATATGTGATTGAATTAATAATCTTGAGGTGAAAATTTTATACTGGATTATCTGGGTGGACCTTAAATGCAATCACATATATTCTTCTAAGAGGGAGAAAGAGAAAGATTACACACACACACGCGCACACACACACACACACACACAATGAAGATGGGGGAGAGAGAGATTTGAAGATGCTAGACTTGAAGATTAGAGTGATGTGGCCATAAACCAAGGAAGCCCAGTAGCCACCAGAGGAATGACTTCTCCCCTACAGACTTCAGAAGGAGCACAGCCCTGACAGTGATACTGCCAATGATCTCAGCCCAATGATACTGATTTTGGAATTCTGCCCTCCATAACTGTGAGAGAATAAATTTCTGTTGTTTTTAGCTAATTTTACAGCAGAAACAGGAAACTAACACACTCATCTCTTGCTATTCCCTCTGTGAAGAATTTCTTTCCACCAGATATCAGTATTGCTACCTCCCCTACTTCATTCACGTCTTTGAACAAATATAATTTCAGAGAGACATTTTCTAGCTACTCTATTTAAAATCCATATCATATACTTGCACTTATACACACATTCTGGCACTCACCTTCTCCCTTAACTTTTTACATATTATTATTTCTTAAATAGTCTAAGTATTTATTTACTTTGCTGTTTCCCTCTACTGGAATGTTAAGCCTATGAGAACAGGGGTATCTTTCACTTGTATTCACCTTATATCACTAACACATAGACGACATCTGAAAGACGACTGCTCAGTAACTACTTATTGAACGAACTTGATTAACCAGTTATTTCACACAAACTGAGGAGAACAAGTGTTCCACAGTGGTTATCATCATATTCTGACTTTGAAATTTCAATTATTATCCATTTTGACAACACACATACATCTTAACTCACAAATCTCTTGGTTTAAGACACCATGAAGCAGGTCAGAAAAAGATTTAAGACCTATTAAGCAGACAGCACAGTATAGTTCAGGAAGTGGTTTCCAAACTATACGATCATCACGTCCCCTGAAGAGTTTCACAAAAGATACCCTGGGCTTCTCTGCAGACCTTCAGAATAACCACTTGCAGACCCAGTGCCTGAGAGCCAGAATTTTTTAGAAGAGCCCTAAGGAATGCTGAAGATCAGTTGGATTTGGGAACCACTTGTTTTTCTTTGCTCATATACTTAAAAACTTCAGAAGGAATGTTATATTTTTGTTTGTGATCAAATGCAAGGCTTTTCAGCATGGTGTATTATATGTTAATTATTTTTCTATTACCTAAAACAATCACAGCTGTTGTTTTGCCACACACATCACTGGATGAGCTCATTTTGCCTGCTGTCAGACCTTATGCTATCCATTGAAATGTGATGGCATTTAACATCATCAAAGGGGAAGATTCTATTTTACTGCACAAAAGACATCTCCAGTTTTCTCTCTAGCTTTCCGTAAATTACATAGGTACCTAACATTGGTACGTTGCATTTAGGGTGAGCTCCATTTTCTTTGATAAAGAGGAATTTTGTTCTAAGAAATAGTTGAGTTTTATGATTTACTTTCATTATTTTGTTTTATTTTACTTTTATTTTTTGAGAGAAGGTCTTGCTCTGTCACCCAGGCTGGAGTGCAGTCCCACAAACTTGGCTCACTACAATCTCCTCCTGGGCTCAAAAGATCCTCCTGCCTCAGCCTCCTGAGTAGCTGGGACTACAGGCGCATGTACCACCATGCCTGGCTAATCTGGTATCTTTTGTAGAGATGGTATCTCACTATGTTGCCCAGGCTTATCTTGACCTCCTGGACCCAAGAAATCCACATGCTTCAGCCTCTCAAAGGGCTGGGATTACAGGTGTGAGACACTGCACTTGGCCTAATTATTTTAAAAGAATAAAAACAAGCTCAAAATTATCAAATGACCTATTCTACGTAAACAAATTCTGACTGTGCCTCCAAGTATCAGCCCAACTCTTTGCCCTAACCTCACACCTCTAATCAATAGAAAGAATTTAGTTACAGGTCTTTCCTTACAGCCTCCAAGTCATTCTCTTAAAGGAGGATGGACAAGGCTAATCTCTGATCAAATGGTGAAAACTGACTTCTGCATGGCAGTAAGTATTCACCTTGCCATATGACAGTGATGAATTCTCCAGTGCCTAATTCTAGTGCTAAGATACATATGTACACACACGCATATTTTTTACACCTCAAAAGTAGAGCTACATCCTCTTTTGAAGTCAATACTTATTAAATTACAAAGTTACCAATAAATTGATACAAAATGATTCTTCCTTTATCCTCACTGTCTTGGAAGCTTTTGTCTACAGAAGTCATAGGAAGTAATGACCTTAAGAATAAAACAGATTTTAAAATATACTGTAACAAAAACAACTGCCATTCATTGAGAGCTTGTTATGTGCCAAGCACTATGGCTCATGTTTTAATACATTGTCTCATTTAATCATAGGCAATAAGGTAGGTATTATTGCTATTATCTTCATTTTACTGTGGAAAAAACTAAGGCATAGACAGATTAAATCACTTGCCTAAACTTACACAACCTGTAAATGATTGATCCAAGATTCTACTCTAGGTCTATTTGGCTCCAAGGCTATCAATTTAAGCAATCACTTGGCAAAATTTTCTTGCTATGATGTAAATTTAATCAAGGACTTTGTTGTTTTCAAAATATTTCTCTTAAAAAGATAAATTGGACTGAAAATTGAAAAGAAGACTAATTCTTTATTCAACTCAGGTTCCACTTCAAGAGAAATGCCAAGTGTCTGGGAACTCAGGGAGGAAAGGGGGCTTTAAAGAAAAAACAGACCACAGCTATAAAGAGTCAGATGGCCAACATCTGGACAGCTTGTAGTTGAGCTGAATATGCTGCTGTGTGAATTACAAAGGTATGACAAATTTTTTACTCTGTTCTAATTTGGCTCGGCCTGCCTGCCTTCAGCTTTTTTGGCACAGCTTCCCACATTTGAACTAAAATGCCCTTTCATAAAGCGGTGTATTGCTGAGGATTATCATGCAGACTTTCTGTTTTGTTTTCCACCTCACTTTGTTTATGTGCTGCAGGGGAGGGATCTCATAATGTTTGATGGCTCTTTACATCATATTCTCTACTCTGCATGGAATGCCACTTTGTATAAACCTTTGCAGTTACACAGGGATTTGTTATTTGAGTCTGCTTCTCTAGGACACCATAAGGAGTCCTCTCTTAGTCCACCTCTTTGGAGACTTCATGGGCTTAGGGACTTCATGAGGTTTTGGATCCCTGTTGCCTTCTTGGCAGTAGCTCTCCTTACACTGAAACACATTGGGACAGATTTCCATTGGCAATTTAAGGTTTGACAGCAGATTTTTAAATCGTAATCAAACTTTATTATTTTTGCTTTCAATTCCTACTTAAGAAATAATTCATGCAATAATGTGACATGAACCATAACTGCAACAACAACAATGATACTGAGTCACATAGTAAGGGCCAGACAATGCACTGAGCACTTTAAATGCATTAAAGCATGTAGTGGATGCTACTATGAGACAATCCTATATACACAAGGTAGCTCTTCCTAGCTGCATTTTACAGATGTGAACAATGAAGTACAGAGAGGTAAATTAACTCACTCAGGGTTGCATAGCTAAGAAATAGCATAGCGAGAATTAAAATCCAGATCTGTCTTACTTGAAGGTCATCATTTTTGGCTACTCTACTATATAGATCATTAAAGAGATCAGTTTGGACTATGTCAGACCAGTACTAAATTCTTGAGAATTTATATAAATGTACTAAGGAGAAACAAGACAAAAGCTAACAAATAGCGCACACCTCCCTATATGTATAAAAAATAATATTGAGGAAAGCAACACACTAAGAGACAAGAGACACAGGTTCTAATCTCAACAGTACCATGTAAACTTTCTACTTACTGTGAATTGGGGAAATTGCTTTAGGTCTCATAGGCTTGGGACTCATTAAATAAACTTCAATTCTCCTCTAAACTTAAAATTATAGCTAACAGTATAATTACTATGATAGCATTCTGTTAACAAAAAAGATGCCACCTAAAATTCATTGTATGCGAACATTACATTAGACTCTTCTCAGATATCCTTTAGATTCTCCATTTCCTAAATTTACTTATAACGTCATTTCCATGTTTGTTCTTAGAACTCTCTTCTGAACAGCATGTTCTGAGTCACTATCACTACTCCAAACTACACTGGAAATTTTGTCTTATATGCACTTTGCTTTCAGAGATAATTTGTAACTTCCTTCCCAAAAGGGTACCACTTTTTCTCTCAAGCAATGCAACCTTGGAACAAAAAGATATGGTATATATGGTTCTGTCATCTCCAAGTATTTAAGTACTCCCTGCAGTCAGGTATCATTATTCATTATCACCAGTTTTGACTTAACCCATTACTGGGTATTCAGTGACCATACAAGTTGGAGAAGGGGCCCTCTGAGGGCATGACAGTAGGCTGTTCTCATTCTAACCTTGCCATGGCAATCTAGAAGTCTCCAGGGACCTCCAAAATCAGACTATTCCTAAGTTCCTTTTCAGTAAAGAAGTAGAAGAAAACTGGGGAAACGGCAGGGGAAAAGGATGAAGAAGCAAGCTGGAGACCGATCAGGAAAACAACAGGAAGGATAAATATTTTTCACGCTGAGAAGAAGGTAAAAGATAAGCTGACAGAGATGTCTAATGGCCATAGATAGTGGGTTATTATAAAAGTAATAAAAATCCTTCCCTAAAGATGATAGAAAATTGTAAAGAAGGTGAAGAGTCAAGGAGAGGAGTAAAGACATTACAGGCAGTTCTCAATTCTAAAGCTCTTCCAATATCTTAGCATGAAAACAACTATGCATTGTCCAAGCAATGTGAGGTAAAAAAGCCTATCTCAAATATTTCAGGAGACTTTATTTTTAATGTTAGCATGAAGAAATTGCAATGAGAAAAGTAAACCAGTAATATCAACTTTTGTGAAGATTTTTATTAAAAAATCAAATGACACTAAATCTCTGATGCCCATTAAATCGTTCTAAAATCTAAAGAATCCTTCTTGAATGCTATATTCCTAATAAATAACACCTTTATTAGGAATCCTGGTCCTCATTTACCTGCTCATTTTTGGCTTTAAAAATTACATAAATAAGAACTTTATATAGTAGCTAATGATAATATATTATTAAACAAAGTTAGCCTACAGTGTCTTCTTGCATTAGTTATAGATGCACTAGAAGATTGTATGATGAGTAACCTAAAAATGCACCTATAGATGCATTTTTTGTAGCTTTAAGATGATGCTTGTAATGATTTCTATAACAGAACAGGCGTCTGTCCCTTAGTCAATCATTTAATTTCTTATTATAACAGGAAAAAATTAGATCTAACCTCTAGTATTTAGAGTTAGTACCAATTATCTAAAAACCAAACTCTGCTGTAACCAAAAAAGTGTCTATCAATAATTAAAGACACACATATATCAAGTTTTTTTTTTTTTTTTGAGACAGAGTTTCACTCTTGTTGCCCAGGCTGGAGTGCAATGGTCCAATCTTGGCTCACTGCAACCTTTGACTCCTAGACTCAAGCAATTCTCCTGCCTCAGCCTCCCAAGTAATTGAGATTACAGGCAGCTGCCACCCTGCCACCACACCCAGCTAATATTTTTTTTTTTTTTTTTTTTTTTTTTTTTTTTTTTTTTTTAGTAGAGATGGAGTTTCACCATGTTGGCCAGGCTGGTCTCGAACTCCTGACCTCAGTTGACCCACCCACCTTGGCCTCCCAAAGTGTTAGGATTACAGGCGTGAGCCACCATGCCTAGCCTCAACTTTTTATAGTTAAAAAAATTGTAGTGTGTAAATAATTACACAAAAAAAATTGTACAAGTATATCCCTGCATTCTGTCTCTCTCAATTTACTTACATACATAGCAAGCCATTAAAGGTTTTTTTTTTTTTAAGATAGTGGAATGCTGGAAATGTATTTTCTTCTTTTTGCTTTTGTACAGTATGCTAATTTTCTAAAATGAACAAATTTTACCTTTATAATCAGGAAAATGTTACTTTTAAAACATTCTTGAATTATGTTTTACTTGTCACTTCTAAGCTATCTTGATATTTGTTACTTAAATTATATTTTGCTTATTT
The DNA here is from genome assembly GCF_000001405.40 of Homo sapiens. NCBI lineage: Eukaryota > Metazoa > Chordata > Mammalia > Primates > Hominidae > Homo > Homo sapiens. The sequence continues at coordinate 198,027,715 of NC_000001.11, read as the reverse complement.
CAATAACTATGTAAATACTGGTAAAGGTGAATGACATCTACTATCTAAATACTAAATATTTAGAATATCTAAATACCAGATATAGCTATTAAAAAGAGAAAATGTATTTCTGAATATTAACAGTACAAAACAATGCAAAGAAAGTGACAATTTGGGGACATCCGAAAACTGTCATAGACGTCTTGATGGGAATTTACTATTAATAGCGAGGCTGACTAAGATATTTGTAAATAATGAGGCTTAAGAATAACAGAAAACACATTATACTAGAATTTTAAAATTACTTATCCTGTAAAAAAGGACTTAGATCACCTTCAACTCTAACATTCTGAGCCTATAAATTTACATTCAGATATAGTTTTATTTGCAGTGTATTAGTCTGTTTTCATGCTGCTGATAAAGACATACTTGAGACTGGGAAGAAAAAGAGGTTTAATGGACTTGTAGTTCCACATGGCTGAGGAGGCCTCACAATCATGGCAGAAGGCAAAGAGGAGCAAGTCAAGTCTTACATGGATGGTGGCAGGCAAATAGAGAGCTTGTGCAGGGGAACTCCCTTTTTAAAACCATCAGATCTCATGACACTCATTCACTATCATGAGAACAGTGCAGGAAAGACTTGCCCCCATAATTCAGTCACCTCCAACCAGGTGCCTCCCACAACATGTGGAATTGTGGGAGTTATAATTCAAGATGAGATTTGGGTGGGGACCCAGCCAAAGCATATCATGCAAGCTGAATATTCTGCAAAACAAATATCTTGTAATATCCTTTAAAGAAGGCAAATTTTGGAAATATGCAATTGAATCATGTTATTCATTTTTGTTATTTTTACTTTAGCTTGAGAAATCAATGTAATGAATTTTTAATATTTAGGAAACTATCTGTCAGGTGAAGATGTCAAAAAATGCACTGAAAAGCAAATTAAAGGCATCATATTCTTTCTCTTTATTTAAAAAAACTCACAATGGAAATAATCCAGGAAAGTAACTAAAATGACCCAAGGGATTCAGTGGGCTTCTTATGAAGATAGGTTGAAAAAATTATTGTTTCATAGCCTGAAATGATTAATGCTGAAGCTAAAGACTGAATAAGGAAAATGGCAAATATTTGAAACTTAAATATGGCAAGAGACATAAAATAAAAGAAAATACTACTTTATCTGACAGGCAATAAAAATGCAGTTTATTATTCAAAGGTCTGTATGAAAATTTAAATAAACTTAAGCCATGTTTTATAAAAGCAATGTACATACAAAAATTGAAAAATTAAATTTTGGTAAATACTGTCATTGCAAATGTAGTAGGAGACACTGGCTATTTGAAGTTAAACTCATCTCACTTTTCTCAAGAATCTCAATCATTTTCAAAATTGCCAGTTTTCCAAGTGTGAGGTTTTGTGTATCAGTGTCTCATAATGAGACATTATTATAGATTTATTTAAAGGCTTATATAAAGTCATGTAACAATTAGCTCCTAATAGTTGATTAAGAAAAAGAGTGGTTTGGGATTTTTTTTAACTTTTGGATTTGGATTTCATAGAAGATTATTGTGCATCCCCAGAATATTCCCTTAGTTCTACACTATTAAAGAAACCATTGCCCTGAGCCAGTGTGGTGTTCTAAAAATTTTAAATTTTACTGCCTAGTTTTAGAACTAACCCTCAGCTCTATTATTTTCGTGGAAAATGGGAAGGAAAAAAAAACAGTAGATGGTGATGCTTCCAATAAGCAGATTATCTTTTCCCCAGCGAATTTAGTAACCTGGGATGCTTCTGCATCACCAGCAATATAGAAATGAAAAAGCAGGCATTTCAGCCTTTCACTCTTGACACAGGTCCTCGTGAAAAAGGTTCTGCCAATTCACATCACTTCAAATGGAGGATTACTTCAGATAGATAAAGCTACTACCTTTTCTAAAATGTCAAAACTGTAAATATTTTCAAATATACCCTGTGCAGGCACCATGCAGGTTTTATCACTTCAAACTTCCCAATAACCCCATGGGATACGTTGATATTACCCCCCTTTGACAGAAAACTGAGGCTTAGAGTAATTAAGTCCATGCTGCTAGAATGCAACTAAGCTAGGTTCATCTGTCTCCAATTCTTAAAATGTGGTCTTCAGATCTTCTGAATAAGAATTCCATTTATTATTATTATTATTATTATTATTATTATTAAAAATGTAGATTCCTGCTCTCCCTCTCCCCCAAACACACACATACAGATTCTGATATAGGAAGTCTGAGTGGAGGCTCAGGAATCTTCTTTTTTCATAAGCTCTGCAAATGATTGTTTTGTACCCAAAGTCAGAGAACCACAGCTTTCCATCACACTTTCTTCCTTGATCTCTTAGTTTGATAGATGAATGCATTTTGACCTCCTCTTGCATCCTGCACCCTCTCCCCTTTTTATTCACATTGACTTGCATAAGATAACTGCCCCTTTGTCAAACAGGCAGCAGAAATATGAATATTTTACTTTTGAGCAGATATAAATATTGCTCCAGGGAAAAACCATGGCAGTTCATTGTCCTAGTGTATAGCACCACCCTAAAATAGGTGACATTACCTAACACCAAAATCTCAATTATGAAAACTGAGGAAAAAATGAATCAATGCTTCCTAAGAATATATAAAAGAAACTGCTTTTAAATCTTCTTTTCCACTCCCATCTGTATCAGAGCTTCCCTGCAGCTGGCAGATTGCAGGGAGTGTGACTCACACAAAGGTGAGAATCTCTTCAGCTGCTCTGATGATCTCAGAGTGATGAAACTGATTTTTTCTTGCTTTTGTTCTCACCTCCTGGCTCTTGGTGGGCTTAAAAGTCATTCATTTTGCAAGGAAAAGATTTTTAAACATAAAATGCCTAGCATTATAGTAGACACTGAGACTTTGTTGTGAGAGAGATAGAAAATAAATAGAAGTAACAACAGCAGTTTGCAACAACACCACGTGAGCTGACAATGCAGTACATTATAATCACGATGCTGAAAAACACAAAGTAAGGAAAATCTTGGAGGAAGTAAGGGATGCCATAGATTGGTGAAAAATCGGTTTCTACTGGTGGAAAGAAGAAGGGAAGGTTTTCCCTTCCAAGCAAGGGAAAACCAACATAAGCAAAGACATGGGGTGGAAAGTGCAGAGTGTGGTATAGAGGATGGTATAAATGGAGTTGGCTGTAAAATAGTAATATACGAGGTCAGAGCAGTCAGCAAGCTCCTGGATGCATTCATCTGGATACCTGTTCAGAACAAGCTCCTTGACCTCTTTATATGGGAAAACTACTTGTCAAATCCTTAAGCATCTGAGATCATAGTGAGAACCTATCAATTATCAATAAAGTGCTTAAAGAGCATGAACGGAAATGGCTACTGTTTCTAGATCAATTCTCTTCCCAGGCATGATTTCTGATAAATCACAGTGACTGAAGCATGAGTAGGCAGATTTAATTTTTTAAAGGTCTTGCCGTTGACCATGAAGCATGATTTACTGACTGCTGAGCACTCACTAAATGCTCAGTCCTAAATAATATTGTCCAGTATGTCCCTATCTAAATATGAATGACTTTTCTAGGCCTATTAGTTTCTGGTACTATTGAAATTCTTAATGGAAATTCTTTAACCAGTTTTTTTAAAACATATTTGCTCAATAAAATGCTAAAAGCATTTTATTTAAGTGGATCACTTGAGGTCAGGAGTTCGAGACCAGCCTGACCAACATGGTGAAACTTCGTCTCTAACAAATATATATATATATATGTATATATATTACCTGGGTGTGGTAGTGTGCACCTGTAATTCCAACTGCTCTGGAGTCTGAGGCATGAGAATCCTTGAACCTGGTAGTCGGAGGTTGCAGTGAGCTGAGATCGTGCCACTGCACTCCAGCCTGGGTGACAGAGTGAGACCCTGTCTCAAAAAAAAAAAAAAAAAAAGCTAAAACCTCTTTCCTATAATATAATCTATATGATTTACTTTATAACTTGAAGATGCCATTTTCTTTTCTCAGAGGTGTTACCTTTAACAAAGAATTTGGCCTGTACTTGTGGTAAAATGGAGCAAATTTCACTTTTTAAAACCTATTTTTTCTAGCTTTAGGGAAAAAAATCCCATTGAGCTGTTAACTTATTATGCTTTCAACAGAAATCTCATTACTAGTCAATAGGCAGCTATATTGCTCAGCTGAAGGTGACCTGCTGTGAAGTTTCTACAATCGGATTCTCCCATAAATCCATTTAATTCAAGCCTGCATAGCATGCCCCAAACCACTCATTATCCTTTTAACAGAGTTGATGAATTCTCACTTCCCCATTGTCAGAAGACTTAATCAACACTACTCATTACCGATAGTATAATTGACATATTTTTTGCTCAGGTTAGACCCTTTTGTCTTTCAGTCAACAACTTGTTCAGTATACAAATGTGAAAGTAATGCACTTATTCAATGCTAGTGAAAGTGCCAATGGACATGGTGGAAGCCCTGGAACGAGGTCTTTGGAGGGACTGGGAAGTGAGAAGGGAAGTTGGGCATTAGATTACATGATTATCATTAGATGCATTATAAAAAGAGTTAGCAAGCTTCCCAAATCGATATGGCACATACAAACCAATTCTGTTGATTTTGCAATGGTGGTGGTGATGGCCAATCAGAGTGGAGTTAGCAGACAAGAGTGTGTGAGGGACTGAAGTGCTGGGACACTTCCCCACGGATGTCCCCCATTTCTGCATATTTTTTAAGCAGAGGCACTGACTGCCTTTGTTTCAGACTATCATTTCAGGGGTCGTTCGTAGCGAGCATCTTTGGAAGGTACTGATAATGCTTCCCTCTAGAGCACAGGGCAGGCATATTTACTGTCCAGTATAAAATATTCAGGTTTCATAAGCTCAGAGTTTCTCCTCCAATCCAGTAAATGTGCCAGTATCATCTCGCCCTCTTCACATCACCCTGTGGCAATTGGGACTCAGGGAATGAGAGAAAGAAAATGTTGGTACTTTGGCTACTACTATTGGTGTGAATAACAGATTCCCTTGTCTCTGACCTAGAAGTCTCATGTGTCCTCGAGTGTCACTTACATGATACTCCATATAAGTAACAGATTAACTTGTCTTCTTTTAAGTAGGGTAAAGTTCTCAGCCCCTTCACAGCTCTTGGTATAGAGTAGTCCAACACTCATGAGCAGGGGAAGCCTTTTGGTGTCATTATTCTGTCATTTGAAAGATAATGAGGAGGTTTTTGGCAGGCCTCTCAAGTGATGAAAGCTAAACTCTAACACAGGTTTTCTGTGGTCAATGTCTACATGAGACTGAAAAATCAGGACCAGTTCTATCTTTGATAGATGAGCTTTAGAATGCTAATTCTATACCAGCAGGCCACTTTTAACTCTAAGGCAGTTCTGGTTTGCAGCTCTTCTAACAAGACATTCCAAACCCCCTTCTACTTTGCCACCTTCACTATAGAGGATAAATACTAATTTCCCTTCTTTCCTTGAAACTAGGGAAAGCTCTGGCCAATAAGATATAACCACAAGTCTGCTGGGGATTTCCAAAAGGCATTTGTTTTATTCTCATAAGCAGAAGCAACATGACTAGTGTTGCACTCCTTTCCTGCCTTGAACACAGATATGATGTTGGGAGTTATTGGGGAAGCCATCTCTTGACTGAAGAAAATCCGCAAGAATCTAAGAGATCATTAACTGAAATGTCAAGCCAGTTGGTCAACAGCAATATTGTTAGTAAAAATAATAAACTCCCATTTATTAAGGCCTATGTCGCTTTTCTGTTTCTTGCAGATATAAATATTTCTAACTATTACCCTCTTCTAGTTCTTGTCACCTGTAAAAGACATACTGAGCATGCTCGTCATGTTCTGTGAGGTGTATGTTTTGGATGGAAAACCAAAACTTTATTTAGCAGGCATATGCCACAAAGGAATTTCATTTGTTACAACATTTATTAATGAAAACCAGGAAAGGACAAGGAGATACAAATATAAATAGATAGATTATTTCACTGCCACTAGATTGTTCCACACAATGGATATTGGTTCTTAATACTTAAAAATAGAGTTGGAAGGAGATTAAAAGCAAACTTGAAAAAGGACCTGCAAATATTTTCTATTTAATAAGAATTCCCAGGAAAGGGAAAAAAAATCAACAAAAAGAGGACAAGAGGCCGGGCGCAGTGGCTCACGCTTGTAATCCCAGCACTTTGGGAGGCCGAGGCGGGCGGATCACGAGGTCAGGAGATCGAGACCATCCTGGCTAACACGGTGAAACCCCGTCTCTACTAAAAATACCAAAAAAATTAGCCGGGCATGGTGGCAGCGCCTGTGGTCCCAGCTACTCGGGAGGCTGAGGCAGGAGAATCGCTTGAACCTGGGAGGCAGAGGTTGCAGTGAGCCGAGATTGTGCCACTGCACTCCAGCCTGGGTGACAGAGAGAGACTCTGTCTCCAAAAAAAAAAAAAAAAAAAGAGGACAAGAATTATAAAGAGAGCACATTTCAGTAGCTGTAAGAAGTATAGCAGGCCAAAAAATGGCCCCCCAAAAGATATCCATGTCAAATCCCTGGAACCTGAGATTATTAATTTGTTTTGTAAAAGATATGATTAAGCAAGGCTCTCGAGAGGAGTATATCATGAATGATTTGAGTGAACCCTAAATGTCATCATGAATGTCCTTATAAAATAGAGATAGGAGATTTGACACAGACACACAGAGGATAAGTGACGTGGAGACAGAGGCAGAGATTGGAGTGGTATGGCCACGAGTAAAGGAGTGTCAAAGATGCTGGGAAACCACCAGGAGATAGAAAAAGGCAAGTAATGGATTCCCCCCAGAACCTCCAAGAAGAGTGCAGCCCTGCCACACCGCAATTTCAGAATTCTGGCCTCCAGAACTGTGCCTATTGTTTTAAGTCACCAAATTTTTGTGGTGATTGTTATGGTAACTCTAGAAAATGAATACAAAAGTTAATTGAAGAGTCAATGTATGATAAAGGAATCATCTGACAACAGACAGAACAAATAAGTTATTGGATTCATTTTGTGGAATGTTTATTGTATCGTGATGATGTACCGCCACAGGTTAAAAGTGATAAGATGAATAAAAACTAATTCCCACCTTTAGGAGATCCCAGTGGTGAGGATGATAGAACATTTACACAGATAACTATAATATGAGAAAGATGTAATAAATTCGTTTTTTTTTTTCTTTTTTTTTGAGACAGAGTCTCGCTCTGTTGCCCAGTCTGGAGTGCACTGGCACAATCTCGGCTCACTGCAACCTCCGCCTCCCAGGTTCAAGCGATTCTCCTGCGTTCAGCTTCCTGAGTAGCTGGGACGACAGGTGCATGCCACCACACAGAGCTAGTTTTTGTATTTTTAGTAGAGACGGGGTTTCACCATGTTGACCAGGCTGGTCTCGAACTCCTGACCTCAGGTGATCTGCCTACCTCAGCCTCCCAAAGTGCGGGACTACAGGTGTCAGCCACCGTGCCCATCCTAATAAATTCTTTATCAGTGGTATAAATGAAGTCTTCTAGAGATATGAAACTATTTCTGTCCATAGGAGGTCTAGGAAGCCTTACCAACCTTATTAGAAGATGCGAAGATGTGAATTAGACTGAAGAGGGGACACTGGAGAAGGGAGACTCCAGGGGAAAAGACACATCTTGAGTAAAGACAAAGAAAGGAGCATGTTGGAAGAGATATGTGACTTCTCTGGCTAGAAGATAAAATTGTGGGAGTTCTGAATGCCCTATGAGATAGCCAAGGAAAGTTTTGGGGCAGGAGCTCAGTACCACCCTTATGTTTCCAGGTTTATGGTGACAACTCTGGTGGCAGTGGATGGCATAGACTGGGCAGGGTGTGTAGGGAGATAGTAGGAAGGATTGCTGGGAAGCAGGGAGATCAGTTCAGAGACTATTACAATTATCTAGAAAAGGGGCAAAATAGCTGACCAAAACAGTGGTAGTGGGAATAAAAAGAAGATAACATCAAGGGATATAACAAAGGTAGATTTCATGAAATAAGAATTCTGAATGGACAAGCAGTAAAAGAAAGCAAAGAATGAAACATGTTTTCAAACCTGAGTAGCTGGGTGTTGTGTTTATTACAAACCACCCAAAACTATGGTGGGTTAAAATAATAACCAATTGTACTCACTATTCTTGATATTCAATGCTGCATAACTAACCATCTCAAACTTAGTGCCACAGAACAATCCTTTTATTATATTTGTAGATTCTGTGGGTCAGGAATTTAGACAGAGCATAGTGGGGATGGCTTGTCTTTCTTCTGTAATGTCTGGGGCCTCAGCCGAAAGTCTCCAATGTGTGGGAATTTGGGTCTGGAGCCACCTGGAGGCATATTTATCCACATATCTGCTGCCTGGGCTGGGATGACTCAAAGGCTGTACTCAGCTGGGATGGTTGACCATGGCACCTGCATGTGGCCTCTCCATGTGGCTTGAGCCCCTCTCAGCATGATGGCTGGGTTCTGAGACAAAGAACCACAAAAGGGAGCATGCAGAGAGTGAGTGATCCTAGAGACCAAGGCAGAAGCTGCATGGCATTTCATAACCTAGCCTCAGAAGTCACATAGCATCACTTTTTCTGTAGTCTATGGGTTGGTGCAGTCAATAGCGTTCCCAAATTCAAGGGAAGGGGACAGAGACCCCACTACTCAATAGGAGGAGCATCAGTGCAGAGGACCATCTAGAATAGGAAATATTGCAGTCATCTTTGGAAGACACAAATTGACACACCCATGAATTCTTTGGGTTAAGAATTCAGACAGGGTACATACTATAGGAATGGCTTGTCATTGCTCTACAGTGTCTGGAGCTTCAGCCCCTCCCAGTCATTGTAGAGCAATGAGTAGGATTGACTTGATGGCTGGGAGCCAGAATCATCTGGAGACTTCACTCTCATGTCAGGAACCTAGGCTGGTGTGACTAATGGCTGGAACTCATTAGGTTTCTCTCTCTCTCTCTCTTTTTTGTCTGTCCATGTGGCCTCTTGATGGCTGCCTCGGGGAAGTCAGACTTCTTACATAGTGACTCAAGCCTTCAAGAAAAAGTGTTCTAGTGTGTAAAGAAGAAGTTTGTGGCTTTTTATGACCTGCTTAGTAGTCACATAGCATCACTTACACTGTACTCTATTGGTCAAAGCAGACATAAGCCTGCCCAGATGTAAGGGGCAGGGATATAATCCCCTCCCTCAATGGAAGGCGTGTTTTAAATTGGCCACCCTGGAAGCAATGTTTTAAATTGGCCACCCTGGAAAAAGGATAACATTACTAGCCAAGGTCAAGGATAAATAGGCTTAAGAGTTTAGATAATGAAATTTGTTTTATAAAAAGTAAATTTGTGGTACCTAGCAGAATCCTGGCAACATGAATCTGAAGTATGAGAAATAGTCCCTATCAGAGAAATAAACTAATAAATGCATGGGGTAATTAAAACAACATATTTAATGAGAGGAGGCCTAAGAACCCAGACCTATGCATAGTGAATTTTGTTCGTTATTCACCCAACATTCATTTCCCACCCCTTCCTTTCTTACAGAATCCCAAATCCATTCATGGGTTCCTGTTTCAGACCCAAAGTAAGAGCCTGGTTTGTATAAAACAGTCATGGGAGCCCCATTCTCACTGGCTTTGACTGAGTATATGATGTCATTCCCATCAGGGAACAGGAGATAAAGTCTGTTGGGGTGCATCGTAAAAAGATTTCCTATAGGCCGGGCGCAGTGGCTCACACCTGTAATCCCAGCACTTTGGAAGGCCGAGGTGGGAGGATCACGAAGTCAGGAGATGGAGCCCATCATGGCTAACACGGTGAAACCCCGTCTCTACTAAAAATACAAAAACAAAATTAGCCGGGTGTGGTGGAGGGTGCCTGTAGTCCCAGCTACTCAGGAGGCTGAGGCGAGAGAATGGCGGGAACCCAGGAGGCAGAGCTTGCAGTGAGCCGACATCGCACCACTGCACTCCAGCCTGGGCGACAGAGTGAGACTCCATCTCGACAAAAAAAAAAAAGATTTCCTTAAAGAGGCAGAAAGACTTTGTCCCTATATTTTTTCCTTTGCTTGTTATCATGTCTGAGGATCTGAGCATGGTCAGAGAAAAGGAATGCCAGAGAAGATCCTGGATCCTTCCGTAACTCTGAACTGCTTGTTTTGTGAAATTAGTATATCCTATTATTTAAGTAAGATTGAGTTGAGTGAGGGCTTCTAATACTTTGAGCCCAAATCATCTTCCTAAATATGATCCTTGCTCATAACCCAATATTCCAAAATTCCCAGGGCATACTTAAACTTCGGCTCTGGAATTGAAAAGTTAAAATGTTCTAATTAAAAAGACTTCCTAAAACATTTAACATTATTTAATTACAGATTGTGACAGTTAATTTTATGCAGCTGCTTGACTGAGCCATGGGATTCCCAGATGTCTGACTAAACATTATTTCTCGGTGTGTCTCTAAGGGTGTTTCTGAAGGAGATCGGCATTCAAATTGGTAGATTGAGCAAATCAGATAGCCCTTCCCAGTGTGGACGGGCCAACTACCAACTGGTTGAGGCCCCAAATGAAACAAAAAGGAGGAGGAACACTGGATTCCTGCTCCCTCTGTTTGACTGCTTGAGCTAGGACATTGACCTTCCCCTGCCCTTGGTGCTCCTGGTCCTCAGGCCTTCAGATTGGAAAGGAATCTACACCATCAACCCACTGGCTGTCACGCCTTTGAACTACACCACTGGCCTTACCCGGCCTCCAGCTTGTAGATGACTTATTGTGGGACTTTTTCACCTCTATAATTGTGTGAATTGATACATTATAATAAAAAGTTTTTAGGATATATAGGTATACACACACACACACACACACACAATTGGGTTTGTTTCTTCAGAGAATCCTAATACACAGATTATTAATGTATATTAATGGTATGGTTTGGATGTTTGTCCCCTCCAAATCTCATGTTGAAATGGGATACCCAATGTTGGAGTAGGCCTGGTGGGAGGTATTTGGATCATGAGCCTGGATCACTCATAAATGGCTTAGTGCCATCCCTTTGGTGACGAGTTAGTTCTTGCTCTGGTAGTTCATGCGAGATCTGGTTGTTTAAAAGAGTGTGGAATCTCCCTGCTCTCTCTCTCTCACTCCCACTCTTAGCACACAATGCACCTGCTCTGCCTTCACCTTCCACCATGACTGTAGGCTTCCTAGGGCCCCCACCAGAAGTTGAGCAGATGCTGGCACTGTGCTTCTTGTACAGCTTGCAGAACCGTGAACCAATTAAACCTCTTTTCTTTATATATTACTCAGTCTCTGGGTAAAGAAAATCTGGCACATATTCACCATGGAATACCATGCAGCCATAAAACATAATGAGTTCATGTCCTTTGCAGGGACATGGATAAAGCTGGTAGCCATCATTCTCAGCAAACTAACACAGGAACAGAAAACCAAACACCTCATGTTCTCACTCATAAGTGAGAGTCAGACAATGAGGACACACAGACACAGGGAGGGGAACATCACACACTGGAGAGGGAGACCATTAGGACAAATAGCTAATGCATGCAGGGCTTAAAACCTAGATGATGGGTTGATAGCTGCAGCAAACCACCATGGCACATGTATACCTGTGTAACAAACCTGCACTTTCTGTGCATGTATCCCAGAACTTAAAGTAAAATTTTTTTAAAAAAAGGATTTCAAGATGAAAAAAATAAAATATATTACCCAGTCTGAGGTATTTCTTTATAGCAACACAAGAATGGACTAACACAATTAGTGTACTGCATTTGTATTGTATGGTACTTGACACATACTTAGCACAAATTATGTCATTTGATCTTTACGACACCTTTTGGAAATAAGCAATGTGGGCATATTCCATTTTCAAATGAGGTAAATGAACATTCTGCTTTAAGTCCTTTTGTGAAATTATACATGGTTTAAATAATAAATCTTATTCTACTTTTCATATTCCACTTTGCTTTGCAGATAGTACCTATTCACTAAATATTTGCATATCTTAAATTTATAGCCCTCACTAAGATAATTTTGAAGGCAGAAAATAATGATTATGTTCAAACACTAGCCAATATAAAATACTCTGGCAAGGATTTGATCATAGACAAGCACAGAATTGTAAGGTTTGTTTACATTAAATGCTCAGTCAGCTTGAAATATGGTGGTAGACTATCTTGGTGCTTAGTAACCCTCATGCTTTATGGGAAGAGGTCAAAGAAACAGGGGTAAGTTCAAAACATTATTCTTTTAATCTAGCATAGTACCAGGAACACAAGTGAGCCTGATCTTATTATTTAACTGACAATAATTTAAGTACTGAGCTATTTCACATGAAATAAGCATTTAGGAGCATGTAATCTACTTCAAATCATCTATTTATGATGGCTTCTTCCTTTACTGTTAAAAGATATTAATTGTAAAGGTAAACATTGGTTTTAACAGCTAGATCTTCTTTAACCATTTCTCTTAGTCAAACTCCATCAGTTTTGACAAGCAAGCTTTTATAAAAGCATATTCTTTTAACACGCCTGCTAAATTAGCTTGTTGCTATGTATTAACTTAAAATACTACTTTAACTGTTACACCAACAGCCAAAAACAGATGGGATTGCTGCAAGATGGTGCAGAGAGAGAAGCTCTTGGGACATAAACTGATTTTGTTGTCTTAATGAGACCTATTTTGGAATAATTCTTTTTTCAAGTCCTTGCCACAAAGGAGAATAATTTTTTTTTTGTTTACAGAAAATGTGGAAATTCACAAACCAAAAAAAAATATTCTCTAGTGGAAAGGTGTTACACACATATAAAACAATAATTATTATTATCCAAAGTATATGTTCATACTACCAGAAATCTATGTAGATCCCAAGAGGAAAGTTCTTTCCTTAAGCAATTCTTTTGCACCTCTCTTTATATTAAAAAGAATAAGTTTGAGAAGGTGGAAAATATTACAAATGAAAGAAACATTGAAAAGGGCAGAAATATAAAAATAAACAGTTTTCTCCCAATGCTTTATTTACTATGGGTTTGTCTCTGTCTTCATACCTCAATATCAAGGCTAAGCAGAGTTTGAGCTGAAGGCTTCTGATCCTATGAATTACTTATTCATCAATTATTTGTGAAACACCTACTATGTGCTGGGCATTGTCACAGGTACTACGTGTAATATGGTGAGCAAAAATGGACACTGCCCATAATTTCATTAAGCTCATAGTAAAGAAACTAAAAACTCTTTTTTATACAACCTGAAAGGCCATTACCTACTGTGTCACATTTTGCTACAAAATTCTGTGAAATTTGGGTTTTTTTTTCTTGTTTTTTCCTCTTATGAGCCATAATACCTGCCATCCATATTGTTTTTATGAATGGCATTCCATTTAGTTTTGTCTCTTGCCTTTCATTTCCTATTTTCTACCCATAGTCAAGGCTTCTAAGTACATTATTAGTATTTTCTCATTAGGATTTTTATTTTCTACCTAAATGTCATTCTGAGAGAGTTATCCCTCACTTGATCTTCCAGCCAGTAGACCTTAGGGGAAAGATCATTCCCAAATAAAGCAGCTGAAAAACACCATGGGGTATTTCAACTTGGGATTCCATGTCTTCCTGTCTTACAACTTTATCCCGGCCTTCACTTTGTTTTAAATGTTTGAGAATAAAAGACCAGCTATGAGTACCATCTGCTTAAATCCCTCTACCTTGTCCAGATCATTAATGAAGACAATTAAAAATAGTTCTCATGAGAAAATAAGATAAGCCATTATTAAGAGGAAATCAGGTACACTTACATTTTCTATTTCCTATAGGTAAAGCATTTTAGATGTAGTTAATGTTATATTTTCACTTCAAAATAGATATTTAACGTATACTAGACATGAAAGGCACGATACTGTGGTTCATAATGAATTCTGCCTTTATGGACAATGGCTTTTAGTGTAGAAGTTAAAATATGTATGAAAGCATAGCAAGATGGAGGTTGATGTGTGCATGAAGAGGTGCAGTTTTATATATTCATTTATGTGGCGCTTATTGTGTTCCAGGTACTCTGCTAGGCATTTTGTATAGAAGGAGAGGGTGCATTAGACAAGGTTCCTCAAAGGTCCGGCATTGCTGCAGTCTATGAGAATTCAGTTACATAAACCTTACAGATGGCACTTGGCTGTGCAACACTAAATTTCATTTTCTTTGATTACTTTACATGGATTTTATTTAATAATTTTGTTAAAGTATGAAGTATTTTAAGTGAGACATACGAGATGTTCCATGTGATGTGTTCAAACCTGATAGGCTTTATTGAATGGTAACTCTATCTCATTAGTAACTCATTCAAAGACAAATTGTTGTAGGGGTAGGGAGCTTGGAGGGGCAGGGAGAGAGGAGATAGACATATTGCAGATTAGAAGACAAAAATCTTTTTTTTTTTTTTTTTTTTTTTTGAGACAGTGTCTTGGTCTGTCACCCAAGCTGGAGTGCAGTGGTGTGATCCCAGCTCAATGTAGCCTCAACCTTCTGGGCTCAAGTGATTCTCCCACCTCAGCTTCTCTAGTAGCTGGGACTACAGGTGCAAGCTGCTAATTTTTGTATTTTTGTAGAGACAGGGTTTTGCCCTTGTTGACCAGGATGGTCTCGAATTCCTGGGCTCAAGCAATCCACAGCCTCAGCCTCCTACACCCAGCCAGCATTAAAAAAAAAAAAAAAAAAACTATTTTAACTTATTGCTAAAAAAGGTTTACTTTAGTGTTGATAGGGAACATTAATTGCAATATGATAATACAAGCCCCTGGTAGTTTCTCAATTTTAACAACCAGAAGTGCTTAGCAAGTACCTGAACCCTAGCTCATTCCATATCAAAAAGCCAGCTTTTCTGTTCACTTGCTAACCAGATGAGAGATGACAACCCTGAAAACCTAACTAGCACTTCACACAAAACTGATGTTTTGTTAATGGGGGAGCTAATTACTATTCCACTTTCTTGGCTTAAGTGTCTTGAATTCTTCTACTTGCTTATGCCTGGGGCACAAAGAATAACAAAACCAAACACGAGGCTCTCTATGAGTTACATTAATGAAATAACCCAGCCATGTTTTAATGGAATTGTTTGTCATCAAATATACATGAAGGACCTGGTGCCCTACCTGACTAGACATGACAATTTAACTTGGTGTTTTCCATTGTGGCAACATGATCATAAACATATTAACAAGTCCCATAGTGTGATCAACAACAGATGTAGAATTAAAAGTGTTGACAAGTTTCATCAGGTATTTCGGCCTTATGTATTTTCCACCACATCTAAATCCCATTGCTCTGGAAAAACTGCCCAAGCAACTGTTCTCTAAAAGCTGTTTGCTGTGAAACGTTCCCTTTTGTCTCATGCTTCGACTGGATAAACAGACATAGATTCCCCTGAATGGGCTTTGGGGAAAAAAAATCTACTTTACAATGCCAACTACTTATCATTGAATAGATCCTAAAAAAATTCTCCAAAATGGGAAATGGGCATCACTCGACATGTTTGCATCATACACATGTATTGAAAACAATACTTTTAAAAACAAGTGCATGGAAATAAAATCAAGAACTTGATTAATATGTATTAAAACAAGAATTAATCTTTTATAAAATTTAAAGGGCAGATTTTTAGTAAACATCTGATGCTTTTTGTCTTCTGTCATCTTTCCCTTTTGGAAATTTCCTGCTACCCACTGGTGACCTCGGGACCCCAGATACAGAGTGAGCACATCATCCAGCCTAGCTAATCAGAATCCTTCACTCTTTAGGCACAATAATTCATCCCAGGGAGGAGCTATAGTTCCAAGGCAGAGGTGTCAGAATTTTCCTTTGGGCTTTTGCTAATGCTCTTGGGAAATACATGGTTTTTGGATTCACTAGCTGTAGGAACAACATAAATCTAGAGCTATCCGTGGTGCACTTGCTACCACCTGGGAAGAACATTCCCAAAAACAAAGCTAACAGAAAAAAGCAGAGGGGAGTCATGGCAAAAGAGGAAGGAATGCAAGAGAAAGGATGAGAATAGCAAGAATAAGAGAGAGAGAAAAATGTTGGTGGGCACATTTGTAGCTCTTACTTCTAGCCAGACCTAAATGCATATTCATCCCTGAACTTTTCAGTTGTTTTAGCCATCACCTCCCCTTTTTTGCTTATGCTGATTTAGATGGTCTAGTACTGGGGTTGATGATATGGTTAGGCTTTGTGTCCCCACCCAAATCTCATCTTGAATTGTAATCCCCCTAATCCCCATGTGCCAAGGGAGAGATCAGGTGGAGGCAATTCAATCATGGGGGTGGTTTCCCCATGCTGTTTTCATGAGAGTGAGTGAGTTCTTATGAGATCTAATGGTGTTATAAGGGGGTCTTCCCCATTTCGCTCGGCACTTCTCCTTCCTGCTGCCTTGTGAAGAATGTGCCTTGCTTCCCCTTCACCTTCCACCATGATTGTAAGTTTCTAGAGGCCTCCCCAGTCTTGCTGAACTGTGAGTCAATGTAACCTCCTTTATAAACTACCCAGCTTGGGCAGTTCCTTATAGAAGTATGAAAATGGACTAATACAGTAAATTGGTACCACAGAGAGTGGGGTGCTGCTATAAAGATACCCAAAAAGGTGGAAGCAACTTTGGAACTGAGTAACAGGCAGAGGTTGAAACAGTTTGGAGGGCTCAGAAGACAGGAAGATGTGGGAAACTTTGGAACTTCCTAGAGACTTGTTAAATGGCTTTGACCAAGATGCTGATAGTGATATAGACAATGAAGTCTGGGCTGAGGTGGTCTCAGATGGAGATGAGGAACTTGTTGGGAACTGGCATAAAGGTGCCTCTTGCTATGCTTTAGCAAAGAGACTGTAGCATTTTATCCCTGCCCTAGAGATCTGTGGAACATTGAACTTGAATGACTTAGGGTTTCTGGCAGAAGAAATTTCAAAACAGCAAAGCCTTCAAGAGGTGACAGAGTACAAAAGTTTAAATATTTTGCAGCCTGAAAATGCAGTAGAAAAGAAAAACCCATATTCTGGGGAGAAATTCAAGCCTCTGCAGAAGTTTGTGTAATAACAAGGAGCCAAATGCGAATCACCATGACAACAGGGAAAATGTTTCTGGGGCATGTCAGAGACCTTCCTGGCAGTCCCTTTCATCACAGGCCTGGATGCCTAGGAGGAAAAATTGGTTTATTGTGCTGGGCTCAGGGTCCTTGTTTCTTTGTGCAGTCTTGGCACTTGGTGCCCTGCATCCCAGCTGTGGCTAAAATGAGCCAACATACAGCTCAGGCCATTGCTTCAGAGAGTGCAAGCCCCATACCTTGACAGCTTACATGTGGTGTTGGGCCTGCAGGTGCACAGAAATCAAGGATTGAGGTTTGGGAATCTCCACCTAGATTTCAGAGGATTTATAGTAACATGTATGGATGTCCAGGCAGAAGTTTGTTGCAAGAGTGGAGCCTTCATAGAGAACCTCTGCTAGGGCAGTGTGGAATGGAAATGTGGGGTCAGAACCCCCACACAGAGTCCCCACTGGGACACTGCCTAATAGAGCTGTGAGCCACCATCCTTCAGACCCCAGAATGGTAGATCCACCAACAGCTTGCACCATGTGCCTGAAAAAGCCACAGGCAGCCTGTGAAAGCAGCCCAGGATGGGGACTGTACACTGCAAAGCCACATAGGTGGAGCTGCCCAAGGCCTCAGGAGCCCACATCTTGCATCAGTGTGACCTGGATGTGAGACTTGGAGTCAAAGGAGATCATTTTGGAGCTTTAAGACTTGACTGCCCCACTGGATTTCAGACTTGCATGGGCTCTGTAACCCCTTTGTTTTGCCCAATTTCTCCTATTTGGAATGGCTGTATTTACCCAATACCTGTGTCCCCATTTTATCTAGGAAGTAACTAACTTGCTTTTGATTTTACAGGCTCATAGGCAGAAGGGACTTGCATTGTCTTAGGTGAGACTTTGGACTGTGGACTTTTAGATTAATACTGGAATGAATTAAGACTTTGGGGGACTGTTGGGAAGGCATGATTGGTTGTGAAATGTGAAAGGGACATGAGATTTGGGAGGGGCCGGGGCAGAATGATATGGTTACTCTTTATGTCCCCACCCAAATCTCATCTTGAATTGTAATTCCCATAATTCCCATAATCTCCACAAGTCAAGGGAGAGACCAGGTGGAGGTAATTGAATTATGGGGGTGGTATCCCCATGCTGTTCTCATGATAATGAGTCAGTTATCACAAAATCTGATGGTTTTATAAGCAGCTCTTCCCTGCTCACTCGGCACTTCTCCTTCCTGCTGCCTTGTGAAGAAGTGCCTTGCTTCCCCTTCATCTTCCACCATAATTGTAAGCTTCCTGAAGCCTTCCCAGCCATGCTTAACTGTGAATCAATTAAAACTCTTTCCTTTATAAATTACCCAGTCTCTGGCAGTTCTTTATAGCAGTATGAAAATGGACTAATGCAGTTGGCAAGCTTTTATTCTGTAAAGGACCAGATAGTAACTAGGTTTTACTTAGGCTTTGCATGCCCTATAGACTCTATTGTAACTACTCAATTCTGTCATTGTGGTGTGAAAATAGCCATAAGCAATATATAAACAAACAAGTGTGATTATTTTCAATAAAACTTACTATGCACACTAAACTTCAAATTTTATATAATTTCCTATGTCACAAAGTATTATTTTTCTTTCCAGTTTCCCCCATCATTTGTAACTGTAAACACTGTTCTTAGCTCCAGGGCTATGCTAAACAGGTCATGGGGAGGATTTGGCCCATAGGCTGTAGTTTGCCCAAATCCGGTCTAACATTCATTTTTTTTGGTGTCCCCCGAGCATCCTTTTCACTCTACTATTCTGCAAACACACACAGATTTTTCTTTAGAGACTCACTTCTTTCCACATTTTATGCTGTTTGGTTTGGATAAGATGGACTCTATCCTTAGTTCTGGAGGTGGGCTCTGTTAACTTTAGCCAATAAGACAATTTCATCTTACTGGCCACAGAGTTGATTCAGGAATGGGCCCATGGCTAATTTTAATCCAACAAGATTTGAGGAATATTTGAAAGGGCTTCTGGGAAATAAGCTTTCCCTCTTTTCTTTCTACCCTTTCCACACCCCAAGCCATTCGAGAAGAGAGAGCATATCCTCTGATAATTCAAGGAATGAGGATTGAGACTAGGAACTGCCACAGTCAGGGAAAAAGCCTGTAGCTTCCAGGAAACCACCTTTTGAAGCCTGGGAATGGAGCCAATGTAATGACCTGAGGTGGCCATTGAGTTAAATCGAACCTCATCAACAGCTAACCATAATCTGCTCTGTTATATGAGTCAATAAATCTTTTTTGCTTAGCTTATTTAGGATACATTTTTGGATAGGTTTCTATTCTTACAATGAAAAGAATTTTGACACGTTTTTTAAAAAGTCAAAGAGGGCAACTAGCTGTCTGCTTCAGAAAGGGTCACATAGTTCAGCAGCATCATAGCCACATCACAGTCAAGTTTAGGAGCAAGTCCTCAGCTTTTCAGGTTCAGATACTTTATCTGCTTATCAAGAGTTGTCCGGACTCTGGGGGAACTAATTCACACCAAACTCATAAAAGACGGTATACTTATTTATAAACAAAAATTCCTGCCCCACTCCACACTGTGGAGAAACTCCAGACTTCTCACCACTGCCATAAGGCCCTCCATGGCCAGTCTCCCCCAACCACAATGGTATCTTTGCTTTTCCTCAAACATGATGAATGAGAAGAATGTTACAAATGATTTTTCCTCCTTTCTTAAATCTTCTTCATTCAGATCTTAATATGACTCACTGTCATTTTATTTAATTATCTGATAAAACTTCATTCCAAGAGAGGCCTTCTTTGACAACTCTGTCTAAAATAGCATGCTCCTCCTTCCCTACATACATGACTCAATCCTTTTCTATCTCCTAATTCTGCTTTAGTTTATTCATAGGAATTTCATCTAGCTGAAATTATATTCTCATTGTTTTTAATAATCTATTTCTCCACTAAAATATAAGTTTCATGAGGATAGGAACTTTGTCAACCTTGTTCACTATTGTAGTCCCAGTACAGTGCTTAGAACAGTGTTTGACATTCAATAGAAATTGCTGAATGAAACAAGGAAGTAAGGGAGGGAGGAAGGGAGACAGAGAGAAGGAAGGAAGGAAGCAAGGAAAGAGAGGAAAGGAAAGGAAAGGAAAGGCAAGGAGGGAAAAGGGGAAAGGGGAGAAGAAATCAATCCATACACTCATATTCCTATGAAAATATATACAGAACAAAACAAATTATTTTAGAAAATATCTGGAAAATATAAATCATATTGTAGTTGTCTTACCCTAAGATCACAGATAGATAATTTTAAGAAAGACCATTATCATGAACATAAGAGTAAACTACCTCTGGGCTACACTACTTGTCAAATAACATAACTGATTTATACGCATATAAGAATTTATAGCTTACAAAGCACTTTTCACCTATAATTGCATTTAACTCTTCTGAGATCTTCCTTAAGGAAATGTTGTTATTTTCTTATACTGAGATAAAACTGAAGCTCAAAATTTAAGAAAGGAGTAACTCAAGGTTACCAGAAGATAAATGGCCAAAACTGAACTTGAACTCTGAGTTCTCTGATTTTGTTTTACTCTAATATGCTGCCTCCATGTAGCAATGACAGATCCCACCTATAATATGTTCATTTACTTGCTTCAATTTCCAAGAATGATCAAAACTTGTCCTCATTTTCTAGGACTTTCCACACAAAAATTCTAACACAGCATGCCTCAGGAAAACCTGAGTATCTATACAAAGCTCTTTGGCTCCATTTGAGATCTGCTGGGGTCTAGTGCTTCTCAAACTTTAGTGTGCATATAAATCACCCTGGGCGTCTTGGTAAAATGCTGATTCTGACTCAGTAGCCTTGAGGGTGGCCTGAGTTGCTGAATTTCTAACAGGCTCTCAAGGGGTACTGATGCTGCTCAACTACAAGACTACACTTTGAGTAGCAAGTCTACAGAATACTTACATGGATTTAAAATTTCAATATAAGTAATTAGTATTGCAATCAAGATCAAAGGTTTATTGTTAATATAACTGATATTCATCGTCACTCCCTCCCCTCCAACTACCACCACCTCTTAGATACTTTGGTTTCTTTAGGTCCCACCTATTTTGGCAAGGGTTCTCAAATGACTCAAATTCATCATTTGTCACTCTAGCTCCATCACTTCTCTCTCTCAGAATCACTACTTGTGCTAGCCACTTAAAAATCTGCCTCATTCTTTAGAATGACGGTTCCTAAATATCAACAACATATCTTGTTGATAAGGCAGAGTGAGTTTATTGCTAACCTTTATAAGGGAGAGCATCTCAACAGAGCTCTGGGAGTATCTCAAACAGGGAGATACAAGGTCAGATTTTATCAGGAATTTGAAGCCTGGCTTAAGGTGTGTCTTTCAATATGGGTAGGGGCTTGATTAAGATTCAGGAAGAGTCATGATGTAGTAGTTTAGGATTAGTGATAGGATTAGAATATTTCATTCAGCAAGACAAGGACTTTGAAGGCATGAGTTCAAAGAGTCTTAGGGCATAGACTATCCTTGGTGGATGCTTTCTGTTGAAAAGTTGATGGTTCTTTGAAGAACTTTCTGGAATACAGAAACAATAATAACAATAACAATAAAGTTATTTCCAACTTTCATTCTTCTAAGCAAGAGTTTCCTGAAATAGTACATTTATACTAATAAAGACAATGAAATAGTAAAGCTACATTATTGTAGACAGTAAGCTGTATAGGGATAAGTAATTGTAATTATAGGATCCAAGTATCTTCAGCCTGAGCTGAGGGATAGACAATTAATATCTTAGTGTGTGATCAATCCAGATCTTTTCTGCTACTAGAAGTGTCACAATCATGTATCAAGTTTCCAGTTGCATTAATTTGCTAGGGCTCAGTATACAATACCACATATTGGGTGACTTAAACAACAGAAAATTATTGTCTCACAGTCCTGGAGGCTAAAAGTCCAAGATCTATGCTGGTAGGATTGATTTCTTCTGAGAGCTGTGAGGAAGAATCTGTTCCATGCCTCTTCCCTAGATTCTGGTGGTTTGCTGGCAATCTTTCACAGTCCTTGGCTTGTAGAATCATCACTCCAGTCTCTGCCTTCATCTTTACATAGAGTTCTCCCTATGTGCATGTCTGTCTCAACGTCCAAATTTTTTATAAGCACACCAGTACTGGATTATGATCCACCCAGGTAGCCCCTCATTTTAACTGATTATCTCTATAGAGACCCTATCTTCAAATAAGATTACATTTTGAGGTACTTGGAGTTAGGATTCTAACACCCTCAACCCATAATACCAGTGATTGATTGTTCCAACCTCCATAAATGTCAGGCTTTCCTGTTCTTTTTGCTGATGATTATTTGTTGGATCGTTTCATAAAATAGAGACTATACAACAGCATTGAAGACTTTGAAGCTCACACAACTAATTGTCACAACATGCTAAGAGAAATATTATGATCAGTGTTTATAGTCCACTTCCCAGGCAGGAGCTAAGAGTTTCACCATTAAATCAATAGAAAAGATCCCATCCCCAATGTGAATGGCCCACAGAACCAGCTATGAGGTTATTAACCAAATTACCTAATTTTCTGTTTTCTTTGTGAATCCCAGCTCTTTTTAGTAATATTAATATGCAGAGATATAAGTACAATATTCTTCTCTTACAGCTGCACTTGCTCCCTCTTGAGATGCCAATGCTATATCTAAGGCAGCTCTATTTTAACCTACCGCCTGCCAATTTCTTGAACTTCTCGGATGAGGAGACATTGTCTAATCCAATTCATCTGTTATTCTCCTAATCACAGCATGTAGGGCACTTTCCCACTTTCTGGGCCTTTGGTAAATCATGAAGTGAAGAAGCCAAAGAGATAAAAAGCAACTCAAAATTCCCCTTGAGAGGCTACAATTTGGGTTCTTACATCAAGGTCTAGTTTTTCTCCTTGAATCATGTTTTCTG
Source organism: Homo sapiens (assembly GCF_000001405.40). Lineage (NCBI taxonomy): Eukaryota > Metazoa > Chordata > Mammalia > Primates > Hominidae > Homo > Homo sapiens. The sequence continues at coordinate 198,004,635 of NC_000001.11, read as the reverse complement.
ATTATCTATTTTTCCTAAAGGAAAAATGTGTAGGCCAAAGCAGACCCTAGATGATGTTAAGAAGTATACTGAAAGAAGGTGTCCATTTATCAAGATAATTTGTTCCTATTTAGTTTAGGAATAGAACAACAGTAGCTAGTAGGCTGTTGTGCTACTAATTAAAACCCAGTCATTAGGAGCCACTCAATGATTCACTGTGGCCAAAAAACATTTATTGGATTGACAGACAGTGCTGTAATATTTTGACAACACTTATCAAGAATAGTTTGGTGCCAGGCAATGAAATTTGTAGTATAGACATCATTAGGTAGTTTAAAAGCAAATAATGTGTCTTACTTGTAAGATCTGTGAAAGTGACACTACTCCAAATATATACCATCTGTTCCCTAGCCCTCTTTCAAGTTCTATTTCTGTAAAGGTCTAGTTACAAAAGCTAGCTCCCACAAAATGTCACCAAGTATTTTTTAGGGGAGATAGAAACCTCCTATTCTAGGTATGGCATAATAGAGAGTTGTGGGTTTCTGGTTACCTGGGCTCTTGTGATGTTTCTCATCTAAAAAGTCACAAAGTACTTGAAGCCATCTGTCCAGAAAACCAACTGATTATTACAAGGACTGGAAGCAAGGGAAGCTGTGTGGCTCTCTGTTCTTGGTTGAATATTGTCCCCTCAAAATTCATGTGCACCTGGAAACTGGGAATGTGAATTTACTTGGGAATAGGGTCTTTGAAGATATAATCAAGTTAAGATGAAGTTATACTAGATTAGGGTGATCCTTAATCCAATGACTGATATCTCCACAAGGAGAGGGACGGATCTGGACAGAGACACACAGGCAGTGATTAGAGCGATACAGCTGCAAGTCAAGGAATACCAGTGACTGCCAGCAACTACTGGAAGCTAAAGACAGGCAGGGAACAGATGCCCTCTTAGAGTCTCTAGAAGGAACCAACCTTGCCAACTCCTTGATTTCAGACTTCTAGCCTTCAGAGCTGTTAATGAATAACTTTCTGTCACTTTAAGCCACCTAGTTGGTGGTAATATGTTATGGCAGCCCTAGGGAAGTAATGCCTTCTCAAATGAAAACATATACAACCCCAATAATCAGTTTAGTTGTATGCTTAACCAGTTCACTAGCAAATTGTAGCTAATTATTGGGCTCATATCAAGGAGTAGTTAAGGATACAAGAAACAACATTAAGAATAGTGACTTATAACTAGCATAGATAAAGGTAGCTTTAAACCTGCAAAAGAGCAAAGAAGGGGGCTGATTTACATCCAATTTGAACCCATATTTCTCCCAGTACCCATTCCTGACTAGAATTGGCTGCAGAAGTTCTATAAAGGCCTCCTTGAACTTCTTCAAGGATTTGGGTAGGATCTCAGTGAGTGCTACTGGCCTGGCATAATGATCAGCCTAGACATTTTATATTTTCTTAGCCTCCACACTAGCTTATTTCGTATAAGCACCTACTTTTGTAATTGGCATCTCATTAGGAAGCATTATAGCACTCTAAAGTTATTTAATTTGCTGAATACTCTTAATTGGGGTGTCCATGCTTTTTGTTTCCAAAGCATTCCAAAATCATGTACCCTCCCAAAAGAGATCTATTAGCTGTGTGTTTATTAACCCTTTAATCTCTAGCTATTTACAAATTCTTGGGTGTACAAGTTCCACCATTTGGGTAGATTTTGCCACTGGCAAGAAGTCATATTCCAGGAGCAAAGTAAGATCTGTTACAGCATATTCTGTCTGATATTTTCCTGTTTCAGAACAAAGATATGGCATACCAACAAAGGTTAAGTATAGATTTCCTAAGTCATTTATAATAAATCTATTTTGAACATACATCATAACTAGAGGTTAGACGGTCAAGATTTTCCCCTTTTTCAGGTTATGAAAAAAATAATTTCAGAATTCAAAGTGTTGCAATGATGGATGAAAATACGTGAACAAGAAAATAATATGATTACACAGGAGGTAAGTCTATTTGCTAAGTAATATTGTGCATTTGCTGTGAGCAACAAAATCTGTACACCATGAAGAACTATTAGATTTAAAGAGCCTAATGTCAAGCTGGTGGAAGCCCCCACTAGGGCAGCTGTTCCTGCTATTGCACTTAGACAAGGTGAGTAGGGTTTGCTACTGGGTCAAGAGAGAGACCATTCATTGATCTCTGATAATTCCCACAAAATGGAATCAGAAGTCCAAGGAATTATCCATATCTTTCACATAGAAGTAGACAGAAAGTCTTATAATAACTAGGTCTAGGTCAAACCCAGAGTGAGTGGTAGAAGGAGGACTAATTTTAAGTCATAAAAGCCCTGTTCATGTTTAGGTTCCCAGTGAAGAGGTTCCGTTAGCAAGAACTTACTTATGTCATAGTGGGGCCATGATTTCAGAAAAGTGAAACTGCTGCCTTGAGTAGCCAGTGAGACCCAGAAATACACTTAACTATCTCTTAGTCTCTGGCTTAGGAAAGTTTCAAACTATTTGTACTCTGTCAGAAATCAGGAATTCAACTCCTTGCGAAAAATCATGTCCTAGATAATGACTCTTACTTTGACAAAATTGTAACTTTCTTTGGAAACCTCATATCTGTTCTGAACTAAAACAGTAAGTGTTATTGTTAGATGGAATCAATAGAATCAATCTTAGAGCTCACTTCCTCTTTAAAACACAACAAACGTCATTCACATTTTGGATAAGATTAGAATCAAAAGGAACTTGAACATCTTTGAGGTTCTGGCTGATGGACTGTGAAAAATAGGATGGTGCCTCAGCAAATCTTTAGGGCATAATAGTGCAGGAATAGTGTTGATTTTCCCAGGAGAAGGATAAATATTGACTGTTTTGATTTAAACTATAGATTCTAAAGGAACACTAAAAAATTATAGAACATAAATCTGCAACTGTAAAATACGCTATCTCAAGAGGCACCAGAGATAAAATAATATTGGGGTTTAGCACTACAGGGAAGTGGGGAATGATTTTTCTATTTACAGTCCTGAGGTCCCGAAAAAAAAAGCCTATATCCACACCCATTGGGTTTTGTTTGTTTGTTTTTGTTTGCCCATTTGTTTTGGTTTGGTTTGGTTTTAGTTGGGAACATAAGAGTGTAACAAGGGCTGTATAAAATATGGTAAAACCTTTATCTATTAGACTTTCAACTTTTGGGTTTCAACCATTGCTTTTAGTCTGCTTAGTCTTGTGCAAGTTGGGGTAGAAATGTCAATGACTCAATCTGAGTGAGCCTTAGTGTATTTGGCCTCAATAATCCTGCCTATCCCAGTAGAACTTTTTGGCCCTCCAAAAGCCAGTACTTTCTTGAGATCTTTAGTTTAGTTTTGATTTAGACATAAGGATGCTGATAAATGAATTGTCTCAATCAGCTATGATCTCACTATGAATATCGGAGCCCACAGGGGCTACAAGGAAGGAAAGCATTTGATCTGGTGGTTCCATTTGGACAGTAAATCCCTCCCTGCACAGTTAGTCGATGTGGTATTGCAAAGGACGAAAGAATATTCCTTGAGTAAAAGTTCCAGGGTGACAGTTAAGGGCTGGGACATAGAAAATATATGAGGCTTCTTAGAGGTATCCATCACTTGAGTAGTTTGTTGACTCCTACAGAGGTTGTATAACACTGCTAGAATTTAAGATTGATAAATCTATCATAGCGCCTATATCAATTTAAAAATTATCAAATTTATTTTTAATAGATAAATTTCTTCTTAGGAATTCAAAGACAAAATGGGAAATTGGTTGCTTGATTTTTCCTCCTCTGAGCACCTTCACTGAGTACTTGTTTCATTGTTTAGTTTATTTGCTAATGCAGGGTAATTATTTTCCCTAGGTCTTTTCTGTTTATTGTATCTAAAAGTATCTTTACCAAGAGACCCTCTCCCAGGGTTTAATAACCAGAGTGGGAACATGTAGATCAGGGTTGTCCAATCTTTTGGCCTCCCTGGATCACATTGGAAGAATTGTCTTGGGCCACACATAAAATACACTAACATTAACAATAGCTGATGAGTTAAAAAATAAAAATAAAAATAAATCTCATAATGTTCTAAGAAAGTTTACAAATTTGTGTTGGGCCTCATTCAAAGCCATCCTAGGTAGCATGCAGCCCGTGGGCCACAGGCTGCACAAGCTTGATATAGACGTTTTATGTGTGTGATGGTTAATTTTATGTTGTCAACTTGACTGTTGGAGCATTAGGGAGCATTAGAGTCTTTAAGGAGCATTAGATTACACATATTCCCATGTGTGTCTGTGAGGGTGTTTTGAATAGAGTTTAGGGAGCATTAGATTAAATGTATTCCCAGATGTGTCTGTGAGGGTGTTTTGAATAGAGTCAGCATTTGAATTGGTGAACTCTGTAAAGTAGATTGTCCTCCTCAGTGTAGATGAGCATCATCCAACCCATTGAATAGGTGGTCTTCATCCAATATATTGAGGACCTGAATAGAACAAAAGGCAGAGAAAGGAAGAATTTATCCCTTTTTGCTTTCTATCTGTCCTCTTGAACTGGAACATCTCATCTCCTCTTTTTGTGCCCTCAGACTAGAATTACACCACCAGCTCTCCTGGGTCTCTAGTCCCAATGGCAGATCATGGGACTTCTCAACTTCCATAATCATGTAAGCCAATTCCTCATACTAAATAAGTATATACATTTTATTATTGGTTCTGTTTCTCTGGAGAACCCTGACTAAAACAATCTGTAAGGTCACTTGTTTATTCTAAGTTCTAAGGCTCTTTCAAAAGTTCAGTGAGGTTTTAGAGTTCTGACAAAGAGGCTAATTCCCATCAGAGTTAATGCTTACTATTGAATCCTCCATTTAGGGCTAATGCCATTTGCAAAAAGTAAGGCAAGAGCTGGAGTCACATTTGTTTCACAATCTGCTCCTCAATGCAGTCTAAATATGTTAAAAAGCCGATCCCTGAAGTCTTCCATGGATGCATCCTTTGTTTACTCACAGGACTGGATTGGTGTGTAATCTGTTTTCATAGAACAGACTCTGGGGACAGCTTCTAAAAGAGCTTAGCCAAAATCTACAGCTTTACTGAACCCCTCTGGTTTCCTATTCAATTTAAAATATTTTAAGTAACTCTTGGGGTTTCCCATCCTGCCTTTTTTCATACAATTTTTAACATCTGAGGTTTCCACCAACCTATGAACCAATTGGTATAAATTTGGGAGTCCTGGTTTATAGGTTCCTAAAACTATTCCATATTCTTCTGAAAATTGCTGTCTATCTTGTCTGGACCATGGAAAATCTTTCACGTGGCTTTGAGCTCTGAGCAAGAACAGGACTTAAAATCAGCTCTAAGAAGTTTTCTCTGTTCTGAGGGATGTTTAACTCTAAGAGGTAACTGAGTGTTGGGGTTTGGGGTGACTGAGGAGGCATGGGGAGCTGGTCAGAGGGAGAGATGAAGGCAGGGGAAAACAGAGGAGGGAAGACTAGGGTCAGAGAAATTGTATGATAATTGTACAATAAAGGCTGTTAGGTCTGAATTTTGAATTAAGGGGATCTAAAAAAGAGATAGTTTTAGGTTTTTTTATATTTTCTTATCTTAAGGCCACAGTTTTGAAATCTGAATTTCTTTCGGATGCCTCCTTATACCAATGAAAAAATGCAGAACACTGGATATTTGATATTGTGTTTCCTTTTTGTTCTAAGGCACCTTTCTAATAAATAATCTTGGTCATAACAAAAGTTCCCCACAGTAGCCCCTGCAATTCTAAACTACTCTTGGGGAAACTGGGAAATTATGACATTTAGAAAGAGAAGAACACAAATTTGGATTATAGCATAAATACATGGACGATGCAGAAGTCTAGCACAAAGAGGGAGTGGACTTAAGTTCAAATTGAGACAAACCCATAGGAAAATGGGAAAAGTTGTTCCCGTTACAACTTTACAAAATGTTACAAATGCTCATGTCCCAGACCCCTGCAAAATTACAAAATCGCAACAAGGAGTGTGGAAAGGAAGTCTCTCTTAGAATTAGACTCTCATGAACAAAAAGCAAGGCAAGACAGAAAAAAACAAATAGAATTTGAGGAGTAACTCAGGACAAGATGTATCCAAGGAATGCCAGTCTGAGAAGAAAACTTTTGAATACCTCAGTTCCTGGGGTAGCTTGGTGTGTTCGTTTTGCATTGTTATTTGCTTTGTTATAAAGGACTGCTTGAGGCTGAGAAATTTATATAGAAAAGAGGTTGATTTGGCTCATGGTTCTGCAAGCTGTACAAGAAGCGTAGCATCAGCATCGGCTGCTGGCGAGGCCTCAGGAAGCTTGCAATTTTGGCAAAAGGCAAAGGGGGAGCCAGAGTATTACATAGCAAGAGAGGGAGCAAAAGAGAAACGAGGGAGTGCTGTGCTCCTTTAAACAACCAGATTTTTTGTGTGAACTCATTACTACTCATTACCATGGGAATGACATCAAGCTATTCATGAGGGATCCACTTCCATGACCCAAATACCTCCCACAAGGCCCTACCTCCAACATTGGAGGTCACGTTTCAACATGAGATCTGGAGGGGACAGACATCCAGACGATAACATTTGGAGAATAAACTTATCTTGGGGCCTACTACACTCACACTTTTCCATATGAACTTTCATACTGAGGGATAACAAAAATGACAAAAACAGTCAGAGATAACCAATAGTGTTATTAGGAATAAGGCAGATTTCCACCAAGGGTAAGTATTCTTTTTTTTTTTTTTTTTTTTCCAAATCTAGTGAGATAAACAAAGGATATCTAAAAAGTATTTCTTACTACTAGGAGAAAAAAATAAAATCAGCATTTGAGGAGCTTAAATGAAATAGACCAGAGTTTAATAGACCAGACTCAATGCAAGGCGTGCTTACCCTTTCCTTCTTGCCCCATCTATGCCAGGGAGCCTGAGCAGGTTCACAAGGTGCCTCAGAGCAGTGAATTGTTTCTCTGGGAAGAGTCTTGGACTTAGCAGTCTCAAATGAATCCCAGGGGCCTACAAGACTGTCAAATGGCAAATGTCACCAACCTTCTCACCCTCAGAATTCCTGCAAGTCCCACCCCCTTTAAAACCTACCTCATCCCTTCAGGATTTTGCTTTTTCTAGATTATGAAAGTGAATTTTAAACAAATAACCATGAATATTAATGAGCTATTTTCTGATATAACATAAAATTATACTAACATCTTTAGACAGTAGACTGGTGGAAAAATAATTTGGTCTTGGAGAGAGAGGGCCAGAGTTTTAATACTCTGTCAACCACTCTCCAACTGAGAGGTTTTTAATGGGCAGACAATTTCATGTGTCTGAATTTCTTCTTATCTATGAAATGAAAGTAATAATGTATGAGCTCACAGCATAACAAGAAAGACTAAATAAATTTGCACTAAATACATTGGTTAACTGTGAAGTACTAAGCAATGCAAGCTATTAACAATGATAACCAAAGAAGAATGAAAGTTAATGGGGGAAATTTTGGGTTCTCTACAAGTATGAGATAAAAAATATTTTTCTAAATAGATAAATTGTACCACTATCTAATCCTTTATATGAATTATATCAGTAATACATGCATATTTTTTAAATCCCCAGTTAAGGCATAGTGTCTGCAGATTCTAAAATTTTCACTGGTGAATACTCCTGCATTCTCTGTATTACTGATTTATAGGGTGGTTGTTGTTTTCTCATCTGATATATGTGGACCGGGGAGCTTAGATGAAGCTTATTCTTCATCAAAATGAAACTTTATAATTTACATTACTAGTCATGAATAGATAATAAATATTGGCTGTAACACTAACATTTGGGAGGCTGTGGTGGGAGGGTTACTTGAGGCCAGGAGTTCAACAGCAGCCTGAGCAACATAGTAAGACCCATCTCTACAGACAACAAAACAGAACAATTACCTGGGTGTGGTTACCTGACCCTATAGCTACTCAGAAGGCTACTCAGGAGGCTGTGGGGAGAGAATCCCTTGAGCCCAGGAGTTCAAGGCTGCAGTGAGTTAGGATTGTCACTGCATTCCAATTTGAATGACAAAGTGAGACCCTGTCTTTAAACAACAACCAAAACGATAATGAAAAATCGGCCAGGCATGGTGGCTCATGCCTGTAATCCCAGCACTTTGGGAGGCCAAGGCTGGCAGGTCACTTGAGGCCAGGAGTTTGAGACCAGCCTGGCCAACATGGCGAAACCCTGTCTCTACTAAAAATACAAAGATTAGCCAGGTATTGTGATGCAGCGTGCAATCCCAGCTACTCTGGAGACTGAGGCAGGAACATCACCTGAACGCAGGGGGCAGAGGTTGCAGTGAGCCAAGATCCCACCACTGCACCCCAGCCTGGGTGACAGAGTAAGACTATGTCTCCAAAAAAAAGATATTAAAAACCCACAGCAAGATTTGAAAAAAATAAGTATCTCAACTCAAAATGGAACAAATACAGTAGTCCCTCTTATCCCCAGCTTCAGATACTTATTGTAAACCACAATCTAAAAATATTAAATAGAAGATTCTAGAAATAAACAATTCATAAGTTTTTAGTTGTGCACTGTTCTGGGTAGTGTGATGAAATATCAAGCCCTCATGCTCCATCCTGTCCAGTAAGTGAATCCTCCATTTGTTCAATATGTCCACACTGTATGCACTACCTACTTAATATGGTTTGGCTGTGCCCTCACCCAAATCTCAACTTGAATTGTATTTCCCAGAATTCCCATGTTTAGTGGGAGGGACCTAGAAGGAGCTAATTGAATAATGGGCGTTGGTCTTTCCCCTGCTATTCTCGTGATAGTGAATAAGTCTCACGATATCTGATGGGTTTATCAGGGGTTTCTGCTTTTCTTCTTCCTCATTTTCTCTCGCTGCCGCATGTAAGAAGTGCCTTTCACCTCCTACCATGATTCTGAGGCCTTCCCAGCCATGTGGAACTGTAAGTCCAACTAAACCTCTTTTGTTCCAGTTTCAGGTATGTCTTTATCAGCAGTGTGAAACAAACTAATACACTGCTTGTTAGTCACTTAATAGTCATGTAGGCTATCAGGTAAAAAAACAAACAAACTCTAAGCATACATACAGTTCAGTACTATCTGTGGTTTCAGGCATCCACGGAGGGTCTTGGAACATATATTCTGAAGACAATGGGGCACTATGGTACTCTCAAAATAGCTGTCTGGAATTGTTGCACAATTTAGCATTTGCTTACCAAAATTTTTTAAGCCTGCCTCCTGGGTCCTATCTCTTGCCCTGAAAGGCATCAGAGACTGCTTTGAAGGCAACCTCTTGGGAAATCACAATCTTGATTTTCCTCTGGTTAATAAGTACTCAGGTTACCTAAGTAAACTGCTCTTGCTCATTGTTGCTACTGGTTTCATCTTCACCTTGGCTCTCCACTCCGAGTATTGCAACAGCCTTCTAACAAGTATCCTCGCTTCCACTCTTCTCACGCAACACTTCGTCTTCAACACTGCAGCCAGGATAACCTTTTTAAAACATAAATCTGATAACATCTCTCCCCTGCTTAGAACTCACTTCAGTGACTTCCTGATGCAACAAGGTGGTAAAGCGAAACTCCTTTTCCCAGGTTACAAATTCAACCGTGATCTGGATACTGCCTGCCTCAGATATCAATTACTTATTACACTGTTTCCCTTGCCCAATCTGCTCCACCGTGCCAGCCTTCATGCTGACCCAGATACAATAATCTCAATCAAATCTATGCCTTACATTTGCTTGCCACTCTCCTGAAATGTCCTCAGCTAACCGGATCTTTAGCAACATTTCTTTTCTCAAATGCCATCTCTTTAGAGGGGACTCCCTGACCACCTACTAAAGTAGCTCCCGGACCCCACTTCCCAATTGCACTCTATCTCACTACCCTGTTTTGTTGTTGTCTTCTTAATACTTCCCACTATGTATTTTTAAAAAATTAATAATTTATTCATATGTTTACATTCTATCTCCTCATACCAGAACATCCACCTGCTTGTCTAGTTCATTGTATCCCCAGCACTAGAACAATGCCTGGCATAGACTAAGTGCTCCACAAATACTTAAGGGATATAAATACCACTCATGTACATAAAACTCCCAAACACTCCTGGGAGTCATAAAGACAAATTTGAATATCTGGTGTACGATAATTAATCTTATATGTCAACTTGGCTGGGCCATGGGATGCCCAGATATCTAATTAAGCATTATTGCTGAGTGTGACTGTGAGGGTGTTTCTGAAAGAGATTAGCTTTTGAACTAGTAGACTGAGTAAAGCAGATGGCACTCCCTAATACGGGTGGGCATCACACGATCCATTGAGGTCTTGTATAGAACAAAAGGGCAGAGGGAGATTAAATACACTTCCTCTGTCTCCTCCCCTAGGCATTCCTGGTTCTCAGTGCCTCAGATGGAAATGGAATCTACACCGTTGGCCTTCCTAAGTCTCCAGCTTGCAAATGGCAGATTAAGTACATTCTCAGCCTTCATAATCATGTGGACCAATATATTCTTATAAGTATCTTTTATATATATATAAAAAAGATATATATAAAGATATATTTTATTATATTCTTATATATATTTTATATATTCATTTTATATATCTTTTATATATAATATATATCTTTTATATATAAAACATATATACACATAAATGTGTGTATATATATCTTTTTTATATATTATATATTATATATAATATGTATATTATTTATTATTACATATTCTATATGTAATTATACATGTATATTATATATGTAATTATTACATATTATATAAAATATGTATATATAATATGTATATTATATATTATATATAGATACATATATAAAAGACAAATGTATCTTTATACACATATATAATATGTATAAAAGATATATATACACGTATTATATATAATATATAATATATAAAAGATATATGTAATATAATATATAAAAGATATATATTATATGATATATAAAATATAAAAGATATATCTTATATATAATATATAAAAGATATATATAATATATAAAAGATATATCTTATAATATATAAAAGATATATCTCATATGACATGTTATATATGATATATAAAAGATATATCTACACACACATATTATATAGATATAGATATCTATATCTATATCTATTGGTTCTGTTTCCCTGGAACTTTAATACATGGAGAAACATAACATGTTTCCTCACTAGAGGGCTTAATATTATAAAGATGTTGCTTCTCCCCAAATTCAGCTATTAAATTACCTCAACTGCAGTTCCAATTTCAATCAACAAAATGATTCTAAATTATACTTAAAAATAAATGTTTGGGAAAAATAAATATGCTAAGTAATAAAAATATTTTTAAAACAAAACAGAAAAAGTAAAGACACAGTAGGCAATAGGGGGTCTTTCTTACCAGAGAATAAAACACAGGTTTAAAGCACTAGGGATGGAAAAGACAGGTCAGTTGAAGAGAATAGAAATTCCAGAAACAGAATTAAGTCTATATGAGAAACAACTGTTCCTTTTACTGTGTTGAAAAAAATTGGTAAAATTTCCCTCTTAAAGAGCTTCTATGTAACAACAGCAACAAACCCCACAAAGTTAAAGCAAGAAGTAGGATAACATTTACAAAATATAATATATGTAAAGAACCCCTTATATGTAAAAATATTTTTTCAAATTAATTTTTAAAAGACATGCTATAGAAGAAAACAAGTCTAAAATTACAAAGTGTCAGTGCACTGTGGAAAAATACAAATATCCAATAAATGTACAAAAAAATACTCTCTCATAATACAGCAAATGTACATTAACACGCTAAGATGGAATTTTCATTATTTGATCGAAAAAGATTAAAAATCATACTACTCAGGGTTGCTTAGCATGTGAGGAAACAGTGCCTTTAGACGCAAGAAAGCCTAGAAGAATATTTTGGTAGAATTCTTGTGGAAGTCAATTTTCCATTGTGATTTAAAAACCTTTAAAATTGCCAAATTTTAGCAATTCCCCTTTTAGTAATTTATAATAAAAAATTAATTGGACAAGTCTTATGTATAATAATGTTTCTTACACAGTTTATAAGATAAAAAAATCAGACACAGTATAAATGTGTACATCGTGTCAGTCTAACAGTGGAACAGCAACAAAAAAATGATGGTGTATCAGCATATTAATTAATATGCAAAGATGTTCATAATATATTGTTGACTGAATAAAGTATATTAATAGTAGTTTGTAGAAATTGAATTATTATAAATTAATATATATTTCTGTATATTGTATGTATATTATGATATATTGTATATATTATACAATAGTTTAGAAAAAAGTGAACACTTAACTGAAGGTTAACTGTTATCTCTATCTTTTTTTCTTGGTGCTTATGTGCACTTTCTAATTGTTCTATAATGAATATTTATTGCTTACATAGTAGAGAAAGAGAGTTTTGTGGGGAGAGAGGTTAATTACTGATCTCTATTTGGCTGCAGATACTTTTTGCAAGCCTATTTTTCATGAAGAAAATCTAGATTAAAAATATAATCATCCTTTGAGTTGAAGAAAACATGAAATATCCCACACATGTAAGTTTCAGTACTCCACCCACACAAGAAACCAGGTTTACAATATAGCAGCTCCTTTTCGTTTCTGTTACTACCAAGTAACGCAGCCAATAAAGAGGCTTTGGAATGCAAAAATTTTAAAATAAGTTATGAGAGATAATGTGGTTATTGTATGGTAATGAACTTCAGAGGCATCAAAAGTTTAATATATTGCTGAGTTCGGTTATTTCCCTTGGGTGTAATTAAGATCTGAAAAGCTTGCCCCAGAGCCACTGATATAAATAGTCCTCCTTGTAGATAAATATGTTTCTAACTGTTGTATAGGTGCTTCAGTTGTATTCAATTATACTGTACTATAAAAACATAACAAAACTGATTCTGAATTAAGGTGTGGGAATAATTGGAGCAACCCAAAAGATTAATTCTAATAGCATAACTGTACCACATTACTAAAAGCAAACTACAACAACAATTACTAATGCGATTAGAAACATCACAGTAATAGCAGCAACAACAAAAGACTTCTAAACCCTTGTCAGGCAGGATAATCTTTCATGTTTTATAAGCCTAGAAAATAACCCCATTAAATATTTAACATTTAAATATTTCAACTAGAATGGATTAACCAAGCAGAAATGAAGTCTGAAAATTCAAGCCTATTCAACCTCATGTAGATGCTAATTTGAACACACTTTTAAAAAGTATGACATAATCAGGGAAAAGTTAAAAGTGGATATTAACAAATTTTTTAAAGTTGATAATGCTACTATGGTTATACTTTTTGAAAGCACTCTTACTTACTCTTAAGAAATACATTCTGAAATATTCCAGGATAAAATGATATGATGTCTAGGGTTTGGTTTAAATAATCCAGTGGGAGTTAGCAGGTACAGAGAAAACACAACTGGCTTTGAGTTAACCGCTGAAGATGGGTGATGAGTACATGTAGGCTCATTATAGTATTCTCTTCATTTTTGTGAATGTTTGAAATTTGCAATAAAAAGGTTGGTTTTAAAAAATTATTTGCTTCAGAAATAGTGCCTATATATTAATCATTCTGCATTACTGCATGTTTTATGCAGTTTGGTGAAAGTATTCATTATAAGGCTATTTTTTTAATGCAACATATTTGGTAATACATAAAGACCCCATTTCTTTAATTAAAGAATTTCGCATTATTGAAAAGCAAATAACAATAATCACTGAAAACATAAAATTAAATGAGTATAAGCCACTCAGATGAAATAAAATTAAAGTATAAAATTTGGATGTGAGTCGTATTTAAATATTACGGAGCTGAGTTCCTTACCAGAATAGTGGGGCATCCTATTTGAACTGAATTGAGAGAATTGCTGAAAGAAGTGATTCTAAAAAACTCAAATTCCCCTCAAAGAACAAATCGCTATTAAATGAGAGGAGTCACAGCAGTTGGTTATCAATGAATTGTAAAGAATTCTATTAACAATATAAAATAGGCCAGGTGCCGTGGCTCATGTCAAGCGGGCGGATTGCTTGAGCCCACGTGTTGGAGACCAGACTGGGCAACATAGCAAAACCCTGTCTCTACCAAAAAAATAAAAAATTGCTAGCCAGTCTTGGTGGCGTGCGCATGTAGTCCCAGCTACTCAAGAGGCTGGAGTGGGAAGATTGCTTGAACCCGGGATGTCGAGGCTGCAGTGAGTTATGATCGTACCGCTGCACTCCAGCCCGAGTGACAGAGCAAGACCCTGTCTCGAAAAAACAAACAAAAAACCAAAAACACAATATAAAAGCACAAGATGAAGAAAAGAGCAAACCAATTTGGTTTCAGAGATAATTTGAAAGACTGCCAAACACGCACTTTCTCTCCTTAAATGGTAATTAAATTTCATCAACCTTCCACATTTCTATTTTGTATTTCATATTGCCTTCTTCTTTTTTTTTTTTTCCAGATGAAGTCTCTCTCTCTTGCCAGGCTGGAGTGCGACGGCACGATCTCGGCTCACTGCAACCTCCACCTCCCGGGTTCAAGCAATTATCCTGCCTCAGCCTCCTAAGTGGCTAGGACTACAGGTTCACGCCACCAAGCCCGCTAATATTTCGTATTTTTAGTAGAGATGGGGTTTCACTGTGTTGGCCTGGATGGTGTCTATATCCTGACCTCATGATCCGCCCACCTCACCTACCAAAGTGCTGGGATTACAGGCGTGAGCCACAGCGCCCAGCCTCACATTGCTTTCTTAAGGCCACTAAATTAGTAGTTATCAACTCAGTTTTTTTCAATCACCCACAGTAGGTCTAGGCATAGGGAACGCCAAATGGCGTATCATCTGGAGACTAATCAGCTCTGGATACTTCACACCTTCATATAATTATTCTTGCCTTTATTCACTTAAGAAATATTTATTGCTTTTCCTCTGTGTCTGACACTGTAAGGCACAGGGACTATAACCATGAACAAAATACTGACAGTTGGAATTAATATTGCAGGTCAAGAGGCTCAGGATCTATGTAGTTACCAAAAGCCAATTGACTCATTGACTGGACTATTCACCAAATTACCAATTCACTAATTTACTATGGTTTTAAATAAAATATGTTTAAGGGTCAGAGAAATTCATATTGGATGGATTGGCAGAGCCTGAGAGATATGTGAGAAGGAGGATGGGACTCTGGGGACTTCAGACTGTCCTCCCTTACCTAAACTCTTCTTTCCTCTCACTCCTGTTTGCTTTTTCTCCCCTCTCTGACTTTCACTTCCCCTTGTCCCTGAACTTTGTCTCCTCCACTCTCTGGAACCCAGACTTCTCTCTCAGATGCTGCTGTGACTCTCTGCTCCTCCACCCCCATGGTCCCCCAGGGCCGGCAGCACAGGCTGGGCTATGTCCCAGCCTTCTAGCCTCATTTCCTAGCACTAAGTCTCCACTCTGTCTCACCTCCTCCAGACACAGCAGCGAGAAGCTGAGCCAGAAACAGGTTAAATATTTAAAATCAATTATGAAAACATAAAGCCGGGCACGGTGGCTCACGCCTGTAATCCCAGCACTTTGGGAGGTTGAGGTGGGCAAATGACATGAGGTCAGGAGTTTGAGACCAGCCTGGCCAACATGGTGAAACCCCGTCTCTACTAAAAATACAAAAATTAGCTGGGCTTGGTGGCACACGCCTGTAATCCCAGCTACTAGGGAGGCTGAGGCAGGAGAATTGCTTGAGCCTGGGGGGCGGAGGTTGCAGTGAGCCGAGATCGCAACACTGCACTCCAACCTGGGCGACAGAGTAAGACTCCATCTCAGAAAAATAAATAAATAAATAAATAAATAAATAAATAAATAAATAAATAAATAAAAAAAACCTGGTCACTGGAGCTTTTTGTGAAATGCTCAAAAACTGTTACAAAGCGTTTTATTCGACATATCAAGTTTATGCATAATTATAAGGAGCCAGTGTTTAGAAATCAGTCAATTAAGAAAATTGGTTCTCAACCCAAATGTCCAACAATGATAGACTGGATCAAGAAAATGTGGCACATATACACCATGGAATACCATGCAGCCATAAAAAATGATGAGTTCATGTCCTTTGTAGGGACATGGATGAAGCTGGAAACCATCATTCTCAGCAAACTATCGTAAGGACAAAAAACCAAACACCACACGTTCTCACTCATAGGTGGGAATTGAACAATGAGAACACACGGACACAGGAAGGGGAACATCACACACCTGGGCCTGTTGTGGGGTGGGGGCAGGGGGGAGGGATAACATTAGGAGATATACCTAATGTTAAATGACGGGTTAATGGGTGCAGCACACCAACATGGCACATATATACGTATGTAACCTGCACGTTGTGCATATGTACCCTAAAACTTAAAGTATAATAAAAAATAAAAATTCTTTTAGAAATAAAAAAAGAAAAAAAAGAAAATTGGTTCTTGGGTGAATTGATTCTTTGTTGAATTGGCTTTTGCTGAAATTAGGCAAATGATGTTGTTTCCAAGTTTGACAGATACAGTCAGGAGCGCCATGCAGGTAACATGAAATATGTCTCCAGAGCCTAGACCCACTTTACTTTCCCTATGTCTAGTCCCACCTCAGGCTCTAGGACAGGGGGGAAATAAAGAGCTGCGCATTTCTAGCTTAGCAGACTTGGCAAACCTTACGTGTGTATGATAGTCAGGTTTCTGCATTGAATTTTTTATATTAAAACAAGGCCCTTCCCTAGAGGTGAAAGCTTTAATCAATTAATGTAGAGCAACGTTTCTCAAAGCATATTATGTTCAATGTTGTCTCTATTAGATGTTCTGCCAAAAATTCTTTTTTATCTCAAATAAATTTTGGAAATGTGGCACACAGTATTCCTTCTTTCTTGATAATTTGTAGTGCATATTAGTATATTAAATTCCTGAAATATACTATGAAAAAAAGAACCAAAATTCTGCCTTCTTCCCATGACTTTTGTTGTGGAGGCAGTTTGATTTCTCCCTTTTTGATTTATTTAAATAATTCTTACTGCTTAGAAGTCATGCAAGATATGTCCTACCATTCTGACACTTTGGGGGTTAGTTTCATGCTCTTTTTTGTCCTAAAGTTTCTTCAAGTAGCGCCTACACTTGGCAGGGCGTGGGGAAGGAAGTGTGGAGGGAGTTAGCCACCACAAAGCTGTGGTGAATGAATATATTATCTAAAATAATCAAGCTGTACTATAAACTAACAAGTGAAATCCCATAAGTGGTGTGATCAAAAATCCTGAATTACCGAATTATAATTGATGCAGTGATAGTTGTAGGTAGTTCAGGGAAAACTATAGGCATAAAAAGGTGCTAATCTCATATAAGGCCTGAAAACCGTGATATTAAAACTTAACATTGAATAAGTTCAGCAGAATTAAAACCAAAACATCATAATAAAAAATAATGTAAATGAGATTGTCACTTTCTCCAGGGGCCGATGAAGACTCAGAGTAAAAGTAAGTTAGGTTTGATCTCCTTGCCCTGCTGTTTATCCAACTCAACCCAGTCAGAAATCTCGCTGACAGATTCAGGGCACACCTTCTAGCAGTTATAAGTGGCAACTGCTCCACTAGCATTGTTCCCCATTTCATTCCAAATACTTATGACTTCCATGACCTCGCTCTGTCTGCACCTTCCCAAAGAATTCCAGGACACCTATAACAAAAAGGCAGTACCAATCAAAGTTATTACTTCCCACTGCCTCCTGTATCTAATAATAAGTATTCTAGACTTTCACCAACTTGCTTTTATTACTTCTTAATTTTCTCCACCTATGTTCACTTTTCTCTCCCTTTCTATTACAAAAGATTTAATTTCTATATTCTACTAGTCTTTATCCTATATTACTTAAAGCAAAAAATAAACAAATATATAAATGCAAATAAATAACCAGTGCCCTCATCTCTGTAACTCAATGTTTAATTCCTGGTACTTCTAGAGTATAAGTTTGGTACTTTTGATTTAATATTTCCAAATGCTCAAATCCCTAGTTTGTCCATTTTTTAAAACCATAAAACTTTAAATGAGAAAATAGAGAAGCAAATTCCTTGCCCTCCCAACATTGTCCCCACCTTTTCCTTAATTCAGTTTCAGATCATATCAATATGGAGTATCAGTGAGATCTATGTCATTTTTTTCTCATTCTTTATGTTTTAGGGGTTCCAACAACTTCACATAATACATAATCACCTTATTGTTTTGCAACATGGAAATATTTTTTACTGACATGAAATTCTCTTATTTATGCACCCAAAAAGGAAAAAAGAAAAACTGTCGATGTTCAGTTCTGAGAGATGGAGGTCAGAGTATGCTGAAATACCTAAATAAATCTGTAAGTGGCTCATAAATAATTGAACAGACCAACAAGCTAGCTCAATTATACCAAAAAATGATTGCTCAGTACCCCATATTATATCATTTGTGGAAGAAAAAATCTTTTGAAGTTAAATATAAATTTAACCCCCCGTCCCACTGTGTATGGTTTCCAAAAAGGCCTGTCTGGTAAGGTGAAATTTTCCATGCTCAGTTTCAGGTCCAAAGGGGAAACATTGATGGAGACTTGAAGAAAACGCTCAGCAAAGCCTAGTGATTTATGAAGGGTAAAACAAGTTTTTAATTTTATCCTAAAGAAATTATTTTGGGAAAACAGAGTTAATGGAAGATATTTGTGTTAGAATCTCTACATGAATTGGTTACATACTCAGAGATGTTATCAAATAATTTGGGGAAATTTCTTTTCACTCTATGATAAAAATCCATGTGTATATACTCAGAATAAAAATACCAACTACATTTAGAACAGTGTGACAAATAAATTATACACACTTCATAGGTACACAACACTTGGGTGTGAAATGCATTTTTGCCTTGCCAGAGTTTAAT
Organism: Homo sapiens; assembly: GCF_000001405.40. Classification (NCBI taxonomy): domain Eukaryota; kingdom Metazoa; phylum Chordata; class Mammalia; order Primates; family Hominidae; genus Homo; species Homo sapiens. The sequence goes on along the minus strand of NC_000001.11, from coordinate 197,985,710 downwards.
TATATTTATCAATCTCTGTCGTAAGCAAATACTAAGAAAGCCACCACTTCAAAAGTGACTCTTGACATCTTATTTCTGACCCAGAGTTTGTAACAATGCACCTCACTGTCGCAACTCATGACTACACCCCCACCTCCTTCATGACATCTTCCGGGATTAACCCCATCTGAGTTTACATGACGTCATCCTCAAGTGATCTTTTATGAAGTAGCCCTGAGCAGTGCATTGTGCTCCCTTCTGTAGATTGTAGAATTTGTGAGCACAGGAATCAGATCTATTACTAATTTTATTTTTTCCAAGCTCCTAGACCAGGAGGGTGACCTTCATAGATATGTACCATTTATACCCACTCCACCCAGCCCCTGGCCGAGCTTAGAAAAAAATAACCATCTGTCCATAGAAAACATCCTCACATCTTCTACACAAGCGACACTGTCATTGAACTAGAAAAATAAAACAGAAAAGGAATTAAGATTTAGTGACTCTATGAAAATTATGATAATAGTTATCTTTAAATACACGAAAATCCATTTACAAAAAGATTGAAACTAATTTAGTGTGATTTCGTTGGTGAGTGGAAGTAAGGGGTATTTTTTTCACTTTGAGAAAGAATGTATGAATGACTGGAGGAGTCAAGAAAAATGGAATGAGTTTCATTAAGAGATAGTGAATTCTCTTAATACTGGAACACTTGAAACAGAAGCTGTATTACCAGTTGGGATATCACAGAAGAAACTTGAGACTTGAATTGGAGCGCATCATCTCTGAGATGCCTTAGTATCCTCAGCTTCTGATTTGGCAGACTCACTGTCTAACTTTCTGGTGGTCTTTGCTAATTTATTTTAGCCTCTGGTATTCAGACAATTGCCAACACCTAAGATTCTTGTAAAGAAAAGTTTAAATCCTTAACAAAGCCATTCTTACCTCACTTTTCAAATGCTGTTTGTTGTTAACATGTTTTAAAACCTACTGAAGAGCTTTTGATGAAAAGCTTTTACTGGAAAAATAAGTACCCAGAAGATAATTGCACCAGGAAATCAGAATTTTTCCTCAGGAAGATATCATTTTTCAAAAATCAATCTAACATGGCCAATTAACGTGATGGAGAATAGTATGCCTTCACCGAGATAAATACAGGAGACTTCTTTCCTTTGAAATAAATGACATCCTAATGCTCACAGAGGTTCTTGGGAAATTTTTCTCTGACACTGAAATAAATATATGTGATTCATCATCAGAGAATTAGAAACTAGCACTCAGCTAGTTGGTTTATTTCTACTGCAGTGCACAGCTGATTTTGATACTCACAGTGGGCAAGATTTTAGAGTTGAGACTGTTGTATTCCAGAACCAGCTCCTGCATCTACTTGTTTGGAAAAGGGGGGAATGTACCTCCCTCTGATGTCAGTCCCACCATCCGTTCTCCCTATCTCTACTTCTTTAACTTTCCCAGTCTCGAAATAAATTTATTAGACACAACTAAGAAAAAGTCATAATTTGAGAGGGATATTTAGAGAAAAATACCAGTTAGAACAAGTCATTCAGCCCGTAGCTCTCTCCTGCATTCTCAGGGTCTTGAGTGCAGTAATGCATCCTTAGTTTAGACCATGGCTAATGGTTTTTCTCCGAAAAACCTTCCCTGATAAAGGCCACTCATTTAATCTCCAAGCTGCTAGTATTTTTAATACCTCTTTATTTCTTCTTGGTGCATTCGTATAATCACATAATTATTCCATTTATCTATGCCAGATGTGGCAAACTTATAGTTGCAGACCCTATCTGCCAAACCTGATGTCGTTTTATGATCAGTGCTTTAAGTTTTTTGTTAATTTTAATTTCAAAGTTAAGTCTTCTGTTTCACCATACATCCCATTAGTCCCAGATACCTTACCTAGGCTAACATTCACACCTTTATATTACCTGTGTGGCTCCTGTGACCATTTGAATTTGCATCTCTGAATTTTATGCAAAATACTTCCACATTGACTTGCATGTTTGTGTGTCTCTATAGCATACTGCAAACTTAGGATAGCATATATCTCATATCTACTGCATGGTTTCTAACATCCGAAACCATGCTAGACATTGAATAATGGAAGGCTTTTGTTAAACCCTTAATATTTGAGGAAAAAAAATATTATCAGAAAAACGTCTAGAAGTCTATGCTCCTAAGAGTTTCTTATGCGTGTGTGCAGAACAGAGTGAAAATATGACTTTATTCTGCCTCTATGCTAAATAAAACTCCTGTTCCTTATTATGGCCTAATAGGTGGAAACATTTTTTTATAAACAGGCTTAAAATTTTTATTTTATTTTTTACAGAGGGCAAAGGATTGGTGGAAGAAAGAATATGACTTTGTTAAGATTTAAAAAAGCCCCCCTTATTTTTCATCTAACTGGGTCCTGGGCTTGATTATAAACTCCCTGGAGGAGAATGCAGTGGCCATTTGACATTCTCAGCACACACAGGAAGAGATATTTTAATGAGGAGAGTTACTCAGGCTTTTTTTTTTCCAGTGTCCAGAGAAGTCTCATGGAAATACAGTGTCTATTTAAATGAATATGATTTCAAATCTGTCATATGAATTTGGATATGCTTCTCCCCAAGCAACATCTACCTTGAATTGAATCATTTCAAGTAAAATGCTGAAAATAGAAGGCTAAAGGTTTAGAATGAACCAATCGGTCAAAAACAAGGCCAATATATACAGACAAAGAGGTGTGCTAAGCATGTGAGGATCTGGGCAGAGAGGATTTCAAACTAAAAAGATACAATTTGAAATTTAAGTTTTCATCACACATCTAACTATTTTTGGCACATCTCTCTGACTCCTTCCTCCCTGCATTTTAGCTTTCTATTGCCCATTCCTTTTCTATCCATAGTTCCATCATCTCCTTCTCAACACCCTATTGTTTCTCTGGCTAGTCTGGATGCATCATTTTTCTAAATGATTCACATCCATGTCCCCTTTTTCAAGCACGCGCACTGCTAGCCCGCTCTCATGACTGGTTCCATTTAAAACAGACACATGTCAGATACCAGCCTACAGAGCTATTTCAGGTACAGTATTCAATCAGCACATTTAAAACAACAGAAACAAGCACATGCTTGGGAACTTTTATTGAATGGTAAAACATTTGTGCAGTTACTTCCCAAAGAAATGAGTGGATTTTGGAAGGCCATTTCTTCTCTCACAGAAACTCAGATGTTCTTAATTCTTTTCCTCTCAGCACATTGGATTGCATGCCTCTTTCATTTGTATACTCAACTTCCAGGCAAGAAGCTAAATCAGACTTTCAGGGCCAGACTGTCTCTGAACTTTCTTTTCCTTTCTTTAGTCTTATCCTCCATTGGCACACAGATATTTTTTTTCCATATTTCCTACAACACTGTTTTTATTTAGTTGCAATGGATTCTGTAAAGTAACATAAAATTCCTCTTGATAAATTTCTGCAGTTTTTGTTACTATCACTTAGCATCTACAACCAATGGCTAACTTTTTAGAGAAATATATGGCTCATCTGTCATCACACAAAAGCAGAGTTGACCACATCTCCTTTGAGAGTTTTCAAACAGCTCCCAGAGCAAGGATGGTGCCCATTTCTCTACCTGATTAAGTTCTATCAATAGCATTTCCTGAGGCCAAGGAATGATAAAGAAACTGATGAAAAACTATGAAACAGTATGTTTAACAGTTCTTAAAACAATCCCAAAAGAAAAGCACTATTTAATCCATCTTTCAGATAGCTGGAGACAGAAAGAATCTAGTCATTCAAATGACTGTCTTTCTTGACTTATGGTTTTCTACTGTCTCATCATTCAAATGTCCCAGGGAAGCTGATTTAATATTTTTAAATAGCCTAAAATGCCCAAGTGATCATTTTTCAAAGAATTTCTTCATGTGCACATACAATCCAGGAGTCTGTTCATGAGGGGTTCTCTCATTACTACTAGAGAGTACTCCTTTCCAAACAGCTGTTGAGGAAAAGATTATTCATGGGAAACTTCTAATACTTTACACTGTATAAAAATTTTCATAGGATTATGAAATCAAAAAGATTGCAAAAGAACACATTTCCGTGTAATTTTACTGAAAATGGAAGAGACAGTATTTAAATGTTTCTTGCTATTTCTTTCATTTCAATGCATTGAAGTGTGAAGGCAAGTGCATGGGTTTAGGAATCAATCCTGAGTTCAAACAGCATACAGCTATCTACTCTGCAATCTGGGACAAGTTACTTAGCTTCCTGAGCGTTAGTTTCTTCATCTGTAAATTGGGGATAATAAGATCAATCTCACTGATTTGCTAAGAAGATTAAATAAGATTACGTGTGGCTCGGCATGGTGGCACACTCCTGTCATCTCAGCACTTTGGGAGGCCAAGGTGGGCAGATCATCTGAGGTCAGGAGTTTGAGACCAGCCTGGCCAACACGGTGAAACCCCATCTTTACTAAAAATACCAAAAAAAAAAAAAGCAGTTATCATAGTGCCTAACATATAGCATGCATTAACAAATAGAGTTAATAATATAGATTTAAATCAAAACATTGCACAATTATAATGGTTTAGGTTAGACTTTTAAAATTGTCAGAGATACTGGTAAAAGAGCAATCTTATGGGACTCCGGTTAGGTCTATGCATTTTTATTCATGGACTTCTTTATATCATCATTAAAATTTTATTAAAAATTATATAAAATAAACACCAAATTATATATATAAACTAAGCTTAAATTAAAATGATTTGGTATTAGAAGGGATCATGTGGATAGAAATACCTTCAGTTACTCGAGTTGTCATTGCCTTAGTCAGGTGCCCCAAAAGCAGACCCTGCCCTGAGATAAAGAAGCATGTACAAGTGATTTATTAAAGAAGTGATTCCAGGAGACACCAGTAAGGGAGGAGGAAAGCTGAATAGGAGAGGGCAAGGGGCCATTTCAAGCCAAGTCCCAATCTTAGCCTGATCCTACGGGGGGAGCTCTGGAGTACAAATTGTGTGCCAAGGGTGCTCCTGGCAAAGGGAGTTGGGCTTGGCACTCTTTAGTCTTTGGGCTGTGAAGTGGAGGATGGGAAGGTGGGGAATGTAAACTCCAGGCACTCTGGGCTCTGTGGCATGTAGACAAAGCAGCTCCGGTAGCCCAAAGGCACTCTTCCATGCAGAGTGGCAGGTGGGTTATAAAAACCCAAACCAGTCAGAAGCGCAAGGGGAGCAGTTAGGAATAGGGTGGGATGTGTGCTCAGCAACAGTAAAAAGCATCAAGGAATATAAGGGGAGTGGAGTGGAGCACTGACTGTGTCTGCTATAGTCACACATCTTACATTGCATTGATAAGCTCAACTTCATACAAGATCCAGGCTGAGTATGGTGGCTTATGCCTGTAATTCTAACACTTTGGGAGGCCAAGGCAGGTGGATTGCTTGAGCTCAGGATTTCAAGACCAGCCTGGGCAACATGGCAAAACCCTGTCGAAGAAAGGAAGAATAAAAGTAAAAATAAGAATGAGAACGAGAATGAGGAAGAGAATGAGAATGAGAATGAGAACCAGAAGGAGAAGGAGTAGGAGGAGAAGGAGAAGGAGGAGAAAGAGTAGGAGGAGAAGGAGAAGGAGAAGGAGAAGAAGGAGAAGGAGAAGGAGAAGGAGAAGAAGACAGCAGCTTGATGCCCTTACTTGAATGAAATTAATTGCTTAGCAGCCAAGCAAAGAAATAAAATATACCTGCTTTGCAATTGTCCAAGAATGTCCTCACTTAAGGAAGACTAAATCTTTCTCATGTACCCTCAAAATATATACTATTACTAAATATCAATTAAAATATTTTTAAGGAAAATATCCAACAAAAGGAACAGGAAGGGACTAAAGGAGAAAAGAAGACTGAAGCTTTTTAATTTCATGCAGTCCCTTTGTTGATTTTTCTTTTGTTACCTTGGCTTTTGAGATCATATCCAAAAAATCATTTCCCAGACTAGTGTCATGGAGCTTTTTCCCTGTGTTTTCTTCTCATAGTTTTACAGTTTCAGGTCTTACATTTAAGCTTTTAATCCATTTTGAATGTTTTTAATATGGTGTGAGATAGGGTTCAATTTTATTCTTCTGCATGTGGTTACTCAGTTTTCCCAACACCATTTAGGAAACAATTCAGAGTCAAGGGACAATCTATAGATTGGGCAGAAATATTTGCAAATCATATATACAGTAAAGGGTTACTATTCAAAATATATAGGAACTCAAACAACACAATAGCAAGAAAACAAATAATCCAACTAACAATAGGACAGAGAACCTGAATAGACATTTCTCAAAAGAAGACATACAAATGGCCAACAGGTATATTAAAAAAAAAAATGCTCAACAACACTAATCATCAGGAAAATGCAAATTACAACCAAAAGCTATCACCTCACACCAGTTAAAATGGCTATCATTATAAAAAAAAAAAAAGATAAGTGTTGGACAGACTGTGAAGGAAAAAGACCCCCTCTACGCAGTGGGAATGTAAATTAGTACAACCATTATGGAAAACAGTATGGAAGTTTCTCAAAAAATTAAACATAAACCTACTATCCAAACTAGCAATCCCATTTCTGGGTATTTATCTAAGGGAATTGAAGTCAATATGTTAAGAGAGAGCTGCACTTCCATGTTTATTATATCACTATTCACAATAGCCGAAATACGGAATCAACTTGTGTCCACCAACAAATAAATAAATCAAAAGAAAATCTGGTCTAAATACACAATGGAATATTAGCCTTTAAAAAGAAGGAAATTCTAGCTGGGCACGGTGGCTCATGCCTGTAATCCCAGCACTTTGGGAGGCTGAGGCAGGTGGATCACCTGAGTTCAGGAGTTCAAGAGCAGCCTGGCAAGCCTAGCCAATGTGGTGAAACCTCGTCTCTACTAAAAATACAAAAAATTAGCCAGGCGTGGTGGTGGGTGCCTGTAATCCCAGCTACTCGGGAGGCTGAAGCAGGAGAATTGTTGAACCTGGGAGGCGGAGGTTGTAGTGAGCCGTGATAGCGCCACGGCACTCCAGCCTGGGCAACAAGAGTGAAACTCCATTTCAAAAAAAAAAAAAAGGAAATTCTGACATTTGTGACAATATGGATAAACCCAGAGGACATTATCCTAAGTGAAATATGCCAGGCACAGAAAGATGATTATTGCATGATTTCACTTATATGTGGAATCTTAAAACATCAGACTCATAGAAGTAGAGCATGGAATGGTGGTTACCAGAGGCTGGGGATGGGGGAGAGGGGAGAGATGTTAATGAAAAGAAACAAAGTTTCAGTCAGACAGGAGGAATAAGTTTTTGAGATCCACTGCATAATGTGGTAACTATAGTTAATAATAATATAATCTGTATTTCAAAGTTGCAAAGAGAATAGATTTTAAATGTTCATGCCACAAGAAAAATGATAAGTATGTGAGATGGCAGATATGTTCATTAGTTTGATTTAATCATTCCATAATATATGGATATATCAAAACATCACATGGTACCCTAGAGGTATATACAGTTATTATTTTAATTAAAAATTTAAAAAGGAAAAGACAGACTAAAGATTAAGCAAGCCCCTGTGCCCACTCTGACCCTATTTTGCCCCATTCTGTTTCAATTCCAATCCACAAATGTAGGCCAAGGTATGCTGTAAAACTCCAGTGATGCCAATGGTAATATAGGCTCTTCATTACTAATGCACTTTGCAGCTTACAAATTATTATCAAATATGTTATCCACCTGTCACCATGCCCATGAAATAGAAATAATAATCACTATACACTACCCCATTCTCCATTTAATAAATGAAAACCCGGGGCTCAGAAGTTAAGTGGCATAACCAAGGTCGTATAGCAAATGTAAGAATTGGGACTCAATCCCGGGTTTGCTAATTCCAGTGCTCTTTCTAAGGTATCAGTCTGAATGGAAACATACCATGTAGCTGTAGGATGGTGCTGCAGTGGAGAGCCTCTGTTGGCCATCTGACTTTGGACTGCACAGGGGACCCTAGAACAGTCCTACCAGTAAAGATTCTCAATTGGATTTCTGTGAAGTAAGCAGATCAGGGACTCTTCTGTTTCAGGGTCTTCTCTGATGACTCTTGGTCTTTCAACCATCCTTTAAAGGCACGTTTTCTGCCTTTATTCATATCTGGCTCTCTGTAACTCATTAGGTCATCTTATCTACTCTCGGGCTTTCAGCTCTTAACTCTAGTAATATTTTAGTGACCCATGAATCCACACCTCCTAGTTAAAACTACTCTCTAATCCTGAATGTTTATATATCCAACTAACTATTGGCTAACCTCAAATTTTAGACTGTCCCTAAAATTGAACACAGTAAAATCATATTCTGACTTAAACCTGTTTCCATTTTGTACTCCCTTTCTCAGTGACTCCCAGACATTGAAGCTACAAATTTGAATTCATTCTTGACTCCTCATCCCTTACAACAGATCTATTGCTAAGTCCTCTGGATTCCACATTCTCAGCATCTGTCTCATATATACCTTTCTTCCCATCTACAGTGATTTTTGCCAAAGCAGGCAAATGCAACTCTGATCATTCTGTTTCCACACTTAAGAGTATTGGAATTTTTAGTTGCCCCCATCATCTGATGTCCAGACACAATAAGCTTGCTGAGGCTCTCCATGGCTGAGCTTCTGTCTACACTCCTAGTTACATTGACACTGCTTCCTGTGTTCCATCCTCCAGCTACATAGATAATATACAGACACTTGCCTCTTCTTACACCACTCTTTCTCTTCCAAAATGGGAAATTAGCCTTATTTATCTCTGCATTCCAAGTGTCTAAAACATTGTTGACATTTCATGGGTGTTCAATAAATTTTCATTGAATTGATTAATTGAACACCAACTTAGCCAACTGGAATTGTTATATAAACTATCTGATCAATATGTGACAGCTGTTACAGCCACAGTCTTCTCAATCTTTCATTCCATTCACTTGGTTTAGAAATATCCTTGTCTTCTTAAGGGATCATGTCTATGCAGGGTACAGTTGCTAAAATTTTTAGAAAAACTTGGCTTCCATCTCCCAGTAAACAGATTCTTTTTCCAAGAAGTTACTCTTGGTTTTCAGATGACACTTTCTGTTCAAAGAGCTGAGTCATTTTTTCATAAACATTTCTACAGAGCAAAACAAACATTTCTACATAGTCAATTCCAAGTCACATGTTCATCTTAGCAGACAACACAGGTTAGCACCTGCCAATTTCAAAAAAGTGTCATGTTTCTACATGCTTTTCTAGTTATAGAGCCCTGGCAGTCTGATGCTTCAAATTCTGAACACTTCTTCATATAAAATTTTGGGGCTGGGCACGGTGGCTCACACCTGTAATCCCAGCACTTTGGGAGGCTGAGGTGGGTGGATCACCTGAGGTCAGGAGTTTGAGACCAGCCTGGCCAACATGGTGAAACCCCGTCTCTACAAAAACTACAAAAATTAGCTGGGTGTGGTGGCAGGCGCTTGTAATCCCAGCTACTTGGGAGGCTGAGGCAGGAGAATCTCTTGAACCTGGGAGGTGGAGGTTGCAGTGAGCTGAGATTGTGCCACTGCACTCCAGCCTGGGAGGCACAGCAAGACTCCATCTCAGAAAAAAAAAAAAATTTTGAAAGTACAATTAAAAAAAAAATAATCCATATGCATTGCAGCAAATAGGAAAGCATTAAAGTGTATGCATATGGATCTCAATCTGACTTATTATTCTAACTTTCCCTGAAGAGGGGCTCCCAGATAGCCAGGCTCCTGTCTTGGCCTCCTGTGTCTCCCTGTTGCCTAGCACAAGGCTTTGGCCTATGGTGCTCATTGACTGAGTGAACAGATGAATTAATGAATCAACCCTTGAGGACCATAAAAGGAAGGTCAAAAATTACCAGTCGTAACATGTTTTTCAACCATCTGCCTTTGATTGTGAGACTAGAACAGATAATATGCCTACAATTATTTTTGGCTAAATGATTCTAATTTTGCTGGACAAAATTTTGTATTTTTGTACAATGCGTAAAAACTCTATATATGGTAAGGTTCAGGAGGGAAGATGGATCAATCCCATTCACACTGTGATCTAGGCCAGTTTTCATGTCCGTTTACAAGGAAAGGAATGACTTTGTTTTAATGAAGCTCTCATTAGACTTAACTTCTTTTTTATGTACCCAATGTTTTATTTTGAAAATCTTCAAACCTACAAAAATACTAATATAGTACAATGAACACTCATATACCGTTTACTTAGATTTACTAATTTTCAACATTTTGATATTTTTGCTTTATATATGTCTCAAATATTTGTGTGTGTATGTAAATATATGTGTATGTGTGTATTTCAACTTGTTTCTCAACCATTTGAAAGTACGTTGTAATCACGATTTTTTACCCTAAGTTCCTCATACGTGTTTCCTAAGAACAAGGACATTCTCCTTCAAAACCACAATATGATTATCACACTCAGTAAATGTAATATTACACAATAACATTTTCAAACGTAAGTCCACATTCAAATTCCCCCATCTGTCATCAAAATGTTCTTTCTAGCTATGTTATGAAGTGTGTGTGTGTGTGTGTGTGTGTGTGTGTGTGTGTGTGTGAGTTTGGTATCCAGAATCCAATCAAGGACATGACTTTTAGCCATCATGTCTCTTTTTAGTCTCCTCCCACCTAGGAAACTCCCCCTGTCTTTTATTGTCTTTCATAACATTGGTATTTTTGAAGAATCCAGCTAATTGTCTTGCTGATGTAGAATGTTTCATAATCTGAATTGCTTTTTCTTACCTCAGGATTATACTCAGGTTAAACATTCCTTGAAAAAATATTACATGGGTGATGGCATGCACTTTCTATTATAGTGCATCAGTACCTGCATAATGTGACTTTACCCAATCATTTGTGATCATAGATTTGATCTCTTCTTTAACATGATGTCTGCCAGATTTATCCATTGTAAAAGGAAACTTTTCCTTCTTTGTATTTAATCATAGTCTGGGGATAATGCCCTGAAATTATGTGAATATCCTGTTCCATCAGAAACTTACTTAATGGGTTTAATATCCATTGATAATCCTTGCCTGAATCAATTATTATATATGGGATTGAAGAATAGCAATTTTTTAAATTCTATACTTTTTTTACATTTATAAACTGGCATTATTCTGTACAGAAGCTCTCTTACCATCCATCTGTTTTTTGAAGTACCCACACATTATTTTTTTAATCATAGTCTTAATACATTACCCTTCTTTATTGGGGGGTGGGTGCTCAAATCATCCTGTGTCTTGTTAGATCCTCTTCAAGGCAGTTCCTGTGTCCTTTCAACATATAGCCATCATTCTTTGTATACTTTTTTGCTTTCTGATACAACAAAATGTTCCAGTTTTACCTTCTACTTTCCCTGCCCTCAGGATCCAATCAGCCATCTCTCAAAGGAGCCCCGATTCCTTTAAGAAGGCAGTGGAATTTGGAAACCAAAATCTGTTAGCGTACTTAACGCTACAACTTAAACTTTTTGAAAACAGAGAAAGTGTTTGGTTTTGCTCAGTCTCGTATCACCAGTGCCTAAGCAGACGATCGCACAGTGTAAGTGCTCAATAAACACATGTTGGATGTTGACATTCTAAGAAGTGGATACGCTTGCAAAAATTATTATGTTTCTTAAGGGCATTTGAATTTGGAATATCTTTCATCTGCAGAGTCTCTGATCACATTTTATTATGTGACTTTGGCAATCACATACTTAGTCTTGAAATCAAATCTTAAATGAGCTTACTCTTTTCCTTTGTGAATGCTGATCTGGTCATAAGAGTGCTTTTACATTTAGGAGCCTTTTCCTGACAATGAGATATGAATAAACATATCTATACAAAAGACCAGATAAATATGCAGCACAAGTAAGGTAGGAAAAACTTGGTATTCAGTATTAAACATTTTTTCCCATAGTTTACAAATTATACCATTTTGGGGTAGCCCATTTCTTATTTGTCCGCCAACTCTCAATATGTCCAGATATAAGTGGAAGAATGGTACCTACATTTCTTCACTTTAACAGAAACTAGGTTCCTAAAAATTGTTGTATTTGACCTACAACTCTGGATGCTGTGACTGTAGACTCCATTTATACCAAGTATTAAAAGAGTTTTAAGATAAGAATTAGGATTTTTTTGCTCACCCTACTTATTTTTTCCTTAACTTACATCCAGTTCCAAGGGGGTGAATTACATGGCTTACTAGTTTTTTTTTTCTTTTTTCAAAAAGCTACAGTTTTCCGAAATGGCAGACTGCCATTTAAAGCAGAGTTGTTAGGCATCTCTCTTGTGGATTTAAACTGTGGCTGCTGGCTACAAGCTGAAAGGGCCATTTTTCAAGCAGCACTTAGGTTTAGGAGCCAAGAGGGTCCTAAAATCTAAAGTGTCTCTACTTTTACTGGGGAAAAAGAAGTTAATTTTTTTTTAACCAAAAGAGAGTAGATGTTTTCACTAGTTTTTCTCTTTCACAGTCATCATAATTATGAAAGCCATTCATCAAAGAGCTCTGACTAGCATATTTTGGCATAGCGATATATTTTTCTGAAAATGTCACCAGTTTATAAGCCACCTTTCATTATTCCCATCTTAAACCTGCATAGGGATGCTTCAAACGTGCATTTTATGATCTTGATTATGAAAGTAACATTTTATGAAAACCTTTAATAAATAAGTATAATGCATTCTAATTAAATTCTTACAAAGAGTTTTATTTGTACGCCAACAAAGTATACATTAGTGGTGTTATAAAAAGCATTTTCTTTACACCACATTATGCAAAACAATGTATTTAAATGTTTTTGCTATAATTTGTCACCTGTAACACTGAAGGTGACCTCTTAGGACATCAACACCTTATGAAAGGAGAAAACGAGTCCCAACTTTCTCCAAAAGAAAACGCAGTTATGACTATGATTTAGGTCAAATCCCTGAGGCAATGTCATGTTGGTTAAATAATTTGAAAAAAGCATTGAGCAAATGTGTAATTTATAAATAGCAAATTCCATTAGGTCTTCCTTAACAACTTAGCTATTCCTGGTGATGTGATTCCAGGCATTGTCAGAGCAGAATGGCTCGTGGTTAGAAATCCCTCACTTATACTGTCGAGGAACTTCTCTCTGGGTTCAAGTTTCATCAGAAATGGCCCCTTCTAACAGCATTTGTCCTGGGACCATTTTTTTTCTTGCCCCCATCTCCCCATATAGGCTTAAAAAATTATAACAGTCAGTAGTCAGCAGGAATTTAATGACTGCCAACAGGGTGCATAGCATCGTACCAGGCTCCCCTGTTACTTTGATGCTCCTTTTTTACTGCTAACCATGAAACTGGCCTCTGTCTTTGCTGCAGCTGCCTGCACTTTACAATTGCTAGAGGGTCAAACACCTCTCATCTAAGGAAAGTTTGGTTTGAACTATGTGTATAATTACAATCATATAATTATAATCTATGGCAACACATGACTAAAAGTTGAAATTTTTATTATGATTCGCCAAAAATGAGATAATGTTTATTAATTATACTTAGTCAATTTAGATCCCTAAAAATCAATCTAACACATGGTTCGCTTTGATGATTTTTGAGAAATATTTAATAAAAATCATGATTGTATTATTTTCTGTGAGGCATGGAAACTATAAGGAATAAACATTCATTTTTGTGGTTTCCCTATCTCCTACTTTTTTCTTCTTAATATTGAAATATTTAAGTAAAGTGAAACAAGAGGGGGAAGGAAAGAAACCTTAAATAAGGAAGATTTAATTCAAAAAATTCTAAGCTTCTATATTTATTCTTTAGAAAATGCTCACAGCATGGTTTGAGCACTTACTATGTGCCAGGCACTTTGTGACATGTTACAACAAACATAAGTAAGATGAAGTTTTAATCTACAAGAAAACAAACATCCTAAAAATTATACACCAGCTTGGGCAACATAGTGAGACCTCATCTCTACAAAAATTTTTAAAGTAAAAAATAATTATCCACGTGTGATGGCACACAGCTATAGTCCTACTACTCAGGAATTTGAGGCAGGAGGATCTCTTGAGCCCAGGAGTTCAAGGCTGCAGTGATCATGCCACTGCGCTTCAGCCTGGGTGACAGAGTGAGACTCTGTATCAAAAAAAAAAAAAAAAATCAAACAAGAAACTTCTAAGGATTACTCCAATTCAAATGCTGTCATTAATGCCAAAAGATGTTTAATCAGTTATTCATTTGGCACTCTTTATAAGGAAAAAAAATTTGTTAATAATTAAAATGTCCGTCCATTGATGGCTAATTACTAATTGATAATCAATGGAAAAGAAATGGATTAATAAATAATGTACTACCGGGCAGCCATTTAAAAATAGGTCTGTATAAACTGACTTGTACAAGATGTATCATCTAATAAAAAATGCAATTTACTGAGTAGTATTGCCATGTGACCTCACTTCTTTTACCTATATGCAAAATTAATTATACTAAATATTTTAAATTGGAAATCTAACCTAAAATTAGTACATATATATACACAAAGACAATCTGTATCTTACACACACACCCATATAGATAGACCTACATAATAAGTATGTATAATTTTCATAATAAGAGGAAAAAAAATTATGGATTTAATTTAAAATAAAGAAAAAAGAAAAAAATAATAATTGTATTTTATTTTATTTTTTAATAAAATAATTATTTTTTAATAAAATAATTATTTTATTTTAAATAACTTTTATTTTTAAATGAAATAATAATTTTATTTTATTTTTTTAAAGACAGGGTCTCACTCTCGCCCAGGCTCTCTGGGCACAGGTTCACACCAGTGCAGTGGTGTGAACATAGCTCACTGCAGCCTCAAATTCCTGAGCTCATGAAATCCTTCAGCCTTAGCCTCCTGAGTAGCTGGGATCACAGGTACAGACCACCATGCCAGGTCAATTAAGAATTTTTAAATACAGAGGATTCTTTAGTGATATGGCAGATACTGACAATACATCAACTGAGATAAAAATATTTCAAAGCAGCACACATGGCATGGTCCCAATGTCATATTAATAAAAAAAAGAATGTGTGTATGCATGCAAGTACACACATGTATTTGTATAGAGAAAAACTGAAATAGCCACCTAAACATGGAAAGGGTCTATTTCTGGAGGGTAGGCTGTGGTTGATTTGTTTTCTTCTTTGTTATTTTCTTCATTATCCTTTTTTTAAAGTTTTCCAATGTTTCTATAATAAACATCGATTATTTTGTAATCAGAAAAGTAACATTTTTTGAAGAAAAAAGCAATGTAAAAGGGAATTTGTTGCAACATAGTTTGTAGTGGCAAAAATTTAAAAAAAGAAAACCAACCACCAGATAGTTAATATTCTTACTATTAGTTGAAGTGGGGCTGCGGACAGGACGATAGGAAAGGAGAAGAGTAGAGAATATATATGTATATTCACTACTCCATCTATATACACACACATTATATATGAACATTATATACAATACATTCATACATTGCACTATTCAGCTAACAGTAAAATATACTGGGAGCAGCATGCTTCCCACTTCTTGCCCTGCAAACCTGACATTTCCCCTTCCTAATCTCAGGAGTGGGTCCAGATGAGGTGAGCTTCTCGGTCTGATTCTGGACAAGTAGTCCATGAAGTCTTTCTGATGTTG
The DNA here is from genome assembly GCF_000001405.40 of Homo sapiens. Classification (NCBI taxonomy): domain Eukaryota; kingdom Metazoa; phylum Chordata; class Mammalia; order Primates; family Hominidae; genus Homo; species Homo sapiens. Next base: position 197,970,021 of record NC_000001.11, on the reverse strand, counting down.
TTGATGGTGTCACCTTCTCCAGGAAGCCTTCCTTAACAACTCTCCCACTCGCCTGCTAGTAGGCATCCCTATTCAATGTTCCCATAATAACTTTAACATTGAACTGGGAAGGTTATATTTTAAGTGCTAGCTTTCACATGTATCTTCCCCAGTAAACTGTATTATCTTATTCATCTTTGTATTCTCACTACCTACATGGTGCATGTACATGGTGTAGGTAGTACAACCTACATGGTGCAGTAATGATAGGTGCTTATTGAAAGTAAGTGTGTATTGATTAATTGAATGAATTACCAGATCCATTCCTGGAGAAGTCTGCCAGAAGGTTGGAAATTGTGTCACTTCGGGGCTGCTCTGTGACAAATTTAAATGCCAGTGTCAATCCCTAAAGTGATTTCATGACCTGATATCTTTCTAAGTCAAGAGACCAAGTCAGATGTTACACATCAAGACATAAAGTATGCATTCTCAACTGGGGAGATGTCATCCAAACGGAGCAAAAATCTATTCCTGGTGGTGAGGGGGTATCAGAAAAATATGTGTGTTTTATAGTGGTTTGCAGTCTTCCAAAGCTTAATCCTATTTGACAAAATTCTTACTCTTTAGTAATTAATTCTTCTCATTAGGGAGAAATTAAAATAACTTATGATTAAATTAAGATAATTTAATTTAATCAATTAATGTAAATTAAATTCTAATTAGTTAAGTATCGCTGACCTAAAGTCAGTTGTACTCTGCTTGGATAAGGACCAACATTCACCTCCACTATAAGAGATAAAAAATAAATTGCCTAATTAATGAATTCCCATGTACCTTAATTTGATCTGAGGGAACTCAAAGTGCAGATTTGGATCCACAAAATACTCTTGTATTTCTTGCTTATCTCACAGCTGCCATAACGCATCAGCAGGATACAGATACTGACATGGAAGGGACAGAAAATATGATCCTGCAGAAGCAGGGACAGAACACCAGGATCAGTCCATGAGGCAAGAAACAGAGCATGGAAAGAAGGTACATAGAGTTGTGCTTTCCCAATGAAAGACACAACAGCTAATGCAGTAACAGGAGCCAGGGAGGTCCTGAGGCCAGCTTCAGGCATGTCTTAGATCAAGTTTCAAGATACAACATTAGGAACCATGTTGTTGCCACTCTCTTGACTTCAAGTGTCAACTCTGACAGAAAGTTGTGTTCCTATACCTCTTCCTTCAGATAAGGCCAAATGAACACACATGCTATTTTGGACCAAGACTCCTTTGATGTCTGAGACACATTACTGAAGGACTAAACCAGTTATCTAGTCTGATCACTTCCCTTGGCACTAATTCATCCTGGCTCTGGCTTCTTCTCTTCATCTGCCTGCCACTGAGGTCCCAGTAGTCCAAGTTTTCACACCAAGGGCCCTTCCAATTATGACATGTTTATTATGTGATATATTCCTTGATTATACCACTAACAGATTCTGCCCTCTTATAAACTATCATGTGTTACCTGTTCCCCACATTTTGGACTTTAAACAAATGAGGGCTAACATTAGGCTCTAATTCATCATTTTCCAAACTGTGTTCTATAGAAGTGAAAAGACAATCCACGAATGGAAAAAAAAATTTGCAAATCACATGTCTAATAAGGGACTTATATCTAAAATGCATAAAGAATCTTTGTCACTCAAGACAACTGACCCAAATTAAAAATGGGTAAAGCTATTTTTCCAAAGAAGATACACAAATAATAAGCACATGAAATGATGCTTGTTATCATTAGTAATTAGGGAAATACAAATCAAAACCTCAATAAGATAACTTCTTCATATCCACTAGAATGGCTATAATCCAAAAGTCAGATTAGAGCAAGTGCTGCAGAGAATGTGGAGAAATTGGAATGCTTATAAATTGTTAGTGGAAATGTAAAATATTGCAGCTGCTTTGGAAAACTTTGGCATTTTCTCAAATAGTTAAAGAAAGATATGATCCAGCAATTCCACTCCTAGGTATACACCCTAGAGAAATGAAAAACAAATGTCCACACAGAAATTTGTTCACAAATGTGATAGTAGCATTATTTGTATCAGGCAAAAAGTTGAAACCACCCAATTGTGTGTTACCTGGTGAATGGCTAAACAAAATGTGGCAGAATCATACAATGTAATAATAATCAGCTATAAAAAGGAATTAAATACTGATACATGCCACAACACAGCTCAACCTTGAAAATGTATTAAGTGAAATAAGCCAGTTACAAAAGACTACATATTATATGATGCCATTTATATGAAATGTCCAGAATAGACACATTTATAGAGTCAGAAAGTAGAATAGTGGTTGCTTAGGGACTGGGAGATGGGAGTAGACAGAACAAGGTGCTGATAGCTAAAGGATACATATTGTATTTTGATGTGGTCAAAGTGTTCTAAAATTGAAGGTGGTAATGGTTGTACATATCTGTCAGTATACTACAAGCCATTAAATTGTATACTTTAAGTGAATGAACTATATGATATATTAACTATATGTCAATAAAACTTTTCAAAAATGTTCTAAGACCTTAGCTTTTTTTCTCTGAACCTCATGGATTGTCAGTCCAAGAATGCAATAAATATCACTGTTGTTCTGTTTACCATATAGGTCAGAAAAGAAAGAATGACTACTGACCCTTATCCCACACACGCACACACACAGAAGCTAAAAAAGTATCCCCACATTTGGAAGAGACAAGGACTATAGTCATAGTTAGAGGTCATCAAAGTAAAATTTTTCAAATTCCTGGGGAGGGAAGGGCACACTGGCCTGCCACTGCCTTCCCCTGGTCTGTCTCTGATCCTGCCAGTCCACCTGCTCTGATGGCATATGTTAGCAGCCACCCAGCACAAACAAGAAGCCTGTGCTTTAGCTTTCTTCCACCTGTGGAACATGAAAGGACCCTTTTTAATAAATCAGCAATGATCCTAAATTGTATCATCCAAACATAGTCTTTTCCATCTTCAAATCCTGTGCCTGGGCTCACTTGACAGAACTGTGATATCTTGTTAACAAGATATCTTATTCACCAAATGCTGCTTTGTTTGGCTCCTGAATCAATACAGTCTGCATGTTTGCAATAAATGTTTCCTTAGATCAGAGTATCCATAAATAGTTCAAAAATCAGAAAGTAGAGGATTAAAGGAAGTGCCTTTTTCTCATTGTCAGAATTTTTCCTCTAGTCTCTAAAGTCCAGTTTTTGTTATATGTTGACCCTAGTTTGCAAAACCAGGATTACTCCAATAACTATGGGAAAAATAAATTACTGGAGCTAAATTCTTAGGTAAGTTTGAAAAGAAAATCCTCTGAACATAAAAATGAGTAGTCTAAAGAAGAATTAATTAGTCTTCTTCAAGTAGTTGACATTATGAGAAATACCAGTTGTGCAGTCCAAAGAACATAGGAGGGACTTTGTATTTAGTAAGTAGACATTGAGTAAGTATTGTAATATTACTTTAAAATCACAAGTTGGCCAGAGAACAGCTAAGGATTCTCAGCTATGACAATTGCCTTTGTTTCTTCTAAAGATTGAATAGCTGTTGCAGTTAAATAGATGGTAGATACTCAATAAAAGTCTGATCAATTGAATTATCAGTTTCTAGAAGTATTTTGATTAAAAAGAAAATGTTATATTGGGGAAAAAGTTAGACCCTACAAATTAGAACTTACATTAACAACTTAGAAATTTTTAAGAGATATTTGATAATAAAATATGTCAAAAAAAAGCAACAATAACTAGACACCATTACCAAAATGCTCCTCATCTTAAATTGCCAATATTGGTTAAGAAAATCAACATTCATTCTATTGCCCAAGTTGGAAATCACAAGGTCGTCCTTGGCTCCCTGGTTCCATCTAATCAGCCACCATTTATTTCCTTTAGATTCTGCTTTAGCAATCTTCATATCCATTGTTTACTTTCTAGACTAGACCCTCATCCTTTATTCTTTCCTGTATTATTATAAACTGCTCTTCTAAATCACAGTCTTTGCTTCACTTCAACTCCCAGTCTGCATACACATCTGAGCTAATCATGTTACCATGGTGCTCAAAACTCTCCATGGATCTCCATTGCCAGCAACATCCAAATTCCAGGCACAAAAGGTTCTTCAAAATCTGGTCCCAGTCTGACTGCCTGGCCTTATTTTCCAGGCCCGCAGTAGCACCTTCTGGTTGCTCCAGCAACATCCCTCAATTCCTTCTGTAACAAGCCCTGTATTTTCTTGCCTCCAGGCCTCTTGCTGCTGCCTAATATGATATTTCTCTTTCCCATCCCCTTTCCTTTGCTTGTGTCCTACTTATACTTTAGGACTCACCTTACTCATCACTTCTCATTTCCTCTGTGTAGTGCCCTCTCATTCCCATCCCTGAGGCAGAATTAATTTCCTGCTTATCTGTATTCTCCTGGCACCATATAGCTCCTTGCTTATCACTTTGTGTTATGGTTATGTCACTTACATGTCCACAACATTTTTAAAAGAAAAGACTTATTTATTATTGCATCATGGCACTGAGTCTGGCTTGAAGTACATACTGATTTTATTAAACGAAACTTCTATGTAAACACAAGGCAGGCAATACGATTTTTGGACCTTCAGATCTAAAGTTTCTGTTAACCGAAGAGGCAGTATAGTATACTAAGTAAGAGTCCAAATCTAGGCAGACAGAATAAGTTTGAGTCATGACTTGTGTCACTATGAGAAGTTATTTAACTTTTCTCTGACTCAATCTTCTCAACTGTATGTTGTTAATAATAGTACTATCAACTTCAAACAATTTTCCCTAATAGTTCAGGAAAATATGCTTGTCAAGCATGTTCAATAATATCTGTTAAATGTTAGACATACAGAACTTCTGTCATATTGATACAAAGACTGTGCATTACATGTTTTTTATACCAAAATATAGATTTTGTACTATAATCAGGATATAAGGGGAAAATAGAGTTCTCTGAAAACTTAGATATTAGTTATTCCCTGAAAGTAAAAGTAGGATGGGTCAACATTAGAAGGCACAAGCTTTAAGTCAGGCAGAACTGGTCTTAAATCCTAACTTGGGGCCAGGCATGGTGGGTCATGCCTGTAATCCCAGCACTTTGGGAGGCTGAGGCGGGCAGACCGCTTGAGCCAAGGAGTTTGAGACCAGCCTAGTCAACATGGAGAAACCCCATCTCTATAAAAGATACGAAAATTAGGTGGGCATTTTGGTGCACACCTGTGGTCCCAGCTACTCAGGAGGCTGAGGTGGGAGGATCTCTTGAGCACAGGAAGGAAAAGTTGCAGTGAGCTGAGATGGCTCCACTGCATTCCAGCCTGGGTGACAGAGAAAGACCTTGTTTCAGAAAAACTCAATCAATCAATCCCAACTTGGTCCCTTTCAAGCTGTGTACAAAAAGAAAGTCCTTTAACTCTTTGAGTCTCAATTTTCTTACTTCAGAAATAGATATTATAATACACAGTCTGTGAAAACAAGAACCTGGTGGTATATTGTAAGCTAAAAAAATGGCAGTTATTATTATTATTATTTAGAGACAGAGCCTTGCTCTGTTGCCCAGGCTGGAGTGTAGTGGAGTGATCATAACTCACTGCAGCCTCAACCTCCTGAGCTCAAGAGATCCATCCTCCTTCCACTTCAGCCTCCTGAGTAGCTAGGACTACAGGTGCATGCCACCATGCCCTGCTAATTTATTTATTTATTTATTTTTATTTTTATTTTTGGTGGAGTCAAGGTCTCACTGTGTTGCCCAGGCTGTTCTCAAACTTCTGGCCCCAAGCAATTCTTCAGCCTCAGCCTCCCAAAGTACTGGGATTACAGACATGAGCCAGCATGCCTGGCCAGCAGTTATTATTATCATGAAATTGGCCATCTGTGGAAGAAACCCACCTTAAAATATGGCCTAAAACTATGTGACTGAGAGATATTTAGAACCCCCAAGTTCAATCAACATTACTTAGCTACAGGAAAATATGATTGACTGTTAAAGTCACCTATGGTCTAATAAAAGAATGTGTTGGCAGAAGGGCTACAATCTGCATGAGATGCAGAATTCATGGAAACAAGAAGTCCAAGTTTTTGACAGAGTTTACCTCGCTCCGAATCAGAAAAAAAGATGCTGAATCTAGAGGAAGAGTCACAGAAAAACTATGCCCTATTGAGAAGCAGGGAAAATTCACCAGGATTTACCACGGCATCACTGAAGTATCATTTAAACTAATCCAATTATCTTTGCTCTGATTCCACAATCTCCAAGCAGTATTCTATTTATAAATATGTTCTTGCTGGTAACTTAATTCTAGAAACTGGGATCCCTGAATGGCAGAAACAAATACCTGAATGTTGAAAGGACATATTCTCTGGAAATTAATAACTTGTTTCTTTTAATAAAATCAGGTGTTTGCTGTTATTGTTGTTAATTTAGTTAACATGAGCCAGACCTGAAGAACCTGATAAAGTCTGGAAGACATGGCAAAAGAAATCAAGATGCTTTGCCTTCAAACCAGAGGCCCATGTCCCAGGGTATGGAAACTCCATCAAACTACTGCTTCACTGTGAAAATCTGTCTAGCTGGCCAGCCTACCTGCGCCCCTGACATCTCTACTCTGACAATATGTCTTTAAAACCAACCATTAGAGTGTGTTGTGAATGACTCAGTTTGCAGATTTCCATCCCTGAAAAGATCAACCCTTAGATACTCTCTTTCTCATGAGATAGAATGAGAAGAACCTCGGCATAATATTGGGTATCCTGTTCAAGTCTGTACATCAAGGTGTTAACAGAGCAGGGATGAAAATCCTTACTACACCCTAAACTCTGATATCATCTCAAATGCACTTTCATATTTATAGTCATTTATCTCTATAAGATATTACCTGTTATTGCTAATGGGCCAATAGTAAGGAGGATTGTATTAATAATGCCAATACAGGTATGTTAATCTTGGTTAATGTTTCATACCACTTGGTTAATTAAATGAAGAAAGAACTATGTGCCATCTTTCCTCTCTGGTCTTCACTGAGATGCTCCTGACAACTCACCCACAAGAAAATTAGTTATTTAGGCCAGGCACAGTGACTCACGCCTGTAATCCCAGCACTTTGGGAGGCTGAGGCAGGCAGATGACTTGAAGTCGGGAGTTCAAGATCAGCCTGGCCAACATGGTGAAACCTCATCTCTACTAAAAATACAAAAATTAGGCAGGCATGGTGGCACGTGCCTGTAATCCCAGCTACTCGGGAGGCTGAGGCAGAAGAATCGCTTGAACCTGGGAGACGGAAGTTGCAGTGAGCCGAGATTGCACCACTGCACTCCAGCCTGGGTGACAGAGAGAGATTCCGTCTCAAAAAAAAAAAAAAAAAAAAAAAAAAAAAAAATATATATATATATATATATATATATATGTATAGTGTATATATATATGTATAGTATATATATGTGTATGTATAGTATATATAGTATAGTATATATATGTATAGTGTATATATGTATAGTGTATATATATATATATTTAAATGAAAATGGAACCTAGCATTTTATGTTTAAAATATAGACATATCAACATAAGCAAACACAAATGGAATGCCTTCCAAGTGTTTTAAATCAAAGAACTACAGAGAATTTCACAGTTTACTTCTTAGTTGAGGATGGTATCTCAAAATATGGACCGTTTAGTTTTAAAAAGCTTCCTGGCAAGAGAAACCTGTGAGCCAAAAGGCATGCAAAACTTGGAGAAGAAAAACACGACCTAAATTTTATTTCCAAAATCTATTAAATGAAAACATATATTCTATTAAGAAAAAGAGAGAGACGCTCCCCTCCCCTTTTTACCCTCAAAAAGGAGGATGTGTGAAATGTTGCAGCCCCCAGAGAGCAATATTTGACTCACAGCAGACGACGTGGTTTCACACGTTTGTTACTATACTAATCCAAATAGATGCAGAAATACACAGCCACTCGTTCACTAAAGAGTTTCCAGGTTACTTATGAAATTCAGAAATCTTTCCCAAGAAATCTTTTCCAAAAATACAAATTTTCTTTTAGTTTATCACACTTCTAGCATAGAAATATGCTACGAAATGGGCCTATGGTCATATTTATTGAAAATCTTTGTGCTGCAATGTTCCCAAATATTTTAAAAATGTAATAAAATTAATATATTTAAATACACATTTACTAAATTAGTTTTAATATGTTCAAAGATAAAAGAAAAATACACTCCACTTAATAATTTTAACTCATTCTACTAAAGAAAAAGAGGGATGAAGAAGGCCCCTGTTTACCAGCAGTGAGCTCTGTGAATTCACACCACATCACCCAAAGTCTTTTGAGTATGACAGAATAGTGATCCACTGGCAAGAGCCAGCCTGAACCAGCAATTAACTGTGATATATGCTATTCCCCAAATGCTCTCAAGTCTCAGGAGAGAGATTGCTCAACATGTCAACAGAAACGCAGTTGTGCAAAAAAACTGGACGATGCAAACTATACATCTTCCAAAGTCCCCATTTAAGCCAACCTAGTAATATAAAGTCATCACACCTGGGGTGTTACCCCATCCCACAGTCTTCTCAGAAAACTTCCATTATCCACCCCCACCTACAGAGAGAAATTTGGCCTTCTGATTTGTACCAGATGACACCGCCTCATCTTGTGACCACAGTGGTGCCTATCAGAATTTCTCTCAGTGGTTTGGAATTGTGAGAGAGGCAAGTCAGTTAGCTACTCTATTCCCTCATTTCAGCCCATGTACACTCAGGGGCAGTGGTGCAACCATGTTGAACACGTGCTGAGTAGCAAACACTCAACCACAGGAAAGTGAGGTGGGTGGGAGAAAGTAAAAGTCAAGAGAGAAGCCGAGGCAAAAGACCCTGTGGGGCTGGAGAGGGGAGGAAAAGCGAGCCGCTACCTGGTCCCAATGTCATTCCAGCCCCTATTTCTAGTCCCTCAGATTCAACCACAATTATTTCTTCTTATTTTTACTTTTTAAAATGGACAAATCATGATTGTATACATTTATGAGATACAATGTGATGTTTTGAGTATGTATACAATGTGGTATGTTTAATGCAAGCTGATTAACATATCTATCACCTTGCTTTCCTATCACTTTTTATAATTATAATAAGACATTTGAAATTTACTCTGTTATTTTGAATTAGATAATACATTATTATCGACAATAGTCACCCTGGTGTGCAATAAAATCTCAAAATCTATTCCTCTTGTCTATCTGAAACTTCGTACCCTTTGATCAACAGCTTACTCCCTATCCCACAGATAAATGGATAAAGAAAATGTGGTATATGTCCACCATAGAATATTATTCAGCCTTTAAAAGGGAGAAAATCTTGTCAATTGTGACAATGTGGATTAATCTAGAGGACATTATGCTAAGCAAAATAAACCAGGCACAAAAAGACCAATACTGCATGATTTCATTTACATGTGAAATCTAACCAAGCTCAACTCATAGGAGAAAGAGTAGAATGATGGTTACTAAGGGCTTGCAGGGTAGGGAGGTAGGGAACGGGAAGTTGCATTTATTTCTTCCCGTTTCGTTTTCCCTTAAGCTAGTTCGAATGAGTTTTCAACTTAAGTCTGTTACAGCTCTTCTTACCGTCCTCTTTTACACATCTAATCATGTCCTATCCTCTTCCCACCACATGAAGCATACCACCTAGAAATCACATACTTCTTCCTAACTGCTCCCTTCTCATACTTTTCAGGTAGAATTTTGTGAAAATGTTTATGTAGGTATCTATTGCTGCAGTAAATTAGGCAAGTTTGAGAATAATCAATATTTGTTCTCACTTCTCTCTTGAATTTGGGACTTTTAGGCCCCTTTATTAAAAGGAATTTCCTTTTAAAATCTACTTACCTTTAATCAGAACCAGAAACATACAATCAACATTTTTCAATAACTGTAACAGCAATAGCAACAACTAAGAAGCAGTTGTTTTTCCCTTCACTTTGATTTCTGGTTAGTCTGTCTGGTGTGCTTGTTTCCACCCTTTAAAAAATAAAGAGAAAAGACTTTCTACCTGAATTTCCATATTTTTAATGATTTAGCACATTGACCTGCCAAAAATCCCAAGGCTTAAAAACCCTAATAAGGCCTTATAATAATAGAGTTTCTCCTCAGAACAAACTTCTCCTCAAGAGCACCTGAGTCAGCTGGTTCAAAATGTAACAAGTTTCCTAACAAGCCCTCCTACTCCACATCTCAGCAAAACCAGAAAGGAGAATAGTGTTCCCAGGCACAAACCAGCAATCAGAGAATTCCAAGTACAATTCAAGCCAATGCAAAGAATTAGCAAGGAGACACCTCCAAACTCAGAAACAATATGGACTTTAAAAATATATATATTGACATTACAGTTTTGGAAACATAAATTGCATCTTTTTTTCAGATGTGGGGCTCACAATTTTTCTGGCTAAGATAACATGCTATCATTATAAATACACATAAAGGTCTATTTTTTTTAATATGAAGGGTGGGACATTTCCATCTCAATGCACATTAACAAACTTTTTTGGTCTCTTGACATTAGAGGTCTTTCTCTACCTCTCTTCCAGGTGAAAACCACCTGGCAAGGTGACACCTTGTACATATGAAATCCGAATTTAAAATTGCCTTCTAATGTCAAGGGTTACTAAAAAATAATGTTGACCTGCTCTTCTCTCTCTTCCCTAAAGAAAATAAAAAAGGACATAGGATTTTAATTCAATAAAAGTGTTTTACAAAATCTACCACCTGAACAAGAATGTTTGGCAGCAAATGACCAACTCACCTGGGTGGTGGCATTTTCTTCCCCAAGATGTTCAGAATTGGTGGGAGAATGTGAAGTCATCTGAACTAGGACCTCTTGAAGTTGCTTCCAGGCATGTGGTTTTATTATTCATTAACTTCCAGGAATACAGTAACATTTTTATTAGCCTGCCCTCTCCTTGTGGAAACAGTAACAAACAGAAGTTGCAGCCTTGGGGGCACTTTTAAAACTTTAAGACTCTCATTAATTAATGGATTTTACCTGTTAGTCAAAGGCCTTTCTGTAAATTGGATTTGAGGACTCAGGACACAGTGGCCACAGTCTCCATTTTAAGAATTTCACTCTCTGGTCTCCACCTCCTCTCACACCAGCTCACTTCCTCTGGTACCATGACTCCAGCAATCCTTTGCCAGCCCAGGGAACCTCAATCTGTTGATCCGCCACCTTTTCAAGGTCCCTCAGCCCCATCGTGTCATCACTGTTCTGTAACAGCTCAGCCTTCGTAGTTCATCATGATAATTGCTCCCTTGGTTAGACCCTTCACTCCATGGGCCCTCTCTCACCTTGTCTTCCTTGTTTGGCAAAACTCCAGCTCTCTGCCTAATCCATGCCTGCACCTGCTCAGCTGATTGTGGCTGGAGACAGGCCAGTCTCTGTTTAAATTCACAACCGTAACCTTAAAGGGGACCCTTCCAACTGGCAGGAAATTCAGCCATCATTTCTGAGTCCATGCATTCTCGCTTTCCCAAACCATTGTTTCATATCTTCTTTTTCATCAAACCTCTCACTCCTCCTTACCTATTTTCTCTCTCAGTTGTCACCTTTCTTCCTTTTTCACTGAGAAAACTGAAGTAGTCAGTAGAGAATTTCCACAAACTCCCAAACATCACATTTACCCACCCCCTGCATCTGTGCTACAAACTCTTTTTCCTGTTAGTCTGAATAAATGCCTGAGTTTTGGGGGGGACACCACATTCCATCTCCTCTCACCTATTGGAGAATGTCACTCCAGCAAACCTCTCCTCTCCTTCCCCACTATCAGTTTTCCCATCTCTGAGATATCTTTCCCACCAGCAGACACACATCTTGTCACTGATTGCATCTTAACTACTGCTTACTACCTGCTCACTCAACATCTCCCCTTGAATATCAAATACATATCTCAAACTTAATTTGTCTAAAGCCAAGATCCTGGTGTCCCATCCCCCAACTCCAGATCCTTCCTCCCACAGCTTCCCCACCTCAGCCAATGGCATCTCCATCCTCTGGTTGCTGAGTTTAAAATTTTTGGAGTGATTCTTAATTCCTTTCATTCACATCCCATATCCAATCCTGTCAACAAATTATTTGAATCTTACTCTCAAAATATATTCAAAATGTGATCACTTCTTGCCACCTCCATTACTCTAGCCTGGTTAAATCTACCATCATTTCTCAACTGAACTATCACAATAGTCTCCTAAAAAGTTTATCAGCTCCTCAGACTTTTCTCAACACCACAGCCCAGGTAATCAAGCTAAAATGTTAGACATTAGACGTCTTGGGTCACATCTCTGCTGCAAACCCCCCAGTGGCTTCACATCCCACACAGAGTTAAAACTACAGTGTGATGAATGCCTTACAGAAAAGACCCTGCATCATCAGCTTCCCCTGCACCCATTAAGGCTCTGAGCTCAACTCTTCAGGCTCTCACACTTCCACCACCCTGACCTGTTTTCTGTTCTTTTCTGTTCCTCAGGAGCACTCAGGCCATCTCACGACAGGAATTCTCATTTCACAGATAGCTACATGGCTCTCTCTCTCTTCCCTCTTCCAGGTCTTTACTCAGCTGCCATCAACTGTCATTGAATACTATTTTTATATTGTGCTTAGGTTGGTATTTAAGCTCTCTTTGACCATAATAGACAATAAACTAGAATACAAGCTTCATGTAGTCTGCCTGCTACCATATCCCAGCACCTGGAACCGTGCCTGACACATAGGAGGCCCTCAAAAAAAAAGCTTGTTGAGTAAATCAAGAATGATGTGATAGCTGCCAGGTCACTTACTACCCTAGCTTGCAGTGCATCCATGTCTTAGGTGGTACCCTTTTGTTGCCTTTAAAGCAAGGATAATTAAATGTCACTCTCACTATCTCACCTTTGGGCTGGTAGGATGCAGACTGATAAAAATTAGAAGCAAATAGAAGACAGCTAATAGAGATCAGATATGGCAGACTGTATTGGTCAGCTCAGGCCGCCATAACAAAATACATGATTGTTGACTTCAACAACAAAAATCTATTTCTCACAATACTGGAAGCTAGAAGTTCAAGATCAAGGGTCTGGCCAATTTGGTTTCAGATGAAGACTCTCTTCCTGGCTTCTAGACAGCCACCTTCTTTCCATGTCCTTATAAGACCTTTCCTTGGTGAATACCTAGAGAGAGAAAGAAAACCAGCTCTCTGGTGTCTTGTCTTAGACTTCAACCCCAGGGACCTACCCTTATGAACTTATTTGATTTTAATTACTTCATTAGAGACCCCATCTCCAAATACAGCCACACTGGGAGTTAGGACTTCAACATATGAATTGCGGGGGACACAACATTCAGTCTATAACATGACCTGGTTGAGGCTGAGCATAAAGTAAGCCAACTTGTATTTTTCTTCATGAGTATAGCATATATAGGATTCAATTCCTAGAATATCCTTCTGTTTGTCCTCACACATGATATTGTTTGATGGTATATGATTATGCTTTTCTTTCCTGATATAATTATTATAAGTTTGTTTAAGATGCACAAATCTGTCACATTATCTCATCCACAAAAACAAAATAAAAGCATTACTTTAGTACTGACTTTTAAGGTTCTACTCATTATCTGATTCCCTAGTAATTAACAAATGGTCCAGAATTTACAAGTGCTTTCCTTAATTTGTTAATCTATCTATGTACAAGTATTTGCTATGCTCAAGTACAGGTACAGGCCCCAAAAACCACAAAAGAGGCACCTGGTGCTGTCCCCAGATGGAAGGAGCCTACAATCTTAGGGGAAAATATTTACACAGAGCACACAGCACTCAAATAGTGAAATACATGATAGAGTGACATGACAAGGTGCCACAGACAATACATGCTGTAGAATATCAGAAGTTTTCTGTGCACTTTGAACTAAATAAAGCCTCTTGGTGGCATTTCTACATATGAAAATAGTGTTGGTTCATCCCAGTGAACTTTAGTCATATGTGACATGAATTTCAAAAGTGAACACATTGAAAGCCAATGTGTCCTGATCAGGAGAAGAGAAACACCCCACAGCTCTGCTTTCTGATAGCCAGGGAGGAAAGGATATCTTCTCTTCTGACACTGGTCAGATTTAAGGGAGAGGAGGAAAAGTCGAGATACTGGTAGAAATGTTTGCCTTTGAGTGTAGGCTCATTGCTTTTTAAAATCAAGACCCACGTGGCAGTCACCAGAAGGAATTTACACATAAGACAAACTGTTATCCTGAGGAGTACATGCGTGGGTGGAAGAGAATTTCTTCTTAAATATTGTTTTCACACTGGTGAATGGATGATGAAGTGTTTGCAGTCTTTCGGGGGAAAAAATGTTGTCTCCTACCTAACTTACTGGAATGAGCACAAAAAATTTGGCAAATTTCCTGGCAGAATGTTACTGTGTAACCAGTAGGAGAATGTGAAATATAATATGCCTAAAATTATCTAATCACATTTTTTAAAAGCCCTAGACTTATTTTAGTTCAATTTTGTAAAATTTAATTCTATATCTATGGAGTATTCATTACACAAATGAATGGATACAAAATATTTTGATAGTTTGTTATATTGAAAAATATTGTTTATAAAGAGATATATTCTAAAACAAAGAGTTTTCCCTGCTTAGAAAATCAAGGGCTGCGTTTCTGTGTATTTCCTGGTTGTTAATGAATATTGATGGCAACTGGACTGTGCCAGGTTTGACACTCTGTCACCTGGTGTGAGTACAAGGGAAAGTCAGTCACTTTCAAGGCACAGTACTTCCCTATAACAAGTCCTTGTACTTTGAACAGTGCACGTTCTATAGCAGCTCTGAGTATTTTGCAATTTATCTCTGAAAAGGATTTGATGCAACGATAGCTGTAGAATCTTCTCAGACAATAGCGATGTTTTCAGCACCTTGCCTTAAAAAGTAGAATCTTAATGGGCTATGATAACTTGTTCCAGGGCCTGGTTTTTATCACACAAAAACCAAGCATTACAAAAATTTTGACACTCTTTGTCCTGCTATTTGGCTTTGTCAACATCATACAAGAGACTGTAGTGATAGAAATGGTGTAATCCCCTGATGGTTTCTTCCTGCCTGCTGCACAAGTAAAGACCACAGCATTGAAGTAAAGGAAGAGTTTAATTGACAGAAGACCAATCATGTCATGCCAGAGACAGAGTTATTACTCAAATTAATCTCCTTAAAGGCTCACAGGTTAGGTTTTTTTTTTTTTTAATTAGTTAGGGGGAAGGAGTGGGGGTGGCTGTGCAATGTGTGCTTAACTGCTGATTGGTTGGGGAGAACATGAAGTCATAGGGGGTTGAAGCTGTCCTCTTGCATTGAGTTGCTTCTGGGTGGGGCCACAGAAGAGTCATTGGTCAATGGGTCCAGGTAGAGCCATGGGTGTGAGACATGCAAAAAACCTGAAAAGATACCTCAAAAGGCCAATCTACATAGTGAGGTTATATGCAAAGGTAACTGACAAGTTGCGTATCTTGTAACCAGTCTACACCTTAGCAGAATTCAGATTCCTCTCCTCCCCATAGCCTGGTGGTCTTTCATTAGCTTACAAAGTTGAGTTTTGAGGAAGGGCTATTATCATTTAAACTATAACCTAAATGTCTCTCAAAGTTAGCTAGGCCCAAAAGCCCAGGAATAATTGAGGAAAAGGCAAGATGGAGGTTGGGTTAGACCAGATCTCCCCACTGCCATAATTTTCTCACTGATACAATCTTTGCAAAGGCAGTTTCAGTGGAGCACATATTAGTTTGGAATATGTGCTTCTGTACAGGAGGTGGCTTTGGTATTTCCCAGAACCATTGTTTCTTTATAAATAAGACAGATAACAGATAAGAAACAAAAAATCAATATAGATATAATTTCATCACCCCCCTCCAAGACAAACAAAAAAATGTTACTAGCCCACCTCTTCTTATACTATTGCTCTCATGCTCAAACCTTTCCTTTTTTCTCTCCACTTTCCACCTAAATTTACATTCTTCCTTTGCATGAATCCCAGGTTCCAGGTGAATGAACTTATTCTCTTTATCTCCAGGCACATTGTTTGATTCCTCTCCTTTGTACTATTGCTCTGTTAAAGCAAACTAAGTATGGCCCAAGAAGTTCTCTGAACTTCTATATTTGAGTCCTTGTGGAGGAACCGCAACCTAGCTTAATAGGTTGACAGACTGAAAACCTAACTCAGGAGTATGCACCTGTAACAATGGCTAAGTATTGGCCAATCTCAGTGGCCATACTTCAACCATTCATCACTGCTGAGTGTTCAAACTGTGTCCAAATAAGGCAAACACCAATCTGTAGCTAATCCAGCCGTTCTGTACCTCACTTCCGATTTCTGTACGTCATTTCCCTTTTTTTGTCTATAAATCTTCTTCCACCACGTGGCTGCGCTGGAGTCTCTGTGAATCTGCTGTGATTCTAGGGGTTGCCTGATTCACAAATCATTCATTGCTCAATTAAACTCCTTTACATTTAATTTGGCTGAAGTTTTTATTTTATCAGCTCTAACTGTCCCTTTTTCATGTATTTATTCATCCTACTCCACCCTGAGAATTCAACCCCTCAATTCTTCTTAAATTTCCTTTAAGACTCACTTTATATCTTATGAACTAGTTGTATGATCATTTCAATCTGAAATGATCTTTGTTTTCCATAAACACCAATAATAATTATTGGCCATAAAATTGATATAGCCATCAATTACGTGCATCAACAAGAGGCAAGATCATGTAATGTCTTTTCTATTTCTGGCTGCCACAATTTTTAAATACTGTATTTTTTACGAAATTTCTCCTATTTACTATTTGACCCTGTAACTGCTCAACAGGTTCAATTTGCCCACTGCCTAGACAGAGCCGGTTTATCAACACAGGGGAATTGCAATAGCGAAAGCATTTAATTCACACAAAACTGGCTGTACAGGAGAACGGAGTTTTATTATTACTCAAATCAGTCTCCCCACGTATTTGGGGATCAGAGTTTTTAAGGATAATTTGGTGGGTGGGAGGCCAGTGAGTAGGGAGTGTGGATTGGTTGGGTTGAAGATGAATCATAAGGAGTTGAAGCTGTCCTCTTGTGCTGTGTCCTCTTGTGGGGCCACAAGACCAGATGCACCAGTTTATTTATCTGGATGATGCCGGCTGATCCATTAAGTGCAGGGTCTGCAGAATATCTCAAGCACTGATCTTAGGTTTTACAATAGTGAGGTTATCCTGAGGAGTAATTTAGGGAGAGTCAGAATCTTGTAGCCTCCAGCTGCATGACTCCTAAACCATAATATCTAATTTTGTGGCTAATTTTTTAGTCCTGCAAAGGCAGTCTAGTCTCCAGGTAGAAAGGGGTTTTATTTTGACAAAGGGCTGTTATTGTCTTTGTTTCAAAGTTAAACTATAAACTAAGTTCCTCCCAAAGTTAGTTGGGCCTATGCCCAGGAATGAACAAGGACAGCCTGGAAGTTAGAAGCAACATGGAGTTAGTCAGGTCAGACGTCTTTCACTGTAATAATTTTCTCAGTTATAATTTTGGTTTCACACCCAGAATAAAATTGTAAATTTCTTGAAGATGGTGACCATATCATAGTCATATGTTTAATTCCCTTAAGCAATGGTTCTCAAATTGTGGTCCATGGACCAGCAACATCAGCATTACCTTGGAAATTGTTAGATGTAAATTTTTATGTGACACCCAAGACCTTCTGAATCAGAAATTCTAGGGTTCAGGCCCAGCAATCTGTGCCTTAACAAGCCTTCAGGTGATTCTGATGCTAAAGTTTGAGAATCAGTGCCCTAGAGCATCTAAAACAGTGCCCTGAACACTTATACAATCCATATCCATTCGATAAATATTTATGAAGTGCCTACTACATGCCTAGCATTATGCTAGAAATACAGTGCAAAGTAGAAATGGTCCCTGGCTGCATGCATGAGTTTGTAGGCTAGTGAGGGAGACAGACATTATTAAGTAATCTCACAAATAAACATAAAATGGCAGCTGTCATAAGTTGTATAAAGGAAAGGCACGTGATGCTGTGAAAGCTTATTGTGGAAAATTGGTCTTGTCTTAGGTGTGCTTCTGAAAAAGTGTCACTTAAGCTGGAAATGAAGGATAAGTATGTGTTTTAACAGGTCAAAAGGGACCAAAGCACATTCCATGCTGAGGGAGCAGCGCTGCAAAGGCCTGTGTTGAAGGAGAACGTGGCCAGTGTGGCTGAAGCCCAGGAAGTCAGGAGCATAAAAGATGGTCCTTCCATCTCAAATATAAAACTCTGGCCTTTTTTTGTAAAATGCTGGAGAGCAATCTAGGAAGGGTTTAAAGCAGGATGACTGGGGTGGGGTTGGGGTCGTAACATTAGAGTTATGTTTTGAACACATCACATAATTTGGGAAATAAGTTAAAGGGGTCAAGAGTAGCTGTAGCAGGACAAGTTAAAAATGTTTGCTGTAGTCTAAAAAAATAAAGATGCTAGCTTATACCACAGCAAAGGGGAAAGTGAATTTGAAAAACATTTAAGAAGTAAAATGTTTAAAAACATTAAGAAGTAGAATGTGATGACAGATCTGATATTAAAGAAAACTAAGTGTCAAGGACCACTCCAGGGTTTCTAGTTTGCATAACAGGCAATCATGGGGTCATTCCTTAAAATAGCAAACATTGGATAGAGAGTGGATTTACCTGAGTACACATGGACACAAAGAAGGAAACAGCAAACACTGAGGCCTACTGGAGCAGGGAGGGTGGCAGGAGGGTGAGGTCCAAAAAACTACCTATAAAGTACTATGCTTATTTCCTGGGTGACAAAATAATCTGTACACCATACCTTCACAACATGCAATTTACCTATATAACAAATCTTTACAGGTGCTCCTGAACCTAAAATAAAAAAAAAAGTTTAAGAAAAATAAATCTACTATTTTTTTTTTTTTTTTTGAGATGGAATCTCACTCTGTCACCCAGGTTGGAGTGCAGACATGATCTCGGATCACTGCAACCTCCACCTCCTGGATTCAAGTGACTCCCCTGCCTCAGACTACCAGGTAGCTGGGATTACAGGTGCATGCCACCAAGCCCAGCTAATCTTTTTTATTTTAGTAGAGACAGGGTTTCATCATGTTGGCTGGGCTGGTCTCGAACTCCTGACCTCAGGTGATCCTCCCACTTTGGCCTACCAAAGTGCTGGGATTACAGGCTTGAGCCACTGCACTTGGCAAAAACCTACTTTTTATAGCAATTTTGAAATATTAAAAAAGAATATACTACTTTTTATAGCAATTTTGAAATATTAAAAAAGAATATAAAAAAGCCTTTACTATTTTCAAAGAAAAATTAGCATTTCTAAGAGCTATGTATGGAATTACACTAATCATTTTGGAGTAGAGGAAGTTCACAGATAAAATCTACTACCTTTGAGGGTAAACATGTATTGTTGGAATTATCAAGCCCAACATAAACAGAGGTGTGGTGGGGACAGTAGAGTGGCTTAATGGTTGTGTCGGTAGTTTATCTGGGTAACCTTTAATGTTGTTTACAGTCCTGAGATATCAAGTAGCAATCTTAACTGGCCCTTTAAGTGTCATAAACTGAAGTTTGCAAAAATGTTTTGAAATAAAAAATATTATATATGAAAAAAGAAAAGAAAGTGGGCTTAGGGACTGATCTGTTTCTCCACCCAAATCTCACGTCAAATTTTAATCCCCAATATTGGAGGTAGGGTCTTGGGGGAGGTGATTGGATCATGCGGGTGGATTCTTCATGAATGGTTTAGCACCATCCCCAGTGATGTTCCTGTGATAGTGAGTGAGTGAGTTTTCATGAGATCTGGTTGTTTAAAAGTATGTGGCACCTCCCGCCTCTCTCTTCCTTCTGCTCTGCCCATGTGAAGTGCTCGCTTCTTCTTTGCCTTCCGCCATGATTGTAAGTTTCCTGTGGCCTCCCCAGAAGCAGAAGCCGCTATGCTTCCTGTACAGCCTACAGAACCATGAGCCAATTCAACCTCTTTTCTTGATAAATTACCCAGTTTCCAGTATTTATTTCTTTATAGCAGTGTGAGGACAGACTAATACAGGGACAATCAGGAGATCAGTTGGCATACAAGACAAAAGATGAATAAATTGTTGTGCAAATTTCATGAAAAGGCTAAAGAATGTGGGTCCACAGATGGAAGGGTGTGTTTGTGTGTGTGGTGGGGTCTCACGAGGTTGCTCAGGCTCAAGTGATCCTCCCACGTACCTGGCACACTGCACTGCACACAGCTTAGATGGATTTCCCCTCCTTTATTATGACACGAGGGGAAACGCTGAATTTTGATGTGGCTAAGTTGGTATGTTTTAGCAGAAAGTTGATGCCGTTCCCATCTAATGGATTCTATTTCCTAGGAAATAAGCCAGGCCATTTGCTTAGAATAAGTGGAACATAGGATTGGTGGTACTGTGGAGAAGTTGGTGTTAGAGGTTTGAAAAGGGTGGAACAACTGAAAAGCTGTTGCAGAGAGTAAGATTAATCAGAAATAGTAGGTAGGATTGCCAGGAAATATTGAGGTTAGTACTGAGAACTTATCATAATACCCATCTGACCTATCATGCAAAGTTCTCTCACAGAGGCAGTTGTTTTACTGTGGTCGTGAAGAAAGTGCATAGTTAGGCTCAGCCAAGTTTTAACTTTTGTCATTCAAATGTGCTGAAAAGGTGGAGTGAGAGGACTTGGAGTATAACAAACAGTGTATAGATGAGTGAATGAATGAAGAGAGATAAATGAATTCTATTCTATAAAAATTTTACTCAGGTTCTTAAAATCCATGTATGAAAATAATCATTGCTAGACCACTTCACATATGACTGCATATCATAGTAACCTTAGAATACTTGTAACCTTGCTTGAAGGCCGCCCTCATGTAATCATTCTAGCATTTGCTTAGGATTTTGGCTGTCACCTCCCCTCTTTATATGTTCCATCTGATGAGCCCAAATTGCAGTGAGCTTGACGGTAGCATCAGGGGCTGACCCTGGGGATAGGTTCCAGGATCTCATTACTGGTGACCTGATTGAGAATGAAAAGGCTTGAGTTATGCCTGTGGCATTGATAAAAGCCACTGTGTCCCTTCAAATGCTCTCTAGCAGGGGTCGAAGCCAGCCTCTGTCTGCCTCACCTAGGTGATATGTGTCTTCACTCTGAATCAGATAAAAACAGAGATATGTCCTTCAAAAAGTTTTTAAAAGGGGAGTTGGGAAGGGATGGGGAGCTCAACAGGCTAGGAATCATCTGAAAATCCATTAAGAAGTTACATGAAAGTACAAAAATTATATCTATGTGTATACTCTGTCCTACTGTCCCTTCCCTTCTCCACTGATCCCTGCATGTTGAATACCCAACCAGAAGTCCTACTAATGAGTCACTTCCAAGCGAATGCAAGGATTTGAAGGCATTCGGCATTCACCTTACAGCTTTCAGGCTCTGCAGTAGCACTCACAAAACTGGCCCTTCATTTGAGTGCACCTTTGGGTCCCTCCAATACAGATCATGCACTGATCTGGGCCTATCCTGGCCCTTTAAAAAAGAGTAAAACATAGAGTAATCCAGAGAAAAACTTCCATCTCTTTTCTGTGGGACCCTTCCAACCACAATGACTATATGATACTAGTCCTTCCTGCATCTTTGTTTTGGGAACACGAAAGGGTGGTGGATATCATCTCTTTCCTTGAATCTTGGACCTCCCATATTGCCTACCACCCTCAACTCAGCCTCCAATCCTCTTCTCCATCCCCTACATTACATTTTTATTCCCTTGAGATCTAACGAATGTTCTATCATTTTATTCTTATATAGAGTTTCTAAAGAATGCCCTTAATTGAAACAAAACTCAGAAAATAAGTTCTGAACTCTATATAAGAATAAAATGCTAGAGAAGGAACGAAAGGGAATGCTGTCATAGCTTCAAATAAATCAAAATATAAGAATTCAAGGAGTATTGCAGGATGATCATTTTTCGAATTGCTGATGGCTCTTCCTGATGGACCTTCATGTAAACAAATGAGGACAGAAAAGGAGGGAAGTTCAGGGGAGTAACAGTAGCAACCAGCCTCTTTCACAAGGTAGTGTGGCAATTCTGGTAACATTTTAGAACACCAGACACCTTTACACTCAATATTTACTGAGGATCCTGAAGATGTCTGTTTTTGAAGTTTATTTATATCACTATTTATGGTAGTAGAAATTGACTCTCATATCTGGTTCTGCTTTCAATCTAAGACATTATTTTGGTTGTACTATATAAAGAAAACTTGGCCTTATAAGGATATGTAATTAGAAAATAGAGGAATATTTTAAGAGCCATATAATTGCCAATAGTCTTCTTTGACACTACACCAAAACATGACAATGTTTTTTAAAGGTCAGTTGCAATATGGAATCTGGCAACACAACAATAAATTTCTCATACTCTGAATATTCACTAGAAAATATGAATGAAAATTACAAATGACAACTTAATACTACTATACAAATACTTTGACCTTATGGAAGCCCGAAAAGTGTCTGGGGTACCCACAGCAGTCTCAGGACCATACTTTGAGAACCGTTGCTTTAGAATCTCTGCAAGGAGTTTGCGTGACTCTGACATGGAATAGATGGATTCAATTATAAGAATGAGGTATTATCACCTCTTTCTCTAAAAGTATGTTTTTGACTGACTGGAAAATATAATGGAATCATGAAACATTAAGATTGATAAGAACATTGAGATAATCTCATCTCAGTCACTTATATTTAAGAAAAGGAAACAGAGTACTGAACAAGGTCAGAGGTGAGTTATATGTAAACCTGAAGCCATCCTGCTCATTTGGGAGAATCAAACTCATAATTCCTCTCAGCCAGGCGTGGTGGCTCATGCCTGTAATCGCAGCACTTTGGGAGGCCAAGGCAGGTGGATCACAAGGCCAGGAGTTCAAGTCCAGCCTGGCCAAGATGGTGAAACCTTGTCTCTACTAAAAATAGAAAAATTAGCCTGGCCCGGTGGCAGGCACCTATAATCCCAGCTACTC
The DNA here is from genome assembly GCF_000001405.40 of Homo sapiens. Lineage (NCBI taxonomy): Eukaryota > Metazoa > Chordata > Mammalia > Primates > Hominidae > Homo > Homo sapiens. Next base: position 197,946,940 of record NC_000001.11, on the reverse strand, counting down.
AGGAGGCTGAGGTAAGAGAACTGCTTGAACCCAGGTGGCAGAGGTTGCAGTGAGCTGAGATGGCAGCACTGCACTGCAGCCTGGGAAATAGAGTGACACTCCATCTCAAAAAAAAAAAAAAAATTCTTCTCATTTGTGGATTGTAGAAAGAATGCTGGGAACCTGTTTGGAATATTTAACTGCTTCAGTCATTCTTCTTACCGAGACCAATGAGAAAACACCATACTCAGGTATTACTAGAATTCTTTAAATACTGGAGGAACAAATATATTTTTTACTATTTTCCGGCTATACCCATTGGTGTATGTCTGACCTTAAAAGACAGCATATCAAACACTGCAGGCTCTCATTTATAAGTGGGGGATAAATAATGTGTACACATGGACACAGAGTGTGGAATAATAGACATTGGCAACCTGGAAGGGTGGAAGAATGGGAAGGGGATGAGGAATGGTAAATTACTTAGTGGGTACAATGTGCATAATTTGGGTGATGGTTACACTAAATTCTCAGACTTCACCACTACGCAATATATCCACATAACAAAACTACACTTGTACCCCTTAAATTTATATAAATAATTTTAAAATGAAATTTTAGAGGTCTGAATAGCAGGCAACCTAAAGGAATAATGAGAAAAAAATAAGAACAACTTTTTGTAATCATTATATTCTCTGAGAATGTCTTTGGACTTGTGCAGTGCACAGTCTATGCAGCTGTATTTGGCAGCCCTGCCCAATCTTCCAATAGTGGGAGAGTGGTTACATGAAGTACCTACATGATGACATAGTATGCAGCCATTACAAATAATAATCTAACCATGTGGAAAATCCTTATGCTATAATAATAAAATCTTAATGAAAATATAAGTTGTAAAATTATAGCTTTCAGATGATCACAATGGTATGAAAACATGATGTCCCTGTGTGGTTTGTCCTGGAGAGAAACATTCCCCAGTCTTACTACACTGTGTCACTTACCTCAACCCAAATAAAATCACCATGTTCAAGGGATAACCACATCACATCTTTAGTTCTTATTGAGTCTGTCTGCTACTAAAATTGATCAGATTTTCTTCCCATATGTGCTGCTTAGCCATCTCTTCAGCCTTCTTGTCTCTTTCTCCTCACTCTGCCTGCCACCTCAGAGCCCAAGAGCTTTCAAATTGTGTTTCACAGAAAGTCCTCAGGGGCCATGGAGAGTGGTGCAGAGGAGTAAGGAGTGGGTTCCCAGAGCCTCCATTCCCACTTCAACCAGAACAAGTTTTTCTTACATATGAGAATTCTGGCAAGATTTTATTTGATGAAAGTATTCCATGGTAGTAGAATACTATGCGGCCATAAAAAAGAATGAGATCGTGTCTTTTGCAGGGGCACAGATGAAGCTGGAAGCCATCATCCTCAGCAAACTTACACAGGAACAGAAAACCAAACACTGCATATTCTCGCTTATAAGTGGGAGTTGAACAATGAGAACACTTGGACACAGAGAGAGGAGCAACACATACCAGGACCTGTTAGGGGGTAGGGGGTGAGGGGAGGGAATTTAGAGAATGGGTCAATAGGTGCAGCACACCACCATGGCACACGTATACCTATGTAACAAACCTGCACGTTCTGCCCATGTATTCCAGAACTTAAAGTAAAATAAAAAATAAATACATAAATATAAATAATTAAAAAAGAAAGTAGTCCATGGTAAAATAAATGTGAAAGTCACTGCTATAGCTCATATCTATACAGGTGGAGTTTAGGACCTACATGTAGCTTTACGTTTTCTTCCTAATAAATTTTATCTCTTAGACTCAGATCAGCATTCCAATCTCTTAGTATATTTTTAATTCTGATTTTGCCATCCACTTTATTTTCTGTCCCTCCCAGTTTTCTGCCATCTACAAGTGTGATTAGCTTGACAGCTCTGTCCTCAAACTAATTCACTAATAAAAATGTTGAAAAAAAGTCATTGAACAAGCCCCTAGACACATCCCACAGGGTATAGTAATTCATTAATAGGTACTCTGGGATTCTTTTTCAAATCAGTTACCAATCTACACAACTATACATAGTGAATCTCCAATCCTGAGCCCAAATTCAGATTCCAACATGTCGAATCATGTCTGGCAAAATGGAGAGATCTGACAAGAGTGGATTTGCAGGCGTTAGTTGTTTGAGGACCTCTTTTTGGGAATAAATGAAGGAGGAGGATTATATAAAGCTGCCTGCGGTGAGGTGGAGTTAGAATGGTATCTCTCCCACACAGTCTTCTGAGTTGATATCAAGGTCTGCGGATAGCAGAAACCAGAAGAAGTTGAGGGAAGGACTCTATGATAAGGGAGTTCCCACAGTGCTGCTTGGATCCCAGTTGACCTGAAAAGTGCAACAGTGAGTGGGGAAGGAGTCATTTTCCTTCTCTGGGGACATTTAGGGAATAGCAGAACCTTTGATGCAAATGGTACATTCTCTTAAAAGGCACCCTTACACAGCTTTATGAGAGGAAGACATCCAGGGGAAAACAGAGCTGAAGGGGAGAACATGAAATCACCTCCTATTATGTACTCAACAGATGCATGAGTATGTTTGAAACATCCCTAGGGACTTTAACATGTTTCCAGTAGGGGGTCTAAGAGAACCGTGGAAGTTGGGTGTCTGAAGTTATATGATGCCCTCTGGTACCCCAAGATAGACCAGGCCTGGAAAGATGCAGAGATATGTATGTTATTATTCAGAAATTATTTTACCCTAAAAAAACTCATGAAACACTTTAATAGCTTTTGCTGAACTCCAAGCACTGCCTTCTATTGTACACCCTAGTTTTTGCCACTTTCTAAAAGTCTCCTGACAGCTGTCTGGGCAAGTTCTCTGAGAATGAGACACCTTTGTGTAACTGCCATTACTCCATCATGTTTCAATTCCTGCTTTTCAGAGCTGCTCTACCCTTACTAATTTGAGGAAAAATGTTCCTGTCCCACAGGTTAGGGAAAAACTCAAGGAATTGAATGGAATCATCAAAACGTTAGTGCTGAAAGTAAAGAGCATCTGATCCAATGTTTTCCCAAAGTTGACTGATCACTTGGGGTATATTTATGAAGAAAAAGAAAATGATTTCAGGAGTCTTATATCGGGGAGAGTGAGGGCCAGAAACCCCCCACCCCCCGGCTTTTTTTTTAGCAAGCCCTCGAGATAAACCTTCAGATCAAGTAAGTTTTGGAAGCTGAGTTAGGGCGGCCTCTCCAATGCCAACACTGTTCAAATGATTCACTTGAGGTTACAGCTTTATTTTGTCATGTTTACATTTTCCCCATATAATTGACTGCCACAAGAGTATCACTTTTGTTCCTTTATATATCAAAGTCTTTGACAGGATTTTATGTTTGGATCTAAAATTGTGGTTTCCAAAGTGTTCACTTAGAAGTTTCCAGACTCCATGGCAAGGCTTAAGGTGTTGGAGACAGAATGGTGGAACCACGGCTTTTATTTTTTTTTTTCCAGTGCTCTCTTCTCTCCACCAGAATAGCTTTACTCTTATCTGATTTATAAATTCAGTTTTATGGAAAAGTTCAATGAGCAATGTTTGTTACTTAAAAGAAGAATTTGAGAATAAGCGATATAAAATATTTTCATCTGCAAGCCTGATCAATTTTAGAAGTTCACCTGCCTCAAAAGGAAAAAGTGTTCCAGAGCCTCTTATTTCAAAGTTCATTCAATGTTCATTAATCTCCCTGCTAGTAACATCTATGTACACTTATCTAAAGGCCATATGTATTTTATTAATGTAGAGATAGCCAATTATTGGTCATTGTGCACTTCAAATAGTTCATACTTAATAAGGACTTAGCATCAATTTGGTAGAGGAGTTTAATACCTATTTTCTAATGTAAAAAATACAAAATCTACAACCAACCTTGAAAAATAATAAACACCAGTGAGCTGTAGGCTCCTGGGGAGAAAACAGCATACACCTCCTTCTTTTACAAAGCAATTCTCAACCAGGATGATGCAGCCATGGAAGCATGGCAAACCCTTCCCAGCTATGCTGTGAACACCTCAAAGATTTGATGCCGCCTGGGCCCAGTGGCTCACGCCTGTAATCCCAGCACTTTGGGAGGCCAAAGCAGGCAGATAATTTGAGGTCAGGAATTCAAGACCAGCCTGGTCACCTGGCCAACATGGTGAGAAACCCCGTCTCTACTAAATATACAAAAATTAGCCAGGCATGGTGGTGGGTGCCTATAATCCCAGCTACTTGGGAGGCTGAGGCAGGAGAATCACTTGAATCCAGGAGGCAGAAGTTGCAGTGAGCAGAGATTGCACCACTACCCAACAGAGCGAGACTCTATCTCAAAAAAAAAAAAAAAAAAAAAAAAAAAAAAAAAAAAAAAAAAAAAGGATTTGATGCCATGCTTTAACTAACGTGCAGAATTTATTTCTGCTCTGAGTTTATATATTGATAAGGTAATGCTGTTGGTTTCAGGTCATGTTTAGCCAGATATGCTTGATACCAGCAACAGAAGAAAATGTAGTTTAACACTAATCTGGCACCAAAGAAATATTTATGCTTATTGAAATGTGAGATTTTGCCTTATGAATACATAAGAAAGTCTGCTCAGAGCAATACACATTCTTACTCAAACCAAGACTCAGAACTGAAGGATAGACAAGTGAACAGTACAATTAAATGCCTTTGTCATTAATGAAAGGCGTTATGATTCAGTAGTAGTGATTTTGCGGTCATCATTAGTGACTTGTTCAATGCTCCTTTGAGTCTCTTAATTCCTTTCAAGTGTGCCTCCTGAAACTCTATGGTGGTAACTGTTCTTACAAAATGGAAAGAACTACTACAGTAACATAACTAAAATATTCAGGGCAAAAAGATTTTATCCTTCCCAATCAAAGCACCAGGACTGGTCCCTGGAATGCTCTCCCTATGAGAAATTCATAATGATGCTGGGTGTTGCTTGCTACAGAATAGGATGAAAATAGTTAGCACTCTGACTTCCATTCTCGAGAGGATAACCCCACATAGCACTTACTGGTCTCAGAGAAGGAAAGTAAGACTTGAACAAGTCCTGCTGGGTCCACGTCATTGCCTTTCCCTTGACTTACATTATGAAGAATGGTAAGTGCCAGCAGTAGCTCTTCATAATGAAAGCTTCTCTTTCCCCAGAATTCTTGACAAAATGTCTTATCTATGAAAGAGTTACTACATCACAACTCAATTTTTAAAATGCTTGTTGAACAATTACTATTTTCCTCATATGTTTAAAAATACAATCGAGGTATAAAAAAACCTCTTTTCTCAAAAATAAAAAAGGTTTAATATTTGGGGAAGACATAGGAAATAACTAGACTTGTGCTATGTATATAATAAAGGCCTAATATTCAGGTCAAATGTATGGGACACACAATGAATGCTATGGAGGGGTCAAAAAGGAAGGCATCAATTATGACAAGAGTTAATAGAGGGAATTTTCATGAAGATACTACAGAATAATGTAAATAATTAATGGCTTTGAGATTCAAATTCAATTACCACTTACTATTTACCATGTCCCAGATATCAAACTATGAACTTTAACAAAATTATTATAATTTTTCAAAAAAATACAAAGACTGGAAGAGAACTTGAAAAAATGTGTATTTATGATATATAATGGTTTATCATCATGATGGGGGTGGCCGGTGATGATTTTATTTCTTCTAAACGTTTTTCTTTGTTAGTATTTTGTATTGTGCATGCAATAAGTAATGAAAAAGAATTTGTAAGATTTGGGCACATAAGAAGTAATGAAATCTGTTTTATAATTGGAGAAGATATTGTATGCAAAAACGTGACAGAGAATTAACACATCACGTGCTGCGGACAACGGGGGGTTAGAGTGAGACAGGGTCATATTACAAAGAACCTTTACTGTTTCACAGAGGAGTTTATATTTAATCATATCTACAATGGGAATCTCTTAAAGTTCCTGAGACGAAGGAGTCATTGAAAGGCGATATTTAGAAAGATTACTCTTGCAACATACAGTAAATATTTCAGCCAAGAGAAATTAGACATAAGAGAATCCACAAATAAAGGACTGAAGTATGAAGAATGTGAGCAACTGAAGGATTGGACTAGAATTACAGTGGAAGAGGTAGAATCTGAACCCAGGCCTGTCTGTCTGTCCAAATCCTATGATTCTCTGCTTCTTTTCTTTTCTTTTTCAAAGAGACAGGGGCCTGCTATGTTGCCCAGGCTGGTCATGAACTCCTGGCCTCAAGCAATCCTCCCATCTCAGTCTCCCAAAGTGCTGGGATTACAGGCATGAGCCACTGCACCGGCTGATTCTTCTACTTCACACACCTGTTACATGTGGTTGGAACCAGAGGAATCTTGATTCTACTCTACTCCTTCCCCACTTCTCAAACTCTTCCACCAATTTGTTCCTGAGAACCTGGAGTACAATCTTAGGATACCCACCTGCAAACCAAAACTTTCTTTGAAGTAGCAGATTTTATCTTTACAATTCAAGCAAACACTTTTATTTTCTTATATTGCGTATTCATATTTGTTTTAATAAAAAATTAATATTTAAAATTTTATCAAGTAAAATTAACAAGTACGATCATGCACTGTGCAACATTTCAGTCAATGATGGACTGCATGTATGAACTATCTTAAGTGGTTCCTTAAAACTAGCAGTTTTACTACATACATAGAGAGAGTTAAAAAAAGCAGTTTTACTATTCACAATAGCAAAGCCATGGAAGCAACCTAAATGTCCATCAATGATAGATTAGATAAAGAAAATGTGGACCTGGCGTGGTGGCTGATACCTGTAATCCTAGCACTTTGGGAGGCCGAGGTGGGTGGATCACAAGGTCAGGAGATCGAGACCGTCCTAGCCAACATGGTGAAACCCCGTCTCTAATAAAAATACAAAAATTAACTGGGTGTGGTGGCACATGCCTGTAATCTCAGTTGCTCGGGAGGCTGAGGCAGGAGAATCACTTGAACCAGAGAGTCGGAGGTTGCAGTGAGCTGAGATTGCACTGCTGCACTCCAGCCTGGCAACAGAGCGAGACTCAGTCTCAAAAAAAAAAAAAAAAGAAAAAAAATGAAAAGAAAGAAAGAAAATGTGACACATACACCGTGGAATACTGTGCAGCTATAAAAACGATGAGATCATGTCTTCTGCGGGAACATGATTGGATCTGGAGGCCTTTATCCTTAGCAAACTAACACAGGAACAGAAAACCAAATACTGTATGTTCTCACTTATAAGTGGCAGCTAAATGATGAGAACACATGGACACACAGAAGGGAACAACACACACTGGGGCCTTTTGGAGAGTTGAGGATGGGAAGAGGGAGAGGATTAAGAAATATAACTAATGGGTACTAGGCTTAATATCTGGATGATGAAATAATCTGTACAACAAACCCCTAAGACACAAGTTTACCTATGTAACAAACCTATAGTTGTACCCCTGAACTTAAAATAAAAGTTTAAAAAGAAGATTATAGCATTTTTACCTTACCTTTTCTGTATTTAGATATGTTTAGGCATGGTGTTACAATTGCCTACAGCATTCAGTATAGTAACAGGCTATGCAGGTTTGTATCCTAGGAGCAATGGGCTATACAATATAGCCTAGGTATGTAGTAGACTATTCCAGCTAGATTGTTTGGGTGCACTCTATGATGTTCACACAATGATGAAATCACCTAGCAATGCATTTCCCAGAATCCATCCCCACTGTTAAGCAATGCATGACTGCATATTCTATTCTAATTATACATGGGCTGAGAAAGCTCTCCTTCAGCTACTGCAAATAAGTGATAATCAGGCTCTGTTTTTTAATTTATTTATTTATTTTTGGAGACAGAGTCTCACTCTGTCACCCAGGCTGAAGTGCAGTAGCGTGATCTTGGCTCACTGCAACCTCAACCTCTCATGTTCAAGCCATTTTCCCATCTCAGCCTCCCGAGTAGCTGGGATGACAGGTGCGTGCCATCACTCCTGGCTAATTTTTGTATTTTTAGTAGAGACGGGTTTTCACCATGTTGACCTGGCTTGTCTTGAACTCCTGACCTCAGGTAATCTGCCTGCCTCGGTCTCCCAAAGTGCTGGGATCACAGGCTTGAGCCACCGCACCTGGCCCAGGCTCTTTTTAAATCCCTGCAGAGAATGATCAAAATCTTCTAGATCATATGATTCTACATTAGTAAGAAAGTTATTTCATATAGTTTAGATACAGTCTTTTTAAAAAGTCTGATCATTGGTTCTACTCTTCTAAGGCTGCAGAGAGTGAAGATGGAGGAAACAGCACAAAACCTGAAACAACTCATATGATGTCCTATAGAGAATATCTTCCCACCAATTAAGAAAACTTGGTTCTAGTGAGTACAATGATCAGGGGGATGTCAAAAATAAAATAAAATAAAATAAAAGAAGTAGATCAAGACTGAGATGAAAAACATAGAATGAAGAAAGGATCAATAGGATTTGGTAACAAAATGATACAAGATAATTTTAAAAAGAAAAAAAAAGAAGGAGAAGAAGTTGATGGAGAAATTGATGACTCCCAGTCTGGGTGACTGGGAGAAACTTCAGTAATGTCTTTAACAAAAATGGCAAAAAGTCCAGAAGTTTGCTGAAGAGAAAATTGAGTTCAATATTATTTATGCTGCCCTTCAAACAACAGCAGAAGAGTCAGGTGGAAATGTCTCAAGGAATATATTTGGAGTCATCACTAAAATGTTGAGCCTTTAAGAAAGAATGTTGTTTCCCGGGAAGCAAGTAGTGCAAGAGTGGAAGGAGATTTTGAAGCTGGACCGTGATGTGCTGGCTCTGAGTCAGCCGAACCCCAGGGAGAAGCAGCAGGTGCGTGGCCTGCGGGGAAATCGTTTTGGAGAGAAGCAAGTAATAAGGAGTGTAAAATCTGGCACAAATGTAAATGTGAATAAAGAAGGGAAATACCAAGATTTGGGTAAGAGAAAGGTAATTGCTAACTTTAAGAAAAGTGGTTTCAATAGTGTAATGGGAATAGAAGTGATATGAACAAGAATTTAGGAGAAATGGTGGTAAGCCACTGATGGGTAATGGAAGCTATGAACATTTATAGAAAATTCAATGAAGTAATAACCATCCGTGTTTTATAATAACTGTAATCTATCTAAATGAATTGCAACTTCCAGTAACAATTCAGGGGCAATAAATAAGAGGTATCGATAGTGCCAAATTATTGCAATTACATTGTTTCAGCATTGGTTAGAAAAAAGTGTAAATCTGCAGAGATTAAGTGGAAACTCTTGACACACACATTTTTCTGAGGAAGGCCAAAAATTGTCTCTGAGCTAGAAACAATACACATCTGTCTGGGTGCTTTCCATTTCAACTGAAAAAATATGAGAATTTGAGCCAGACAATTTAGTAACCCTCTTTCTTGTACACAGAATGATTCTATGCTTTTATCAATATCCGATTCTAAACAGAAACAAAGTCTATGGTGGAAACTTTTATTAGTGATAAATTCCAATACAAGACACTCTGGAAAAGCAGAAAACATCAGTGTTGATCCCAAAGGCTTCATAATCCAACACTTAATAGTTAGGTATTCGGGATACTGAAGTTGCATATGTGGTGCAGTCTCAGGATCTAGCTGCATTTATTACATAAGACACACATTAAGCATGACATACTGGATACTTATGTGTACATAAATATGGATTGATTGATAAATGTATAGTTGATATTTACTAAGGAACTCATTGAAGTCCAGCCACTTTAATACACCCATAATGTTGAAATTAAACCAAAATAGTCCGTTTGATTTGTGAAAGATCCTTTTGGGTTTTTTTCTTGTTTTTTTTTTTTGTTTTGTTTTGTTTTAGAGATGGTGTCTCTCCATGTTTGCCAGGTTGGTTTCGAATTCATGGTCTCAAGCGATCCTCCTACCTCGGCCTCCCAAATTGCTGGGTTACAAGTGTGAACCACTGTGCCTGGCCTATATAACCTTTTGTTTCTACTGTGCCTCTTTTAATAAATGAAGTAAATTATACAGTTCATTACAACAAAAATTACCTTTTTTGTTGTGGTTGTTTATGTTGAACTATAAGCATTTGCCAAACTTTGTTGAACAGAAAAGTTCAAAATGGCAACACAAGTCCAGTAAAAAGCAAAGTTATGGCCAAGCTCAATGAAGAAAGTAACCTAGAAAGATCCCCTATTGCATTAGCAGGGAGGCTTTGGGGAGCGTGGCTTTATGTTAGGCTAACAAAAAGTAGGCCTATTACAATATCTCAACTGAAGAAAAATTGCCATTATTTTGGCTTTTTCTTTTGCTTTCAACTAAAAACTGGCTTTAGAAGAGATGAGCCTTCTTTCTTAAAAATATATATCTTTCTATGGGTGTTAGGATGAAAATAAACAACACACATACATACACAGGCTCATGATGCTGAATTTAAGAAGAAAACTAGGGAAATATATCAGAACCTTGGAAATATAAACATCTTGTTATTAAAATATCCAGAAGGAGGCTGGGCATGGTGGCTCACGCCTGTAATCCCAGCACTTCGGGAGACCGAGGCAGGTGGACCACAAGGTCAAGAGATGGAGACTATCCTGGCCAATATGGTGAAATCCCATCTCTACTAAAAATACAAAAATTAGCTGGACATTGTGGCGCACACCTGTAGTCTCAGCTACTCGGGAGGCTGAGGCAGGAGAATCACTTGAACCCGGGAAGCGGAGGTTGCAGTGAACCGAGATGGCACCATTGCACTCCAGCCTGGTGACAGAGCAAGACTCCATCTCAAAAAATAATAATAATAATAATAAAAGAAAAAATATATCCAGAAGGAGACCTCAGAATCTGTACTCAATAAAGTAACTAGGTAATTGTATTTATAAAATAAACTGCCTCAATTTATGTTACAAAAATAATCATCACATAATTACATCCTAACATTTTGGAGGCTTTTATAACTCTTTAAACTTCATGTGCAGTATTTGGACCAATCAGGTAAAATGTTACAAATATTATATTTACAATTACTTTCCATTATATTTTTCTTCTGAAAAACTACTCTGTTTGCAGAATTCAAGCAGCTTTGACTGCTTGAAATCCTGAAATGCCTTTGTGCTTTCAAAAATCACACTTCATAAAGGGCATTTATTCTACAGAATTAAAGTTTACTGAATAATAAATATACTTTAAGTGATGCAAGCTGTCAAAACCCTTGAATGTTGAAGTTAAAGCTGATAGCCCTTCATAATTTTTGCTGCTTTGGAAAAGGAAAAGAAGCAGAATGAGAATAAGTAAAGGCAATTTCACCTTTGAATTTCTTCATCTTTGTATATTTGTCATAAATAACAGTTTAAATATCCTCTAAGGTTAATATTTTCTGATTTGATATGAAAGTACAGAAAAACATAATATATTCAGGCATAATATGAGGCAACAGAGACTGAAGCATCTTATTTGTAGCAAATTTTATTTTCAAATAACCATAAAAGGTATCCAATTACTCTTCAGGTTAATTTATAAGATCATGCAAAATGTAAACAGAAAGTTCCAAAAGAAAAAAACTTTCCTGACAATTCTAATATGTGAGGGAAAAGTACACAGAAATGCACACCAGGAACTTTCTACATATGGCTAATATCTGGATCTTTATTCTTGCTTGCTTTTTGTTATCTTAGCACAAGATAAAATGTAATGCAAAGAAGCAAAAATTAATCCAAGGGAAGAGAAACTTATTGATATGATACATAATAAGGGAGGGTTAACTATATTAATATTCACAGAGGAATGTTGCAAGTAGGGAGTGATGTTAGATGACATTATCATATTCTGCAACACAGTTAAACAGAAATTTAGTTGTGGCAATAATGTTACTACTTACATCATATTCATAGACTTTTCCTTGAGTATCATGCACAGTTCTAAACTTTCCCTCTCCCAACCTCACCACCCCCCCAACTGCCAGGGAACCTCATAAAATAAAACGGAAATCTTCCCAGAGGGGCATTTAAAATAATATTTTAAGTTAGAATTATAATTTATTTTTAAAATAAGGTAAATCATAATATTATTCTGAAAAAAAAACTGTTGTGAGGGCAGAGCACTATTATTAAAATGTTTAAAATCAACAGTAAACCATTAAAAAAACTTCCTATTTTTGACATTGGCTAGAAGCAGGGCTGTGGCTTTACATTAGAGGCATTTTATTTATTTTAATATCAAGAGTTTGTTCCCAATTACTAAAAACAGAAAACAGATCTAAAAGACCAATCCAGAGTTTATCTATATATATGCTTTCAAAGAAAATTCAATGATATTTCGTCAATTTGGACTAAGTCCTACTGTGCTTATTTTGCCCTGTTGTGGAAGAGACTACAAAATGTAAAAGCTATTGAATGAGCTCAAGAGTACACGAACTCTCTACAAGTAAAGCTAGCTTTGTTTATAACATAGTTAAAATTTAAATAGCAAAACTTCATACAAAATTAGGTGTTTATATTTATTTTTTACAACAGTATTATCCCTAATATTCTCTTTAAGAGCCTAGAATGACACGATTCCAAATTTCCATTCCAGAGCTTCCCAGTTCTAATGATTTCCACCACAACATGCCTTGCAGTCACACTGCAACAGAAAATGAGATGATATTTATATGTGGCTAATAAAAAAACAATACTTTGACTCCCAAAAAAGGGTTATTATAAAAGAATGTGTGGTAGATTCCACTGGGATTTTGCTAAATAAAGCTATTTATGTTTTAGGTGATGAAAAATCACCTAAGTTTTAAAAGTATTTGCTTTGGGTCCTTTATTATGGAGTTTTATCCTTATTTGAGGTATCAAAAACCTACCCACTATGTAAGTCAGTATTAAGGTGGCTATTCAACCAAAGCACACAGACACTAACTCTCAGTGAAGCTTTTTGCCCAAGATCAATCTGCCAGAAGTTAGACTAACCCAGGCAACTGGGAGGTAGAAGCTATGAAAATTTAGTGTCCTGCTCTCAACTAAGAGGTCCACATTTTTCTATTCCACACCAAACAGTAAATGTGCAGTTGCCCAGACTCAAAGACTGCTTTACATCACAGTAAAGCACAACAGACCTTCCAGCTCTGCATCACACGCTTCCTCTTCCCACTCACATAATTAGTACTCCTTTCTCTCTCTCTCTCTTTTTTTTTTTTTTTTTGGTTTTAAAAAATGTGCCTGTTTCAAATTTGTATTTTTTTTTCAGATGTCTAATTTCAGTTATGTTCTTTCCCTCTCTGGTCTCTTCCTGCATTTCACATACCAGACAAATATTTAAAGGTCTGTAAAACCAGGCGAAGTTCCAAAATACTTCTAAATGAAATTGCCACAGGTGACAGAACAGGGAAAGAAGGCAAGACTGTAGGGCAAAGATTTGAATAAACTGGCTGGAAATGCATTGGAAAATCTATTTAAGTTGCTATAGCTGTGGATGAGGTTTCAATGAGGCATAAACATTCAAGTTACTGACAAAACCAGCATGATTTGTGATCACTCAAAATAGTCTACTTGTCATGGTGCATTGCTTTTTTTTATTAGTAAGTTGCTCTCTCTTCTTTAAAATTTTTTCTTTTTATTATTCAGGAAGTGAAAGCATTTAAGAAAACATTCAAAATTCTGAGAATACATGTAAGTGAAATATTTAATGTCTGTCATTCATAAAAGTTACATCATTTACATAGGGTTCATTTGTATATAATAAAAATTTCATCATAATGAAAAATTTTCTGGAAAGTATATGTTAGTTTGTTTAACATATGCTTTGGATATACGGCTAAATAGGAATAGCTAAAATTTTATTCTTCAAATATTCCCTTTAACAATTAAAAAAAACCTCATTCCTAAATATTTGTCTGTCTTTCCATTTGCTTTTTTGTTTGTAATAATCATATGTAATTGAACTATGCAAAGATTGGATCTTTTTATAGTTCAGAATATATTTGTATACATCAATAAATTTGTTCATTGCATAGCAAACATGTAAACTCACATAGGATCTATAAATTTTACCCTAGTAATCTAAAAAAGTTGCTGAAATTTTACACAATAGTTTATTCTAAGGTTTATTTTGTTGTAATTTGGGTTCACTTTGTTTTTTATTTTTAATACATGTGGCAATTGAATACAACAAATGAAAATAAGTCATGAAAAGGTAAAAACCAAGTAAGTAATTTTATCCTAGATTACCAGAATTTAATCTCACTATGCTGTTTGTATTTTTTCATTAGTATAACAAGTTGTAAATGTACTGTGCTGCCTCTTTAAGTGTTCAAAATTAATTTCAACAGCATGTGTTTAACATAAAGTTAACTATGTTTGCATCAAATAAATGTTTATTAATGAAAGCTATTTATCATACAAGAAACAGCAAAGATAAGTCATCATACAGAGGTGTACACTAGAGGTGACATATGTAAAAGTGCATGCAGAGATTTCTGTTTAAAAAGGAAGTGATAAACAATAATGCTAAAATTACTGGGGTTTGATCCCTATACTCTTAAATGGGTGATAGCTTTTCTTTGAATTTACAGTTGGAAAATGCCATTAACAGGACTAATACACATTAGCAAGCAGGTGAAATGAATGTTTTGGACTTTATTTTACAACTGTGCTTGACAAATGTGTGAAATTTTTTTCAATAATAATTTTTTTCAAATATGGGGTGGGCATATTACTGCCAGGTTGCTCTGGTTTTGTACATGGTTTATCTAATTTTGTTTAAACCACATAATTTTAGGCCTTCAGTTGTGTTAGACACCATAAAGAACACAAGTTTCGTTAACATTCAGTAAATGACATTTAAGTCTCTCTCTCTCTCTTTTTTTTTGGCTTAATAAATTTTTTAATGTATGATTATCATAACCTAATAGTGTCTTTGTCTTCACTGCAGTGGATTTCCGATCAAACTTTTCCCCTTCTTTTAATACTTTAGGGAATTTTCAAACGTCGGGATGTTTGGCTGTAATGCCCCAAGATTTGTTCTCCCTGAAAAAAATCATAGTGACAATTTATTAACTACAGAGCAACTTGGCTTTTAGGGGTCTGCAATTTCTATTTAGATTTACAAATATCCATTTGTGCTCAATAGACCTAACATGAAATCTTAATCATATTTAAGGTTTCGTTCCATGCAATTACTTTATATGCTAATTAGCCTTTTTATTCTAAAAATTGGACTGAGTCAAATCAGTGGGGCATTACTTTTGTTATAAGCAAATATATTCAAAGGTATTTCTAGGTTGAATTACACTGCCTGTGCAACAATGTGTAACATTTCATATGAATCAGAAGTTTGGAAGTCTAAAAACTATTTGTATGTTTAAATATTTCTAACAATGTTGTATTACCATTTGAAAAGCTTTTACATATAGATGCTGGAACACACTAGTACGGTTAAAACTTAAATAAAACTGATGGGAAAGAAAACTCCTTAGATTCAAAATGTTTTATTCACACAAATTTAATAGGATATATCACAATTGTTTGGTCCATAAATATTTAGGGGAAATAGTTTCTATACAATGCATTTATCAATAAACAAAGAAACATGGACAATTTTGCTAGACCACTTACTGTACTATAAACACGAAGCTCAATATATAAGATTATTGAATTTATCAACTATATTTGAAAGAGTGCACAACTGCTTTCTATGACATGTTTGTCCCCTCTAACAGGATACACCATAAAAAGAGTTTCAGAAATAAGAGGTAAAACAGTACAAAACTAGTGAGGTGTTAAAAGGGCTTAAAACAGTTAATTTAACAAACAACACATATATCCTGATTTTTCACAAACTTACTTCCAAGTTATATCATAAGGCACATAGGAGAACTGAGTTATAATTAGTCTACTTAATAAAGTAGATCTATATAGTACCATATATTGTTCTGTCAAAGAACAAAATTTATAAGTGTCAATATTTTACCTGTAAAAGTGTATTAATAAGATCTCAGCCTTACCAAGGTTGTTTGGTCTGGTTAGTGGTAAATGCCCAAAATGTAATAGAAGTATGAAAAGTCAAGATTTAAGCTCCATATAAGATGATAACCATACTTGCTAAATATATAATGGCAATCACACCTTTCTTCTGTTACAGTGTTAACTTATCTTCCATCATCTTTTTTTAAAAAATAAGCTACTTTCTGTGCTAATTTTCTAAAGACCCTGAGCAAAAGTTACAATAATGCACTTTAATGTGGGCAGTGAACTGTCAATATGTAACCACACATTTATACAGCCAGAAGGACACCTTTAAAATCTATTAAATAGCCACTTCGACCACCAAAGGAGATTTAAGGGGTCCAAAAAGTGGAAAATATGTGCAAAGTTATTCTTAACAATCCACTAAAGCAAGACATATATCTTGACTTCTTTTTTATTTTTTTAGGAAATCCACAATCTAATTGGTATTTAACTACAACAGAAGCGTAATAGATGAACATTCACCACTGCCCAGACCATTAAGATTTTAGCTTAAATTAAAAGAAAAAAATGCTACTGTAAACTAGGAAATATATTCAGATCAGCATCCACAAGGCTTCTGAGTTTATCTACTTTAAGACTAATAACTTCAAATCTCTAATATCAGAAAAATTATTTTCAATACATAAGTCAACCTATGTCAAAATAAAATAAAACAAAACAAAACCAATTGTTGGTATAAGTCTACCAGGCTGGGTATTTTAAACATTATTCATATAGAATGCCAGATACAATATCATGGTACAGCTGAAGCCAATTAATAGAGCTATTAATTAAATTATATTGATTTTTTTACTTCTTAAAACATTATATTTTGCTTATTTCCATTTTCCCTGGGAAAAAAAGTAACTAGAAAGAATGGTTTCCGAGCTATTGTTTTTAGCTTTAGGAGGTTAAAAGTATGGAATGTCAAAATCAATGCGGAATTTTCATGGATACATAGGGAGCTTAAGTATTTTTCAAATGTTGAAAAACAAATAACCAAGTAAAAAGTTTTTAGAGTTGTACACCCCTAAGAGAAGGAAAAGTCACATTCCTGTAATAGATTTCTCACCTAATTAATCATTACTATTTAAAATGTCTGTAGTTAATGCTTTTATTTCATCATATTCCTCACTTGAATTAACAGTTCAGGTAAGAAATAGAAATACTAAAAACAAGTTTTCAGTTTTAAGATTTAAAAAATGTAACGTTTTCAAAACTCCATAATCACACATACAATTGCAAGATTTAAAAAGTAACTAATTAATTATCTGGTTCTTTATTAACCTAATCATTTAAGTGGGAATATGATTATTTGCCCATAATAATACCACTCTTTTTTCTTTTTTCTTCGAGATTCTGGAAATAAGTAACATACAATTTTAAGAGGCACTTATTAGAATTATTCAAAAACTCTCCTTACCAACTGAAAGACCTAATTAATTTTTTTAAATCCAAATACACTTTGTAGACAAAATATATTCACTTAAAGGAGACAATACTGTAAACTCATTTGCCAAGTGGCTGCAGATGCTACACACCAAGCTGTTATTTTTATTCCCCAAATATCTTGTGGGTTAGAAGAAAAAAAAAGTCTTGTAAATAATAAAATAATAATAATTAGAATAATAATAAAAAGAAGAGGAAGAATTTAAAAACTAAAAAAAAAAAACCAATGTTAGAAAAGGTTTGTTAAGGTAGTTTGTGAGGGGCTTCCGGATTCGTGGCTGTCCATGTTAGAGGTCACGGATGTCACTACAGTGATAGTGGGATTGGTCAGGTCTGTTAAAGTGGTCGCAGTGCCGGGTGGAGTGAGAGCTCCGCTGTCTGCTGAGGGCGGGGCCGGAAGCGACGTGCCGTCAGCTTTATCAACACCCCCATTCTCCTGCCGCAAAAGGTTCCTTCTGAATTTGGCTCGTGCGTTTTGGAACCAAACCTGCAAACCAATCCCAATTGATTTCTTTACCGATGTTCATTTTTATATTTCTTTTCTTTCTCTCTCACTTTTTCTTTTTTTCTTTTTCTTTCTTTCTTTTTTTTTTTTGATATAGGTTTCTCCTTTTAAATATCATTGTTTGTCTTTCTTAGGAGGAAAGGGGCTTTTTTTTCTTTTCTTTTAAAACAGAGTTATTCAAGTAACACTACAGATTTATTATCTCTCAACTGCACTTATTCCACCCTGTAGCATTAACAAGTGCCACTTGGAACAACTGATGCTTAAGTGGATATACCATGGAAATGAACACATGGTGATAAAAAGGGGGAAATACACGGTGATTCCTCAACTGTTATCTTTTGAGAAGAGGTAGAAGCAGGGCCATTGAAAGTATGGCAAAGTAAGAATCACTCATATGAAATGGACATCACTGAAACAGACTTCAAGCCATTCGTGAGCCCAACACACGGTATATATTCTTCACATAGAAAAAACTCCCAGGGCCACAGACCTCGAACAGCCTGAAACTGTTTAGCAGAATTTAAAATGCCTGCTATTTGTCACCAAGAAGTGAGAGAAGATCACAGGTGACTCACAGCAACCTATCATAATTTCATTAGTTATATGTTCTTGCCATGATGAGTTTAGGAAATCAATTGGACAGCAGAACTAACTTCCAATATTTTGTTTCTAATTATGGTTTGTTAAGGCAGGAAAATACTTGCTCCAATTGGTTGCTGAAACACTAACCATACTTTTGGCTTTTCAGGAGTGGAAAAAAGGTTCCACCTGAATTTGGAAGGTGAGTGAGGCTGCCAAAAGTTTGCCGAGTTAAGGCAGTGCCAACAGGTCCCTCTCAAGTCCGTGCACTGAGCATAATATTAATGGAAATCGATAAAGCCACGGCCTGTGCAAATAACATCACTCGCATTTGCACAGCAGTGAGACAAGCTGTGCTGCCTTTGGAGGGCCCATCTCCACATATGTAGAGAGAATGTGGCTGTATTTAAAAAGACCCTGGGTCTCTGTTTGGGAACCCTCCAGGAAGCCCCTGCAAAATCTCAGAACACCCTCTAGGGAGATAGCTAAGATAAACTAGTAAGAAGCAATATAGGAAATATCTGCGTCACTCTAACCAGGGAAGAGCACTATTTTTACTGGGAAGGGGAAGGGAAATGTATGCACAGTCAATGATGCATGTGTCTTACCTGCAAAACTCTTTTGGTCAGACCTGTTTTCTGGGCAAGCTGCTTGAGGTCCTTGGCATCCGGGTTGTGGTTGATGGCAAAGTAGGATTTCATGGTCCGGAGCTGGTGATGCTTGAAAGAGGTTCGCATGCGCTTGGTCTTCTGCGAGGGTGGATAAGGCTGCTGGTCCCGGTCCAAGTGGTCTGCCTCATTCTCATTACAACCTGTTGCAGTAACAGTGAACAAACAACTGCTCAGTGGAAATTCTTGCATTAGCTGACATGATGGCAGGCTGTATGACACTGCTATGGTAATAAAGCAGCAGTGAAAAAGGTTGTCAACCCAATTATGAGTAGTATCTAGACAAAAAGAAAGAAGATAATTGCTAAAGTAAGCTGAACTCTTCTGTTAATGTAGACACAACCAAAGTTTATGCAATAGAAAAATATTGGTTAAATCCTCTCTTTTGTTTAATGGTTGCTAGAAGAATTTGAGAATATGAACAAACCCTAAGTAGTAAGGTGGGAGTGAGAGAGACCTACGAGAGTGAGAAGAAGAAACCCTTTTCTAATATAGTTATTTGTACCAGCTCCCCACTGCCCACACTCACAGTGTTTTAAGACTCTACCTTTTGTCTATATTTCTGGAATGAGACACACTGTCTGAAGGTATTGCTTTTTGTCATGAGACGTAGAGAAACAAGTATTACTACTCCCTCAAGTCTGAAAGTTTCTGAGAGCCCACCAACTAAGGAAGCATCTAGGTCAATTCTAAGGGTTAGCCTTTTCTCATATTCCTAGAGCTCCGTCAGTCAGGAAAAAGTTAGAAAAGGCTGAAAAAGGAGGAGAAGTTAGAAATTCAAAATTTGTGAATTTCTTATGTAAACATAAGAATATTATTTGTTTCAGCTTTTAGCTATGACTGGTTAACACAGGGCTATACCAGAAAGAAAATATTTTTCCCCTGGAGTGATTTTAATAAATATTTCTGAAAGAGAATGAGCCCAGACTTCCCTTCACACGGTTCACGCCTGAAGCGCTCCCCACAGCTCACAGTTGAGAGATACTGATGGTGCTTATTTCTAGGCTCAGATCTTAGTCCCTTTTGCTCCAGATGTGTGTGAGTGGGATGTGAGCTGTGCCCCTGGCTGGCCTGGCAGAGAGAGGGCGGCATTTTCTCTTCCCTTACAAAGACTTTCTTAGCACCAAGGGCAAAACAACCCAGTCTTTGAAACCAGCCAGAAAGTCATTATCCCCAGGATGTAAAGCTACACTTTTAAAGGGTCATTTCCAAGAATCTACTGGCTCTGCATAGGAAATACAATTGTAAAATGAAAACATTTTGTGAAATATTTACACAACCAACTTCAGCCAACTTCACAAATTAAAGAGCATGGTAATTTTTTTTCTTTAAATTCTTCCTTCAGATAGTTATATAAATTTAGATCTGATCATCCTGCCTTGTACTGCTTTATAATAGAAAATCTAAAACCAACCTGATCATGTCATTCCAGGGAGAAAGAAACCTGAATCTTAAAAAAGGGAGGCATCCCTTAATGTGAGCTCTTCCAATCTGCTTAATAAAATGTTCTGCTTAATACAATGTTATCTGCCTGCTAGGCTCTGTTTAGAATTACTTTTTAAAAAATATTCAGCAAATCAGCATATTTACAGAAATACAGAAGTTTTGTAGTCATCACCCAAGAAGGCAGCCACATATAAAACTCACTTAACAAGAAATTCTTCCTAATGTAAAAAGACTAGACACAAACAAATGTCTCCTTTGTTTGTATTTCCATAAGACGCATAAGTAGGAGGACACACTTGGCAAAAGAACAGGTGAGTTCATTGAGGGAACTGACTATACCATATTCAACTTTGAATTGATTCCCTGAGTCAAACACAGGGGTAGGAGCTCAAGAAGCATTCAATCAAGATGTTGGGCCCTTTGTTCATCAGTAAATTACAAGTGAGTATTAATGCGAAATTAAATCAACTTGAAGTGGAATCCAAGTCAGATATATACATTCGAATGTAAAACATAGGCTTCCTAAACTCCACCAGAAAGGCTACCATATGTCCAGAGATAACAGAAAGAGTATGCATTACATTTTATCCTATTTTGGCCCAGTGGGGATATGTCAAGTTCAAATATTCTACAGAATTGCACTTTCATATCCTCAAATGGATGAAACAGCATCTCTATGACCTACTATAAAACTATACTTATCTCCAGTAAACTCAGCCATATTTCATAACCAGATTATAAATATACCCACAAAAAATAGTCAAAGGGGCACATGTTAGTCATCGGAGGGTTCTTCAACTCAGATTTCTTTCCTATCATATGTAACATGTAACCTTTCCTGAACAATACATCAAATTGAATTTCACACTTGGGACAGAGGACTTGGTGTTTAAATAATGCCCTTGGCCATCTTTCCCCCACTCCACACCAAGGTAATATATAGAAATGAATATGATTCCCAACCTGACTATATAATCATTAGTTCTTAAAATGAAATTTATGAAAAATAATTGTAGTAAGATTTAATGAAATGGCTTCCCTTAAAACGCATTCTATATCCATTATTGCTGATTAAAAACTCAGCAGAGCCTTTTAGTGTGTAAAATACAGTTATAGGCCCTGTTTCCACATAAAATACACAATCCAATATGTAAGGAGATAGCTCGTTGGGTCTTTATTAAACAGATATTACTATATATGATTTTCCTGTGACTGTTATCTCATATTATGCAACTTAATAGAGAAAGCTATTTCTTCTACAGAGTAACAGTGCATTATCTGATATTATTTATGTTTAACTACACATGCATTATATAAACTTGCAAATGACTGTTTCTCCAAGGCCTATTGCTAAAGCTGTAGGGGATTCCCCCACTCCCCGAATTATGAGATGAAATGATAACTCTTAAAACTGTCTTAAATATCTACCTGTCAGTTCACATCCAGTATTATAAGTTAATGAGAAGATCTAAGTATTTTATTTCCAGTCACTTATGCGATGGGCACCCATCCTAAAGTGAGTGTCGCTGTGAAGGTATGTAACCTTCTGAGAATGAAGTGATCCCTGGAAGACCACTAGGGGTCAGTGCCAGGCTAATTTAACCACCAGGAGCCTTAAAAGTTTGGATAGGAAGAAAGGGCTTAAGGAAAGGATATTTTGAGAAGTGGCAAAAGTTTAATCTCTCAATTAATGTTTAAATTACACAAATAAGAGCTTCCTATCCTAAACTAAATCTTCTTCTCATCCCTAGAGGGCTTTATTTCAAGCTAGCATTTCAGGTAAACTTTCCATGTCTCTTTCTAAAATATTTGCCTGATTAATTTGCACAGAGGTATAAACAAAACTAGGGACATTCTCATTAAAAGGCATTTGCCCTATCAAGCACTAGCTGGCCTTTGCCAAGTTTCACATCTTCTCTGAGATTCTTTGAATCACAAACATGTTTTCTGCACATTTTGAAAACATATTGTGTAAATTATACTTAGTTTAGTATCAACCTTACCCTTTATGAGACTTGTTTACATTTAATGTTTACATTTAATGAAAGATAGCAAGACAAAATCCAAAGAAGGCTAAAATAACGAGTTAAAACTGGATTTATTTTATTTTTTTACATTTTAACGCGTGTTTAATTTGCTGAAGGGTTTCTTTCCCTAGTTTTGGAACAAAGTGGCATCAGATTCGCAAGCACTGTTTTAAATGATGGCCTGATTTCTGGTCAGGCATCTTCAAACCAATTCCCATAGATAATTTTAACCTGATCTTTAAAATATATATACTATTGAATAGTATCTCTGGGAAAAGTCCAGAAAGGATGGAGTAGATGTTAACTAAGAGGCATCCAGTTTGTAGTGGTGCGAGGTACAAACTCTTCGGGCTAAGGGGGCCTAAGCAATTTTTCCCTCCTTTGGGACCAAGACAAAAGCGACCTTCTCCACAACAACTTGTAGCAGCATTAATCTGCAAACTAAAGACCTAAGTGGCTCAGAAGGATTCTTTTATTCTTCTTAAAAATAAATTTGTACTCTCTAGTTATTTTCAGAGAAGTAAAAGAATCTAAATTCTACTGTTCTTAAAGCTCCTTGGATCTAACATGAAGATCCAAGGCGAAATCAAATTTAGCAAATTAGATTAAATAAACAATCAAAAAGTCAGGCTTGCCTACTATTTGGCTAGAAATCTTCACCCTTCTGGACTTTATCCGGGCTGAGAGATCCTTTCTTTCAAAAAAAAACTCACTAGTTTATGTATGAGTGGCTTGCTTTCTCTCTCTCTCTCTCTCTCTCTCTCTGGGAATTAGGGCCTTGGTGAGTGGCTTGAGATTCCAATGTCACCTTCTATTAATAAAGAACAATTAGTGCCCTGCCTGCCCTGCCCCGGGGACCACGCATCAAAGAAGATGAAGTAAGCATGCTGGGCAAAGTGGCCCCTAACCAAATCTCCTGCCCCAGCACAGCAGGGGCCAGTGTGAGGGCATGGCCACTACTGAGGGTTGCCAAAACCCGGGGCTTCGCCCGCTGCCCTCACACAGATTGACCGACCCTGGTGAGATTTGCAGTGAGCCGGCAGGTCCTTTTCTTTTCGTCCAGCAGCCCTGGTATGAACCCCCTAGGGACAAGTGCTGCCGCACAGTGTTCCTCATTGCTCCCCATTCTCCCTGCAAGGCCACCCGCTGTGCTTGCCCATAAAGGATTCTCCTCTTCAGTTAGATCAGTCGGTAGAGAACCCCAGGAGAGAGCCCAACGGAGGTCTGAGAGAGCGGCCACTCATCCTGTGTGGGTTCCCCTGAAAACTCTAAACTCAGAGCAGGACTCTTAGCTTCACATTCACACTGGCTGTGTGATCTTGGGCAAATCACTTAACTGGCTGGACACTGTTCTTTACCATTGACTAGCAATGTCAGGCACCATACCAGGCCCTGGGAACTGGAAGAGAAAAACAGGCAAGATCCCATGCTCTGAGATGCCCATGCTTGGTATCTGGGGGCATTCATAGTAATAGAGTGGGGTTGCCATAATAAGGTCCTCAAGGTTCCTTCCAACAGAATGGTCTCCCCTGTCCTGAGTCTGCTGAGATTCTCAGCCACATGTGGGCCAGGGCACTGAAAGCCAAAGCAGTTAAGGTCCTTAGGCTCCCCAAAAGTGCGCCAGGGCTTTCTACAACCTCTTTTTTTCCAGTGATTGGGACTCACAAGAATAGCTTCTGTTCTGCTCAGAGTTAGATTATCATCTGCAGAGCCGATCACCATCCTCACCTGGAGGATGGGGAGTGGGGGCAGGCTACCAACAATGGGAAACTGCTGCATGTGAGAGATTGATACATGATAGGCGTGTCCCCCAAAGCAAGGAAGAATGTGTTCTTGACTTGTTGTCTGCATGTTGTTTTTAATGAAGAGAGAAGGTGGTTGAGTATAGATGAATGGCCTGAGATACCACTAAGCCTCTTCAGGAGGCCTGACCTGGAGGTACTTTCAGTTCCAGGGGTCTGGATGTCTGGATGGTCTATCACACCGGGAATGAGACGGCTGGTTGAATATCCTGGCTTAGGAAAGACACAGGCTAGCTCAGCTGTGGAGAGTGATTCCCACCCCTACAACTGCTTTTTGCCAAGATCAGGGATTAGGTTTTTCAACACTCTTGCCAACTGTGTTCCTGATTAACTTTGGGCTGGTGACCACAGCCTCTGACCCCTCTAGACAGACTAGGGTTGGGCTCTGTAGACTTTTTTTTTTTTCTTCAGTATTTAGGAAACCTCCTACAGGATCTATAATTTGGCCTCCACAAAGAAATTGCCCTGGGGCTGTTTTGCTCCAACTGAGAGCCAGAAACTAATGGGCTCATTAACTAATGGGCAACAAGGATTTGGCTCTGCCTGTTTGGGGAAAGTCACTACAGCCCCATAGTTATGAATGTGTTTTTTGCCACAACCTAAATAAAGTGCTGCCTCTCCCTCCCTTCCCCCCTCCTCCTCCCTCTCTCCCTTCCTTCAGAGTGAGAGGGAGTTGCAGTGAGAACAGAGGCATTGGGCAAAACACACTCTTGCAGCAAGACTTTGGACGGGGAAGGAGCTCTACGAATTTTCCTCAGGGAGGCCGGGGCTGCGCCGGGGGTGAGGATAGGAGGCACACCTGAGTTGTAATTGACGATGTCCACTCCCAGCGCTGGGCTCTTCCGCTTCCGGGGCCGCCCTTTCTGCACGGTGCCCGTACCGTTGAAGTAAGGCAGGGCCAGGCCGCCGCTCTTGGCCGCCAGCTCCGTGTAGCTCAGCTGCGGTGGATACTCTCCTTGCAAGAGGGTCTCGAAGTGGGCGCGGCAGTACACCAGGCTGTCCTTCATGCCGAAATGGTCGCCCGTGGTCAGAGTCTTGTTGCAAGTGGAGCAGGTGAAGCAGCTCAGGTGGTAGACAGAGTCTCGGGCGCGCATGACCATCTCCGAGGCGGAAATGCCAAGGTGGCAGCGGGCACATCTCTGCACAGAGAACCTTCTGGAAGGAAAGAGTTGAGTCAGGGCGCTAGTTGAAGCAAGGCAGAGCCATATCCCACCCGCGACACCTGGGTTTGGTCTGCAGTGGCCTGAGACTGGGACCTGGGAGGGTTCCAGGGGGACAGGAGAGTAGGCATTAATTTTATTTGCTCATCGACCTTTTCTGATAAACCAAGACAAAGGATCTTTACATTAAAGTCAGAAGAATCGGGCAACTAAGCCTTAGTTTTCTTCTCTGCAAAGTGAAAATTTAAAACATTAAAAAAAATTTAAAAAAGCAAACCACTAGTTAGCACTAGCTAACTCACGGTACTAGAATATTAAATTGCCATGCCAAGTGAAAACACTTAATCAATTACAAAACATATGAATGAAAGAAGATATAATTATTCCTGGATGTGCGCGGGTGTGGGAAAGCATGCGGACACAGTCCTGGAAGATGACGATTTTGTAAAGGAAAGGTTATTATTTTTTTAACAACTTATCTTGCTTGGGCTGAGAGCGGAACTAGGTCACCTGCACTTAGTCCTGTCTTTCCCAATCCAGAAACATAACTGAGAAGAATCAATAAAGACGCCTGCTGCTGATTTTCTCCAATCTGGGGGGCATGGTTGTAACTAGCGATAAAAGGAACCCGGAACTGAGTGGCTTGGGTTTTGGCAATGGCATTTATTCCTTTTCATAGTCATTTACAGAGTCTCCTGCCACCTACGAAAACCTAACACTCTGTTGCTGCTGCCCGAGCCACTAGTTCAGTTTCAAGGCGCAGAACTTGCCCAATTCGTAGCAAGCGGAAAACAAACACCCAATCAAGTCTCGGTAGACGGAGACCACGTCCATTTACTCTTCCCCAGATTTCCCCAAGTTCCGCCAGCCAAGCTGAGAAGTGATGGGAGTGCGTGGTATTCGCTGATAAAGCTCTAGATTTTTAATGTCCCTCCCACCCACCCTCACCGTCGGTCAGGGAGATTACAGCTTGAAGGCATATGCAGTGGGTTTGCCTGGTCTCCGAAATGATAACAGCACCCGGAATGGGGCAAAAGGTAGGGGACGGAGAGGGGATTCCGGGCTCAGGCAGATGGCCCCTCCAGGTGTACTCGGGCGTAGGAAGTGGGGGTGTAGGGGAGTACCTGTAGTAATCCTCCTTGCAGTAAATGCTACCGTCCTTGGCAAAGCAGGTGAGCTCGGACTCGAGGGCCAGCTTACATTCACAGCACTTCAGGCATCTCAGATGCCACTGTTTGTCCACAGCCAGCAGATAGTACCTGTCCGAGATCTTGCCCCCGCAGCCGGCGCACAGGGCGGGCTTCTCCGGGCTGAGCGGGGGCATGCCCTGCAAAGAAAGCACACCGCAAGGCTGAGGAGGGCGCGCGGTGTAGCCGCACGACGCGGGGTTCTCCCCCAGGCAGACCAAGCCCAGGGTGTGCAGGGAGAGCGGCAGGGGCCAGGGTCCACTGCACAAAGGCAAAAGTCAGGGGAAACATTTGTGATTTCTCTCTTTGCGGCCCGCTTGCTTTCTTCCGTGTCTGCCTGAACCGGCGTTCGCGTCCTCCCGGGACTACTAACCTAAAGACATCCCAGCCATCCGGAGCCTCGCTTAAAAAGGACTAGGAAAATATTGACTACAGTTTGGTGATCGTTTCCGAATTCAAATAATTACAAGCTAAAAATTGTGGTTTTCGACGCACACAAAATAAAACAACGGAAATGATAAGGGAGTGAAAAGGAAATTTCAACGAGCACAGGTTATTTTTAAACAAAAAATATTACAGTTCGATTTCTCTAAATTCTTATAAGCAGCATTGAAATCAAAAGCAAAGGGGAGATTATTGGACCTCTGCTCATAATTTGGTCGACTTTGTTTTGATTGAGATATATTTGGCAGCCCCTGCTGTTCCCTAATTTTCAGGGCTATTGGTGCCGTTCCCAATAAATGTGTAAAGTGGCTGTTCCCAAAGAGGGTCCGCTGTCCAGCCCGCTGTATACAGTCCCCTCTTTCCCTAGCATCAACAGGCGTACTGAGACCTTTGTCTTGAAAATCTGTTTAGTGCCCAAGTTATGCTTCCCTCTGGGTCCCACTGACCCGACTCGGGATGCCCCAGTGGCCCCACCTTGAGGAGCCCAGCCCCGCTGCAAAATTTGGGTTTGGGTTGCTACTATTTGTTTTTAAAAGTGATGACCAGAAAAAGGGAAAAGGAGTTAACCTCCGGACATTTCCCTCACGACTAGCAGAAATGGGTTGATCTTCCCCACGAAACTTCAGCGGGCCTGAAAAAGTAAAGTTTAGCCCTTTACTCCGACCAGGGGCCCCGGCACTGAATGAGTGTTACAAATATAGACACGTTCACCAGTTGGGCTACTTGGCCGGACCCAAAACCCAGCTGATAAGGGCTAGAGCAGTCTCCTGATTAGTTTGGGCTACAAGTCCTACTGTGGTACCAAAGGATCTACACAGCTATGTTTGGCCGAAATAATTTCCGGAGACTTCTGTAGTCCCCCCCCCCCCCCGTTAGTAATCTGGAAAGGGAAGCGCTTAGATAAGTAATTAGTTTTCTTTATTAAGAGGACATGACTTTATTATTATGGATAGTAGAAACAGTGGTGGTTGATTAGCTTGTTTAAGGGTTGGTTATAAAGTTCATGCGTTTCGACTGGGTGCCGCGCTCCTCCGTATGTTTTATTTGATTTCCCCCTACACATGACACCCGCCGGGTCCTGGCGCTAAACGTAGTGCTGTCTCCTTAGAGGGACTGAGTCGGGATGCCAGAAACCCTGAGATTCTCTCGGTTAGGGGTCCCAAGCCCCGAGCGTCTAGAGAACTGGAAATGACCCAGTCGCGTCGGAATCTACTCCACAGGTCCGGTCATCAGGCCCAGAGACTAAGGCCACCTGGGCTCCTGCTTGGCTCGGACGCCTCGGCAGCGCGCCGTCCTCCTATTGCTTATGCCCAGCTTGCCCTCGGAGCTGCGGATCCTCGCCGGGGAGACGCCTGCCCCGGAATCAAGGGAACCTTGAGGTCTGTAGAAGAGAATGCCACCACCCCCCATCCCACCTCCTCCCAGTTCCTCTCCCTGCTCTTTCGGAATCAGCTGCGACGGAGGATAGCCAGCTGCAGACATTTCGATTCAGAAAAACGACCGTTTCTTAGCCCTGTAGGCATAGGTGGACGGGAGAAAACTCACCCGCCACCCTCAAGCGGACGTCTCTACGACCCGCCGCTCCGGTTCTCCACCGGCCAGGGAGTCGGCTTGGTTTAACAGAGGGCGCAGGGGTGCCCGGCTACCGCCGCGGCGGAGCCCTTCCTTACCGCGTCGCGGCCGTTGAGCTGGGCGCCTTTGGCCAGACGGGCCTCAGTCTTGGATCTGCGCTCCATCTCCTCCATGATGCCTTGGATGTGGCCTCCGGAGATCCCGTGAAAGAGCATGGCTGGGGGGCGGAAAGGACACGAGT
Source organism: Homo sapiens (assembly GCF_000001405.40). NCBI lineage: Eukaryota > Metazoa > Chordata > Mammalia > Primates > Hominidae > Homo > Homo sapiens. The sequence goes on along the minus strand of NC_000001.11, from coordinate 197,917,854 downwards.
TGTCTTCTGCTCGGCACCCCACTATTTCCATATACACACGCCCGGGGCTTTCAGCTCATCCGAGTGAAGGAGGCAAGGGACCAGAGAGGGCTGCCCTGTAGGAGCGCAGAGACGCTCGAGGATGGAGGGAAAGAGGGAGAGAAAGGAGGAGAAGAAACAGATGGAGTGGAAATCGGTCTGCTTGGGGGGCCGAGGGGAAGCAAAAAGAACTGGGAAGAGTTGGGGGGAAGCCTCAGCGGCTCCCTGAAGGAGATGTGCAGAAAACAAACAATTCGGGCGGAGGGAAAAAGAGGCGTAGAAGGCGAATCTTACTGCTCTGAGAGATCGAGTTACTAATGGGAAACAACTGCAGCGGGGGGAGGAAAACAAAATCTGGTGAAGAAAGAAAATAGTTTTGAACACAAAGAAAGAAAAAGACGTGCTATTTTCAGCGTTCCCTGGCTGCTTGCAAGTTCCCAGTGCCTGTAGATTGGGTTGGGGACTGCTCCTGCCTGAGCTGTGTCCAATTTGTTAAGAGACTAAAGCCAGCCCATTTTTGATAATTTAGTAGGAGGAGTTCTCTCCCCGGAGCTGCCACGGATTTTTATTCAGACAACAAAGACCTGTCATACTCCTCTCAACCCCCTGGTGATGGGCAAGCAGGACAAACATTACAAAGGGGTGGGGGGATAGAGAGCGGGGAGGCAGGAGGAGGGGGCATTTACCTCCCCACAAAACACACACACGCGCGCGCGCGCGCACACACACACACACACACACACACATCCTTCCAAGAGTTCCCAGCAGTCATGTTTTAAAGGGGAAAAGGAGCTCTTGTTGTCCCCGCCCTGTTGCAGAAGGCCTAGAACCCGCCTATTTGATCCGAGTTCAAGATCAGACCTTGGCTCAGGACACAGAGAATATCAACTTCAAACTTTGGATTTCCTCCTTGTGGACTTTTTCATCCCCAGCCTGCAGGACTGTCACCCGAAATGCATAAATATTGAGCAGAAATGTAAGCAATTTACTGAGGTGGAGATAATGCTGGTTCCTCTCCTCCCCATCCCATCTTCCTCAATCCACTTTTAAAAGCAGCTGTCTGACAATTCATCTCTTTGCCTCACCTTCTTGAGGGCCGGAGACCCTACTAGATGCTGGCTTCATCCGAAGTGGAGAGGGCGTTTGGAGCGTCTGCATTTCTCAGGGTTACTTTTGGCAAAACAATTTTCTTTGAGAAAATTAGAGTGTAGGGGACAGGGCATGGACCTGTACACACGGGTACGCAATTGCGCCTTGGCCATAGGGCGGCTTATTCTCTTCCCCGGTTCAGGTTTGAAGGAAGGTTGCCGGAGATTCTAATGTCTCATTTGAAGCTTGCCAATATAGGAAGCGACTTGCGGACTCCCGGGAGCTTGGCGCCTGCCCCCGCAGGACTGGGCGCTAGCCCCATCGCGTGCTTCTCCCACTACCCTGGCAGGACAGAGGACTTGTAAAACTGGGCGCACCCGCACACTCAGAAGGGTGTGAAAGGGACTCTTTGCCGTGGAGGAGGGGAAGGTGAGAACTGACAAGCAGAATGGCAGACCTGCTCCTCACAAGAGGTGGGATTGTTCTGTCGCCCTCAGTTCTCGGCAGCGGCGGCCCCTCCCCGGCCCCATTAAAAAGTGTCCACAATACTCTGATATTGTCGATTCATTCAAACGGCCAGAGGCCCCCTAGGAGTCCGAAGCACAGCGCTGCGGCAGGAACCAACGCGGCTTTACCCAGAGAGGAGGACGCGCCGGCCGCTCTCTGTTCCTTCCGTCCCCTTCGTCAGCCTGCGTTCCCCACTACTTCCCGCCGCCTTTCCCAGGACTGCGGTGCCTGTGTCCTGGCACATCCTAGATACCTCACAAGAGCCGCCCGGCCGCAGACCCGCTTCCCTCCGCCCGGGGGAGCCCGACCGGGAACTGTGGCCAAAGCTAGAAAGATGACGGGAGAAAAGCCAGGGAGAGAGGGAGAGAGGGAAGAAGGAAAGAAAAAAAGAAGTGAGAGGATGAGAAGAAGGGGAAGGAAGGAAGGCAGAAATAAAGCGAGAGAGGAAACGACCCCTGGTGCAGCAGCCTGACTTCCTGTCCCAAAGCGTTGTCTTCTGAGGCTCCTGGAGTGACCTCTTCCATGAAACTGAAGACACTACTGCTTCCCCTCCTTTTTTCTCAGGGTCAAAAATAATGTTATTTGCAGACTGGACGCAGTTTAAGTCCTCCGGGTGCCAAAATGCAGCTCATAAAACGCAATTTCACACAAAAATGAAGCCAATCAAGTGAACTAAGCTGGAGACATCCCCCTCCTCCTTACTTTGGCAGCTATACCTGACAGCAGGGCTGCTATTTACTGTAAGTAATGTAATTAGCCCCTTTGGATGGGAATCAATGAGCTTTTCAAACCCACGTGCACACAAGAAGGGCCCTGAGGAGGGGCTGGGGGCAGCAGTCCTTTCAGAGACAGCAGGTCCTCTCACAAAAGGGCAGATTGCCTTCACACAAGTCAGAGGCTAAACTGGCTCAGAGCTGGAGGAGGAGAGGGAGAAAGAGGAGGAGGAGGAGGAGTCTCTGAGAAGTCCCCTCAGTCAATTCACCCAAGGAAGCTCCAAGCAAAAAGTAAATACAGGACTTCAACCTACTTTGTCTAGTTTCTGTGCTAAAACCTCTCCCAACCCCCAAATGGGGGTGTTTGAAATTAGGTTTGGTTCTTGTTGCATATTGCCCCTGCTCAGCAAAATCAACAATGAAGAACCCAAGAATACCACTGCTTCCTTGCAAGAGATAAAACTTTGGAGACTGCATGCAGGGAAAGTTAAACAACTCCAGGAAAAAGCCAGAACTTTACAGCGTCTCCAGGGAAGCCAAACACAGAGGTTTTGTAAGCCCTCCAATCATCCATTCATTCTTCTATTCCACACAAGTTTGTTAATCATCTAGGTACAGGCAAGGCAGAACACCTTCTGCAATCAGTTTCCAAGTTGAATCCTAGCTATTCCTGCTCTTATAAAACTCAGGTTATAAGTTCCTGCATCCAGTGGCATTTGCTACTTCCTGTAAAGAAGCAAACTGCCAGGATTCTTCCTTCTCAGTGAACGCAGGAAGTCTGGAGAAAGCTGGGGGTGGGGTGGGGGTCAGCTGGAGTTTGGGAGGTCCTTGTTAGCTCTGCGGAAATACGTCCCCATGGGTCCAGCCCTGCCTTCTCTCACAGTTCCTAAGGAGGAAGCCCAGGAAGGGTGGGAAGGAATGCCCTCGAATTGGGTGTGTGACCCTGGGTTTTCTACTCTTTTTGTCTTGGAGCCCCCAAGAAAGATTGCCTAAGAGCTCCCCGCTCCTCATTCTCAAAGGACTTTAAATAAGCACTTTAAATAAGGAAAGCATCTTTGTACCTCTGCTTTCTTTCACCTCTCCAGCAGAGGGGCTGAGGCCCGGTGGCTGGGGACAAAAAAAAAAATGTTCCCCCTTCTCCCAGCTGTAGTCTGAATGGCCCGCAAGTGTTCCATAAAAATTACAGTGTTCATTTTTTCAGTTCCTGAGCTGAGGGACAGGTGCATGTGGTTCTCTCTAGCCTGCGTCGGGGATAAGATCTTAAGTCTCCTCTAAATTCAAAGTTCTACCAGGTATAATGGGGCAGGTCCCTTGACCAGCACTGCTCTCCCTCACAATTGAGCACACGCAGTCCACTAAGCTTTCTTTCCTTTCTATTCTGACAGCACCCATCCCGCTACTGTTGCCGCTTTTAGGAAAGTGGACGGCCGGACTATAGTGGAGCATAATAGTTGGAACTGAGAGTTCGGGATCTTAGAATCTCTATGAAGGTCAAAAAGACTGCAGCGCCCTTGTCGCCGGCTCAGGTGGGTCTACATGGGCAAAGAACCCGAGCCCAGTAGAATTCCCTAGGGGGGAGGAAAGGGAAATTAAACCCACAGAACAGTTAGGGTTGAGAGGGAAGAAGTAACCCAACAAATGTGCATATTTTGAGAGCAAAGGTGACTTAAGGTCTCTCTCTACCTGAATTTTGGAGGCCATGATTCTGCGCCTCTAAGTTTGCCCTTTAAGAAGGAGGCGTTACCTTTCCTCCAGACCCTGTTAAGCTGGTTAAGGAGCCCCTTCGGTTTGAAAGGCGCGGCTCTTAAAACAGTATCCAGCGTCTGGCACTGTCCTGAGCACCCAAGGCCCAGTGAAACGTCAGCGTCAGCCTGAGGCTGGGAACCATGCGTTCAGTGCCGCGCCACCTGGCCCTGGATGCCCGGGCTGCGCTGGATGGAAGGTGAGCGGATTGCCGGGACACGCTGGGGCCTTTCTCCAGACAGTGGAGACTGAGATACTCCATGTGGAAAATTTCCCCCTACACTGAGGTTGGCAGATCCATACTGGGGCTGCTGCACGGGCGCACTTCTGATTCAGTCCTACTAGGGGATCCTCCCTCAAGACAAATGGGAGTCAGCCAAGCAGAGCTGGGATACGGGGAGTTCGGCTGCCTGGAAAGGGGTACCCGAGGCCACGCTCCAGCTGCGCACCCTTGCCAGCCTTTCGCTGGGCGGTACTTCCCGGCCAAGGCCCTGCCCTTTCGCGCGTTCTCTGCCTACCCTCACCCTTCGCGACAAAAAAAAAACCTCTCGCCAGCTTTTGCTTCCTTCAAACCTCTGTTCTCTATAGCCCCTGGGCTCTTCTCCCCAAAGGGGCCTGCGCCAAGTCTAGAATACAGCTCTTCTGAAATCTGATGCTCTTTTACCTGAGATTTGTTGCGCCGCCTGCCCTCAGCTCTGCAGAAATAAAGGGAGAAGTCCCGCACTGCGTCCGCTGAGATCAGGCGCAGAAACGGCTGCGCTGGGTTAGGACTGAACAACAACAAAAAAATGTGGGTGAAGCCAGTTTCCAGTTAACCCCTACACGTGTGAGAAACAGTGTCTTCTCGGCCCCCCTTCCATCCCTTCCAAGAAAGAGACACCCCCAGCAGCTCCCCGGAGGGTCAGGAGCGCGTCCCTGGAGCCACTGACTACTGGAGGATCAGTGGAACCAGGACCTCTGCCTGGCGCCCCGGACACTGATCCTGAGGAAAGTCAAAGACAGTCAAAGAGAAAGGCAAAAGGAGGGTTTCAGGAGTCCTATCAGGAGACTCTGAAAGAGAATGTGTATTTTTGAGCCTACGAAGCGCGGTTTAATTTTTAAGACAAACACACACTCCTCTTCGTTCCACCCAACGAAGGCGCACACACACGCACACACACTCACATGGTATACGCACTGGCCCAAGGGGCAGAGAACATCAGAAGGAACCTGGCACATAACTCACCTGCCTCTAGAGTGGTACCGTTCAGCATTCTTAGAGGAAAAGGAGTGGATCACGCCGTAATGGTGGTTGCACTGGCAGAGAAAAGCCGGGAGTCAGACCGGCGGTACGGCCCGGCTTCCCCAAGCACCTCCTCCCATCCGGTGGGGCGCGTCCAAACCGCTCCTCCCGTGGAGACCTCAGGTAGGGACGCGGCTTGGAGCAAAGCCGGGCCTTCCTCCGGTAGGCTCCCAAGAAGTCCCTGAAACTCCCGGGCGTCCGGGCGCACTCCGAGGGCAGAAAACTGCTCCGACTAAAATATCTCCATCAGGGTCTTACCTTGATGTCCAGATGTCAGACGTTTCCCCAACTAGAACTCGGTTCTCGGCGGGAGGCGGCGGCCAGAGGTGCGGGCCAGTCCCTGCGTCTCGCTGAGGGTCCCCCTGTTAATCCAAATAAATAAATAAAGCATTGGATGAAAATTAATTTCTCCCTTCTCTCTCTCCCCCACCCCGTTGGAGTTGATCTGTTTCCCTCACCTCTGACCCTTAGCTCTCTCCACCTGTCTTTTATTTTCTGTTTATGCTTCCAAATCGGGAGGGGGAGGAGGAAGGGGTGGGCAGAGGGCACAGACGCGGGCCGGTGCCCAGAGAAACGCTCTGAGGTTGCGTTCAGCCCTTCCAGCCTCTCAATAATCAGAGGAGGTGTTAATGGAGGACTCGGCGGTAACTGAACCTCATAAAGCCCAGAGCGTCTTGAGGCTGGGGCGCAGCAGGGGGACTGGAGTCCCGCGGCGTGCCCTGGGCTCCCGGCCCCCCAGCCAGCTTTTGCCTCCCTGCAGCTTGTACCTAAAAGATGCTGCCGCCAGCTGGTGCTTGCATAGACGGTGAATGGGCGGTAGCTCCTGCGGGGAAACTAGGCTAAGCCATTGATTGTTCACCCACCGCGTCCCCGCCTTCCTGTCCCGGTCCCTCCTTCACTCCCCTCGCTCCCGGGCTGGGTATCAGGAACCCAGCACTCGGGAGTATTCTGCGCTCGAGGTCGGCGTTCGAGGCCGGGTCAACGAGAGAGCCGGGGCATCTCTTCCTCCCGGGACCCGGCTAGGGGATGGGGGTGGTGATTAACCTTCCGGGAGAAAACCCTCACTTGGACCCGGGCAGGCAGGGGTTAGAGGGGATGCAGCCAGACCCGGGACGGGGCGGAGGCCACATTACCTGGTCGCAGGTTCCCAAGGGGCTGTGTTGCCCGGGGCGCAGTCAGGCCGCGGGAAAGTGGAGGGAGGACCTGGAAGCTGGGCCTTGGGCCAGTTATTTACCCATTCCCCCACCCGGTGCGCCCCTCACAGTCGGAGATGGGGTGGCAGGGGATTACAGCAAGGCTCCCGCGCCGGTAGGGAGGAGAGTATGAGCAGTGAGATTGACCGTTCCAAGATGCTGGTCCCGGTGATGGTGCCGCCCTGCCTACCCGCCCCTCCTCCACGTGCCACCATAGCTACTCCTTGGCGGTGCGTGGCGTGGGTCCAGGGCGCAGTGGGGGGGGGGTGTGGGGGGACGCCCGCTTGCCTCCCAGCCGCTTGCGAAAACCGCGTGGGATTGCTGCTGCATGTGGGGCACGTGGGAGTGGATGCCGCCTCCACGCCTGACCCACAAGCTCCGCCATACAGTTTAGGGTCGGTAAGGAACAAACCAGGAGCGGCGAACCCCCTGGCTTTCTCTTTTCATCCCAAATCCCGAAATGTAGCTCGGAGCACCTCCTACAAGATCTCTGTTTCTACCCAAACACTTGGCTTCGCTAACTAGTCCCACCAGCCCGGTCAGTCCCACCAGTTTACCTTTTAATCTCCCCTACACCTGACTTTCCTCTTTCCGCCCTGGCCTCCTTAGCTCTTTCTTCTAGAATCTCCCCTATATCGGTCAGGTTTCGCAGCCAGGAAGGGACAGTCCTCCCGGGTTCATCTTCTATGCTCATCAGCGAGGCCATCGAATGGATGGACGGCGATACCCACCCGAAAACGCTTGGGTGCTTTCAACTCATTCCTGTCGAAAGCAACCGGGTTTAACCTCTTTGCGGTCCAATACCGTTCTAGGTATTTGGTAACGACATGCATTCTATACACACACACACACACACACACACACGCAGGCGCACGCACACTGAAACGCGCACCAAAGCTCACACTTTAGAATACAAATTTCTGCTAGGAGGATGTGGTCGTTAAGGATCTTCCAATTCCTCTAGAGTCCATGATTCTTTGGTTAACACTGTCTTTTATGCCTGCAGTGTCAGGAAGGAAAGCCGTGAATCTGTGCGTTTTGTGTCATGAGCCCAACCTCGAAGCTGTTTGTGGGGACAGAGGTCAACCCAGTGCCCTGGGCACCCCAGCACACATCAGAGCATCCAGAGGTCCAGGGTACGCTGGACATTCCAGGGATAGCTCAGTCTCTGGCTAAAGACAGCTGCGTGTTCTTCCCCAACCTTTTTCTCAGAAATCAGGCTCTTCACAGAGACTCGCAAAAAGGATGTAGACTTTCTCTGCCCTCCACCCCCGACTTAAATATCTTACTTTTTTAATGATGGGAGAGGAGTTTTGGTATCCAGGATTATGTCTTAATTTTTGCATGATAATGAAAAAATAGCACCGATTTTTCACTTCTCCACCACAGACATCCATTCCACAAACTCAAGCTATGGCTTGAATGTTAGAAAAGATGAAATGGCAGGTGTCAGCAAGGAGTGGAGGGCGAGGTTCCTTTTGCACTAGCCAGGGGCTGTGGGATCTCAAAGTGCTCATAGGAAGGCAACATGCCAATTGCCATTTGTCTGGTAGTGAGCTCTCTTCTCCAGCCTTGTCTGGAGACAAATCTAAGATCCGCAGATTTCTGACAGTGTAACTGTGTGTGCGGAATAGACTTTGCCAGTGCCTTTGGAGAAGGGGTGCTGCGCTGGAACAAAGACCTGCGCCAGGCCCAGAGAGCGCCTCCACTTCTCAGGGCGCTGTCTGTTTCAAACACACCCTGTTTGAAAACCTTAAATTTTACTTGAAAAAAATAAAAGCCCTTCTCTTCCCTGCTCTGAATAAACAGTGGGGGCAGTGCTGCTGCTTGAAGAGACAGGAGTGTGCATCATGATCCACCTGCCACGACAATCAACGCTGCAGGAATCTGTCTTCACACCCCACCCTGGCAACCCTCACAAGATTCCCCAGTTTCCATTGGGTCGTTTCACATACGAAACAATCTAAAAATCATTTTCCCTTGATTTATTGCACCCTGGGGCAGAAGGAGTCTCCAGAAACCTTGAAAGTGAAGCAGCACCAGAGTTGATTTAAACTCTAAAGTCTCTATTTCTTGGCATCCACATGTGTTTGTATACACACACCTAATAAGAAACCTGAATTTTACTTTACAATGTGCAAATACAATATAGCTTAAAGCTCTTACAGGGAGACCCATTTATGTGGCCATATTTTATTTAATGTGGGAGCACTCGCCCCCGCTGCCACCTCTAACGTGTAGTTCGCATGCATTCCTCTAGAACTACAGCAAACTTCAGCCCTCCTTCTGGCTCCAGGAGCACGGAAGACTATAAGCATCTCTCTTCCCTAGTCCCCGCCGCAGCCCTCCAGCGGCTCCTTTGCTGTTCTTGCCCTCAAGGCTTGAAGTTCTGCCAGGAAGAATTGCGGGTAAGAATTACGAACGTCCCACATCAGGGTCCTCCGTGACAAACATCCTTTCTTTTTCAGCCAGTTTCCTACTACAGGAAGTGCGCTGGGAAGAGGCAAGAGCTGCGGGTAGGAAGGAGGCATCTTTCTACCTGCTAAGGGGCTTTCTCAGAACAGTCTTACTTCAGACCCCTTTTCAAAATGAATTTCCTTTCTTCGTTCCACCATTCTCCAGAAAGATGACATTTTAGACTCTTCTCTCTTGCGGGGGGAGGGGGCTGTTAAAGAAACACTATCTATCTATCCCACACACAGAATGGAGCAGAAAACATGGAAATAGCTGGTTGCTTCTTGACCAAAAAATGGAAAGGAAACTGGCTCCCAGGAATCCCTATGCTTTTCTGGAAAACTGCTTCAATTATCACAATGCTGATCACCTTCTCCTACTCCTCTAAAAGCAATTTCCAGATAGGACAGTACCAGTCCACAGACACTACTCTTTTACATCCTGCTGTTACCTCTCAGGGCTCATGGGCAGTGTTACTTGGGCACCATGGTTAGAGCACCAGCAAAAGTAGGGCAACAAAAAAGCCAACAATTTGGGGAGACATTTTAATAGTTGACATTTAAAAATAAAAGACATAATCAGGAGGAAAATTAGAACTTTATTGGGCTTCTTCTCACTCATTTCACGGTTAAGAATGGCTTTTATTTTGAATTGAATGTGGGAGAAAGTACCAAAACCTTTTGTTTGCTTAAGATTTCTAAAGCTCTTATTTGGGCCACAGGCAGAACCTGAGGCAGACCCCCGAGATGTCTGAGAACCTTTCAGATTCCACTGAGGGAAGGCTGGGAGTCAGCTCTGGGCAAAGCCAGTCTTCCAAGTGGGAAGCACCCACATTTTTCTGAGTAGCTGCAACTGGTTAGCAAAGGGTTTCCTGGGGACTGCTGTCCTCATAAGAAGCAGACAAGGTGTGGAAAGAAGCTCCTGTAAGCTCCTGACTCAGGCTGGAGACTGATGCCCAGGGGCATCACCGTGGTGAATGAAAAAGTGTACAGCTAATAAAATGTTCAAAGATAGATTTGCCTAGGAAGTGCCAAAAGAAATACAGGAGGAAAGGGTGGGGGAGAAAAGAAAGGATGGTCTAAGTGACACATCTTCAGCTGCCTGACCCTCAAGTCAAAATGATTTAAAGTTTTTATTGAAAGAACAGATGGAAGATGAGAGCATTTCTTGATGCAGGATGGCACTTCTTGGGCACTCACATGCTGCACGATATATTATAATCTCCGTATAGCTCAAGATATAAATAAAATGAAGAATATATCAAAACTCTTCTATTTGCCAGCAACCTCCCTGGGATTGCTAACACTGATGAGAAAACAGTAGGAGAACGGAGGCTAAGAAAAACCAAGAGCTACTAATGTGACCCGATTGCTACTATTTATTTAATGGAACAGCCATTATTTTTCTTCAACATATGTGTCTGATAATGAGGCAAAAAGAAAGGAAAATAACGATCAATGTGCCATTTCAGAAACACACAAACATTTGTTAGCTTTTTCATTTTATTGATGTTCTTTTAATATATGTATTTAGGATTAAACTAGTGTTCAAGTACTAATAATCCAGCAATTCTGAATTGGGGCTTTATTTTTTAAAAAATACAAGCACAGTTAGGGAACAGAGATGAAATTCTTGTCAAACATAAAAATATGAATTGAATTGCTTCTTTTTAGATGGATCTTTAACATTGACTTGACCATATGGACACTGCAGAAGAAATAAAACAAATTATTATTAAATTATTTAACAATCATCTTGAAAAAGCACACTTCTCATGGTGACAAAAAGAGACTGTTAACAATTTTATATAGATCATTTGAACTATCAGGTCCTGCAGACTAAGAGAAAAATATTGGCAACCTCAGGCAAATGATCCTAATTAGGGTCCAAGAACCATTTCCTAAATTCATCCTTCCAAATTTAAGAATTTTACTGTCAAAAAATCCACTTTTAGAAAATCCTCAAATCCTCAATTTACAAAAAGCTCTTATGCATTTGATTAGAAACAGCTAAGGGCACAGGAACATACATAAAACGGAAGGTTTAATTTTTAATCCTGGCTACAGTTAATACATGCATTTAGTGTCTATTCTTTAATTATAGAGTGGCTAGTTAAAGGAAATTACACCTTCTTGCACCAAAACATACAAAGTGTTCTGTAAACAGAGGTTGTTACTGTTTATAATCTTGACCCTATAACAATTTACCTCACTACTATGCCTTTAAAAAGTAATAGTGAAGGATTCATTCCCATTTATTTTTTGCTTATAATAAGGAAGGAGAGGTTTGTTTATCTTAATTAGTGAACATAGAGAGGTATCTATTGAAATAAACATTTTAGGAAATGTACAGGCACTACATGCAGTATAATCTAGTTTCACAGTTATTTCAAACACAGACTGGAAAAGAGCCACAGAAAGGACCAGAGAGAGGAAGGTGGTGGCGGGGGGTGGGGAACAGAATGAGAGAGAGAGAGATGGAAAGAAGACAGGAAAAAAGGGAGGGAGGGAAGGAAGGAAAGAAGAAAAGAAAAAATCATTATCTGAAGGAAACCTACCTCTCAATGCTGGGCGAGTTTCTATTTATTCAACTAATAAAGAAGAGGGATCTCATCTGCAACATTCTAGATTTCTTTTCCTGCCCTCTTTGTACTTGCCTAATGAAAACAACTTATTTGAAACCCCATGAAAAGTTTCCTTGTAATAAAGAGCTCCCATGAATTTCAAATCACAGCATTTCAAGGAACTGATGCTCACAGTGAAACTTTACAAAATTCCATTAACTTTAAAAGTCCTATGTTGGTACTAAGGACTTCATTGTCGTTGGCTAAAGTAGCTTGTGAAAAGTTCACTCCAGGTCTATTTGGTTTTTTATTTGACTTGTTGTTCAAATAATAGGTATTTACGAAGTTACAGAAGCACCGCAAACTGCTGCTGTAATGCAAGAATTGCTACTCACATGTCTGCACGCAGAGCCACAACATTCACCTCTTTGCAAGTGGGCAATCTGTGTGAGCACCACATAGCCAGTAGCTGGATCCACATAGTTTAGCTGGCCAGCCTGAAGTGCAATAAAATGAAACAATTCATTAATCTCAATATTCATCATATCTCTTCACCATAATGTCTACACATAAAATACTGCAGAAAAATTTTAAACAATATTAAACTTCTTCCCAGCAGTTTTAGTGGCACTTGCAATTAAAGACCAAATGCACTCCAGCATTATACACAATCCAACTTTATGTGACATAAGGAGAAAATATACAGTTTGAGAAAAATGAGAAGTTGATGGAAAAACAAGAACTCCTCTGTACCTAATAACTATGTAGCCACTGCTCTGATATTTTTCATTTGGTTTCTAGGTAACAAGCTTAATAACAGGTGATTTAAATGATTTTAAGAGCTTAAGAGGCTGAAAATGAACTTTCACTCAGAAGTTGCAGTTGGAATTTCAGTACTTAAAATATGTGGATAATGATTTAAACTTACAGAAAAGGCGCTAATCAAAACCAACGGTCCTTATAGAAAAGTATTACCTTTGCTATTATTGAACACTTTCTTTACCTTCATGTGTTACTTCATTGCACATTTTATACTATTTTTTTTTTTGCTGGTGTGTTATTAGTTGTATTTTTAAGTGAAAAAAGTATTGTTTTAACATATTAACACTCACAGCTTTCACAAGTTTGATCAAAAGAAACTTTTATTGTACTATTTCAAATGTCAAGGAAGTATATTCTATCTACATTCAAACATGACTTAAAACGGTGTCTCAAGTACTTTGTGGGAAGGGAAAAGTAAATAACATAATCTTTTCTGTGGATTTGGGTCTTTGGGGTGATATTACTTAGCCTTGGGTTTTTGTAGAGGAACTCCCATGGACTTTTTGTATAACCTTTTTACCACGCAGTAACTCAGTGCATCAATCTTGTACAGAGTTTTTTTCATTAAAATACACATGAAACTTGCATGTCTTCTGACAAACACATTTTTGTATGAACCACCAACAACTTCTTCAGTGTCTCATTTAATGGCAGAATATTTTATTCTGGTTGAGGTTTTAACCCAATATGTTTCATGAGAAAAGTGTGTAGCAAAAGGACGGGTACAGTTGAAATCTAGCCTCACTCTAAGGCATCCCAGCAAAGCTAGAGCAGGACAGGGCAGCAGAAATCCGAGCAAGTCCCAAGGCTGGTCTGAGAGAGACTTCCCAAGTCCAGGGAGACCACAGAAGCAGATTACATGAAATCAGGAGCACTCAGCACTACCTTAGAATGACCGATTGTCAGGGCCTCACTTCTTTATTTATTTACGAAGCTCGTGTTTGGAGACTTGGAAGAAAAACAAAAAAACACTAGGAACTCTGTAGCAGGCTTCTTTTTACTTTTCATAGCTTCTGGGAGTCTTCTGAGGGCAATTATCTGGCAACCTGGAAGCCTAACAGATTGCTCCTGCGCATGCCCCTGCTCTACAGCTTTCCATGTTGATTGAGCACCTCTGAGCTTGCTGGCTGCCCACACAAACTTAATTTGTCCTCAGTAAATGAGCCTCACGTAATGGTGGCCACAGACAAAGATGAAGCAAGGGTGCTGACAGTTTGACTGGAGAGCAAGATGCTCAGTGATGCGCATCGGTACCCGGAGAAAGGTAAGAGAGCTATCTGCTTTGAGGCTGGAAGAAGGACCATAGTGAGGGGGCTCAGATTTGTCGAAAAAGAAAAACAAGCAGCTTGTTATTTACTGGGCTTACTTATGGTCACCTGGATAGTCATTTAACCTGTGATACTGACACTGATGAAACAAATGTGAATTTCCCGAGTGAGAAAAAGTTCCTTTCCTTCCCTAGACTGATTGAAAATTTCTTCACATGATACTGGTGTTTGCTCTAAGGAGAATGACACTTTTCTTTAATATCCACCATATCTATATTGCGAAGTATGAGAACAAATTATATACATTATTTTTAAAAGGAGAGCATAAACAAGAACAATCAAAAGCTGCCAGTCACTTCCTAATGAGTCTTTATTCAGTTTCAGCACTTGAATGGGTCAGACCGACAGTGGATTCTCAGGGCCTACTAACTGTCATTATTTAAATAAGTCAATTTTAGGCAACCTCCGGGATTTTCTTCTCTACCCCTTTGGCTCAAGTCATACCATATAATATTAGTCCCATCAAGTACTGGAGGCACACACACATAGCTTATTAAATGGGTTCATTTCATACTGCTTTTCTATCTTTATTATAGTCAGTTTCTCTTTTTTTCTCACTGTTTCTTTTGTAAAGGTAACCATGCTGCCTTTAAACTCACGCAGACTGTGTTAGAAGGCGTAAAGGGAGAGAAGTTTAGATACTGGTACTAACAGACAATTGTCAAATCCGCAAAACAGGAGAAAACAGCTGAGTGTCTACAAATGCCAGATTGTAGTTCCCTCTGCTCCGTTAAGAGTTAAGAGAAAGGACAAGAAGGCAATGGAAAAATTAAAATAAATGTGTCAATGTCTTTTTTTCTCACTCTAAGAATCACTGGATTGCTAAGTGTTCAACTGACAATGCAGAAAAACACACAACACATTTTTGTTGTGACTTCTCAGTCCCTCCACCTTCTCCATCAATTCCTTAACACCCCCTTCCGCAACACACACACACATACACCACAAAAGAGTGGTAGTGGGTCCCACACTGCGACCGGAGTTTAGCTCGGACGCTGATCGGAAAACAAATCACACTCATACTCAAGACAGACACAGGTTTCCCGCGAAAATGTCGGGGCTGGAAGTTCGTGTGCGTGCGCGAATGTCGCCCGAGGCAGGACCGCACCGGTATCCAGCAACCTTTGCCTCTGCCGGGCGGCCTCCGGGTCCGGAGAGGCCCGGGATGCGCAGGCGCGCCGAGCCCGGGGCGGCCGCGGCGGGGCGGGGCGGGCAGGAGGGAGTCTCACCGCGCAGGCGGCAGCGTGCAGCTCCGCGATCTGTCGCTCCGCCGCGGTTAACTCTTCGCTCACCGAAGGCCTCGCCGCTCTCTCCGGCCTACCGGGCGTGCTGGGCGCGGAGCCGCCGCAGTTTCCCTCGTTAGCAGGGCAGAGGGTTAAGCTGAGCTGCTGTCGGAACCCAGCTCTTACCCAGAGAGGTGCTGGCGGCGGGGCGGCGGAAGGTTGCCTGCAGAGCGCGGCACCCGTCCGTGCCCAGATCTGCCTGGCCGCCATGCCGCCGCCGGCCTTGGGAGGCGGAGCACCCGGCGCTGGGGCCCGGAGGGGCGACCAACGCGGGCCTGGGCGCGGCGAGCCGGTCTTGGGCAGCTCGTGGCCATCGCTGCGTGGGGTCGGTTCGCGCTGCCGTGGCAGCAGGTGGAGGCGGACGGACTGAGCCTTCTGCCTTCACCAGCGGGCCCGCTGCGGAAATAAAATGGGCTTTTAAGGCAGCTAACGAGGCTCTGATGAGCTGCCTGGACGGGGAAGAGCCTGGTGTTTCCACATCTTTGGACTTAAATTCTAAGCTCTTCCTTCTTCCCCCGCGCCCACCCAGCTGAAAGGTGGACATTTTTTGTTATGTCAGACTGGACTTGGGATCATTCAGTATAATCTCCACAACTGTTAAGATCCCAGAAAGTGATCAAAAGACCCGAGGTTTGTGAATAACCACCTTGGGCCTATCCAGAAAAGGCTGAGTGTTTCCAGGTAGTATGTGATAGGAATAAAGGTGGAAGCGGAGCCTTCTTTGCTTGGTTCTTTGGCCCACCCTAGAATAAGGGCCAAAAGTAAAATCGCACACTGAATAAGAAAAGGTGTTGTGTTCATGTTGCTGAATATTTACAAAATCCAACCTAAAACTATTATCTCCTTTCTGATGGATGAAAGTGATCTTGATACCGTCACATAATTGTATTTGAGAAAATTACGGCAAGCCCGGGAAGTAATTTCAGGTGTTAGGATTAAATTAACACCACCCCATCTTCCTACCCCCCGTCTGGGTTTCAAGAAAAGGAGGGCTGAAGAGTACCAATTTTGTTAGTGCTCTTCAATACTGGGAGGGCAGGAATTGATCTTTGAGGACAAAAGTAGATTATTCAGTTGTACAGGAGAAAGGCGACTAAGCCACTATAGACCATCACTACGTGTTTTTTGGTTTCTGTGTTTACCATGCAACCCTGTAGTCATATTTTCATTTTCTTAAATCTTAGTAGGAGGTGATTGAAACAACCCTATTGGTTCATTAAAAATCTCAGTGAATTAATAAATTGGTATTATATTTTGCAAATTGATTTTCTTTTTGTTGGAATAAAAAATTAGGATCTGGAGACTGTTAAGTAATCTGAGGAGAGTTTAAAATCTGGAAAGCGAAGGAGGGACCCTAGAGAAAGCTGTGGAAGAGTGGGACCAAACATGAGATCACCAAAAATGAACAACTGTGATGTTATTCACATTCACCATAAGTCAGGTCCCCGCACCAACAAAAACCTGAGATTGATTTACTGCATTGTCTTTAAAATTAAGGATCAGGATCCACTAATAGGCCATGACATCGATTCAAAGGGTAGAGACAGCATTTTACAGGAATGAAATAGACTAGACCAGATTTAAATAGAAAATAAATGGAACTATCTTATATAGATACATATCTTATATAGATACATATGTACAAGAGTACATATTGTTACATGAAACTTCTTTTGGTGAAGATGAGAGGGTGGAAGTGGACTGTACAGGGCTTGAACAACAGAGATCTTGTAGGTAACAGAATAATTCTGTATCTTGACTATGATGATTACAAAAATTTACATGTGATAAGATGCCATGGAGCTATACATACATTGTTTTAATGTCAAATCCCTGGTTTTCATATTGTAAGCATGTAAGGTGTAAGCATTGGGGGAACCTGGGTGAAGTAAACACAGTACCATATCTGCAACTGCATGTGAACCTGTAATTATTTCAAAATTTAAAAACAGTATTTTTTTTTTTGAGACAGAGTCTCACTCTGTTGCCAAGGCTAGAGTGCAGTGGTGCAGTCATAGCTCACTGCAATCTCTAACTCCTGATTTCACGTCATCCTCCTAGCTCAGCCTCCTGAGTAGCTGGAACTACAGGTGTGTGCCAACATGCTTGGCTAACTTTTTATTTGTAGACATGCGGTCTCCCAATGTTGCACAGGCTGCTCTTGAATTCGTAGGTTCAAGGGATCCTCCCGCCTCGGCGTCCCAAAGTGCTGTGATTACAGGTGTGAGCCACCACACCTGGCTTAAAAACAGCAATTTTAAAGAGATGTAGAAATGGATTTCAGATTATTTGGTAAGGAGATTACTGAATTAACCAAAATTAACCTTTTTTTTTTCTGTCTTCTCCATTCCCAGTGTCATTTAGATGTTGAATAGATTACCTGCCCCCTTCAATTTTCATTTGATCGTCATACTTTAGAGCCGGTGTCATTTCTCACCAAGTAACTTTCATTCATTATGTCTCTTGTTTTAGAAAGCCTCCTCAGGGCTTTACCCTTAGCTTATTCTATCATGTGTTCATTTCTCAGATTCTCTGTGCTCAAAGTAGACAAAACTGTATGAAAGTGGGGCACTAAGTCCCACCTTAGAGTGGTACATAAAGTTTGAACTTTATTTACAAAGCATTTACATTTAGATTTGCTCTAGAAAGAGTCATTTTGTGCCACAACTCTGTGTGTAACATGTAATAGTTGATATATTTTATAACATTTATTATATCATTTGGGATACTTGTGTTAACATTGAACATGCTTGTTATGATGGAGGTGAGGTGATCAGAGAAATGCCTTCCCCTAGATTTCATTGATATTAATTTTTAAATAGGTATATTAGGACTCTCTAGGTTGCAAGATATAGATTATACAACTCAATCTGGTTACAATAAAAGGAATGTGTTTGCTCATATAACCATGAAGCATGACTTGATTCAGGATTCACCAGGGCTTGGTTTTCATTTTTCTGCTTAGTCTCTTCAATGCTAATTCTCTTTTCAGGCAGGTGTTTTTCTCATTGGTGAAATATAGCTGCAGACAGCTCCCATGGTTTCATCCTTTCTGGTCCTTGTCCAAGTTAAAAAAAAAAAAAAAAAAAAGAGTCCTGTTATGAAGCTCTAGGATAAGAGAAGCCCTTTTTCCCTTCTGAAAGTCCCGTCAGCCATATCTTTATCATGTGCCCATTTCAGAACCAGTCTTTTGAGTATAGATTATACTTAAGCCAATCAGGGCCTATCCCTGGATCTGCCTATGGGCAACCAACCCAAACCTATTGCTGAAAATGGCCTGTATTAGTGCTGAGGACACAGTTCACAAAAGTCCACTACAGCGTGACTTTCAAAAGCAAAGAAAATTCCACCAGCCCACCCAGTCCTTTTTAATACTTAGTATTTAAATGTTCATTTTTAAAGTTTTTTTATGTTCCTCTGTCCCCTCTAGAAGCCTTCCTTTTTGATTTCTCACAATTATTTGTGCCATTTCAACTTTTTATATTTTTTGCATTGTTTTCCCAACAGATCATAAGATAATAGGGAACATGTCATTTTCATCTTTTTATCTCTACAGCCCAACTTGTACTTCTGCAGAAAGTATTATGGCACATAGTGAATAATGAATAATGAATTTTTGAATGGATAAATGAGTCAGCAGTTTTTTATTCTCAAATACATATTCCTAATTACTGGACAAAAATGTCATGAAATTTTAATATTAAATTTCTATACATAGTATTGCATATTTGAACATATATAGTTGCAAATATTTCTTTAAAAAACTAAGTGAAAAGAGGTACTAAATCTGAAATCTTATTAAATTATATTATTAAATAAAGCGAGCTATTTTACTGACAGACAAGACAGATGCATATATTAAATGATCTGATCTAAGCCCTTGAAATGCTACCTTTAATTGACTTTAAGTGTTATCTTTTAATGAATTATGAATGTATTGAGCTGGTAGTGGACAAATTATTGCTGGAGCCACAGAGCTACCAACAGACTTCTTGTCCGTTTACTGCCTGTTTTGCACACTTCCATTTGGACACTGATTATGTATTTCATGTTTTCCAAATAGCCGAATGGTGTGTTATGACGTGTCATGCTCCACGTAGAGTGGATTTTCACTATCAATTCTTATGATTGAGAGCAAATGTTACATGCCCCTAAGGTTGCCTATAGGGAATCTTTGTTTCATTTAATCGGACATCCAGTGGCACACTTTGTTTCACAGAGCTGGTCTTAGAAAATTCTTTTGGGAATTATAACCATTTCTATTTGCAAGCCCAGCAAATCTCTGCTGACTTCACAGAAGATGCTACTCCGCCAGTGTTACATGCCTAGAGCACTGCTGCATTTGGCGCCCATCTTTCCATTTTGTTTTTGTTATTTTGGACAAGTATAGATGAGCTATATGATATGAAGTAATCTAGCCATTTCATCTCCTCATCCACTCAGTCATTCTCTAATGGAATGGTAGTTGGCTTCTACCTGCACTGCCAACTTAAAGTGTTACTAAATCCAGTGCACTTATACAGTAGTTCCCTAACTAACACTGCTTGTACTTTAAGGTGGTCAGTTGTCTGCCCCTCAAAGCTATTCTCTTGACTTCTTGGACCCCATATTCTTAAAATTTGCTTTTTATTTTTAGGATTATTCCTTGAATTTTTAAAAAGCGCTTCTTCTCTCCTCTTCATCCTTAAATGTTGATTTTCTTCAGATTTCTTCAGCAATTCTCAGCCCACTGCTCTCACTGTATAATACTTCTCCAAGTGATTTTACCCATGCTTATGTTTTTAATCTATTACCATGTAATGATTCTTCATCAGGTTCAAAGCTTTTGAGAGCAACATACCTATCTAGCCATCTGCCTGCTAGACATAGATGTTTAAAATTACCCCAAACTCATCGTGTCCAAAACAGACTTAATCACCATTACCTTTGAAATCTTACTTTCCCGTTTATTTTCAATTTTAAAGGCATGGGTGCCCAATCATTCATCAAATTCAGAGATCTTGGAGTAATTCTACACTTTTTCTACATCTCCCCATCCAGACCATCACCAACTCTTGTCAGTTTTGTCTGCAGTTAAAGTCTTAAATTGTCTGTAATTTCTCAAAAAGTCTCAAGTTGGTCCTTTCCTTTGCTTCTATCATTGTTCATTATCTTTATCATTATCATTTCTTTCCCCTGACTACAACTATAACAGAATGGTTTCTTAATGGAAATAATATATAAGGAGGGCTTACTGTGTATCAGGGCACTCTGATAAGTGCTGGAGATTTATTATTCACATTTTGCACATGCTGTTTAGTCTGACAAAAAATACCCTATTCTCATCTCCACCTCAGTCTTCAGCTCATGTCTTTGATGAAGTTATACCTGTTTTTAAAGCCTAAGCCTATGCGTCACCTTCTCTAGTGAGCTTTTCCTGACTGCTTACTCTGCTCCTTGTCTGCTTTCCCCAGTCTTCTCTGCAGGCTGGCTAGGCACGCCACCCCAAGGCTCCCATAATATCCAAAGCATGACTCTACATTTGCACTTTCCTATTGTATAATTTTATGTTTATGAGTTTTTACTGCCAGACTGTGAGGTCTTTAAGGATAAAGATTGTCTTAATAATCTGTATCTCCAGTAGCACAAGTTCGTAGGAAATGCTTAAAAAATGCTTGTTTAAATGAATAGATGAATGAATAATGGCAGCAAAAACCTACATATGAGTAACATAGCAAATAAATTATAGAAATGTATTTTTCCTTAATATTTTATGGTTATGAAGCAGTATTGTGTTTTGCAAATACATTAGTTGTTCTCTGGCTATTGTTTATGAGACACAATATACCAAAATAACAACATAACTGTGATTTTATTTGGCAATCTATTTAGTAAGTTCCCCCAAAGTCATTGAATTAATGATAACTGCAGTGTATGAGCTGCATTCCAAATGAAGTAAGTGTATGTTGACAGTGAAGTGTAGCCTTGTTAACCCTGAACAATCATTTCAATTATAAACTACATGTACACAATCACTGTCACATAAAATATCCAGACTAATTACTTCTAGCCCTTTTGTTATGCAAGTATTAGAGATGAAACCTACTCTTAGGTATATTAAGTATAACAGCGAAATCTCCAGGAACATCATTAGAAAAAAAAAAAGGAAGAATTTTTACATTATTAAGATAAATGGATTAGCATCATGCTTTTAAAATTGCATGGGCAGCCACTGTTTTGTAGGATTTCCCACATACCAACACATTTGTAACAGATCTTGGTTAAGGCCATAAATACAACATACAAATCAGAGCGTTGTTCTCTGCACTCATGTTGCTGCCTGAGGGAGAAAACCATGTCCACTCTTCCATGACTGGAATGAAAGGCACACTGAGTTTTAGGTCAAATATCCATGACATTGACGTGTATGACTAGTCTACTGAGTATGATACATGTTAATATCTTCCCAGTGGTGGGCACAAGTGATATGCCTCAGTGATCAACACAGCATGCACAACCCCTTTAGGTTTTCTACAGGTGTAAAATTGAAATTGATGCATCTTTGAAATCCTGTGGAATGTGATTCTTCTGTGCAGTTAAACTGTACTACTGCTATGTGAGTTTTTTTCTTTGTATATTTCTGTAAGAATGTCATCAACATCAGTTGTTCCATCTGATGATATTTTTGATGGCACATTTCAGACAGCATTATTATGAACTAAACCTGTTTGTGTTGCATTGTTGGACCAATAAAAATAGAAAAAGCAAAGTTTCATGGCTGACTGAGTGCTGCAAAATATAAGTGCTATGCCCACATTGTGATTTCTGAAATGGTCAGTGGTACATTTGTAACATAATTATGTAATTCATATACAATCTAAGTTTTATGACAGAAACATGTATATTCTGCCTATCATCTTATTCCACTGTAAAGGACAGTGACTCACCCATAATTCACTGAATGAATATGTTCTTGAGTGGTAGCATGGAATGTTGAAAGAGCATTGTCTTTGAAGGCATGAAGACGTGAATTGAATCTTAACCTATCCACTTTCTAATTCTGTGACATTGAGATTATTTAAACTAAACCTTGGTTTCCTCCTCTGTGGAATGTGAATAGTATCTCAAAGCTGAATTATTGTGAAGGTTAAATGACATAGTATATATAAAACATCTGTCATGGTGTCTAGCACATAGTGGGAGCTCATAAATATTAGCTGTTGTTACTACTGAACTGGGAAACCACTTTTGTGCTTTTAGCCTTTTTGTATGTTAGCCTTCAGCTGCTTAATAGTTGCCTGTTTTACCATCAATCCTTAATGAGATGAGACTTAGGTTGTTTGAATGATGACTTTTTTTTTAATAAATGACAAAAGCTTGTTATATACATACATAATCAAGCAGATTTTTCCATTAATTAAAAGCTTTGTACAGTGAGCTAAAGTTATATGTTAAGATTCCAGAGATCATGTTTCCAAAGCATATTGACTGTAACAATATAAATAACACTCCTTGAGTAGCCCTAAATAGTTATGGACAGTAAGTGATAAAGGTATTCAGAATAGGGAGATATATTTATAAGTTTCTTGGTGAGAAAAAGTTGTATGACAGAAGAAGAATTTGAACTGAGTATTAAAGAATGTTTATAATTTTGCTAAGAGCTATGAATGAACACCTTATTTTCAGCAAGAAAAAGATTTGAAGAAGAGAGCTTTTGTGGATGCTATTAGGATGCTTTTGGTTACAAGTGACAGCAAATGGCAACTCTCTTTGCATAAAATGAGAACATTGATCATGTCACAAAACAAGAAGTCCAGAGCTAAGTGCTGCAGGGTAGCCTGGCTCAATGGCTTTGTAGCAGCCCCAAGGACCTAAGTTCTTTGTCTTTTGCCCTGGCATTCTGAGTGAGCCCACGTGATACTCTTATTGCTTGCCTTAGAATGACAGCCTGGCTTGCTGCAGTTTCAGGCATCATATCCAGACATGGCAATGTTCAGTTGATATAGTTTGGATGTTTTGTCCCCTCCAAATCTCATGTTGAAATGTGACCTCCAGTGTTGGAGATGGGCCTAATGGAAGGTGTCTGGGTCTTGGGAGCAGATTCCTCATGAATAGTTTCAAGTTGTCCTCAAAGCAATGAGCGAGTTCTCACTCTATGAGTTCACAGAAGATCTGGTTGTTTAAAAGAGCTTGGCACCTCCTCCCTTTCCCTCTCGTGTGCTCTCTCTCTCCTCTCCTCTCCTCGCTCTTGCTCTCTCACCGTGTGAAATACTGGCTCCCACTGGCTCCCACTTTGCCCTCTGCCATGATTGGAAGCTTCCTGAAGCCTCACCGGGAGAAGATGCTGGTACTGTGTTTCTTGTACACCCTGCAGAACTGTGAGCCAAAATAAACCTCTTTTCTTTATACATTATCCAGCCTTAGGTAGTCCTTTATAGCAATACAGATGGACTGTCACACCAGTGAAAGAGGAAGGATGAGTTTTCTTGTGCCTCTTAAATTTTATTATGGATATGCAAACACACATACAAATATGAAGAGAGTATAACCAATACCCATATTCCTGTTACCCAGTTGAAAACATTAGAAACACAGTTTTAACTCCCTGTGCATACCACTCCAAGCATATTTCTTCTCCCCACATTCTGAATTTATCATTTCTGGTGTGCTATGGCTTTAGTTATATGGTCCTCCAAAATTTATGTGTTGAAACCTAATCAATAATGTGATGGTATTATAAGATGGAGCCTCTGGGAGGTGACTAGGTCATAAGCACTCTACCCTCATGAATGGGACTAATGTCCTTATAAAAAGACTGGAGGGAAGTAGCTAGGTTCTTTTACCCTTCCCTCCCTTCTGCCTTGTGAAGACACAGTGTTCATTCCTTTTTGTCCCCCTTTTTGTTCATTCCTTTTTGTCCCCCTTTTGCACCCATGTGAGGGTGCAGCAAGAGGCACCATCTTGGAAACAGCAGCCTTCACCAGGCATTGAATCTGCTGGCACCTTGATCTTGGACTAACCAGCCTCCAGAACTGTGATAAATAAATTCCTGTTATTTATAAATTACCCAGTATCGAATATTTTGTTGTAGCAGAAACAGACTAAGATACCATATATCCCTTTCACTACATGTATATCCCTCAACAATGTAGTATTGCTCCTCAACAATATAGTATTGCTCAACAATATAGTATCCCTCAGCAATATAGTATTGCTTTCTATGTTGTTCAACTTTACATAAATGATTTCATACAGCTATACAACCTTATAAAACTTGATTTTTCAGTTAACTTTGTGAGATGCACCTATGTTAATTCATGTAGCTTTAGCACATTCCTTTTCATCATGTATAGGATTCTATTTTGTAAATATAGCTAAAAGTGTTCAACATTAATAATTGGGAATGTAAATCCAAACTATAATGAGATATTGTATCTATTAGGATGGTTATTATCCAACAATAATAATAAAATGAAAATAACAAGTGTTGGCAAGGATATGGAGGAAAGGGAACCCTAACATACACTGTCAGTGAGAACGTGAATTGGTACAGCCACTATGGGAAACAATATGAAGGCTTCTCAAAAAATTAATAATAGAACTACAATATGATCTAGCAATCCCACTTCTGGTTATTTATCCAAAGGAATTGAAATCAGGATCTTGAAGAGATACCCATATTTATTGCAACATTATTCAGAACAACCAAGACATAGAAGCAACCACAATGTTCATCAACAGATGAATGGATAAAGAAAATGTGGTATATATGTACAATGGAGAACTACTCAGCCATAAGGAGGAAGTCCTGCAATATGGGACAACATTGATGAAGCTGGGGGACATTATGCTAAGTGAAATAAGCCAATCACAGAAGGACAACATGATACCACTTATATGGGAAATCTAAAGGAGTCAAACTCAAAGAAGCAGAGATAGAATAGTTGCTAGGGATTTGGGGGAGGGGAAAACAGAGAGGTATTAGTCAAAGGGTACAAAGTTCCAGTTATGCAAGATGAGTAAGTCCTAGTGATATACTGTACATCATAGTGCCTATAGTTAACAATAATGTATACTGAAACATTGCAAAGAGATTAGATCTTAAAGTTATCACCACAAAAAAAAAAAAATGTGAGGTGTTGGATATGCAAATTAGCTTGATTTAATCATTTAACAATAAATACATATAGGAAAACATCACATTGTACACCATAAATATAAGCTTCTGTCAATTCTACCTTGATAAAGCTGCAAAGGGGAAAAAGTTTATTTTTTACTTATCCAAAATCAATTGTTGATATTTCTCATCAGTCAGTTCTCCTGGACAGTTTTCCATTAAGTAGTAATCCAAGAAATCAGGCTCCTTTTATTTTTTGCTGCAATTATTTGTAAGATATATCCTTTAGGTTTGCTGAAAGATACATAACCTACTCAGCCTGGAAGTGAGTTTACTTCACTCACCATTCATATTCCCTCATTCTTCAACTCTACTTTGCATTCCTGACTTACCACTGTTATCCTTTGCTCTTCACACCTTTCTTTAACACAGGAAAATGTATATGTCCCTTCTCCCAGCAGTTCCCAACACAACGAGCTATAACAGCCTTAAGGAATAGAGACACACCTACTAGCTCCTGTTGCAGTACCCAAATTAAATCCTTATATATGGTCGAGATGCCCTAATATTTATATAGTCTTACATAATTTTTGAAGTACATTCAGAAACTATAATTTTTACATTCTTTTAAGATAAGTATTAAATATATAATCATCTCAATTTTACAAATGAGAGAACTGGTCTTTATCACACTATCAAATATATTTAAGGGCACCAAATACTTGCCTTTTTCTCCCGTAACTTATCCTATATCCAACTGAATCACCAAATTCTATTTATTCTTCTCTCATACTTTGTCTCCCTTCCTTTGAATTTCTATTATAATTTAACATGGTTTAGTTCATTATCATTTCATGCCTAAGTTACTGCAAAGCTCCCTAAATTATAATTACTGCCTCTAGTCTCTTCTCTCTCTAATTCATTCTCAACACTATTTACAAAATAGTACACATATTTTTATTGTCGTTTTCTGGTTCAGAAATCCTCAATATCACAACTGTACATGTAGGATAAAATATTAACTAATTACCTAGGCTTTTGTGGTACTCCCACACCTTGACGCCTGAAATACCTTTTCAGTCTTATGTTCTGCTGCCTTCTAATTCAAACACAAGGTTCTAGTCAGACTAATCTGCCCAGTCTCCCCTAAATTATCCATATTGCAGACATGCTATTTTTGTCTCCCCAAAAGCTATTTCCCCATTCCCCAATTTTGTTTCATTGTCCATCACTTTCCTATGTGTCCCTGAGGTAAATCCTCACTAGTCTTTAATTAAATTTTGGAAACCACACTTTTCTTGCCATTGATCGATTTATGCAAGCAAGTGGCCAATGACACATGAGAGGAAATTCTGCAGGGAGACTACTGGGAAAGATTTTCTTAAGGGAATTTTGGTTTCCAAGAATATGGCATAGCAGATATCCTTAAAATGGAAAATTAAAACTATATCTTAAAAATGTATAGCTGAGCCTACATAAAGTAGAGAAAATCTAGGCACTAAAAATTGAAAACTGAGCTAAGCATTAGAGAGGTAATTTGTCTCTGGCACTACTGTTGCCCTGGAGAAATTTGTCAGTCTTTGTAACCATGATGATTGGGTTTTAGCATCTGAATGGAGTCAGGAGTAAGAGCCTTGGTCTGTGCCAGGCGAGGAATTTAAGCCAAGATCCCTTTGTAAAATTGGAACATTCAAAGAGCTATACCCTTAGTCAGGCCAGCACTAGGGTGAAGCAAGTAAGGAACATACCTTAGTCACAGCCCGGCCCTTGGTGAATGGGTGTACTATAAACTAAATCTGCCTGCCAATCATGGGACAAGGCAGAACACTTGTCTATCTCTGTCTAAGCTCCCCTGAAAATTTATGAAGAGATGTCCGCTCACACATGAGTTTGAGACTAAAACTTATGTTTCCTAAGTAAAACCCACATCAGGAAAACCCTAGTCCAGTAAAATCCAATAACAAGAACTTCTCTTAGGTTGGTAAAATCCGTGGTTGCTTGAGAGAAACAAGAGAGAAATAAATTATCTCTAGAGAATTTACCAAAGAAAATGAACCTTAATCCTTGTCTCATAAGATTTCTATAGAAAAAGCCCTGCTGGGCCGGGCGTGGTGGCTCACACCTGTAATCCCAGCACTTTGGGAGGCCGAGGCGGGAGGATCATGAGCTCAGGAGATCGAGACCATCCTGGCTAACACAGTGAAACCCCGTCTCTACTAAAAACACAAAAAATTAGCCAGGTGTTGTGGCGGGCACCTGTAGTCTCAGCTACTCGGGAGGCTGAGGCTGGAGAATGGTGTGAACCCGGGAGGCGGAGGTTGCAGTGAGCCGAGATGGCGCCACTGCACTCTAGCCTGGGTGACAGAGTGAGACTCCATCTCAAAAAAAAAAAAAGAAGAAAAAAAAAGAAAAAGCCCTGCTGAACATAATCCCACAGCCCAAAATTACAAAACACATGAGGAATTCAGGCATCATGTAAACACAGATAACAAACAGCATAATTTGACAACCAAAATTTCTAAAAATGACATTACTGATGTTAAGAGAAAAACATTCGACAAATTAAACAGAGTTTAAATAAGCAAAGAACAATTTATGAATCAGGCAGCCCCCAGAACCAGAACAGGTTCAGATAAACTCCAGGGCTGCCACATGGTTGGATCACATTTATGGAGAGAAAAAAAAAGTTGCATACAGAAGACAGAAGTAAGGTACAGAAACAGCTGGATTGGTTACAGCTAGGTGTTTACCTTATATGAAACTTACATGATTTTACCTTATATGATTTGAACAGTTGGCTGCCTATGGTTGACTAAATTTTAGCTACTGTGATTGGCCGATACTCCAACACTTGTTACAAGAGTAGGTTGCATTCTGCTTACACATCAAGTTTTGTTACAGTTTATTATGTATGCAGAAACCTGTAGGCCAAACTTAAAATACATAAGGAGGCAGCCTTAGGCCAAACTTAATTTAATAGTGGATACAGAATATAAAATAATGCTTTAAATTTGTAAGGAAATAAGAGTTAGAATTGGAACATGAGAAAGGAACAGGATAAAAGATTTTAAAAAGCCAGATAGATGTAAACAACAACTAAATGAAAATTCATCAATGAAAAGAAGAATAGCTAATATTAAAAACTCAATGAGTGGGTTAAAGAGCAGGTTCAGCACAAGTGAAACAATAATTCGTTAATTAGAATTAGAGAAACAGGGAGTGGTGGCTTGTGCCTATAGTCTTAGCTACTCAGGAGGCTAAAGTGAGAAGATTGCTTAAGCCCAGGAATTTGAGACCAATCTGAGCAACATAGTGAGACATCATCTCTGAAAAAAAAAAAATAAAAGAATTTGAATTAATCAAGAATTAGAAAAAAATTCATATACAAGGAAATCCAGAATGAAGCACAGAAAGAGCAAGAAATGTAAGATTTTAAATCAGGTAAAGAGACATAGAAGACAGAATTAGAAGATCTATAATACAGATCTTCTAAAAGGAGATAATGGAGAGAATAGGAAAGAAGAGCAAGAATTTTGTTCTGTAATGGCTGGGCACAGTGGCTCATGCTTGTAATCCCAGCACTTTGGGAGTCCAAGGTGGGTGGATCACTTTAGGCCGGGAGTTCAAGACCAGTCTGGCCAACATGGTGAAACACCGTGTCTACTAAAAAAATACAAAAATTCAAAAATTAGCCAGGCATGGTGGCACAAGACTGTAATCCCAGCTACTGGGGAGGCTGAGGCACAAGAATCACTTGAACTCAGGAGGTGGAGGTTCCAATGAGCCAAGATTGCACCACTGCAGTCCAGCCTGGGCAACAGAGTGAGACTACATCTCAAAAAAAAAAAAAAGAATTTTGTTCTGTAACTGATAGAACACATAAATTCTGAGATTCAGGAGGTACACTGAATTCTTAACAGGATAAAAAATAAATAGGCACTTATGAACACCATAGTGAATGTGCAGAACATTAAAACAAAGGGAAGATCTTTTTAAAAAGCCAGAGAGAAAAGGCAAGTTATCTACTCAGGAATTACAATTAGACTAACAGCTGACTTGAAAGCAGCAACAATAGAAACCAGAAGGCAATAATGGCATACTGTTTTTTAAACGCTGTGAAAAAATCTATCAACCTGGAATTGGATATCAAGGTAAACTACTATTGGAGAATAGGGGTGAAAAATATTTTTCAGACAATAGCTTAAAATACTGACTAACAGTAGATAGTAAAGGAACTCCTCAACTATGTACTGCAGAAAGGACTGAGATGTGTGAAGGGAAGGTAAGCAATGATAATTGTAAATTTGTGAGTAAAGCTAAACAAAGGCTGATTATTTGAAATTATGATCCTAATGTATAATATATGGGATTTAAAAAACACTATTAAATAAAGCTAAAATAATAGTCAACAGTAGGATGTAAGCCTAGGGAGGGATAAGCAGATTTAAAGAGTTTTAAAATCTTGAATTGTTTGGAGGAGGAAAAAGTTATTATAACCTTAGATTTAGTTAAATATGCTTGCTAAAATTCAAAGGTAACCACAAAAAGTATAGAAACAGAGTATACAATTTTGAAAACAAAAAAAAGTCATAAGCAAAAAAATCAGTCAATCCAAAATATGGCAGGGAGAGAAAAAAAATGGAAGAATAAGAATAAAATTAGGGAAATAAACTAAAATATATCAGTAATAATTAGTAAAAGTGAACTAACCTCTTAAAATATAAAAATTACTAGAATGAGTTTTCAAATTTCTATATTATTAAAAAGAAACACAAATAAAATATGAATGCAGAAAAGTTGAAAGAGAAAAGAAGAAAAACATATACCAGGCAACTTCTAACCAAGAGAAAGCTGTTATATTAATATCAGACAAAATAAACTTTGAGACAAAAACATTACTAGAATGTAAAGGAATGGTATATAAACACAAAAGGTTTAGTTCACCAGAAAACTAGTATTTCTAAACAACTGTGCACATAGGATTAGAAAGAATCTTCCTAAAATTATTTAAATGTAGCTGGAAACATCGACTGCAAACATCATTCTAAATGGTGAAAGTTTAGAAGACTGCTTTAAAACATGGAATGAGAAAATGATATCTGCTATTACCACCTGTTTCCAACAATGTACTGAAATTCCTTATCAGCATTAAGACAACGTAGATAAATAAAAAGTATAAACTTTGAAAATATAGAAATAAAATATCATAAATTTGTCATAAAATACACAAAAAGTTTAATTACCTATTAGAACTAATATGAAAATGTACAGGGTTATTGGAGTTCAAAATTCACATTAAAAGCCAACTTTATTATTTCTATATATGTTACAAATAATTAGAAGATACAATTTTAAAAGACGGATTTATAATGCATCAAAAATATAAAGTATCCAGGAACAAATAAAACAAAAAATGTGCAAGAACGTTTTGGAGAAACTTTTAAAACTTTATACGAGGACATAAAAGACAGCATAAACCATTGAAAAGCATTATAGATAGAGACTCAATATAATAGCAATATCAATGGTTCTTACACTGATCTCTATATTCAGTGTATTTCCCATCATGAAAACCAACAGGGATTTTCACTGAACATGAAAAGCTGATTTTAAAATGAAATCATTCCAAGTGTAATCATTTTATATGGAAGAGAAATAGGCAGACTACTACAGAAGACTTTGAAAAGAAAGAACAAGATATGGGGTGGTACTACCCTGTTAGATTTCCAGATATATTGTAAAAGTAATGCAATTAAGACAACATGGACTTGGATAAGTGGTA
Organism: Homo sapiens; assembly: GCF_000001405.40. Taxonomy (NCBI): domain Eukaryota; kingdom Metazoa; phylum Chordata; class Mammalia; order Primates; family Hominidae; genus Homo; species Homo sapiens. Next base: position 197,886,981 of record NC_000001.11, on the reverse strand, counting down.
GTAGACAAATAGTCATTGGAACATAGCATACATCTCATAAACAGACACACAAATATATAGAAACTTGATATAATGCAGTAGTGGCATTGAAGAAATATGTAGACTATTTAATCAATAGTCCTAGCTTATTTAGATAAGTATATTTTTAAAAAAAGATGTCTATTTCACACTATATATAAAACCCAGCTTCTGCTGAATAAAATACTTCAAAGTGAAAAGTAAAACTTTAAATTTTCCAAGACAATACATGAGATTACTTTATGACTTTTGAGTTAGGGGAATTTTTTTCAAACAAGATATAAAAAGCACAATACATAAAGAAAATGATAGATAAATTTGACTAAAGTAAAATTAAACTTCTGTTCTTCAAAATACACCATAAAAGTAAAGAGGCAGGCCACAAACTGGGAGAAAATATTTGTAACATATAACTGACAAAAGATTATTGTCCAGAAATATAATAAACTCATACAAACTGGTAAGAACAATACAAATTAATAAAATGTCAAAAGACATGAACAGTTATTTCAAGAAAATAAAACATAAATGTCTAATAAAAGTATGAAAAAATGCTGAGACTAAATTCCTTAGGACAATTCAAATTAATACCACAATTAGTTATTATTTTATACCAACAGATTGTAAAAAAAAAAAGTCTGAGAATATTGAGTATTGCCTAGAGAATGGAACAAAGGAAACAGTTATACTCTGTGGGTAGGAGTATAAATTGGCACAAGTATTTTGGAAAACAACTTGGAACTCTAATAAAGGCAAAGATGTGTATATCTTATAACCAATAATTTCACTTTTGACAATATATCTGCTGTGTTTCCCCCAAATTCATATGTTGAAACATAATCTCCAATGTGATAGTATTAAGCGTACGGCATTTGGGAAGTGATTAGGTCATGAGGGCTCCACCTTCATGAATGGTGTTAGTGCTCTTATGTAAGAGGTTTGAGAACTGCCCTTCCACCATGTGAGGACACATAGAAGACACCATCTATGAACCAGAGAGCCCTCACCAGACACTGAATCTGCTGGTGCCTTGATTTTGGACTTTCCAGCCTCCAGAACTGTCAGCAATACATTTCCGTTGTTTATACATTACCCAGTCTAAGGTATTTTGTTATAGCAGCTAGAGAAGACTAAGAAAATATCATAAATATGTGTCTGCAAACTTGTAGAAGATTGTTCCTAAGAGCATAGTTTGTAAACAAAAACCTGTAGACCATGAAAATGTCATCCAGCAATGTGATTCTGGACAGCAATGAAAGCAAATGAACTGCAGCTACACAAATCAACATGATAGAATCTCACAAACATAATATTGATGAAAAAAGTTTTGAAGAATATGTACATGCAAAATCATTTATATAAAGTTCAAAAAACATGCAAACATCAAACTTATTTACCTATGAACATATGTTTCAAAAATTATAAAGAGAAATGGGAGCATTCATAGTATGAAAATGCTTGGTTAACAGTCAATATCCCTCAATCACTGGTGTTCAGAAATCTGGTAAGATGCAACACAGCGTGATTTTACAACTGTCTCTTTAAGCGTTCATATGACTTGGCTCTGTGTCCCCACCCAAATCTCATCTTGCACTGTAATTCCCATTGTTGGGAGGGACCTGATAGGAGGTGATTAAATCATGGGGGCAGATTTTCCCCTTGCCATTCTTCTGATAGTGAGTAAGTTCTCATGAGATCTAGTGCTTGAAAGTTTGTAGTAGCACTTCCCGCTTTTCACTCTAGCTCTTTCTCTCCTGCTCCACCATTGTAAGATGTGCTTTCTTCCTCTTCACTTTCTGCCATGATTGTAATTTTCCTGAGGCTTCCCAGCCATGCTTCCTTTATAGCTTGCCAAACTGTGAGTCAACTAAACATTTTTCTTTATAAATTACCCAGTCTCAGGTAGTTCTTTATAGCAGTGTGAGAACGGATTAATACAAGCATTTTGAAAGCCAGTTTCTCCAATTATTAAAAGTTTTTGGAGGCTGGCAAGATGGATGAATAGGAACAGCTCCAGTCTGCAGCTCCCAGCAAGATCAATGCAGAAGGCGGGTGATTTCTGCATTTCCAACTGAGGTAACCGGTTCATGTCATTAGGACTGATTGGACAGTAGGTGCAGCCCATGGAAGGTGAGCCAAAGCAGGGTGGGGTGTCATCTCACATGGGAAGTGCAAGGGGTCAAGGGACTTCCCTCCCCTAGTCAAGGGAAGCCGTGAGAGACTGTACCGGGAGGAATGGTGCACTCTGGCCCAGAGACTGCACTTTTCCCAGGGTCTTCACAACTGGCAGACCAGGAGATTCCCTCTGATGCCTACACCACCCAGGGCCCTGGGTTTCAACCACAAAACTGGGTGGCCATTCAGGCAGACACTGAACTAGCTGCAGGAGTTTATTTTTCATACCCTAGTGGCACCTGGCGCCAGCGAGACAGAACCATTCACTCCCCTGGAAAGGGGGCTGAAGCCAGGGAGCCAAGTGGTCTGGCTCAGCGGTCACCACCCCCATGGAGTCCAGCAAGCTAAGATCCACCGGCTTGAAATTCTCATGGCCAGAACAACAGTGTGAGCTTGACCTGGGACGTTTGAACTTGGTGGGGGGAAGGGCATCTGCCATTGCCAAGTCTTGAGTAGGCGGTTTTCCCCTCACAGTGTAAACAAAGCTGCCTGGAAGTTTGAACTGGGAGGAGCCCACTGCAGCTCAGCAAGGCCGCTGTGGCCAGACTGCCTCTCTAGACTCCTCCTCTCTGGGCAGGGCATATCTGAAAAAAGGCAGCAGCCCCAGTCAGGGACTTATAGATAAAACCTCCATGGGACAGAGCACCTGGGGGAAGGGGTGGCTATGGGCACAGTTTCAGCAGACATGAACGTCCCTGCCTGACATCTCTGAATACAGCAGCGGATCTCCCAGTGCAGCATTCGAGCTCTGATAAGGGAAGAATCCCTCCTCGAGTGGGTCCCTGACCCCCGTGCCTCCTGACGGGGAGACACCTCCCATCAGGGGTTGACAGATACCTCATACAGGAGAGCTCTGGCTGGCATCTGGTGGGTGACCCTCTGGGGCAAAACTTCCAGAGGAAGGGACAGGCAACAATCTTTGCTGTTCTGTAGCTTCCGCTGGTGATATCCGGGCAAACGGTCTGGCGTGGACCTCCAGCAAACTCCAGTAGACCTGCAGCAGAGAGGCCTGACTGTTAGAAGGAAAACTGACAAACAGAAAGGAATAGTATCAACATCAACAAAAAGGATGTCCACTCAGAGACCCTATCCGAAGGTCACCAACATCAAAGGCCAAAGGTAGATATATTCATGAAGATGGGGAGAAACCAGCACAAAAAGGCTGAAAATTCCAAAAACTAGAATGCCTCTTCTCCTCCAAAGGATCACAGCCCCTCGCCAACAAGAGAACTGGATGGAGAATGAGTTTGATGAACTGACAGAAGTAGGCTTCAGAAGATGGGTAATAAACTCCACCAAGATAAAGGAGCATGTTCTATCCGAATGCAAGGAAGTTAAGAATCTTGAAAAAAGGTTAGAGGAATTGCTAACTAGAATAACCAGTTTAGAGAAAAACATACATGACCTGATGGAGCTGAAAAACACAGCACAAGAACTTCATGAGGCATACATAAGTATCAATAGCTGAATCGACCAAGTGGAAGAAAGGATATCAGAGATTGAAGATCAACTCAAGGAAATAAAGTGAGAAGACAAGATTAGAGAAAAAAGAGTGAAAAGAAATGAACAAAGCCTCCAAGAAATATGGGACTATGTGAAAAGACCAAATCTACATTTGATTGATGTACCTGAAAGTGATGAGGAGAATGGAATCAAGGTGGAAAACACTCTTCAGGATATTATCCACAACTTCCCCAACCTAGCAAGGCAGGCCAACATTCAAATTCGGGAAATACAGAGAACACCACAAAGACACTACTCAAGAAGAGCAACCCCAAGACATATAATCGTCAGATTCACTAAGGTTGAAATGAAGGAAAAAATGTTAAGGGCAGCCAGAGAGAAAGGTCAGGTTACTCACAAAGGGAAGTCCATCAGACTAACAGCAGATCTCTCAGCAGAAACCCTACAAGACAGAAGAGAGAGGGGGACTCCTAAAGGAAGCACTAAACATGGAAAGGAACAACTGGTACAAGCCACTGCAAAAACATAAAAATTGTAAAGACCATTGACACTATGAAAAAATGGCATGAACTAGTGGGCAAAATAACGAGCTAGCATCATAATGACAGGAACAATTTCACACATAACAATATTAATGTTAAATGTAAATAGGCTAAATGCCCCAATTAAAAGACACAGACTGGCAAATTGGATAAAGAGTTAAGACCCATTGGTGTGCTGTATTCGGGAGACCCATCTCATGTGCAAAGACACACATAGGCTCAAAATAAAGGGATGGAAGAATATTTACAAAGCAAATTGAAAGTAAAAAAAAAAATGCAGGGGTTGCAATCCTAGTCTCTGATAAAACAGACTTTAAACCAACAAAGATCAAAAGAGACAAACAAAGGCATTACATAATGGTAAAAGGATCAATGCAACAAGAAGAGCTAACTATCCTAAATATAAATGCACACAATACAGGAGCACCCGGATTCATAAAGCAAGTTCTTAGAGACCTACAAAGAGACTCAGACTCCCACACAATAATAGTGGGAGACTTTAACACCCCACTGTCAATATTAGACAGATCAATGAGACAGAAAAGTAACAAATATATCCAGGACTTGAACTCAGCTCTGGACCAACAGAACCTAATAGACATCCACAGAACTCTCCACCCCAAATCAACAGAATATACATTATTCTCAGAACCACATTGCACTTATTCTAAAATTGACCACATAATTGGAAGTAAAACATTCCTCAGCAAATGCAAAAGAATGGAAATCATAACAGTCTCTCAGACACAGTGCAATCAAATTAGAACTCAGGATTAAGAAACTCACTCAAAACCGCACAACTACATGGAAACTGAACAACCTGCTCCTGAATGACTACTGGGTAAATAACAAAATAAAGGCAGAAATAAAGATGTTCAATGAAACCAATGAGAACAAAGACACAACGTACCAGAATCTCTGGGACACATTTAAAGCAGTATGTAGAAGGAAATTTACAGCACTAAATGCTAACAAGAGAAAGCAGGAAAGATCTAAAATCAACACCCTAACATCACAATTAAAAGAACTAGAGAAGCAAGAGCAAACAAACTCAAAAGCGAGCAGAAGACAAGAAATAACTAAGATCAGAGCAGAATTGAAGGAGATAGAGACATGAAAAACTCTTCAAAAAAAATCAATGACTCCAGGAGCTGTTTTTTTGAAAAGATCAACAAAGTAGATAGACCACTAGGCATATTAATAAAGAAGAAAAAAGAGAAGAATCAAATGGATGCAATAAAAAATGATAAAGGGAATATCACCACTGATCCCACAGAAATAAAAACTACCATCAGAGACTACTAAAAACACCTCTAAGCAAAAAAAAAAAAAAAAAAAAAAGAAAGAAAAAAAAAGAAAAAAGAAGAAAAAACTGAAAATCTAGAAGAAATGGATAAATTCCTGGACACATACACCCTCCCAAGACTAAACCAGGAAGAAGTTGAATCCCTGAATAGACCAATGACAAGTTCTGAAATTGAGGTAGTAATTAATAGCCTACCAACCAAAAAAAGTCCAGGACCAGAGGGATTCACAGCCGAATTCTACCAGAGGTACAAAGGGGAGCTGGTACCATTCCTTCTGAAACTATTCCAAACAATAGAAACAGAGGGACTCCTCCCTAACTCATTTTTTTGAGGACAGTATCATCTTGGTACAAAAACCTGGCAGAGACACAACAAAAAAGAACATTTTATGCCAGTATCCCTGATGAACATCGATGCGAAAATCTTCAATAAAATACTGGCAAACTGAATCCATCAGCACATCAAAAAGCTTATCCACCACGATCAAGTCAGCTTCATCCCTGAGATGCAAGGTTTGTTCAACATATGCAAATGAATAAATGTAATCCATGACATAAACGGAACCAATGACAAAAACCACATGATTATCTCAATAGATGCAGAAAAGGCCTTCGACAAAATTCAACACCACTTCATACTAAGAATTCTCAATAAACTAGGTATTGATGGAACGTATCTCAAAATTATAAGAACTATTTATGACAAACCCACAGCCAATATCATACTGAATGGGCAAAAACTGGAAGCATTCCCTTTGAAAACCGGCACAAGACGAGGATGCCCTGCTCCCCACTTCTATTCAACAGAGTATTGGAAGTTCTGGCCAGGGCAATCAGGCAAGAGAAAGAAATTAAGGGCGTTCAGTTAGGAAAAGAGGAAGTCAAATTGTCTCTGTTTGCAGATGACATAACAGTATATTTAGAAAACCCCATCGTCTCAGCCCCAAATCTCCTTAAGCTGATAAGCAACTTCAGCAGTCTCAAGATACAAAATCAATGTGCAAAAATCACAAGCATTCCTATACACCAATAACAGAGAGCCAAACCATGAGTGATTTCCCATTCACAATTGCTACAAAGAGAATAAAATACCTAGGAATTCAACTTAGAAGGGATGTGAAGGACCTCTTCAAGGAGAACTACAAACCACTGCTTAAGGAAATAAGAGAGGACACAAACAAATGGAAAAGCATTCCATGCTCATGGATAGGAAGAATCAATATCATGAAAATGACCATACTGCCCAAAGTAATTTATAGATTCAATACTATCCCCATCAAGCTACCATTGACTTTCTTCACAGAATTGGAAAAAACTACTTTAAATTTCATATGGAACCAAAAAAGGGCCCGCATAGCCAAGACAATCCTAAGCAAAAAGAACAAAGCTGGAGGCATCATGCTACCTGACTTCAAACTATACTACAAAGGCTACAGTAACCAAAACAGCATGGTACTGGTACCAAAACAGATATGTAGACCAATAGAACAGAACAGAACAGAGGCCTCAGAAATAACACCACACATCTACAACCATCTGATCCTTGACAAATCTTGACACAAACAAGCAATGGGTAAAGGATTCCCTATTTAATAAATGGTGTTGGGAAAACTGGCTAGCCATATGCAGAAAGCTGAAACTGGATTCCTTCCTTACACCTTATGTAAAAATCAACTCAAGATGGATCAAAGACTTAAACATAAGACTTAAAACAGTAAAAACCCTAGAAGAAAACCTAGGTAATGCCATTCAGGACATAGGCATGGGTAAAGACTTCATGACTAAAACACCAAAAGCAATGGCAACAAAAGCCAAAGTGGACAAATGGGATCTAATTAAACTAAAGAGCTTCTGCACAGCAAAAGAAAATATTGCCGGGCACTGTGGCTCACGCCTGTAATCCCAGCACTTTGGGAGCCCGAGGTGGGCGGATCACGAGGTCAGGAGATCAAGACCATCCTGGCTAACACGGTGAAACCCCGTCTCTACTAAAAATACAAAAAATTAGCTGCGTGTGAAGGCGGGCACCTGTAGTCCCAGCTACTCAGGAGGCTGAGGGAGGAGAATGGCATGAACATGGGAGGCAGAGCTTGCAGTGAGCCGAGCTCACGCCACTGCACTCCAACCTGGGTGACAGAGCAAGACTCCATCTCAGAAAAATAAATAAATAAATAAATAAACTATCATCAGAGAGAACAAGCAACCTACAGAATGGGAGAAAAGTTTTGCAATCTATCCATCTTTGGATAACTATCTTGGTAGAGAGGCAGGTGATTGATGCCATGAACTTAAAGTATAAGTATGCCATACTTAAAGTATAATAATAAAAAAAAAGAATGTGAAAAAACAAAACAAAAAAGAAATTACTTTAAATGTAAACTGATTAAACTGTCCAATCAAAAGACAGAAATTGGAAGAATGGATTTTAAAAAACATGACCAAAATATATGTTGAATATAAAAGACTCAATTTAGATCCAAATGCACAAATAGGTTGAAAGTGAAGTAAGGGAAAAGGATATTTTCTTTCCATGTACCATGCAACTAGTATCTAAGAGAGATTAAGGGTGACTATGCTAATTTCAGACAAAATAGAATTTAAAACCAAAAAAATTACAGTAACAAAGACGGACATCATTCATAAATGAAAGCTTCAATACAGCAAAAGATACAACAATTACAAACATTTTTGAACCCAATAATAGATCATCAAAATATGAAGAAAAAATCAACAAAATCGAAAGGAGAAATAGACAGTTCCACAATAATAGCTGGATATTGCAATACCCCACCCTCAGTATTGATAGAACACCCTGACAGAAGGCCAGGTATGGTGGCTTATGCCTGTAATCCTAGCACCTTGTGAGGCTGAGGCAGGTGGATCACCTGAGATCAGGAGTTTGAGACCAGTCTGGCCAACATGGTGAAACCCCATCTCTACTAACAATACAAAAATTAGTCAGGAGTGGTGGCACGTGCCTGTAATCCCAGCTACCTGGGAGGCTGAGGAAGGAGAATTGCTGGAGCCCAGGTGGCAGAGACTGCAGTGAGCCGAGATTGTGCCACTGCACTCCAGCCTGGGGAATGGAACGAGACACTGTCTCGAAAAAGAAAAAAAAAAAAAGAACACCCTGACAGAACGTAAGTAAAGAAATAGAGGACTTGAACAACACAATAATCCAACTAGATCTAACACATATACAGAACACTCTACTTAACAACACAGAATACATATTCTTAAGTGCATATGGGATATTTTCCAAGGTAGACCACATGAGACAAATTAAGTCTCAATAGGTTTAAAAAGATAGATATCATACAAAGTATCTTCTCTGACCTCATCAGCGCAAAATTAGAAATCAATAATGAAAGATAAACTGTAAAATTTACAAATTTGTGGAAGTTAAACAAAATACTCTTAACCACTGGATCAAAGACTAAATTATAAGGGAAATACAAAATACTAAGAGACAAATGAAAATAAAAATAACATACCAAAACTTATAGGACACAGTGAAAACAGTGCTAAGGAAAAAAAATATAGCTATAAATGCTCACATTAAAAAACAAGAAAGATCTCAAATCAACAACCTAACTTTACAATTTAAGGAACTAGAAAAAAAACAAAGTAAACCCAAAGCCAGCAGAAGAAACGAAATAATAAAGATTAGGGCAGAGTTAAATAAAGTACAGAGTAAAAAAAATAGAGAACAATCAATGAAACCAATAGGTTCTTTGAAAAGATCAACCAAATTGACAAATATTTAGCTATTAATCAAGAGAGATTAAGAGTGACTATGCTAATATGAGACAAAATAAGAAAAAAGAGAGAAGACTCAAATTCTCAAATTACTAAATCAGAAATAAAGTGGAAATGTTAATACTAATTCCATAGAAACAAAAAGGAATACTTTTAGCAGTTATATGCCAACAAACTGAAAAGCCTATAAAATGGACCTATTACTAGAAATACAAACCCTATCACCACTAAGCCACAAAGAAGTAAAAAATCTGAATAGACCTATAACTAGTTAGTAGATTAAATCAGTAATTAAATATATCTCAACAAAGAGAAACCCTGAACCTGATGGGTTCACTGGTAAATCTTACCGAACATTTAAAGAAGGACTAACACCAATCATTCTCAAACATTTCCAAAAAAATTGAAGAGAAGGAAACACTCTCTACACATTTTATGAGGCCAACATTGCCCCAATACCAAAGCCAGAAAATTACATTACAAGAAAACTATAGATCAATATCCTTTGTGAATATTGATACAAAAATCCTCTATAAAATACTAGCAAACCAAATTCAGCAGCATGTTAAGAGGATTATTCATCAAGTGGGATTTGTTCCTGGAATGCAAGGATGGCTTAAAATATGAAAATTGATCAAAGTATTACACCACATTAACAGAATGAAAGGGAAAAAACCTGATCATCTAAATTGATGCAGAAAAATTATTTGACAAAAATCAACACTCTTTTATGACAAAAACACAAAAAAATAGGAATGGAAAAGAGCTACCTCAAAATGATAAAAGTCACATATGAAAAACCCACAGCAAATATCATATTCAGTGATAAAACACTGAAAGCTTTTCCTCTAAAAGCAGGAAGAAGGCAAGAATGCTTAATTTCACCATTTCTATTCAACATGGTACTGGAAGTCCTAGCCAGAGCAATTAGATAAGAAAAAGAAATAAAGCATCCAAATGGAAAAGAAGAAGTAAAATGATCTCTGTTTGCAAATAATATGGTCTTATATGTAGAAAACAAAAAATTCCACAAAAATATTAGAATTAATTAAGAAATTCGGCAAAATAACAGGATACAAAGTAAACATACATCAGTTGCATTTCTATACACTAACAATGAAAAATCTAAAAAAAAAGGTAAGAAAACAGTTCCAGTTACAATAGCACTAAAAAGAATAAAGACAGGAATTAACCAAGGATAAGGAGGTTGTACACTGAAAACTAAAAAGACTTTCTAAAATAAATTAAAGAAAATATAAATAAGTGGAAAGCATAAATAAATCTAAAAATTTAATATTGTGCAGATGTAACTACTACCTAAAGTGATCTACAGATTTAATGCAATCTTTGTCAATATCCTAATGACTTATTTTTTGCAGAAATAGAAAAACCCATTCTGAAATTCAAATGGAATCTCAAGTGACCCCAAATAGCCAAAACAATCTTGCAAAAAAAGAATAAAGAATATGTCCTGATTTCAAAACTTACTACAAAGCTACAGGAATCAAAACAGTGGGGCATAAAAACAGACATATAGACCAATGGAATAGAATAGACAGTTCCAAAACAATCATTGCATATATTGTCAAATGATTTTAGACAAGGGTGTCAAGACCATTCAATAGGGAAAAGACAGTCTTTTTAAAGAAGTGGGGCTGGGAAAACTGGATATATCCACATCCAAAAGAATGAAGCTGGATCCTTATCTAACATCATATACAAAAATTAATTCAAACTGGATCCACCAGCTAATGTAAGACCTAAAACTGGACAACTGTTAGAAAACACAGGGCAAGAGTTTCACAACATTGGATTTGGCAATTATTTCTTGGATATGACACCAAAGGCATAGGCAATAACAATAACAAAAAGACAAATTGGGAGGCCCAGGCAGGCAGATCACCTGAGGTCAGGAGTTCAAGACCAGCCTGGCCAACATGGCGAAACCCCGTCTCTACTAAACATACAAAAAAATTAGCTGGGCACAGTGGTGCATGCCTGTAATCCCAGCTACTCAGGAGGCTGGGGCAGGAGAATCGCTTGAACCCAGGAGGCAGATGTTGCAGTGAATGGAGATCACACCACTGTACTCCAGCCTGGGTGACAGAGCAAGTCTCCGTCTCAAAAAAAAAAGAGAAAGAGAAATTGAATTTCATGGCCAGGTGTGGTGCTTATGCCTGTAATGCCAGCGCTTTTGGAGGCCAAATTGCAAGGATCACTTGAGCCCAGGAGCTCAAGACTAGCTTGGGCAACATCGCAAGCCCCTATCCTGGTATAAGAAAAAAAAAAATCGAACTTCATGGAAATGTAAAAATTTTGTGCATCAATAGACAACTATCAACACAGTAAAAAGACAACCAAAAGGAAAAATATTTACAAATCATCTATTTCATAAGAAATTAATATCCAGAATATATAGAGAACTCCTAAAACTCAACAACCAAAAAACCCAAGCAATTTAATTCCAAAATGAGCAAAGAGCTTAAACAGACATTTCTCCAAACTAGACATATAAATGGCCAATAAGTCCATGAAGAGATGCTCAACAACACAAATCATTAGAAATACATATTAAAACCATAAAGAAATACCACGTCTTACCTATTAGGATGGCTGATATAAAAATGAACAGAAAATAAGTGTTGGTGAGAATGTGAAGAAATTGGAACCCTTATGCTTTGTTGGTGGGAATGTAAAATGGTACAACTGCTTTGGAAAACAGTGTGGCAGTTTCTTAAGAAGTTAAAAATAGAATTATCATATAATTTAGCAATTCCACTTCTTGGTATATACCCCAAATAATTGAAAGCAGGAGCTTGAAGAGGTATTTGTATGCTCATGTTGATAGCAGCATTATTCACAATAGCCAAGTGGTAAAAACAACCCAAATGTCCATGGATGGATGAATAAACAAAATGTGGTATAAACAAGCAGTGGAATATTATTTAATCTTAAAGAAGAAGGAAATTCTGACATGATACAATATGGACGAACCTTGAAGACATTACGCTAAGTAAAATAAGCCAGTCACACAAGGAGAAACATTGTGATTTCACTTACACTAGGTATGTAGAGTAGTCAAATTTATACAGGCAGAAAGTAGAATGGTAGTTGGCAGGGTCTGGGTAGAGGGGGAATGAGAAATTCTCATTTAATGAGTACAGAGTTTTGCAAGATGGAGAGTTCTGGAGATGGATGATGGTGATATTTGCACAACAGTATGAATGTATTTAATGCCACTGAACTGTACACTTAAAAATGGTTATGATGATAATTTTTATATTATGAGTATTTACCACAAATAAAAATAACTTTTAAAAACCCTGTTGTTCTAAAACAATGTTCTTTTTCAGAGGAAGTACTTATTAGTTCAAAACAATGTACATGTCAGTTCTCTGCTTCATATAATTTGTTTTCACTGGAAGAAAATATGTTGGAAATATTTATGCCCCCTAGTTTCCTCCTCTCCCCAAATAATAAATGATAGGAGGGTGGTGTAATCTTGTCTTTTCTACTTGGGTGATCTAATTTTGGTTTAAACACATGTGTTAATAGGTGTACTTTTTTTCTGTTTTTAGATTCCATTTGAAAGAAAACATTTCTCTGCTTCACTAGTACACTCTGGCTACATTCTTTATGGCCTATTCTTTGTTGGGTGAGACTCTCTAAAATTAATGCCTACTCTTTATTGATTGCCCACCTGTGGCAGACATTTTGCAAACATTATCTTTAACTTTTTGAATAACCTTCAAATTAACTATTATTACCCCCATTTTTCAGGTAATGAAATGTAGATAGTAAGTAGTAAGCTCAGGATTTGAATGCAGATCTAGCTTTAAAACCTTGGAAAGTTGACTGCATAAATCTTTACCTAAAAGTTAAAGCCAAAGCCAGATAGACACTCAATCACCCCATCCATTCTCTTTTAAACACAGGAAAGTTATCTCTATTTAATACATATGAGTTTCAGTTTGCAAAATGGGCAACAAATCTTCATAGTTTTATAAGTGAGTAATTTGTAAATCCCTGAAGAAATGGTTTGTACCAGATGATCTTTAAGGATTTATGATGTATATGTCAAAAATAGATTATGTGGATTGTAAATAGATTGTATGGATTGACAGATTTTCACAAATTGAACACACCTGTTTAACCAGCACCTAGATTAAGAAACAGAATATTACCAATACCCTCCAAACACCCTTATGCCCCTAGCTGCTATATCTCCACTTTCAATAGCAATTGATTATTTTCACCTAAATGTTATTTACTTACTATTATGGACATTTAGTTTCCAGTTTTACTACTATGAACAGTGTTGTTATAAACATTCTTGTTCATGTCTTTTGGTGACACACATGCACACATATTTCTGCTGAGTATAAAACTGTGAGTAGAATTAATTGCTGGATCACACTATATGCATGTGCTCAGCTGATATGGTTTGGCTCTGTGTCCCCACTCAAATCTCAGCTTCAATGGTAGCTTCTGTAATTCCCATGTGTTGTGGGAGGGACCCGGTGGGAGATAATTTGAATCATGGAGGTGCTTTCCCCCATATTGTTCTCGTGGTAGTGAATAAGTCTCATGAGATCTGAGATGGTTTTATCAGGGGTTTCCACTTTTGCATCTTCCTCATTTTTCTCTTGCTGCCACCATATCAGAAGTGCCTTTCGCCTCCCACATGATTCTGAGGCCTTCCCAGCCATGTGGAACTGTAAGTCCAATTAAACTTCTTTTTCTTCCCAGTCTTGGGTGTGTCACTATCAGCAGTGTGAAAACGAACTAATACAGTAAATTGGTACCAGTAGAGTGGGGCGTTGCTGAAAAGATACCCAAAAATGTGGACGCAACTTTGGAACTGGGTAACGGGAAGAGGTTGGAACAGTTTGGAGGACTCAGAAGAAGACAGGAAAATGTGGGAAAGTTTGGAACCTCCTAGGATTTATTGAATGGCTTTGACAAAAATGCTGATTATGATATGGACAATGAAATTCAGGCTGAAGTGGTCTCAGATGTAGATGAGAAACTTGTTGGGTGCTGGAGCAAAGGTGACTTGTTATGTTTTAGCAAAGAGACTGGCAGCATTTTGTCCCTTCCCTGGAGATTTGTGGAACTTTGAACTTGAGAGAGATGATTTAGGGTATCTGGCAGAAGTTTCTAAGCAGCAAAGCATTCAAGAGGTGACTTGAGTGCTGTTAAAGGCATTCAGTTTTAAAAGAGAAACAGAGCATAAAAGTTTGGAAAATTTGCAGCCTGACAATGTGATAGAAAAGAAAATCCCATTTTCTGAGGAGTAATTCAAGCCAGCTGCAGAATTTGCCTAAGTAACAAGAAACCCAATGTTAATCCCCAAGACCATGGGGAAAATGTCTCCAGAGCATGTCAGAGGTCTTCACGGCAGCCCTTCCCATCACAGGCCTGGAGACCTAGGAGTAAAAAGTGGTTTCATGGGCTAGACCCAGAGTCCCCAACCTGTGTGTAGCCTAGGAACTTGGTGCCCTGTGTCCTAGCCACTCCAGCCATGGCTAAAAGGGGTCAATGTAGAGCTTGGGCCATGGCTTCAGAGGGTGGAAGCCCCAAAGTGGCAGCTTTGACATGGTGTTGAGCCTGCGGGTACCCAGAAGTGAAGAGTTGAGGTTTGGGGACCCCCACCTAGATTTCAGAAGATGTATGGAAACGCCTGGATGCCCCAGGCAGAATTTTGCTGCAGGGGTGAGGCTCTCATGGAAAACCTCCACTAGGGCAGTGTGGAAGGCAAATGTGGGGTTGGAGCCCCCACACAGAGTCCCTACTGGGACACTGCCTAGTGGAGCTGTGAGAAGAGGGTCACCGTCCTCCAGACCCCAGAATGGTAGATCCACTGACAGCTTGCACTGTGCGCCTGGAAAAGCCACAGACACTCAACACCAGCCTGTGAAAGCAGCCAAGAGGGAGGCTGTACCCTGAAAAACCACAGAGGTGGAGCTGCCCAAGACCATGGGAACATGGTCTTGCATTAGCATGACCTGGATGTGAGACCTGGAGTCAAAGGAGATTCATTCTGGAGCTTTAAAATTTGACTGCCCTGCAGGATTTTGGACTTGCATGGGCCCTATAACCCCTATGTTTTGGCCAATTTCTCCCCTTTGGAATGGCTGTATTTACCCAATGCCTGTATCCCCATTGTATCTAGGAAGTAATTAGTTTGCTTTTGATTTTACAAGTTCATAGGCAGAAGGGACTTGTCTTGTCTCAGATAAGACTTTGGACTGTGGACTTTTGGCTTAATGCTGAAATGAGTTAAGACTTTGGGGGACTGTTGGGAAGGCGTGCTTGGTTTTGAAATGTGAGGACGTGAGATTTGAAGGGGCCAGGGGCAGAATGATATGGTTTGGCTCCGTGTCCCCACCCAAATCTCATCTTGAGTTGTACTCCCATAATTCCCACGTTACAGGAGGGACTGAGTGGGAGATAATTTGAATCATGGGGGTGGCTTCCCCCATACTGTTCTCATGGTAGTGAATAAGTCTCATGAGATCTGATGGTTTTATCAGGGGTTTCTGCTTTTGCATCTTTCTCATTTTTGTCTTGCTGCCACCATGTAAAAAGTGCCTTTTGCCTCCCGCCATGATTCTGAGGCCTCCCCAGCCATGTGGAACTGTAAGTCCAATTAAACCTCTTTTTCTTCCCAGTTATCAGTAGCATGAAAATTAACTAATACATCAGCTTTAGTAAATATGGCAAGTTTTCCAAAGTATACATTAATTTTTTTTACAAAGCATTAAGTAAAATCCTGACAGCCAATAGAAGAATAGGTAAAAGACTTGACAAAAAGGATTCCAAGTAATAAGAATAGCACAACTTTTGAAAATTGTAAGTCTTTTTAACCTTAACATTCTCTGATGCAAAGAGGAAAAAAGTTATTCTGTAAGTATATTTAAAATGTTTGTCTCAAGCTAGCCAATTCTCTATTATATGTTCTACAAAACAATTGTTTAAAAGTTATGAAATAAATAGATACATCAATGGTTATGTTTTATCTGTAGCATAGTGGTTCAGAAGTTGAAAATACATATATTATTTTTCATTAAAGTCCATATTTTTAAAAAGCTTATTTACTTCACTTAAATTTAGAAAACAAAATATTTCAAAATCTCCAAAGTGATAGTATCTGGTTAAATTGTCTTCAATTTATTCAATTAATAATTAATAACCAAGTTGAAAGCAAACCAATAAAAGGGATATTCAGATAGATTTAACAATTATCTTAAGAGTCCACTACTTAAAAATAAATAAAACCAAATTTTTATAAATATATAAATTTTTTTACAAATTACAGATAAATGGAATACACACACACAAAGTCCATAATCACCTAACAAAGCTCCTCCTTTGTAGTTTTTATTTTAGTGTTTGGAAGGAATGTTTAGTGTTTAGTTCTAAATTATTGCAATGCAAGACTGCAATACAGGTTAGGCTGTTATCTTGAATGTAAAGAAGTGATGATGAATGCATTGAAAAATAAGTAGTGAAAAAATGCAAGGCAGTTGCAGGAATAAAACTCCATGAGCTCTTGACCTCACATATGTACAAATTAATTTAGCAAAATAAAAGAGCTATAATGTTAATGTGGCCTGGATTTTAAGAAAAATGCTAATTTTATTCTCTTTTCTGAGAGTGCAAAGGATAGAGAAAAAAAGTGAGGAGAAATAGTTCTGTGACTAAAGAGATTATAAATGGAAAATATGAGGTATTTTAAGAGCAAAAAGCATATGTTGATAAAGAGAGAGAGAGAAAGAGGGAGAGAGAGAGAGAGTCCTTACATATGTAAGGTCAGCCTTACATTAGTGTATTCTTGCTGAATCTTTGACTGACATACCAGATGTTCATCACAGGCACACTTTACTTCTATTATGCTGATTTATGCCGTCTAGTTTTGTTTGTTTTCTATTTGTGTTTCTACGGAATCCATTCTCTTGTGATAAATGTGGAAATTTTGGTTGTTTTAATTTTATGATTGTACCCTCCATTATCTTTGAATTCCTCTAACTGGAACATTATTAAACTTGTCTCTTATAAGTGCTGTACTCTCATTTGTCATTGTACTACTAAAGGACCTTAATCCTTTGGTATTTGAGGTATTCTTGGAAGTCCTTTTAGGAACATGCATTTCACTGATGGATTTGACTGGGACTTTGGAAATATAATGGTTTTATGTTAATCTTGCCCATTAGTGTTTTATGTCTTAAGACTAGAGACTTGGTTCCTCCTCCTGAAATTTTTAGCCCTATTTCCTATAAAGACTCATAGCTAGCTTGATTTGGTGTCTGCAATAAGTAAGAGATTTGGTCACTTATCTTTTCTCTCTCTTGCCATTGGGTGGATTCTATGAGCTGATTTTTCTTTGGCTTCCATTAAACACACTTTTATTTCTAGAATTAAAGACAAATAGATAATCTCATCGCTATTTGCAAATATTGGTAGTATTTTCGTATGCAAAGGTTTAAAGAGAATTCTTGGAAACCAGCACAGTAGAAGTAAGAGCAATGCAACAAAGCTACAGGAAGAAATGTTGGGCTTTGTATAGAGAGTTAGCATTCACAGTTTTCTAAACCTGCCTCTGGGAGGCAGTAGGGTGTAGAGGTTGAGTACGGCTTCCCGTTGACTTCAAATCCAATACAACCACTCGCCTGTTGTGTGATCTGTGCCTTGGTTTATTCTGTGAAATAGGTATAGTAGTAAATCCTCCCCCATTGGGTTTTTGTGAGGATTAAATGAGATACTTCCTGCCGGGCACTTACAATTCTGTCTGGTACAGAATAAACGTTCAATAAAAGTTAGCTTTATTATTATGGAATAGGCTGTCTGCTTTTGTATGTTTTCCATCATTAGAGGAATTTAAGCAGAGGTGAAATAATAAATTGGTAGAGATTTCATAGTTAAGATTTAAGCATTGGATAGCTCCTTCAACCCCTCAGATTTGTGTTTCTATTATTTTGTTTCCAGTGAATATCAAGGTATCTTTCATATATGACAATTGGTGGTATTAACCTATATAACATGCTTTTTTTTTTGGTAGTTCAATTCCAATGATACAGTCTCCTGTAGTCAATCTGGGACCTCAGAGTACGGCAAAGAAAACCACTGCTTAAGTCCAGTCTACATGCTGACCTTATGAAGCAAACCAGCTATAGATGCCAGAGACCTAAACAGATAGACTGTGAATTCAATTTGAGGAAAACACTGCAGAACGGTTCTTTTGATAATTTACAATCTTTCCTATCTGATGGCAAAAATTAAAAAGTGTTATAATATTCATTGTTGATAAGACATAAATGGGAAAATGGACACTGTAATATATTGTTAGTGGGAATATAAATTGCAAACATTTTGGAAAGAAAGCTGTCAATGTCTATTATAATTTTAAATATATATTCTCTTTGACCTGCCAACTCCACTTTTAAATGGCTTTCCTATATGTGTGTATATATATGTATATATGTGTATATACATACATGTATACACACATACATATATACACACATACATATATGTACACATATATACATATATACATATATATACATATATGCATATCATTATTTAAGGCCACATTAAGAAACCTCTATTGTGGCATTAATTGTGGTAGTAAAAATATGGAAACAATATAATTATCTATTAATAGGGCAATATTTAAATGCGGTAAGCTCTTACAATGGAATATTATTAAGTGACTGTTTAAAAAAATGATTTAGATTTCTATCTATTGACATGAGAGGTCCGTGATGTACTGCTAAGTGAATAAAGTAAGTTCCAGCATAATATTTATGGTATATTTGATGTTTGAAACAGCAAACAAACAAACAAAAACTTCAAATTGCCTTTGCATGCTTTTATATGTAAAGGGAGAAGTGAGGGTGGTCACCAGGTCGATGACCTGGGTTACCTCAGTGTTGGGGCTAAAAGAGAATCAGTGTTTTCTATATATGTTTTTGCATTTTTTTACATGCAATAAATGAAATTTTTTGGAATGAAAAAGTAGAAGGAAATAATTTTATTTAAAGAACTTAATAATTACAAAAATGTACCTATTATAATACATGCACAATAGGAACATGCATTTCACTGATGGATTTGACTGGGACTTTGAAAATATAATGGTATTATGTTAATCTTTCCCATTAATGTTTTATGTCTTAAGGCTGGAGACTTGATTCCTTCTGAAATTTCTGGCACAATGCAAATTTCTTGAGAAAAATAATCCCACTCTCCCTTCCTGTGCTTATCATTATTCCTTTTTCTTCTGCCTCCTCTATAACTTTCTTCCTTATGCTTTTTCATTCCCACTTCACCTCAAAAAAATAAAGTATTTTTGTGAAAATGGAAACATATTACCAGTCAAAATGTTTTACAAGTCTGAAAGTGATACAAAAAGCAGTTCATTTTTTTTCCCTTTTTCACCTCAAACTCTAAAAATATTTTGTAAAAAACTATTTTTAAGTAGAATACAGGCCCTCCAACTCTTATACGGTAAAGTTCTGCCATTTCTAGTGACATAGAGCTTCCTAGATCATGCTGTTCAGAAAGAACACAAAAACCAAATGCCTTCTTCCCTTCCTTCCTCCCCCCCTCCCTCCCTTGTTCCTTCCTTCCTTCCTCCTTCCTTACTTTCTTCCCTCCTTCCTTCCTTGTTGATAAATATTAGGAGCAGCAGCAGTATTTCTTCTTATGGTAAGTAATAATGGCATGTGCTCTAAAAGAAAACTAGAATATTTTGACTCTGACTTTATGTGGACAAGGGCAAAAAAATGACTAAAATACATTAATTAATTGAAATTCATTAAAAAGAGGCAAATATAACCAAGATTTTTTCATGTAGTAGTAACAATTAACTATTATTAAACATTCATATAAACTAATTGAAATTTCTTTTCCTAAAATGGTATATCTTTAAGGTTTTAAAAAATTATGTAAACTCTGTAGTTGAACAAATTATATCATTTCTGAAGGATTTGATTTCTGGGTGAACCTTTTTAGGGTTGTTATTGTCTTTCATTATTTTTCTTTTTATTTTTTTTCTTTCTTTATTTATTTATTTTTTCTTCTTTTTTGACTTGAAGTCTCATTCTGTCACCCAGGCTGGAGTACACTGGCGGGATCTCAGCTCACTTCAACTTCTGCCTCCCAGGTTCAAGTGATTCTCCTGCCTCAGCCTCATGAGTAGCTGGGACTACAGGCACGTGCCACCATACCCCACTAATTTTTGTATTTTTAGTAGAGATGAGGCTTTGCCATGTTAAACAGGCTGGTCTCAAACTCTTGACTTCCAGTGATCCGCCCCCCTTGACCTCCTAAAGTGCTGGGATTACAGACGTGAGCCTCCGCTCCTGGCCATGTCTTCCATTACTTTTCTGAGTTCTATTTTTGTTCTTTTTTTTATTACCTTAAAATCTTTACTGTAGAAATACAAAAGCATACAGAAAAAATGTAATGAATCCCCATGTATCACAGCAATTCTTGTTTCATCTACAGCCCATCTATCCTCTAAATATATTTTGTAGCAGATACCAAACACCGTAAATGTTTTAGTACTTATGCCTACAAGATATGAACTCTTTTAAAACATAATCACAATACTATAAGTGTACCTAAACAAAGAGGGATATTTTCTTAATATCAACAAACAGGTACTGTTAAAATTCCTAATAGTCTCTTAAATGCCATAACTTTTTATAGTACACTGTTTTCCCTTTTGAAATTTATTTGTTGAATAAACTGAGTTGTTTTTACTTCGGCTCTAGAGACTGATCAGATTTAGATTAGTTTGTTTTTTCTTGCCAAGACACTTTATAGATATTGTTATATTTTATTGGGAGGCACAAAATATTTGACTGGCTCTCTTTTTGTGATGTTATTGGCTGTTAATGCTTAGTATCTACTTCCATTAATTTATCACAAAATAGTGATATTCTAATTGTAACCTTTGTTCTTTATTAGCTGAAATATCTCTCTAAAGAGAAAAATTCTACTTATCTATCATTTAGTTACTCAGCGTTACAGTTCATATAAAGAAAGCAAGATAAATGTTTGATCGTATCCCTTTATTTACTAATTTTCATAATGTATTTGTTCCCTAGAATCATCCAACAGTGATTAATTAGGTTTTTAAGAGTTTTTTTTTCATCACTACAAACATATGGGTTTAAACATATTTTAGTTATGTTTTAAGCCATTGCAGCTATTATTCTTTTTTTTTTTTTTTTTTGAAACGGAGTTTTGCTCTTGTTGCCCAGGCTGCAGTGCAGTGGTGCAATCTCAATTCACTGCAACCTCTGCCTCCCGGGTTCAAGCGATTCTCCTGCCTCAGCCTCCTAAGTAGCTGGGATTAGAGGCACCTGCCACCATGCCCGGCTAATTTTGTATTTTTAATAGAGATGGGGTTTTGCCATATTGGGCAGGCTGGTCTCAAACTCCTGACCTCATGCGATCCACCTGCTTCGGCCTCCCAAAGTGCTGGGATTACAGGCATGAGCCACCACGCCTGGCATGCAGCTATTATTCGTACTGATGCTCTTCTTGGCCAATGTTCTAAATGGTGTGAGTCCTGTCGACATGATCTTAATAACCTTTGATGGTTTCTTTGCTACTTGGTATGACAAGGTGTTCCACACTCATTTTGTACTTTTGCTGTCTTACACTTAGAACTAGCTGTATTAGTTCGTTTTCACACTGCTGATAAAGACATATACAAGACTGAGTAATTTATAAAGAAAAAGAGGTTTAATGGACTCACAGTTCCACATGGCTGGGGAGGCCTCCTGATCATAGCAGAAGGCAAAAGGCAAAAGGCACATCTTACATGGTGGTAGACAAGAGAGAAATGACAACCAAGCAAAAGGGGTTTGCCCTTGTGAAACCATCACATCTCGTGAGACTTATTCACTACCATGAGAATAGTATGGGGGAAACTGCTCCACGATTCAATTTCCCACCTTATCTCCCCCACAAAACTTGGGAATTATGGGAGCTACAACTCAAGCTGAGATTAGGATGAGGACACAGCAAAATAATAGCACTAGCCAAGGCTCTTTTTAGTTTGTTTTTTTTTAGTGAGTTTTTAGTTCTATTAGGGTGACTACTTCCAGGCCTTTTCAGTGAACACAGTAGGGATTATTTTTTCAAACAAAATATATTATGAGCTCATATTTATATTTTCAATTCAGAGTTAGAGCAGTCTTACATCTGTAGTGCTTCTATTTCACATCAATATATCCTTTACACTGCTGATAATCCTAGTTCTTAAGGCTATGAAGGACAATATAATTAGACTATGTCATACTTGCTTATTTGCCATATTCTCAATAAACACACACAATAACAGTGCTAACCCCACTAGCAACAATAAAAGTATTGAAAAGAGTTAATTTTTTTTTACAGTTTTAACTTTTTGCCATGCTAGTGGGTATGTAGTGGTATCTTTGTATGGCAAATTTTTGACTGAATTCCAAACATTGTAGTTGCTGTTGTATTTTGCTGAATCTCCTTAGATATTATTAGATTTTATTCTAGGATTCTGCTAAATTACTTGTAAACAATTTTATCCTTTTAAGTCTCTTTTCCCAAACTTTGTTAGGGCAGGTCCAGAGCAGCTGTTCCTCTGAGGACTTATGCAATTCCACTGCTGAGGTAATAACCGTCTAAGGAGTCTACTCAATTCCCTACTTAATCAGGAGTCTTTCCCCTCTGATTGATTAGAACATGAAAGATTTCCTGTCCCTTGGATCTCCAGGGAAAAGTCCACCTATTCCCTTCCGTTGATCCTTTCTGAGGCTTTATGTAGTTTCCTCCACAATCTCCATGTGCAGATCAATACTCTGCCATAGACTAAAGCAGACTCCTGGACCTGGACAGATCTTTGGAGCCCATTTTTTTATTTGTTTGTTTGTTTGTTTTTTGTGCAGCACTCTTCTTCCTGAAGTTACACCCAGAAATCTAGCTGTTTTGCCTTTCTTAACTCTGAATTCTGTCTTTTCAGCTCAGCACTACTTTCAGGGTCTGTTTGGGGCCTCTTCTCACTACTATAGTCTGGAAGCCCTCTCTTTAAACAATAAACTGGGGTGATTATAGGGGGCTTCTTTTGTTTCCTTTTCTCAAAGATTATTGTTCTATACTGCTTGTCATCTAATGTTTCCAGTTCTTTAACATTGGAGGATTAATCTGGCCCTTGTTACTCCATGGTAGTCAAAATTAAAATGCCATTAATTTTTAACACTGAAAATTGAAGATCTATTGTTTTCTCTGGCTTCTGTCTATACAGCTTCATATCCCATTGTCTCTAGTATTTCTTTTTCTCTTAATATCCAGGATTCATCATCCAAACCAATAATAAAGATCAGCTCACTTTTGGTCTATTTGCTTAAAGACATGAAGAATCTGAAATATCCAAGTGGTAGTCTTGGCTTCCAATTTAATAGTACCATTTTTGTGTACCTAGAGGAACCATTTCTTCCCTAAGGGTTGATGTTTCCAAAACGTTAGATCCCAGATTCACCATTACAGAAAGTATGTCACCTACAAACCTCTAGTTCATCACACGGAGGCTCCAACTAGGTTCCCAGCTTTGAGCACCACCGCAGATGCTAGGACAGGACCCAGAGAAGTCCCAGGAGGGAAGGTGATTACTCAAGGAAAGAAAAGCATAGATATTTGCCTAAGGCTATCTCTCCTTCAAGGCAGAGGGGACAAGATAAACCATTAAAAGGTTTTGTCTTCATACTCTCCCACACATGCTTTTTAAAGGGTCAACCCAGGATGGGGCTGTAAAGTGTCAGTTGTGAATTTCTGTCTGGTGAGTAAATTATACAGTAATACCTGTAAATAAGGCTTGAACTTTTCCCCTTCTGGTCAATTAATAATAAGAAACTCCCCATGAGTCATAAATAGAGATTGAAGGAGGATGGCAGAGCAAAATACATAGGCAAGTTGGGAATGAAAATCAGTTGTTAACTCAATTTGCTTATGTTTTCAGGGTCTACTTTCTCTGGAGCCATATATTTCACTTCCATCTGAATAATGTAATGCCACTGAGTTTGTCTAAATCTATGACTAGGATGTCAAATAACCCCGGTTTGTTATAGCAATGGTGTCATGTTGCCACCCGATGTTCCAAAGTCAGACTTTCTTTTTGTTGTTGTTTTTATTTCTGAACCTAACATTATGAACATACCAAAGTCAGACTTCATTCTCTGCCAGGGACCAATCAAGTTAAGAGCTGTTTCTGAAAAGAGGATTGTTATTGCTAAAATACATGGCTTTGCTCTTAGACCTTGGGAGCCAACACTAGACTTTTTTCCTCCAGATTTGCCAAAAGTGTCACAACTGATCATAGACACTTGAGTATGAGTAAAGCTTCACTGTAATTGCATTGCATTTTTGTTCAGTTTACACTTGCCCTGGGATCCATTAAAAATAATCAGTCTTGGCCGGGTGCAGTGGCTCATGCCTGTAATCCCAACACTTTGGGAGGCCAAAGCAGGTGGATCACTTGAGGCTAGGAGTTCGAGACCAGCCTGGCCAACGTGGCAAAACCCCGTCTCTAATAAGAATACAAAAATTAGCTGGTGTGATGGCGTGCACCTGTAATCCCAGCTACTCCGGAGGCTGAGGCAGGAGAATCACTTGAACCCAGGAAGCAGAGGTTGCAATGAGACAAGATCCTGTCCCTGCACTCCAGCCTGGGCAACAGAACCAGACTCTGTCTCAAAAAAACAGTATTCAGTCTTTTGGCAAATCTGACAAATGGATATAAATCATATGCTTAAATATGATATTCATTACTTCCAAAATGAAAAGATGTTTACCAAGCCCTGTGCCTTTTTTTAATAGTAGGCAGTGAGAAGGTACAAGAATTTCTCCTTTCCTTTGGAGAAGGTATCTTGACATACTAAATTTCACTGGCTCTTCAGGAATTTTATGGAAGTGGCAGATCCCTGTATTTTGGTGGAATTAGTATCCAATGCTCTGGCACACAAGAATTTTATCAAGGCATCATGCATATCTGCCACTACATTGACATCAATGTAAGGGACCAGCATGAGCTCCTGTGAAATGACAATACAATAAATGTCTCCATGAGCTCAATTGTGGCACAGAACCAGTGAGTTGTCACCACTCTGGAACAAGATAGAAAAGGTATCCTGCTGTCCTTTCAGGTGAAAGAAACTGTGTTTTTTGATTAGCATAGAATGAAAGTATTTACCGCCCCAATAGCTGCATGTCATGTGCCAGTGGTATCAGTTTGCTCCAGGAAAAAGACACATCTGCAGTAGTTGCTATAACTGGAGCCACAAATTAATAAAAACAATTATTTGTAAATCATAGGAAACATTTAATGTGATAGTGTTTTTTAGACAATTAGAGATGTAAATGTTTATTTCTTGACTGCTTTTTTTCTGATACATATATTCAATAATTTGCAAATTTTAAGAGTAAATCACTTGATACAAATTAATAATATTTGAATTTAATACATAGAAAATAAATACAGTCTAGGGCAGTTTTATCTGATTCATATTTCTGTGTGACTCTGGAAGGCCGTTATGAATGGCCCCTTTTTAATATCTACTTTGAAGTAATAACTGTGTGTTTAAAAATGTATCCCTTATAATATCTTTTTTTGCTGGTCTATTTGCTTTCTGATTTATTATTTAACATTAATCAAAGATTTAAAGTTATATCAACCAGATAATGAACTTTATTCATTTTAAGAAACACTAATTTTAAGGAGGAAGTCATTTATTTATTTGTTCAATAATAGACAATTCTGGTCATTTACCTAGACTTTTAACATAATGCGATCACTTACAACAGAATGGGTTTCTCCACTGTGAAAAATGAATACAATCATTTACTTGGGCCGTTTCTTGTGAAAATACATTTAATCTGGTAATATTTTATAATCTAACACTGTGATTGCTTTTACTATACTAGAAGGATTTCAACTAGATACAATTGAATTATTAAACAGTAAATAATTCCCATTTTCTTGTGTGTGTCTAATTCTCTTGTTTTCAATTACAACTCCTGGTCATAAAAATGCAAATTTAATATGCAAATTAAATTCACTTCGGTAAATATATTCACAGCAGCTTTAGGTGAAAACAAAACTACCTTTCAGCTAATGCCAAAATGTAAATCATGCCACTTTATAAAATAAGTCTGCATAATTTTCTTCAGAAAAAAAACACAAAAACTGTAACTGTAATTTCTTTCAAGACTGTTATATTTATGAAAAAAAAGGGCATGGGTTGAAAATTTAGATAAATCAAGCACAATACATAGAGATTTATGGCTTCAGTGATTTTTTTTTTTAATTTGTTCGTTTGTTTTTGAGGCAGAGTCTGGCTCTGTCACCCAGGCTGGAGTGCAGCGGCACTCTCTCGGCTTACTGCAGCCTTCGCCTCCCTGGTTCAAGTGATTCTGTTGCCTCAGTCTCTCAAATAGCTGGGATTAGAGATGTGTGCCACCATCCCGGCTAATTTTTTTTTTTTTTTTTTTTTTTGTATTTTTAGTAGAGACGGGGTTTTGCCATGTTAGCCAGGCTGGTCTTGAACTCCTGGCCTCAAGTGATCTGCCTGCCTTGGCCTCCCAAAGTGCTGGGATTCCAGGCATGAGCCACCATGCCTGGCCTTCAGTGATTCTTTGAACAGATAAAATATTGAGCTATTGCAAGGATGTAAGCAATGGCTAAATAAACATTATTATATACCTAGTGTGCAAAAGCTGTATAAAATGCTAAGTATGTAAGCTCTGAGGCTGCTGACAATAATATCAAGTCATTGGCTGTACTAATTTAACAAACATTTATTAAATGCCTATTAGGTGCCAAATTTGTCTTAGACACTAGGGATTCAAAGATAAAGTCATAAACTTTATTCTTGAAGAGCTTACTTCCATACATAGGGAGAAAGGCATATAGCAAATACTTACAATTCAATGTGCAGTAGTAGAGATTTTAAAATGTTAGAGGGTAGACTCACAGATTTGCATGGAGAAGTGGCAAAGGCTCCATAAAGGATATGAATTTTGAGCATTGGGAGATATAAAATATGGTAAATAAACTATATTTTGGTATTCGGAAAGTTGTTTATATAAGGTATTAAGGGCATAGTATGATTAACTCTATCTGTTATCTATTGCTGTCTAACAAATCACCCCAAAGCCAGTGGCTTAAGACAAAAATACTTTATTATTGTAGGTAATGCATCCATAAAGACCGTTTGAATTCCCACAGAAAGTTACTCAATTCTCTATTCTTATCTTGCACTCTTTTACTATAGTTAGTGGTTTCCTTCTGTAGATAGTAGCTCAGCAAACTATTGTTCACAAGACAAGCTGGCCTGCCACCTAGTTTTGAAAATAAAGTTTTATTTGGATATAATCATGCTCATTTATTTACTTATTGTATATGGCTGCTTTTTGAGCCACAGCAGCAGAGCTGAGTTGTTACAATAGTGATTTTATGGTTTGCAAAGCTGAAAACCACAGCCACCGCCCCTCAACTCTAGACCACTATTGTCCAATAGAACTTTCTGTGATGTTAATGTGGCTATAGAGCACTTGAAATGTGGTTACTGTGACTGAGAAACTGGATTTTAAAGTTTACTTAATTTTAGTTAATTTAAGTTTAAATTGCTACATGAGACAAGTGGCTACATATTGGACAGCCTAGTTCTAGACAGTAGGTTCCCTGAAGCCAGTGACCAACTTTGGGTTATCTTTTTTACCCCGTTATATCCCATCGTGCCCAGTATATAGCTTTATACTTAGCAGACTCAGTTGTTGTCTCAACAAATATTTGTTGAATTAAATTTATCATGGTTGTTTTTATTTATTTTGGTCAAACTTTGTGAAATAGTTAAAGTATTTTTCTTGGGATGATTAGTGTTTGACTCAGTTCAAATGCCTAATGACTTCCCGAAAATGTCTCCAAAGGTTCTAGCCTACAGGAACTTTTCTCTCTGAAGGAGCAGCCATCTTCAAGGGTGTAATCCACAGCGTAAATAATTCAACTTAGAATAATGGCCTCCAGCTGCATTCATGTTGCTGCAAAGGACACGATTTTGTTCTTTTTTATGGCTGTGTAGTATTCCATAGTGTATATGTACCACATTTCCTTTATCCAATTAATTATCCTAAGCAAATTAACACAGGGACAGAAAACGAATCCCGCATGTTCTCATATATAAGTGGGAGCTAAACATTGGGTATTCATGGGCATAAAGATGGGACCAATAGACACTGGGGACTACTAGAGGGAGGAGGGAAGAACGGGGGCAAGGATTAGAAAACTAACTGTTGGATACTATGCTCTCTTACCTGGGTGACTGGATCATTCATACACCAAACCTCAGCATCACATATGTAACCAACATCCATGTAACAAACCTGCAAATGTACCCCCTGAATCTAATATAAAAGTTGATATTTTTTAAAAAAGAATTACACTAAGTGCCCAGTTTGGCCATTATCTCAGATGCTGGGGCAAGGCCCTGCCCCTCCAGAGCAGCCCTGGGAGGGAAAGTGATTCCTCAGGGAAAGAAAAGTTCGCCTGGGATCTCAAGGCCTATAGCTCTTAATGACCCGCTCTGACTTTCCACACAGTCACTTTGCCCAGTGCTGAAGTCAGCCTCAGGAGGACTGCAACAGTGCTTCAAGAACTACAGTTCCCTTTCTCTCAAAGACTCAGTTGCAGGGGCTGGCTTATCCATGCTCTTTCTTTGTTACCTCAAGGTAAATTTATTTATAGGATTTTACCACCCTGCTCTACCACTGCATTTTGGAAGGAGCCCATCTGTTTTTTCCAGAATTCTTGTAGACTTTGAGTATCAGAGAATAGGAATGGGGGTACAGGTCATTCCTTCTCAGTGGCGTCTAATGCAAGTTGGTTCTTTATGTGCCAGGAAGAGGACAACCTTGTTAAATAAAAGGTGCTGTTATTCTTTCCAAAAGCAGGTGACTTATTGTCTTACATTTGCATAACTAAATAGTACCACTTGAAGGCTAGCAGAAAAGGGAAGTCAGCTTGGAGGCAACAATTTTTTGTAGTTGTTCTTTGTGACAGATGCTCTAATGAGCAAAATTTAGGTGCTTCCACTTATAGACTGATAGAAGGGAGGAAAGAAGAAAAGAAGAAAAAGGAAAAAGGAAAGAAAAAAATTAAAAATGCTTTGATAGACACGTTTATAGTTTTTTCATTTTGTAGTATACCCAATCTGTTTCCTCAATCCTATATTGGTGGCCTTTTAACTTTTCATCCACTTTCACTATTATAAATAAGTGCAATTTTACATATATCCTTGTGTA
The DNA here is from genome assembly GCF_000001405.40 of Homo sapiens. Classification (NCBI taxonomy): domain Eukaryota; kingdom Metazoa; phylum Chordata; class Mammalia; order Primates; family Hominidae; genus Homo; species Homo sapiens. The sequence goes on along the minus strand of NC_000001.11, from coordinate 197,857,371 downwards.
CCCGATAGGGTTTTTCTACAGGAAACATTAAGAGAATGCACAATTTATAATTTGATAGATTGACAAATTGCCTTCCAAAAATGTTTGCCACATAAAAATCTGTATTTCTGTTTTCTCTTGGAAAATTGAAAGTTTGGCCATCCTGGGCCTAAATTCCTACTAGGTAACCAATGTGCAGCAGTTGAGCAAGGGCTTCAGGCTTTCAACTGGGCCTGTGTGGTCCAGTTCACTATTATTGTGCCCCCCCCGTCCCTACTGCCTGTCTCTTTAATTTGAGATACCTACGTAGTTCATGAGGCCTTGAGTTTGCAACTCCTGCCTTAACACATAGCACACAAACAGTGACACAAACAACAACAACAACACACAAACAAAAACAACCACTTCCCAATAAGTGGTTGTTTTTGGAATAACCAGAAAAAAAAATGGTTGCTCAACTCCTCCTCTGTAGTTTTAAAAGCTGGGGGCGGGGGTGGGGGGAATAAATGGGTAAAATCTATACAGGGTTTTGAAAATGCAACTAGATTTTGAAAGCCAGACTGGCCGGGCACGGTGGCTCACACCTGTAATCCCAGCACTTTGGGAGGCCAAGGCGGGCAGGTCACTTGAGGTCAGGAGTTTGAGACCAGTCTGACCAACATGGAGACACCCCGTCTCTACTAAAAAAAAAAAAAGATTAGCTGGGCATGGTGGCATATGCCTGTAACCCCAGCTACCCAGGAGGCTGAGGCAGGAGAATGGCTGGAACTTGGGAGGCAGAGGTTGCGGTGAGCCGAGATTGCGCCATTTGTACTCCAACCTGGGCAATGAGCGAAACTCCGTCTCAAAAAATAAATAAATAAATAAAGCCAGACTGTTCATCAGTAGTAGGATATGGGAGCTATGATTCAGGAATCATGAGATAATTTACCCTGCCACCAACTTGCTACTGTATAAATGTTCAAGTGAGCGTTTCTTCTGAGATATATTCTGAGGAATCTAGAGAGCAGAGTATAATGGACTCATTTGTGTAAGAAGTAAACCACTATAGTTATTAGTTCAAAGTCAAAACTCTTGTTTTTCAAATTTTATTTTACTTATTTATTTTTTAACTTTTATTTTAAGTTCAGAGGTGCACGTGCAGGTTTGTTACATAGGTAAACTTGTGTCATGGGGGTTTATCTTACAGATTATTTCATCACTCAGATATTAAGCCTAGTACCCATTAGTTATTTCTCCTGATGCTCTCCTTCCTCCCACCCTCCATCCTCTGAAAGGGCCCAGTGTTTGTTGTTCCCCTCTAAGTGTTCATGTGTTCTCACCTTTTAGCTCCCACTTATAAGTGAAAACATGTGGTATTTGGTTTTCTGTTTCAGTGTTAGTTTGTTAAGGACAATGGCCTCCAGCTCCATTTATATCCCTGCAAAGGATGTGATCTCCTTCTTTTTTATGGCTGCATAGTATTCCGTGGTGTACATATACCTCATTTTATTTATCCAGTCTACCATTGATGGGCATTTAGGTTGAATCTATGTCTTTGTTATCGTGAATAGTGTTGCAATTAACATATGCATGCATGTGTCTTTATAATAGAATGATTTATATTCCTTTGGGTATATACCCAGGAATGGGATTGCTGGGTCAAAAGATATTTCTGTATTCAGGTCTTTGAGGAATTGCCACACTTCTTTCCACAATGGTTGAACTAATTTACACTCCCAACAACAGTGTATGAGTGTTCCTTTTTCTCCACAACCTCACCAACATTTGTTATTTTTTACTTTTTAGTAATAGCCATTCTGACTGGTGTGAGATGGTATCTCATTATGGTTTTTATTTGCATTTCTCTAATGATCCGTGATGTTGCAGAGCTCTTTTTTAAAAAATAGAAAGTTAATTCAATTTATTTGAAAATATAGAGTTATTTTGTTGATGATGTAAATAGATACATGTAAAACAAAGAAATGAGATAGGAAGTAGGAAGTTCTTTTTCTCTCTAACTTACCAGCAAGTAGGCAGGGTATGAAATTGTTTGTTACTTGTTAAAAGATTGAACTACATCTTTACCTAAAATGCAATGCTAGGCCATCTGGCAAAAGCCTTTTTAACCCATAAGTAGTTGGCTGTAATACAACTTCCAATTCTTGACAGCCTGTGTGGTCTTCAATCGTTCGCAACGTGTATATGAGTGAGAGTGGAGGTAAGGAGTGGTTTAGGGTGTCTGAAAAGTGGGTTCTCTCTAATAGACAGTACAAATGGTAACATTTATAGAGGGCTGAGAGAGTGAGAGTATTGGGGGTAGGGCTGTAAAGGCGATGCAGGACAGGGTGTGAGATCAAGTCTCCAGTGGTGTGGGAAGGAGAGCTGCAAGGTTTTCTATGTGTAGCAGCCAGGCGTTACTCAGCTCTACCTTCAAGAATAAAGGCAATTTAGCTAAAAGGAGTACAGCTAGCTGCCAGCCTCCAGTTGCAGTGTCTTCAGGATACATCTTAGCTTTGGGGCTGAGGAGATGCTCTTCCTGGGCAGCTTCCAACCAGTTACGGAACACTAAAGAGGTAATAAGACCTTGTCATTTCTGTCCAACATGGAACTCTTCTAACAGGCAATATTTTTTCCAAGCTATCCATTGGGTTGCTTGAGACTTTGCCAGAGATGCCTCCTGGTTAGAACCACATTCTTCCTTTCTCCCTTTCCTTTCACATGAGCATCACGGTCTGAAGGCTTTCCCTGCCCAATTCTTCAGCCTCCTCTTTTTAATCTTTCACTGGTGTTATTGGCTCTCCTAACCCTATACCAGTATCTGCTTCTTAGAGGACCCAATATAGTGTCAGCTCTATGTAAACTCACTACTCCAGGAACAGTTAACCCTTGAACAACATGGGTTTGAACTGCACAGGTCCACTTATACTTGGATTTTCTTCCATCTCTGCCACCCCTACTCAACGTGAAGACAAGGATGAAGACCTCTATGATGATCCACTTCCATTTAATAAATAGTAAATACATTTTCTCTTCCTCATGATTTTCTTAATAACATTTCTTCTTCTAGCTTACTTCATTATAAGAATACAGTATATAATACATATAACATATAAAATGTGTTTATTGACTATATTATTGGTAAGGCTTCTGTTCAACAGTAGGCTATTAGTAGTTAAGTTTTCAGGAGTTGAATTTATACACCAATTTTTGACTACGCGAGTGTTGGTACTTCCAACCCCTGCAGTTGTTCAAGGGTAAACTATATATATATTTAAAGATTCACTAAGTAAGTCTGATGCAAATGCTACAAAGTATAGGAGATGAAATTAAATGTGTACAAATGCTGTGAAAACTTTTTACAGAATTAATTATATAACTCTAATTCTGCTTCACATTGCTTAATTTTTTAATGGAAGAAAAACGAAGTTTATGTATTTTCGATTTTTCATTGCCATTTCAGTGGGACCGTTTGTATAATGTTTTCTCATGTCATTTTCTTGAACAGAATATGTTTGACATGTTGAAATGCCTGATTTCTGAGGTTGCACAAGAGATTTATCTGCATCTCTTCTCCTGACGTAGCATCTGCTGAAAAGAAAATAGTATAGATTTTGGATTCATGTTCTTCTGTCTTTCAGAATTCATGAACCCAACATCTCCATACTTATAACTGGATTTGAATCCCTAAGATACTGTTTAAATTTTTTTCCCTTTTATGAGTTTTCTATTTCTTCAGTGAAAATCTTAAACATGTTATATCACTGGCTTGTCGATAAGGAAATAAATAATTAATTCAAAGAAAAACACAGCAAATACAAAAACAAATCTAAAAGCAAACCTCAGAAGTATAATTTTTATGTTTACAACATTTATGTTTTCCATATTTATGTTCACTGCAAGTAGCCATATGCATCTTTAAGTAATGTATATAAACAAGCAAAGAAATGATGTTTGTATTTGTTTACTTATATTTAAAGATGCTCTGGATATAGCTTAGGTGCAGAGAGCACAGGAAACAAAGTATTAATCTAATCTGTGCGATGCCCCTTAAAGATACTTATTTATCTTTCTTTTTATCCTAGGCAGCAAGCAAATTGTCAGGAATTTATCAAATTGTTTACTAAAAGACTTAAGATGGTACTCTATAGAAGGTAACTTGATAAAATCTTTATGCTTTAGGTTCAAGTTATTCCTTCAGTGTTTATTTATGTTTTTATAAGATTTTTTAAAGTAAGGATAATTAAAGCCTTTTTTTTTCTTTCCTTTTTTTTTTTTTTTTTTTTTGAGATAGAGTCTTGCTCTGTCGCCCAGGCTGGGGTGCAGTGGCGCGATCTCCGCTCACTGCAAGCTCCGTCCCCCGGGTTCATGCCATTCTCCTGCCTCAGCCTCCCCACTAGCTGGGATTACAGGCGCCCTCCACCACGCCCTAAAGCCTTTGTTTTTAAAGGCATCTTCAAGTAATTGCACATTCTGTCAGCAGGCTTTTTTTGGTCTTTTTTAAAAAATGTGCTTATGATTGCACTATTCTTATCGGCATACTCTTTTACTTATTTGATGAATGGTGCATGTTTAATGTGTTTAATATTAAATAGTCTTTAATGCCAAATCATACTTCTGTCATCTCTTAGGTTTTCAAGTACAATTTTTTTATGTACATGTTCATTTGTGGTTTAAACTATTCTGACACACTTCAAATGAGAACAGCTAAAAATAGTGTGTTAAAGAAGAGTATTCTCCGTGCAGAAACCTTCTATTAAATCATTGATCATTTATTGGTAGTGGTTATTGAATTAGCCTATGTATATATGTGCATTAGGTTCCTAGGGGTTCCCTAACAAAATACCACAACCTGGGTGGCTTTAAACAACAGAGATTTAGTCTCTCACACTTCTAGGGGTTAGACGTCCAAAGTCCAGGTGTCAGCAGGGGTGGTACCTTCGGAAGGTTCTGAAAGAGATCTGTCCATGTTTCTTTTCTAGCTTCTGGTGGTTGTCTGGAATCCTTGATGATCCTTGGCTTGCTGATGCACCCAATTTCTTCCTCTTTCTTCACACAGTATTTTCCCTTGTGTCTATCTCTTACGTTTCTTACATTTTCTCATTTGTTTTCAAACTTGTCATTTCTTTCACTATGCATCTTTCTTTTCATGATGAATTGAAGGGAATTATTATGACTCATAATTGTCTCATATTTAATCCTGGAACCATTAATATTTATTGCTAGTATGTGAAATACAACTTCTTCACTAAAAGTCTTGCAACATGAAATAGTTTACATATTCTGAACATTTACATCAAAGTGTTCATCATCTGATACCCAAACTCTCTTCCAAATCTCTCTCAATGTCTGATCAGAATCTCTCAATCTATTAATTGAACAATTAAGTTTTGTCATTTTCAGTTCCTTTATTCTAAAATATTTCAAAGTCACTTAAGTTTTAGGTTAAATGTCATGTCATATTATAAGTATGGCTCTCCTGTTGACACAGGAGCTTGGTATGTACTCACAAAGACATGGAAGACAGGATGTGCAGTGAAGAAAACACAGGCTTTGGACAGAACCTGGATTCAAACCCTTGTTCTGCGACTCTTGCACGTATACATCCAGATGGCCTGAAGTAACTGAAGATCCACAAAATAAGTAAAAACAGCCTTAACTGACGACATTCCACCATTGTGATTTGTTCCTGCCCCACCCTAACTGATCAATGTACTTTGTAATCTCCCCCACCCTTAAGAAGGTACTTTGTAGTCTCCCCCACCCTTAAGAGGGTTCTTTGTAATTCTCCCCACTCTTGAGAGTGTGCTTTGTGAGATCCACCCCTGCCCACCAGAGAACAACCCCCTTTGACTGTAATTTTCCATTACCTTCCCAAATCCTATAAAATGGCCCCACCCCTATCTCCCTTCACTGACTCTCTTTTCGGACTCAGCCCGCCTGCACCCAGGTGAAATAAACAGCCATGTTGCTCACAAAAAAAGATAATAATAATAAATAAATAAATTTTTAATCTTGAATAAGTTAGTTACTTTATCTGTGAAATGGTGCTGGTCATTTGGAGAATTAAATGACAATAGCTAATGCTTATGTAGCATTTATTATATGACAAGCATTGTTCTAAGTACGTTACATATATTAACTTTATTATCCCCATATTATAAAGAAGGGAAAGTGAGACACAAGAAAGTTTGGTAGCTTTCCCAAGTCAATTAACTAGTAATGATAGAGATGGAATTTGAACACAAGCATTCTGGTTTCTAAATCTGCACTCTGAATAACTCCATATTGCCTCTCCAGTGAATCATTTGTCACAGAGCAGCCTGACCCAGTGACCTCTGTACCTTTTGGTTTTTCACCTGGAGATGTATTCAGGCACCTCTATATATCTGCAGATGAATGGAAAATTCTTTGTTTTTACTGCAAAATTAGATTAACAAGGTTCTGATGATTCCAAGCTCAGAAAGAAGGTTTTTACATTAAAAAAAAAAAAAAAAAGTCAAGCATAATGTCTTCGGAAGGATGTGGAAGCTATTCTCTGCCTCTGATCAGCATTTTTTAAAATTAATTTAATTTTGAAGATGCCTTACTTATTATCTTCATGAATAGCTATGAAGGAGATTATCTTATAGTCTTTAATATGTCGTAATGAATATGAGAGTATCTGTTGCATAGGGAATGTTTAAATCATTCTTTAGAGTTTGAAACTATTCAGCAACAATTAAGTGGCCTGATAACACTTCAGAGTAACATACCAGATGTTTTAATGTTCTGTTCTCATCCTAGATGGCTGGACAGACTTAGAAATACGTGACTAATTTATAGAAAACTTCTGATGGGGGTCCATTATGGTCAACTCAAATACCTAAATTATAAACACTGCAGCAAACACAACAGAACATGAAAATACCCTCTTCACATACACAAGAACGAGGCACGTTGCACTCTAGGGACACAACACTGTCTTTGATGAACTAATCTTGTAACTTAGACATTCACCGGGGAGCAAAGTATAAATAATTTGAAGGTATATTTAACTGAAAGAGACAGTCAATCTACTCAGCTAGAACTAAGGCTTTTTTGTTTAGGTAGATGTGAAGGGTTAATTTCTGGTTCATGGCACTAGATAGTGGTGGTTCACTATCTGAGGAGGGGCCGGGGGAATCCGGTAGGAGGGTAAATCAAAAGTGTCTGGTGTATATGAGCAGCAGGCTGTGGGAAGCCCTCGTTTGACTGCTGATAACATATCTGTCTCCCTGCATTGAGGCTGGATCATGGTATTTAAAATATAGTCAGAGTATATTTTATGTTTGTGACACTATGGAGGTATTTATACAAATTTAAATCTTTAAAAAATTAAATTATGTAATATTTCACACTCACCAAATATACAAAAAATAAAATGACACTCACTTAGATATGATACATATTTAACCACTTGGTTGTAATAGATGCTTACACTTTTCTTGCTTGCATCCATTTTTCTTTCTTCTCCTCCTCCTTTTTTAAAAAAGTATTAATATGACATTTCAAACATATAAAAGAAGAAACAACAATCTTGTTTCATCTCTATAACTACCCACTTCTCTATCTCCTTAGATTATTTGGTAGCAAGTCCTAGACATCATTATCACTTCATCCATACATTTTTAAACATCGATCTTTAAAATAAAAGGATTAATTTAAAAAAAGATCTACATTACCATATTTCACCTAAATAATTAATAGTAATTCCTTAACATCCTTGAGTATTCACTCAGTATTCAACAATTCCTGTGTTTTTCATAATTTATAAGTTTGTTTGAATCAGAACCGAAGTGATGTCCGTACATTGCAATTAGTTGATAAATTGCTTAGCTCTCATAATTTATACACTCTTAAATTTTTCTGATTGCATCCCAATAGCTCCATTTAACACTTTTCTGTGTTCCCTGTTTTTCAAAAAATTGGGGGTTGAATCTAGACGTTTATATGGAGATAAGCTCTCTTTTTTTGAGCAAGAATATTTCATAAATACCTTGTGTACTTCTATTTGGGGCATATAATGTTGATTTTGTCTTTCTCTTGTGATTACTGCTAAGATCATCTGAGCATTTTCTCTTTTATCATCCTCTCTTTAAAGAAGTAAAATGTTATAGATACCATTAAAGTCCTATCCCACCCTCTTTCCCTCCCTAGAGGTAAATACTATTCTGAACTTTGTATGTTTTGTGTCCATACATGTTTTTACACCTGGGCTTTATATGCAGATTTTTATAAACTAGATTTAAACTGTGTTTACAGTAAGATGCAATGGTTCACTCTTGTAATCCCAGCACTTTGGGAGGCCTAGGCAGGAGGATCCCTTGAGCCCAGGAGTTTGAGACCAGCCTGAGTAACATGGTGAGACTCTGTCTATACAAAAATTAAAATAAAAAAAATTAGCCAGGTGTGGTGATGCATGCCTGTAGTCTCAGCTACTTGGTAGGCTGAGGTAGGAGGATCACTTGAGCCTGGGAGGTTGAGGCTGCAGTGAGCCACGATCATGCCATGGCACTCCAGCTGGGCAACAGGGCCAGACCCTATCTAAAAAAAAAAGTATTTTTATGTTTAAAAATTTAACACATTTGTTGTCACATTGCATGAAGGCACTTACAGCTTTCTTTTGGGTTTGATCTATGTCAATATATAAGAATATAATTCATCTTTTAAAACTATAGTTTAATATTGCATTATATGAATGAATCCCACTTTATTTTATCAATATCTTTACTTTTGGACAAGCATGTCAGTTTCACTTTTTCCTATTATAAATAGCACTGCAATGAATATTCTTGTGCCTGAGTCCTTGTGCATATGGACTCAAGTTACTCCAGGGTAGGTACTTAAAAGGGAAATTTCTGAGTTGCAGTCATGTGCTGGAGTTAACTCATGCTGTCTCATGGGAGCCTATTAAATTGTCAAAATTCTGTAAGGTGGTTATTAAAAATAAAAATTATTAAAAATTAAATTCTATAAACATAATTATGCAAATTATATTAAGAACAAAAGTAATAAATACCTAAAATTCATCACTTGCTAATTATTTTACTCCGATTTACTATGTTCCTATTGTACATACTACAGTTATCTGTGCTCTTGGGGTTACGTACATCTATTGTAAATCTGTATGGAGGAAATACTATGTAACAGCATGCTATCACTCATCTCTTCCCAACTCTGAGCTGAGTGGCATCACATTGGTAGCTTGAAATTAGCATGATGGGAGTATTTACACCACAGAAATTGGACACTTCTATAATACAAAGCAGCACTTAATTTATTGTTTTGTTGATGGTCTAGATTTGAGAAAGTGAGGGGAAAATGTTAATAATGCAGATTAATTTTTAAAGTGTATCATGCCATGCTGGGCATGATTGCTCACATTTGTAATCCCAGCACTTTGGAGGGCCAAGGCAGGTGGATCACTTGAAGCCAGGAATTCAAGTCTAGACTCAGCAAAAAAGCAAGACCCCATCTCTACAAAATAAAATAAAATACAATAAAATTAGTTGAGTGTGATGGCACAGGCCTGTAGTCCTGGCTACTCTGGAGGCTGAGGTGGGAGAGTCACCTGAACCCAGGAATTTGAGGCTGCAGTGAGCTATGATCACACCACTGCACTCCAACCTGGTTGACAGAGCAAGACCTTGTCTCAAAATGATAATAATAATAAAAAAAGTGTTTCATGTCTATAGCCATTATGTTGATTGCAAATAGCATAAAAATTTGAGGATACGTTCTTCCAATATTTGACTAAAGATATCAAAGGACAATGCATTTAAAAAGTATATTTTACTGTAGAGATGGGGTCTCATCATGTTGCCCAGGTTGGTTGGTCTTGAAATCCCACGTTTCCACTTTTTTCTTTCTCTCTCTCTCTCTCTCTCTCTCTCTCTCCCCCTTCTTTCTTTTCTTTTCTTTTCTTTTTTTTTTTTTTTTTTTTGAGACAAGGTCTTACTCTGCCGCCCAGGCTGGAGTACAGTGGCATGAACATGGCTCACTACAGCCTCGACCTCCTAGGCTCAAGAGATTCTCCCACCTCAGCAACGCCACCCCCACCCCCCAAGTACCTGGGAACACAGGCGCTTGCCATCATGGCTGGCTATTTTTTTCAGATTTTTGTAGAGTCAGGGTTTCACCATATTGCCTAGGCTCATCTCAAACGTCTAAGCTCAAGCCATTCTCCCCGCTTGGCCTCCCGAAGTGCTGAGATTACAAGCATGAGCCACTGTGCCCAGCCCACATTTTTCTTCTGAAAGAAAATGTAAGAGAAAGTCTATGTGGCCAACAAGGAGGTATCACCCAGATCCATTTTCAGTAAAGGTCTCATTGGTCAGCTGCAATAAGTGTGGAAAGCTGTCAGCCTCTAGCTGTTAGCTTTGTCTGGATCCACGTCAGCTTTTAGCTCATGTTCATGCTGTTCTTGTAGGGGCCACCAGACAATGAGTGAGCAAGATGGTAGTCAATGTTCAAGCCATTTCCACCCAACACGGGATTCCTTGGATAGGCACTCTTTGCTCTGGAGTCCCTCCTGGGCTTGTAGAAATGTATCAAATCTGTTTTTGGTTTGGCAGCCAGTCCTGCTCTCTTTTTTTCATTCTTAGATGTTAAACCCCAGTAAGATTTTTGCACACCTGACTTCATCTCAGGGTCTGCTTCCTGGGGAACCCCACCTTCACTAATTTTTATAACTGAGTTAGAACAGGATTTTTTCCTTTATTATTTAAAAAGTTCTATGACATGAGTCCATTGCATTTTTGTTGGAATTGCTGATCATGATCATGTTATGGTAGGGATTGCATACAATTCCACTGAGTTTGGAATTCTGAACACTGAATTCAGACTTGATTCTAAAAGTAATTATTCGCTGAAATATTAGGTGCAGTTGTCAGGGCTGGGCACAGTGGCTCAAGCCTGTAATCCCAGCACTTTGGGAGGCCGAGGCAGGTGGATCTCTTGAGCCCAGGAGTTTGAGACTAGGCTGGGCAACATGGTGAGACCCATCTCTACAAAATATACAAAAAATTAGCTGGTCATGGTGGCACGCATATGTAGTCCTAGCTACACAGGCTGAGGTGGGAGGACCGCCTGAGCCGGGGAGGTCAGGGCTGTAGTGAGCCATGATGGCCTCACTGCACTCCGGCTTGGGAGGTAGAGTGAAACCATGTCTCAAAAAGAAAGGAAAGGAAGGCAAGGGAGGGGAAGGGAGGGCAGGGGAGGGGATAGGAAGGGAGAGGAAGGGAAGGGAAGGGTGGGGAAGGGAAGGGAAGGGAAAAAGAAAGGAAAGGAAAAAGAAAAGAAAGGAAAGGAGGAAGAAAGGAAAGAAAAGGAGAAAAAGGAAAAAAGGAAGAAAAAGAAAGAAAAGAAAGAAGTTGCTTTGGTTGGTAAAATTGTGGCTGAAATTTTTGTTTACTTATCTGTATTTTATCATTGATCTATAATTAACTTACTCTACTTTTATGTGAGTTATGTAAAAAAGTATGTTTCTTTAGGATGGGTGTTTATAACAATGGCTGGGAGCTTGAACATTAATTCTATTCAATTCAACAAACATTTGTTGAGAACTCACAAGTTGCCAGGTGTCATTCTAGAACAGTAAGGGGATTCAAATACAAGTAAAATTGTCCTTGCTATGAAAAATCTTACAAACTAGAATCAAGGTGAGAGATACTTTGTAGGAGTGTTTTGACCAATTGATTGTATTCTATCTTATTTGGTTTGATCAAATTAGCTTTGCTGAGAAACTTTTTATTTCCAGTTTTACGTGGTGACACCATTACCTCTAGAAAATGACTGTCCCTAGATTTACTTAAGGGGAGAAATCATTCCTTATTGGTGAAACAGAATCTTTCCCACATTACTTCAAAATGGCCCTAGGAAATGACTGTTATGTGAGTGAGAAAATTTCTTCCAATATTTAGCTAGTTAGCTGGGACTCCGCTGTCTACATCAGCCGTGTCCCCGTTTGCTGGGGGCAGCATCTAAGTGCTGCTGCATCTATAAATAGAAAGGCTGTGCAAATATGCGTGGAGTGCTCGTCTGTTTCTACCACACACGTTACTGTTCTGAAATCCCTTTCCTGATCTCTGATAATCAGCCCTTTCTTCCCTTCCCTATAATGGCAAGAAGATGAGTGCCATATGTTTAGAAATAGGAATAGGAATGAACATTGCAGCATTTCTGGGCAATAAAATAAGGTACAGTTTTTAAAAAGCGGTTTAGATTAATATTGAACAAAGAATGTGTAGGAATGAAAAGGAAACAGTTGTGTTCTAAAACTTTAAAATAAGCTGACCAAAATCCCTTATGACAGAGAGAAATATGTGTCTGATGAGGCCAGTGGCACTAGACTAAACTCAGTGATAGTGATGATTTAGAATCTGGCATTGCAAAGTTTTTAGTTCTGTGTGTAAATTGTAACGCCCCCACACCCACTGGATCTGAATTAGAAAAGATACTCTAACTCATCTCCGTCAACCTTCAAAGGAAAGCTAATCAGAAGAGGAGCTGGAGGAGAGGAGAGAGGACTAGTTTTATGTCTAACCTGTCAGGGCAGTAGTCTCTGAATTTAGTCTTTCCAAACAGAAAAGATTGCTTATTGTTTTCCTTGTGGACCTATCACGTATCTGGCAATGTCCCAAAAACTCAATTTATTCTTTAGGGTCTTAGAACCAGAAAAAGACAAAGGAAAGCCTTTTCTCATGGTCACTCAGAGGAAATGGAATGAAAACCTTGTGCAGCTGTAGTTAAAAAGAAAAACCTCAAAAACTAAGAAATCCTCTATGCAATTTCTGTGTCTGGGCTATTTTTGAATTTAAAGTGGAGATGCCTGAGAAGAGACAATAATAAAATATTTCATAGAGAGTTTAGTTTAGTGGTGTTTACTTAGTTGAAACTCTTACGGCCAGATATTTGGGAAAGAAAAAAGAATGAGTGCAAAGTCATGAGTTCCTGGTAGCTTTCTACAGTGCATATAGCCATGAACATGATGTACTGTCACAAACTCAGGCTAGAAACCTAAGAATTCAGGCCTTGAAATCCGTGACAAGGCAAGGGACTGCCCTTTACACATTTCTTCGCACTATCTCTACTTCCTAAACTTCCTAATCCATGGCGCCTCTGAAATTGGCTGTATTGTGATCCCTCACTTAGCAAAACTAGTACATTTCATCTATTTTAATATTTTTTCACATTTTTATTCATGTGAAATGAAATTTACCTTGATGGCCCATCATTATTTAGTTGGCAATATTTCCTTTTGTTCTTGGTGGGAAACAAAAGAATGGTTCATTTTATAATAGATTAGGAAAAATAACGCAATATTCATGACAAAAATAGCTGCCTTTTTGAGAACCTTACTTGTACTAGTCACTGTGCTAAGTACTTTACAATTAGTATCTTAAGTAATCTTCACAAAAACATATGAGGATCAGTGTCACCTTATGTATTAGAAAACTGAGACCAGTAGACTTTAACTTGTAAGAAATAAGGCCTTCTAGAACCCAAGTCTATCTGATTCTAAACTCTATTCTCTTTCCACTATGTTACATTGCTTCTCATTTATCCAGTTTCAATAACAACAGCAACAATAGCAATGTTGTAATAGCAGCAAACACTTATATGGCATTTATGTGCCACACAATGTTTATATATATCTAAATTCATTTAATACAACACACATATAAGGTCGGTACCATCATTACCCTTATTTCACAAAAGAGGAAACTGAGGCACAGGGCCATTGCCCAAGGGCAGACAGCTAGTCAGTGGCAGAGTCAGCATTGAGTCAGGCAGGCAGTGTGGCTCCAGAGTCTTGAGCAACCCGTACTAGAATTAGCAACCTTCACTAGGGACCTCTGCTACCATAAGATCTCATATCCCAGTGTCCACAGGCTTTGAACACTCTTCATTTATTTGCTTTTAGGAAGCAGATCAATTTCTATTCCAGTTTATTATTTTTTCCTCATGTCCTATATGCCTCAATATAGAATAGGCTTTTTGTAGGTTGCAAAAAAAAGTGTATATAATTACTCCTCTTTTGGGGGATTCCATTGAAATACCAGGACTTAGACACATAAAACAATTAAATTATAGGGTAAAAAGGAATGGGATTTGCATATTTAGTACATAATATGAGCTAGGCATTTCGCTCAAGATACACATGTAATCCACATAATAATCTATTACTGTTCTCATTTTATAGATAAAGATTCTGGGCAAAGGTGAAAGGTATGAAATAATGTGAAGAAGGTCACATTGATAAGGGTAGAACATATACTTCAACCTAGGTCTGTCTGGTGCCCAAGCTGATACACAATGGATATCTAAAACGCTTGTGGACAATAAAGGGAAGAATAGGAAGAAAGAGAAATCTGAGTTAGAATCCAACATGGGTCCCAGTAGTGGCATTTGAATGGAACTTGAGGATGGGGGCGGCATACTAGAAAGCTGTAGAGACTATGAGGAAAAAGCATGAAAGTAGCAGTAGCATGCTGTATGTGGAGGACGGTGGCCCTGAAAGGGTGAAAGTAATTTTGCAGGAGTGGGAGGTAAGCTTGGTGACCATTTGATTTCATAATGCTAGACTTTAGGAAGACACATGAAAAGTTTGAACCTGATTAGGAGTCATTGTGAGGCATTATAAGCCCCCAAGAAGTGTCTGAAGAACAATGTCATAATTAGTGAAATGAAATAATTATTTAGTGAACATGAGAGAGAGCACATCCATTAAACTACGACTGAGATTAATGGAAATTCTGTGGTTAAAATTTAAAATCGGACGAATGATAAAGAAAATTCAGCCAAGCTTTTGCCACAAATCTGCTGCTTAAAAAGAAATAGTCATAGACCCTCAAAATAATACCCAGGCAATTGAAAAAGTCAGCAGGTGATTTACAATATGCCACTGAATTGAAGAGCTTTGGAAGGAGGTTTACTTAAACCTCATGAACACAATGATTTAAAGCATGGAGTGGAGTCACCAGTGTGGGCAGAAGTGAGAAAAGTTATTGCGAAAACAGCCTGTCTTCTCTTGCGTGGAAAAAAAAAACAGAAGCAGGGAGGATCTGTAGTCAATCAGCATGTCTAAATGACTATATCACCCTAAAAAATGCAGATCAACACTGGGCTTTTCAAAGTTAAGATGGATTTCACCTCCCTTCCTCTTCCCTCCTCCACATGCTCAAGATCCTGTACCACCATCCTTTGTGATCACTACAGAATTGAATTGGTGATGAGCTGTAACTGAGATTTGGAACAGAACACTGTGAAGTCAATACACCAGCTGGGCAGAAAGTCCAAGAAACATAAATTTCTTGGAAAATGACCCCATATTTTGGCAATCATTACTGTGAATGAGAGTACTTCAGAATCTTAACCCAGAACAAAGTAGCAGACTTTGTCCCACAAACTCCTCTACAGTATGTTTTACTGTAATGTTTATCCCTGACTCACACTTGCAGGAAAAATGATGTTTATTCCTGAATTACTTTGAAGGATTTTATGCTGTAAAACAATTTCAGACTTTATTGTGTGCTATTAAAACTTTAAATTCTTTTTCTCACTATGAAGATTTTTCTTTTGAAGAATGTTATAAATGTATTCCTGTGAAATGCTTTAAAATAAAAAACACAATATATTTAGAATCTACTAATGTTTATGGTTTAAACATTTCCACTTTCAAGTATTAAACTTGTTGTAGCAAGTCAGGCTAACCTAGAACCTCCTGTAATTAGGACCCCACAGCAGAAAAGAGACAAATTACAAGTGAAACAGTTTTGCCATTTTCCTAGTTGATTTCTTTTGGCAGTGTACAGTAGGGAACCTGACGAATTCCACCTTATTCTATAGTAAGTAGCGTGTGCAAGTCCAGAGGTCTTTCTCTGCAGAAATAGTATTCTTTAAAAGTCTAGAAAAGGCCACATGTAGTGGCTAAAGCCTGTAATCCCAGTGCCTTGAGAGGCTGAGGCAGCAGGATCGCCTGACGCCAGGAGTTTGAGACCGTCCTGGGCAACAAAGTGAGACACCCCTCTCTACAAAACATAAAATCAGCTAGGTGGCGTTTGCTTGTAGTCTCAGCTACTCAGGAGGCTGAGGTGGAAGAATCATCTGAGCCCAGGAGTTTGAGGTTTCAGTGAGCTATGCTCGTACCACTGCACTCAAGCCTGGATGACAGAGTGAGACACTGTCTCTAAAAATAAATAAAAAATAAATAAATAAAAATAAAATAATAAATAACAGTCTACAGAGGACTTGTAGACCTGGAGTTTGGGCAATCAGGGAGAATAAAACACCCTCTATACTGCTTTGTTAAGCCAGGGATGCCATCTTTCGCCTCCATGTTCCTTCTTGTATTCTCTTAATCTCTGAAAAGCAGCTGATAAACATAAGTGAAAATAACATGAGAACGGGCACTCCTCTTGGAGTAAAGCTCTGAGTTCTAGACACAGCTCTGCCATTTAACAGTATGGTCTTGTGGCCGGGCGTGGTGGCTCACGCCTGTAATCCCAGCACTTTGGGAGGCCGAGGCGGGCGGATCACGAGGTCAGGAGATCGAGACCAGCCTGGCTAACACAGTGAAACCCCATTTCTACCAAAAATACAAAAAAATTAGCCGGGCGTTGTGGCAGGCGCCTGTAGTCCCAGCTACTTGGGAGGCTGAGGCTGGAGAATGGCGTGAACCCAGGAGGCAGAGTTTGCAGTGAGCCGAGATCACGCCACTGCACTCCAGCCTGGGTGATAGAGTGAGGCTCCATCTCAAAAAACAACAACAACAAAACAAAACAGTATGGTCTTGTACAATTTTAACCTCTGAGCTTCAGTTTTTGTTTTTGTTTTTGTCAACTCATTTATTCAAGCAATATTTACTGTGTGCTCTGAGTTAAGCACTGAAGTTATAGAAATGAACAATTTACACACAGATTCTGCCTTTGTGAAGCTTATAGCCTATGGAGGAAAATAGATACTAAACAAACAATTGCATTAATAATGAGTTGGTTGTAGTTTTGATGAGTGCCAAGAAGGAACAGTACAGCAGACATTGATTCCTCGTAGCAGAGGATCCTAAGCTTGCTCTTGTGGGTCCTAAATGACAAAATGTGACTGGCACATAGTAGGTTCAATAAACGCAAGCTGAATCCGAAAATATGCTACTTGGCTAATGCATAAACTGGCAAAACAAAAACAAAACTCCATGTATTAGTCCGTTTTCATACTGCTGATAAAGACATACCCAAGACTGGGTAATTTATAAAGAAAAAAATTTAATGGACTCACAGTTCCACATGGCTGGGGAGGCCTCACAATCATGGCAGGAGGCAAAAGTCACATCTTACTTAATGGCAGACAAGAGAGAAGGAGAGCCAAGTGAAAGGGGTTTCCCCTTATAAAAACATCAGATCTCATGAGACTTATTCACTACCAAGAGAACAGTATGGGGAAAACAGTCCCCGCCATGATTCAAGTATCTCCCACCAGGTCCCTCCCACAACACGCGGGAATTATGGGAGCTACAATTCAAGATGAGATTTGGGTGGGGACACAGCCAAACTATATCACCCCAGTACCAAAGTTCTCTGATTGCTATTTTAGTTTGCTTGCCTATCAGAAAATTGATAGCAGTCTTCTCATTCAGGGAGCTGACATAAGAAAAGTGAAGAATTTCATGTAGCTTGTGCTTTACCTTGAGGAGAGGTAGAAAATATTTCAAGGACTCAAATTCAGTATATCTCTTGGGTATAAATAAATCTTAAGGAATTCATGTAAGTGGCTTTTTTGTTCTCTCTCTGTGTGTGTGTGTGTGTGTGTGTGTGTGTGTGTGTTCCCCCATACTGCTTTGGTGTGTTACCCAAAACATAAATCCTTTGACAAGTGATTTTCTTTTCCTTAGAAAGAAGCTTAAAATATGAAGCAATGACTCAGGTGCCATTGGGTAAGATATTTAATAGAAATAAATTTAATTCAATTTTGTGCATTTTACCACATTTCTATGAGGAAAAAAAAATAGGAGGAATCTGACCTGATAATTGAATGGAGCCTTGTTCTACTAGCACTCATTAAATTAAATGATTGTTTTGCTGCAAGGCAAAGTAAAACTAAAAATGGAATATTATAGCCCCAGGAGGCAACCCAGGAAGTGTCATAATGGCTCACCTGATGAACTCTAAATCTAAATTTTACGAGGAAAAATACTGCTTTTAGTAATGCAGTGGTTCTGTTTTTTATATCATTGCTTGAGATATTTAGGATATCTTGTATTGTTGTGGCCATCTTTAAGATCAAGAAACCCAAAACAAAAAAAAGGAGGAAGTTACGTCCTCAAGGAAATGTTATTAGTCAGAAGTAAGGCCAGAAGTACATGTCTCTGACTCACAGGATTCAGCTTCAGGAGTCAGTGGTATGATGAGGAGAAATGGCAAAATAAAGAGGGGGATGGGAAGAGAAATGAAGTCCATAGAGAAAGAGGGGAGAAAGAAGGAAGCTGAAGGAGAGAAATTTTAAAAGAATTGCTTCTTCCGTATTAATTTAGAGTGGCTGGGAATAATTTTATAGAAATTTTAATGAAAGTTACAACATCTGGGAAAGTTTTTCTTTGATTATTTCTTTTCTTTTCTCTCTTTCTTTCTTCTTCCTCTTCTCCTTCTTTTCTTTTTCTTGAAGCAGGGTCTCACTCCTGTTGCCCAGGCTGGAGTGCAGTGGTGCCACAGCTCACTGTGGCCTTGACTTCCCGGGCTCAAGGGATGCTCCCACCTCAGCCCCTATGAGTAACTGGGACTATAGGGTGTGCCACCATGCCTAGATAATTTTTGTAATTTTAGAAGAGAAGGGGTTTTGCCATGTTGCCCAGGCTGATCTCAAACTCCTGGGCTCAAACGATCCACCCACCTCAGCCTCCCAAAGTGCTGGGATTACAGGCATGAGCCACCGTGCCCAGCCCTGATTGTTTCTTTGACTGTTTTTGAATGAATACTCCAAAACATTGATAAGTTAAATGTTCAGAAGATCAAACTTTGGAAGGGATAACATGATTTTTTTAAGTGAAAGCAAGTTTATTAAGAAAGTTAAGGGACTAAAGAATGGCTACTGCATAGGCAGAGCAACGAGCTAACATGATTTTAAAAATTTTACAGATTGGAAAATTGGGCCAAAATAAGTAATACAAGCTGTAGGATTGATAAATTAAAATTTAACATTCAGATCCTTATCTAATGACACAAATCCTGTCTACCCTAGCTTTGTTCAGAGCCCATGATGATATCATCCATAGGCTCTGTTTACTCCTTGCCCAACACCCAGGGCTAATGAAAGCAGGTCTTGTCAGTGTGTTTGTAACTCCTCCCTGAAATGTGCCATAGAAGGTGCCACACTGTCATAGTTAAGAGTGTGGACTTTGTCATCAAAAGGACTTTTCTTTGGATTATGCATCCTGCTGTATGATGTTGAGAAAATTAAGCTTTCTAAGTTTCAATTCCTTCATTTAGAAAATGTGATTAATGATAGTAACTAACCTAGAGGGTTGCTGTGAAGATTAAATGAAGTAACACATAACAAACTAATTAAAAGCAGACTTTGGAGCCAAAATGCCTGAGTTTGAATTCTACCTCTGCTAACTGTTGTCCATTTGATTTTAGGTAAGTTGATTATATTCTTTGTGTCTCAGTTTCCTCATCTGCAATATAGGAGTAATACATACTATCTACCCCATAGATGAGGGGGGTTAAATTAATTTAAGTAAAACACTTAGAATAGTACCTGGCATTTAGAAAGCAGCCAATAAGTGATTATGATTTTTATTATATAATTGATCAATATATATTAGCTACTATCATATGTCTTTATTTTTAATATTATTATTACCACTATATACATTATCTCCCTGAGCAACAGGGGAAGCATTGACCCTAAGCATCTCTATATAATGGCTATTTTATGTGTCAAATTTCAATAACTCTTTTCCTTATTTCTGATTTAAATTCAGGTCTCTTTTAGTCTAGTAGCCTCACTGTGAACCACAATTCTTACTCTCTCAGTTTGACCAGAATTCAGTTTCCCTCATCCCAGTTCTAGATGGTAATTTCAGGATCCTCCAAGTATGGATTGGCTCTCGCACCAATGAAGACAGGTTTCTATGGGATGGTGACTCTGAGACCCACCTGATGACAAGAATCTTCTCTTCCTTGGAAAGCCACCCATTGTAGTTTTTAGATATCCACCCTAGTCTGGATCAAAATCAAGTTTCATGGGCCTTTAAATTTTATGAGTTAGAATTCTATACCTCTCTCAGGACTAGGTTGTGGGAATACCTGGTTGGCTATGGATGAGTTCTTTCAGTTCACCAGTCTCAATTTCTGGCAGGCATCACTAATATACAATTAATTTATATGGACCTAACAAAAGGTTAGTGTGTGGAGAGGAGAACATCTTAAAAGATCCAATATATGAATTCTCAATTTTTAAATACTGGGCATCAGTTTGATTGACAGGAATTATTAAGAGTATATCTAGTTCTTTTTTTTTTTTTAAGTTATACTTTAAGTTCTGGGATACATGTGCAGAACGTGCAGGTTTGTTACATAGCTATACACGTGCCATGGTGGTTTGCTGCACCCATCAACCCGTCATCTACATTAGGTATTTCTCCTAATGCTATCCCTCCCCTACTCCCCTACCCCTTGACAGGCCCCAGTATGTGATGTTCCCCTTCCTGTGTCCATGTGTTCTCATTGTTCAGCTCCCACTTATGAATGAGAACATGGAGTGTTTGGTTTTCTGTTCCTGTGTTAGTTTACTGAGAATGATGATTTCCAGCTTCATCCATGTCCCTGCAAAAGACATGAACTCATCCTTTTGTATGGCTGCATAGTATTCCATGGTGTATATGTGCCACATTTTCTTAATCCACTCTATTATTGATGGGCATTTGGGTTGGTTCCAAGCCTTTGCTATTGTGAATAGTGCTGCAATAAACATACGTGTGCATGTGTCCTTGTAGTAGAATGGTTTATAATCCTTTAGGGTATATACCCAGTATTGGGATTGCTGGGTCAAATGGTATTCTGGTTCTAGATCCTTGAGGAATTGCCACACTGTCTTCCACAATGGTTGAACTAATTTACACTCCCACCAACAGTGTAAAAGCATTCCTGTTTCTCCACATTGTCTCCAGAATCTGTTGTTTCCTGACTTTTTAATGATCGCCATTCTAACTGGTATGAGATGGTATCTCAATGTGGTTTTGATTTACATTTCTCTAATGACCAGTGAGGATGAGTTTTTTTTCATATGTTTGTTGGCCACATAAATGTCTTCTTTTGAAAAGTATCTGTTTTTTTGATGTGGTTTTTTTTTTTCTTGTAAATTTGTTTACGTTCTTTGTAGATTCTGGATATTAGCCCTTTGTCAGATGGATAGATTGCAAAAATTTTCTCCCAATTTGTAGGTTGCCTGTTCACTATGATGATAGTTTATTTTGCTGTGCAGAAGCTCTTTAGTTTAATTAAATACCATTTGTCAATTTTGGCATTTGTTGCCATTGCTTTTGGTGTTTTAGTCATGAAGTCTTTACCCATGCCTATATCCTGAATGGTATTGTGTAGGTTTTCTTCTAGGGTTTTTTGTGGTTTTAGGTCTAATATTTAAGTCTTTAATCCATCTTGAGTTAAATTTTGTATAAGGTGTAAGGAAGGGGTCCAGTTTCAGTTTTCTGCATATCACCAGCCAGTTTTCCCAAAACCATTTATTAAATAGGGAATCCTTTCCCCCTTACTTGTTTTTGTCAGGTTTGTCAAAGATCAGATGATTGTAGATGTGTGGCATTATTTCTGAGGCCTCTGTTCTGTTCCATTGGTCTATATATCTGATTTGGTACCAGTGCCATGCTGTTTTGGTTGTAGCCTTGTGGTATAGTTTGAAGTCAGGTAGTATGATACCTCCAGCTTTGTTCTTTTTGTGTAGGATTGTCTTGGCTACATGGGCTCCCTTTTGATTCCATATGAAATTTAAAGCAGTTTATTCTAATTCTGTAAAGAAAGTCAATGGTAGCTTGATGGGGATAGCACTGAATCTATAAATTACTTTGGGCAGTAAGGTCATTTTCACGATTTTTAAAAAAATTTTATTGTTATTATACTTTAAGTTTTAGGGCACATGTGCACAACGTGCAGGTTTGTTACATATATATATATGTGCCAGGTTGGTGTGCTGCACCCATTAGGTCGTCATTTAGCATTAGGTATATCTGCTAATGCTATCCCTCCCCCCTCCCCCCACCCCACAACAGTCTTCAGTGTGTGATGTTCCCCTTCCTGTGTCCATGTGTTCTCATTGTTCAATTCCCACCTATGAGTGAGAACATGCGGTGTTTGGTTTTTGTCCTTGCAATAGTTTGCTGAGAATGATGGTTTCCAGTTTAATCCATGTCCCTACAAAGGACATGAACTCATCATTTTTTATGGCTGCATAGTATTCCATGGTGTATATATGCCACATTTTCTTAATCCAGACTATCGTTGTTGGACATTTAGGTTGGTTCCAAGTCTTTGCTATTGTGAATAGTGACGCTATAAACATACGTGTGCATGTGTCTTTATAGCAGCATGATTTATAATCCTTTGGGTATATACCCAGTAATGGGATGGCTGGGTCAAATGGTATGTCTAGTTCTAGATCCCTGAGGAATCACCACACTGACTTCCACAATGGTTGAACTAGTTTACAGTCCCACCAACAGTGTAAAATTGTTCCTATTTCTCCACATCCTCTCCAGCACCTGTTGTTTCCTGACTTTTTAATGATTGTCATTCTAACTGGTGTGAGATGGTATCTCATTGTGGTTTTGATTTGCATTTCTCTGATGGCCAGTGATGGTGAGCATTTTTTCATGTGTTTTTTGGCTGCATAAATGTCTTCTTTTGAGAAGTGTCTGTTCATATCCTTTGCCCACTTTTTGATGGGGTTGTTTGTTTTTTTCTTGTAAATTTGTTGGAGTTCATTGTAGATTCTGGATATTAGCCCTTTGTCAGATGAGTAGGTTGTGAAAATTTTCTCCCATTCTGTGGGTTGCCTGTTCACTCTGGTGGTAGTTTCCTTTGCTGTGCAGAAGCTCTTTAGTTTAATTAGATCCCATTTGTCAATTTTGGCTTTTGTTGCCATTGCTTTTGGTGTTTTAGACATGAAGTCCTTGCCCATGCCTATGTCCTGAATGGTATTGCCTAGGTTTTCTTCTAGGGTTTTTATGGTTTTAGGTCTAACATGTAAGTCTTTAATCCATCTTGAATTAATTTTTGTATAAGTTGTAAGGAAGGGATCCAGTTTCAGCTTTCTACATATGGCTAGCCAGTTTTCCCAGCACCATTTATTAAATAGGGAATCCTTTCCCCATTGCTTGTTTTTGTCAGGTTTGTCAAAGATCAGATAGCTGTAGATATGCGGCATTATTTCTGAGGGCTCTGTTTTGTTCCATTTGTCTATATCTCTGTTTTGGTACCACTACCATGCTGTTTTGGTTACTGTAGCCTTGTAGTATAGTTTGAAGTCAGGCAGTGTGATGCCTCCAGCTTTGTTCTTTTGGCTTAGGATAGACTTGGCGATGTGGGCTCTTTTTTGGTTCCATAGGAACTTTAAATTAGATTTTTCCAATTCTGTGAAGAAAGTCATTGGTAGCTTGATGGGGATGGCATTGAATCTATAAATTACCTTGGGCAGTATGGCCATTTTCATGATATTGATTCTTCCCACCCATGAGCATGGAATGTTCTTCCATTTGTTTGTATCCTCTTTTATTTCCTTGAGCAGTGGTTTGTAGTTCTCCTTGAAGAGGTCCTTCACATCCCTTGTAAGTTGGATTCCTAGGTATTTTATTCTCTTTGAAGCAATTGTGAATGGGAGTTCACTCATGATTTGGCTCTCTGTTTGTCTGTTGTTGGTGTATAAGAATGCTTGTGATTTTTGTACATTGATTTTGTATCCTGAGACTTTGCTGAAGTTGCTTATCAGTTTGAGGAGATTTTGGGCTGAGATAGTGGGGTTTTCTAGATATACAATCATGTCATCTGCAAACAGGGACAATTTGACTTCCTCTTTTCCTAATTGAATACCCTTTATTTCCTTCTCCTGCCTAATTGCCCTGGCCAGTGCTTCCAACACTATGTTGAATAGGAGTGGTGAGAGAGGGCATCCCTGTCTTGTGCCCGTTTTCAAAGGGAATGCTTCCAGTTTTTGCCCATTCAGTATGATATTGGCTGTGGGTTTGTCATAGATAGCTCTTATTATTTTGAGATATGTCCCATCAATACCTAATTTATTGAGAGTTTTTAGCATGAAGCGTTGTTGAATTTTGTCAAAGGCCTTTTCTGCATCTCTTGAGATAATCATGTGGTTTTCGTCTTTGGTTCTGTTTATATGCTGGATTACATTTACTGATTTGTGTATGTTGAACCAGCCTTGCATCCCAGGGATGAAGCCCACTTGATCGTGGTGGATAAGCTTTTTGATGTGCTGCTGGATTCGGTTTGCCTGTATTTTATTGAGGATTTTTGCATCAATGTTCATCAAGGATATTGGTCTAAAATTCTCTTTTTTGGTTGTGTCTCTGCCCGGGTTTGGTATCAGGATGATGCTGGCCTCATAAAATGAGTTAGGGAGGATTCCCTCTTTTTCTGTTGATTGGGATAGTTTCAGAAAGAATGGTACCAGCTCCTCTTTGTACCTCTGGTAGAATTTGGCTCTGAATCCATCTGGTCTGGGACTTTTTTTCGTTGGTAAGCTATTGATTATTGCCTCAATTTCAGAGCCTGTTATTGGTCTATTCAGAGATTCAACTTCTTCCTGGTTTAGTCTTGGGAGGATGTATGTGTCGAGGAATTTATCAATTTCTTCTAGATTTTCTAGTTTATTTGCGTAGTGCTGTTTATACTGTTCTCTGATGGTAGTTTGTATTTCTGTGGGATCAGTGGTGATATCCCCTTTATCATTTTTTATTGTGTCTATTTGATTCTTCTCTCTTTTCTTCTTTATTAGTCTTATTAGTGGTCTATCAATTTTGTTGATCTTTTCAAAAAACCAGCTCCTGGATTCATTAATTTTTTGAAGGGTTTTTTATGTCTGTATTTCCTTCAGTTCTGCTCTGATCTTAGTTATTTCTTCCCTTCTGCTAGCTTTTGAATGTGTTTGCTCTTGCTTTTCTAGTTCTTTTAATTGTGATGTTAGGCTGTCAATTTTAGATCTTTCCTGCTTTCTCTTGTGGGTATTTAGTGCTATAAATTTCCCTCTACACACTGCTTTGAATGTGTCTCAGAGATTCTGGTATATTGCGTCTTTGTTCTCATTGGTTTCAAAGAACATCTTTATTTTTGCCTTCATTTCATTATTTACCCAGTAGTCATTCAGGATCAGGTTGTTCAGTTTCCATGTAGTTGAGCGGTTTTGAGTGAGTTTCTTAATCCTGAGTTCTAGTTTGATTGCACTGTGGTCTGAGAGACAGTTTGTTATAATTTCTGTTCTTTCACATTTGCTGAGGAGTGCTTTACTTCCAACTATGTGGTCAATTTTGGAGTAGGTGTGTTGTGGTGCTGAAAAGAAGGTATATTCTGTTGATTTGGGGTGGAGAGTTCTGCAGATGTCTATTAGGTCCACTTGGTGCAGAGCTCAGTTCAATTCCTGGGTATCCTTGTTAACTTTCTGTCTCGTTGATCTGTCTAATGTTGACAGTGGGGTGTTAAAGTCTCCCATTATTATTGTGTGGGAGTCTAAGTCTCTTTGTAGGTCACTAAGGACTTGCTTTATGAATCTGGGTGCTCCTGTATTGGGTGCATATATATTTAGGAGAGTTAGCTCTTCTTGTTGAATTGATCCCTTTACCATTAAGTAATGGCCTTCTTTGTCTCTTTTGATCTCTGTTGGTTTAAAGTCTGTTTTATCAGAGACTAGGATTGCAACCTCTGCCTTTTTTTGTTTTCCATTTGCTTGGTAGATCTTCCTCCATTCCTTTGTTTTGAGCCTATGTGTGTCTCTGCATGTGAGATGGGTTTCCTGAATACAGCACACTGATGGGTCTTGACTCTTTATCCAATTTGCCAGTCTGTGTCTCTTAAGTGGAGCATTTAGCCCATTTACATTTAAAGTTAATATTGTTATGTGTGAATTTGATCCTGTCATTATGATGTTAGCTGGTTATTTTGCTCGTTAGTTGATGCAGTTTCTTCCTAGCCTTGTTGGTCTTTACAATTTGGCATGTTTTTGCAGTGGCTGGTACCAGTTGTTCCTTTCCATGTTTAGTGCTTCCTTCAGGAGCAATTTTAGGTCAGGCCTGGTGATGACAAAATCTCTCAGCATTTGCTTGTCTGTAAAGTATTTTATTTCTCCTTCACTTATGAAGCTTAGTTTGGCTGGATATGAAATTCTGGGTTGAAAATTCTTTTCTTTAAGAACGTTGAATATTGACCCCCTCTCTCTTCTGGCTTGCAGGGTTTCTGCCAAGAGATCCGCTGTTAGTCTGATGGGCTTCCCTTTGTGGGTAACCTGACCTTTCTCTCTGGCTGCCCTTAACACTTTTTCCTTCATTTCAACTTTGGTTAATCTGACAATTATGTGTCTTTGAGTTGCTCTTCTCGAAGAGTATCTTTGTGGCGTTCTCTGTATTCCCTGAATTTGAATGTTGGCCTGCCTTGCTAGGTTGGGGAGTTCTCCTGGATAATATCCTGCAGAGTGTTTTCCAACTTGGTTCCATTCTCCCTGTCACTTTCAGGTACACTAATCAGACATAGGTTTGGTCTTTTCACATAGTCCCATATTTCTTGGAGGCTTTGTTTGTTTCTTTTTATTCTTTTTTCTCTAAACTCCTCTTCTTGCTTCATTTCATTCATTTCGTCTTCCATCACTGATACCCTTTCTTCCAGTTGATCGCATCAGCTACTGAGGCTTCCGCATTTGTCATGTAGCTCTCGTGCCTTGGTTTTCAGCTCCATCAGGTCCTTTAAGGACTTCCCTGCATTGGTTATTCTAGTTATCCATTCATCTAATTTTTTTTCAAAGCTTTTAACTTCTTTGCCATTGGTTCGAATTTCCTCCTGTAGCTCGTAGTAGTTTGATCGTCTGAAGCCTTCTTCTCTCAACTTGTCAAAGTCATTCTCCATCCAGCTTTGTTCCATTGCTGGTGAGGAGCCGCGTTCCTTTGGAGGAGGAGAGGCGCTCTGATTTTTAGAGTTTCCAGTTTTTCTGCTCTGTTTTTTTCCCATCTTTGTGGTTTTATCTTCCTTTGGTCTTTGATGATGGTGACGTACAGATGGGTTTTTGGTGTGGATGTCCCTTCTGTTTGTTAGTTTTCCTTCTAACAGACAGGACCCTCAGCTGCAGGTCTGTTGGAGTTTGCTAGAGGTCCACTCCAGACCCTGTTTGCCTGGGTATCAGCAGTGGTGTCTGCAGAACAGCGGATATTGGTGAACCGCAAATGCTGCTGCCTGATTGTTCCTCTGGAAGTTTTGTCTCAGAGGAGTACCCGGCCGTGTGAGGTGTCAGTCTGCCCCTACTTGGGGGTGCCTCCCAGTTAGGCTACGTGGCGGTCAGGGACCCACTTGAGGAGGCAGTCTGCCCGTTCTCAGATCTCAAGCTGCGTGCTGGGAGAACCACTACTCTCTTCAAAGCTCAGTTGGAAATGCAGAAATCACCCATCTTCTGCGTTGCTCATGCTGGGAGCTGTAGACCGGACCTGTTCCTATTTGGCCATCTTGGCTTCTCCCTCTGATTTTCACGATATTGATTCTTCCTATCCATGAGCATGGAACATTCTTCCATTTGTTTGTGTCCTCTCTTATTTCCTTGAGCAGTGGTTTGTAGTTCTCCTTGAAGAGGTCCTTCACATCCCTTGTAAGTTCTATTCCTAAGTATTTTATTCTTTGTAGCAATTGTGAATTGGAGTTTACTCATGGTTTGGCTCTCTATTATTGGTGTATAGGAATGCTTGTGATTTTTGCACATTGATTTTGTATCCTGAGACTTTGCTGAAGTTGCTTATCAGCTTAAGGAGATTTGAGGCTGAGATGATGGGGTTTTCTAAATATACAATCATGTCATCTGCAAACAGAGACAATTTCACTTCCTGTATTCCTATTTGAATACCCTTTATTTCTTTCTCTTGCCTGATTGCCCCGCCCAGGTCCCTCCCTCCACACATGGGGATTACAATTTGAGATGAGATTTGGGTGGTGACACAGAACCAAACCACATCACCTACAGAACCCCCTCCCTTGAGCCTCTGGCAACCACTGATCTATTTACCATCTCTGTAATTGTGCCATTTCCAGAATGTCATATAAATGAAATGAAATAGTGTAGATTCTTTTCAGACTGGCTTCTTTCACTTAGCAATATGCATTTAAGATGCAGGTATGTCTTTTCATGGCTCGATAGAAACATTTCATTATCACTTCCTTGTTGTCACTTGTTCATGTACTTTTTGGTTTCACCCACAATAATATAAATTTTGTGAGGACAAAGACTCATCTTTCTTGTTCATTTTATCCCCAGTGCTTAGCACAGTGCCTTAGTAGATTGTTTTAAGTCCATAATTATTTGCTCAATAAATAGACTCAATCAAATCCTTTTGGATATAGTTGTGTAAAAGCTGTTTGCTCGGTTCTACTTTGCTAATATGAATATTACAACTGTCAATATCTGCATCAGAAAAAGAGACCTTGCTTTCCAATTTTATTTGCTAATATTTTTGAATATTAGCAAATATTTCTTAGGCTTTTCATAAATGCCATGTATGAGATAGCATTTCAATTGCAGCCTTATTTGTGACAAGACAAAACTGTAAGAACTAACTTGCTTATTTTTCTTGGTACAATGTATATAACTTGAACATATAAAAATAGCATTAAAAAATCTTAGCAGTAAGTTTTGGCATTAAGTTTTACAACTTGAAAGAAGTCTCTATTTGTATTTATTTATATTTTAAGAAAATGAGAGCAGCCGGGCACAGTGGCTCATGCCTATAATCCCAGCACTTTAGGAGGCCGAGGCAGGCAGAGCACCTGAGGTTAGGAGTTCTAGACTGGCCTGGCCAAAATGGTGAAACCCCCTCTCTACTAAAAATACAAACATTAGCCTGGTGTGGTGGCAGGTGCCTGTAATCCCAGCTACTCAGGAGGCTGAGGCAGGAGAATCACTTGAACCCAGGAGGCAGAGGTTGCAGTGAGCCGAGATTGCACCATTGCATTCCAGCCTGGGAGACAAGAGAGAGACTTCATCTCAAAATAAAGAAAAGAAAAGAAAAATGAGAGCAATACTTTTTATATTATTAAACTCTTTATTGAAATAAAATGCAGCTACGGAACAATGCATCAATCATAGGTGTGCATCTCTATGACTTTTCCAAAATGAACACATTCAGTTTACCTTCATCCAGATTAAGAAATAGGATGTTATCAGAACTTCAGCAGTTCCTGCCATGCCTTCTTTTAGTCACTACCTCCTACCAAGGGTAATCACCCTTCTGACTAATTTGCCTGTTTTTGAACTATTTAATTTCTTGTTTGGATTATTTTACTCAACCTTATGTTTCTGAGATTCATTCATAATTTTGTGTAGATTTAGGTATTTTTTTCATTGCTACATAATATTTCCATACATGAATACACCACAACTTATTTATTTGTTCAATTGTTGGTGGGAATTCAGATAGTTTCTAGTTTGCAGATATTTGGACAATGCTGCTCTAAAGATTGGAGTACATGATTTTGATGAACATAACATACATGATGTGTTGGCTGTATATCTAGGAGTAGAATGGTTTTGTCATAGAGCATGTGTAATTTTATGGTATAATCTGTTTTTAAACTATGTTGGAATTCTATTGATTGTCCAACAAAGCTAAAATTAAATGTTTTTCAAATGTGCAGTGTTTAATAGAAACATAGTATACTGTATTTCATTTAAGAATATGAATATACCTGTAGTGGGCAGAATAATGTCTCTCCCATCTTCTCATAGGTCCTAACCCTTGGAATTTGTGAAAATGTTACCTTGCATGGCAAAAGAGACTTTGAAGATGTGATTAAATTGTCTTGAAAAGGGGAGAGTATCCTGGATTAGCCAGGTGGGGACAATATAATTTAAAGAGTCCTTATAATAGGCAGCAGGAAGATCAGGGATGGAGAAGGAGATACAATGACAAAAAAGCAGAGGTCAGAGAGAGAGAGAGAGAGAGAGAGAGCGAGAAAGAGATTTGAAGATTCTACACCACTGGCTTTGAAGGCAGAGAAAGGGGCCATGAGCCAAAGAACACAGGTGATCTCTAGAAGCTGGACAAGAAAGGGAACAGATTCTTTCTATAAGGGTCATCAGCAAGGGAACCTAATCTCCCCCAAGAGCCTCCAGAAGACACACAGCCTTGCCAATCTTGATTTTGGCCCCATAAACCATTTCAGATTTCTAACCTCCAGAACTATGAGAGAATACATTTGCATTGTTTTAAGCCACTGAGTTTGTGGTAATTTGTTACAGCAGCCATAGGAAATAAGGCAATATCAAATGTGATCCTTTAATAATCAGCTATTCTAAGCTCTACTTAAATGTTTCTTAATGAAATCCCTATTTCATTTTAATATATAGTTTCATTTTAACACTAATGATAACTCATCTTTTGTATGTTAAATTCTACAGCATAATATTGAATAAACATAAGTTAATTTCAACCAAGTACTTTTATTTATATATTATGTATTTTTTGAGATGGAGTCTCACTCTGTCACTCAGGCTGGAGTGCAGTGGCATGATCTTGGCTCACTGCAGCCTCCACCTCCCAGGTTCAAGCAATTCTTCTACCTCAGCCTCCCAAGTAGCTGGGATTGCAGGTGTGAGCCACCACGCCTGGCTATTTCAACTAAATACTTTTGAAAGCTATTTTGAAAATATTGCATTTATTTTATTGATACCATATTTATTTTTTAGCTTTTCTTCTGTAGCTTTATTTTCCCACATACTCATTTTTCTCTATTTTGTTTTGTCACCTACCATTTTTTAAAGCTCTCTATAGTTCAGTTTATATTCCAAGACCACACTTTCTTGGAAGTGGCAAAAGTTTGCCACTCTCAACATCAGATACAGAAGAGCAACTTTTTGTGCTGAAATTTAGGTAAACAATAATTCTTGGGCCTCATTTAGTTATATTTCTAAAATATGGTTCAGTAAATGAATTGGTGGGCACAGAACACAGAGAATTTTAGATTGGAAAAAATCACTGTATTATTAACTTCTCTGAACTCTATCTTAATTAAACTTGTTTTTGATCTAAGTTTGGACAAGATTAATTCGATCAGCTGGAAAAGACAAGAAAAATAAACACAGAACCTATTAATATTCTTTAAACTCTATCTTCACCTGATCTCCCTAAATGTTTTCATCTATGTTCTCGCACCTTTTCTTTTTCACTACAACATAGCCCCTCTTTAACCCAGCAAAGAAATAATTAACACATGGATAAGGACTTGATATAAAGAAAAGCATGATAATTAATGGTAAGTCCAGGAAATTTTTGGTTGTCAACATGTATTTCTGGAAATTAGAATATTGCTACAGCCCCCAAGGCTAAATCCCAAACCCCAAGGCAGCAGCATGGTAGCATCTGGGTGGGGATTATCTGATTCTACGGTTTTGTGTTGAAATAAATCTCAGGGAAATCAGATCCTCTTTAGGGACTCTGAGGCAATGTCTAAGTTGCAACAAAGACTCAAATGGCAAGATTTCTTAAAATTGTAGATATTGTGAGGTTTTCTTGGTACAGATTAGAGGGGAAATACTTTAACCCTGTCTTAAAGTAGAAAGCTGGCCACTACAGTATTGTCAGTTCTAGGCATAATGTATCAGCTGTACAGATGAGTCATAAAATTGGAAAACATCATATAAAAGAGACGAATTAGAGAGTGATTATACCGATGTATGTATGTGTGTATATATGTGTGTATATAAGTATATACATATGTATGTGTATATATGTATGTGTGTGTGTATAAAATTTTGTTTTGTAAAAGGATTCATAGAAAGCAACTCATACATTTAACATATGATTCTTACATAATTGGTGAATAATATTTTTAATCTCTTCCTGTTTCTCCCCATCCTGGATTTGCAGTCTTGTCTCATTAAGGGCTGGTCAGAAGTGAACTGTGCAGTTCATTGCTGTGCACTAGTTAGAGTTCTTAGCCCTGAGATAACCTGCTGCAGATGCCCTTTGTTGAACTGGTAGTCTTGGTCGGAAGGAGAGGATATTTTATCAGGGTTAGTGACTAGAAAGAAAATGTATGAATTCAGGGAAGTATAAGTAGGTTACCAAGGCTGGAAGAGAAACAGACAACACCAGGAAAAGAAACTCTAGAGTATTTACTTTCTTTGAACCACAGAGATAAGATGAGCCAAGTACCCAAGTAGATTCAGGGTTTTAGTAAAGGTTGAATTAAAAATACTGCATTCCTAGTTGCCTTTGCAGAAGGCTCTTCCCCATGATAATGACATTAAAATGAAAGTAGATGCACGCAAATTAAGCAAATAGTAATTATAACTGAGTAACATATGTCTAGTTAAGGGGGGTTAGTCTGGGAGGTGGTGGTGCTACAGAAAAAAAGATTAAATCATGAAGAAAAGAAGTGAAGTTATAGGTTATAAAGGTAAAATAAAGCCTGCATGCTCAAGTGCCTGTGGGATGTTGGAGACTTTGGCTAAGTGTAGATAATAAATCCTGTGATTAAATATGAATATATTTTGCCTGGTCCAGTCATCTTTATTGTTGCTTAGAAGTAACGTTGGTCTAGGAAGTCGTAGATCCTCATTCTCTTCAAAGTCTGGACAATTCGGCTGAGGATTACAGAAATGGCCTCAGCCTATAGCTGCAATTGTTCATCTGTCCCATATGATCATTCTAAGAATTCCAATCCAGAATGAGAATAGAAAGGATGTTAATACTCTGCAATTCACTGGCCTCTCCCCACAGACTAGGGTGAGCCTAATCATTAAGGAACAGTTCCAAAAATAGACTCCTCTTTGAACCCTAATTGGCTGCTCTGGAGTTCTCCATCATCTTTCCTCCACAGTGTACCTCATCCTTTCATTTTGAATGACTTATTGCTAAACCTGTGAATGTACAATTGTTATGTACCACTGTGTATGTATGATGGGCCAAGATTTCTTCTTCACTGATTTATATACCATTGTACTTTTATGATATCGTCCTTTTATATTAGGCCTTTTCTATCTTTAAGAGGCTACAAATTTTAGAATACATCTGCCATTATAAACTGAGATCTTCTGTCATCTTAAATAGTGTACCTCTGTATGGTAATTTGGGAATGTGGAAAATGTTAACTTTGTGACAGAAAAGAGGAAAACAAGAATTTATACTTGATAATCTTCTTTTAACCTTTTAACTGAGGCATTACTTATATACTGTAAAGTATACGAATATTAAGAAAACAGTTCAATAAATTCTCACATATATATATACACCCAAGTAACCACCACTTAGATCTAGATTAGAACATTTCCATCACTTAAAAAGCTTTGCTCATTTAGTCTATAATGATAGAAGTACTATCATTAGTACTCATTACTAATTTATTTTATTGATACCATATTTATTTTTTAGCTTTTCTTCCGTAGCTAAATTTCCCTATTCAGCTTTGTATGAATAGAATCACACAGAATATACTCTTGTGACTACCTCCTTTTGCTCAATATTATTTCTGTGAGAATCATTCATGTTGTTGCATATAGAAAAGGTACATTCTTTATATTGCTGAGTAGTATTCTGTTATATGAATATATTCAAATTTATTTAT
This sequence comes from Homo sapiens, assembly GCF_000001405.40. Lineage (NCBI taxonomy): Eukaryota > Metazoa > Chordata > Mammalia > Primates > Hominidae > Homo > Homo sapiens. Next base: position 197,823,568 of record NC_000001.11, on the reverse strand, counting down.
ATAAGTTCCTATGGATAGACATTTGAGTTGTTTTCAGGTTTTGGCTCTTATGTATGGAGTTGCTATGAACATTCTCGGACATGTCTTTTGGTGGATATGTATACTTCTTTCTCTTGGGTGTATACCTAGAAGTGGAATTTTTCATGTTGTAGGGTATTGTACATGTCATATTGCCATAGATACTGCCAAAGACTTCTTCCAGGTGGTTGTAGCATGTTACATTCCCACTCAAAAGGTATAGGAGTTCCAGCTGTTCCAAATCCTTGCCAACACTTGGTATTATCAATCTTTTTATAATTTTAGTCTTTTGAAAAATATACTGTAAGATTTCTTTGTTTTAATTTACATTTCCCTGATGACTAATAATGTTGAGCAGTTTTTTAATGTGCTTATTATTCATTTGGATATCTTCTTTTACAAAGTGACCAAGTCTCTTGCCCATTTTATTGAGTTGCTTTTTTATTGGTTAGTAGGAGATTTTGAAACATTTTGAATATAAGCCATTTGTAAGATACCAAAATATATATGTTGGGTTTAATTGTATATATGTCAGATGAAGACATATATGTATATATATGGTAGCTTTTTTTTTTTTTTTTTTTTTTTTTTTGAGACAGAGTCTCGCTCTGTTGCCATGGCTGGAGTTCAATAGCACAATCTTGGCTCACTGCAACCTCTACCTCCCGGGTTCAAGTGATTCTTGTGCCTCAGCCCCCGAGTGCCTGGGATTACAGGTGGCTGCCACCACGCCTGGCTAATTTTTGTATTTTTAGTAGAGAAGGGGTTTCACCATGTTCCCCAGGCTGGTCTTGAACTCTTGACCTCAGATGATCCACCCACCTTGGCCTCCCAAAGTGCTGGGATTATAGGCATGAGCCACTGCACCCAGTCTGTTAGCCATATTTTTTTATATAGACCAGATATAGCTATGTCAAATATCTGTATATCAGAGAATATACATACACATATATACTTTTCTCCAATCTGTACCTTGACTTTTTAATCTCTTTTAATAAAAATGTTTCTTAATTTTAATAAAATATCTTGAGCCCAAGAGTTTGAGACCAGCCTGGTCAACATAGCAAGACCAACAACAACCACCAGAAAAACCTGTTTACTTTACTTTCATAAATGTATTAATTGGAATACAAATATTTGACAATTTGATCCCTACTTTCATCTAATTAACAAATATATGAACAAGCTTTGCTTCCACATATGGAAATTTAATTTCTTCCCTTTTTTGCCTTAAATTCATATTTACATTTTATCACAATGTAATATTTTTATGCTTTATAGTCTTTATTGAACACTCTATTATACTTCTATTCACAAAAATGTGTATAAATTCATATTTTCAACATGAAATATGAATATTTTCAAATATTTATTTGATATTAAAATTTTATTTTAACTGCTGCATGTATTAGACATAGTGTTAAACTTTTTTTCTGGACTGAATTTTGATTAGTACAAGAGGATTAAAATGTAATATAAATACTTGCTATGAATGGTAATATTAATATTTAAATGTGAATGTTTTAATTCTTTAAGTTTAAAAATAAATATGCTGTTAAATGAGTAAATTTTTAATGGAAATGCAACTTTTAACAAAATTAATAGGCTTTAAGGATAGTGTATGTCTCTGTGGATAAATATGACTTTTTGCTAATATGAAACAAAATTAAACCTGAATTTGTCATAGTTTCAGCCTGAACAGTTTTTATAGATGGAAGTGCGGGAATATTAATTGCCCGTGCAAATACATAGGTGGGAAAGGAAGTTTTGTTGTAGCAGTGTCACTCAATTATTTGACTGTCTTTCAAGTTATACATCAAAAATCAAAAACTGATCTATCATTTAAAATTATTTTATAAATATATTGTATATTTGAAAGTTGCTAAGAGATTTCAAGTGTTCTTACCACAAAAGAAAGTACATGAGGCAATGCATATGTGAATTATAATAGCTTCATTAGGCCATTCTACAATGTGTTCATATTTCAAACATCATGTTGTATACCATAAATATATACAATTTTTATTTGTCAATTTAAAAATAAAATTATTTTAGTAATATGTCAGCTAACAATTGTACTGGATCTTATTTTTTCAATTTTGCCTTTTTAAGAGCAATCAACTGGAAAACATCTTATGTATAAGGTGATTTATTACTAGTTTTTAGAGTCATTTTTCTATTTTTGGAATATACACCAAATAGTTGTTACCAAGAAGTAGATACCTGTTAATTGTACTAGTTACTCTTTCACTTAGGGACATATTGTTTATTTTTATATATTAAGAAAAGTTTCGGAAAATAGAAATGTTTAATCTCATGAAACTTTTGGGTTTTTTGTTTTCTTTAGTATAATAAAATGTATCTTATTAAAAAACATTACATTATTATTCAGTTTACAAAAAGCGCTTTTATGTAACCTAACTGGCAAAGCCAGATCTTTTTTTGTGGGTATATACTAGGTGTATATATTTATGGGGTACATGAGATATTTTGATACACACATGCAATTCATAATAATCAAATCAGGGTAAATGGGTATCTATCACCTCAAGATTTATCTTTCTTTGTGTTACAAACAATCCAGTGATATTCTTTCAGTTATTTTTAAATGTACAATACATTATTGTTGACTGCAGTCACCCTGTTGTGCTATCACGTGCTAGATCTTATTCATTCTATCTAACTATATTTTTGTACCCATTAACCATCCTCACTCACCCTACCCCCTACTACCCTTCTCAGCCTCTGGTAACTATCATTCTACTCTCTATGTCATGAGTTCAATTGTTTTAATTTTTAGCTACCACAAATAAATGAGAACATATGAAGTTTGTCTTTCTGTGCCTGGCTTACTTCACTTAACATAATGTCCTCCAGTTCCATCCATGTTGTTGCAAATGACAGGATCTCATTCTTCTTTGTGGCTGAATAGTGTTCCATTGTTTATATGTACCACATTTTCTTTATTAAATTTGGTTTTCCATAGGCTTCTTGTACTTGAATATTGATATCTTTCTCTAGGTTTATGAAGTTCTCTATTATCCCTATGAATAAACTTTCTACCCTGATCTCTCTTTCTACCTCATCTTTAAGGACAAGAACTCATAGATCTGCCCTTTTGAGACTATTTTCGGGATATTGTAGGCGTGCTTCATTCTTTGTTATTTTTTTTCTTTTGTTTCCTCTGTCTGTATTTTCAAATAGCCTGTATTCAAACTCACTAATTCTTTCTTCTGCTTGATCAATTCTGCTAAGAGACTCTTCATACTTCTTCAGTATGTCAATTGTATTTTTCAGCTCCATAATTTCTGCTTGATTCTTTGTAATTATTTTAATGTCTTTGTTAAATTTATCTGATAGAATTCTGAATTTCTTCTCTTATCTTTAATTTCACTGGGCTTCCTCAAAACAGCTATTTTGAATTCTCTGTCTGAAAGGTCACATATCTCTGTCTCTCTGGGATTGGCCACTGTCCTTTACTTAGTTTGTGTGGTGAGGTCATGTTTTCCTGATGGTCCTGATGCTTGTTTGTTGGTGTCTGGGTATTAAAGAGTTAGGTATTTATTGTAGTCCTCACAGTCTGGGCTTGTTTGTCCTTCTTGAAGAGGCTTTCCAAATATCCCAAGGGACTTAGGTGTTGTGATCTAAGTCTTTAATCATTGCATCCATATCTGCATTAGGGGGCACCCAAAGCTGAGTCATGCTGTGGCTCTTACAGACTTACAGAGGTACCACCTTGGTAGTCTTGGGTAAGATCCGGGAGAATTTCCTTGATTACCAAGCAGAGACTCTTGTTCTCTTCCCTTACTTTCCCCCAAACAAATGGAGTCTCTCTCTGGGCTGAGCTTCCTGGAGCTGAGGGAGAGGTGATACAAGCCCCTCTGTGGCTACCACCACTGGGACTGTGCTAGGTTAGACTCAAAGCAAGCCAAGCACTGGGTTTTGCCCAAGGCACACAGTGACCACTGCCTGGCTACCACTAATGTTCACTCAAGGCCCAAGAGCTATACTATCAGCAGGGAGTGAATCCAGCCAGGCTTCTGTTCTTCCCTTAAGGGTGGTGAGATTCCCCTGGCCCTAGACAGATCCAGAGATGCTATCTGGGAGTCAGGGCTTGCAGTTCAGAACCATAGGAACCTACCTGGTGCTCTATTCTAGTACAGCCGAGCTGGCACCCAAGCCTCAAGGCACAGTCCTTTCTACTCTTCTCTTCCCTTTCCTCAAGCAGAGGAGTCTCTCCCCATGGGCACCACCGCCCTAGGCCCACAGCAAGTACTGTCTGGCTACCACTGATGTTCACTCAAGGCCCAAGGGCTCTTCAGTCAGCTGCGGTGCATGCTGTCAGGCCTGGGTCTCTCCCTTCAGGGCAGTGAGTGCCCCTCTGGCGCAGGGCAGGTTCAGAAATGCCATCCAGGAGCCAAGGCCTGGAACTGGCAACCCCAGGAGATAGCTTGGTGCTCTACTTCACTGTGGCCAAGCTGAAAGACAAAGTCTCCTTTATTCTTCCCTCTCCTTTCCTCAAGCAAAAGGAGGCTCTCCTGTAGCCGCAATAAGTGGAAACATCATGGGTCACACCTAAAGCAAGCACTGCTCTGAGTTTCACTCAAGGCCCACGGTGAGTACTGCCTGGCCACCACTCACAATTATTCAGGGCCCTGGGGCTCTTTATTCAGCAGGTGATGAATCCTGCTAGGACTGAGTCCTTCCCTTCAAGGCAGAGGTTTCCCTACTGGCTGTGGGTGTGTCTAGAAATGTCACCAGGAGCTAAGTCCTGGAATGGGGGCCTCAGGACTCTGCCTGGTGCCCTATTCCACTATGGCTGAGCTGGTTTCCAAGTTGCAAGAGAAAGTTCTCTTTCCTCTCCCCTTTCCTCTCCTCAACAAAAGGAAGGACTCTCCCCTGGAGCTGTGACCTGTATTGCCTGGACTTGGAAGAGGGGCCATGCAAGTACTCCTTTAGCCACCCAGGCTAGGTCATGTGTCCCCCAGGTCCACTGGCTGTGGGCCCAGCAGACAGCACCGGGACTTGCCCAAGAATTGTACTTTGAGGCCTAGACTGACTTTCAAGTTTATTTAGGATCCCAGAGTATTTTCCTTCATGGTGGCAGGACTTGCTGGATCTTAGGTTTTGATAGCTGGGATTGTCGAATCACCTCTAGCTAGGGCTGGTCTAAATGCCCCCTCCACAGGCTCTAGCTAAATTCTGCCCTATGATGCTTTCTGCTGTGACAGGGTAGCACTGAGTTTCAATGTAAAGTCCCACAATCACTATGCTCTCCATCCCCCCAAAGCACAGATTCTCTCTTTGTGCCATGCAGCCACTGCTGGAGGATGGGGGAGAGGTGGTGTAGACAATTCAAGACTGTCTTTTCTACCCTCTTCAGTGCCACTTTCCTTAATATTGATGTTAAAACCAGGTACTGTGATTGCTCACATGATTTTTGATTCTTATGAAGGTGCTTTTTTGTGTGGATAGTCATTCAATTTGGTGTTCCTGCAGCAGGGAATGATCGCTGGAGGCTTCTATTGGGTCATCTTCCTTTACCCCCATTTCTGAAGCTTTGCCTCCCAAAGCCAGATCTTATAGCCAAATATGTTGTAAAGTGTCTACTTATATTCTTCAAGTAAATGTGTAATATGAATTTCAATGCACTTCAAAAAAAACTCTCAGGAATATATTGCCAGATATGCTTTAAAAATATGTTATTGGCTGGGTGCGGTGGCTCACGCTTGTAATCCCAGCACTTTGGGAGGCCGAGGTGGGCAGCTCATAAGGTCAGGCGTTCGAGACCAGCCTGGCCAACATGGCGAAACCCCATCTCTATTAAAAGTACAAAAATTAGCCGGGCGTGGTGGCGGATGCCTGTAATCGCAGCTACTTGGGAGTCTGAAGCAGGAGAATCGCTTGAACCCGGGAGGCGGAGATTGCAATGAGCCAAGATTGCACCACTGCACTCCAGCCAGGGTGACAGAGCGAGACTCCGTCTCAAAATAAATAAACAAATAATAAATAAATAAGTTATTAAAGCAGTCAATATTAAAATGTGTATTTAACATAATTTATTGGCTGGGTATGGTGGCTCATGCTTATAATTCCAGTACTTTGGGAGGCCAAGGCAGAAGGATTGCTTGAGGCCAGGAGTTTGGAACTAGACAACATAGAAAGACCCTGTCTCTTCAAAAACCAGTAAGTTGCAAGTCAAATGTGCATTTATGGCTGGGTATGGTGGCTCATGCCTGTAATTCCAACATTTTTGGAGGTCAAGGCCAGAGGATCACTCAAGGCCAGGAGTTCAAGACCAGGTTGGGCAACATAGCGAGACTACTGTCTCTTTTATAAAAAGATAAACATTAAAAAAAATTATGAAGGTACATTCCCTGAGAGAATTAGACATTCTTTAGGTTGGTCTATAAGACAAGACAATGTTTCAGAATGACTTTAAAAGGCACATAATTATCATTTTGCCTTATTTTCATAATGTGGATAAGTTTTCTTAACACAAGAAGTATTTCTGTTATATTTAAGAGTTATCACGAACATACAGTTCTTCAACAGTTCAAAAGTACCTGACTTTTTGACTAATGACATTCTAACTGTAGTTTTCAAGTAACTATGTTATATGGATGAATGTTGATAATGGCCAAAAAGAATTATTTTTCATTTTAAACACAGGAAGAGGCAAAATCATATAACAAAACTTGTTACCACTTTAACAATCCATTCTTTCATATATTTAAATTAATAATATCCCAATATGGTCCAAAATACCCTGTTTCTAACAGGCTTCACATTTACAGAAATAAATGTAAGAATGGAAGAGGCAGGAAGCTCCAGAGATTTATGGGGCTTTCTCATTAAGAAATGCTCTCCCTTTATTTGGAGCCCAAGGAGTTTTATATATCCTTGTAAAATATCTTTTTTTTAAGATTTTGGATAAATGAAATATAGTACTTGCCTTTGCAAAATGAAAGGTTCATTTTCAAGCTGAACATTTTAAAAATGTACACATATGAAAGTTGAACATCTGGAAATTGATTCTTTTACAATTATCCCTGCCTGTATACCTCTTGGAAAGCATTTACATGTGGGAACACATGTAAGTTCTTTAACCTTCATTTGAGAAATTCTGTATTAAAACATGTTAATCATTCATAATTTGAGCTACTTAGTAACTTCGGTCAATTATCAGAATCTGAATGGTTTTATGGTGTGCTGGGTATCTTCCATTTGTCCCTTGTTACCACTCATCACCCTTCACCTTGCTTCTTACTCTATGAGGCTAAACTTTAATGGATTAAATCAATAGGGGCCTCTGCCCTCTGACTAGCAATAGGGTTTAGTCACTGGGAATCCCTGGCAGGAAGCAAGAGAATGAGGACAGGTTATCAATAACCCTGCCTTTTCTCCTGAGGAGCTCCCTCGAGCTGGCCATGTCCCTCTTCTACAGGTCACTGCTCTGCTCAATCTAATTTTCTCTCCTGGGTTTTGATAATCTCTGCCTTCAGCCTTTTGGCCCTAGAGGTGGGATAGTTCTGCTGCTGTTAGCCCAAGTTCTTTTGTGGCTTTCCAATACTGCCACACCTTCTCAATTAGTCCCTCTGCAAATCAACCCTCCTTGAATTTGATCCCAATTTGAGAGTGCCATCTGCTTCCTGTTTGAGACCCCCAACTGATAACTCAATTTAGAGATTACTGGCTATGCCCAAATTCCCTCAGGAGAGTAACTCTAAACATGTTTTGGAGCCAAGGAGCTCAATTGGGTATGGATGAGAGATACAGAGGCACAGGGCCATTCTGTTGGTTTCCTATCCCATCATCCGCTGCTACACCAGAATGAACAAGCATAAGAATTGTCTAAATCTGGAGGACCACTGGCTATTGTGGAGGTCTTGCTGGATGGGCGGACTACACAGTATCCCTCAGGGTCATGGCAAACTCTGAAGTGATGGCAAAGACCACAGAAGGGCCATACAGTCCAGAAGGAGATTCCTGACAATAGGGTAGACATGTTTAATTTTACTGAAGATTAGGGAAAATAAAAGGAATAACAGCAGAGGAAGAAAACAATGTAAAACGATTCCTTATGGTACTGGGACATAAATGTTTGAAGGAAAAAATAAACAAATAAAATAAATAGGCAAAAGATTCCTCAGCTATAACTTTCCCGTGCTTAAGGGACACAAAGGTTCAAACACCATTTCTCATGTTCTAACACCAAAGAAGTTGATCGGTTTACCTAGAATTATCCTGAAAATGGTCTCAGTTTCTAACTTGTGTTTTATGTCCTTGTCCCCCTCCAGGGGGTTTGTTTCCTTTAAATTCTGTGCAAAATTTTTACTTGTCTCTGGAGAATTCATAATTGCATACTTATCAGAGTTTGTTATTATCCCAGGATCCAGCCTCTTTTGTCTTATAGTTAATATCCCTAAACCTGGGTATTCAGGGGTTTTTGTTGTTGTTTGAGATGGAGTTTTGCTTTATAGCCCAGGCTGGAGTGCAGCAGCGCGATCTCGGCTCACTGCAACCTCTGCCTCCCGGGTTCAAGCGATTCTCCTGCCTCAGCTTCCTGAGTAGCTGGGATTACAAGCGTGCGCTACCATGCCCGACTAATTTTTGTATTTTTAGTAGAGACGGGGTTTCATCATGTTGGCCAGGCTGGTCTTGAACTCCTGACCTCAAGTGATCCACCCGCCTCAGCCTCCCAAAGTGCTGGGATTACAGGCGTGAGCCACCGCGCCCAGCTGGTATTCAGTTTTAATAACTTCAGCAGACCAGTCCGGGACAGGCTTTGGCCCTCCAAATCTCATCAAAAAGCCAAAGTGGAGAAGTGCATTTGAAATAACCTTTTGCCTTTATCTCATGAGGCTGAGTGCAGCGCCCACCAAATAGTAATCTCTGAATCAAGACAGATGTTAGTTCTAAGAGTACAGACTTTTTAGACCCTTAAGGAGAAAGATAATCACTTTCCTAACTTCTTCCTTTGCAAGGCTATCTACCCCTGCCGTCCACAGAGTTAGCTTTTGCATTACTATGCAAAATGTTTAAATTGCTCATGTTCAATGGAGTTAACCTTCCACATTATTATGCAGAATGCTTTAAGTTATTTATGTTCCTCCTTTCCCAAACTCTACCACTATCCCTTTCTACATTGTGACCTCTAGTCCTAATAGGATTAAGGACCATGATCATTATAGTGATATTCATCTCAATGGCTACTGCCTTAGCTACACTTAAAATTTTTTTTAAAAAAAGAAAAAAAAGGTCAAAGCTCTGACCTTCAAGCTTTTAAAGTCCTATGGTACTGGCCTTACAATGAAAAACAGCAGTCAGTACCTGCCCCATTCTTCCCCACTCTCTCTTCCCATTCCATTTAGTACCTTCATTTTTTTTTAGTTCTTTTATTTTATATATTTCTGTAATTTTAAAAAGTATGCCTAGTCTGCAACTTCCGGATTTTAGCTTTTTTGATATACTGATTGAGGGTGCTGTGATGAGCTGCACCTTTAGGAATAAAAAGACTTACCCTCCTAGCTGCTGTGAGTGCTTCTGTCAGACAACCCTAAGTTTTCAGGCGTCTGCATCTGAAGAGAAATGCCTTTGCCCCCGCCCCCCGCACCCCACAACCTCTTACCAGGGAGGCCTACATTCAGTGAAGTTATATATACAGGAGCATAAATGACTAGTCCCCTTGCCCCAACGTGGGCCAAACAACTTTGTGGAACTATCCAGCATCACAGTTCCCTGTAGAATTAGCAGAGGCCTTCTTTGAGACTCTACTACAGCCCAGCTGCTCCTTCTGCCCAATTCTGCTTTTTTTCTCCTTCCAAAGAACATTCCCCAATAAACTTCTAGCATGTCGATCTCCGTCTCAGAGTCTGCTTTTGGGAAATTCAATATGGGGCATTACCCACTGACTTTCTGCTATGGTAGATGAGGATTTTTCTATTTTGCATAGCACTTCTCTATCCTCTGTCTCTACCACAGCTTCCCCTCATTTCACCTTCTTTATGTAGTGATAGTGACATTTTTAGATAAATCAACATGCAATATAATCACAGGATAATATTCATGGCTGAGTCTTATAGTTTACTCTATATTTTATTTCATATACTTTTTTTTGCTTGATGCAAACAGTTGCCTCATATTTTTATTTCCTTAGTTTTTGTAGCAATTATCTCATTCCAATATTAGAACTAATTCTCCTCTAAACATGTTCGTAAATATTAGCTATACTCAATCAGTTTTATATTCATCTTAGAGACATTGCTCTTAGAGGTCTCTGTCCTGCTCTGTTCTGGTCTTTTTCTATGTCTGCTGACTGCTTTTATCTTGGTATTTCTGTTCTCCATCATTCTGCAAATTCCTTTTACATTTTCCCTAAGTTGTATCCCTTGTTTCCTGAATCCCATATCTTTGTCTTTCTTGGTTTTATCGGAGCACATTCTCTAATAGCTTTCTGGAAAAGAGATCATGGGAGGTAAATTTTAAGAGCTTATATTTCTGAAAATGTCTTTATTCTATTCTCATACTTGACTAATAGTTTGGTTGGGTATAGAATTTTAAATTCCTTAGAATTTTAAAGGCATTTTTCCATTATCTTCCAACTTCCTGGGATGCTGGTAGAAGCAATGTATATTATTATTTTTAATAGAGATGAGGTCTTGCTTTGTTACCCAGGCTGGTCTTGAACTCCTGGGCTCAAGCAATCTTCCCACCTTGGCCTCCCAAAGTGCTGGGATTACCGGTGTGAGCCACCATGTCCAGACCTGGCTGCTAGTGTTTTGGGAAAAAGGAGCCAGAGATTGCAACATTTAGTATGTTAAGTTTTACTAATTCTCATTTTAAGTCTGGGGTGTCTCCCTTTTACTTTACCCTCCCCCCCACCCCCCCAACCACATTAGCTCTGCCAGATGTACTTAAACCCCTGTGGTTTGACTGCTGTAGAGAGTAAATGCATCTTCTGTTAGGAAGTCATATTTGTCTTGTTGTATGAGGTAGGAGAGATCAGGGTTAAAATTCCACTTACTTTAAAAGACTGTCAAGTCTTCTTCTTTTCAGTCTCATCCACAACCCTGTCTTCTGAAGTACCCATTGCCTCCAATTCCTTTGTCTTTCCACAAATCTGCAATGGGAACTGGTTTTCATCTTTTGGACATAGATGCTTACATTTCAGCTTTCTTTTGGACTCCTAAGTCAATTCCCTTTTCTGTTTCAAGATTTTATCTTTTGTATGCTGGCATATATTATATTTTCTAGTTTATGTGTATGTTTGCCATTTTTCCTCTTTGCAATCCTTGTAGCAGGGTTTGAGGAGGGAGTGGAAATATGTTTTTGTTCTTTAAATGACAGTCTCTCTTATGTCTCCCTTTTTTTCCATTTTAAATGACAGTCTGAGGGCGAGTATGTGAGTCTCATTCTTTTAGCTTCATGCTCAAGGACATTATAAAGAGTATCATTTTCATTTAAAAGACATGGTCACTGAGACTTCATGAACAGCCTGGTCATATAGTACAATTCAGTATGAGTTAATTGTTACCCAAGAAGGCCCAGAGGTAAGAAAGTACAGGATAGGAGGAGAGCATGATACTTAACATTCTTTGGATGATTCAAATAAATACATAGAACATGAGGACACAAATAGGAAGGGCAAGTTTTGGCCTTTAACCAGTCTGAGAGAAAGAAGAAACAAATTGAATAAGCATGTCATCAAGAAGATTTTTTTTCTCCTTTTCAATGTTTTTCCCTCAATGCCTATTTGAATGCTGGATGAAAAAAAAAATGAAGTTAAATAAGCAAATGCATTCATGCTGCTATTTTAGTATACATCAATTTTGAATCTAGGATTTATGACTTGCTTACTTCAAAAGGGTAGAAGTAGTTTAATATGTTAAATAATACAAAATGAACCATGAGCTGAATATCTTCTATTTGCCCCTCTAGATGACTCGTCTAGTCTTCTTTACTCTGCTTTCTGCTCTGGGAGACTGACTTGGATCCAAGTTTGTTGTTGTTGTTGTTGTTGTTGTTGTTTGAGATGAAGTTTCGCTTTTATTGCCCAAGCTGTAGTAAAATGGTGTGATCTCGGCTCACTACAACCTCCGCCTTCCAGTTTCAAGCAATTACCCTGCCTCGGCCCCCCAAGTAGCTGAGATTACAGGCATGCACAACCATGCCTGGCTAATTTTGTATTTTTAGTAGAGACAGGGTTTCACCATGTTGGTCAGGCTGGTCTCAAACTCCTGACCTCAGGTGATCTGCCTACCTTGGCCTCTCAAAGTGCTGGGATTACAGGCATGAGCCACCGCACCTGGACTGGATAAGTTCTTATGCCAGCTGTTTTTTTTTGTTGTTGTTGTTGGATCCAACCTAAGGAAAGCTGCAACAGGAGATTCAAGAAAGAAGGGGAAATGAACAAGGTATTTCTTCCTCTGACTCCCTCCTTGCAGTATCTTCTCCAGCTGCCTTTCTCCCTCTCCAAAGGAGATTGCTCTTTCAAGGCTCCCCATTTACACGACACTCTCCTTATAGCCTACTCACCCCTTCTTATCATGCAAATAGCATCTCCTCTTGCTTTGTAATTTTGTTGGGAAATACGGCTGGGGCTACACCTGAACTTTCAAACAGGATGTAAAATGTCGACATTCTGAATGGTTGTAAACAACTTGGGCTGTGTGCCTTCGGGACTGATGTACTACAGGTTGGAGAGAGGACTGGTTTTCTTTTTTCTTTCTTTCCTTTTTTTTTTTTTTTTTTTGAGACTAAGTTCCCCTCTTGTTGGCCAGGCTGGACTGCAGTGGCACAATCTCAGCTCACTGCAACCTCCACCTTCTGGCTTCAAGCGATTCTCCTGCCTCAGCCTCCCCAGTAGCTGGGATTACAGGCGCCTGCCACCATGCCTGGCTAATTTTTGTATTTTTAGTAGAGACAGGGTTTCACCATGTTGGCCAGGCTGTTCTTGAACTCCTGACCTCGTGATCCGCCTGCCTCTGCCTCCCAAAGTGCTGGGATTACAGGCGTGAGCCACTGCGCCCTGCTGAGGACTGGTTTTTCTTGGGTTTTTTTCTTGCCTCTGGGTCCATGACTGAGGGATCCAAGTTACCAATATGTGAATTTAGTGAGTGTTTTAATGACTCTTCTTTCACACCCTCATGCCTAACAACTAAACTAAATGGATATGCTTCTATTTTGTTGGCATTGGCTGAGTACATATTTTGCAGATTGATTGATGTGAAAGGACTAAAAGAACAAAGAGAAGCCTCTATTCTTGAGGATGTATAGGATTCCAATGAGGAAGTCTTTCCACCTGTTTCTATATATGCCACCTTCTTAGGGGCTAAGAGGGGAGACTGAATCCACATTGATTCACATAAATTACATCATGTAGTCTGAGATTCTAACACAATATTGAAGCAAATCTACCTGTAAATTGGTCATTAGGCAAAGGCTTGTTAGAAATGTGAGACAGTAATACGGGATCACAAAAAGGTAAGGTTCAAGGCAGCTTAAGTGAGATCAACGTTAAAATTTTTATGGACTCACAAGTTATTTAAGTCAATTTTCAAAGTTAGCCTGTGCCATAAAAATGATGTCAAATTTCCTTTCTAGGCTATTCTATATCATAGCTGTTTTATTTAAATTAAATTTATTAAAAAATTATATACTTGGTAATTATTAAAATCTAAAAACAAAATATTTAAGAGAAAAAAGTTAGCATTAAAATAGATTATTTTCATTCTAGAAATTGTAAGTTCAGTCACTGATAGAAATAATGATTTTTAGGGGTGATATTTTAAAGAACCGCTGACAGGAATACACCAGATAGCTGAGATATTTATTTTTGCATGGTTAACGTGCCTGATGATAGGATAGAAGACTGTATTTTTCCTGTCAATTTGTGAATATAAAACACTATGGACTAGTTACATAGATGTTGTTCACTAGAATATATCAGGCAAAGGTTTTGAATGTAGATACCAAGCACTGCAGGTAACAGGTGTGCTGGAACGTGTTAATTGATGGCCCTGCTAGTGTAAATGCATGGTGAGAGATCATGATTATTGTACATTTCACGTGGTGCTGCAGAGGGAATATAGGTTTAAATGCAACTGCAAAGATTCTGACATAGTGAAATGCTTGAAGAAAAAGTAAGCTTTTGGTACACTTGTTATCAAAAGAAAAGTAAGCTTTTTTGTGTACCTAAAGAACAAAGCACTATTTATGTGAAAGCAAAAGCTGATTGCTATTGATCATGTTGGTCAAAGTTCTATTAAGGAATGTGTCAGTTAACTGGAGGTTTTAACATCACAGCTGAGCTACTCTATCCATAAATTCATGATCATGCATGAGAAACCATGAGGGAGTAGCTGCTGCAAAGCTCGGAAGATGATGTGACAAGAGACCAAATTTCATCAACAACACCCTGAGAGGAGCCAGTCGGCCAAAGGGAACAGCAGGGGAAACCCCTACCACTTAATGTAGAAAATGCTCATAACAGCTCCACTTCTACATTTGCCACATCTGCTGCAAAATACTTCATCAGGCTGAAAGGCGAGGTGTGACTAAGGGGCAGCACCAACATGATCTACAACTGTGAGAGGTTCACAACTCATTGCTCTATGGAAGTACAGAAGACACATTTTTCAAACAAAACTTAACTGCTTTCTAACAACAAATACTAGGGTTATGCAGCTCAGTCACTATGGTTTTTAAATACCAAGAAGCTAGGAAAATAAGTACTAAAAGATAGTACTCAAAAAGAGACGAATGAATGAAATGCTAAGTAGGTTTGGTAAAATTTGGGGGAAAGGAGAAGCAGAAGAGTCTGGAAGGTACAGAAACTTATATTCGATAAGGTTAATCTGGTGCCTTTGTGAGAAATCTCTAAACTTTAATTGACTGATGTATCCTTATTACTTGCTGAGGAATGCTCCTTTTCTCCCCATCCTCAAACTATTAGAACAATAAAATAATTAAGCATTCATATTCTAAGCCATTTTGATTTTATGGATTAAAATCTTTTTACAGAAAAATTCATATTCAGTTAATATTTATATTCATTTTTCATTTCAGCTTTTAGCTTTTTAATTCACTCAAGCATAATTTTATGCATTGAGCTGAATGCCTTTTATCAAACTCTTAAGGAAACAAAGTTTTACAAATAAACCCCACCCTGTAAACAGTAAAATCCAGAGTCTTAAAAGTTTCAGAATAACAATAATAGTTGTGCCAAATCCCTATTGACTTCAGTGAGCACGGCACCAGGTTCAAGAGGCTGAAGAAGAAACCTAGAGCCAGGAAATGAGACATGGGGTTTTATTTTTACATACACCAAAGAGAGCCCAGTGGCGGCCCGCTTGGCAGGAGAACAGCAACTTCTTGCAAAAGGCATGCAGTTTATATAGCATTTTCACTTAACACTTTCCCTAACAACTTCCACCTGGCAACCTTTATTTAATGCAAAATTCAGGGCCTTGAGCTTCTATATGGCCAGTGTTCCATGGGGAAATGAGGGGTGGAGGGCTGTATGGCTCTTCATAGATAAGGAATGGATCTGCAGGTTTGCCACTTCTGGATTCCCTTAGCTCAGAACTCCGAACGTACATTCAGGTGCATCTGCTATACAGGGTCATTCTCAGGGTATGCCCAAGTCAAGTTATCACTGTCAGGTGTGTCTACCATGCAACAGTTTACCATTCTTCCTTTCCTTGCCTGGTGGTTGTCACACTATTGTATTAATCAATCAGTAAACATTTACTGAATATCAAATGGTCCCCAAAGAGGGGGGAACACACACACAAAGTAGATACCACAGTTCCTGCTCCTAAGGTATTTATAGTTGGAAGTGCTTAAATTATTGTACATATAATAAAGCAAGGAGCAGTTAAATATTGAACAGCTAAGAATTGGCTAAAAGTGCCATAGGAACACAAAGGAGAGACATATTACTATTGACTTAAACTAGTGGAAGAAGTTTTTACGGAGAGAAGACCTGAGCTGGACCCAGAAGGATGGGTAGGAGGGAGAGGCAGGGTCATATAAATGGGATGGGTCAGCAGGAACACAGGCATGGAAGCTGGAAGAAAAACAATGCTGACGCTTGCTACTTACTTCCCCCATTAGAAGCCAAAGTGAGGTGTGACTCTCACAACAAGTAACCGACTGAAAGTACCAGGCTATTAATACATGAGGAGAAATGCTGCTTCAGTAAATAGATAGGTGGCGTTATTGTTTGGAGACTAATTTGAGTATTTATGTTTTGTGCCTGCAACAAGTGTGCTGAAGATACTTAATTAGTGATTAAAGAAGCTCCCATCAGTGTGGGAATAATGCTGCAATGAATATAGAAGTGCATACATCTCTTGAACATACTAATTTCATTTCTTTTTGATATATACCTAGTGGTGCAATTAATTGCTGAATCATATTGTAGCTGTATTTTTAATGTTTTGAGGAACCTCCACACCATTTTCCATAAAGGCTGTACCAATTTATATTCTCATCAACAGTGCACAAGCCTTCATTTTTGTCCACATCCTCACCAACATTTGTTATTTTTTGTCTTTTTGATGATAGCCATTCTAACAAGTGTGAGGTGATATCTCATTGTGGTTTTGCTTTGTATTTCCCTGATGAGATAGTTCTCTTAGTTTCTTTTTCAGATAGTTCATTGGGAGTGTATAGAAATGCCACTGATTTTTGCATGCTGATTATATATCATGCAACTTTGCTAAATATGCTTCTTAGTGCTAATCATTTTTTGGTACATACTACCATCTGAATGTGTCCGCCAAATCATATGTTGAAACTTAATTGCCAATGTGGTAATATTAAGAGATGGGCCTTTAGGAGATGATTAGGTCATAAGAGTGAAACCCTCATAAAGGGAATTAGTGACTTTATAAGAGTTTAAAGGGAGCATGCTAATCTTTTTTGATATTCCACCTGCTGCCATGTGAGGACACAGCAGCAAAGTGTTATCTTGGAGAGCAGGAGCAAGTCTTCACCAGATACCTAATCTTCTGGTACTATGATCGTGGACTCTCCAGCCTCCAGAACTATAAGAAATAAATTTTGACTCGGCATGGTGGCTCACACCTGTAATCCCAGCACTTTGCGAGGCAAGACGGGCAGATCACCTGAGGTCGGGAGTTGGAGACCAGCCTGACCAACATGGAGAAACCCCGGCTCCCAAATGTCCAACAATGATAGACTGGATTAAGAAAATGTGGCACATATACACCATGGAATACTATGCAGCCATAAAAAATGATGAGTTCATGTCCTTTGTAGGGACATGGATGAAATTGGAAATCATCATTCTCAGTAAACTATCGCAAGAACAAAAAACCAAACACCGCATGTTCTCACTCATAGGTGGGAATTGAACAATGAGATCACATGGACACAGGAAGGGGAATATCACACTCTGGGGACTGTTGTGGGGTGGGGGGAGGGGGGAGGGATAGCATTGGGAGATATACCTAATGCTAGATGACGAGTTAGTGGGTGCAGTGCACCAGCATGGCACATGTATACATATGTATCTAACCGGCACAATGTGCACATGTACCCTAAAACTAAAGTATAATAAAAAATAAATAAATAAATAAATAAAAAATAAAAATACAAAATTAGCCGGGCGTGGTGGTGCATGGCTGTAATCCCAGCTACTAAGGAAGCTGAGGCAGGAGAATTGCTTAAACCTGGGAGGTAGAGGTTGCAGTGAGCCGAGATCGTGCCATTGCACTCATGCTCCAGCCTGGGCAACAAGAGTGAAACTCTGACTCAAAAAATAAAAAGAAATAAAAAAAAGAAATTTCTATTATTTATCAATTACCCAGTTAGTCATATTTTGTTATAGCAGCAGGAAAAGATGGATATAGTGGAGACTTTAGGGTTTTCCATATATAAGATTATGTCATTGGCAAACAGGGTTAATTTTTCTTGTGTTCTGATTTGGGTGCCTTTTATTTCTTTTTCTTGCCTAATTGCTCTGCCTAGGACTTATAGCACTGTATCAAATAGAAGTGACAAGAGTGGACGTGCTTGTCTTGCTCCTGATCTTAGAGGAAAAGCCTTCAGCTTTCCATCATTGAATATGATGGTAGGTATGAGCTTGTCACATTTATTATGTTGAGGTGCAATCCTTCTATACCTAATTTGTTGAGAGGTTTTTTTTTTTTAATCATAAAAGGATGTTGAGTTTAGTCAACCCCATCTATTTAGATAATAATATGATTTTTGTCCTTCATTGTGTTAATGTGGTATATCACACTTACTGGTCTATGTATCACACTTGCATCCTGGGGATAAATCCCACTTGATCAGGGTGTATGATACTTTTAATGTACTGTTGAAATTGTTTTGCTAGTATTTTGTTGAGTGGCTTTTAGGGTGATGTTTGCAATGATGTTCATTGTGAATATTGGAGTTTTATTTTATTTTATTTTATTTTTAGACAGAGTCTCGCTCTTTCACTAGGCTGGAGTGCAGTGGCGTGATCTCGTCTCACTGCAACCTCCACCTCCCAGATACAAGCAATTCCCCTGCTTCAGCCTCCCGAGTAGCTGGGATTGCAAGCATATGCCACCATGCCCAGTTAATTTTTATACTTTCAGTAGAGACGGGGTTTCACCATGTTGGCCAGGATGGTCTCGATCTCTTGACCTCGTGATCTGCCCGCCTCAGACTCTGAAAGTGCTGGGATTACAGGCATGAGCCACCGCACCCAGCTATAATTTTATTTTCTTAAAACGCCCAAAGTCTGGCTTTGGTATCAGGATAAATTCTCGTCTCATAAAATGAGTTTAAAGGTGTTCCCTCCTCAATTTTTTGGAATAGTTTGAGAATGATTGACATTAATTTTTTTTATTATACTTTAAGTTTTAGGGTACATGTGCACAATGTACAGGTTAGTTACATATGTATACATGTGCCATGCTGGTGCACTGCACCCACTAACTCGTCCTCTAGCATTAGGTATATCTCCCAATGCTATCCCTCCCCCCTCCCCCCACCCCACAACAGTCCCCAGAGTGTGATGTTCCCCTTCCTGTGTCCATGTGTTCTCATAGTTCAGTTCCCACCTGTGAGTGAGAATATGCGGTGTTTGGTTTTTTGTTCTTGCGATAGTTTACTGAGAATGATGGTTTCCAATTTCATCCATGTCCCTACAAAGGACATGAACTCATCATTTTTTTAGGCTGCATAGTATTCCATGGTGTATATGTGCCACATTTTCTTAATCCAGTCTATCATTGTTGGACATTTGGGTTGGTTCCAAGTCTTTGCTATTGTGAATAGTGCCGCAATAAACATACGTGTGCATGTGTCTTTATAGCAGCATGATTTATAGTCCTTTGGGTATATACCCAGTAATGGGATGGCTGGGTCAAATGGTATGTCTAGTTCTAGATCCCTGAGGAATCGCCACACTGACTTCCACAATGGTTGAACTAGTTTACAGTCCCACCAACAGTGTAAAAGTGTTCCTATTTCTCCACATCCTCTCCAGCACCTGTCGTTTCCTGACTTTTTAATGATTGCCATTCTAACTGGTGTGAGATGGTATCTCATAGTGGTTTTGATTTGCATTTCTCTGATGGCCAGTGATGGTGAGCATTTTTTCATGTGTTTTTTTGCTGCATAAATGTCTTCTTTTGAGAAGTGTCTGTTCATGTCCTTTGCCCACTTTTTGATGGGGTTGTTTGTTTTTTTCTTGTAAATTTGTTTGAGTTCATTGTAGATTCTGGATATTAGCCCTTTGTCAGATGAGTAGGTTGCAAAAATTTTCTCCCATTTTGTAGGTTGCCTGTTCACTCTGATGGTAGTTTCTTTTGCTGTGCAGAAGCTCTTTAGTTTAATTAGATCCCATTTGTCAATTTTGGCTTTTGTTGCCATTGCTTTTGGTGTTTTAGACATGAAGTCCTTGCCCATGCCTATGTCCTGAATGGTAATGCCTAGGTTTTCTTCTAGGGTTTTTATGGTTTTAGGTCTAACGTTTAAGTCTTTAATCCATCTTGAATTGATTTTTGTGTAAGGTGTAAGGAAGGTATCCAGTTTCAGCTTTCTACATATGGCTAGCCAGTTTTCCCAGCACCATTTATTAAACAGGGAATCGTTTCCCCATTGCTTGTTTTTGTCAGGTTTGTCAAAGATCAGATAGTTGTAGATATGCAGCATTATTTCTGAGGGCTCTGTTCTGTTCCATTGATCTATATCTCTGTTTTGGTACCAGTACCATGCTGTTTTGGTTACGGTAGCCTTGTAGTATAGTTTGAAGTCAGGTAGGGTGATGCCTCCAGCTTTGTTCTTTTGGCTTAGGATTGACTTGGCAATGCGGGCTCTTTTTTGGTTCCATATGAACTTTAAAGTAGTTTTTTCCAATTCTGTGAAGAAAGTCATTGGTAGCTTCTAACAGACAGGACCCCCCTGCAGCACGGCCAGGTGGCCGTGTGAGGCGTCAGTCTGCCCCTGCTGGGGGGGTGCCTCCCAGTTAGGCTGCTCGGGGGTCAGGGGTCAGGGACCCACTTGAAGAGGCAGTCTGCCCGTTCTCAGATCTCCAGCTGCGTGCTGGGAGAACCACTGCTCTCTTCAAAGCTGTCAGACAGGGACATTTAAGTCTACAGAGGTTACTGCTGTCTTTTTGTTTGTCTGTGCCCTGCCCCCAGAGGTGGAGCCTACAGAGGCAGGCAGGTCTCCTTGAGCTGTGGTGGGCTCCACCCAGTTGGAGCTTCCCGGCTGCTTTGTTTACCTAAGCAAGCCTGGGCAATGGTGGGCGCCCCTCCCCCAGCCTTGCTGCCGCCTTGCAGTTTGATCTCAGACTGCTGTGCTGGCAATGAGCGAGACTCCGTGGGTGTAGGATCCTCCCTGCCAGGTGCGGGATATAGTCTCCTGGTGCGCCGTTTTTTAAGCCCGTCGGAAAAGCGCAGTATTTGGGTGGGAGTGACCCGATTTTCCAGGTGCCATCTGTCACCACTTTCTTTGACTAGGAAAGGGAACTCCCTGACCCCTTGCACTTCCGAGTGAGGCAATGCCTCACCCTGCTTCTGCTCGCGCACGGTGCGTGCACCCACTGACCTGCGCCCACTGTCTGGCACTCCCTAGTGAGATGAACCCGGCACCTCAGATGGAAATGCAGAAATCACCTGTCTTCTGCATCGCTCAGGCTGGGAGCTGTAGACCAGCGCTGTTCCTATTCGGCCACCTTGGCTCCTCCCCTCGAATTCCGACATTAATTTTTAATTGTTTGGTAGAATTCACAGGTAAAGCCATTAGGTACTGGGCTTTTCTTTGATAGCAGATTTTTTTAAATTATAAATTTATTATCTTTGCTCATTGTTGATCTGTTTAGACTTTTATATCTTTGTGATTCAGTTTTGGTAGGTTGTAAGTTTTTAGGAATTTATCCATCTCATCTAGGTTATCCAATTTGGGGAAATATAATTATTCATAGTGGTCTCTTGTTACAGGATTCTTGGGGTGTCTCTTTGCCAGCCAGAAACCTCTGTGGGCAGTGGCGCCTTTGCCCAAGTTTTGCTCAGGCCCACTGGGCTCGTTCTGCACACTTGGCCTTGCAGGCTGCACTCAGCTTGTGCTGCTGGCCTGGATTCCATGCCTGCCAAAGGTCAGCCAGGCACAGAGCAGCAAGGGGTGTGTGAGTGAGCATGGGGTCCTGCCACTGCACATAGCCAGGCATGCCAGCTGCAGCAGCATAGGCAGCTCCAGGCAGCAGTATGGGTGCTGGCTCCCTGTGAGGCTGTGGCTGGACCAGGCGTACCACAAGCAGCTTCCATGGCTGACACTGGAGAATGCGATGGTGCCTGTAAGCTTGGAGACACCAGGGACCATGGAAATCTCTGTGAGCAGTGGCGCCTTTGCCCTAGCTTAGCTCAGGCCCACTGGGCTCGTTCTGCCCACTTGGCCCTCTGTAGCTGGTTGTTCCATCGTCCCTTCTGGTCTAGCTGAGTCCAGGGCTTTTATGGGCCTCAGTGGGAGGAAGTGTGTGCTGATTGGTCCATGGGTGGCCATAGGTGGGCCCAGAAAAAGCAACACAAGTTGCCACTCTGGTCCACAGGACCGCCAGCCCAGCCCCTAGGCCTCAGGCCCTCCCTGGGTGGGGTTTCACTGGAGACTCATCCCTCTCTGCCCAGGAGCCTGTCTGCCTCCTGCCACCATTCATGTCACCCAGGCTGTTCATGCAAAGGAGTGCCTGCAGGCCAGCATTGAGCTGCTTTCAGCACCCTCTGGCCTCCCTCCCATGTTCATTGGTGCCCAAAGTCTGGAGGGAGCCAAGTAGAGGCCTGGCATGTTAGTACTGCCCTGAGTGTGCACACACCCAGCTGTGCTGTGACAGCACCCAGGCTCAGCCCCAACCTTGCTCTGAGATCAGAGTGGGCACTGGGAGTGGGGAGAAGGTAGGCAGTGGGAGCAGACACCATCAAGCCTGCATTGGAAAGGGGAAGTCTTCCTGGGCCCCCAAGAGTGCAGAGATTCCTGGGTTCGCAGTTGCAACTTGGGCAGCTGCAGCTGTGCCTGGGAGGGTGAGGCTTCTACTTGCTTGCAGCTCTGCTGGCTTCGTGGAGCATGGCACTGTCCCAGGACCAGCTCCACCTCAGGGCTCCTGTATACCTGCCCCTCCATGCCTGATCACGCTGCTCCTCCACCAGTGGGTGACTCAACCTGGCCCCATTGCAGTGGCTCCCTCACTGGTGGGCAACTTGGTCCATCCTCATCACAGTGGCTCCCAGGGGCAGGCTCCAGGGACTGCTTGCCTCCTCTCCACATTTTCCCTGCAGTGGTGGCAGGCAAAGTGAAGACAGTGTGGTATCCCTGGCCAACCCTGCACAAATGAACCCGACGCTCTCAGGGCTGGCCCCATGAGTCCTGGCTGCACTTTAGCCAGGTGCTCACAGGCTCCCAAGATGCAGTAAGGAGCAAAGTTGAGGCTGTGGCAGAGGCTTCAGGCCTGGGAGCAGGTCCTGCCCAGTCCTGCAAGGGTGGGGGCAGCACAGTTGGCTGCCTTGGGGACCTGGGGCACATGGGTCCCATCGCTGCCACTGCTGCTCCTCCCACCACCTTCTGTGCCTCCCTGCTGCAGCCAACATGATGCCAGCACTCTGGACAGCCCACCACTGCCATCATTATGATCCTTTATATTTCTGTGGTATTAGTTGCATATCTCCTCTTTCATTTATAATTTTATTTACTCAAGTCTCTTCCCTCTTTTTTTGTAAAATTATTCTAGCTAAACATTTGTCAATTTTATCTTTCAAAAAAGTAACTCAGTTTTATTTATATTTTCTTTTTTTTTTTAGTCTCTATTCCTTTGATTTATGCGCTGATCTTTATTACTTCCTTTTTTCTACTAACTTTGGGAATCACTTATTCTTTTTTTATTCTCATGATATAATGTTAGGCTGTTTATTTTAAATCTTTCTTTTTCATACCGTGGGTGTTTATTGCTATAAACTTCCATCTTAGAACTGCTTTTACTGCATCCCATAAGTTTTAATATGTTGGGCTCATTTTCCTTTGTTTCAAGATTTTTAAAATTTCTTTTTACCCCATGCCAGGCCTCTCAGGCTGGCATCAGCTCTGGACTCCCTTGGGACAGAGTTCTCAGAGGGAGAGACAGGCCACCATTTTTGCTGTCCTACAGCTCTTGTCACTCTTGTTTCAGGCTCTGAAGGGTGCATGGTGATTAGGGACTGGCATGGACTCCCAGCACAACACAGCCACCCCTTGGAAAAGTGGTTGACTGTTCATATAGGTCCCCATCCCCACTTCTCACTGGATGGGTCTGGGACTCCAGTACAACTACCCTGCCCCCACCTGAACATGTCAGTTGGAGGTGGCTTTGCATTTCTCTGAAGAGGAAATCCCAGAGTCAACTCACAACCCATCTGCCATTGCAGCTGCAGTGGTACTGCCCTAACTACCCTCAGGCTGGGGTAGGGACAAAGGGCCTGGTTGATAGGCTGGCAACTCCAGCACACCAAAGCTACCACATGGAGAGGAGTCCAGTCTCTCTTTCTTGTGAG
This sequence comes from Homo sapiens, assembly GCF_000001405.40. NCBI lineage: Eukaryota > Metazoa > Chordata > Mammalia > Primates > Hominidae > Homo > Homo sapiens. The sequence goes on along the minus strand of NC_000001.11, from coordinate 197,799,509 downwards.
TCCCCACCTCCAACTCTTCACCAGGCAGGGCCCACAACTTAGGACTGCAGATGAGTCACCCCACACACAGCTAAGAACACTTACTGGAAGTGGTTCTGAGATTCCCTGGGGATGGGCTCCCAGAGGCAACCAAAAGTCCCTCCTCTACAGCCACAGCAGCAGTTTTCCTGCTGCCCTTGTTCTGGGGAATAAACAAAGAGCCTTAGGGCTTTACCTGCACTTACAGCATGCCACAGTCACCATACTTAGAGGAATCCAGTCTCTCTTCCCTGTGAGCCCTCGACACCCAACTCCTCAATAAGTGGAGTCCCCAGCTCAGGCCAGCAGCTCAGCTGCCACTACCCCTGGCTGAACATTCTGAGTAGCAGCAGCTCTGCATTTCTCTGAAGTGGAGCTCCCAGAAGCCCCTCTGCCAGTACCACTGCCGTGGTACTGCCCTTGCTGCCCTCAGACTGGGAAAGGAGCAAAGACCCTAAGTACTTTAACCACACCTCCAGCAAGCCACAGTTACTCTAAGGAGAAGAGGCCAGTCTGTCTCCCCTGAGTCCCACCCACACCCCTGCTTATCATCAGGCAGGGATCCCCTGATTTGGGCTAATAGCACAACTGCCCCATCTGAGACCAGTTGCACTGTTTGATTGCAGCTCTGCATCTCTCTGGGGTGGAGCCCCAAGAGACAAGTGAAAGATCATCTGCCATAACCACTGCTAAGGTCCCTTCCCCTGCTGTTTCCAAGCTGGGAGGGAACCCCAGAACTGCAGTGTGCAGCCTTGGAGGGCTAACCCAAGATCTGCAGCCGCACTCAAGTGGGAGAGGAACAGCAACTTCAGAGAATTGAGAGGGAACATGGCCACAATCATGAGGAAATACAGACTGAGTGACAGCCTAACTACTGGCCATTATGCTTAAGTGCCACTTACTGGATCACAGCCCAAAACTCCAACACTAAAAATACTTTGCTAATATAACCCCCCTGTTAAACCAAGGATAATAATTCAGCTACAAATAAAGACCTGACACAAAGCCTAGACTTTCTGAAAACATCCAGAAAAGAAGTCTACTGACTGTATTCAAATTTACACCATAGTTAAAGAAACATCAGCCCACACAGATGAGAAAAAACCAGTGCAAGAATTCTGGCAATTCAGAAAGCCAGAGTGTCTTCTTTCCTCCAAATGATTGCACTAGTTCCCCAGCAGGGGTTCTTAACTGCACTGAAATGACTGAAATGACAGAAACAGAATTCAGAATATGGATAGGAATGAAGATCATTGAGATTCAGGAGAATGTCAAAACCCAATCCAAGGAATCACAATAAAACCATACAGGAGCTGATAGACAAAATAACCATCATAAAAAAACGAAACTGATCTGATACAGCTGAAAAACACACTATACGAATTTCATAGTTTAATCACAAATATTAACAGCAAAATATACCAAGCAAGGGAAAGGATCTCAGAGCTTGAAGAATGACTCTCTGAAACAACTCAGTCATACAGAAATTAAAAAAAAAAAAGAATAAAAAGGAATGAACAAAATATCCAAGAAATATGGGATTATGGAAAGAGATATGACAGATTGGCATCCCTGAAAAAGATGGGGAGAAAGCAAGCAACTTGGAAACATATTTCAGGATGTCATCCATGAATAATTCCCCAACCTTGCTACAGAGGCCAACAGTCAAATTCAGAAAATGCAGAGAACACCTGCAAAATGTTATCCAAGAAGACCATCCTCAAGACACATAATCATCAGATCCTCCAAGGTCAAAATGAAAGAAAAAATGTTAAAGGCAGCTAGAGAGAAGGGACAAGTCACCTACAAAGGGAACCCCATTAGACTGGCAGTGGATCTTTCAGCAGAAACCCTACACCCCAGAAGGGAATGGGGACCTATATTCAGTGTTGTTAAGGAAAAAAGTTTCCAATCAAGAATTTCAAATCCAGCCAAACTAAGCTTCATAATTGAAGAAGAAATAAGATCCTTTCCAGATAAACAAATGCTGAGGGAATTCATTACCATGAGACATGTATTAAAGAAGAGCTCCCTAAAAGAACACTAAATATGGAAAGGAAAGACTGTTACTAGCAACTAAAAAAACACAGGTATATAGACCAGTGACACTCTAAGGCAACCATACAAACAAAGCTGCATAATAACTATCTAACAACATGTCAGGATCAAACCCACACATATCAACACTGATCTTGAATGTGAATGGGCTAAATGCTCCAATTAAAAGACAGAGTGATGGGCACATGTTCTTAGGTTCTCCTGAGGGCTATTTCAGGGAAAAAAGAAAAGGCATAGCATGGCAAGCTGGATAAAGAACCAGGACCCAATGGTATGCTGTCTTCAAGAGACCCATCTCACATGCAGTTACACACATAGGCTCAAATTAAAGGGATGGAGAAAAATCTATCAAGCAAATGGAAAACAGAAAAAAGCAGGGGTTGCAATCCAAATCTCAGACCAAACAGACTTTAAACCATGAAAGATCAAAAAAGACACAGAAGGACATTACATAATGGTAAAGGGTTCAATTCAACAAGAAGACCTAACTATTCTAAATATATGCACCCCACACAGAAGAACCCGGATTCATAAAGCGGGCTCTTAGAGACCTATGAAGCAACTTAGTTTCCTAAGCAATAATAGTGGGAGGTTTTAACATCCCACTGACAGTATTAGACAGATCATTGAGTCAGAAAATTAACCAAGATATCCAGGACCTGAACTCAACACTTGACCAAATGGACCTAAAAGACATTTACAGAACTCTCCACCCCAAACCAACAGAATATACTTTCTTCTCATTGCCAAATGGCACATACTCTAAAATCAACCAGACAATCAGACATAAAACAATACTCATCAAATTAAAAAAATCCCAAATCATACCAACCACATTCTTTGACCATGGTGAAAAACAGAAATCAATACTGAGAAAATCACTCTAAACCATACAATTACATGGAAATTAAACAACCTGCACTTGAATGACTTTTGGATAAATAATGAATTAAGGCAGAAGACAAGAAATTCTTGGAAAATAATGAGAACAAAGATACAACATACCAGAATCTCTGGGACACAGCTAAGGCAGTGTTTGGAGGGAAGTTTACAGCACTAAATTCCCACATCAAAAAGTTATAAAGATCCCAAATTAACAACTAAACATCAAAACTAGAACAACTAGAGAAGCAAGAGCAAACCAAACCCAAAGCTAGCATAAGACAAGAAATAACCAAAAGCAAAGCTGAACTGAAGGAAATTAAGACAAAAAAAAAATTATACAAAAGATAAATCCAGGAGTTGCTTTTTTGAAAAAATTAAAAAGATAGACAATTAGCTAGACTAATAAAGAAAAAAAGAGAAGACTCAAATAAACATAATTAGAAATGACAAAGAAAACATTACTACCAACTCCACAGAAATACAAATAACTGTCAGAGACCACTATGAAAACCTCTATGCACACAAACTAGAAAATCTGGAAGAAACTGGTAAATTCCTGGACACATAAAACCTCCCAAGACTGATCCAGGAAGAAACTGAATTCGCAAACAGACCAATAAAGAGTTCAAAAATTAAATCAGTAATAAAACACATACCAAAAAATAGAAGTCCAGGAACAGATGAATTCACAGCTGAATTCTACCAGATATATAAAGAGGAGCTGGTACCATTCCTACTGAAACTATTCCAAAAAAATTGAGGAGGAAGGACTCCTCTCCAACCCATTCTACAAGGCCAGCATCATCCTGATGCCAAAACCAGAGAGAAAAGCAACAACAAAAATAAAAACATCCAGCCAATATCCTTGATGAACATTGATGCAAAATTCCTCAACAAAATATTAACAAATTGAATCCAGCAGCACATCCAAAAGGGAACCCACCGTGATCAAGTAGGCTTTACCTCTGGGATGAAAGGCTGGTTCAATAGACACAAAACAATAAAAGTGATTCATCACATAAACAGAACTATAGACAAAAACCACATGATTATCTCAATAGATGCAGAAAAGACTTTTTATAAAATACAACATCAATTCATATTAAAAATCCTCAATAAACTAGGCATTCAAGGAATATACTTCAAAGTAATAAGAGCCATCTATGACAAACCTGTAGCCAACATCATACTGAATGAGCAATAGCTGGAAGCATTCCCCTTGAAAACTGGCATAATACAAGGATGCCCACGGTCACCACTCCTGATCAACATGGTATTGCAAGTCCTGGCCAGAGCAATCAGGCAAGAGAAAGAAATGAAAGGCATCCAAATGAGAAGAGAGGAATTCAAAACTATCCCTGTTTGTAGACTACATGATTCTGTATCTAGAAACCCCCATAGCCTCTGCACAAAATTTCCTTGAGCAATAAACAACTTCAGCAATGTTTCAGGGTACAAAATCAATGTACAAAAATTAGTACCATTTTTATACACTAATAACATCCAAGCTGAGGACCAAATCAGGAATGCAATTCAATTTACAGCTGCCACAAAAAGAATAAAAAAACTAGAAATACAGCTAACAGGGAGGTGACAAATTTTTACTGTCACCTGAGAATGAGGTGACAAAATGAGAATGAGAATTACAAAACACTGCTAAAAAAATTAGCAATGACACAAACAAATAGAAAAACATTTTATGCTCATGGATAGGAAAAATCAATATCATTAAAATGGCCATACTGTCCAAAGCAATTTACAGATTTAGTACTATTCCTATCAATTACATTCTTCACAGAATTAGAAGAAAACAACTGTAAAATTCATATGGAATGCAAAAAGAGCTCAAATAGCCAAGGCAATCCTAAGCAAAAAGAATAAAGCTGAAGGCATCATGCTACCTGACTTCAAATTTATACTACAGGGCTATAGTAACCAAAACAGCATGGTACTGCTACAAAAACAGACACATGGGCCAATGGAACAGAATAGAGGGCCCAGAAATAAGGCTGCATACCAACAAACACGTGATCTTCAACAAAGCTGACAAAAACAAGCAATGGAAAAGGACTCCCTATTAAATAATTGGTGCTGGGATAACTGGCTAGCCATATGCAGAAGATCAAGACTGGACCCCTTCCTTACACCGTATACAAAAATCAACTTAAGATGGATTACGCCGGGCACAGTGGCTTACACCTGTAATCCCGGCACTTTGGGAGGCCGAGGCGGGCGGATCACGAGATCAGGAGTTTGAGACCAGCCTGGCAACATAGTGAAACCCTGTCTCTACTAAAAATACAAAAAATTAGCCAGGTGTGGTGGCAGGCACCTGTAATCCCAGCTACTCTGGAGGCTGAGGCAGGAGAATTGCTTGCACCCCAGAGGCGGAGGTTGCAGTGAGCTGAGATTGTGCCATTGCACTCCAGCCAGGGCAATAGTGCGAGTCTCTGTCTCAAAAAAAAAAAAAAAAAAAAGATGGGTTAAATACTTAAATATAAAATGTAAAACTATAAAAACCCTGGAAGATAACCTAGGAAATACCATTCTGGACATAGGTACAGGGAAAGATTTCATGATGAAGATGCTAAAAGCAATTGCAACAAACAGAAAATTGACAAATGGGATCTAATTAAACTAAAGAGCTTCTGCACAGCAGAAGAAACTATCAACAGAGTAAATAGACAACCTACAGAATGGGAGAAAGTATTTGCCAACTATGCATCCAGCAAAGGTCTAATATCCAGAATCTATAAGGAACTTAAACATTACAAGCAAAAAAAAAAAAAAAAAAAAAAAAACTCACTAAAAGTGAGTAAAGAACATGAACAGACACTTTCCTCTGTCTCTGTCTCTTTCTCTGCCTCTGTCTCTGTCTCTCTCTCTCTCTCTCTTTTTTTTTTTTTTTTTTTTGAGACAAGCTCTTGCTCTGTTGCCCAGTCTGGAGTGCAGTGGTGCAATCTTGGCTCACTGAAATCTCCATCTCCTGGGCTAAAGCCATCCTCCCATCTCAGCCTCCAGAGTAGCTGGGATCACAGGCACATACCAACACACCAAGCTAATTTTTGTAATTTTGGTGGAGATGGAGTTTTGCCATGTTGCCCAGGCTCATCTCAAACTTCTGAGGTCAAACGATCCACCTGTCTCAGTCCCGCAAAATGCTGGGATTATAGGTAAAAGCCACTGTGCTTGGCCAACAGACACTTTTCAGAAGAAACCATATATGTGGCCAAGAAGCATATGAAAAAATGCTCAACATTACTAATTATTAGAGAAGTACAAATCAAAACCACAATGAGATATCATCTCACACCAGTCAGAATGACTATTATTAAAAAGTAAAAGAAAAATTATAGATGCTGGCATGATTGCAGAGAAAAGGGAATGCTTATCAACTGGTGGTGGGAGTGTAAATTAGTTCAGCCATTGTGAACAACAGTTGCAAATCCTCAAAAAACTTAGAATTACCATTCTATCCGGCAATTCCACTACCGGGTATATACCCAAAATAATATGAATTGTTCTACTATAAAATACATGCATGCATAAGTTGATTGCAGCACTATTCACAACAGTGAATACGTGGAATCAACCTAAATAACCATCAACAGTAGATTGTGTAAAGAAAATGTGTTACAAATACACCATGGAATACTACACAGTCATAAGAAAGAATGAGATAATGTCCTTTGAAGCAACATGGATGGAGCTGGAGGCCATTATCCTGGGAAAACTAACATAGGAACAGAAAACCAAATACTGCATCCTCTTACTTGTAAGTGGGAGCAATACAACAAGAACACATGGACACTAAGAGGGGAACAACAGACATTGGGGACTACTTGAGGGCAGAGGATTGGAGGACAGGGAAGATCAGGAAAAACACCTATTGGGTACTATGTTTATTACCTGGGTAGTGAAATAATTTGTATCCCACATCCCTGTAACATGCAATTTACCTATACGACAAACCTGCACATGTACCCCTAAACCTAAAATAAAAGTTAAAATAATAAATGAATAAATAAATAAATACAATTAAAATTTATTTTCATTTCCTCTTTGACTTTTCAGACATGTATTAATGGCCACATATTTGTAAATTTTCCAATTTTCTATGCTATTGATTTCTAGTTTTATATCATTGTGGTCAGAAAAGATATTTGATATGATTTCAATCTTCTCAAATTTGCTGAAACTTGTTTTGTAACCTATCATATGATTTATGCTACAGAATATTTCATGTGCACTTGAAATGAATGTGTATTCTGCTACTGTTGAATAGAATATTCTATATGTATCTGTTAGGTCTATTTGGTATACAGTGTTGTTCACATCCACTCTTTCCTTATTGATTTTTTATTTTTATTTTTTGGTATGGATGTTCTATCCATTGTTGAAAGTGAGATATTGAAATCCTTCACTACAACTATATTGCTCTTCGTTTCTCCCTTTAGTTCTGTTAATTACTATATATATATAGGTGTTCTGATATTGGGTACATATGTATTTACAATTGTTATGTTCTCTTAATGGATTGATTCCTTTATCATTATATAATGACCCTCTCTGTGTCTCATTACAGTTTTCTGCTTAAAGTTTTTTTTTTTTTTTTTGAGACAGAGTTTCGCTCTTGTTGCCTAGACTGGAGTGCAATGGTGCAGTCTCAGCTCACTGCAACCTCCGCCTCCCAGGTTCAAGCAATTCTCCTGCCTCAGCCTCCCGAGTAGCTGGCATTGCAGGCATGAGCCACTGTGCCTGGCCAAAGTCTATATTGTCAGGTATATTTATAGACACTCATGCTCTCTTTTGGTTATCATTTGCTTAAAGTATTCTCTTCCATTCCATCACTTTCAATGTGTATGTGTCCTTAAAGCTTAAGTGAGTCTTTTATAGGCAGCATATGGTCAGATATAGTTTTTAAAAATCCATTCAGCAATTGTATATCTTTGATTAGATAATTTAATTCACTTATATTTAAAATAATTATTGATAGGTAAGAATTTGCTATTGGCATTTTTGTTAGTTGCTTTTGTATTGCTTTGTTGTTCTTTTCCTCCTCTTACTGTCTTCCTTTGCCATTTAATGATTTGGTATGCTTTGATTCCTTTATATATGTCTTTTGTGTATCTACTACAGCTTTTTTCTTTGTGGTTACCATGAGGAGTACATAAATATCTCATAGTTTAAAAAAGTATATTTTAAGCTGATAAGAACATAATTTCTATTGCATGCAAAACTACACTTTTATAAATGACCAAAAAGTGTATGAGAAAGGGCTCAACGTCACTAATCAATAGGGAAATACAAATCAAAACCAATATGAGGTGTCATCTCACACCTGTTAGGATGGCTGTTATCAAAAAGACAGAAGATTACAAGTATTGGTGAAAATGTGGAGAGAAGGGAACCCTTGTACACTATTGGGGGAGGGGAGATTTTACATTGGAATAGCCATTATGAAAAACAGTGTGAAGTTTCCTCAAAAAATAAAAATCGGCCAGACATGGTGGCTCACGCCTGTAATCCCAGCACTTTGGGAGGCCGAGGTGGGCAGATCACAAGATCAGGAGATCAAGACCATCCTGGCTAACATGGTGAACATGGTGAAACCCTGTCTCTACTAAAAATACAAAAAATTAGCCAGGCGTGGTGGCAGGCACCTGTAGTCCCACCTACTTGGGAGGCTGAGGCAGAAGAATGGCGTGAACCCAGGAGGTGGAGGTTGCAGTGAGCTGAGATCATGCCACTGCACTCCAGCTTGGGCGACAGAGTGAGACTTCGTCTCAAAAAAAAAAAAAAAAAAAAAAACACTAAATAAAAAAAATAAAAATCAGAACTACCATATGATTTGACAATTCCACCACTGGGTATATATTCAAAGAAAATGAAATCATTGTGTCAAAGAGATGTCTGCACTTCTATGTTCATTCCAGCACTGTTCACAATAGCCAAGATACAGAATCAATCTATGTGTCCATCAGTGGATGAATGGACAAAAAGAAATGTCAGCTGGGTGCGGTGGCTCATGCCTGTAATCCCAGCGTTGTGGGAGGCTGAGGTGGGCAGATCACTTGAGCTCAGGAGTTCAAGACCAGCCTGTGCAACATGGTGAAACCCCGTCTCTACAAAACAAATAAACAAACAAACAAAAATCAGCCAGGTGCGTGCCTGTAGTCATAGTTACTCAGAAGATTGACATGGGAGGATCACTTGTTCCTGGGAGGGAGAGGTTGCAGTGAGCCAAGATCATGACACTGCATTCCAGCCTGGGCAACAGAGCCAGACTCTGTCTCAAAAAAAAAAAAAAAAAAAAAAAAAAGTCATGTATTTATATACAATGAGATATTATTTAGCTTTAAGGAATTTCTGCCATTTGAAATAACATGAATGAACCTGGAGCATATTATGTTAAAGGAAATAAACTAGACACAGAAAAACATACATTGCTTGATCCCACATATATGTGGAATCTAAAAAATTTGAACTCATATAAACAGAGAGTAAAAGGATTGTTACCAAAGTTTGAAGTGTGGGAGAAATGGAGAAATGTTGCTTCAAGAGCACAAACTTTCAATCATAAGATGAATGAATTCCAGGGATTTAATGTATATCATGGTGATTATAGTTAATAATACTGTGATGTATACTTTACATTTGCTAAGAGAAGAGATCTCAAGTATATATATCACACACACACAAACAAAACCAAATGTTTGAACTGATGGATATGTTATTTAGTGTGATTTTTGTGACTATTTTACAATGTATATGTATAATAAAGCACCATGCTATACAACTTAAAAGTTGCTGAGCTTCCTTAAAGCAATTAATTTGAATTCTTTGTCAGAGAGTTCATAAATTTTCATTTCTTTAGGATTGGTTACTCGTGCTTTAATTTGTTCCTTTGGTGGTGTCCTATTTCCTTGATTGTGCTTGATCTCTGTGGCTGTTAGTGTCTGCACATTTGAAGTAGAGATTTATTCCAGTCTTTGCATACTGACTTGGTTTGGGAAAAGCCCTTCACCAGTCAGCCTATGCAGAAATTCTTGGCAAGCTGTCTGGTATGGTTTGTGGATAGGCTTACTGTTCATTCTTAGGCACAATGGTCTAGTGCCTGGGTTAGCAGGTAGGTGGGCCTGGCACCAGGTCCATGGAGTTGGGCCTAGCACTTGAATTCACTGGGGTGGAACCTGTTGATTGAGTCCATGGGAGTGCACCTAGAGTCTAGGTCTGTGAGTGCAGGCTGGGAACCCATGTCTGTGTGACCTAGCCTGAAGCCTGGGTCTACAGGAGCTAACCTGGTGCTGGGGTGAGCCTTGAGCCTGAGTCCACAGGGGTCATTCAGGTACTGGGATTGGCCTGGCATCTGGGTCCACTGGGATGGTCCTGCAGCCTGAGTCCACAGGAGCCTATCTGGTGCTAAGGCATGCCTGGAGATTAAATTTGTGAGGGAAGGCCTGGGTCTTAGGTCCATAGGGGCTGGCTTGGAAAATAGATCTGCAGGGGTGGTCCTGGAGTCTCAGTTTACAGGGACTGGTCTAGCACCAGGGTATACTATGGTGGTGGGCCTGGATCCTGAGTCTCCTGGAGCAGGCCTGGACCGTGAGTCTACTGGAACCTAGTACCACAAGGACCAGTGTGGAGCTTGGGGCTGGCCTGCTGCTGGGGCAGGTGTTGAGCCTGGGTTTGTGAGTTTACATCTATTGTGTCCCCAAACTTTAATCACTCTAGAATCTAAATATATAGCGATCTGGCCCTTTTATCCTCCAATTACTGGTCTCCCTAATTTCACAGAGTAGCCAGAAAGTTTGCAGATAAAGAATATAATAGAGAATGGCATCAGCAAGATGATAGAATAGGACTTTCCAGGGCTTATCCCCTCACAGGAATATCAATTTGAACAACCATCCATGCAAGAAAATACCTTCACAAGAACTAAGGTGAGAGATTATGCCACCTGGGTGAAGCATGGAAATAAGATGCATTGAAGAGGGTAGGAAGGACAGTTTCATATTACACCCTTCCCCAAGCTCAGATAGAGCAGCTCAGAGAGAGATACCCTTCGCATGAGGGAAGGAGAATGAAGTGAGCACCCAACTTTGCTGCACACCCCAGCATCAGGCCCATCTCAGTGAACCCCAGCACGAGGCTAGACCAAGCCACCAGCCTGGCACCTGCAGACCTGGGCTCCAGGCCCACTCCAGCACCAGGCTGGCCTCCACTGTCCCAGGTTCCAAGACAGCCCTAGGTTCCAACAGTACAGCCTCTGTTGCCCCAGGCCCCAGGCTCCAGGCCCACCCACCGCAGCTCCAGGCCAGCTTCTGCAGACTCCAGCCTCAGAACTTCCCTGCAGATATAATCTCCCAGCCTCTAGTTTGGCCTCCAGTCAGACTCCAGGCCCATGCAGGCCAGGCCAGTCCCTGGAGCGCCAGGTTTCATGCGTGCCCCAGGTTCCAGACCAGCCCAGAGCCAGGTCGGCCCACACAGCCCCAGGCTTTAGGCAAGTCCTCTGGCCTCAGGCCCAAGGCCAGCACCCACTGATACAGGATCCAGGCTTGCCCAATACCAGGCCAGTCCCTGCAGCCCCATCTTCCAAGCTGGGCTCTACATCCCTATACTACAGCATACCAATGGTCCAGGCTCTCCCAGTATACCCTAGTACTGGGCTAGCCCCACAGACTCAGGATCCAGGACTGCCCCAGTGGATCCAAGTCCAGGCCAGCTCCCATTGCCCCAGTATCCAGGCCAGATCTTGCACCTAACCTCCAGGCCAGCACCCAAACACCCAGACTCCAGGCTGGCCCCATAGCCCCAGGCTCCAGGTCGGCCCCCATGGCTTCAGGCATGAGGCCACTATCCACAGTCCTAGGCTCCTAACCAGTCTCCAATTTGAGGGCCTTTGCTGTGAGGGGTTTCTAGGGGCATTGTAGCATAAAGTAGTGAGGTAACACATAGGAATAGTTTAATTATTAGAGACTTTTTGACATTTCATTATTATTTCACTTTTTTTTGTTTTTTAGACTTCTTTGTTAAAAGATGGGAGTAGGGACACAGTAAAGTTTCCATAGGAATATTTCTACCTTCTGTTATGATGATTCGAGTTTCACCTATGCTGGCCTTAGTATTTGGTAGCATTTAATATCGTGTTTTTAAACTTACCACTTGAACTTGATTCTGTGCTTGCCAAGCAAACTAAATGGAGGGTCTAAACGGAAGATCTCAGCTCAAGAAGCTTCTGTCCTGTCATACTAATTAGCACATGCCTGAATCTGACTGGACAGCCCAGGGCAGAGTGAGTCAACAATGGCTAATCTACTCTGTGCTTCTTATAGGAACTGTTTATAACCAGAGGTGCCCATTGCAGTGTGTGTGTCTGGCTGGGGGGACTTCTGCCCTTATGTTTACAGGACTTAAGGCCTGATTTCAGGACATGTTGGGGTGCTCTTACAATTAATTTTAGTGATTCTATAGATCCTATCCAAGCTTTATTAAGATGCCAAGCACCCACCCACTCCCATAACCCCCACAGTACCCCTGAATTAGTGTCATAGAATGTGAGACAATCAGAGAGCATCTTAATGCCTCCATGGTGAGTGCAAGGACACTACTGTCCTCTTCTTTTGGTGGAATTTATGGTTGCTGTTATTGCTATGTGTTTTAAGCTTTTTGGTACATATTACCAAAATAATGGGGCTCTATCTTTCACTTTTGCAAAGGGTCTCCTGGGGGCAATCAATCATTAAAGAAAGCCCAGGGAAGAGGATAAAGTCTGAAAATTTCATCTGTCTTTCTGATAACCTGAGTCTGGAAAGCCTTACCAAGCAATGGGCTCTTAGTGTACCAGTAAGCCAAAAGCATGCCTCAAAAACTTCAGTTGTCTTCCTACAATGCCTGGAAATTATAATGCTATTAGCTGAGGTTCATAGGATGGAATATGCAGGGTGATTTCCTTGAGTGACAACTGTCTAGGACACATCTTTACTTTGGTGTCTAATGGCATCTCAACCTTTTAATGCTTAAAGACAGAGAATAAGGCTTCCTGGCAAAGGGAACAGGTTAATCCAAGTCCCTGAGGCTGTCTATGACACATCTTTACTGTGGTGTCTAATAGACATCTCAACATTTTAATGCTTAAAGTAGAACTTTTGGTTCCTTTCTCACCCCATACCCACACATCTATCCATACCTCTATTCCTTATCAAATGGCCCAAAAGCTAATAGTCACCTTCTTCTATCCACATCCAATCCATTGGTAATTCCGATGGGTAGATTGCTATGTGTATTTGAAATCTGTCTACTTCTTATCATTTGCACTGCAAGTATAATCCAGAATATTATTATTTCTCCTGAATTACACAGCAGCACCCTCATAGCCTTCCTTAAACCCTGACTTTGCCCCATGATTTTTTCCTTCTAGTAGCTCCCTATAGCAAGTAGAACAAAATAGAGTCTTTACCATGGCTTGCAAAAACTCTTCACAATCTAGCCTCTGCCTACCTCTCTGGCCTTATCTCCCACTACCCTTGCCTGTCGCCCTAGCTTTCCTTAAATGTACCAAGCTTGTTTCAGCCTCAGGGACTTAGATTAACCTGTTCTCTTTGCCAGGAAGGCTTATTCGCTGAATCCTTAGACAACTGCTGTCTTCTCATCATTCCAGATGCAGTTCAAATATCTTCATCTTAGAGAGGCCTGCTTTGTCTATCCTAGCCAAAATAGTCTTCTGCCCATCGCTCTATCTCATTATTCTGTTTCTTTTTGTTTTAGCACTCATTACCATCAGAAATTTTATTATTTATATATTTACATGCTTATATATATGTATATGTGTGTGTGTGTGTATATATATATAGTTTTTTTTTTTGAGATGGAGTCTCACTCTGTCACCCAGGCTGGAGTGCAGTGGCACGATCTCGGCTCACTGCAAGCTCCGCCTCTGGGGTTCAGGCCATTCTCCTGCCTCAGCCTCCCGAGTAGCTGGGACTACAGGTGCCTGCAACCACACCTGGCTAATTTTTTGTATTTTTAGTAGAGACGGGGTTTCACCATGTTAGCCAGGATGGTCTTGATCTCCTGACCTCGTGATCTGCCTGCCCGGCCTATATTTGGTCTTTATTAACTAGACTATAATCTCCATGAGGGCAGAAACTATATGGTCTCTAGTGATGAAAATAATACTAGTTTAGGCAAAGAAGCCAAACTTTAGCAAAGAATATTATTAGTTTTATAACCATGTAAAGAATATGTATCAACTACTCCTTGGCTTTGGGAGCCAAGACACATATGGTCATCTGGGAGAGGTGAAGGCATGCAGAAAAATACGCAAGATAGCTGAAAACAAAAGGAAGCTATCTTTGAAGGCTTTGTTCATTCAAAGGAATAGGGCAAGATCTGGATAAGTCAAGGGCAACTACATAGCATAGCCTAGAACCAGAGGAGGCAACTTGGAGAAGAAGTAGAAAACACAATGGGCAAACCAAAAAAGATGAGATTTGAACACTGATTCAGGGCAAGTGATTGAGCCCATCATAAAATAATGCCAAATCAATTCCACCCTAGCAGCTGGTTCTAGAATCCATTTCAATAATGTACATCTTGACTATGTACATGGCTTATCTTCATTGGCATTTTTTCCCTTTAGGCCCCCATGCTCCATTAAAGAACAAAACTATTTCACATATATTTTTTACATAAGGGTTAAAAACTGTATGTTAAGTGAAGTATCATACCACAAATACACAATAAAATGAATATAAAATGAAAAATAGTCAATGGGTTCATTAACAGAATCATGACAGATTTATTTTCAATTTGTATAAATGTCCATAGAGAATTATTCTTTAGTTTTAGTTTTCTATTTTCATCTTTAAGAACCATGAAATCCAGTTTTTGGACAAAGAGTTTCTCTAAAAGATGGAGTTTGTCTATAGACTAATTTCATTAGAAACGTTCTTTCAACATTAGCTTTCATTATCTGTAAAATGAGACAGTAATAGCAAGTAATAAAAAAAACCCAAATATCTCTTTCAGTTTCTTACATAAATGCCTTTTTTGTTGTTGTTGAGACAGAGTCTTGCTCTGCTCCCAGGCTGGAGCACAGTGGC
The DNA here is from genome assembly GCF_000001405.40 of Homo sapiens. NCBI lineage: Eukaryota > Metazoa > Chordata > Mammalia > Primates > Hominidae > Homo > Homo sapiens. The sequence continues at coordinate 197,784,444 of NC_000001.11, read as the reverse complement.
ATGATTTCTTCCTGCAGCCTGCACCTCCCAGGTTCAAGCGATTCTCCTGCCTCAGCCTCCAGAGTAGCTGGGACAACAGGCCCATGCCACCGTGCCCGGCTAAGTTTTATATTTTTACTAGAGATAGGATTTCACTATGTTGGCCAGGCTGGTCTAGAACTCCTGACCTCAAGTGATCTGCCCACCTCAGCCTCCCAAACTGTTGGGATTACAGGCATGAGCCACCATGCCCAGCCCATAAATGCCTTTTTTAATCCTCCAACTTGTACAAAAAACTGTTAAAGAAAGGTATGATTACAGAAGTGTTTAGTGTGGCTTATAATTCATATTTAAAGATATCAACAAGGTATCACCTTGACTGAGGATTTTAAAAAAATACGATATTAACAAGGGAGATGACATATGATAATAAATGTTTCTGAATTGAAATATAGACTCACTTGAGCTTTGCTCGCTTTTGATTTGAGAGAGAGAAAGCAAGAGTGAGTGAGTGAGGAGAGATGCATATGTGCTTTATGAAGAAAATGGCTTTTGTAAATGACTCAGTAGTATGCAGACTGACTTTTATTTCCTGGTGCCTCTGGCAGACATGGGAAAGTGCATTCTTCCACACAGGCGTTCTTGGAATAAAATGTCCCTGTAGAGTTAGCTTCCTGCTTCATCATTTATAGTACCTGTTTTACCTCCTAATCTATACCTCACAGAACTATTGAGAGGCCTAGCTAATAAAAAATGGTCATAAAGCACTTGGCAAAATCACAACAACTATAAAAAAGAATAAATGCAAATGTGGTAAAGCTTGTCTTTCTGGTATGTCCATGAAGTCTTTGTGCATGAAATGATACAGTGACTCAAATGTTAAAGTTTTTTTTTCTTTCACAAACTGGGAGTAGTTAAGCCAGCTGGTTTGCTGGAGTGAGTTGTTTCTAGCTCAATAGTAGGCCACTTGATTTAAAACCTTCCTACTAATTCTAATATTAAGCCTATCCTCATGAATTCCTGCATACATTATGTAATAATTAATGCCTGCTTATTTAAAGAGGAAGTACAACATGTTTGTGTCAAAAATCAGATAGGCATATAAATGGGTTGTGTAGTAATCAATGGCTGTACCTACATCATCACAGAATCTGAATTAGCAGCACCTATTTGGTAGTTTTATTAAGTAACCATAGGGAGAACACAGTATAATTACTATGCACAGTATACATACTAATGTCATATGTTCCTGATCCACAACTCAGTCCAAGAGGGAAGTGAAGGGAAGGCCCAGGAAACAGCTGTGCAGCAGGCAGAAAGAAGTCACTACACACTGATGCAGTAATTTTATTAAGTCACTTGCATACAGTCAGGCAAATGGACAGGATCATGGGTCCAAATTCCTCCTTTCCATTCCAGCCAAGCCCAGCTGTCCTGATTGGCAGTCTCGAGAAGAAGGGAAGAAACTTCTGGAATTATGCACCGTGAATGAAGAAAGTCAGGTGAGACTGCATCCTTTTTACAAAGGAAACATATAAGTTCTCACCAAACTAAGAAGACGTTGATCAGTTTCACAGATCCTTCTTTCTGTTCCTTCTTTCCCAGAGAAGATTACAAGCAAAAATGGTCTTACCAGACCATTTTTTGGCAAGTCTTACTTGCCTAAGACTTGGGTCTGTGACATCAGAAACAACAGCAGAGAGAAAGATGATGTCCATACTTTTGAAGCCCAGAAGAACTCTCAGTCCTTGTTCATTTTTATCTTGTTATAATTTGCAATAGTAAGAGATGGGGAGAGTTTGTCATCTGTTTTGGAGTTACAAGTCTCTGTTTCATATGAACTTGTGCTGTGGAATTATACCATTTGACCTGGTATTTGACTGAGTTCTATTTGCTGGAATGTTGCACTTTTCCCCTTCTAGAATTGATCATATACAAATGCATGTAATGTTTGGCTAGTTATTTTCTCATATTTTAGGAAAGCAAAACTTGGCACACAGCAATTTGTTTTGATAATCTCTCTATTTACGTTAGGATTAGGGTTGCTTATGGGGCTGCTGATTTTGTTGAACTATTATCATCATGTTAGATGATCATTTATGTTTCCTTCCAGAAAATTCTAATGACATTGCTCATTGGATGTGATTACTCATTCTCCTGAGAGTGTTAAATGGGTGTGAGCAGAGCTGCCATACAAGGAAGACTGTATTTACGTGGAGTATCTTGTAGGTGGGGTTGGGAAATTATTTCCCATGCAATGCCACATGGTTACACAAACACAGCACTCTTTCTTGAAGTCCAAAGGAGAATCCTCAAAGAATCTCTGAAGAAAATTTGACTCCACTGATTACCATCTGTTGGTGACACTCTGCTTCAATTATTCTTTGTTCTGAACTCCAAGGACTGTTTTAAGTTCTACAATGTCTGGCAGATTGAGGAACAAAGATAAGGGAGAACAAGCAGAAACTGGTCAGAGGTAAGAAAATTTATTTACAATTTTTGGCAAATCACCTGAAAAAGGCAGAAGAAGATCTTTTGCTGTGCTGTATTATTTTTGAGAATTTTACTGTATTTTCTTACTAAAAGTTTAACAGCAAGATATACAAATATCATCATCGACCCATTGAATTTTAGAAATATTTGGATATGTTCAGATTTGGTAGTAAAGGTGTCAAAATTTATCTGAGTTCTTTTGTCCACAAACTGGAAGACAACATTTTTATTAAACTGGATTTTAAATCAACATAGAATGCTAACTCTATGAGCTTTGAGGTGTGAAACAACTCAGAAAGGCAAACTTTCAGGGAAGATATTGATCCCGAATCCCCACCTCCATCTTCTCTTTATTTTAAAAGTATTTCACATGTCTTGTTGAGGGAGATTTTACCTTCAGATTGAAATTCATGATATTGCTGCTAAGTATAAAAAGGACAACATGCCAGGAGGATGTTTTCCTTAACAACACTATCTCAGTCAATATTAAAAGGCAGGTCCTGATAAAATAATTTAAAGATAGTTTCCTAAGAGCTTCAATAAATTCAGTTTGTTAAATACTTTATAACTTTTCTTCTATAATAAATGAAGGTGGTAATACTATTAATAAATTTCACCTAAGAATAGTAATAAGAGGTTGTGCAGAGTTAGTCTAGGAAATGCCTGACTTGGATACATGTTAGCTACAACTCATGAGATGCTTGCCTCAAAAAATTCATTTCTAAGTTAATTGTTTGGAACTCAAAATCTTCATATACATTGGTGAGGCTTATGAGTCTAGTCGAGTTAATTTATACTGAACCTGAAGCATTATTAATAGTATTATTATTTTTAAAAATACCATTCTAGAGTTTACAATAGTGTTTATTATTTCGCATTCAGAAGGGAAAGGAGCTGTCAACTTTAGTAGTCCTGGGTATCAGTAACTCTTCACTTTTGTTTAAGGCATATTACTACAAGGATTCAATGAATAAGTGGTTGGGGTTGGGAAGCCAGGAGTTACCTTTCTAATTGTCATAGTACACTGGAAATCAGGGCAGTTGGCTCACTAAAAGCCCTGAACTTGGGTTTCTCTACACCATTAATATATAGGGATATATAAGTTGGGGACTTTTTGGACCTGGTTTGAGGAAAGTGGACCTTATTAGGTGGATTAAAAAGTTGCAATTAGTCCATTTTACATGACACTATAGTCAGAACCAAGTAATTATCCATTATAGTCTGATCAAAACTTGCATGAAAATCAACTAAAAATTCAGAATTAAGTATTTTTAAAAGCTTGCAATGCATTGAAGAGCAGGCAATCAAGTGAGAATACTTAGGGGTGGAGGATGGGGGACAAATAAAAGTAGCTACAAGAGCCACCTCTCTCTGTAATCCCAGCACTTTGGGAGGCCGAGGTGGGTGGATCACGAGGTCAAGAGATGGAGACCGTCCTGACCAACATGGTGAAACCCTGCCTCTACTAAAAATACAAAAATTAGCTAGGCGTGATGGCAGGTGCCTGTAGTTCCAGCTACTCGGGAGGCTGAGGCAGGAGAATTGCTTGAACCCAGGAGGTGGAGGTTGCAGTGAGCCAAGATCACGCCACTGCACTCCAGCCTGGCGACAGAGCGAGACTCCATCTCAAAAAAAAAAAAAAAAAGAAAAGCCACCTTTCATCTTCATCTTTAGGGTTTTTCCTAAGCTGGATGAACTGGAAGACCATGAACTGTTATCATGGTCTTATGGGTCTTCAGACCCTTCCTAATGTGGGAAATCCAACAGGATACTCTTCATAAAGCTGATACACCCCAAAGGTATTCAAGGACAATTGTCTCAAACAATGGAGCATAGTTAAGGGGAAAAAAGCTTCCCAGAGGATTCATAGCTACAAACCAGGTCTCACATGAATGGTCTGAAGAATTTCAAGCTGAGAATTTAGTGTTTATGTTTCTGAATTGCTAGTGATCCCAAGCATCTACCAGCAGTAAATTAATATCTTCTCCAGAGAACTCATTTTCATTTCAGCTGTCACTCAATTTCTATATATAAAGTTCTAAGGATCACATAACATAAAAAGAAATCACATACATAGAAGAAATCAAGAGACCATAAGTATGAACAAGTAGAAAAAAGATCAGTTAGTAGAAGCAGACCCACAAATGCTTCAGATATTGGAATTTTTAGAAATAGAATTTAAAGTATATATATTAAATATTTTTAATAAATTAAAGAGATGCTGAAAATATGAGTTAAGAGAATACAGATTTGGAAAATAACCAAACAGAACTTTAGAAATAAAAATAATATAAATTAAAAACTAAATGGGTGACTTTGACAGAAAATGAGACAAAGCTGAAGAAAGAATTAGTGAACAGAATATTTTTGAAATTTTCCAGAATACAGCGTAGACAGATAAAGAGAGACATACTATAAAAGAGATGTTTGACAAACATGGAGGGTAGAATAACACATGTGTTATCAGAGTCCCAGAAGGAATGGAAAGAAAGGAGTCCAGAATTTTCCAGAACTGATGAAAGTCACCAATCCAGAGTCAAGAAAATTAAAGAAACCAAGAAACATGGATGAATAAAAATCTACACCTAGATACTTCACAGTGAAACTATAGAAAACTAAAGACAAAAATGAAACATCATAAATGCAGTCAGAGAGAAAAAACAGATGACATTTTAAGATTACTTTCAAAGTTCCAATTGTTATTAGGGAACTTAGAAGACAGTGTAATGATATTGATAACATGCAGAAAGAAATAATAGTAAACTTTGAATTCTTCATCAGTGAAAATATTTTTCAAGAGTGAGGGATAAATAAATACATTCCAACTCAAACAAAAAGGGAAAGAATTTTAGGCAGAAGGAAAGTGATCCTACACAGAAGATCTAAAATGAAAATACAAAAGAATGGTAAAGTTCTGAGTAAATCTAAACAAACATGGACTGTATAAAACAACATTCATAATGCATTTTTGGGGGGATTTTAGTTTTGAGGGGGTTTTAGAGGTTCTTGTATTGTTTGAGAGAGGGTGGATATCCTTGTGAACTCTGGCTTTAATCAGTTAAAATGTACCTATTAAAATTTCTAGGATAACTCCTAAATGAATAGAAACAGAGTAAATAACTTCCAAACTAGAAGAGGTGGGGGCAGAAATGAAAGCATAAATAGTAATCCTAAAGAATGCAAAAGTGAAAGAAAAAAACAGATCAGAAGAAACAAACGGGAAGTACAAAATTAGATGGCAGAAATAGATTTAAATTTATCAGCATTTTTCTCTCTTTTTTTTTTTTAATTTTTTTTAGACAGTGTCTCACTCTGTCAACCAGGCTGCAATGCAGCGGCATGATCTTGGCTCACTGCAACCTCTGCCTCCCAGGTTCAAGTGATTCTGAAGCCTCAGCCTCCTTATTATCTGGGACTACAGGCTTGCACCACCCACCACACCCAGCTAATTTTTGTATTTTTAGCAGACAGGGTTTCACCAAGTTGGCCAGGCTGGTCTTGAACTCCTGGCCTCAACTAATCTACCCGCCTTAGCCTCCCAAAGTGATGGGATGACAGGCATGAGCCACTGCGCCCAGCCTAAATTTATCAACAGTTTTAATACATGCAAATTGTCTAGGGGTTTGATGTAAGAGCTAAAGATGATCAGACTAGATTAAAAATCAAGACTAAAAATTTTAGATAAATTTGAAACATGATGGTTTAGAAAGTTTGAATGTAAAAGGATGAAAAGAGATATCCTAACATCAGACAAATACTATTCAGAAGAAAACTGTTTAGAATCTAAGGCAAAAGTACGATTGGAGGTAAAGAAAGTAACAACATAATGATGAATGGTTGTATTTATTAGGTAGATATAGAAATTATAAACTGATGTGTATATTATTACACAGCCCCAAACTGTGTAAGGTAGAACCTGAAAGAACTATAGGCTGAAATAGAAAAATCTACCATCATGTTGGGATATTTAAACTCATCTCTCCCATTAATTGAATTATGTCAAGCAGATGCAAATTCAGTAATAGAAGATGTCAACAACACAATCATCGTATTTGATCATGGACATATATTTAGAACACTGTACCCCAAAGCTGCAGAATATATATTCTTTACAAACCACATACAACATTTAAGTCTTGAAACATTTAAAAAATTAACTAAATTAATTAATTAATAAGAAATTAATTAATAAATAAAGACCATGTTCTTTGACAACAATACAGACTATGTTCTTTGACTGGTATGGTCCTGAAAACTGTTAATATTAATTGTCGAGTAGGAAATATCATTGCTGAAATATGATCTTGGGAAGATTTAAGACTAATTTGAAGGTTTGCCCTTTGTACACTTCTCTATCAGTCATATGGGAAGTTCTATATGAAATGAGTATTACTAAAGTTATACCATCGATTTCATTAAAGCTATTACCAAGGTAAGTGTATGATATTTGTTTTCTAATTTTTTAACACCTCATGCATGTAGATCATGTACACCTATGTTCCTATCCCTTTTATTTCAGTAATAACAGAACAGATAAATCTCTTCATTATGGTCAGCCTAAAAGCTCACTTAAAAAGATTTGCTTTGGGATGCGAATGTGTAGTATTTCCCTCGATGTACTTAACATAAATGGAATGAAGAACAATTTTATACTGTTCAAGGGTATGACTGTCATTTAAAATAAAATCCCAACAATGGATGAGGAAAACAATTGTATTATTATCTCCTCACACCAAATTAAAAAGTCCTCAATATGGTCACCCCAAGTAGGGTTCCTTTCTTTGGAAATAATTAATTATAATGAAAGGAGAAGTTTGAGAAATTCAGTAACAGTTGGGGCAGAAGTGGCTTTTAGCTTACGAATTTTTTTTTTCAAGGCTTTGGAGTATGGTCACTTATGCAGAAAAATCTTTATTTGGGAAAAGAAAACTTATGTAGTATAGTTTGCCTAATTGTGAAACTGAAATTCACAGAATAATTTCTCAAAAGATAATACAAATTTGTAGCACCTGTTTTACTTGAACATCACACTGCTCATGTGATGTACAAGTAATAATTCCCATTTTACAAATGTAGGAACCGAGAAACTGAAGTGTCTCACCCCGAGTCAAGCTATGACAACACTTTATGATAAACACATTTTTTTTTTGTTTGTTTGTTTCCCAGTTATGGCCCGTCCTCATTTTTTACTAACAGGCCCATGGCTATACAATATTTCTGATCCTGTTGACCAAGTAGTACCCAATTTTGGCAAGAAAGTTTAAGGTTATATAACTGAGTGCAACTTCAGGTTCTCTGACTCTTGAGTTTTTTAATTCTTAAGACTCCTTTTCTGACTTTTATGTCTTATGACTCACACTACATTCATACCACATTTGGTTTCCTCTCATCATCTTAACTTCTGCATGAATAAAGTCTGAAGTAACCACCTTTTGGAAGAAACACTGTGGCTATGTGTCAAGGGTGGCAGTGTTAGCTGGGAGAAGGCCTTTCCCAGAAGATCTCTGTGTAAGAGCCTGGCCTTCCACAGTCATTTGAATGTCCATCATAAGACTTTTCTACCTGTCTTCTCAGTAGATCCTAAATATGAGACAGCAGAGGAGGGAGACAGGCAATATGAGGTAGAAGTAAATAATCAGCATCAGATAGACCTGGTGTGAACTCCAGCTTTGCCATTACTCCCTGGTTTCTTCATCTGTAAAATGCTGATGAAAGTATCTATCACACACCTATGACAAGTACTGGGTGAGAGTGCACATAACCTGCTTCACATGTGCTTTAGGGCTGTGTAAATCAGTCCCTCCCACGCTTATTCAGTGGTGCCCTCTCTGAACTCGCCTAAACTGCCAGACTATGAGGCCTGCGACTATGTACATGTGTTCAAAAGTTAGTCCTTGGTTATCACTGCAGTCTGTGGTATAGGAATGTCTGCCTCCCACATGCGCAGACAAGTGGGGCACTACCATTTGGCTACTTGACAGGGCTATTTAGCAGGTGCACATGTCTGAACATTCCTGAATCAGGAGGGGGTAGCTCTGGATTTCAGAGAGCTGTAAGCAGGCCACAGCTGGAGTGACGCAAGAGCCAGGGGCATCAACTTGAGCTCTGAATTTGTAGTATGAAATGAAAGGAACCCAAGTCCGTGTGTATGTGTGTGGAAAACACTGCAGGTCGAGGTACTTTTCCAGGTACTTCGCCCTTTGTGGGGTTGCAGCCCCGACGCCCTGGAATCTGGACTGGACCCAGAAAGGAAGCCGGTTTGGTTCATGCTGAGGACACAGGGGGCACCTTGCCTTTCTGGCTAGGTGGCAAAGCGGTACGTGGGCCATCCCAGCAGGCACTAGCGCTCCCCCTGCACCCTCTGGCCGCCCGGGCGCGGGGACCTGGCCCCCGCCTCCTCCACAGTCTCCGACTTGCGAGCCGCACGGCCCAGGTGAAGCCGCTGGGCGCGTCCCCGCGCGCCCCTTCCCCCTCCCGGCGACTTCCTGATTTGCAAGAAGGTGCAGGAGCCGCAGCGGGCGGCCCCGGTCGCAGGAACTGAGAGGCCTCAGCTTTGGTGGCGGCTACCGGCGGAGACGGGGGCGGCGGCCACGCCACCGCTGCTGTCACAGAAAGGCTCTGGTGGGTGGGGTGGGAGGCGGGGAAGTGCCGGGGGCGCAGCCGACATGGGCCCGCCGCCACGGCTGCTGTGAGCAGCCTCTTTCCCTGTGTGGCCGCCGGCGTGGGCGGGGACGGCGCGACCCTCGCGCGGCCGGGCTGCGGGCTTCCAGGCCAGCGCGCGGGGGCCGGACGGACAGCCCCACACCGACATGTAACCATGGACTGCAGGACCAAGTGAGTGGGGGGGCCCGGGCGCGTCGGGGGCGGGCGTCCCTCGGCGGCCCCTCCCAGGCCAGCTCGGCTCCTCCGCGCCTCCGCGCTCAACCGGCTCCCCGGGCGGCCGAGGTTGGCCGGGCGGGCTGGGGGTGCGGTCCGGCCCCCAAGCCTCTGGCCGGCCGGCGGGACGGCGCTAGGCCGCAAAGCCTGCCCGCCCTGCGTCCCCGGCCCTCCGTGGTTGGCGCGGCTCCTCCCGGAGAGGCCACTAGCGCCTTGTCGACGCCCGCCTTTCGGGGGACAGGGGAGGCCGGGCGGCCCCTGACACCGCCGCTGAGGGGTTCTCGTGCTTCCCCCGAGTGTGTCAGATGTGACTCTCCTGGGGCTGCCTGTGTGCGTGTGGTGTCCGGGAGGGAGTCAGCGTTGAGGTTAAGAGGTTATTATTCCGAGTGCTCTCTGAGCATTAAATATAACCGGTGTTTTCTTAAGTCCGTTTGTTACTTTTGTCTTGGATGTTTTCTTATGATTCTGCTTATAAAATTAGATTGGTCTCTGGTGTTTCTTTATGCAGCAACTGTAGATGCATGGTTCTTGCAAAACGGTATCCAATTAGAGGGTACTTTTATGTGTGTGCTAAAGTATTTATCAACGACTACTTTGCTCAGGAGATTAGGTAAAAAGCAATTTTAATAACGGTGGTGATTTTGTTTCTAGGTATCTTAGAGGCATGAGTTTTATATTTTTCTTCTGAAACTTAACTTTGGAAAGAATTCCTTTTTACTTCGCTTACCCACCCTTTACTATCTCCTTCTCAAAAAGTTTAAAATAATGCCATGTATATTTGTATTATTGTGAAAGGCCGTTTGAATTTCACAGAAGTAAAACTGAGTCAATATTTAACTTTTACACCTAAGAGAAATTCTAAAGAATATTAGGGAAAGAGGGAAATTATGTAATAGAATTATTTTCTTCAGTGTGTTTGACATCATGGTGGGCAGGGTAAGTGAGTAAAAATAGTATGCTTCTTGACATTAATTGTTTTAAGAGGGAGGAAGTCATCTGAGCCCAGATTATTCCCATTGAAACAAGTTAATAGCGGAAAGGCTAAAAAAATGTATATTTGCATGTTAATTTATATGTCTTGTCACTTCCTATGTTTCCAGATTCATATCTTATAAGAAAAGCTTCCAAAAAAAGAAATGCTTTTTTTTAAAGTCAGAGCTGGCATTCGTTTCTTGAAGGAAGTACATATTAAATACAGCCAATGTACAAAGGCACTAAGGTCTTGTTAGCAGGAATAACTGAGATATTAACACATTGGCCGTTGTGGTAACAGACTTAATCTTTTACCTTATGATGGAACGAGAGATTTAAACAGCAATGTTATGAAGAAAAAGTGTCTCAGTATATTTCAGTTCACTTTTTGAAATTTAACCAATGTTGCTTTGAAATTTTGCAAATATGGCAAGTTAGTAAAAAAGTCAATAACTTCTGAATTAAGCAAAGTAAACTTACAGTTTCTAGTGGGAAAATCTAACATGGAAGCAGATGGCTGGTTTCTCCAAAGATAATGGATAAAAAGAAGGCTTTTTATGTTGCTAGCCTTAGAGCTATGAATAGTTTGCTACTTTAAATATGCATAAGTACAGTAAATACATTTTAAGAAAAGTATATGCAACGTATCACATTCATGGAGCATTATCAATGTTTTATGGTGATCTAGAACTTGGCAGGTGGAACCATGTATTCATCATTTACACTTATATTGCAAGTCCTTTGGAGACAGCCTGAGAACCTGTGTCAAACTCTGTTGGCAGGGTATAATGACACTTAGGGACACTCTGGCTTTTAAATTTGATCCAATAAGATAAAACCAATACTTTGCATTTTTGTAGCACTTAGTACTTAATGAAGTACTTGCACATATGTTATTTGATTTATAATCCTCACTATTATTCTGTGAAGTGGACAAGGCACCTCATAGGTAAGGGAGAACAGTCTCAGCGTTTAAATGCTTTGCCCCAAGTTTCAGAATTCCTAAGTCTCAGCTCTTTTAAGTTGCTCAATTGAGAAAACAGTTTCATTGTTATTTCTACTATACTGTAGTAATACAGTCACGTGAAATGTATTGAGACAAAAACAAGATTAGTTTTAGAATTAAGAAAATACAAGTTTCATGGAGATGTTTATTTGTCATAGGAAATTAATTTAAACTTTTTCCTTTTAGGGCAAATCCAGACAGAACCTTTGACTTGGTGTTGAAAGTGAAATGTCATGCCTCTGAAAATGAAGGTATGTGTCTTCTGTGTTCTGTTATTTGACAAGGTCTCTTTTTTTTGGGACAAGATCTCATTCTGTTCCTCAGGCTGTGCAGTGGCATGATCAGGGCTCACCACAACCTCTCCTTCCCGGGTTCAGGTGATCCTCCCACCTCAGCCTCCCGAGTAGCTGGAGCTACCAATGCACACCACCATGCTCAGCTAATTTTTGTATATTTTTTTGTGGAGACAGGGTTCACCACGTTGCCCAGGCTGGTCTTGAACTCCTGGGCTCAAGTGATCCACCCACCTTGCCCTCCCAAATTGTTGGGATTACAGGCGTGAGCCACTGTGCCTGGCCTGTTCTGTTAATTCTTAAAATAATTGATTGAATCTGTCAAAGCAAGTGTTAATATTGTGGACTGCTGGAACATGGTAGTAATAGGAAAATAATACTACTAAATGTGTATTCTGCATTGAGTGTCTCAAGTTGCTGGTAATAAAATAGGTGTTAAGTCTTTGCCCTGGGATTGTAAAAATCATGAATGTTATCAGTGCAGCTTGAATTTCAGGTGTGTTGTTAAGCCCATATAACTTACAACTCAGCTTCACCATTCGTTGGTAAAGTTATCATTAGTTTTGGTGAAAGGGCGAATCTTTTCATTTTCTTTCATTTATGTTTGGAAATTTAGTGTCTTTTTTTAAACATTAGTGCACATTCTCCTGCTAGTACCAATGGAAACTACACCACTTCCCTTCTGATGTTTCCAGAACGCAGAATGCAGACTGAGTAGCCCCTTCTGTTGGATTTACTCCAATAGCACAGCACTTTTGCAGGGAGGTAAACGATAGTGTGAAATTACTTGGAAGGGTTTCAGCTGTCAGTTCCGTACAATTTCCTGAAAAGATGAGAGCATAATACTTTAATGTCATGATTTTCATCATTTCCCTCCACTTTTGTCATATTGTGTATTGTGCATATGTGTGGTAGGCGGCAGGGTTAGCAGACAAGAATAAGGAATTCTTTTCTTGCCTATTTTCTTTTAATGTGTTCTTGCATGGTATGTCTTTCTAGATACTTAAAGTATATGTCTTTACTTGCTGTGTGCTTAGACCCTGGATAGCATGATGATTAAGCATAGGGGTTTCGTGGAGACTGATTGGCCATCCTAAAGCCTTGGAGGAAAGTCTGCTGACAATTTTAGCTTCAGAAACTATCCAGCAATTACCTACTCTTAAGTAATTTGGAGCTGCACACCTTAAAATAGAGAAGCCCAACCCAGTTGTGGTGAAATGGGCATGGCTAATTTTAGTATGAAGTCACATATTGTTGGCTCCACCAGCCCTACTACTGTACTCCTGGTCTATCTGAACTGCAGCTGTGGTCAGGTTTGTCTATTGGCAAGGAGTGATCCTAGGTTGTAGGGAGCCTTTTCTAGTTGATGAAGTTATCTTTTATTGTCCTGTATGTAGTAAAGTTTGTCCATTTGCATTATTTTGAGCCCCAACCGGGTCCTCTTTGAAGAATGGATATATTAGGTAGAATGGATACTCAAATGGATACATTATGTTTTCAGCTCCAATTTAATTCTATTCTATAGTGGTTTATGATATAAGTTAATCTAAAAAATATCTACCACAACATTACCGAAGGTGCGTGAAGTAACGCTCATCTGATATTGCTTGTAAAGGCGTGGCACGGTGGCTCACGCCTATAATCCCAGCACTTTTGGAGGCCGAGGTGGACAGATCATCTGAGGCCAGGAGTTCGAGACCAGCCTGACCAATATGGTGAAACCCCATCTCTACTAAAAATACCAAAATTATGCAGGCATGGTGGCCTATGCCTGTGATCCCAGCTACTGGGGAGGCTGAGGCACGAGAATCAGTTGAACTGGGGTTGTGGAGGTTGCAGTGCGCCGAGATAGCACCACCACACTCCAGCCTTGGTGACCAAGTGAGACTCTGTCTCAAAAAAAAAAAAAAATCTATATAGATATATAGATATATTTATAGATACATATATTTATAGATATATATTTATAGATATATATTTATATATATTTATAGATATATATTTACATATATATTTATATATATATTTATAGATATATATTTATATATTTATAGATATATATTTATATATATTTATAGATATATATATTTATATATATTTATAGATATATATTTATATATTTATAGATATATATTTATAGATATGTATATTTATAGATATATATTTATAGATATATATTTATAGATATATATTTTTATATATATTTATAGATATATATACACACACACACACACAACAGGCTAATTTCACTTGGAAAATATGGATTCTCTAATTTTAAATGTGTATTAAAGTGATCTTGTTAAAAGATCAATTTGCCTTATATAACACCCAATCTATGCATGTGTCAGAGAGATTGTGGTCTTCTTATAAAGGCTTTTGAGTGGTTTACTCCCTTCTTCCTCTTTTTGCTCTTTTCCACTTTTCATGAGCTAGTTATTCCAGTTTGTATCTTCTACTTCTGCCCTGCTTTAATATTACACCTTGTCTTTTTGCTGTTGTTATTTAAATCACTACTTTTTAGAAACATCTTCATTTGTATTTTAACAGTTTATATCTAGCCTGGTAAAGTTGTAAATATGATAAATGGTTAAAGTAAATAATGTTGGCTTCTTTGTAGGTTGCAAATAATCCATTCTATATGGCTAAATGGCAGAAAATTCTAAAGATATTTTAAAAAACTAAACTCAGCCATGTAAGCAGCAGTAACCTTTCTTCTTTTATTATGACTTAAATAGTATGAATATGGCTAATATTTTAGGATCTAACAAGTAATAACTATAATCAGTAACTATAATAAATAACAAATGATAAATTAGTAGCTATAAATAATAAAATCAATAACTATAAGAGGGCTATAAAAGTAAATTTTTTTGCCAAATTGAGAGATTTATGTTTCTGTAATATTTTATCAATGTTCTACTTTACAGCTAAATCTTAAATAGAAAAATATATGAAAAATATTTTAAAAGTTATTGGAATCCTCATATTTAACTGTTAGTACCTATTTGTTTTAATGAGGCTCTGATATGTGCATTATCAGCTTGTTTAAGGTACGATAATTTTTTTTTTGCTAACATTAAATGATCATGGGTGAAATTCTTAAATAGTAATAGATTGGAAAACAAAATGTATAAATTAGGATGCTTTGGAGTACAAACATAAGATTGGTTTAAATAATAGAGAAACTAGAGAAACTTGATATAGTTCATACAAGAAGTCGTCAAACATCGATATAGTTCATACAAGAAGTCGTCAAACATCCAGGTGCTTTCTGCTTCTCATTTCTGCCACTCACAGTAATGGTGTCATTGGAGGGCTTAGATTTCTTGCGGTTATAAGACTGTCAGTGGAAGTTGGAACTCTGCTTTTTTGTTTGTGACTCTGGGGGTGACAGACACTGGCTTTACATGTCTCTATTTAGAGCCAGAAAGTTTCTTTTTTCAAATCCCCTAGAAAGCCTTTCCTTAGATCCTGGTAGCCTAAGTTGGCATGCACCTGACCACTCCTGAAATTATCATTGGTGGGGTAGAGGTAAAGGGGTTGGTGGCAAGACTATTGTGATTGATTTATTTAAATTGGCAATGAATAGATGTTGAGAAATCAATTAAAATGCTTTTGTTAAAGAACTTTTAGAATATATAATTTTTTGTTGACTGATCAAATAGAAAATGTATTTAGAGTAAATTTGGTTTATACTAAGATTGGTGACATTATGTTAAGGTATTTGGCATGCTTCTCTTGTTCATTTTTCATAGGTAAGTCTAAATGTTTTCATTTATCCTGAATAGCTTAGATAAGTATCTTCAGAGACAGGTTGTTAATTAAATTTTAGTTAACAGTGTGAAATGACATTAGCTTTTAAAATATAACTTGATAAAGCTCCTCTGGTAAGATTGTGATCTTTATCTGGTCTACTGCTATTTGGACTTGTTTCAGAGGCATTATATTGATTTTTTTTTTTTTGAGAACAACACATTTCAGAACATTCTGGAAAATAGCTTGTTAGTTTCATATGGAGTGCTCTACAAATCTAAAAAAATGCCATAAGAGGGGTTGGTAGTATTTCCCTATAGTGTCCCCTATGTGTTAGTAGAATTTGTTCTGGTGGTGTCTGACAGATTAGTTGTGGCATTTTTTTTTTTAATGGAGGTTTCCCTGGCAGAACAACCTCCCAGTAACTTCTGCTCCAGCTGTCCAAAAGTGAAGTGCCAAAATTTAGATCTTAATGCTCTTCCTGGTAGATCTCCAAGATAATTGCTAGTGTTCTTATTCTTTTTGTTGTCTGTCTTCCTTTTAGCAGGCAGGGAAGTACAGCCAGCAGTGATGGCCTCTCCTCAATTCTGTTAACAGAAGTCATTGTTACCATACTGTCCCCACCTTCCCCAAAGTGACTTAAGACTTCAGGGAAATGAAAAGTAACTTTTCGTCAATAAAAGATTGGGTATGCCTCTAAGCATTTCTCTTCTGGGAAGTGGCCTTGGTACTCTAGCTTTCTCTTTTTTAATTTTGTTGATAGTTTATTCCAAGTAGTAATAGTAGCAGTAGTAGTAGGAGGAGGAGGAGGAGGAGGAAAGGGAGGAGGAGGAGGAAGAGAAGGAGGAGGAGGAGCAGGAGGAAGAGGAGGAGGAGAAGGAGGAGGACGAGGAGGAGGACGACGAAGAGGAGGAGGAGGAAAAGGAGGTGGAGGAGCAGCAGCAGCAGCTGCAGCAGCTAATATGTTGTACTTATTCTGTGCTGGGCAAAATTCTGGATATTTTTCATGTACTATTTAAGCCTCACAAAAATCTTATGATATAGGAAATGCTTGTTTCCATTTGGCACATGAAGAAACTGAAGAACAGAGAAATGATGAAACTTGCGCAGGGTAGTCTGTCCAGAGTCTGTATTTTAACTACTGCTGTGTTGCCTCCCATTGCATAGTGACTTCACGTGTATAGGTGGTTTTATCATGCGAGGAAATATTTGAGTATAAACTGTATGTGGTACAAATCATTTTTTCCAAATGGGAATACAGTGTGTTCCCTAAAATTAATGAATCCAATATAATTCCACCTAAAACAATTACTGAGTTTTTTCTTTGTGGTTGCAGAGCCTAACTCATCCCATTTCCCTCCCTGTCACTTTTCATTTTTAGGATTTGCATCTTCATATTTAGTGAATCTTTGATCTAATAGTTCTGGCTATTTAATAGTAGTTTTAAAACATCTTTAGCACGTCTTGTTTTCTTTATTCCTTTCTTTTTACCTAGAACAGTTTCTCTTAGGAACAAATTCTTCTTTGCTACCAGCTTTCTACTTTGATCTGCCTATCCAACCCAGTCTCAAATTATCAATTTTTCTTATCTGCAACTTATGTTAACAGTTTAACTGCCTTTCACTTTTTTGTTAAATTAGAGCCTTAAGCCAAAGAATTCTTAGTGTCCTCCATGCCCTGCACAAGAAAGGTATCTCTAAACTTACTTTTTGCATTTGATAACTTTTTGTCTATAGTGATACTATCTACACTAGACTCTACAACATTTTGCTTCTGCTTGGTATTTTAGCACTTATTGTACTATTATAGATATGTTTAATATGGTCATTTAGAGAAATACTGATGTGTCTAAATGTATGTTTGCCCTGCTTGAGGTAAGTTCTTCATGAACCAGAACTTATTAATTTGTATTCTTAAGAAAAAACTTAACACATCTGACATGTTTAATGAATATTTACAGAATGAATAAAAGAAACTGGGGCTGGGTGCAGTGGCTCACACCTGTAATTCCAGCACTTTGGGAGGCAGAGGCAGGTAGATCATTTGAGGTCAGGAGTTTGAGACCAGCCTGGCCAACATAGTGAATCCCTGTCTCTACTAAAAATACAAAATTTAGCGGGGTGTGGTGTCAAGAGCCTGTAGTCCCAACTACTTGAGAGGCTGAGGCAGGAGAATCACTTGAACCCAGGAGGCGGAGAGAGATTGCAGTGAGCTGAGATTGTGTCACTGCATTCCAGTCTAGGTGACAGAGGGAGACTCTATCTCTAAAAAATAAAAAATAAAAATAAATTGGATCTAGCTTAATGCTTGGCCATTGAATAAATGAATGTTGATTACATTAATCCACAGAGAGCTGCTTGTAGAAATGATTTTAAATGTGTGCTGGTATGACAGTACAGGGGCATTAGAAATAGAAGTCCATATATGTCTTGGAATGGGCTGTTTTGGAATACCCCATCCTCAAACTCTTTTCATTCAGTGCTTATGTCTCCTTTCCTCTCTTCATAGCAAAATATTTATAAGAACAGTTGCTATATATGTTTGTGAATTTACCTTAAAACTCATCTATAACCATTCATACATACTAAAACCCAACAAAACTCTAACATTTGGAAAATAGAACCTTGAGGAATCATACAGATAATAAAGTAGTTTAGGAGGTATTGCATTATTGTCCAACATGGAAAAAGTCTGAGTAAAATGTGGTTACCATGATAGTTGTTTTTGCTGTAACTTTGTGTTCATTTAAGAACTCTGAGTCTCTCAATTCAGATGCACTAGGATAAATTAGAGTAATGCAAACTGTATAAGCTAAATTGTTGAAGAAAATGAAACTGTGACCAGGCATGGTGGCTGATACCTGTAATCCCAACATTTTGGGAGGAAGAGGTGGGAGAATCCCTTGAGGTCAGAAGATCAAGACCAGGCTGGGCAACATAGCGAGGCTCCCATCTCTATTAAAAAATAAAATAAAATGAAACTGTTTTTTCTTTTGCACTGCTAGCCAGGAACAAAATGTAATGTGATTCTTCAGAACCATGTCCTTGGGTTATGCCCTTCTTGATTTATATAGAAAATAGTTGAGAATATATGTACTTTTATATGTGGCTTGGTGCATTACATCCTCCTTCACATAGCTGCCTGCAAGTGTAAAAAGCAAATCAAATTTCACTGTTCAGTATTTGTTGATTATTACTTTCATAGGTGTGTTGCAAATTTTACATTTTAATAGTTTGGTTATCACTTTCTCATTAGGTGCTTTCATTTGTTTACATGTTCTTTATTTTTGCCGCTTTAATCTAAGGTGACCTCTTGGTTTTTGATGTTCATGATTTCCACTGTAAAATGTCAGAGGCTGCTTGGCCTCTGCTGCAGATTTCACAGTGGTATGCTTTAAGACTGTTGTTTTGTCACTGCTGTGTTGCCACAGTGCAAGTTTGTTCAGGTTTTTTCTTATAACTTTGTTTTCTTGACTTTCAAGGTGATATGTTCCTGATGTGCTTTTGATAATATTCTCTCATTTTCAGATTTTTCTTAGGCTCAGATAATATATTCTTTTTCTCTAAATTTTCATGTTTTATTTGCAAGTTAGGGGATAATAATTTACTGTGTACAGTATACATTTTAAAGTGTTCATATAATACTAGCAATAGACATGTTTAGAGTGCTTTACGCAGATGGCCATGGTACTTCAGATAACAATGAGAATATCACATTTGAGCTCTTGGATTTTTAATCATTTCCAAAATAATACTTCTTCCTTGGAAATAAGCTTAATGTTTAACATTGAAAAACTTTTCCCACTTTCAAACTCTTGATTTATCTCAAGTAGTAATTTAATTTTATCTATAGAAAGTAATGTCTTGGTTCACGTTTCTGTGATAGGTCAGTCACTGGCCTTGTGGGGGAACTTGCTAAAAGGTGATCCTGACTTGACCTTTTAAAAGTATTTATTTAGGAGACTGTGGTACTAATTCTTATGACACTGAATAAGAGAAGAGTAGAATAACAGAACTTGAGTTTCCTTAAAGAGCACTTAGTATAATCCCATGGAGTATGGAGGGAATTGCTTTGATGCCTTTTACAATTCCTGGATCCCCTCTGCTGTCACCTTGTAGGTGCCATTATCATCATGCTGCCTGGTGACTGGTAAAAATTCTCACAATGAGCATTATATAGGCCTGCTCCACTAAGATTACCCCTCTTCTCACCACTTTTCAACTAACAATTCCTTTTAAGTACACCGGTGTTACTTAAAGTGTGTATCTGATTAATTAACAGTGAGGTGTGAACAACTGATAGCCTTCAGGGAAACATTTATTTTTATTTTTATTTTTTATTATGTATTTTTTAAGGGAACATTTTAATTTTAAAGAAAACCTTGTAAACTCAAATCAATTAAAAAGAAGCAGTTTTTATAATGGAAAGATCTGTTGACTAAGGGTCAAATGTATCTGTAACTGCCAAATCCTGGTTTCATTTTACCATTTTTCCACCATACGTGTTGATACTCTTGTAATTGTGATTAACAACTTTAGTAAGTGTATAAGTATATTTAGTCAGAGTATTAATTCAGTGAATTTCATAAAGACTTGTTTTTATTGCTTAAAGTTCCTAGTTAATGAGCTAAAGCTATAATGTCATGGTTACAGGACCTTATTTTTCAATTTATTTTCTCTGATTAGGCTTCCAGTTAGATGTTCTACATAAATAGTAATAGAAACTATTTATTTGGTATTTATAATATGTCAGAAAATGTGCCAAGAGCCTACATCTTCCATTTGTCTTCACTTCAGCTATAAAATTTACTGACTGTTATTCTTTTCAAAGCATAAGGAAATTGAGGCAAGTTCAACAACTTGCCCAAAGCACACAGACTTAAGAGTAAGACTAGGATTTGAACTTGTCTCTATGGTACTAGAGCCTGAGCTCTTAACAATTATGCTGTGCTACCTTTAGAACAATAGCAGTGAAATCTTCTGCAGCAACTTTAAAAAGCCACTCGTTTTAGAAAACCCCTGACTGATTCTAGGCTTGACCAGAATTGTTGTGATATTCTTAACAGACATCAGAAGAAGAGCTTAAACACCATAGAAAGTATTCAGCCCTCTCATTCCTTCAGTGAATGTTTCTGAGTGCCAGTTATGCGTCATGCACAGATGAAATGCAATTGAGATGGCATTCTTGAAGGGGAAGCGTCAATTTCAAGTCAATAATTGTAAGAGTAGTAAAGGCTGTGGTAGAGGTTGTATAGTGCATATAGCACTGAAGTACGAAGAAGGCACCTAATTCAGCTCATTGCTTAGGGAACAGTAGAGGAGTGGGGAGATCTTGCGGGTAGTTGTGAGATAATAGAGGGAGAGACAATTGGTTGTCAGGTGGTTATCTTTTTCTAAAGTTAACTGGAGTTTTACTTCATATTCAAAATCTTGTGTGAATAATTAAGAGTAAAGAATATATTGCTTTTGGTATAAATAGTTGCATCTGATGAAGAAGATAAAGAATCTCTCTGCTACAGTGTAACTTGCCTTGGCAGGGGATTGTTGCATTTAATTTTGTTTACTCAGAGCCTAAAACAGTGTCTGACTCATAGTATGTGCTCAGTAAATATTTGTTGGATTGTTAAACTGATAAAGGTACTGAGATGGCTTTTAAAGAAAAGGAATGGAAATTGTGTAGGGTATTATGGGCTTAATAATTTTTGTTAAATTCCTTTCTTTTAAAAGAAGTATAATTACAGTATTAAACAGGTAAGATTTGTTAAAGTGAA
Source organism: Homo sapiens (assembly GCF_000001405.40). Taxonomy (NCBI): domain Eukaryota; kingdom Metazoa; phylum Chordata; class Mammalia; order Primates; family Hominidae; genus Homo; species Homo sapiens. The sequence goes on along the minus strand of NC_000001.11, from coordinate 197,763,302 downwards.
GCTTCAGAAATAAAAAAATATATATAAAAAGAAGTGACAAAATTATAGCTCACTGCAGCCTTGAACTGGGCTCCAGGGATCCTCCCGCCTCAGTCTTCTGAGTAGCCAGTACTACAGGCGTATGTCACCATGTCTGGCTAATTTTTACATTTTTTGTACAGATGGGGTCTCACTCTGTTGTGGAGGCTGGTCTTGAGCTCCTGACCTCAAGTAATCCTCCTGCCTTGGCCTCCCAAAGTGCTGGGATTACAGGTGTGAGCCACCGCCAAGCTGGCAGATGTCTTTACAAGGTGGTGATTTTATCTTTTTTCCAGAAGAGGGATTGCTGGGTCCTGTAGTAGTTCAGCAGAAGAATGGATAAAGAAAATGTGGTGTGTATACATATATGCAATGGAATATTATTCAGCCTTACAACGGGGGAGATAATGCCGTGTGCTACAACATGGATGGGCCTGGAGTACATTATGCTAAATGAAATATGTCAGACCCAGGAAGAACAAGTTGCATGATCTCACTTATATGTAGAATATATATTTTTAAATGCTCGGATACACAGAGAATGAAACAGTGGTTACCATGGGTGGGGTGGGGGTAGAGGAAATGAGGCAAGGTAGGTCAAAAGACACAAAATAGCAGATATATAGAATGAACAAGTCTAGAAATCCAATATACAATATGAGGACCAAAGTTAATAAAATTGTATTGTATTAGGGATTGTTGTTAAATACATGGATTTTAGCTGCTCCTGTTGCAAAGAGGTAAGTATGTGAGATGATAGATGCGTTAATTGGCTTCACTATAGCAACCATTTTACTATCTATATGTATTTCATCATATTGAGCACCTCAAATAAACACAGTACAATTTTATTTAAAAAGCTTGGTGGCGGGCACCTGTAGTCTCAGCTACTCAGGAGGCTGAGGCAGGAGGATGGCGTGAACCCGCGAGGCAGAGCTTGCAGTGAGCCAAGATTGTGCCACTGCACTCTAGCCTGGGCGACAGAGCGAGACTCCGTCTCAAAAAAAAAAAAAATGCTGACTAATAAGCCTTTTGGTGTCTGTCTCGTGGAAGTTATAGTCTATCTTGAGCTAGGTCTTTATTGTCCTGATTTATGTTGTTTATTGGATTTCAGGCTTTTAAGGACAAGTACCTCTTTGAATCTCTTGTAGATTTTGGGAAGGTATCTTACACGAGAATGGTGTTCAATGATTACTTGCTATAAGTTATATTGTTATTACAGTGAAATTAGTAAAAGATTGTTCTGATTATCAATTCCTACTGAAGATTTCTTAAATCTTAAAAAAAATTGAATGTAAAGGACTTTGAAAGCTTGCAGATTTTTGTCATCACAAGCAACGGGCACTTTATTTAAAAAAAACTTTTTTTTTTTTTTTAAATAGAGCTGTTGAAAAACCACAAACTGTAACTTTGTAGGCAGAACTGGTAAAGATCAAGATAGAGCCTTTTCCTTTTTCAGTTCCTTCTTAATTATCACTCGAATCTGAAGAAAAGCACACAACAACCAGTTTAGTTCATCTGATAGCCTTCTGCAGATATATATGATTCCAGAAATTACTCATTAAAATAATAATTTTATCTTGGTTTGGTAGCAGAAATGCACCAGCATGAGGGTGTGTTTAGTATACAAATTTACTATTAATTAGAATTAAGCAGTCCTTTAAAATTTTATCACGTGGGTAGTTATAAAAACTTAGATGACTTTTATTTTCTTAAGATTATCATCAAATTAATTATAAGTTATTTGAAATTAACTTACATGTTTATACAGGAAACATGGTTCAAATGAAAGCCAAATAAGTTCAAATGTGTTTTAATACACGGGAACATCATATGTCCTCAAGGTCTATGCATTAAAATTATAGGTGCTCTTAAACTTGCATGGAAGTGGTTCAGAAAGGATTCTTTTTTTTTCTTCTTCAAGATTACAGTGTATTTTAGATATGATATTTGGAAGAGGAAGTAATATAATATTTAGAAAATATTTTTGAAGGTCTTCATCATTTTTACTCATATTAAAAGAGCAATTTCTGTTTAATAATTATAAGCAGTTAATGAAGTTAATTTTTTTGGTTTTTAGAAAATAATGTCTTTAAAATTTTTTTGTTCTTATTACTTCAAGACTTGAGAACTAAGTTTTGGAGTCTTAGTTTTACTATGAAATGTGTGATTTTGTTGATGAATACCTGCAGAGTAATCACTGACAATAAGGAGCAGCACAATTTCATCAAGATTATGTGTTGGTTCTTTCACTGTGTACAGGTTTAGACATGTTAGAGAAGAAATAATAAGCTAAGAACTGTTACGTACAAAAATACTAGCTTCCAACTTTTAATGATTACTGTAGTGTTTGTTAGGGATGTTGACTGTATACCCTAAACGTGGAAATATTGAAATGGAATGCTAGTTGAAAGACAAAATTTTAATTTGTAAATATTTGTCTCATTTTAGCTTAATAGTTGAAGACATAAATGAGCCCGCAGTATAATGTTTAAGATGTCATTGTTCTAAATTTTGCCTTTGATAGAGCTGATATAGCTGTTTAAAATTCATTATAAAGCCCATTACTAAACCCATTGACTAATAATTTACTCTTCTTGGGGGATTATAAAATCTGTGGGTAATTTTTTTTTTTTTTTTTTTGAGACAAGGTCTCACTCTGTTGCCCAGGCTGAAGTGCAGTGACGTGATCTTGGCTCACTGCAACTTCCACCTCTTGGGCCCAGCATGATCTTCCCACCTCAGCCTCCCGAGTAGCTGGGATTACAGGTACACACCACCATGCCCAGCTAATTTTTGTAGAGATGGGGCTTTGCTATTTTGCCCAGACTGGTCTTGAACTCCTGAGCTCAAGCGACCTGCCTACCTTAGCTTCCAAAAGTGCTGGGATTATAGGTGTGAGCCACTATGACTGGCCAGTAATTTTTTGATTCATTTCTCTCAGTAATTGTCCAGATTAACAATGACCATTTTGTTTATAAATGGATATGGAGAGAAAGAGAGGAGATGGCATTCATATCAAATTTTCTACCTGAAACCTTGCATCACTTACTGCTACTTTCTTATGATATACTCAAAATATTGATCAAAGCATTAAAAATGTTTGAAGTCACTGAACTCTTCTGGAATGCCTTCCAAATCATGAAGATTAGAATTGCTTTCTAGTCATCTTATACATTTTAAGATGGCTTACACTTTACCTTTTCAGGGTATCTTAGTTCTTCAAAAACGTATAATTTACATTGTGTTTAATATATATGACAGACTAAACATATAATTTAAATTTATTTTAAAACAATTTTAAGTATGATTAAAGTCGATCTTTTTAAGGTATGGCTGAATTGGTCAAAACACAAAAATTATTTATGTATTGCTGTTAAGGGATTTTTCAATCTCATTCTGAGTTAAAAATTTAAAAGCTGGGTTTGAGGAGAGTAGATTGAGGGTGCTTTTGCCTAGTTTATGGGGAAGAGATGAATAAGCTGGTGCTCTCTAAGAGGTATCTTCCTCCCGCATGCTTTTTTTTTTTTTTTTTTTTTTTTGAGACGGAGTCTTGCTCAATCACCCAGGCCAGAGTGCAGTGGTGCGATCCCAGCTCACTGCAACCTCCACCTCCCGGGTTCACGCCATTCTCCTGCCTCAGCCTCCTGAGTAGCTGGGACTACAGGCGCCCACCACCATGCCCAGCTAACTTTTTTTTTTGTATTTTTAGTAGAGACGGAGTTTCACCAAAGATGGCCTGCTGGTTCTTTGCACCACCTCATGCCACCTGCATGAAGATGGTGCAGATACTTTCATTTTGGAATTTGTATTTTTGCCTTGTTTCACTTTTATCTTGAATATATTTGGTGTTTTTTTTTCATTTATTATATATTTAATATTTTTATGTTACTTTAAAATGTTTTAGCTTAATTCTTTAGTTCCTAATTTTACTTTTAATTGTATTTTGCTTCTTTTTATTATTTTATATTAATTTCTTTTATTTGGTTTTTTAAATTTTTTAAAGAAGTATTTAAGGCCAGGTATGGTGGCTCACACCTGTAATCCCAGCAATTTGGGAGGCTGAGGTGGGTGGATCACATGAGGCCAGGAGTTCCAGCAACCTGGGCAACGTGTGAAACTCCATCTCCACCAAAAAATACAAAAGTTAGCTGGGTGTAGTGGTGTGCACCTGTAGTCCCCAGCTATTTGGGAGGCTGAGGCAGGAGAATTGCTTGAACCTAGAAGGTGGATGTTGCATTGAGCCGAGATCACACCACTGTACTGCAGCCTGGGCGACAGAGAGAGACTCCATCTTAAAAAAAAAAAAAAAAAAAAAAAAAAATTAATGAAGTACTCTATTCTTTGGGAAAAGTTGTGCTTTTTCTTATTCTAATTAGTGTGCCTTTTGAACCTTTTTCCTTTTTAGTGAGAAACAAGGAGAGAGAATTTCATAAGATGTAGCAGACACATTTTAATAAAACTAATACTTATGCTTTAATGGACTGTGAATAAGTAATTAAATCTCTGTTTCAAGGTGAACAGGAGTAATGGGTTTGATGCCACGATTTTCTAAAAGCCTAAACTCTGGAATCCTCTTAAAGATAAGACAGATATTTTACCTGATAGACATCATGGTGGAATGGGAAGATACTGGACCGAGAGTTGAAACATAGTTCTTGGTACTGGCTTCATCACTTGTTAGATGTCTGACTTTGATCAAGTCCTTTAAATTCTATTACTTTCATTTTTCACATTTGTAAAATATTTGCACTGCATATCTCTAATTGTTATGAGAGTCAAATACATAATAGCATGAAAATGCTTCATAAATTGCACCATGTAGATAGAAACTTTTATTTGGTTTCTGTGTTGTGGTTGTTAGCCGTATGAAAAAAGGTATGATCACTTCAACAGAAATTGTTAGTAAAAAACTTTCCTCCTATTTTGATGTATGTGATCAATCTGGAAGACAGGAATGCTAAAGAAAGGTCACATAGTAACTTCCAAGTCCCCTCTTTAATATTGCAGAAGTGTCAGGAACAAGGAGGATAGAAGACACGTATTTTGGTATTTTGCGCTGTGATTAGTGAATTTCACTTTGAAAAGGATATTTAGCAGAGAATAAGTTTGTAGTACCGAATCTGACAGCATCCATATAAATATTTGGTGAGGTCCAGAGAGGTCAAACAGGAGTTGAAAATTACAATGTGACTTTTCTTTAGCGCTCCTTTCTTCCAAATTTTTCACATGTACAACTTCAGCAACAAAGTTAGAATTCCATATATGTGTAAGTTTTCAAACTTCTAAGAGCTAATATTGATAAGCTAGAAAGTTGTTAGAATAGAAATAACACTGGGCTTATATCCTTGAAGGAATGATGATGAGCTAAAATTAAGGATAATATTACAAAAGTGTAGGGTTCTCAAAGGAAATATTAGTTGAGAGGTATAGTGCAATTGGTTGTGAGGTCTGTGTAAACAAATACTAAGTATTGCAACTTCTGAATGATTAAAAAATACAGAAAATTCAAGGCTATCTTGGTAATGACATTATTCCCATTTATTTGAATTCCTGTATAACTTTCTTGAGTGAATGCTGAATTTAAGTCCAGAAATTATCCTTGAAGCAAGATTCTGTTATATCATTGATATAAATCTCCTTTTTATAGGTAATTTAATAATGTTGATGAAGTTTATATTTTGTCAGACAAATTTATGTAAGACCCTTCTGTAGATTCCTGAGTTCTCAATAACAGTGTTTCTTAATTTTATTTATAACACATAGAAAATGACAATATTTGTATGGTACTTCTGGGCAAATGGACTTCATGCAATGATAGGAGGTAAATGGCCTGGGGTCTGCTAGGGTTGAGGGGATCAATATGTTCTTATTTCTTCTTACCCATTAGAGAGGCACAGGCTGGGATGTTCTCTTTATGGTTTCTTTGGTGAGACTGGCTTTTTATTCACTGCTTTTGTTCACTGTTGTTTTATGCTACTAGGTAGGATGGCAGAACTCTAGAGTTAGATTGGAGTTAGAAATTGGGTTGGAGTTCCAGTTGAACCACTCTGAGCCTGTTTCTTTGTCTTAAAATGAGAAAAGTTATGATCCTCCTTTTCTTTCTTCTGTAAACCTATGATGATCAATAGAGATAATAAATTATATGAATATGCTTTTAAATAGAAGGTTATTTTTAATATAATTTAAGCAAACTGCAGGTACATCTCTTTTGTAACTTGCAAGAAGAAATAGATTCTTTTGTTTTATATACATATATGTGTCTGTGTATATATATAGTGTGTATATATATATATAAATATATTTAACATATAATGGCATAGTGTCACAGTATATCAGTGAGGACTTCTGACTCCAAAGCTAGGAGAGAGGATTGCAAAATTTAACACTGGCAATAAAAATTAAGGATTATGAGAGATGTATTACATTTATGCAAATATTTCTTTCCCTTTCAGGCATAGTATTTTCTTTAATAATGATTAACTCTAATTATGGGTTCTGATAATTATTACACACAAGTATCTAATGTTCATCTGTTTTAATGAATTTTTTTAAATAAAAAGGATAATGAATAAAATTTATTATTAGTTTATTATTAGTGACCCATGCTTTTCTGAAAGTCTGGCTGTTTATGCCATTGTTTTCCCTAAATAGTAAATCTAATTGTTTAATGGGGGCATATTTTTTTTTTTTTTTTTTTTTTTTTTTTGAGATGGAGACTTGCTCTGTTGCCCAGTCTGGAGTGCAGTGGTGCGATCTTGGCTCACTGCAACTGCTGCCTCCTGGATTCAAAAAGATTCTTCTGCCTCAGCCTCCTGAATAGCTGGGATTACAGGCGCATGCCACCACACCCAGCTAATTTTTGTGTTTTTAGTAGAGATGTGGTTTCGCTTTGTTGGCCGGGCTGGTCTTGAACTCCTGACCTCAAGTGATCTGCCTGCCTCCTCCTCCCAGACTGCTGGGATTACAGGCCTGAGCCACCATGCCCAGCCTAATAAAAGCATATTCTAATTGTTGGAAAAACATTTAGGAACAAACAGCGTCTGGCCTGGTAGGCTAAAATCCACAGAGGAACAGGTGAATGTATTAATTCTATCAATCAGTTAGTTAATCAAAATATTCTGTTCCTTAATTCTTCCTTCCTAGACTATGTGTAGGATAATTCTTGGCATTCTTAATGAAGAACTAGCCTGATGCCATTGGTGAAAAAGATTTTTTGGTTTTACTATACATTGTGTATATTTCCCTATACTTTTAAATGTACAGATTTTTTATTCTCTATGTGACTACTTTGTAACTACTGATATGGGTTGGCTCTGTGTTCCCACCCAAATCTCATCTTGTTGCTCCCATAATTCCCACATGTTGTGGGAGGGACCCGCTGGGAGATGATTGAATCCTGGGGATGGGTCTTTCCTGTGCTGTTCTTGTGATAGTAAATGGGTCTCACAGGATCTGATGGTTTTAAAAACGGGAGTTCTCTGCACAAGCTTGCTCTTTGCCTGCTGCCATCCACAGAAGATGTGAGTTGCTCTACCTTGCCTTCCACCGTGGTTGTGAGGCCTCCCCAGCCATGTGGAACTGTTAAGTCCAATAAACCTCTTTCTTTTGTAAATTGCCCAGTCTCGGGTATGTGTTTATCAGCAGTGTGAAAACAGACTAATACAACTACTTCTTCATTTATTTGATTTTTTAAAAAATGGAAATTCTTATTAGTTTAAGCTCATTTTATTTCCTTATTGTCTGCATATATTTCTTCACATATTTTCTCTTTACTAGTTTTCTTCCCATTTTTAAAAGTCCGATCTTTTTTTTCTTTTGTTTTGGCATCCTGTACCATTGTATTTTTTTTTTCTGTTGGGCAGTATACTACTCTTAAGTGTATACTACCAATATTAATAATTTAGATACTTCCACTACTACTAATTTAGAAAGTATGTTGAGAAAGTATTTTTCATATGAATTATTTATTTGATTCTCATACCTATCTTTTGGTAGGCTATATACTCGTATTCCTATTTTATGTTTGAGGAAACTGGAGCACAGAAAAGTGAAGTGACCAGGCTGATACATATAACTGGCAGACTTGAACCAAGATTTCAACTCTAAAACCCACACTTTTTCCAGTAAACCTCAATTTTGTATCAGATAAGTATAGTAACTTGAGAGACTTGCCTGGAATTACAGATTCAAGTGAACGATTTCTTTAGGTAGAATGAAGTTTTTCTTTGCTAGGAGAAATTGGAAGTTAGGGTAGCCAAATACTGTCAGTATGTGTGTCTGTATATGTATGCCTATGTATGTATATGAGTGTAAATGCCTTTATGTTTTATCAAAAAACTCCAGGCCCATTGCAAAAGATTCAAATAGAAGAAGAAAATAACATGAAGAGACTAAAATTCTATCACCCAGAGAATATAATGGGTAATATTTTGTTGAACAATCTGTTACACATCTCTATATGAGTATATTTGCATGAATATGCATTTTCCGTAAACTGGTTCATCTGTTCATGGTATCCTATTATCTAACCATTACCAATTGATAATTTGTTATGAACATCTTCTCATGTCTGAAAATAGATTTACTGTATCAGTTTTTTTTTTTTTTTTTTTTTTTTTTTTTGAGACAGAGTCTCGCATTGTTGCCCAGGCTAGAGTGCGGCGTAGCACGATCTTGGCTTACTGCAGCCTTTGCCTCCTGGGTTCAAGTGGTTCTCATTCCTCAGCCACCTGAGTAAGTGGGATTACAGGTGTGCACCACCACATCTGGCTGATTTTTCACCATGTTGCCCAGGCTGGAACTCCTGGCCTCAAGTGATCTGCCTGCCTCGGCCTGACAAAGTGTTGGGATTACAGGTGTGAGCCACTGTGCCTGGCCTACTTTATCAGTTTTAATAGTTACCTGGAATTTTATTATATGGGCCGACTGTGTATGTATCTCATTTATACTTGTATTATTATCTACTTCAAATAAGTTCTTGAGTATCATTGTTGGACTTTTGATATGTATTGGCAGATTGCCTTTCCGAAAAGATATATAGTCTTATCAATAGTTAGAGAGCCTCTGTGTACCACAGTTCTCCACAATACTGGGTATTAATCCTCTTTTTAAAAATATTAACAATGTATTTTATTTAATTCCATATATCCAAAACATAATTTTAATAGTCAATATTGAAATATTATTAAAATAATTTACAGGTTTTTTTTAGTCTTTTAAGTCCTATATGTATTTTAAAAATAGAATTTATTTTATTTATTTTATTTTATTTTATTGTTTTTTTGATTTAGAATCTTGCTCTGTTGCCAGGCTGGAGTGCAGTGGCACGATCTCGGCTCACTGCAACCTCCGCCTCCCGGGTTTAAGCGATTCTTCTGTCTCAGCCTCCTGAGTAGCTGGGACTACAGATGTGCGCCACCACACCCAGTTTTTTTTGTATTTTTAGTAGAGACGGGATTTCACCATGTTGGCCAGGCTGGTCTCGAACTCCTGACTTCAGGCGATCTGCCTGCCTGGGCCTTCCAAAGTGTTGGGATTATAGGCGTGAGCCACCGCGCGTGGCCATCGACTTTATTTTTAAAGCAGTTTTTGGTTCATAGCAAAATTGCATGTAAAGAGTTTTCCCATATATCACTTGCCCTGACATCTGCACAGCTTTCCTCACTATCAACATCCCCCACCAGAGTGGTAAATTCATTACAAGCAATGAATCTACATTGACACTTAATTATCACCCAAAGCCATAGTTTAGGGATCACTTATCATGTTGTATATTATATGGGTTTGACAAAAGTATAATGACACGTATCCCCCATTATAGTATCAAACAGAAATAGTTTTATTGCCCTAAATATTCTCTGTGCTTCACCTTTTCATCCCTTCTTACCTCCAACCCTTGATCTTTTTACTGTCTCTACAGTTTGCCTTTTCCAGAGATATTTCCCTTTTTTAATTTTTGAAAGCATTTTTGCCTGTCTTGCTTTACTTTATATTTCGATTAATTAGAAAAGTTGGCCAGTATTTCATGTTGGCATTAATAATTCTTTGGTGCATTTTATATTTTTGTCTTTTGCACGTTTGATAAAGGCTTTAATTTTATCTGTAGCAACCAATTATTTATCGCATATTGATATTTTTCCAATTTAACATTTATCTTTTAATTTTGTTTTATGTTCTTTATTCAGAAGTTTAAATTTTTTTGTAGTCAAATTAGTCTTTGAACTTGGAACCAACCCAAATGTCCGTCAATGATAGACTGGATTAAGAAAATGTGGCACATATACACCATGGAATAGTACACAGCCATAAAAAAGGATGAGTTCATGTCCTTTGCAGGGACATGGATGAAGCTGGAAACCATCATTCTGAGCAAACTATCACAAAGACAGAAAACCAAACACTGCATGTTCTCACTCATAGAGTGAACTGAACAATGAGAACACTTGGACACAGGGTGGGGAACATCACACACCGGGGCCTGTCGTGGGGTCGGGGAGGGGGAAGGATAACATTAGGTGATATACCTAAATGATGAGTTAACGGGTGCAGCACACCAATATGGCACATGTATACATATGTAACAAACCTGCATGTTGTGTACATGTACCCTAGAACTTAAAGTATAATAATAATAAAGAAAAAAAATTAGTCTTTGAAAAAAATTTCTATTTTGGTGTTTTTGCCAAAGAGCTACTAAACTCAGGGAAAATCAGAAGTTAGTGTTTTCAATATATTTCTGATAAAATTGCTTTATTACAATTACATCTTCAATGTATATAGAAACTTAATTTAGTTGAATTATACTGATACTGTTGTTTTAAACGTTTGATAGAATTCACCCATGAAGTTACCTAGGCCCAAATGTTTCTTGTGGGAAGGATTTTAATTATGAATTCAAATTCTTTAGCAGATAAATGATTAATCAGACTTTTGGATTCTGCTTGTGTCAGTTTTGGTAATTTTCAAGGAATTTGAAATTTAAACAAAATTCAGGAATTTTATTTAATTGTGAAAGGTATTGGCACAAAACCATTCATAATATTTATCTTTTTAATTTTCATAAGATCTGCAGTGATAAGCCCCCTTTTCTTCCAATATTAATAATTCGCATATCACCTCTCTTTTTTTATTAGTCTTGTTTAGGAGTTTATCAATTTCATTAATATTTTCAGAGAGCCAATAGAGTATTTTGTTCATGTCTCCATTTTCTGTTTTCATTGATTTCTGCTTTCTTCCTCCTCTTCTCCTTCTCCTCCTCCTTCTCTTCCTTCTTCTCCTCCTTCTACTTCTTCTTCTTCTTCTTCTCCTTCTCCTCCTCCTCCCCCCTTCCTCCTCCTCCTCCTTCTTCTCTTTCTTCTCCTTCTTTTCCTTCTCCCCTCCTCCTCCTCCTCCTCCCTCCTCCTCCTCCTCCTTCTTCCCCTGCCTTCCCTTCCCTTCCCCTCCCCTCCCCTGTCTCTGTTTCCCAGGCTGGAGTGTAGTGGCACGATCTTGGCTCACTGCAACCTCCGCCTCCTGGGTTCAAGTGATTCTCCTGCCTCAGCCTCCTGAGTAGCTGGGATTAGAGGCACATGCTACCACGCCCTGCTAATTTTTGTATTTTTAGTAGAGACAAGATTTCACCATGTTGACCAGGCTAGTCTCGAACTCCTGACCTCAAGTGATCCACCCACCTCGGCCTCCCAAAGTGCTGGGCTTACAGGTGTGAGCCACCGCGCCTGGCTGACATTTATTATTTTCTTCTACTTTGGATTTAATTTTTTCTAGCTTCTTAATGTGGAAGTTTAGAGTGTTAATTTTTAAACCTTTCTTTTTTTCTAATGTAATCATAAATGTGTAAATTGACTTTTAAGCAGTGTTTTAGCTGTGTCCTACAAATTTGGATATAGTGTGTTTTCATAGTTATGTAGTTGAAAATATTTTCTAGTTTCACTTGTGACTTCTTTCTTGATCCGTGGGTTATTTAGAAATGAAGTGCTTACTTTCCAGATATTTGAGATTCTTTGTGATATATTTTTATTAGTTATTTTTCATTTGATTTAGGTCAGAGAACATACTCTGTATGACTTCAATCCTTGGAAATATGAGATTTGTTTTATGGCCCACGAGGTGGTCTATCTTGGTTAAAATTCAGTGTGCACTTATATAGAATATATATTCTGCAGTTGTTGGATGTATTGTTTAAATGCCAGTTAGATAAAGTTGATTGATAGTGCTTTTCGAACCTTTTATGTTTTTATTTTTTGGATCTGTTTCTTTCACTTACTGGGAGAAGAGTGTTAAAATTTCCAACTGTAATTGTGGGTTTCTTGGTTCCCTCCTTTAGTGCTGTCAGGTTTTGCTTCATGCATTTTGAAGCTCTGTTGTAATAAGCATACACATTTACAACTATTATGTCTTCTTTATGAACTAACCATTTTAACATATGAAATTTCTCTCTGTCTCTCTGTCTCTGTCTCTTTTTCTCTGACAGAGAAATTTCATATGTTAAAAGGGTTAGTTCAAAAGGTTGTTTCTTTATTGTGGTTTTCAGAAATTTGCTTGTGATGCTTTTTGTCTTTACTTTTATATGAATAGAACTGCTCTGCCTTCCTCATAATTAGTGTTTGCATGAAATTCTTTTTCCATTCTTGTTTTCTAAATTGTCTTATGTCTAAACTATGTCTATATCTTTATCTATCTATCTATCTATCTATCTATCTATCTATCTATCTAGGTTTGCTTTTCTATCCAGTCTAACAATCATTGCCTTTAATTAGAATGTTTGATACATTTGTATTCAGTGTAATTATTGATATGGTTAGGTTTAAATTCATTATCTTATTTGTTTTATGGTTGTACTTTTGGTTTTTGTTTGGATTGTTGTTACCTTTTTGCTTCCTTCTCTTCTAGATTAATGTATTTTTCTTTTTTTTAGTATTTTATGCTTTTCTCTTCTCTTGGCTTTGTTTTTAGTAGCTCTAAGGATTACATTGTACTTGATGATTATGTCATATCTATTGTGATCATATCTACAGTGAATTAAAATTATGCCACTGTGAGTATAAGAGCCTTCCAAGAGTTCACTTATATTTTACTCCTTTCCTTCCTTTGTGCTATTGCTGTCATACACTATTTTTTCTATATGAAAGAAAATCCTGGCCAGGCCTGGTGGCTCACGCCTATAGTCTCAGCAGTTTGGGAAGCTGAGGTGGGAGGATTGCTTGAGACCAGGAGTTTGAGACCAGCCTGGCCAAAATAGCGAGACCTCATCTCAACAAACCATAAAAGAATTAGCTGGGTGTGGTGGTGTGGACCTGTAGTCCCAGCTACTCTGGAGGCTTAGGGGAAGGATTCCTTGAGCCCAGGAGCTCCAGGCTGCAGTGGGCCCTGAGGGTGCTACTGTATTCCAGCCTGGGCGACAGAGCAAGATCCTGTCTCAAAAACAAACAAACAAACAAACAACAACAAAAAAACCCAAAAAACTTCACTATAAATTGAAATTATTAAGTAAGAGAATCCCCATAATTATTTTTGTTTAGACAATCAGTTCCTTTTTTAAAAAGTTAAGAAATGAAAAAAAAAATCTTATGTACCTACTATTTACCATTTCTTGCATTCTTCCTTTATGTAAATTTGAAGTATGATCTGGCCTCATTTTCTTTTAGCCTGGAGTATTAATTGTACATCAAGTCTGCTGGTGACACATTCTCTCAGATTTTATCTGAAAATGTCTTTATTATATCTTAATTTTTGAAGGATAATTTACTTGGGAATAGATTTCTAGTTTTTTTCTTTCAGCATTTTTAATAATGTTCTGTTGTCTTCTGGCTTGCATAGTTTTTGATGATACCTAAGCAGAAGTTTTTAATCATTATCTATGTGATATCTTTTTTTTTCCTTTGTCTGCTTTTAAGGTTTTCCCTTTTTATTGTGGTTTTCAAAAATTTGGTTGTTATGTGCTAGGTTTAGTTTTCTTTGTATTTATCCTGACTGGGACTTTTTGAGCTTCTTGGGTCTATAAATTTATATATATGTACATACATATTCAGAAAAGTTTTGAACATTATTTTATTGAAGCTGTTTTTCTGTTTATCCTCCTTTATTCTTTTTCCCTTGGGGACACAGTTCATGTGTGTTAGACTGATAGTGTTTCATGAGTCACAGGGACTCTGTTTTATTTTTCTCAGTATTTTTTGTTTCTGTGTCTCGGTTTGTACAGTTTCAATTATTCTGTACTTAGGTTCTCTAATCTTTTATTCTACAGTATCCAATCTGCTGTTAAGCCCATACAGTGAATGTTTTTGTCTCAAATAATGTATTTTTTAAATTGTAGATTTTCGTTTTGAATCTTTTTAATAGATTCTGTTTTTCTACTGAGGATCTCTATCTGTTAATTCATTCTATCTTTTCCTTTAAATACTTAGATGTAGTTTTAATAGCTTGTTTTAATTTCTTGTTTTGCCATAACAAATTACCATAAACATAGTGGCTTAAAATAATATAAATTTATTATCTTACAGTTTTGGAAATTAGAAGGCTGAAATGGTACTCACTGAGCAAAAACCAAGATGTCAGCAGGGCTGTGTTTCTTTCTGGAAGCTCTAGGAAAGTGTTTTCTTTCCTTTTTCAGCTTCTAAGGGGCTGCCTGCCTTCCTTGGCTCTTGGCCTCCTTCTGTCTTCAAAGCCCACAATAGCCGATGAGTCTTTTTCCTAGTTTGTCCCTCTGATACTGACACTTCTGCTTTGTCTTCAACATCTAAGGATCTTTGTGATTGTACCACTTGGATAATCTAGGATATGCTCCCTATTTTAAGGTCAGCTGATTGGCAACCTTAACTGCATCTGCAATCTTAATTCTCCTATGTTATATAATACAGTCACAGGTTCTAGGCATTAGGATATAGATATCTTTGAGAGGCCACTGTTCTGCCTACTGCATAACTCTTTTTAAAAATTCTTCTTTGGTAATTCTAATATCTGTTTCATTTTGGATTTGTTTCTGTTTACTTTTCATGCCCCCACCCCCCCACCCCTACTTCCCTGATATTTTGTTGATTCCTTGCATGTCTGATAATTTTTTGTTACACGCTGAATATTTTGGATATCATATTATTGACCGTTTGAAATTTATCTTTTTTAACTAAGTATCACATTTTGTTTTGTTGGGCAATCAAATTTTTGATGGACCAATTAGATCTTTTCAATGTTTGTTTTTAATCTTTAGGTGGGTCTAGAGTATTTTACCTCTAAGGCTAAAGTAGCCTTACTCCTAAGCTGTGTGTCAACAACTGTGTAGAGTTTGAGATTTTATTCTATTTACGTGCTAACTGGTTAGCCTCTTATGGTTTCATTGATGCTATCAGAAGACATGAGTTTCCATGATCAGAAATAGAGGACTTTATTATCTATGGCACAAGTGACATGAGCATCAATAATTTGTGTCAGTTTTCCTTGCCCCTGAATCACAGGAGTGGGGTGTGAATGCACCCAGGTGGTTGCCTGCAAATGCAGTTGGATACGTTATAGAAGAGGAACCCTGAGTGTAGGAAACCCAAGTAGCATGTAGTGTGCAGTAAGCATGCCTGCTTTTTGCTGTTGGAGGCAGATACTTTAGGCAAATCTTGTTTTATTACACTTTGCTTTGTTGTGCTTTTTAGGTATTGCATTTTTTAAAAACTGAAGGTTTGTAGCAGCCCTGCTTTGAGCAAGTCTACTGGTGCCATTTTTTTTTAACAGCATGTGCTCACTTTGTGTTTCTGTGTCACATTTTGGTAACTCTCCCAATATTTAAAACATTTTCTGACGGGGTCTTAAGATGGCTGCCAGGTGACCGCTTCCTGACAGACGAAAAGATGTGGAGTGGGCTGCTACCTCCTGGCCTAAATGAAAGTGATGTTGAGTGAAACTCTGAAGATGAAGCTACATTGCAGAACTCTGGACTTAACTCACAAGAAGATAAAGAGGATGGGAGCATCAGAAAAACAGAAATCATAGATTCTCGATAGATGAACCCAAAACTGAAACAGAGTCGAATGTAAATGCCTATGAAGAGTGTCCTTCTGGAATTCCCCTAGATATGTAGAATATATTTCAAGAATTGCATAAAAAACATTCTGAACAGAAAAACGCAACCTCAAGATTCAGAGGGAAAAAAAGAAAACGCTCCAGAAAAGATAAATTGAGGAATGAAAAAGAATCTCACAGTGAACAGTTCTCAAATGAAACCCAGTGGAAGGAGCTTACTCAGTATTTTGGAGTCAATGATTGATTTGAACGCCATGTTAAAAGGAAAAATGTTGAGAAATCAGGCCTTGAAGAGAGGATAGACCAGGCTGTGGAGGGGTGGAATATTGAGAAGACTGAGGAACTCAGAAAAACCAGCTAGCTACTCGAGAGCTTGGTGTAAAGATTGCCAAAGCAGTTGCCTGCCACAACTTTGTAAAAGCCAAAAAGGAGGTTGAAAATTCACAGGCTGCCCCCAAAAAGAAGAAACTTGCATGGGGGTTTGAAGCAAAGAAGAGATGGGAAACCCAAAGTGACATGGGATATGCATAACTTGCCAGAGTGCTTCAAGACATTTGTGGACTCAAATGCTCAATTTACTGAGAACGTTTTCCAGCCTGTGTTAAATATGTCAGAAAATTGATAGCACTAGAACAAAAATAAGCATAAAATTTGGGAGTTTGATTATCAGCTCTTTTCAATCTTTCTCTAAGGGCTTTGTCGTACTGAAGTGAATAAAATGAAGCATTCTCATATTTGTATAAGAAATGTAAGAAAAAATATAGAAAAATAGGATAGAATTTTGTTTATTTATTTGTATAGACCCATGGTATAAAATCAGTTTTGCTGTTTTTCGTTCATTTGGTTTAGTGTAGTCAGTGATCTTCTCATACTTTCTTTCTTTCTTTTTTTGAGACAGTCTCTGTCACCCAGGCTAGAGTGCGGTAGCATGATTTTGGCTCACTGCAACCATTGCCTCCTGGGTTCAAGTGATTCTCATGCCTCAGCCTCCCGAGTAGCTGGGATTACAGGCAAGTGCCACCATGCCCAGCTAATTTCTTTTTGTATTTTTAGTAGAGACGGGTTTTGCTGTGTTGGTTAGGTTGGTCTTGAACTCCTGGCCTGATATGATCCATCTGCCTTGGCCTCCCAAAGTGCTGGGATTACAGGCATGAGCAAACATGCTGGCCTTGTACTTTCTTATCTGTATCCAGTGTAACTACACGTTTTCTGGTACTGTGTTTTTAAGATTAACAGTTGTTTATAATGGATTAGTCGTAAATGCCAAAAAGTTTCAATTGACACTGTCTTTACAAATGACTTGACCTTAATGTTATAAAAGGAGTTACTAATTTTTTTATTGGAAGCAGTAGACTTGATATTTCAGAATTGCATAGTAAAAGCAATTTACTAATTTTTTTTGTACTTTCAGATAAACTGTTACAATAAAGAAAGGGGCAGAATGTAGTATTTGGAAGATGATTTAAATTCAGCAATGCCTAAAAATGTCTTCCTAAGTATCTTTCTCAGCCATGCCATTCTTTAAATTATGGGATGGTTCTTAGAAGTGAAAATGGTGTAATTGTATTAAGCAGACAGTTATAACTCAAGATAATATAACTTTGAACCTTCTAAAAATTTTCATTATTATTATATATATTATATATATATATATATATATATAATATATATATGGTGATCTGTTATCAGTGATCTTTGATGTTATTGTTGTAATTGTTTTGTGGTACCATGAACCATGCCCATATAATATGGCAAACTTGATTGATAAATGTATGTGTTCTAACAAGAGAGATGGGGCACCCCAGACCAGCTGTTGCCCCATCTCTCTCCCTCTCCTGGGGCTCACTATTCCCTGAGACACAACAACATTGAAATTAGGCCAATTGATAACCCTACAATGGCCTCTAAGTGTCCAAGTGAAAGGAAGACTCACATGTATTTCACTTGAAATATAATGCTAGAAGTGATAAAGCTTAGTGAGGAAGGCATTTAAAAAGCTGAGATAGGCTGAAAGCCAGGCCTTTTGCACCCGACTAACTGTTTGTGTCAGGTTGTGAATGCAAAGGGAAAGTTCTTGAAGGAAATGAAAAGTGCCACTCCAGTGCACACACAAATGATAAGGAAGCAAAACACCCTTATTGCTGAGGTGGAGAAAGTTTTAGTGGTCTGGATGGAACCATCCACAAACCATCCACAACATTGCTTTAAGTCACAGCCTAATCCAGAGCAAGGTCTTAACTCTCTTCAATTTTGTGAAGGCTGAGAGAGATGTGGAAGCAGCAGAAGAAAAATTTGAAGCTAGCAGAGGTTGGTTCATGAGATAAGGAAAGAAGCCATCTCTGTAACATGAAAGTGTATATGGTGAAGCAGCAAGTGCTGATGTAGAAGCTGTAGCAAGTTATCCAGAAGATCTAGCTAAGATCATTGATGAAGGTGGCTACATTAAACAACTGATTTTCAGTGTAGATGAAACAGCCTTATATTAAAAGAAGATGCCATGTAAGGCTTTCTGAGCTAGAAAGAAGTCAGTTACTGCCTTCTGAGTTTCAAAGTACAGGCTGACTCTTGTTATGGGCTAATGTAGCTAGTGACTTGAAGTTGAAGCCAGTGCTCATTTATCAATTCAGAAATCCCAGGGCCCTTACAAATTATGCTAAATCTACTCTGCCTGTGCTCTATAAATGGAATAACAAAGCCTGAATGACAGCACATCTGTTTGTAGCATGGCTTATCGAATATTCTAGGGCCACTGTTAAGACCTACTGCTTAGAAAAAAAGATTTCTTTTAAAATATTGTTGCTCATTGACAATGTACCTGTTTACCAAGAGCTCTGATGGAGATATACAAGAAGACAAAAGTTTTAATGCTTGCTAACACAATATCCATTCTGCAGCCCATGGATCCAAGAGTAATTTTGACTTTCAAGTTTTATATCATTAAGTCTAAATGTAAGAAATACATTTTGAAAGGCTATAGATGCCCTAGATACTGATTCCTCTGATGGATCTTGGCAAAGCACATTGAAAAATCTCTTTGGTGAATGGAAAGGATTCACCATTCTAGATGTCATTAAGAATATTTCATGATTCATGGGAGGAGGTCAAAATATCGACATTAACAGAAGTTTGAAACAAATCGATTCCAACGTTCATGAATGACTTTGGAGGGATTTAAGACTTCAGTGGCGTAAGTAACACAGATGTGGTGGATATAACAAGAGAGCTAGAATTAGAAGTAAATCCTTAATATGTGACTGAATTGCTGCTATCTTATGATAAAACTTTGATGTATGAGGAGTTGCTTCTTACGGATGAGCAAAGAATGTGATTTCTTAAGATGGAATCTACTGGTGAAGATGCTCTGAACATTGTTGAGATGACAACCAAGGGTTTAGAATATTACATAAACTTAGATGATAAAGCAGGGAAGGGTTTGAGAGGACTGACTCCAATTTTTTTTTCTGTGATGGGGTCTTGCTATGTTGCCCAGGCTGGCCTTGAACACCTGGGCTCAAGCAGTCCTACTGCCTCAGCCTCCGTAGCAGCTAGGACTTCAGGCCTGCACTATTGTAACCAGCTTAGATTGACACTACTTTTGAAAGATGTTCTACTGTGGATAAAATGCTATCAAACCACATCTTATGGTACAAAGAAATCTTTTGTGAAAGGAAGAATGAATTGATGTGGCAAACTTAATTGTTGCCTTATTTTAAGAAATTCCACAGCCATCCTAGCCTTCAGCAACCCCCAGGCTGATCAGTTAGCAGCCATCAACACTGAGGCAGACCCTCCACCAAAAAAAAGATTACAACTTGCTGAAGGCTCAGAAGATTGTTAGCATTTCTTAAAGCAATAACATATTTTTAAATTAGGGTTTTTTACATTTTTAAAGACATAATGCTATTGCACACTTAATAGACTACAGTATAGTGTGAACATAACTTTTATATGCACTAGGAAACCACAAAATTTGTGTGACTTGCTTTATTGTGATACTCATTTTATTGAGTTGATCTGGAACTGAACCTGCAATATCTTCAAGGTATATCTGTATTTCTGTCTTCCAAGGCTATAAGGTAATGTGCGCTCTGCTTGGGATGGAGACTGTTTTCTAAGGGTGTTTGATTTAATCTTGTTAATATCATGTTAATAACTTAAAACTTTGTTAATGATTACTTCCCTTGTCAGTCAGTCATCCTGGAAAAGATAGTCTGGAATAAAACCCAGTCATCTATCTGGGCTCTAAAGAAGTGAAGTGAAGTGAGAGACCCCTGGAATTGTCTCCTAACAGTGTGACCTTTCTGAGGTGTCTCAGTTGAATTCCTCACATGTCCATGGTTTTATCTGCTTGTTCTGTCTCTTGGTTCTATGTGACCACCAGAATCTCCATTCAGCTATTCACTGCCAGACATTGTCAAGAGTGTCACCCTGCACATATGCAACCTAGTGTTTGGCCAGAGACTTAATATGACCCTTATACAGATTTCTGATGCTCCTTGTATTTGATATTATCTTCCACAAATTTTGCTTCATCTCCAGACTTTATTCTCTTTTTCCGCTGCTCAGAAAGACTGTAGTTTTTTGTGTGCTACAGTTCTGAAAGTGCCTTCAGACAGAAAGCCAGGGAGATTGTAGTGCTTTTTTTCCCAGAGACCACAGTCTTGCTTTTCCTGTTGCTCAACTTTTAAAAATATTTGTTTCAAATATTTTGTACAGTTTTACTTTATTTTACATTGTTTATAGTGGGCCAGCTGGTTTGTGCCTGTTACTGCCTCATGACCAAAAGTGAAGTCTCCTATCACTTTAATTTGCATTATTTATGAATATACAGTATTATGCCAGCTAGACTGCAAGATTGGTAAAGTCAGAGATGTTATCTTTTCTTCTTTTAAAAATTATTTAGAGTATTATATAAGTGGGTACTCAGTAAATGTGTCTTGTTCCACAAAGCACACAGTAGAAATATGAGACTAAAGTATAAAAATTCTGTCCCTTGATATTATTGTTATGGTAATGATGAGAATTAGGATGTTATATGACAGATTAGTTTGTGGTTATTTACCTCTAGGTAAACATATGCCTACAGTTGATAACATAAAGCATTTTATGAACTGAGTTTTTGAAAGAAAAAATTACTAAAGAAATTAGATTGCTATGTTAGATGGTATCGACCAAGACTTGAAATAGTGCCATTGTATTATATTTAACATTTCTCCTTGTAATGTAAATTTGTGTACTAATTTACGGATTGAAAGGGATTTTACATATATTATTTTAAATTAATTTTGATTTTCTCAGCAACTCTCTATGTTAGGTTCAGTAGCTATCCTCATTTTATTGAGCAAATTAAAGCTCAGTGAAGTTCTTCCATACTTAAGATTCCAAAGTTATAAAGTGGAAGAGCTGAGACTGCAAATCGAATCTCTAAATGAAGTTTAATGTTCTTTCTGCCTTTCTGCATACCATAGGTGTGGGTTGCCACGTTTATTTTAGTTCTTTTTTTTCTTTTTGAGTGTATGTAGTTTATGCCCATTTTATTCATTCTGTGTATAGGATTATGAAACTGAAATTTTAAATTCTTTACCTGGTGAGATTGTATAGATACCAATGTTTTAAGTTTTGTGCCTGTTAAATATTTGAAACTACTTTTAGAAGTTTTATTAAATAGTAAATCTTTGGTAATGGCATAAAAGGTATGTTTTTGTGTTACTTTATAATTACTTTAAATTGTCAATTTGATAATTAGGTTCAAACGATTGTGCAGAAATGTGTTAAAGATTGTGTATTGACATTCTCACATTAGGCTTGTTCTACTTTGAAGATTAATATTCTAACATTAGAATTTTAAAAGTATATTTGTAGTTTAAAACTGCTTTAATGATTATTTGCTCTATAAATATGCATAAATAAGGATGGCATCATTGTAATCGCTTTAAACCCTTTTTTGGGTAATACATCCTTAGTTGGGTTGAGTTGGAAGTGATGATCTTTGGAATATGCACATGAATTAATTGGTTACTCTATCTTGGGATATGTCAGAAGTACTACTGCTTCAGTGAGAGGACTCTGGCAGGAGATGTTATTTTTTACCAGCCAGCGGTGTTTATCTTGATTTGAAGGAAGCAAGCTTTATCAACATAGAGGATAATGATTTACTTGTCTTATCCTTTCTCTTTGTAGCCTAGAGAAATTCCAGAAAATAGTCTTTTTTTCTTTTTTAGGAAGAAAATATAGTCTTCATATGAAAAGCTTTGTGTGCTTTTCTGATCAAAATACAGAAGGATTTTTATCTTTTGATCTACTAAATTTACTTATCAACATAGGTGTTAGCTTTGCTTTTCACTCCTTCCTTCAAAATTGTAGGACAGAAATTTGGAAGTCAGGAAAGCAAGTGAATGTGACAAATGCTTATTTATCTTGCAAAAGTGCTTCATAAGTATAGTCTTTTCTTCAGCTTGTCCTTCATACCATTGATAAACTGGACTTTAAAGAACTTATTAATGAAGGTGGCAATTTAGTTCTGCCTGAACCAACAACTAGTTATATGATCTTGCATAAATCATTTTTCCTTTCTTGACTCAAGTTCCTTCAGGTAAACAAAAGCTATAGACTATCCAAAAGCCCCTTGTAATTTAAACATTCTGTCATTTTAATTGTATTATTGTTTAGTTCTTCAACTACATTATCAACTCACTGAAGCAAGGATTTCATCTTCCTTTTGATAGTTTTCAAAATATATTGTGTAGCATATTCGATACAGTAATAGAAATTTGTCTACAACCTCAATTCTCAAACCTTGACTTTCTGAGACTCAGTCTTCCCCATATAGGGATCTCTTGCTCATAATTCCTTTTTTATTCATCCCTCTGCCTTTTCAAATCATTCAAATAAAAGACTTGCCAGGGACCCACAAGGCTCCATATAACTGGCTCAAATCCCCCTTGTTTACATTTCTAACCTCATCCTTTCCCACTTTTCTCCCTTGCTCTCTTAACTGCAGCCACACTGGCTTCTTGCTATCCCTGGAACAACATCAAGCATGCTCCTTCAAGGGTTTGCATTTTTTGTTTACTTCTAATACACTTTCCCAAGATATCTGCACAAGTAATTTCTTTACCTTTTTCAAGTTTTTGCTCATTGTCAGTGAGTCTCACTTTAACCAACTTAACAGAATTAAAATCGCACTCTCCTTCCTTTTGCGCTCATAATTAGGTTATATGCCTGCCCAGCCCCAAATCAAACACAAGTTCAGGGCTGTAGTGATTGTCTTTGCTGATGCAAAATTATATTTGATAGTGCAAAATTTTCATAGGGTAACTGAAAGGAACTGTTAAGAATATCTTAGCACATTACATATTCTAATTTAGAGGTAAAGGTCTGATTTCTTAGAAATTGGTGGAAGCATTTTAAGACTCAATTATGTTTTATTAAGATGAAATCATTTGCTTATTTTCCATCTGTATATCTTCTTTGGTGAAATGTCTGTTCAGCTCTTTCTCTTATATTTTCTTTATTGGGTTGGTTTCTTATTACTGAGTTTTGAAAGATTTTAATATATCCAGGATACAATGACTTTGTTGGATTTGCATTTTTTTCTCCCATCTGTATTTTGTCTTTTCATGCTTTTAACTAACATTGTCTTTCACAGAGAATAGTCCTTTCTTTTGATCAGTTTATCAGTTTTGTTTTTATTTTCATTTAGAGTTCATTTAGATTTTCATTTCCTTTTGATTTCTTCTTTGACCGTTGGGTTATTTAGAAGTATGTTATTTAAGTTACAAATATTTGGGGATTTTCCTGTGATGTTTCTGTTATATTTTGATAATGTAATTCCAGAGAATATCATGGTATGGCTTGAATCCTTTTAAATCAGTTAGGACTTGCTTTATGGTGCATTATATGATTTCTTCTCGTATATGTCCCATATGCACTTAAGGTTTTGTTTTAGATTACAGTTAAGTTATTTGGAAACAGTTTGAACATTTGAGGCTTGCTTTTAAGCTTTGGTAGGTGAAACCAGAGTCATCTTCAGTCCAGTGCTGATTTTGTCCCACTGCTAAGGTGTTACCCTCTGAGTACTGTACAGGATACTCTTGTTGATTATGAGGTTTTCCCACTCTGGGTGGTGTGAATGTCAGCTGATCCTGGGATTTCCCCCCCATTTCTTTTGGGTGATTCTTTCCTCAGTGTCTGGTAGTTTCCTCATATGTGTGCACTGATCATCAGCACTAAAGTCTTGGGTGGGTTGGTGGTGAACCTTCTGCAGCTCTCCAGAGCTCTATTCCTGTGCAGCTTCGTCTCTGTTCTCTTTGTGGAGTCTAGATGCTTTGGCCTTCCAACCTCATCTCAGGAAGACCACTGGGCTCTGCCTGGGTTTCTCCCACCTTGTGCCACATCCTGGAAACTCCAGATATTAAGACCAATTGTAAGGCTTACCTTGTTTGTTTTATCTCTGTCAGGGATCACTGTCCTGCATTTACTAATGTCTGAAAATTGTTTAATGTATTTTTTTAGATTTTTAGTTGTTAGAGAGAGAGCAAATACAGTTTGTACTTTCTCTTGGCTGGAAGCAGATGTCCTGTTTATGGATGTAAAAGTGCTGCTTTAACATTCTGCATCTATGGTTAGAAGAAAAGCTATGGTAACTAAGTACATGGGTAAATAATGTTTGGGAATATAGTTACCATGGAAGTTCTGAGGATCTTCTGTCATCTTTCTGCCAAAAAGTGATTCTGCATCAGCATCTTCCATGTTGTGTTTCACAGTTAATAACCCAAGTCTTCTATGAGAAAGAAACTGGCCAGATTAGGTCATGTGTTTGACTTATCAGCTCTGGCCTGAGGTCACATTCACCAATTGTGGATGCAACTACTGAAAACCCACCCTGGGTATAAGATGTAGTTCCCAGAAACGAGGGAATTGTTGTGACCTGGCTGTCATTCTCTATGTGGATTTAATGTTGATATTTTTTGGCTTTGAAAGGAAAATACTTCTATGTCTAAATGAGAAAAATAGCACCTTAAATTCAAAATTCAGCATTGGTTCAAAATCATTTGTCATGAAAGCTTCTTTTCCAGTTATAATATTAGATACTCCCCTTTGTCCTGTTATATAACAGAGGGTACTCATGCATGCTAATTCATACTGGATCAGTGACAGAGAGGAGAAGAAATGTAATAAACAGGTGTCAGAGAAATCTGTGTAAATACAGTTGAAGGGGAAAGTAAATAGGGACAATAAATTATAGGAAATTAGGAGGCAATCAAAACCTGCGGGAAGAAAATGAGCTGGGTTATCTGCTTCCAGGTCAGATATCTATGTTACCCTCTCCTTTCTAATAAAATTTCAGCATAATACTGGAAATTTTATCTTAGAACTAAGTAATGCTTTATTTCCTCAAGGTGATTGGAAAACACAGTTCTACCAGACTAAAGGGAGATGTGTATTGTAACTCAACAGGAAGACATAGCTTTACTTGTTTTTCTTTTTTTGAAGCAGAATTCTAAGTATTTATTTTTAAATTCACCAATTTTTACATAATTAGAATCTTGAGGCTTCCCTACCTGTAGTAAATTAGATCCTGGATACCTATGTGAATGTTTTTCTTGTCTAGCTAAGAAAAGGCCTAAAAATGAATAAGAATCATTGTTGCATTCTCACCGTAATGATTAAGTAGGAGAATCTCCTATAATGCTTAGTAGATAGAGGCAAACAAGTCTAATAGAGTGCAAAAAATCTCCTTGTTTTCAGGGGCCTGTGGAGTTTTGTCATACCTCCAAGATGGAATGTTTAATGTTGCTAGACAGATGTCCACAAGTGTTTAGAAAGAGCTGCTATTCAGTGTTTGTCAGTATGTGATTTAGAGCTATAGATGATTTATTGAGAAGTCAGGATCCTGGGACATACTTTGATTATTTTAAGGATGGAGGTGGGAGTGTAATCTACATTTTGGAAAAAGTTTCCCAGGTGATTGTTATGCATCTGAAAGTTTGAAGCCATTGTCTAAAGGAATAGGGCTATGGTGGTGCTTAGATCCAACCACTTCGACATAGGGCAGATGATTTTCCCACTATTCTGTTGGAGATGTTGCTGTCAGGTTTATTGGTGTGCTGCCTTATAGCTGATTGTAGGAAAGGAGCAGTGTCTCTGATATGCCCTATGTGTGCAATTGGAAGAACTGGGATAGAGTTAGGAATGGATGAGGGCTTATCAAAGATGAAGTATGATTTAGACTCAGAATAGGCTTTTTTATGTGCAATTAGTCAGTCTTCAGTGATTTTCAAGAGACATAGCAATAGTTTTGATGTCTTGCATAAATGCTAGTATTGAGAAATCTCATTTATGAAGTAGTCTCAAAGAGACATTCAAAAGAATAGATGCTTGGGTGTGTACTCAGCAGTCGCAAATAAAAAGGAAGCTGTTTTCAGAATGAGTGGTATAACAAAAATCTGAATAGCAGTCTAAGAGAAAGGCAAGCAAGATCAGTAGAGCCTTGGGGCTAATGAATAGACATTCCAGTACAACAGGAATGCAGTATGGGCATTTGTAAGGAAAGGTTACAGTAACAAATTTATCACAGATTATCTCAGGGATGATTTTTATGACATACATAGAATTTATTATTTTAATTTAAAACATAAGAGGCTGTGCATGGTGGCTCACACCTCTAATCCTAGTGCTTTGTGAGGCCAAGGTGTGAGGATTGCTTCAGGCCAGGAATTCAAGACCAGTTTGGACAACATAGTGAGACCCTGTCTGTACAAATTATTATTATTTTTTAATTAGCTGGGTGTGGTGGCACACGCCTGTAGTCTTAGCTATTTGGGAGGCTGAGGCAGCCTCAACTGAGGCTGCAGTAAGCTATGATTGTGCCTCTGTACTCCAACCTGAGCAAGAGAGCAAGATCCTGTCTCGATAGATAGATAGATAGAGAGACAGACAGACAGGTAGAAAGAATTGGGCAAACCATTTAATCCCAAGTCTCAAAATGAGTAGATCTTATGTTATCTCTGACTCAAAATTTTTGCTATTCAAGTTCAATAAAAGTTGGAATCTGCAGCTTAAAATTGAGCTTGAAATCAAAAGAGTGGGTTGTTTTGCAGTATTCCAACCTATATTTTCTTTTTTTTTTTTTAAGTCCAATATTTATTTAAAAATCTAATCTGCCAGTTTAGCGTTTTCCACCAACTCGAGAACTGAAACTTTCACGGGCTTCACAATCATTTACTTAGGTGCTGCCTTTGTAGGTGCCTTAACAGCAGCCATTGCAGTGTTTTTAGATACTTTGCTTAGCCTTTTTTGCTTCCTTAGCAGCCCTGATACCTTGTTCTCGTTGAGCCTTTCTAACTTCAGGTTTCTGATTCCTCTTGGCCATTATATCAGCAGGAGAGGCACCTGTAATAGCCCCCTGCAATTTGACTGCTCGGCAAGTTCTTTTCTTTTGAATTTCTTCCAATTGTCCCTTTTTGTGCTTCTTTCTGTAGAGGACAGTCCAGCTTATCTGCCGAGGATTCCCCCTGGAAAAGTACGCCGATTCGCATTTTGCATTAAGAAACTGGAAAACTTTCCTGTCGGTCCTGGCGTAGCGCCTCCCGTGTCCGGGGTAGACCTTGTACCGGCTGAAACCGCATAGCTCGACCTTCATGGCGGCAGCTCCACGGGAGGAGAAAAGATGGCCCCAACCTGTATTTTCGAGTAATACCCTTTAGAATTCATAAAAGTCTAAGAACACTTTGTAAATGGAATGTTTCATAGTTCACACTAAAGTAAACATAAACTGTTAAGCAAAACTTTAGATCACTTCTTCTAACAAAGGAAATGTACCCGAGAACCCATGAGAAGTAGCTTCAGAGTATTTTTTTTTAACAGTGAATTCTCTGAGGTCTTGGACTTTTAAATTTTATTTAGTTTAATTGCCAAAAGCCAAGGTGGAGCTGTGTAGCATTCTGAGGAAATAAAACCACTTGAAGCAGAGGTATAGTAGAATAAAGCCATTCTGCCTCCAGTATTTGGGTGGATGTATTTGGTACTGTAATCATTTTACAGATTGCTAATTCATTGATGTAAAAGATACTCAATGGTAGGCATGTTGGACCCATTCAATATTGTTTTTTGTACCTTTCTGTTAACTTTTGTATTATTCATATATAATATAGATTTAACCAAATCTATTTTCTTAAAATTGCATATTATTGTTTTATGAAATGTTCTTTTAAATTTTGTTAAAATTTTGTCCGCTTTTTCTACAGAAGTAGGAATGAAATATTTAACATTTTCTGCCAGTTCTTACTTATCCACTGTGTTCCAGAGTCTTTAATTTAAATATTTTTGTTTGCCAGGCTTAGATTTTCATGTGTCTATTAAAAGAGTAGGAACATACTCCTCCATGCCAGACATCTGCTATGTATAAGCATTGATTATTTTCCCCCTTATGAATAAATGTATTTCTTTTGTTAAGTTTGTTGTAGGTTAAAAAAAAAGCATATTTATGTTTCTCCTAAAATTTGGGAAATCAATTTATATTACTCTATGGAGTATGTAACAAATGATGTATTCTTTAATTCTGAATCCTGTATACAGTAGTTACACCCTTATCTTTCATTAATTGCTGTCTGTTTGTAGGGTTTTGAACTATTCTGATTATTTTGCAAAGTTTTTTTTTTTAAATTACGAATGTAATGTATTGCAGTCAATTTTGAAAGAAGGAAAAAGATTTTTCTTTTTATACCAATAACACAAAACATCTATTTTTGTGTATTCCTTTTTAGATTTCAATATGAGCTTATTAAATGTGGTTGTAATCATATATAGTTTTCACTTAATTTTCAATATTTGTTGTTGCTATTGGTTTAAATTACAAAATATTTCATAAACTGCAGCAGTCCCCAAAGCCCCTTGTAAATATTCATGAACTCAACCATAACTTAATATACTTGAGAGAATTATCTTTCACTACCATCATATGACTGAATTTAAATTTATCTAATGTGTTTAACTTTTTACAGGTTAAAAAATTTACAGATAGTTTTTATAAGAATGGTTTGGTTTATATACTCTTTTCATTTCTAAGTTTTAATCAGTTATCTACTTTTTAGTTTACTGTTTCTCTTCTGTTCAATATTTTAAAACTTATTCAGGAATATGAAAAGATATGACAGTTTTATTTTGACTTCTGCATTTTGATTGGGTCCTTCAGTGAAAAATACAGTAGCAGAATTTCTAATGATAAATATTTAATGTAAATACTGCAAATAAAATATAATTTCTTGTAATTTTTTGAATGTATCTTTTAGTTGCACAGATTTTTAAATGCAAGAGATTAGAATATCATAAATAAGCCTGTGTATTATTTTAAGAGCACGTATAGAGGAAGGGGTTGTATGTTGGTAAAATACATTTACTGACCCATGTGTGAATTGGTGACCAGGATTGTTAAAGCATTGAGTTCTAAAAGTTTTTCTCTTATCTTTATGTTCAACAATAGAAAGTTTTACCGTATGGTCAAATAACATCTTCATCAGGTTCTCAACAGGATACCTTAGTTAATTTTCAGCTGAGTGCTTGACAGGATTTTCTCTTTGGCTAGCTGGTTGGATGAGAGTCTAGACACTGAGAGGCCAGGCTTTCGTGGGGCCTCACAATATCATTATTGTGCATGTTGAGTAGGAGCAGCTTCCTCTGATGTAGGGGCTCCATGCCCAAACAACGAAGACAAAGACAGAGCTTTTGTTCTCGAAGAGAAGAGCTAATCCGACTGCTGCACACTGTGAAAAACCTTTTATGAGAGAGGAAAAAAAACTTTCCTGGAAGGTGAAGGGTTAGCAGTTTAACCTCTGACCGTAAAATAAGCTGGTAAGGGGGAAAAAGTGTTGGGTAAGGTAGAAGAATAACAGGAGAAACATTCATCAAGGTTTGTATGCTGTGTTTATAAAAACAGGTTAAGCAAATAACTGTCAGGGGTGGATACTTGAGGTCTAATAATACATGCATATTTCTAATTTTTTTTTGTGCTTATTCTTAAACATAGGTGTTTAAACTTCATAATTTGAAGAGTGTATATTGCAGACCACACTATAAATGCAGGAAACAGTAGATGTCTAGTATTTACTCTTTTTCCTAAAAAGCTCCATTATAGACTTCTGTCAAGTTCTGAATATTTATTTTCTTGTTGTGTGAGTACAAAATCTTGATCCTTTTTCTTCATTGTTTTTTTCCCCAATTTCCTTGTTTAATATGATCATGTTTGTCTATAGAAATAAAGAAGTAGGACACTGCATATCTGCGGTACATAATTAAGACTCTTTCCAATTTGGTATTTGGCATTTTGATACCTATTCTGTTGATACATAGGTCTGGTGGGCAGTGTTATTATACAACTCCTTGGAGGAGATGGTTGCATCTTAGTGTACAAAGAATCCGGAGGCTCTGTCTGATCTTATATTGGCATTGTCAATACCAAGAATGTAGTTACAGTCCATTTAGAGGTGATGGAAGTTAAGTTGCTAGTAACTGTGTCATCTGTCTGCTTTTATTTACCAACCTGGACTAATTGCTTCTCCTCTTGTCAGTCACATATCAATCTTGAGCAATAATTAAGGTTTTATGCACTTGGGCTTCTTGCTTGGATGTATTAATGTATGTAACTTATTCCTGAGAATAACTATGCATATGGGGAAGCAGCAGCTTATATTGTATTATTTGAGTCATATTCTAAGGATCAGTCTGCCATGGTGTCTTTTAACTAACTTAATGTTTCTTCTATTATTCCGATTCCCTTTGGTAACAATACACATTTCTTCCTGTAGTTACCCAGTTTCACTTTTACCATGACAGAAAATGAGGAAAGGAGATAGAGAAGGTGACAGAGAGGAGAGATTGTGCTGGCCATTGAGTGATAATGAGGTAAGGGCAAAGAGATAAGTATAGAAAATAGAAGTTGAGAGTGAGTTGAAGGAAAGAAGAACACGTGAAACACATAGGTGGGCCAGTTAGGAATGGGTGGTGAGCTGTTGTGCAGCACTCTTAAGTTTTGAACTAATAATTAGTTGACCATAAATGTAAAAATTTCTTAAGGAATTACTCTTTTAAGACAGAAGTATAGAAGGATGGCATTACAAAACAAGTGACCAGACTTGGGAAGGTCCTGGGTGAGGGGAGGTAAATTTATATGAAGAGAAAGAAAGAGCCAGTAATAACCTACCATTTTGCTTAATGCATTACCTCTGTTCACTATGGTCAAATTTCTGCATCAGTATCTCAGCATTTTTTCCATCTCGCCTTACAATGATGAATAAAGTGATAGCGAATAGTGATAGTGAATGCATATAATGATATAGTGAATATATGTAATCTCCACTCATCCTATCAACATCTCTCAAGGTGGGTACTGCTATTATCACTACTTTACATTGGAGAAAAGTGAGGCACAGAGTGCTGTGTAGCTTGAGAAAGATCATGTATAGCAAGCTTGTCCAACCTATGGCCTGCAGGCTGCATGTGGCCAGGACAGCTTTGAATGTGGCCAAAAAATTCATAAACTTTCTTACAGCATTTTAAAAGTTTTTCCTTTTTTTTGCTCATCAGCTATTTTTAGTATATTTTATGTGGGGCCTGAGATGATTCTCCTTCTTCCACTGTGGCCCAGGGAAGCCAAAAGATTGGACGCCCCTGGTGTATAATGAGTGAATGACAATGCATGGCATGTCTATATGAAGTTTGACTTCAGTATCCAGCCACGTAACTACCATGCCGTGAATGCTTTAAGAATTCACTGAAGATATAATTATATACTACTGAAAGTTTTAGACTTCAAATGATAATCCCCCAACTCTTTTATTGTTTTACTTCCTTACTACTTTTTTTTAGGACAACCTAAATGGGAATTAATTGCTCACTTTCCTAGAGGATAGACTAGTATTAGAATATACAACAAATATAAGCATATTTTTGGTCTGAGGTCATGAATTTCAAATTTATTCTTTTTCTTTCAGTTTGTTTTCCTGCTATAGTTTCTCAGCCAATAATTATTTTTCTAAATGTGTGATTCTGTTTGTTGTTCCAAAGGACATAATTCTTCTCTTTATGAGTTCTTTGCTAATCTGTTTTAATCCTTTTGGATGTCTCATTTTCTCATTGTTTCTTACAAGTTGTGATGTAAATACTCTCAAGAAGTTACCAGAATAAAGTAGTGTCTGCTATTCCTCGAAACTTTCTAGTAGCCAGTATCCTCCCAGATTTCAGTTGTCCTTTATGTTGAATCATGAAGTTGTCATATGGTAATATCAACATTATGGGCTCTAGTAAGCTAATTTTTAAAGTGATCAACCCTATTCTGAGATTGTATTTTCTTTTGATAGTGTGCCTATAAAATTCAGACATCTCAAAAATGTCAAATAATATACATATATAATTTATATATGTACCAATTCTGATTAAACAACTTGTGTCTAACTTATTTTTTTAAAAGTTCTTAAGGTCAAGGAAACAGGTTTAATAATGTCCATGTTCATTTTCTTTTAAAATGTTAACCTTAGAATCTGCAAAATTAGGATTAATTTTCCTGCATTTAGTGTGGCACATTTGAAAAAAATTAGATAAAAACTATTTTCAGTCTAAAAGCCACCGTAACAGATTAAAAAATTCAAGTAGCCCTTTACTTTAAACATGTGATTAACCGTAAAGAATTTTTTCTTTTCCAATTTAAGTTCCCATGTCATAATACAGAGATAAAAAATAATGGCCCCCTGACACACCTTATTTGGCTCACATGGTATTCATGAAATGTTTAATTATTTTTCCCAACTTAAAAATTAGGTGATTTTGTTTTCATAAATATTCTGGATTTTCTTGAAAAATCAAAAGTATCTGTCAACACTGGGCCCACATTCCACATGGATGGAGCTGAATAATGGTTGCTTTTTTGGGAAGGGGAATGGGATCTATTTTTTACTACATGTCCTTTTATAGTCTGTCTTTTGTAGGCTCACTCTACTCATTTTTATTACCTATATATCCTAAAGGCATTTAACCTTGAAATCTCCCCTTTGTCTTTTCTACCTGTAAAAAGGGACTATATTTGTGTAATATATAAGGTATAAATAATTATACCTTGACTTTTTCTCAGGTTTTAAAGAAAATCTTAATTAGAAAACAAGTTTTATACCATACATAAAAACATTATTTTAATCTGTTTTTAAAATTCTTTGTGATATACCTCTGGCTCTCAAAGTGTAGTCTAGGGGTCTGTGGCGGTTCCCTGGAGTACTTCAGGAGTTCTGTGAGGTCAGAACTTTTTTCGTAGTAGTGAGGCATTATTAGCCTTTTTCGTTCCCATTTCTCACAAGTATATGGTAGATTTTTGCATAGGCTTCAGGACATGATGAAGTTATAACTCTGATGACTAATGAAGTGTGTACTTGAAGATTTTTGTGCTTTACTAATTTTTAAGTTTTGATTTTTAATACATAAATGTCATTTACTATAACTCACCTAAACAAAAGTTCTTTGACGACCTCAGTGATATTTGAGAGAATAAATCAGTCCTGAGACCAAAAAGCTTGAGAGGTACTGTGCTGTACATTATGGGGGCTAACTAAAAACACGTCAGTGGCAAATGCCCAAGGATAATTTGTATAATTACTATTTATTCTACATGATTACTATTTAATTGCCTATTTCTTTCTTGAAGTATGGGGCTTTCTTAATTAGTAATAGCTTTACTCTGCTCATTTGCTTGTTATCTTTAGTGAAAATATGTAGTGAAAATAAGGGCAGATCACTTCCCTCTCTTTGGTGTTAAGGATTACTTGATTTATTATATTACCTTTAAATCAGAATTGATCAGGTTTATGTTAGGGTAAGCCAGCTACTTGTTAAAATAAGCACATTAAAATAAGCAAATAAAGTTTATGACATTTACTGTGAAAAATTGATATGATAGGGAATAATTTTATTTGCATTATATATATCCATTGAATGGAAAGAATGGAAAATATACTCAATAAAAAACTGAAAAAGCTGCCTTTATGAAGTGTACATTAAAATTTGAAACATGATTCTGGCTTTTAGGAGCTTTGTTTAAATGAGGAGACACAAATAAGATGGTTTGGTAGCGATGGTTATTGTCTGGAAGTGGGATAGTCTGTGTGGTTGTAGTATTTTGGGAAGGTCTCATAGCATAGATCAGGAATAATGTATTGATTTTAGAGAGACAGAGAAAAGTGAACATAGGATTTCAGAAGGGGGTGCAGCATGTGTTGGAGTATAAGTAAATCCTTGAAATTGGGAATAAATTTTATTTATGTGAAAAGACACTGGGATTGAGTAGAAAATTTGCATTGGAGTTGGTGGGAAATACATTTAGATAGGTAGGATGGAATTGGGTAGGAAGTGCAGAATTTTGCAACACTGGTTTTAGTATATGGAGTTATGTTAAAATTTTAAAGTTCTATATGAGGCATTAAATATTAACACAGTTTGATGAGTTGGGTTTTGTTAAGCAGTAGTGAGCCACTGAATATTGTTCTGTGAAGGGAGGAATAATAAGAACTCTTAAGATTAATTTAGTGGCAGTGAGTTGAGAAGAGCTGAGTGGCAAGAAGACTAATTAGGCAATAAGAATTTAGAGTAAGATGAATATGGAAGAGGAGGAATGGATGACAACTGCATTTCGAAGAAATAACTAACATGGTTAGGCAGCTGATTAGACGTAGAGGATGAAGGCGTGTGAAGGCTGATTCTGAAACTTTTAGCATTGGTGTCTGGGTTCCATAGGTAGAGTGAGAGGGATATGATTCAGTGTTGGACACTAGTCAAGGGGATGTTGTAATCAAGTCATTGGGAAAATTGAATTTGAGATATAGAATTTTTGCTTCATTTATGCTTATGAATATCTACAAAAACACTTAGTTTTAGATATCACATTATATATTATGTTCTTGTTTTTAGTCCAGTTTAAAACAATATTTGAAACTTGAAAAATGGCAGAAGGTTTTTAAAAGGCTTGAGAAAAATTTCTTTACAGAAAGATTTGTGGCAGTAGTTTTCAACCAGAACAGCACATAAGAATCACCTGGGGAGTTTTTAAACAATTGTAGATGTGTCTAGAATGGTATTGGGTGGGGTGAAGGGTCACTTTTTAAAAATTTAAATGATCTTCCTTAGATAATCTAATGAACAGAAAGGGTTGAGAACTGCTATGTAGATATATAGGAAATAATTTGTGAACAATGGGAAATAGAATTTCAGTAAAAGTTTTTGAATTTGTTTTAAATTATATGTAGGGGCGATCCATTTTTTTTTTTCACAGCTCTTCAACAAGAGAGAAAAGAGTTAAATTATCTTCTGAGATATTTAGTTGGACATTGGGAAGAACTTTCAACTATTAGTTTACACTTTAGGAGGGAAGCTGGGAGATTTGGAGCAGTCCCTGTATATGTGTAGAATATAAAAGGATGTGTCTTTTTTTAGTGGAACATAAAGGAGCCTGCCATGTAGGGAGAGGAAACAAGGTCTCTTGTGATCCTTCTTACCGCTGATCTAAGATATATGGCAATTTTGTGTAATGTCACATGACAAATTATCTTTGTGAACTTGTGTTTGCTCTTGAATTCTGCTTAGTAGAATCCAGTCCAATTGGCCTCAAAATCAGATCACTGTTTTCTATTAGAAATACATAGCATTTTTAATATAATTCCCAGTAACTTGATAATTATATGTTTTCTTTTTCTTTTTCTTTTTTTTTTTTTGAGAAGGAGTCTCACTCTGTCTCCCAGGCTGGAGTGCAGTGGCGCGATCTTGGCTCACTGCAAGCTCCGCCTCCCGGGTTCACGCCATTTTCCTGCCTCAGCCTCCCAAGTAGCTGGGACTACAGGTGCCTGCCACCACGCCTGGCTCATTGTTTGTATTTTTAGTAGAGATGGGGTTTCACTGTGTTAGCCAGGATGGTCTCAATCTCCTGACCTCATGGTCCACCTTCCTTGCCCTCCCAAAGTGCTGGGATTACAGGTGTGAGCCACTGCGCCCGGCGCTAATTATGTTTTAAGAAAAATGGGTGAAAATTACTGTAGGACTTAATTATTAGTAAGCATGTTCAGACTAATAGTTTTCTGCCCCTTCAAGGAAATGATTCTTTTTGCCAGTATCACAGTGTTGTATTTACCAGTCATAATCTTGACCTCAAAGGTTAATGATATTTATCCATTATTAGTTTAAGGAAATTCTGGATATGATCAGGGAAGATTTTAGCAATAAAACAACATATTTAATTAGAAACAGAATAAAATATTCACATCTCTACTTTCATTTGCTTTTCATTCTACATCAACAGAGACCTGTGAACTGAAATGTAATAGCTATGTTGTGTTCATTTTATTATTATAGTTTTATGTTAACAAGTTTCTTAGTTTTTACTATGAACATTTGAAAGGTGTTCCCCACAAGTCCTTAGATTTCTCTAACATGAAGGTATAGATGACATCACATCACATTGATATTTAGAATCAGTTTTTTTCCAGCTTGATAACCTCTTGAGTACCTTCTGGGTCTCGATCCCATTTTGAGGTATTCATTCTCTTTTAGTATTTCTGTGGCCCTCCAGGGGTATCTCATAAGTACTGAGGAATTGCTTGTCTACCTCAACTACTATGCTTCATGCCTTTGCTCTTAATGTCTCACTGCGATTATTTCCATATCACTGATGCAATCATTTGTCTAGACCTTGTTTTAGTGCTTCACCTAGGATTATGCTTCTGACTTTGGTGGGTGCTGACAGTGATATTCACCCTCATCTTAGCCCATTGTTTGAAGTATATCCTATTTCATTATTGCTGCACTTGGCTCCTGGACTGCCATTCATAATGATGTTGCTAGTCACAGGTCTTTGCAGTTTTAATGTCATGTGATCCTTCACAGCCTGGGTTGCGGTTCTGCAAAGTGAGTAGGGAGGGCTTCTCATCATCTATGTTGAAGTTCTGCAGATCTAGAACTCATTTAGTTGTATAAAACACGATTCTTTTCTTTCCAGAGTATTTACATGCCAGCAAGATCACTGGGTCCACGTCAGGTTCATAAAACACCCACTATAATCTACTGGGAGAGTTTCCATTGGACTCTTGGACCCTTATTGCCCTTGCCATGAATTCTGTCTCAAGAGGGTAGATCATCTTGTAAATTTTATGTTATCTGCTTCCTTCCCTGATATTTTACCACAAATTGTCTATATATATGTGTATGTGTGTGTATATCCATATGTGTGTATATATATGTGTGTGTGTGTGTATATGTATATATATATATCTGAGTCATTCATATATATATGAATGATGTAAGTTCTTTTCCTAAGAGGTTCATTTTAAATATTATCTGTAGCATCATAACTGGGTTCATTATTTTATTACCTTTCAGTTTATACTCAACACAGAAGCCAGGGTGATCCTGTTAAAATATGTCAGAGCATGTCTCCTCTCTATTCAAATGCTGCTGTGGCTCCCTTTCCCAGAGTGTAAGCAGGTTCCTTTTTATCACTCTCAAGGCCCTTTATGTTCTGCTTGTTCCCCCTTAACTCTCTGACCTCACCTTGTCTCATTATTTTCATTTATCACTCTTTTAGATTTTTTTTCATATGAACAAATATAACTTTTTTTTTCAAGGCTATAGTCTTTTTCAGAGTTGTATAGTGTTTCATAGAATAATAATGGTATAATCATTTTCATATTGATGGGCATATAGGTTATCTTGCAAAACTTTGCTAATTGTAAACAGTGCTTCAGTAAACATTGTTTTATATATATGTTTGCATATAAGAAATATATAATTTCTTGCATTTTATAAAAAAGAATTTTTCTGTTACAATTTCTTTAGCTGCTCCTTTAGAAAGGGTCTATTCTTGGTAAATCTTTCAGTTTTGTCTTTCTGAAAATGTATTTATTTTCCCTACATTCCTGTTTGCACAGTTCTTAAGTTGTAGAGTATATTATTCCACTGTCTTCTGGCTTCCATTGCTGCTATTGAGAAGTCTGCTGTCGATGTAATAATGTATGTAGTTTTCTACTTACCTCTTTTCTCTCTAGGATGCTTTGAAAGGTATCCATATCTTTTTATACTTTGCAATTTCATTGTGATGTGTCTAGTCATGTCTGTCTTGAGATCTTGCTTAGGTTTGTTGTCATTTCCAAATCTAAAGATGTGTCTTTTATCAGTTTTGGAAAATCAGCCTTTATTTCTTCTAATATTATTTTCTTCCCTCTTCCATTATACACAGTCTGGTATCTTTGGTCTGATCTTTTAGAAATTTAAATAGATTTATTTTATTCTGGTCTCCATTTTTCTTAACCTCTTTTCTCATTTATTTTGCCTCTTTATGGCTCAATCTGTTTTAATATCATTTGTGTCTGACTTAGTTCACTATTTCTGTCTTCAGTTTTATAAGATATGCTGTTCTATTCATTGAGCTTTTAATTTCATAGATTATATTTTTATATTTTTAAAAGTTCTAGTTTTCAAAATTTGCTAGTTCATGTTTTGAGTTATGTTATTGTATAACATTTTAAATATCCTTACAATATATGCTGTTTCAGGTAATTTTAATATCTGAAGCCTGTGTGGGAGGAACAAAAAAAATTAGTATCTTAATTCCATTCTTTGTGTCTGATGGTTATAATCACAGGTGTTTAGATTTTCTGTAGTAATTTTGAATTACCCATTTATGTTAGGCAAGACCTGAGTTGATCAAGTGTTTCTTCTTCAAGAGGGCATTTGTACTTTCCTTTTGTCATGTGCCTGAGGTGCCATCTCTTTAGGGTGACAGGATCCATTCCTAGGCTTTGTAGATACAAAGATAAATAAGAGTTATTGCATTTACAGTAAGTTTCTTAGTGACTTTATTATATTCATTAGAATCTTAAATTTATTCTACATTTACTTTTATTGTAACTTGAAAATATCCTGAAAGAAAGGTCATGCATGGTTTAATTTGGTTCTTTGATGTTTTGTTTTAATGTATTTTTCATTTTAAAATTAATTTTAAAATATTTTTAGCAGTTATTCTTAATGTAGCTTACACATGTTTTTATGTTAGTGAACTTTAAGTCATTTTTGTAGTTAGTATGATTCTATTCATGAATTTTAGCTTATTCTCAAGTCATTGGAACTGTGTCTGTTATATCCAGGAGTATTAGAAGTTTACTGTACTTCAGACCATCTTTATATCAAGCAAGAAAGCTTTGAAGCATTTGCACATCTACCCAAAATTACTTTTTGGTGTAATATGAACATGATTTTAAATGCCATGAATAAAATGAAGCTGTTTTATGAGCAGTTCAGTTAATTTTACATTCTGAAGTTTCACATTAAGACTGTTTCTTGACAATATTTTACTTCAAAGAGTTAAGTATAATGAGTGTTGTGAATAAAAATATATGTCTTCTTTTATTTAACCATATACTTGCTTTTTTATAATTCTTATAATTATAAAAATTATAAAGAATTATAACAAACAACAGTCTCATGCTAACTTAAAGCATGGCCTCTTACCTTCTTTCCTCCTTAAAGGAATCATAATAAAAGCTATTGCTTTAGGATATGATCTTAAAGCAACTTTAAGATCTTAGCTGACTCAAAGGTATATTAGGTTCTGTATGACAGATCATCTTTCTACAAGCAACCTATTAACTTTTTTTCCCTGTGTTCTTATAAAAACGTTTGTGTTGGCTTTTAATGATTAGTATCTGAAAAATGTCAAAACATTTGATTCTCAGTTGTAAGTTCCTTGCGATAGATTAATCAAGATTGAACATCTGTGGTACAGCATTTCTTTCCCTTCTTTATTGTTGATGTTTTTTTTAAAACTCTCATGAAGGGCCCTTGGGACAGATGGCCCCTCACTGTTGATGGTTCGATTACCATGATCACCCACAGCTTCAGAGGAGTGCGAAGAAAAGAAATTGCTTTCTTTGTCAAGGTGTTTTCAATTCAATTCTCACCCATTAGCCCTGTTTGGTTAAGTTTGGAATTACTCTATCAGGAGATTGATGAGGGTTTTCATTTTATTATAATAGGTCTTGTTTAAAAGGAATGGATGTAGCAAAATGTTATATCTAACATGCTATGAGTTATATTTTCTTAAGGTTCTTTGAAGTTCCATTTTCATTACCTTAGTTAGAATTTGCTAATATTTGCTCAAAAGAGAGCTTCCTTGTTTTAAGTTGTGATGCTGATTTTACATCTTTCTAGAAATATTTAGAAAGGTTAGAATTATCCATTATCCAAATTGTTTTTTTAAGGTTTGAGTTTCAAAAACACCAAAATTATTTTAAAGTGCTAGTTTGATTTTCCAGGATGGCTTATTCGAATGAAGATAATCACAGTGGATCATTACATTAAATTTTATTTCCACCATTGCTTATGTGCATTTTTAGAATGGTGAACAAATGGACATATTTTCAAAATTGCTTAGTTTTAATTTTAAATGTATGCATTATGTAAAATAACAAATAGAAGTGTGATCTCTATTTTTGCAAGTGATTATAAAGTAAAAGATCTTGAAATAATGTTTTCATTTCTGTGAGGTCTTTGTGTGAATCAAACTTACATGATTAAATGAAGAATTATTTTAATTTCAGATTGAGAAGGTATTGATTTGAGTATTATTAGTAATTAATCTCCTTGTCTAGGTTTCTTCACATACAAATTTCCAAGTATTGTTCAAAGGAAGTCTGTAAGATTTAGGCCATTGTTTTACAAAATACAAATATTTGGCTTGGTGAGAATGTCTTCCTATAGATAACTAAGAAACTTTTAGACTTGTGGATGTTCTTTAAATTACTGTCTAATGAATGCACAGTAAAATCAAAGATCAACCAAGTATAGCAAATTGCAGCAGCATATTTTAGAAAGGATGTTATATAAGAAGCAAGGATACCTGAATCCTAGTCTTGGCTTCAATAGTTACTAGCTCCAGACACAGGATACAGTGTAACTTTGGGTGATTAAAAAAAAAGAATATTTAATGTCCTTTCTCATTCAGAAAATACAAAGTTTCTATCCATATATAATGAACCTTTTCTTGAAATACCAAATAAGTAAATAAAAGAGGCCTTATTATTATTATTACTATATTTTGCATTCACAGATAGTCTTTCTGTTGTCCATATTGGAACTAATTGCTTAAATTCATGAAAGAAAGCATTGTAAGACATTACAGCAAGAAAAATTTTCTCACATGTCTGAGTTGGAAAAGTACAAAAGGACATCTATCTTGTTTAGATATGGACTACCAATATGTATGTATACAGCATACAGCATATAAAGTTAGAGGGAATAATAGGCAGTATATCTTGTGTACACATAACTATAGTCCTCCATAATTGTTCCTTAAATCATGTGGTTCCAGTGTCACAAAACATTCAATTTTGAAATAAAATTCTTTCATTGGGATATGGAACTAGAATTATAGTATCAGTAGTATTTGGGTTTTAAAAACATTTTGGTGGTATTTTTCTTGCTAAAATTATTTTCTGCTGTAAGTGGTATAGTTGATGTTTGTTTCTAGCCCTATGAAGATATATTTGTTGTCATATCAAGTCTATATGTAATAAAGGAAAATATAAATTATTTATTGTCATATTTTAAAGAATATTTATATTTTTTATAAATATATAAAAATGTCATGCATACTGGTTCTTCACTCTAGAATGTTCTCCCCTGCCCACTTTATGGCCCAGATTATCCTTTGCTTGTCTTACTTGTGTAATTTATGTCCTTTCCTTTTGAAGGAAATATTAAATTTCTTAACATGTGACGCATAATGCTAATCATTGTGAGAGATACATAGTCCATGCTGTTAGTTCTCAAAGTGTGGTCCTGAGACCAGTAGCATCAGTATCACCTGAGAGCTTTTTAGAAATGCAGTTTCTCGGCCAGGCACGGTGGCTCAAGCCTGTAATCCCAGCACTTTGGGAGGCCGAGGCAGGCGGATCACGAGGTCAGGAGATCGAGACCATTTGGGCTAACATGGTGAAACCTGTCTCTACTAAAAATAAAAAAAAATTAGCTGGGTGTGGTGGTGGGTGCCTGTAGTCCCAGCTACTCAGGAGACTGAGGCAGGAGAATGGCATGAACCCGGGAGGTGGGGCTTGCAGTGAGCAGAGATTGTGCCACTGCACTCCAGCCTGGGCAACGGAGTGAGACTCCGTCTCAAAAAAAAAAAAAAAAAAAAAATGCCGTTTCTCAGGCCCACCTCAGAAGTTTTGTGTGTGGGACCCAGCAGTCTGTTTGTGTAGATATTTTTGTTGAAGTTTGAGAACTACTGAATTAGACCTTTAAGAAGATGATAAAATTAAATATTGTCATCTATAGGTTAACTTCAAAATAATTTGTACAAACATCTGCTTATATATGTTTTATCAAGATTAGATGTAGTCTGAATTTAAGACTTTCCAGCAATGAATTTGTTTTTATTTTCACTGTTGCTTATAGTCTTAAGGTTTATAGTACAGTCTATCATACTATTCTTTTTTGAGTGGATCAGTGAAGCTTTTTATTACTACTTTGTCAAAATGAGTGATATCTTTCTATCATGCAGTAAATCTGTGTTTTGCCGGAGTCTGTGCCAAGGAAAAATGGCAAAAGTGTCGATCTTCTGAATCTCTGGCTTCACCAAAGTCATTTGTGGCCCTAAATGATTGAGTGAATTGTTTCCTTAAACCGTTTTTTTTAATCAGGCTGAATATAAAATTATGGTAAGTCTGAGTATGTTGGCTCGCACCTGTAATCCTAGCACTTTGGGAGGCGGAGGCAGTACGATCACCTGAGCCCACGAGTTCAAGACCAGCCTGGGTAACATAGCGAGACCTCATCTTTACAAAAAAGAAAAAAAAAATTAGTTGGGCATGGTGGTGCATGCCTATAGTCCCAGCTACTTGGGAGACTGAGATGGAAGGGATTGCTTGAGGCTGGGAGAGTGAGGCTGCAGTGAGCCATGCTCATGCCACTGTACTCTACCCTGGGTGACAGAGTGAGACCCTGTCTCAAAAAAAATTACAATAATTAATGAGTTTGAAAATTATTTTGGAAGATGTAATAAAATATCATTTTAACCATAATTATTAAATTACATGCTTATCAAACTTTTTCAAAAATAGCACACGTCAAAAAAGGTATTTATATAGTACACTTGGATAAATAGATGAGACTCTTTTAAGAACAACCTAGAGAGTCTGAGGGAGAAAGAGACAAGGAAATTGATTTGCTATTTTTCAAAACCTACTTCTGATCATACACAGAAAGCATTGTGTTATTCATAAGTAGAAGACCCAGACTTCAGCTATGTGATTTCATAATTCTACTTCCATTTATTTATGTCATCTTATTTCTGAATCCTACAGTCTTCAGTTATATGTTGTAGACCTTTAACTGAAACTATGCTGTTTTAAAATACATTTGTATCATTTGGTATAATATATAATATTAATGGACTTTTCAGAAAATATGACTTCCTTTTTATTAGCTTTAGATACGTAATTCAGATCTGCAGCCACTCTTTTAGATTATCTTCCCATCCACCTGACTAACAGAAACCTCACCCCGACAGAATCCACCAATTGAGAGAAATGCCACTTTGCTGCCATTAAATGCCATGTTGGATATCTACCTATATTGAGAACTCTGCCTGAAATGGTTATTTCATACCTCCTCCTTAAAGCTCCAACAGCTTTTTTGTGTGTTTTAGCAGAAAGCTTTGCTTTAGAGAACTACCTACTACATAGAAAAATATTAGCAGTTTTTTTTCACAAAACTCATATTTTTGCACTACAGATTTACTTGGCTTTATGTCTTTCCTCTTCTCTTTTTCCTATAACAATGGAAAACGTACTTCAGCTTCTGTCTTAGGCTCCTCTCACTGTCTTGATCTG
Source organism: Homo sapiens (assembly GCF_000001405.40). NCBI lineage: Eukaryota > Metazoa > Chordata > Mammalia > Primates > Hominidae > Homo > Homo sapiens. Next base: position 197,719,371 of record NC_000001.11, on the reverse strand, counting down.
AATTCCAACCTTCCTGTCTTCTCAGGGATCTTGTATTCCTTCTTTGCTGGCTCTCTGCTAGCTCATGAATTCCCATAGCCTTTTAAACATGTTCAAGTCTGTACCAGTCAAAAGAAAAAAACAAATATCTCTAGCTTAAGCTTTCTGTCTACCTTTACTTTCCTCTACTTTGTGTATCCTTTCTTAAGTAAATTGCCTCTGTACATACTGCCTCTCTTTCATCATACTCACTCATTCCATAATCTTAAATCGGCCACCTCCTTCCTACCCTTCCACTGAGGCTCATCTTACTGTGGTGTTATGTCTTTTAATATAGTTGCCATTCTTCAGTCATCATCTCTCAATGTGTTGCAGCATTTGTTTGAGGATTTCTTTTAGATACACCCTCTTCTCTTGACTTTCATAATAACACACACTCTAGCTGCATTCTCCCTTTCTGGTTGTTCTTTCTAACTTGATTTATACTACTGTCTGCTTCAGTGGCTTCCCTTGCCAATCCAGCTTTATCTCTAGACATTGTCTCCCTCTTAGTCTACATTCAGATATGTTAGATGATTTTTCAGTTTCTAAAAGGTATTCTGCTTTCTTTTAACCTTCAAGATGTCATGCATATTGGTTCTTCACTCTAGAATGTTCTCCCCTGCCCACTTTATGGCCCAGATTATTCTTTGCTTGTCTAACTTGTGTCAGTTTATGTCCTTTCCTTTTGAAGTCCTTTAGTGACTCTCTAAATTATATTTCCTTATTATGTGCTCCTGCAGTACCCCTTCTTCTAGTATCATAAAAATGCATTAAGTTTTATTACATTATATATATAGATGCTCCTCTTCTCTGTAAGTGGTAGACCCTGTTTTGTTTAGTTCACCATTATGTGTCCACAGGTGAAAGAATAAAAATCATACATTACCAAAAAATTACACATTTTCTTTAATGATTTTTGCTCATTTCATTGCTTCATTAGGAACTTTTTTTTTTTTTTTACATTTTTAAGCCAGTGAATTTTCAAGTTGAGTTCAAATGTTCCTACAGGATACCTCACTTAAAAGAATATTTTGTACAAAAACGAAATTGCCCTTTGACGTTTCTCTCTGTGAATGTTGTAGGGCATTGTAACGCAGGGACTTTTCCTCTTTCTTTAGCACTGCATAGATTTTTGAATGAAATAAATTGAACTTAAGTTAAATGGGCCACAAAAATTTGTGAATTATTGGAAATTATTTAAAACATATGCTCCTCACATCTCAATAAAGAAAGCTGTAACCTCAGACATTACCTAGCTACGTGAGTAAATCACACTTCTCATTGTTTTGACCTCAATTTCTTCATACATATTCTTCTACAGTGTGGGTATATTAGGCACTGAAACCCGTAATCAAGAAAAATACTAATATTGTATATTATACTTTTCCAAAAGTATGTAGTCTCTGAACTGAGATTTTACAAATGCATAAATTTGAAGATACTGTACATTTAATCATCTTTGAATTCCACAGAATTAAGTAAATATTATCCTTTTGTGCAAATTGGAGCTCTTTTACTGCATACTCTTTTTGTAGTGTAGTAGAATCACACTGGTATTCTAAGTTATTTTAATTTTGTTTTCAGTTAAGGGCCAGGAAATGTGAAATATTTGATTGGGAAAATAAAATATTGCTGACTTTATCTTACTTTACATTTTAAAAAAGCCTTAATAGTGAATTTGGAATCCTTATGTTGATGATGTGCAAATCATACTTTAAATATTCATCTTCTAAAGTTACTGATTTAATAAAAATTTGTATTTTTTTCTTACTATGCTGTAACATTATCTCTTATTAAACTAAGAGATTAAATATATTTATGTCAAAATCAAGTATTCTTCCTTTTATATTTATTTGGTTTCTAGAATGTTGGCAGTAAAATTTTTTTCTTTAATTACGATATGGAGTCTCCTTTGATTTACTGGTAGGCATTGGAAAAAAGAGAAACACAGTGTATATCAGTCATAACTGGCAACGATGATTCCCACCAGCAGTTCTCATCCTTTCACCCATAAAATCAGCATAAAATTGACCTAACATTGCCAGATCAGATTGAGTATCTGGAAAGTAATCCTCAGGGAACAGAAAATTCAGTCTTTGTGCATAAAGTTGTTGAATCGGATTATTTTTTTCAGAGCCCTTTTGTTTCTTCCTTTGCAGTACTTCTGAAAAGTTGCTACAAAGATGTGTCAGATGTGGTCTAAATCTAATCACATAGGCAGTAACTAAGTTAATCCATTTCAAAATATGGATGCACATGATTATAATAATTTTTTGCGTGCTGAAGGGTAAAATTCATTTAATGAAAAGAGCTGGGATATTTTCTACTTTGTGCTTAAACCAATAGATGCAGTTTTCATGTACTTATTTGTTCTCTCTCCGAAAAAACAGAGTATACAGAAAAAAAATGGTAGTGAGGAAAAGTCAGGCAGCAAAACATATTTAGGTAAATGCTACAAACAGCAAGGGCAAACTGTAAGCTATTCAATAACATAAGTATACTTATTTAAGACATAGTTGTAAGAAAGTTGTCACAAACATCTTCTCAAATAGTAATTACAAAGTTGAGGTTACTTAAAAGGGAGATTTTAAATATTCACATTGAAACCCTGTAATTTCATTATTCATGAGAAAGAACTGTTCTGTATTTCTGCATGAGGATTTGTTTATGTAGCTGTTAGTAATTGTATTACTTTATGAAGATAAAAACTTTCATTTAATATTTTATGAAAACTCTGTCATATGCCTTTGTTTTATGAGATTCAAATTTTAGCAGCTACCATTTTGGTAAAACTGCCATATAAATATATGTCTATTTTTTTTAATTGGGAATATAATTATCCACAAGATATTTATGTTTGAGTGTTTTTAGGTGATGTGTAATGCATTCCACATTCATTTTAGAAATGTATGCATTTTGTTTTACATGAGGATATAATCATTTAATATTACCTTCATAAATTTGTAATGTATTATTCTTATATAAGATGTTTTAAATTATTGATTTTTATTATTTATATGGAAACTTTTTAGTCCTTAATAAATAAAAAGTTTAATTGTCGAAAGCTTACTTTTTTCTTTTTAATTTAAAATACCTGAAAAAAATTCTGTGGAACTTAAGTATAAACACAAGAGGAGCCAGCTCATGCTAAAAATGTTGCTAGACATTTATTGAGTTTTATAATTAAAAATTTTGAAATATATATGTATCCTTAGGTTGTGTTTTTTAGAAAATGGTATGAAATATTGGAAATAATGGAATCAAGCTGTAAGTTTTCACTGATTGGTACATGAAGTGTTATCTTTGATCCACAAGTCCTTTTACTTGGCGTGGAGTTCAAACCCTGTCATATGGGTGGTACTTGTTACACACATTAGTCTTATCTTGGGCTTTCAAGTTTTGTTTTTTTTTTGCCCAGAAGAAATAATCCATTATACACTATCCCTTTAAAACACATTTGAAGTATTCAGAAGTTTATTTTTGACAGAATTAAACAATAAGTATATGGCTAAAATATTTATTAGTGCTTACTAAACTAAGATCTTAGCATTTTAGTGTGCTAAGTAGAAGAGAAATACTGTGAGAAACAAAGAAAATGAAAAACTGGTGTGAATATTTATAAACAATATTGATTTATATATATTAATTACTAGATAAAACATGCTAGAAAAATTTCTGTGAAATGCCCTGCAAATATCAATTGTATTTTAAATGAACTGCTTTATATCTACTTACCAACTTATCTATTACTGCAAATATGAGATTTAAAAACTGATATAAGGCAAATATTATTACAGTTTTTGTAAATCTTAATTGGAATTTTAAATGGATATTTAAGGTGTATTTTGGTCTAGTCTCTGAGAGCTATAATATATTTTATTACATACTTGATACATTTGTATTTTTCTTTTCAAAGGAATACCAGTATTTTAAAAGTGTAGTTAAAATAGAAAATTCAGAGTTTAAAATCTTAAAATCTAAAGTATGTCAATAAAAAGTGAGTTGCTAAAAGAAATACAGTAATGATTTTTAATAACCTGACCAAGTTATTAATATCATTTATTTCTATTTTGAAGGTCATTACATTTCTTAAAAAATCAAAATATTTAATTATAGAAAGGAAGAGAAGTGAATGTCATCAACTATAAATGTTTAAAGAAAAATTTAAATGTTGTAATTAAAGTAGCTTTGACAATTTTAAGAGTGTTTAACCAAGACTGTTCCTTTAAATGTGTTCTTTTGCTGCTGTTTAATTATACATGTCAATTATTTACAGATCCTGTGGTATTGTGGAAATTCCCAGAGGACTTTGGAGACCAGGTTGGTACCACATAATTTTTTAAAAAATTTAAAGTTGAAGTATTATGATTGTTGCTACTATTACTGCTGCTGTTGCTAGTATAACTACTAGTGAACATGGATTGCTAAAATTATTTTCTCTTGATCAACTGTGAGACAAAAATGCATGTGTGCGGAATATATGGAAGAATCTTTTAAAGTTACCAAGTAGATGGGTGATGAAGGAGTCCTTATATTGAAACTCATAGGAGCTAGATGTTTAAACTTTCAACTTATTTTATACTTGTTTAATTTATCTATAGACTATATATTTGAAAACATTAAAAACAATAAAAAGTTGACAATATGAAATCTTTGTTAAATATACTCTTATTCTTTCTGTGTACTTAGAAGTAAGCGTTACTGCCATAAATAAGTGATCAGTTCTCTCCTTGTCACAGTAGTATCTGAGTCATTTACATATAGAAGTTGAATTATCACTTTTTTTATTTTAAAATAGTTCTTACCTATAGCTTTACTTTCTTTAAAAAATATGGCATGCAAGACTACTGGATGAATTTATTCCATTTGCATTTTATGTTATAGTCTTCTGTAGTTCCTCAAATATTTAGTATGACCAAAATGATGCAGTAGTTTTACATGATATATGTAAATAGAAAAATCATTTAAACTTTATGTTATAGATTTATCATTTTGATGTTGCTTTATATGTAATATATGGTAAATAATACAGATTTAAGGATTTTTTTGCCAATTTTTTGCTTTTTAAAAATTGATAAGGCTGGGTACAGTGGCTCACGCCTGTAATCCTAGCACTTTGGGAGGCTGAGGCGGGCAGATCATGAGGTCAGGAGTTCGAGACCAGCCTGACTAACATGGTGAAACCTCGTCTCTGCTAAAAATACAAAACAGCCGTGTGTGGTGGCGTGCGCCTGTAATCTCAGCTACTTGGGAGGCTGAGGCAGGAGAATCACTTGAACCTGGGAAGTGGAGGTTGCAGTGAGCCGAGATCGTGCCTGGGCAACCAATGTGAGACTCCGTCCCAAAAAAAAAAAAAAGATATATAATTATACATATATATGGGTGATATTTATTATTGGTGTATATGTATATAATATATGTATATATTATATGCATATAATATATTATATAATATATTATATATTATATATAACAATAGTTATATATAATATATTATAATAATATAATATAATATATTATATATAATATATTATATATAATATATTATAATATAATAATATTATAATATAATATAATAATATAATATAATTATTTTTTTTTTAATTTTTTTTTTTTATTATACTCTAAGTTTTAGAGTACATGTGCACATTGTGCAGGTTAGTTACATATGTATACATGTGCCATGCTGGTGCGCTGCACCCACTAACGTGTCATCTAGCATTAGGTATATCTCCCAATGCTATCCCTCCCCCCTCCCCCGACCCCACCACAGTCCCCAGAGTGTGATATTCCCCTTCCTGTGTCCATGTGATCTCATTGTTCAATTCCCACCTATGAGTGAGAATATGCGGTGTTTGGTTTTTTGTTCTTGCGATAGTTTACTGAGAATGATGGTTTCCAATTTCATCCACGTCCCTACAAAGGACATGAACTCATCATTTTTTATGGCTGCATAGTATTCCATGGTGTATATGTGCCACATTTTCTTAATCCAGTCTATCATTGTTGGACATTTGGGTTGGTTCCAAGTCTTTGCTATTGTGAATAGTGCCGCAATAAACATACGTGTGCATGTGTCTTTTTAGCAGCATGATTTATAGTCCTTTGGGTATATACCCAGTAATGGGATGGCTGGGTCAAATGGTATTTCTAGTTCTAGATCCCTGAGGAATCGCCACACTGACTTCCACAATGGTTGAACTAGTTTACAGTCCCACCAACAGTGTAAAAGTGTTCCTATTTCTCCACATCCTCTCCAGCACCTGTTGTTTCCTGACTTTTTAATGATTGCCATTCTAACTGGTGTGAGATGATATCTCATAGTGGTTTTGATTTGCATTTCTCTGATGGCCAGTGATGATGAGCATTTCTTCATGTGTTTTTTGGCTGCATAAATGTCTTCTTTTGAGAAGTGTCTGTTCATGTCCTTCGCCCACTTTTTGATGGGGTTGTTTGTTTTTTTCTTGTAAATTTGTTTGAGTTCATTGTAGATTCTGGATATTAGCCCTTTGTCAGATGAGTAGGTTGCGAAAATTTTCTCCCATGTTGTAGGTTGCCTGTTCACTCTGATGGTAGTTTCTTTTGCTGTGCAGAAGCTCTTGAGTTTAATTAGATCCCATTTGTCAATTTTGGCTTTTGTTGCCATTGCTTTTGGTGTTTTGGACATGAAGTCCTTGCCCACTCCTATGTCCTGAATGGTAATGCCTAGGTTTTCTTCTAGGGTTTTTATGGTTTTAGGTCTAACGTTTAAATCTTTAATCCATCTTGAATTGATTTTTGTATAAGGTGTAAGGAAGGGATCCAGTTTCAGCTTTCTACATATGGCTAGCCAGTTTTCCCAGCACCATTTATTAAATAGGGAATCCTTTCCCCATTGCTTGTTTTTCTCAGGTTTGTCAAAGATCAGATAGTTGTAGATATGCGGCATTATTTCTGAGGGCTCTGTTCTGTTCCATTGATCTATATCTCTGTTTTGGTACCAGTACCATGCTGTTTTGGTTACTGTAGCCTTGTAGTATAGTTTGAAGTCAGGTAGTGTGATGCCTCCAGCTTTGTTCTTTTGGCTTAGGATTGACTTGGCGATGCGGGCTCTTTTTTGGTTCCATATGAACTTTAGAGTAGTTTTTTCCAATTCTGTGAAGAAAGTCATTGGTAGCTTGATGGGGATGGCATTGAATCTGTAAATTACCTTGGGCAGTATGGCCATTTTCACGATATTGATTCTTCCTACCCATGAGCATGGAATGTTCTTCCATTTGTTTGTGTCCTCTTTTATTTCCTTGAGCAGTGGTTTGTAGTTCTCCTTGAAGAGGTCCTTCACATCCTTTGTAAGTTGGATTCCTAGGTATTTTATTCTCTTTGAAGCAATTGTGAATGGGAGTTCACTCATGATTTGGCTCTCTGTTTGTCTGTTGTTGGTGTATAAGAATGCTTGTGATTTTTGTACATTGATTTTGTATCCTGAGACTTTGCTGAAGTTGCTTATCAGCTTAAGGAGATTTTGGGCTGAGACGATGGGGTTTTCTAGATAAACAATCATGTCGTCTGCAAACAGGGACAATTTGACTTCCTCTTTTCCTAATTGAATACCCTTTATTTCCTTCTGCTGCCTGATTGCCCTGGCCAGAACTTCCAACACTATGTTGAATAGGAGCGGTGAGAGAGGGCATCCCTGTCTTGTGCCAGTTTTCAAAGGGAATGCTTCCAGTTTTTGCCCATTCAGTATGATATTGGCTGTGGGTTTGTCATAGATAGCTCTTATTATTTTGAAATACGTCCCATCAATACCTAATTTATTGAGAGTTTTTAGCATGAAGGGTTGTTGAATTTTGTCAAAGGCTTTTTCTGCATCTATTGAGATAATCATGTGGTTTTTGTCTTTGGCTGTGTTTATATGCTGGATTACATTTATTGATTTGCGTATATTGAACCAGCCTTGCATCCCAGGGATGAAGCCCACTTGATCATGGTGGATAAGCTTTTTGATGTGCTGCTGGATTCGGTTTGCCAGTATTTTATTGAGGATTTTTGCATCAGTGTTCATCAAGGATATTGGTCTAAAATTCTCTTTTTTGGTTGTGTCTCTGCCCGGCTTTGGTATCAGAATGATGCTGGCCTCATAAAATGAGTTAGGGAGGATTCCCTCTTTTTCTATTGATTGGAATAGTTTCAGAAGGAATGGTACCAGTTCCTCCTTGTACCTCTGGTAGAATTCGGCTGTGAATCCATCTGGTCCTGGACTCTTTTTGGTTGGTAAACTATTGATTATTGCCACAATTTCAGAGCCTGTTATTGGTCTATTCAGAGATTCAACTTCTTCCTGGTTTAGTCTTGGGAGAGTGTATGTGTCGAGGAATGTATCCATTTCTTCTAGATTTTCTAGTTTATTTGCGTAGAGGTGTTTGTAGTATTCTCTGATGGTAGTTTGTATTTCTGTGGGATCGGTGGTGATATCCCCTTTATCATTTTTTATTGTGTCTATTTGATTCTTCTCTCTTTTTTTCTTTATTAGTCTTGCTAGCGGTCTATCAATTTTGTTGATCCTTTCAAAAAAACCAGCTCCTGGATTCATTGATTTTTTGAAGGGTTTTTTGTGTCTCTATTTCCTTCAGTTCTGCTCTGATTTTAGTTATTTCTTGCCTTCTGCTAGCTTTTGAATGTGTTTGCTCTTGCTTTTCTAGTTCTTTTAATTGTGATGTTAGGGTGTCAATTTTGGATCTTTCCTGCTTTCTCTTGTAGGCATTTAGTGCTATAAATTTCCCTCTACACACTGCTTTGAATGCGTCCCAGAGATTCTGGTATGTGGTGTCTTTGTTCTCGTTGGTTTCAAAGAACATCTTTATTTCTGCCTTCATTTCGTTATGTACCCAGTAGTCATTCAGGAGCAGGTTGTTGAGTTTCCATGTAGTTGAGCGGCTTTGAGTGAGATTCTTAATCTTGAGTTCTAGTTTGATTGCACTGTGGTCTGAGAGATAGTTTGTTATAATTTCTGTTCTTTTACATTTGCTGAGGAGAGCTTTACTTCCAACTATGTGGTCAATTTTGGAATAGGTGTGGTGTGGTGCTGAAAAAAATGTATATTCTGTTGATTTGGGGTGGAGAGTTCTGTAGATGTCTATTAGGTCTGCTTGGTGCAGAGCTGAGTTCAATTCCTGGGTATCCTTGTTGACTTTCTGTCTCGTTGATCTGTCTAATGTTGACAGTGGGGTGTTAAAGTCTCCCATTATTAATGTGTGGGAGTCTAAGTCTCTTTGTAGGTCACTCAGGACTTGCTTTATGAATCTGGGTGCTCCTGTATTGGGTGCATAAATATTTAGGATAGTTAGCTCCTCTTGTTGAATTGATCCCTTTACCATTATGTAATGGCCTTCTTTGTCTCTTTTGATCTTTGTTGGTTTAAAGTCTGTTTTATCAGAGACTAGGATTGCAACCCCTGCCTTTTTTTGTTTTCCATTGGCTTGGTAGATCTTCCGCCATCCTTTTATTTTGAGCCTATGTGTGTCTCTGCACGTGAGATGGGTTTCCTGAATACAGCACACTGATGGGTGTTGACTCTTTATCCAACTTGCCAGTCTGTGTCTTTTAATTGCAGAATTTAGTCCATTTATATTTAAAGTTAATATTGTTATGTGTGAATTTGATCCTGTCATTATGATGTTAGCTGGTGATTTTGCTCATTAGTTGATGCAGTTTCTTCCTAGTCTCGATGGTCTTTACATTTTGGCATGATTTTGCAGCGGCTGGTACCGGTTGTTCCTTTCCATGTTTAGCGCTTCCTTCAGGAGCTCTTTTAGGGCAGGCCTGGTGGTGACAAAATCTCTCAGCATTTGCTTGTCTATAAAGTATTTTATTTCTCCTTCACTTATGAAGCTTAGTTTGGCTGGATATGAAATTCTGGATTGAAAATTCTTTTCTTTAAGAATGTTGAATATTGGCCCCCACTCTCTTCTGGCTTGTAGGGTTTCTGCCGAGAGATCCGCTGTTAGTCTGATGGGCTTCCCTTTGAGGGTAACCCGACCTTTCTCTCTGGCTGCCCTTAACATTTTTTCCTTCATTTCAACTTTGGTGAATCTGACAATTATGTGTCTTGGAGTTGCTCTTCTCGAGGAGTATCTTTGTGGCGTTCTCTGAATTTCCTGAATCTGAACGTTGGCCTGCCTTGCTAGATTGGGGAAGTTCTCCTGGATAATATCCTGCAGAGTGTTTTCCAACTTGGTTCCATTCTCCCCATCACTTTCAGGTACACCAATCAGACGTAGATTTGGTCTTTTCACATAGTCCCATATTTCTTGGAGGCTTTGCTCATTTCTTTTTATTCTTTTTTCTCTAAACTTCCCTTCTCGCTTCATTTCATTCATTTCATCTTCCATTGCTGATACCCTTTCTTCCAGTTGATTGCATCGGCTCCTGAGGCTTCTGCATTCTTCACGTAGTTCTCGAGCCTTGGTTTTCAGCTCCATCAGCTCCTTTAAGCACTTCTCTGTATTGGTTATTCTAGTTATACATTCTTCTAAATTTTTTTCAAAGTTTTCAACTTCTTTGCCTTTGGTTTGAATGTCCTCCCGTAGCTCAGAGTAATTTGATCGTCTGAAGCCTTCTTCTCTCAGCTCGTCAAAATCATTCTCCATCCAGCTTTGTTCTGTTGCTGGTGAGGAACTGCGTTCCTTTGGAGGAGGAGAGGCGCTCTGCGTTTTAGAGTTTCCAGTTTTTCTGTTCTGTTTTTTCCCCATCTTTGTGGTTTTATCTACTTTTGGTCTTTGATGATGGTGATGTACAGATGGGTTTTCGGTGTAGATGTCCTTTCTGGTTGTTAGTTTTCCTTCTAACAGACAGGACCCTCAGCTGCAGGTCTGTTGGAATACCCTGCTGTGTGAGGTGTCAGTGTGCCCCTGCTGGGGGGTGCCTCCCAGTTAGGCTGCTCGGGGGTCAGGGGTCAGGGACCCACTTGAGGAGGCAGTCTGCCCGTTCTCAGATCTCCAGCTGCGTGCTGGGAGAACCACTGCTCTCTTCAAAGCTGTCAGACAGGGACACTTAAGTCTGCAGAGGTTACTGCTGTCTTTTTGTTTGTCTGTGCCCTGCCCCCAGAGGTGGAGCCTACAGAGGCAGGCAGGCCTCCTTGAGCTGTGGTGGGCTCCACCCAGTTCGAGCTTCCCGGCTGCTTTGTTTACCTAAGCAAGCCTGGGCAATGGCGGGCGCCCCTCCCCCAGCCTCGTTGCCGCCTTGCAGTTTGATCTCAGACTGCTGTGCTAGCAATCAGCGCGATTCCGTGGGCGTAGGACCCTCTGAGCCAGGTGTGGGATATAGTCTCGTGGTGCGCCGTTTCTTAAGCCGGTCTGAAAAGCGCAATATTCGGGTGGGAGTGACCTGATTTTCCGGGTGCGGCCGTCACCCCTTTCTTTGACTTGGAAAGGGAACTCCCTGACCCCTTGCGCTTCCCAGGTGAGGCAATGCCTCGCCCTGCTTCGGCTCGCGCACGGTGCGCACACACACTGGCCTGCGCCCACTGTCTGGCACTCCCTAGTGAGATGAACCCGGTACCTCAGATGGAAATGCAGAAATCACCCGTCTTCTGCGTCGCTCACGCTGGGAGCTGTAGACCGGAGCTGTTCCTATTCGGCCATCTTGGCTCCTCCCTCTGATTTTAATATAATAATTATATTATATTATATTATATTATTATATTATATATGTATATAATATATGTATATTATATAATATATGTATTATATTATATATGTATATATATGTATATAATATATGTATATAAATATATGCATATAATTACACATATATATGGGTGATAATGATATAGATATTATACATATATGTGATATTTTGATACATGTATACAATATGTAATGATCAAATCAGGGTAATCAGCATATCCATCACCTCAAACTTTTATCATTTCTTTCACTGGGATTATTCAAAATCTGCTCTTCTAGCTATTTGAAAATATGTGATAAATTCTTGTTAATTATAATCACCCTACAGTGTTATAGAACACTAGAACACCATTCCTCCTATCTATCTAGCTGTCATTTTGGATCCATTAACTAACCTCTGGCTATCAGCCCCAAGCCCCTGCCTGCCCTTCTCAGCCTCTAGTAACCACTATTCTACTCTACTTCTATGAGATCAATTTTTTAAGCTTCCAATATGAGTGAGAACATGAGACATCTGTCTTTCTGTGCCTGACTTATTTCACTTAACATAATATCCTCCAAGCCCATCTGTGTTGCCATGAATGACAGGATTTTGTTCTTTTTTTATAGTTGAATAGTATTCCATTTTGTATGTATACCATATTTTTTAATCCATTCATTTGTTTATGGACACTTAGGTTGATTCCATATCTTGGCTCTTGTGTTGCAATAAACATGTATCTCTTTGGTATACTGATTTTCTTTCGTTTGGATATATACCCAGTAGTGGGATTGCTGGATCATATGATAGTTCTGTTTTTAGTTTTTTGAGGAACTTCCATACTATTTTTTATATAATTGCTATGCTAATTTACATTCCCACCAACAGTGTGTGGAGTTCCCCTTTCTCTGCCTCCTTGCCAGCATTTGTTAGTTTTTGTCTCTTTGATGATAACTATTGTAACTGGGGTGAGATGATAACTCTTTGTGGTTTTGATTTGCATTTCCCTGATGATTAGTGATGCTGAGATTGTTTGATGTGCCTGTTGGCCATTTTTATGTCTTTTCTTGAGAGATGTCTATTCAGCTCATTTGCCCATTTTAAAATTGTATTGTTTGTGTTTTTGCTGTTGTTTGAGTTCCTTGTATATTCTGGATCTTAATAATTTGTCAGATGATTAGTTTACGTATACATTCTCCCATTCTGTTGGTTGTCTCTTCAGTCTGTTGGTTGTTCCTTTGGCTGTGCCGAAGCTTTTTAGTTTGATATAATCTCATTTGTCTATTTCTGCTTCTGTTGCCTGTGCTTTTAAGGTTTTCTTTATGAAATCTTTGCCCAACGCAACATCCTGAAGTGTTTATCCTATGTTTTGTCCTACTAGCTTCACGCATTATTCCAGGTTTTATATTATACAAATTTAAGTTTTGATAGAAATAAGTACTTTTTGCTGGATGCCTGATGAGCAGGTTCCTTTCTTATGTCTTCAAATAAATGGGATAAGACAGTCTTGTCACTGTTAAATTCAGAATACACAAACTTAGCTATAATTTAAGTCCACAGATGGAGTTCTCACCATTTGCAAACATGAAAGCTGATAAAAGTATGTGTTTAAAGCAGTTCATTCAGAAATAAGCCTACAGACATGTGATTTTGAATAAACATGAAAGAATACTTTTTTAGATGTGAAAGTCAATCTGACTTAGAAATTACACTCAAAAAGTCTGATAAATGGGCGTGATAAATATTAATTACGTCTAGTACAACCTTTGACCATGGTTTCACATAAAAAGAGGGTATAGAATTATAATTTGATTTTAGCTTTTTAGATTTATAAATATCTTAAGTATGTAAAAGAACTCCCTACAGTGAAGACATGACTTGGGAATAAGAAGTTTGCGTTTGTTCTCAAATAGCTTGTAGTTAGACTAGAGCCTTGCTCACTCATTTTACCATTCCAATATATATATATATATATTTTAGTCTTCTCAATTCTGTCTTGTCTGTTCAACCAATTACAAACCTCCTATTCCTGTTCAGGTCTTTTTTTTTTTTTTTTAAATTTCTACCTTTTACTTTATAAACTGCCTCTGAGCATTTTTAGGGGTTCTGAAGACTGCTAACTTTGGGTTCACATGAGAGTGATAATGTACTTGTCAGGTCCAGCTTGGATTTTTTTCATTTGGGGCTTAATTGTTGTTCTGTTTCTGAAATTGTGAGATCACTGGGACATCAATAAGCCCTCATATGCTTAGTGAAATACAGAAGCGCTTAACCATGTAATGGTGGTGAACATTCATAACTCTTAGGATTCTAGTTTACAACAATTCTTATAGCCTTCTTGAAGGTTAGAGCTGAAAGGAACTTTAGATACCATTTTGTGTATCTATGTCATTTTACATCTAAAGAAATCAAGCTTTACATGGGAATCTAGTCAAGGGCCTTGAATAATTGTTTTGCTATATACTTTTTAGGGAATTTATTGAATTGTACAGAAGAGACAAGTACTCTGTGTATATTTCTTAACCCTTTTCCCTTTTACTGCTTTTCTCTACCAACTGCATTCTCCTTAACTAGCCTTTTCTCTGGATGTGCGGCTACCTCAGTAATTATAATCTTAAAAAGCTCTTTGTTTCACTCTTACCATGCACTGGGCACTATACTAGGTGCTTTATGTGCATACTTCATTTTATTTTTAAATCCTCCCAGGGCTAATAGGAGATAGTATTATACCTGAACTGAGTCTTAAGTAAGAAACTTACCTGAGGTCACAGTGCTTGTAAGAGGCAGAGCTAAGATTTGAAGACATGTTTGTCTGACTCAAAAGCGTTTACTCTTAAATTTTTAGCTTTATTTTTTTTTTTCTGCTTGGAATGTTGTCTCAAACTTACCTCACTTATTTTAGCTCCCTTAAAAAAGATTATTGTAATAATTTTTCTCTTGGTATCTTTAGAATTTAAAAGCAATATGTAATTTAGTCCAAAGAAATAATATCAATCCATTTTTCATAACATGGAGTTGTTAGTACCCGTAGGCACTGGTTTATTATACGCTTCTCGCAGTATGTTTTCCTTCTTTTGGCAATTGAGGAACCAGTGGGACAACTGACATGGCATTTCAGGAGCTTTGATTATATATTTTTTCTTTTTTTGATACAGTGGAGGGTTTTGTACAGGAGAGTATTGGGAGATAAAACTATAAAAGTAAATGAGCTAGGTTTTGGCACAGTTTGCCTTGCTAAAGAGTTGGTCCTTCAAGTGGGAGAGATTTCAGTATGGATTGGTTTTGGTAGAAACTAGAGGCGAGGAAATTAGTTTGGTAGTTATTTTAGTAGTTCAGTGAAAAGTAAGAAGGATCTGAAATAGTCAGTTACATTAGGAATGGAAAAGAGTATAAGTGTGAGGGAAAAAAGAGATTGCATGAAAACAATTTTTATTTTTTATTGATTGATTGAGGCAGTTTCTTAACCTGTTGCACAGGCTGGAGTGCAGTAGTGCCCTCATGACTGGCTCCCAGACTGAAGCGATCCTCCCATCTCAACCTCAAGCAATCCTCCCACCCCAGCCACCAAAGTGGCTAGGACTACAGGCATGTACCACCACTTCTGGCTAATGTTTTTTATTTTTTGTAGAGATGGGGTCTCACCCTATTGCCCAGGCTGGTCGTGAACTCCTGGGTTCAAGTGATTTTTTCCACCTTGGTCTCCCAGAGTCCTGGGATTACAGGCATGAGTCTGACCAAAAAGTTTATTTTTGAGGGACTGGAGAGAGATGGAGAAAACTAAAGAAGAGAGGATGAGTTTGATTTTTATCATTTCAAGAAATGTTGAACAATTTTCTATGTGAGTGAAGAGAGGAGGCATCAGAGATTTGAAAAGAATGGAGAATGTTTGCAACCTAAGAAAATAAAAAAGTGTGAATATTCAAATTTGAGAATTGCCAGAGGTAGGAATAACTTTGTTATTGTAGGCAAAAAAATTAATCAGTAAGCCAGGGAAGCAAACCCATCAAAATTGATTGAAGTTTATTTTAACAATTTTTGTAGCTTCTTTTTAGAATCAGATATTATCAAACAAGACAAAAATCACATTTTATTCCCTTGTGTGCTCATGTTCAAGACCAAACACTTTAAGACATCTCAGAGGTCTGCAAAGTCAAAATGATGATGATGAAAAGTAATACCATAATCATTTATGGTATTTGTGTTAACATCCAACAGATTCATGATTGCTATTATATGGATCCATACCTCTTAAAAAATGTTTCAAGTTTAATTTCTAATATAATACATTTCAATAGTTATACATGAACAACAGCTCTCCAGGGTCCCTAATAAGTCCCAATAAAGAAAAGGAGTATAGAGGTGTTTTTTTTTTGTTCTTTCTTTCTTTTTTCTTTTTTTTGTAAAAGCAAAGCTGAAGTGGGCCGAGTGCTGTGGCTCACGTGTATAATCCCAGCACTTTGGAGGCCTAGGCAGGCAGATCACTTGAAGTCAGGAGTTTGAGACCAACCTGGCCAACTGGTGAAACCCTGTCTCTACTAAAAACAAAACAATTAGCCGGGCCTGGTGGTGCAGGCCTGTAATCCCAGCTACTTGGGAGACTGAGGCAGGAGAATTACTTGAACCAGGGAGGCGGAGGTTGCAGTGAGCTGAGATGCTGCTACTGCACTCCAGCCCAGGCGACAGAGTGAGACCCTATCTCAAAAATAAAAACAAAACAACAAAAAAAGCAAAGCTGAAGTGAACTGCTGATTTAGGGCAAAATAATTCTTTCTCTTTAAAAAACAAAAGTATATACTCAGTTGTTTCTTTGACACTGTTGCCCCTAGTTTAGTCTTAAACACTCATAGTATTATAATTACAACTTTTAATCTAAGTAACTAATGTCTTACAGGAAAACAACAACAACAACAACACTTGAGGGGTAGATGATTGAGAACTTTCAGTCATACACAAGCATTTTAACAGACTGCCAGAGCTGCCCATATCTCTTTTATGTTTTAGTAAAATAGGAAAAGTGAACACATTTGTTAACATAACTCAATTGCCTTTTGATGGCATACAAAAATAAGAAGAAAAAGTATATAGACAAATTGTGCTTAGTAATTAATGTTTTAGCATTCTGAGGAATTATCCATTGATTAAGTCAATTTAATATCAATTCCACATTTTGGTTACCTAAAGATTTTGGAAATTATATTCAAGTAGATGTACTACATAATATAATCACTGCTGACATAAAGTTTTCCAGAATAGTGATTAAGTTTGGTTAAATAGAAATTTACATGTTATATAACCTTAACGTGTCATAGTTGCTTATTAGTTCAATAACTTGTATACATTTGGAAAAAACATACCCAAGTAGAATAAAATGTGTACTTGCTCTGTCCTTAACATTATTAAATCAGAGAAGACATGGCTATTTTTATTAAGCCAAAGTTATAAAACTTGAGTTTTCTAAAGATTTACCTTAATAATGTGAATTTGAATCCTCTAATAATTATTTTGAAAGTCTAGCTCATTTGAAATATTAGAAGTTCAACTTCCTATTTTATAGATGTTTTGGGAATATTCTGTTTGTGTACATTTCTCTCTAGAAGTTAGTCAGAACAGTGTCTTTAATTTATGAGGCTTTATAATCTACTTTATTGATAGACTCCAGAGATAGGGAAACATTTCATACTAACACAAGAGCAAAGGTCTTTATGAAATATAGACATACGGTCTCACAAGCATCAATATTTTTGGTGGTGTTTTTAGTTATACTGTGTATAATAAACAGAGTGAATAGATATGTAGAAAAATTGTAAGAATTATAAAAGTAATGCTATATTTTTAAGGTATTTTAAGTTATATTTTTGATTGTTACTCTTAAATTAGAGATGAAAAATTTTACCAAATTTTAAACAAATGAACATAGCCTAGGCAATTAGCATGTAGCTCTAGTTGTCTTAAGAATTTAAAATTACTCGTAGAGTACTTTGAAAGGTGCTTGTCTGGCACAATAAAGCTGTAAAGAAGACGATGTGGTTCTTGCCCTCCAGAAGTCTGTTAGGAGAAGGAAGATTGGACTGGGAATCAGATGTGAGCTGTTCTGGCTTTTCTCCTTTTTCTTTCTTCTTTCTTCTTCTATCTTCTTTCTTAAAAAAAAAAAGCCGGGGAAGGGGGGGATACAAGTACAGAACCTGCAGGTTTGTTACATAGGCATACATGTGCCAGGGTGGTTTGCTGCATCTATTCACCTGTCCGCTAAGTTCCTTCCCCTCACCCCTGGCCCCCGAATGGGCCCTGGTGTGTGTTGTCCCCCTTTCTGTATCCATGTATTCTCATTGTTCAACTCCCACTTATAAGTGAGAAAATACGGTGTTTGGTTTTCTGTTCCTGTGTTAGTTTGCTGAGGAAGATGGCTTCCAGCTTCATCCATGTCCCTGCAAAGGACATTATCTCATTCCTTTGTATGGCAGTATAGTATTCCATGGTGTATATGTACCACATTTTCTTTATCCAGTCTATCATTGATGGGCATTTGGGTTGGTTCCATGTCTTTGCTATTGTAAATAGTGCTGCAACAAACAAATGTGTACGTGTGTCTTTATAGTAGAATGATTTATATTCCTTTGGGTATATGCTTAGTAGTGGGATTGCTGGGTCAAATGGTTATTTCTGGTTCTAGATCCTTGAGGAATCACCACACTGTCTTCTACAATGGTTGAACTAATTTACATTCCCACCAACAAAGCATTCCTGTTTCTCCACAGCCTCGCCAGCATCTATTGTTTCCTGACTTTTTAATAATTACCATGCTGACTGTCGTGAGATGGTATCCCATTGTGGTTTTGATTTGCATTTCTGTGGTGATCAGTGATGTTAAGCTTTTTCTCGTTTGTTGGCTGCATAAATGTCTTCTTTTGAGTAGTGTCTGTTGATATCCTTTGCCTACTTTTTGATGGGGTTGTTTTTTCTTGTAAATTTGTTTAAGTTCCTTGTAAATTCTGGATATTAGACGTTTGCCAGATAGGTGGATTGCAAAAATTTTCTCCCATTCTGTAGGTTGCCTGTTCATTCTGATGATAGTTTCTTTTTCTGTTAGTTTAATTACATCTCATTTATCAATTTTGGCTTTTGTTGAAGTTGTTTTTGTCATGAAGTCTTTGCCCATGTCTGTGTCCTGAATGATATTGCCTAGGTTTTCTTCTAGAGTTTTTATGGTTTTTGGTTTTACATTTAAATCTTTAATCCATCTTGAGTTAATTTTTGTATAAGGTGTAAGGCAGTGGTCCAGTTTCAGTTTTCTGCATATGGCTAGCCAGTTTTCCTAGCTCCTGAATAGGAGATCCTTTCCCCATTGCTTGTTTTTGTCAGGTTTGCCAAAGATCAGATGGTTGTAGGTGTGTGGTGTTATTTCTGAGGTCTCTTTTCTGTTCCATTGGTCTATATGTTTGTTTTGGTACCAGTACCATGCTGTTTTGGTTACTGTAGCCTTGTAATACAGTCTGAAGTCAGGTAGCGTGATGCCTCCAACTTTGTTCTTTTTACTTAGGGTTTTACTTTTTACTTGGCTCTATGGAGTCTCCTTTGATTCCGTATGAAATTTAAAATAGTTTTTTTCTAATTCTATGAAGAATTTAATGGTAGTTTGATGGAAATAACATTGAATCTATAAATTACTTTGGACAGTATGGCCATCTTCATGATATTGATTCTTCCTATTCATGAGGATGGAATGCTTTTCCGTTTGTTTGTGTCCTCTCTTATTTCCTTGAGCAGTGGTTTGTAGTTCTCCTTGAAGAGGTCCTTCACGTCCCTTGTTAGCTGTATTCCTGAGTATTTTATTCTCTTTGTAGTGATTGTGAATGGGAGTTCATTCATGATTTATTTGGTTCTCTGCTTGGTTATTTCTAGTTTATTTGCATAGAGGTGTTTATATTATTCTCTGATGGTAGTTTGTAAAGGAATACTTTGTGATATTTGCACATTGATTTTGTATCCTGAGACTTTGCTGAAGTTGCTTATCAGTTTAAGGAGTTTTTAGGCTGAGATGATGGGGTTTTCTAAATATAAAATCATGTTGTCTGTAAACAGACACAGTAGTTTGACTTCCTCTCTTCCTATTTGAGTTCCCTTTATTTCTTTGTCTTGCCTGATTGCCCTGGCCAGAACATCCAATACTGTGTTGAATAGGAGTAGTGAGAGAGGGCATCCTTGTCTTGTACCAGTTTTCAAAGGGAATGTTTCCAGCTTTTGCCCATTCAGTGATATTAGCTGTGGGTTTGTCATAAATAACTCTTATTATTTTGGAATATGTTTCATCAATATTTATTTTATTGAGAGTTTTTAACCTGAAGGGATGTCAAATTTTATCAAAGGCCTTTTCTGCATCTATTGAAATAATCGTGTGGTTTTTGTTTTTGGCTCCATTTATGTGATGGATTACATTTATTGATTTGCATATGTTGAACCAGCCTTGCATCCCAGGGATGAAGCTCACTTGATCATGGTGGATGTTTTATGATGTGCTGCTGGATTCGATTTGCCAGTATTTTTTGAGGATTTTTCGCATTGGTGTTCATTGGGGATATTGGCCTGAAGTTTTCCCTTTTTTTGTGTGTCTCTTCCTGATTTTGGTATCAGGATTATGCTGGCTTCATTAAATGAGTTAGGGAGGTGTCCCTCCTTTTCAGTTATTTGAAATAGTTTCAGAAGGAATGGTACCAGCTCCTCTTTGTATTTCTGGTAGAATTCAGCTGTGAATCCATCTGGTCCTGGGCTTTTTTTGGTTGGTAGGCTATTAATTACTGCCTCAATTTCAGAACTTGTTATTGGTGTATTCAGGGATTCGACTTCTTCGTGGTTTAGTCCTGGGAGTGTGTATGTGTCCAGGAATTTATCCATTTCTTCTAGATTTTCTAGTTTATTTGCATAGAGGTGTTTATATTATTCTCTGATGGTAGTTTGTATTTCTGTGGGATCAGTGGTGATATCCCCATTATCATTTTTCATTGTGTCTGTATGATTCTTCTCCCTTCTTTATTAGTCTAGCTAATGGTCTGTTTTGTTAATTTAAAGAAAAAAACAGCTTCTGGGTTCATTGATTTTTTTTTTTTGGTGAGTTTTTCATGTGTCTATCTCCTTCAATTCTTCTCTGATCTTAGTTATTTCTTGTCTTCTGCTAGCTTTTGGATTAGTTTGATCTTGCTTCTCTAGCTCTTTTAATTGTGATGTTAGGGCATCAATTTGAGATCTTTCTAGCTTTCTGATGTGGCCATTTAGTGCTATAAATTTTCCTCTTAACACTGCTTTCGCTATGTACCAGAGATTCTGGTATGTTGTCTCTTTGTTCTCATTGGTTTCAAAGAACTTCTTGATTTCTGCCTGATTCATTATGTACCCAGGAGTCATTCAGGAGCAGGTTGTTCAATTTCCATGTAATTGTGGGGTTTCGAGTGAATGTCTTAATCTTGAGTTCTAATTTGATTGCACTGTGGTCTGAGAGACTGTTTTGATTTCTGTTCTTTTGCATTTGCTGAGGAATGTTTTACTTCCAATTATGTGGTCAATTTTAGAATAAGTGTGATGTGGCACTGAGAAGAATGTATATTCTGTTGATTTGGGGTAGACAGTTCTGTAGACATCTACCAGGTCCACTTGATCCAGAGCTGAGTTCACATCCTGAACATCCTTGTTAATTTTCTGTCTTGTTGATCTGTCTAATACTGACAGTGGGGTATTAAAGTCTCCCACTATTATTGTGTGGGAGTCTAAGTCTCTTTGTAGGTCTCTAAGAACTTGTTGTATGAATCTGGGTGCTCCTATATTGGGTGCATATATATTTAGAATAGTTAACTCTTCTTGTTGAATTGTTCCCTTTACCATTATGTAATGCCCTTCTTTGTCTTTTTTGATCTTTGTTGGTTTAAAGTCTATTTTGTCAGAGACTAGGACTACAATCCCTGCTTTTTTTTCTTTCCATTTGCTTGGTAAATTTTCCTCCATCCCTTTATTTTGATCCTATATGTATCTTTGCATGTGAGATGGGTCTCCTGAATATAGCACACCAGTGGGTCTTGACTATCCAATTTGTGTTCTGGCTCTACTTCTAATTGGAGTGCAAGACTGAGATTCATGAGGAAATGCTGGTGTTTAGGAGGAGTACATAGAAGGTGATCTTTAAGCCTTATTTTTTGATCACTGAGTTTTGTCCTTTAGTTGGTCCTCTTTTTAGGGTGAGAGTGGAGGACACTGCCATATAGTTCAGATAATTGAGTGTGATACCCTATTGTAGCAGAAAGACAGAATGATGAAATTAATTCATGATTTGAAGTTGTAGTAGAGTGATAGAGATGTTGGAATGTTGTTTCTTTTATTTAATTGAAGATTTACATAAATTTTTGGTAATATAGACATGAGTTTGAATCCTAACCCTGTCAGTTATATGGGTTTTGCCATAAAAAAAAATCCCCTGCTATCAGTGACATGATAGTTCACAGGATTCATTGTAGGAGTTAAGGTCTGTCTGAAGCACTGTGGAAGATATTCAGCAAATGAGAGGGCATGGTCAGACTTCCTTCACACACTATCCCTGTCTTCTTAGGTTTTGTTTCTTTTCCTTTTTTTTTTTTTTTTGTGGAATTTCTGTTTTTACTTTTCCATTCTGTTTCTTCTTTTGTGTGGTCCAGTTCTGTTAATTAAAACTCAGTTTGAAAATTAATCCTTCTTTGAAGGCTTTCCTGAGCCTCCAAGGCAACCTGTCTGTACTTCCGTAGCTTCTTATATGTACCTCTAATTTTAACTATATTTTCATTTTTTTTTTTTTTGCATGTCTCTGTCTCTCCTAGGCTGTATGTATGTTTCTTGAAGGAAAAGGGGCAGAACTTTCTCATTTTTCAATCTCCACATCTAGTAGAGTGGCTGGAACATAAGATATGAATAAGTGTTTTTGAACGGCTAGTTGAATGAGTGACAAGTCAGAGGAAGTTGAATAAACTCATGATAACTTATCTTAATTTTCTTGGAAAAATAATAGGCAAGGTAATTTAAGAAGGATGGATTTAAGAGTGGTGTTTCACCTTAAATTTGGAAAGATTTCAAACTGGTGTTATGACACATATCGTAGGAATTCAACAAAGTTTGAATGAAATGATGTAACTTAGCAGAGGGGTTAGGTAGCATGAAGATTTAATAGGTCCTTGACTGTTCATGATAGTACCTGACTTGTTTGTTCTCTCCTCTGTCCCTCATTTCTGTAGGAGGTGAAATTAAATTTCAGTATATACTGACAACCTAGTATGTGCTTCCATGATAAATAATGAAAATGCATTAAGAAATGCTTTTAGAAAAGTGCATATGTTACATGATTATTTTAAATTATAACAATAATAAAAATTCCATTAATTAATCAAATCTTGGTAGAAATTATCTGGAAACAGTTTAAAGTATAACTGTAAGAATGAATAGTAGTAAAAATTATGTATTATACAAAAACAGCAGAGAATTTTAAATTTTACCCTTCAGCTGCATCTTCATAGGAATGAATGGCAGGCAGCCAGCTACTTAGCTGACATTAAATCCAGTCTACTCAGTACTATATACAGTTTTGTTTTTATATTTAATAATGACTAATGGGTCATTATTGAATATAAAAAGGATGGGTCATTATTGAATAAAAAAAGGATGCAGGTAGGAGTTAAGGTCTGCATAGTTTAGGAAGAATGCCTGTTTTATTAGTAAACAATTTTTTTATACATTCATAATTTAAAAAATTTTGTATTATTTAAAAGGTATTTGGTAGGAATGATTAGTTTTTCATTATTTGAAATTGAGACACATTGAGTATTCTATAATTTTGCTTCTTGCATCATCATAAAGAAGATATAAATTATTCAGAAATAATTTATTAAATTCTAATACTCTGAAAATAAATATTTAAATGATCGTGGATTTCTAAAAATTGGATATTTTTTGGTTGTTTGGGCTTGATTCTGTCATTTTTAACTACCAGTCAATTACATGAGACAGAAATAATTTCATTGCATTCTATATCAACTATTGTTTTTTCAAATGTAAAGAATGAAATGTCTTGAACCAATTTTTGATATGTAATAGTAAATTCCCTATAAATGTTATATATAAACTCCTTTTTCTAACCCTGTGAATATTATATATAAACTCGTATTTCTAAAACAAATTGATTTCTTAATGTTTAATTAAATAAAAATTTATAAATTTTGTAGAGATGATGGGTAAATGTAAGATAATTATAATTATATTATGGCTGTTTACTTGGTTTCATATTCCAAAAATTTTATTAGTTATATATTTCAGTAATGCTAAAATAGCAATTATTTCCTATCGGCTTCTTTGTACATACAACCACTATAGTGGTATAACCACTATACCAATATACTATTGGTATATTCTTATGACTAAAAAAGATGAATCAGAACGAAACATTATAAGGGGCAAACGTGGAAAAATGTATAAAAGTAAATCTAAAATCATCATCATAAACATATCTTTGTATCTATCTATCTTATGTAGACTAGATTTTTATTTCTTTAGCAGGCGCAGTTTAGGAAGCTCAAGGCAAAACATAATCACATTCTTATTTTACCTGCATGCTTATTTTATATTCTCTACTGCTAAAATTTTAAAATTTTAATGCAAACAGGGAAACTAATTTGGAAAAACATAGTGATATTTTATGAACTTTGCTTTATAGTTGAAGTATTTGCTGGAATATTTCATCTAGCAGACTCCCATTGAAAAGAATATTTTTGCGTACATTTTAGATAATAAAATTGTATTTGAAAACCCCTGTACAAATGACCTTATTTTTCTGTTGAAGGGTGAACAGATTTTTACTTTAATGAGTTCTTAGAGGTGAGGTTTTTATATCTATTTTTATGGCAGTGAAATTTACATTCTAACTATATAAATGATTCAAGCCAGACCTGGAAGGTCTGATGTTATGCAGCAATCTATAGAAATTAAATAATGATAAATGATTCTGATTGAAAGAAATAAATCTGGTTTCCCAAAAGCTTACTCTTTATTAAGCTGTAAACATTTGTCAAAAGTGAAACTGGAATTTAGTTCTATAAAGAGTTCTGAATCTTTGAGAGAAATAGAGTGGAGAAATTATTTTTTCAAGGTTACCTAACATAGGCTGATGAATTAGAAGCAATTCTCCTGAAGTCGGGAGAAAAAACATAAATATAACATGACATGAAAATCTCTCTTCTAGTTCAAAGTTTTGCATTTCAAATTTATCTTTAGTTTGAAAAGAAGTTAAAGTTAGTTAACTGTGAAGTGAAACAAATAATGGAAACAACAAGAGTAGCATTTAAAATGTTACTCGGTAGAAAATAAAGTCTTGCAAAATTGGCATAAACTCATTATTAACTCATAAAATATGTTACTTTGAAATAATTTTGTTTATTATAACTGTATATTGCTTTAAAATGACTTTTAGGGGAATTTTTCTAATTTTTTTTTAGCAAAATAAGGCTAAGTTGAGTGGGTTATAAAATGAATAATTATCCATGAATTGCCATCTCACCTTTCTCTTTGGTGTGATTTCTATTTTTCCTTCCCCCTTTCACATTATTAATAGATAAACGATTTAAAGGAAGTATTGTCAGGTTACTTATTAATATTTAAAATTTAAGCCTGAAATACACTTTAGGATAAGAAGTAGGTATGAAGGTACTTCATTATTAAAATTTTTAAGTTTAAAATTATTGTGTACTAGCTGAAAATATTGAACTTGATCAACATATGTTACCAGCTAGCCTCTTCTCCACCCGATCTTTTGTTATCTTGTTATTGTTATAAGGCTTAATGACAGTTGTAGGCCATAGTTCTGGATGTGGGGGTTATTCTACCCTGGGGAGAAGAGGAGGAAACAGCAGTGTGGATTATGGAAATATGGACTGATCTAAAAAGAGACCTCTTGTAAAAGAATGGAGCTCAAAGAAAAGCTAGGAGAAACTGATGAAAAGATGATGGAATATGATGTGAAAATGATAATTTGAAATCTTTCATTCCCAGCTGCCATGTTTTGGAGAAAAGGAATGCATTTGTATATTAAGAGACAGCTAAAAGAGTCCAGATGAATGGTATTACTTATTAGATATATTTTCATTTTGATTCAGATAAATTATGTGCATTTTAATAGACCTTTACATATTTAGACATTTTAAATCTTAAAGACATAATGTTAGGTATGATATTTCATAAAAATATTTTAAGTAGTATACAATATTTGCTTAATATTTGGGCACCTTTAAATGAACCTAATTTCAAAAATTAACTTCATGGTTGTTAAATTTAAGCATTTTAACTAACTGTGATGGTGAATGTTTTATTTAAAGTATGAATTATTTTGTTACCTTTTAACAATTATTTAAACACACAGTCACATGTTTACTTATGTTTATTTTTCTAGATAAGTGACAATATTGCAGCTTATCTTGGTGAATTAGTACTAAGTGGTAACATACAGCTATATCCTTAGCCTATTTGACCAGACAACAATGCAATCTAGTGGTCATTTTTGTAAAATGCAGACACAGAGTTCATGTGGTTTTAACTAGTTATTGATGTGTTAATAAAGGAAAGGTTGTTCCCTGATTCTAAAGTTTGCAAAAGGTTAGATTAGGGAAAAGTTAGCATGAAAATGTAAAAATAAGGCATATGGTAAGAGGATCATATTTTGAGGGAAGATGATGTTTTTAATTTTGGATGTGCCAGGTATTCTAATAGGAATATCTTCTAAGTAGAAGGAAACCTCTGACTGGAGTTCAGGAAGAGGATGATGGTATGGAATTTACTTCTGTGGATGAACTTACCAGGCAAAGTTTAGGGAAAGAAAAGAATCTCCAAGAACAACTGCTTTTATAGGCCCCAACCTATGTCTTTAAATCCATACTGAAAAATATAATTTGATAATCATACCCTATGACCCTTGTAAATATTTTGGTTTTTAAGAGGTAAACAATATATTTCACTTCCTCCTTTTGATATAACCAGCTAGGATTATTTAATATGTTTTGCATTGCAAATTGTAATAGTCTGAAGTTTTACATGATTGTCTGTGGAGTTATTATTTATAGGATATGGGGCATTAAGGAGGAAGATTAACATCAGATAACTCCAATTTGAGCCATAGGGAATGGAAGAAGTAACAAAATATTAAATTAAGCACAAGAACTTGTTCAAATAACTGCTAATTTCATGTGGTTGGAGTGTGGGATTTATGGAACTTGATACTGAGGCTACAAAGGTAGTTTGGTCAGATTATGAAGAACTTTGTATACTATGCTAACTGCTTTGGCATTGACTAATAGGAAATAACCATAAAATGGTATATATTTAGGAGGCTTCCACATCACATCTATATTTTAAAGAGGTAACTTTAGATTTAGGTGCTTTGAATTGGATAAAAGGAGCCTGTTGGAGACATAGAGACTAGTTAGAAGGCTACGGTAATTGTTTAGTAGAACTGTTGAGAACCTCAACTAGAGAAAGCTTAAAGAGAAAGTGGGAAAGGGAATGGATTTGAGATTTTTTTTTTTTTATTGTGGAGGCACAGATACATGAGATCTACTCTATAAACAAATTGTTAAGTTTATGGTACAGTATTGTTAACTATAAGCACAGTGTTGTATATCAGACCTCTAGAACTTATTCATGTTATATAACTGAACTTTGTACCTGTTGAACAGCAACTTGCCATTTCTCTCTACTCACGGACCCTGGCTGGCAACCAGCATTCTACTTTCTGCTTCTGTGAGTTTGACTATTTTTGATGTCTCATTTAAGTGGAATCATGCAGTATTTGTCTTTTTGAGACTGGCTTATTTCACTTAGTGTAATGTTCTCCAGATTCATTCATGTTGTGGCAAATGACAGGATTTTCTTTCTTTTTTTAAGGCTGAGTAATTTTCCATTGTATGTATATAACACATTTTCACTATCCATTCATCTGTTGATGGACATGTAGGATGTTTCCACATCTTTGCTATTCTGAGTAATGCTACAGAGAACATGGAAGAGCAAATATCCCTTTATGATCCTGATTTCAGTTATTTTGGATAAATACCCAGGAGTGGGAATGCTGGATCATGTGGTAGTTCTATTTTTAATTTTTTGGGAAACTGTTTTCCATAGCTGCTGTAGCATTTGATATTCCCACCAACAGTATACAAGGGTGCCAATTTTCTACACTCTCTCCAACACTTATCTTTGTTTGTTTGTTTATTTGGTTGTTGATAATGGGCATTCTCACAGGTGTGAAATGATATCCAACTGTGATTTGCATTTCCTTCATAATTAGTGATGTTGAGCATGTTTTCATATAACTCTTAGCCATTCGTATGACTTCTTTGGAGAAATGTCTGTTTAAGTCCTTTGATCAATTTTTGATCAGGTCTTTTTTTTTTTTTTTGCTGTTAAGTTATAGGAGTTCCTTATATGCTTTGGATAGTAACCCTTTATCATATGTATGGTTTGCAAATATTTTCTTAGATGTTATAGGTTGCCTTTCACTCTTCAGGATGTTTTCTTTGAGGTGCAGAAGATTTTTAGTTTGATGTAATTCCACTTGTCTATTTTTGCCTTAGTTGCCTGTGCATATGTTTATAAACATCCGTATCATATATCCATGATTGGTGTTGTAGCCAAGAAATTATTGCGAAGACCAATGTCATGAAAGTTTTTCCATGTTTTCTTCTAAGAGCTTTACACTTTTCACGTCTTATGTTTAAGTCTATTTTTTTCATTAAAATATATTTTAATGGGTTTCAAAGTTCTATGACAGATTTTTTTTTGGTCAGGTTATTTCCATTAAGAAGTAATTATTTTAAAGACTAACAACTTAAGAACTCTCACACAAAAAAAACCCAAAAATGTTCCATAAAATGTTCTCCTTTCCTTCGGAAGGTTTTATAATGCATTGCTATCATTAATCAGTTTTTTACTATTAAACTTAAAATGGCCTATTCAGGCAAATACTTCTGGGACTGTTCTTCAACCACTGAATAAAACTAGGGTGCAGGTATTAGGGATAATATTCATTTAGCCTCCTGAACTTTCCAGGCAGACTTGCTGACCTTCCCAACTCTAGCAGCCCTCTTGTCCACTGCTTTGAAGACACCCACAGCAACTGTCTGTCTCATATTATGAACAGTAAAATGACCAAGAGGGAGATGGTCAGAGAAGCTCTCAACACTCCAGCAACCATCTGAACGATGGCAGCATCACTAGATTTCAAGAATTTAGGGTCACCTTCCAGCTTCTTACCAGAGTGGCAATCAATCTTGCTTCAATCAAGCAAACTTGCAAGCAACATAAGCTGTGTGACAGTCAAGTATAGGAGGATAACCAGAACCTATTTGGCCTGGTTGGCTCAAGATAATCATGTGAGCAGTGCAGTCAGCTGCTTCCATTGGTGAGTCATTTTTGCTGTCACCAGCAACATTGCCATGACGAGTATCTTTGACAGACACATTCTTGACATCGAAGCCCACATTATCCTTAGGAAGAGCTTCACTCAAAGCTTTTTGGTGCATTTCAACAGACTCTACTTCAGTTGTAGTGTTAACTGGTGCAAAAGTAGACCACATGCTGGGTTTGAGAATAGCAGTCTCCACTAGCCCCAAAGGGACAATGCCAATATCACCAATTTGTAGACATCAGGTAGGGGCAGACACAAGAGCTTGTCAACTGAATGAATTGATGGTAGGATGCAATTCAGAGCTTTAAGCAGCATGGTTTCACTGGTATCGCCATCTTTACAGGTGTCTTTCCATCTCTTGAGCCAAGGTATGTTAGCACTTGACTCCAGCATATTGTCACCATTCTAACATTGATGGCAGGGACTGTTTCTTGTTCACTGCTGCACCTCAGTGCCAAGCATAGTGCCTGGTAGGTAATAGACTCCTTAAGTTTTGTTGAATTAATAAAGGATGGATTAAAATAAAAAAGAAATTGGCACAAATGCTACTGTAGCAGGTCCGTAGCCAGTTTTCTTAATATGGGTGCTGATTTCCTTAATGATTTTCTCATATCTCTTCTGGCTGTAGGGTGACTCGGTGGAATCTGTTTTGTTAACATGAACAGTTGGTTGTTTTACAATCAATGTGGAAGCCAGAGGGATATGCTCATGAGTCTGCTCATTCTTGGAGATACCAAGTTCAGATTCATCAGCACCAGCAGCAACAGTAAGGATAGCACAGTCAATTTGATATTGACATGATTTGTCTCTGTGTCTCCACCCAAATCTCATCTTGAGTTGTACCTCCCATAATTCCCACATGTTGTGGGAGGGACCTGGTGAGAGATAATTGAATTGTGGGGGCAGTCTCCCCCATACTGTGTTCATGGTAGTGAGTAAGTCTCACGAGATTTGATGGTTTTATAACAGGTTCTCCTTTCACTTTATTCTCTTTCTCTCTTTGCCTGCTGCCATGTAAGACATGACTTTGTTCCTCCCTCGCCTTCTAACATGATTATGAGACCTCCCCAGCCATATGGGACTGTGAGTCCATTAAACCTCCTTTTCTTTATAAATTACCCAGTCTCAGGTATGTCTTTATCAGCAGTGTGAAAATGGACTAATATAATAAATGTTTCTGTAATCATGTTTTTGGTAAATTCTCTGTGTCCTGGGGCATCAATGATAGTCACATAGTAGTATTTGGTGGTCTCAGATTCCCATGTGGAGATATCAGTGGTGATACCATGCTCAAACTCAGCTTTCAATTTATCCAAGACCCAGGCATACCTGAAGGACCCCTTTCCCATCTCAGCAGTCTTGTCCTCACATTTTTTAATGGTTCTTTGGTCAATTCCACCACATTTATAGACTGGATGGCAAGTAGTAATGGACTTGAATGAATCTACATGTCCAGTGATGATGATGTTGATATGAGTCTTTTTCTTTCCCATTTTCGGTTTGATTTAGGGGTAGTTTTCATGACACCTGTATTCTGGTGGCAAACCCTTTGCCAAAAAGCTGCTTAGGTCTTTTGTCCATTTTGAATAGATTTTTGTGTATAGTGTAAGATAAGGGTCAAATTTCATTCTTTTACATGTAGACATCCAGTTTTCCCAAGTGTTTGTTGAAGAGACTATCCTTGCCTCATTGTGTGTTCCTGGTACCCTTGTTGAAAATTAGTTGAACATATTTGCATGGGTTTATTTCTGAGCTCTCTATTTTGTTCCATTGGTTATATGTCTGTCTTTCTGCCAGTACCGTACTGTTTTAATTACTGTAGCTTTGTAATATACTTTGAAATCAGGAAATATGAAGCCTCCACCTTTGTTCTTCTTTCTCAAGATTGTTTTAGCTATTTGGGGTCCTTTGTGGTTCCATATGAATTTTAGGTTTGTTTTTTCTATTTCCATGAAAAATGCCATTGGGATTTTGATAGGGATTGCATTGAATCTGTAGATTGCTTTATGTATTATGGCTATGGTAATGATGTTGAAGTCTTCCAATTCATGAACATGGGATGTCTTTTTATTTATTTGTGTCTCTTAAAATTTATTTCATCAGTGTTTTATAGTTTTTCATTTGCAAATCTTTCATTTCCTTGGTCAATGTTATTCCTAAGTATTTTATTCTTTTTGATCTTATAGTAAATGAGATTGTTTTCTTAATTTGCTTTTCAAATAGTTTGATGTTACTGTATACAGACACAGCTGATTTTGTATGTTGATTTTTATATCCTACAACAAATTTTTCTGAATTTGTTTAGTATGTCTAATAAATTTTTGATGCACTCTTTAGGGTTTTCTACATATAAGGTCATGTCATCTGTGAACAGAAATAATTTTACTTTTCCCTTTCTAATTTGGATGCCCTTTATTTCTTTTTATTGCCGAATTGCTCTGACTGTGACTTCCAGTACTATATTGAATAGAGGTGGTAAGAATAGGCATTTTGGCTTTGTTTCTGATCTTAAGGAAAGACTTCCAGTTTTTCACTATTAAGTCTAATGTTAACTGTGAGTTTTTCATATATGGCCTTCATTATTTTGAGATAGTCTCACCCTGTTTGTAGTTTGTTGAGATTTTTTATTATGAAAAAGTGTTGAATTTTGTCAAATGCCTTTCTGCATCTATTAAGAGATCTTGAAGAAAGTGAAGAGTAAAGAGTTACTGAAATTTCTTGCTTAGAAGATTAGATAAATGGTGATGCTACTAATTAAGGGAAAGTAGAAATTTTTGAAGAAGATAAATAGATAAGTCTTAGACATAATGTGTTTTATTTCTTCAAACATTCTGGTTAAAATATCAAAGTAACAGTTGTTGCAAATGGAAAAAATATGCAGCTCTGAGGAGACATTGGAAGCATCGATAATACTTAGAAAAACCTTACCTAATGCTGCCCCAAGCACTTTACTCTTGTAAATTCATCTAATTATCACTGTAACACCACAAAGTAGCTATTAGTTGTTATCTTATTTTATAGATGAGAAAGCTGAGGCACAGAGAGGCCATGTCACTCGCCTGAGGTTCCACGGCTTTTAAGTGGCAGAACATTGATTTGAGTCAATGCATTCTGAACTCTGTGTTCATGTTCTCAACTATTTATACTATTCTGCTTCAGAAATAAAGACTCCCATTTACTAAGCATTTTAACATGCTAGACATTGTATTGAACATTATTTGTATCATATCAATTATCTAATCCTCAATACAGCTCTTTTATTTCACAGAATAGGAAATTGAAGCAAAGAGAGGAAAAGTTGCATGAACGATTTTACACAGCTGTTAGGTCGTTGAACTGGATTCTGAACCTAGCATTCTGGCTGGAGAGCCCAAGCTTTTATCAGTTGTGTATAGCAGTGAGAGTAGATTCCCCATGGAAAGGTAAGAGCTGAATACAGAGTCCAGAGGGAACACCAATATGAAGAAGGAGTTGTGAAGCGGCCTGAAAAGAAATGACAAAGATAGGAAGAGAGTTACAAAAAAAAAAAAAGAGACAGATATCTAGGAAGATACTTTTCAGTGGGAGGAGATTAGTCTAACATCTTGGTTTTCTTAGATTAAGGAGCAGAGTACTTTCATCTTTGAATCCTAGTTTCATACATAGTACATTTCTTAGTACATTTCTTAATAAACACATGTTAAAGTCATTGAGCGAGGTGTCACACATTGTAGAAAAGTTAAATATGATAAAGAATGGAAAAGGGCTACTAAATGTAGAAACTAGAGATTACTAGTGGCAGCAGGCTGAGAAAACTCAGTAGCAAAATGTGGTAGAGACTTGTTGAATGTATTATGCTTTCAAGGACATTTTCAGTGAAAGGAATAACTATTTTAGTTATTCTTTTTAGCTGATCTAAGGTTAAGTCTAACTTTACAGAATTTACCTTAATCTGCTTTTATAAATTAGTCATTCCTGTTTTATTTTGTCCCTTATTTATGATATATTTCCGTAAAATGTAAGAATAAGTAGAAGGCATGATATAATTTATTCAGGAGAATTATTTATTTTTAACTGAGAAAGCTTATTAAGGAATTTTATTTATAGTTCCTCCCTTATTGAGTAAAATCCTCTGTAAGAGACTTAGGAAATTGTGTTTTCTCTTTAAGTTCTCTTGTGCCAAAGCAGACTAGACTGGAGTGATCAAAACTCATTGCTATTTGGTGAGGGCTCTTTGATGGCTTTCTGTTATGTAAAAACAACTGGTATTCATATTTCAGTTTATCGTAGAAAGCATTCTACATGATAAGAACTAAGAACAAAATTGGCATCTTCACTTATAAACTCAGCAAGAGGCCAAAGATTACATCAGCAGGAAGTGTGAACTAAATTTTTATTCCAAGAGGTTGGTCTTCTATAATGGATAAGGTAGTATAAGTTTGCAAAATATTAGCTCCCAATATTTCTATTTGGAATTTCAAGAAACACTCAATTAAAAAAAAAACACTTAGGACTTCAGATTTTAAATTTTGGGGCTGGTCTGAGTGCAGTAGTTCTTACAACTAATTGATCACTATCAGTTAACATTTCTTTGTTCCTTCTCTACTTCCACTACTTCGTTTGACTAGCCTTAAAAAATGAATACATAAATAACATTAATGGGCATGTGCATTTTTGTAGAAGAAAAATCTTGTGTAATTTAAGATAACCTAAAAATACAGAACATAATTAGGATCTCCTAGATTCCTGATTTTTTTTTAGTACACCTTGCTGACTAAATAAAACCTGAATATAATTTTATTTTACTTGCTAAGTACTTAGTTCCTGCTTTAAGTTGAAGGAGTTATAAGAAGTCTAACAAAGTTTACTGAATAAAATTGCTGAAAGTATAACAACTGACCCCAGGTTGTCTCCCTTCCAAGTTACTTGTCTTTATCTGACCACCAGGTATAGACAGCTTTGTCTTATTTACAGATTCCCAATCCTGAGCTTAAGATGAAATAGTCTGTCAACCATATATTTCTCTATTATTATTGACCTTGCTTAATCTCATCCTGCCTGTTATTCTAGTATTATTTATTTGTTCTGATATGACTCTTGTTCTCAATATGACATATAATTTGCTTCAGTTTTTGTTTTGTTTTGTTTTGTTTTTTGAGATGGAGTCTCACACTGTCACCCAGGTTAAAGTGCAGTGGTGCGATCTCGGCTCACTGCAACCTCTGCCCCCTGGGTTCAAGCGATTCTCCTGCCTCAGCCTCCCGAGTAGCTGGGATTACCGGCACCCACTGCCACACCCAGCTAATTTTTTGTATTTTTAGTAGAGACGGGGTTTTACCATGTTGCCCAGGCTGGTCTCGAACTCTTGACCTCGTGATTCACCTGCCTCAGCCTTCCAGAGTGCTGGGATTACAGGCATGAGCCACTGTGCCTGGTCCAGATTTTAAATAAAATGCCTCAAATTTAATTACTTGGTGTTTTGCTCATCTGTGAGAATCAGTTTAAGCTCTTATTTATAAGTCTATTACTTGAAAAGAGTTAAATATATGTTTTTACTGTAAATCTGATATTCTTAGTAGTAACAGATAAGCAGAGATATAAGTAGCATCTTTTTTTGGCCTCACGGTATAATTTCAAGGGAATAGAACAATCTATGGCAGATAAGACTCACATTTGTTATGACATATTGTCTCATCTCCTACCATTCTTTCATACCCCATCCCTTTATTTTTTATACACCAGATTAAACCTTGGTTCTGAAGTATTTATTGCATAATCTTAACTCTTCATATATATGGATAATATACATTGTATAAGGATCAAGGAGGCATCACATTTAGGCATCTGCTGATTATCGATTGCAATCTCGATGAAAACAATGTAAAAAAATACATAGGGTTGGGGCATAATGGTTTGAAGCTTCAGGCTTTGTTTTCAAATCCTAACTCTATTATTTGCTAGCTGTTTGACTTTGGACAAGCTACTTAGCCTCTCAGTCGCTCTATTTAATTTTTTTTCACACATAAAAGGGAATGAAACATGGGTTGTTGTAAGGTTAAATGGGATAATGTATGCTAAGTGCTTAGGTCAGAACTTGGCACAGAGTAAGCATTTATTTTATCTTGTCTTTATTAGGAAGATAAAGCAAGCATGCAGACTCTTTTAAATCATATTACTTGAAATGTCTATCAGGGCAAATTGATTCTGATGGTGCTAAAGTGGTGTCGTTTTACATGAGTTCAGATTTTTTCTTAGCATGAGTAATGTGCCAGGCACTGATTAGGCCCTAGGGCACCTCCGAAGTTGAAAACAGCCGCAAAAACTTTGGAGACATACTTGTTCCAACTGATCTTTCCAACTGTAACAAATAGAGCTTTCTGATTCACCACTAACTCCATTGATCTGGTTGCTAACTAATCAATCACATATTGTGATTATAAAATCAAAAGTGGTTGAACACATTAAAACCTATGTCTTGATACAAGTGGTTAGGAAAATAAAGATATATGTTTTCATCGTTGTAAGAGAAAATTTAGTGATTTCATGCTTGAGAATATGATAATAAAGTTGCTTATTGATGGGAGTATAAAAATATGAAGAAGGATATTTATCTTTCGTAACATTGGAGAATACAATACTAATATCTCTTACTGCTTTTATATCTTTTAATCAGTGCGAGTCCCAGACCAGGTTCTCTCTGTGGAGCACCAGAAATTTTATCCAGCTACCTCTTGTATGTCTCCGTTTTTACTCCTCTGTATATCTCAGTTTTGTGCCTGTTTCTGCATTCTTGCTGCAGCTATCTTATTTCAGGCCAGCACCATACACTTCAATTACTGTAAAAGCCTTATATCTGATCCCCCAGCATTTAGTCTTGCCCCTTTTCAGCCTTCTCACACTATAGCCAGAGTGATCTTGCTAAAATTGAAGTCCAATCATATCCCTTCCTTGCTTTAAACCCTTCAAATTGCCTTTATTTCTCTTAGGGTAGCCATATGATTTATTGTTCAAACTGAGATATTTATTAATTTATTTTTCAGCTATAATTTAGATGTAGTCAAATGCAGATCTTAAATATACAATGAGATTAGTTTTGACATATGCATACAACTGTGTAACCCATATTCTTTTCAAGATACCTTGTATTAATCTATCACTCCAGGAAGTCCCCTCCTGCTGCTTCCTGGTTAATCTATTTAATATCCATTCTGATTCCTCATTCCACTCCTCCCCCTACCCCAGACAAACACTCGCTGATTTCCACTGATGTAAATTATAACTCAGATACTTTTGAAAGTAAAAGAGAATGCTACTGATAATTATAATGAGAAGATACATGTAAAGTGTTGCCAGGAGGAATGGTTTCCTTACCCTTTGTATTAAGTCCAAAATTTTTAATTGGCCTAAAGGCCTTATATAATCAGTCCCCTGGTTATTTCTCAATCCAGTTTGTCTTATTACTATCTCAACATTTGTACTTCTTTTTCAACTCCAGACCTTTCTTTGCACATATGTTTTCCTGTGATGGAAGGACCACCCCTACTTCCCCTCCACCGCTCTTTCCTCATGCTGTAGCCTGGCCAACTTCTTATTCGCTCTTCATTTCTCTATTTACATAGGATTTCTTCCTTTGGGACTTTTCTCCTAGACCTGCCACACATTGATTTATATGTCTGTCTTCTAGAGTCCCTACTATTTTTCAATTTTCCTACCAATGCTCTTCTTACTCTATGTTGTTATTAGCCGCGATTGCTATTCTAATGTATTAAATATTTGCAAAGTGAATATACATAAAAATTAGTTATTTGTATAATTTCACATTGAGTTTGTAAATATATGAGTGGAACTGACTAGACTTTATACCTTTTAAGTAAATAGTCTTCATTAAATAATCTGTTTTTAAAAATTGTGTAATTATAATTTAGTTCCTCTAGACAAAGCTTCCAAATAACTGAATGAACAATCAGTTATGATTTTTCCAAACTTTTCAAATACACCATGAATCTCATTTCTACTGGGTGATCTCATAGACTTCCAGGACATTCAAGGCTTAAATAAATAATTAATAATATGCCACTGACGCCAGAATATAAGAACTAGCTAAAGGTATATTTTCAGACACTTTAAAATGTAGGGTCCCTGATTTATTCTTGAAAACTAAAGGCCTTATTTTTTCTTGAAGCAACTAGATAAACCACAAGAGTCCTATCTGGTTTATCACAGGATTTACTATTTCGGGAAAACAAGCAGTTTAGGGATAGTTCTGAACTAGGTTCCAGGCAGGACCAGAAAAACAAAAACAAAAACAAAAACAAAAAAACCAAGGTTAATTATAATTTATTGCTCTGAAACATATTTTATCACTATGTTCCATCTGTTGCACAAAAATCAGTTTTCTAATATATGGCCTGGGCAGTTAATGGAGAATATTTGCATGAATATGATGACAGAAAGATAGTATGAACATAGACTAGGTGTGAGGACTAAGAGAAATAATGTGGTGGTTTGGTGTCTACAAGACTGAGGAGAAATGTAAAATAGAGACTGACAAAGAACAAAGAATGATTGCTTCAAAAGTAAAATAGAAACCAAAATTCTGTAATACAAGGCAATGATAGAAAAAGGATGTTCTCTAAGGTTATCTTTAGCAATACCCTTTGTCAAGATAGTTGAAGACAAAGTCTGAAGACAAAGCCTACTTTTAGGTTGTAGATGAGACCAATAAATACTTCTGTTTCTCAAACTGGCCAGTGCCTTATGTAGAGTTGGTGATTAATCTTTATGATTGGATTGTTGAATAAGTACATGAATAAAAGAATTTGATCAGTATGTCCCCCTTAAATTGAAAATATCTGTTGATATGACTCTGAAGGTATTTTTAATTTGAAAGAAAGCAGCTAATGTAGTAGTCCAAAGTAAGCTTTTTGTGTGTGATGAAATCATCAGATATGTACATCGGATAACTTTGCAATGTTAACAGTGTTTGCTTCTATTGTGTTTGGTTAGATAGAAGTAGTTGCATATATTCAAATATATATTTGTACATACATCTGTATCTATATCCATACCTACTTACAAAATGCATGAAAAAATCTTCAAAAGAGCAGATAAGTTATTCAGTATAATGCTTTTCATCATATTATATCTCAGTATGTTAAAGTTTTGGCAACAGGCATTGGACACAGGACCTTTAATATTGTACTGTACTTAGTAAACACTTGTTAAATATATATGAATTTAAATTCATATAACAAGAGTTATTAGAACAAATAGCTGACTAATAAAAGAGCTAACAGTTGTTGGGGGTGGTTAATGTGCTTGATATTATCCTAATCATTTTATATGGATTTTTATTTTATTTTCACTTAATCCTCATATAAATTCCTCAAATAAATCCTTGTGTGATCTTATGAGATAGACAGTAATTTTTGCCCATTTCCTAGATGAGGAAACTGGAGCACATAACCAGTAGTTTGCAGAACCAGAATTTGAATGAGTTAAGTACGTCATACACTTGGCTACTTTGATATGCTGCCTAATGTGTGTGTGCTTGTGTACATGTGAATATCCATCTATTTTCTTTTTTAAATCTAAGAATATAATTTTATTTTATTTTCAATAAAACACATACTTTAAAATGTACATATTTATTGGGTTGCACACATCTATTTTCTAATGATCTCAAGTCTCCCTAGTTTTGAAAATTAGGAATTGTATTTCCTTTACTCTCGATAGCACATAACTGTGGGTTGGAGTCATGGTAACTGATCATTAGTCAACTGCTGTAAAACTTTTTCTAAAACTTGAAGCATTTTCCTACTTATCTTAAGTCTACTTATCTTGATTTAAATGATTGCTTGATATTCATTTAAAAATACATTAGTATCTAGAAATGTAAGCAAATATTATGGGGAGTGTTCTATTTTATGATCTATTTCCTTTGATCTAGAAAATATTACTAGTTAGTATAGGAGTGAATGAAGCGGAGATATATTTAGTCTGAAGGGGGTAGGACGTTATATGGTCATCAAGGGAAAAGAGTGGTAGTCTTCCCAAATGTCTTTTTCTTAGATAGAGCTGGGTAATTTCTATTCAAATCTCTGCTTAAAAGCTAGTGTTAACCTGGGGACACAACTTTTTTTAAGAGAGAGGGTCCCTGTCACCTAGTGAAGTGGAGTCAAGTAGTGCGATCACCTCCAGGGCTGAAGCAATCCTTCCACCTCAACATCTTGAGCAGCTGGGACTATAGGTGCATGCCACCATGCCTGGCTAATTTTTATATATTTTTTAGAAACAGGGTTTCACCATGTTGCCCAGGCTGGTCTCGAACTCCTTGGCTCAAGCAATCCGCCTGCCTTGGCCTCCTAAAGTGCTGGGATTACAGGTGTGAGCCACCATGCCTGGCTGGGGCATAACTTTGAAGACAGTTTTTAATAGAATTTTTGAAAAAAAAAAAAAAAAAAAACAACCCTTGGAAACCCATATTCTTATATATACACTTTGATTTTTTAAAATACTTCTCTTTCTTAAACTAATGAGAATAAATGTATTTTGCCTTTTATTTGCCAAGCACACCACTTGTCTTGTTGTAAATATAGATAATATATATAAATATATACATACACAAAATATTTAGATACATATATATTTTTATAATATATGTAAGTACATAAATACATGGAATATATGTGTGTATATATAATCCTATTGGTTTGGGATCCCCATGGATACCAAAATTCCACAGATGCTTAAGTCCTTTATATAAAATGGGACTTCTGTTTTGCATGTAACTATGCACATCCTGCCATATATTTTAGATCATCTCTAGATTTCTTATACTATCTAATACAGTGTAAATGCTCTATTAATAGTTGTTATAGTATATTGGTTTTTTATATGTATTATTTGTATTTTTTCCAAATATTTTTAATCCACAGTTGGTTGAATCTGCAGATGCATAGTCTTCTGATTTTTTTTTTTTTGGTAATGTCACTCTGCACTGCTTCCAATCTAGTCTTTTTCATTGACATTGGATCAAACTAAAGTGATTGCATAGGTTTCATCACCTAAGACTTATGCACATAGAACTGAAATTTCTGAAATTTATATTTTATAACATAGTTCTTTTTATGGCAGAATGTATTTGCTTCATGGCAGTTATTTTAATATTCTAATAATATAAATTTATTTTAAATTCTTGATAGTGAAAAATAACTTGATCAGATTTAATAACCTATGTAGTTTTAGTGTTGGAATTCACAGACTTAGAGTGCTTTCCCTAATTTAAGGAGGAGGGGTAAAATAGGGATTTATTTCTAACAAAAACACTACGTAAAAGTAAAATCCAAGAGAAAAATTCCACACTGGGCATAGTTGTCCTGACAGTTCCTTTTTGGCCCTAAGTTTAAAAATATATTCTCCAAGGGACATGGATGAAGCTGGAAACCATCATCCTCAGAAAACTTAACACAGGACTAGAAAACCAAACACTGCATATTCTCACTCATAAGTGGGAGCAGAACACTTCTTAAAAATAAAAGATGATAGGCTGTCTCTGTAATTTGACAAATTAATATAATTCTCCCTATAAAATGCATTTTGATTTAATCACCCTGTTAATATAACTTTGTTTCCCTTGAAAATTTAAAATATCTGACGGTGTCCCTGAGAGTTTGCTGTGGTGCCCTGGAACATCTAAGTGCTGTTCGGGAATCTCAGTTATTACTCTCTTGTGTAAAGTATAAATAAATTGAATGAATGTGTAGTATTAGGTAATTCTCACTTATTTGGGGGATAATATTCAAAATTAAGTAATCATCTTTTCAGAAATTCATGGCCTTTGTGAAAAATTCGATTAAAATGGACAAGTAGCTCATTTAGTTGTAGCAAAATGATTCTGAAAGTGTTATTCATATGAAATAAAATTACAGATAGTTTAAAATTGTCCTTATATGATATGGTGTAATATTTTTATTGAGAACTTTAGTATAAACATAATATTTGATTAATATCATTATGAGGATTCTTAAGAAATAAAATATAATATACTTCACTCGTATTTCTCTGTAATTACATGTGTCATGGTTATCGGGAGACGAATGGGTTGAATTCTGACTTTTACTCTAACTAGTCTAAGGCTAAACTGAGCATAGATAACCATTTCCCTTGCCAGGGATTAGTTTAGGAGTGGCTTATGACCCTGTGGCTAATTAAATGTAATGGGAAAGTCAGGGATCAGACTTCTGGGAGAGGTTTCCTCACTGATAAAAAGACTGACAGAAAGGGAGGCTTCCTTCACTGAACACTGCTGTATCTTCATGAGATGTGCTGAACTCTGGAAGCTCATTTTGTGATCATGAGTAGAGATAGCTGAGGAAAAAGCCAACGAATTTAGCCCAGCAGGGCAGGAGGGAAGACTTCTGGGTCCATGAGGTAGCTGTTGAATTAAACAGTCTCTGAACAAGTCAACCATGTCATTTCTTGCTATGAGAGTATAACTTTTCCTTATATACATTAAGCACCCTTAACTGATGTAGTTACTCCTAGTCCTTAATTATTGGTGGTATTCAAACTGAAGTTAAAGACTCAGGACCCTTGTGGGTTTCGTGTAGGCAATCAAATTTGTGTTTTGAAAAACACTCCCAAGTGATTCTAAAACCTCTTCATCTTCTTTCTAATCCTTTCCACCCTCCATTGAGAACATCTGGAGCAAGATAGTTATGAAATTGAATGAAAGGACTTGGTGAGTGATTAATTATATGTGGGGGTCAGGGAAAAGGAGGGGTCATGGTAA
The DNA here is from genome assembly GCF_000001405.40 of Homo sapiens. Taxonomy (NCBI): domain Eukaryota; kingdom Metazoa; phylum Chordata; class Mammalia; order Primates; family Hominidae; genus Homo; species Homo sapiens. The sequence goes on along the minus strand of NC_000001.11, from coordinate 197,677,480 downwards.
CTACCGTGTTTCTGATTTGGGTAACTAGGTAGATGGTGCTGCCAGTTTAGGTGATAAGGACCGTAAGTAAAAGAACAACTTTGGTTTTGTACATTCTTCATTAGAGGTGTCTGGGAACATTTAGAAAGTCATACCAGAAAGTAGTTAGAGCCATAATCCTGGAGAAATATCTAAACTACAAGACTAAGAGATTTAGTAGTTGTAGTTGAAACTGTGGGTATAGATGAGATTGCTTACAGGTATATCTTACTGAGTAGGGAAGAGAAGAAACTATGCAATTTCAGAGAACGCTCTGAAATTTCAGTGTACAGTGGAGGACAAAAGTGGTTGAGAAGGAGGAAAAACAATTAGTGGTATCGACAATGACACATCTCATTTTATCTTAGATTATTCTCAGATAAATTCAAAGACCTTTGTTCTAAGAATAAATTCTAAGAACTTTGATCAAGATGTAAACGTTAGTGTTTTTTTTTGAAGTAAATTCTTTCTTAAATGCTTGTTTTCCTTTTCAGTTGATCAATTTATGGTGCTAAATGGTAACCTGATGGGATAAATAATTAATATACCACTCTAACACTAGCAATTGGCCCTAGTTCTCTCTTACAAGATCAATTTCATTGTAATGCTTATTACTAGAGATACACTGGTATGGAACCCAAAACCCCCCAAAATATAAATTTTCATCAGTCCTTGTTTCCAGTCATTAACATGATAGTAGAAGTGCTGTTTTAGGACATACACAGAAATATGTATTATTACCTCTTTCATTTTGCTGTTCATAATTTTGTATTCTATTCCATCCATTCTTTTTATTATTCCTATTTTTATCATTTGACATGTGTTAGCCAATATACTCTTTTGGCATAAAAATAAAATATTTTGGAGAGTTAGGAGGATTCTGAATCCAAAATAATTTTTCTTGTTTTCTTTAAATGCAAAAGTCTGTAGAAAAAGGAAAAATTGATAACTTCTGGAGAGTATTGTCTTAAACCTTTCACATAATCTGTGGATGCTAACCTAGGATTTCGTGTGTGCGTGTGTGTGTGTGTGTTTGTATATGTGTCATATTAAAAACACTGTGTAGTGAAAATACCAGCCTTCACACACACTTTTGTAATAAATGTGGAAGTATAATTTTCAATTAATACTATTGCTAAGAGGATCCATAAAAGCTATTTGCATGCATTTTATGCCTCCTTCCAAGTCTCTCTCTTTTCTTTTTACACTTCAGTTTCAATAGCACCTGTAATTAAGGAAGAAAACCAAGCCCTGGGAGCTAGGTAGGACTTCCAGCTATTGATCTGTGTAAACCCAGTTTATACTGTCAGGGGAGAAACAGTCAACTGCTGAGCTGCTTTGTCACTGACATAAGCTGAGAGAGGATTTTTTTTTTTTTTTGTCTATACTGTTTATACACTAGTCTATAGACCTGCTGGCTGGTTGAATTTTAAAGAGTGCGGAGGTTTAAAGACTTGTCCCCTGAGGGATGCTTCTGCCAGTTGGGAAGCGAGCTGAGGCTGTTTCACAGAAGTGTATGCACGTGTGTTGCTTGTGGAAGAAGGGAGGGGGAGGGTGTGAAAGATTGAGCAACTAACTGGGAAGCGTTCGTCTTGAGTCTTAAAATTGATGTGAAATATATTACTAATTTGTGTATTTAGAGGGAGATATTGAATTTTGAATATATGTTCTTTATTGTTACAGAAATTATGTGGACAATTTTATAGGAGGAGGTCTGAATAGTGTTCACATGTATAGTAAAAATGGTGAATGGTTTCACTTTATGAAGTACAAGATAAGGATTAAGCAATGGTCAAATGAAAATGAACTGGTCTCATTTGCAATGAACTGTTTTTCAGTTTACAGAATTTAACTTACTGCAAGTTTAGTGACTCTTTTAACTACATTTAACAAAATATTGTCAGTGGTGAAACAGTTAGCTTTCGCTTAATATAGAGTCTGTGCTCATATTTTTAAAGGTACATGATTATGATTATAAGCAATCCAGGGTACCCTGCCCTAAGAGTAGATGATTTTTTTTTTTACAAGATCCTTTTCTTTCTGCTTATGTGCATTAAGGCACTGAAGCTTTCTTAGGTATTGGTATTGGAATTTTATAATGTTTTATTTTTAGTTGACACTTTATTGTAGTCTACCTTTTTAAAAGAATGCAAGAAATTCTACTTTAAAACACTCAATGCTATATTTATGTATACGGTTTAAATATTCAGATATTGATGACTTCTGTAGACCTTAGTTTTAGTGGCAAAGAAGTGGTAGCAAAAATATTGTTCAGTGAGGATGACTGCTGCATTAAGATATTTGCTCTTTTTTCTTTTTAATGGGAAACATCCTTATAAAATTCTTTGTCTTGTAAAATTGCCTGACTTTGAAGTTGTATGATGTTGTCTTCAAGTTTAAAGTTTAACTTTTGAATCAGACTTAATTTTATTTTTCAAATATAACAAAATAGATTATTAAGACTTTGTTTGCCAAGTAGCTGATAATTATTTGTATTTTATTATAATTTTTAATGTGTATGGTTTCTAAAAGATTTTGAAATTATTTTTAATGACTGTTAAATAACTGAAGGTTTCAAAATCATTCAGATTATTTTCTGTGTTTTATTAAAGCATTGATTTTCATATTAGGCAATCCTTAAATGAAAGTGCACAGAATAGAAGCTGTATTTTTGACAGCTTGTTTTTAGATACACATTTCTTTAAGAGTGTTAAGATAAAACTTAATACCAAGAATTGAATCATGTAAATGTTTCTTTGGCTATAGAAAGTCTCTCTCTCTTTTTTTTTTTTTTTAACTGTTTGACTATGGGACATGTAGAGTTGTTATACCTCTCAGTAATTCATTCTGCTGCCAACTTCATTCCCTTTTCTCTGCCTGCATTTTAATTGAAACAACATTTATATTTTTGAGCCAGGATCTGTCAGAAGTCCCTATGGCTAGACTGTGGTACAAGTAGCAGCAGACGTAGCTTACCCATATGGTGCGGTGCTTCTTGTAAAATCCATATGGCCTTGTTGAAGGGAATCCCAGCGGGGATGTGAAGGGTGTTAATACCCTTCAGGCCAGGCCTTTCCCCCCTGGGGTTTCTGTGGCATTGTCAGTGCAATCTGCCAAAGCACAAACTTAATTCCTTTTTAATAATCAATTATTTTAGTCTAGGAACCTGTGCTATTTTTCTTAAGGACAAAGAAAGCATCTTTTTCTCCTAGAAAATGTCTCAAAGAAGTTTTAACTGCTTCTTAAAAAATATTCTAAAACTTATTTCTTTTTTTTGAAATTTCCATTTGTAGGAAATACTACAGAGTGTGCCAAAGTTCTGTTTTCCCTTTGACGTTGAAAGGTACAGTATAAGTATCATTTAAAATAAATGTAGATTCTTATAGTACATACTTGAAAATGATTACATGTGCTTTTTTATAAAATAAAATGTCCCTTCTCTTTATTGCTTCTCACAAAAAGGCTAGAGATTGAAAAGAGGTTGAAAATTAATTAATATGTGGAAGAGGAAGCCTTTTAAATCACATCTTTTATTTTCTCTACTATGACCAGTTAAGACAAGTTTGAAAACACATTACCAACAGGTTCTATTTTTTCCCTTTGTTCTCTCTTCAGGTAGAAATTGTGATCACTAGTGGAAAAAAATACTAATATGACCTTGATTGGAGTCTTAGAATTATGTCTTGATGTATGTTTCCTGGTTTCTATCTCACTTCATCCTCATTGAAAAGACCATCTGTGTCATGCTGTAAAACTCATGGCTACTTGTCTCTCAATAATAGCTTTATAGAGGTAGTGTAATATTATGGAAAGCTATAGGGAAACTCCTCTAGTTTTGAAAATCTTGTTTTTATATTTCACTGAACAAATACTGAATGATGAAATTGCATAGAGTTGAAATTTCTTGGAACATACAGCCCTGTGAGCATAACAACAGATCGTTTATTGTTTTTCATGTGATTTTTATACTCTATTTTCAGTTTACTTAAGAGGGTGACATGAAGGGTTTTTGAAAGAATGTTTATTTTAGGAAAATACTTCGCTAAAGTATTAGTGAGACTTTATGATTTTACTGTATTAAAGATAAAGCCTTCTGAATGATGGACTAATCAGTACTAATAAGCATTGTTGATGAATGATACTCCTTGTTTTACCTTATCTGAGGAATCATTGCCCTACCCCTACCAAAAAAAGTTACACGTTTCATATTAATAGTAAGGAAGATTTAGGATCCAGCTACAAAAAGGATATTATGAATCTTGGGCACTAGAGGTCACATTTGTCACTAGAGGGTTTTTTTTTTATTTTAAGTTTATTAAAGTGTAAGAAAAACCTATCCACTGAAAAGTGTAGTTGTTAAATGTTCAGCATTTGAAATGCAACATTTCCTGACAAAACTGTTTGTAGCATTGATACTGGCAGTAATTTATTTCCTTCTGCACAATCCCTATGGCTATTTCAAAACCAAAGTGTAGGCGTCATGGATATTTTATTTTGGGACAAGGAAGCAAAAGTTCGGTTATGGTTATCTAATGGCAAGATTACAGCCAGTACTAGGAAATATATTCATATATTTTAAATAGAAATAAAGATTCAATCTAACGTTTTATATTGCCCCTTATACCAAAGTGTGACACATATTATGGTAGTATGATACTTCAAAGTTGACTAGAATTCTTTACAGCTTAGCTGATAAGCCTTTTATTTTGGTAGAAATTATATTCTTATTTTATACTTGGAAATGTATTCCTCAGTATATTGATAGCTGTACAAGAGAATTCTAGAAAAAATATAACAAGGGTATTTTTGTAGGGTACTTTATTGGATGAGAATGTCAACAGGAGAAGCAATTAAACAGAGTTGGTGGTGGCTGCCATTAGATTCTAAAGCGACATGATTTGCTATCTAAGCAATTTTAGAATAATTAAGAAAAGAGGCTAAAGTTGAAGAAAAGGACTTAGTCATGATTTCTAGCTGCTTCTACAGTTTCAGTAATAATATTTTGATAATTTATGAAATATGAGCACTTTTAGTCTTATGATCATTTATGGTAGACTACCTTATGATTTCCTAGTGAGAGATTAATATATGCTGAACTGTTCAGTCTATGAGGTATTACAACTTATTTTGGTGTTTACTTTACAAGTTTCACACTTCCTCTAGTTTTAGAACATAGTTCTAGCTTCAAGAACCAACTGATTAGAAAGATGAAACCAATGTCACATATAAATATACTCTTATTTTTGTTTTTCTTGAAGAAAATTGTCAAACAAGGCACAATGTTTCCTAATGTTACTATATTTTAGGGTGTCTCAGAATCAAGTTGGACAGCACTTTACCTTTGTACTGACAGACATTGAAAGTAAACAGAGATTTGGATTCTGCAGACTGACGTCAGGAGGCACAATTTGTTTATGCATCCTTAGGTGAGTATTTGTAGTAAAAAAAATTAGATGCAAAATAGGTAACTATCTCTCTATTGTACTTTGTTATGCTTGGGATGAAGAAAAACTTGTTTTCTTTAAAAACAAGTTGAAAAATAATTTTCCTGATTTTCTGTATACAGAATCAGTTAAGTTTAAAGATTTACCATTAACATAGTGGAACTTTCCTTGAAATAATCGATTTTTTAAAGATTAGTTTTTTGTAGAGTTATTTTTGAAAACTAAATATAAAGAGATGTATTCAAATAATATGAGTTTCACCTATTAAATGGAATACAAAAAAAAATAAGTTAAATTAATGTATGCCCTTTTCTGTCACTGAACCAGAACTTGGATTTTTAAAAGTGAACTGCTGCTTTAAGACAGAGGTTGCAAACTGATGAACCTGGTAGAAGCGTTTAGAGGTTTTCGTTTGGCTACTGGGTGTTTTAAAAATTTTAAAGGACGTTAACCTTATGAATTTGAGGAAGTTTTGTATATAGTTCATATTTCGAATTCCTTTTGAAAAGTGAGGCTATCTACTAATTCTGCCATGGCAACAATAAGCTGGAACTGAATAGCAGATTTTTAGTTGTGTCATGAGCTTGCTAGTTTCCAAAGGTCCTATCTGTCCTGCCTAATTGCTTACATTATCTGCCTTGATTCAGTAGGTAGTTTAGAGTATGTCTCCTGCCTGTGGACTTGGGATCTGAGTTGCTGACTGTTAGGAAGAAAGGGTTCTAAAGGTTAGCATTCTTGCAATATGTCCTGATGAATCAGAAATCCAGATGTAGTCTATAAAAATAGGACTCCAAACTATTATTATAACATGGATATTGGTCAAACTGGATTTCTTAGAAATGCTTATAGGAAAAGAAATAACAATTTATGAAATAACATATTACAAAGAAAACTTTGGTATAAAATCAGTCTTCCTGTTCATTTGCTATTCATATTTAGCTACAGTTATATCATTCATTGAGAGGTTGTTAATTTACTTACAACATTGGTTAGAGCTGGAGAGTTTTTTTCTATCTTTATTCAAAAGTAAGTGCTTAACTGCTTTAGAAGTTATAGAATCGTGAATGTGCCCCCATTCTCTCTTTAGCACAACTTTTTCATCTGGATAAAAATTGTGCTTAAAACTTACACTTTATCCAAAAGAATGTCATGCTTAAAACTGTAGGTTATTTTTTTGAACTTGGAGCAGGTTGGCTGGGCAGTGGGGTTGGAGATGACAGTGTGGGCAATGGTGGGGAGAGTTCCTTTTATCATTGTTTCCTGCTGAAATTTTAAAAGCTACAGTTTAAAGGGGAGTATATCTTTATGCACTGTGCCCGAGATGGATTTGCCCTAATGGAAAGACCAAAGCTGTATATGCTTTCTTATTTTTCTCAATGCATTTTTGAAACTTTTCATTAAAAAATTGAGATTTACAGAAAAATTTTCATGGTACAATAAACTTTTATATAAACATTACCTAGATTCATAAGTTGTTAGCATGCATTTCTCTTCCTCTCTCCCCCTCTCCCCTACTCTTCCTTTCTCTCTCAATACACACACACACACACACACACACACACACACACACACACAGTCTTCCCCCCACCTTTATTGTTGTTTTTGTGCACCCATTTGAGAGTAAACATCATTTTCAGGTAAGATTTGAGTCTGTATTTTATAGCTTACCTCACTGCCTCTAAACTGACCTCCTGATATTTATAATTTAAAAGTCTGAGCCTTTTGTTTTGAACTCTTAAAATACTTTGAATACATTGAACTTATTAATCATTCACAAATAATTATTGAATGTTTAGAATAGTTTCTATAAATGTGCTTGTGGAATAAATATTCTTAGGAATTTCTGTTTAAATTGAGGAAAGCCATCATTACTTGAAAATATTTATACAAAACATGAACTATAACTATTTGTTAATCGACTGAAAGAATAATATAATGTCCATATCGACAACCCAATTGTCATTAATTTGTAGAAAACAAACTCTAAAGCAAATACAATAATCAAATTATTTTTATCTGCGGTTCTAAACTTGTATATGTAGAAGAACGCCTGAATTTTGTGGTATATTCTTTGAAGTAGGAAGAGTTTTTAACCTGCAGAAAATATGATTATATTAGATAAAGATAATGAAAACCAAAAGTAAAATCGTGTATTCCAATAAAGAGAACATTTCACAGTATTATTGAATATTTTATCTTTTATTTAAAATAATGTTTCCTTTTATATTTATTTTTGTCATTTGACAGTGCTTTTGGTAGATAAGAAGTAGGAGGTGTCAAAACTTTATGAAAAAATCATAGAGGAAAATCTTAAATTTAGAAAATTCTATTCTTCAGCTTATTTTTCCTAGTAAATTAGAAAAATATTGCCCTTTTAAGATTTTAATGGCATATCTTAATATTTTTTCTGAAAGACAGTATGTGAAGGGATTCTTTGAGAACAGCTGATTTAGAGAATAACCAGCAAATTAGATAACTATTTAATTTTAATAATGAATGGAGGATTCAAATATAATAGAATTCAGCATCTTATTCAGAAAATTGGAAAATTATAGATAGGTAAATGTCTATTTGTAAGCTATAATCAGTGTATCCCCTGGAAAGGAATTTTGGCAGGTTTCTGTAAGTGCTACAATAAGAGGAGTTATGGTGCTTTTAGTCCGAGTTTATCCACCTAGTTTGATGGGTCCTTCACCACTTTTAGCTTTAAAATTGTTGAAAGGATGGATAAAGCTATAAATGTCAACTAGAAGAAAAAAATTACTGTGGCAGTGAGAGTATACATGGAATCCCTAAAAGATTTGTGTATTTGAGCACATAATGATGAAAATGCTTGTATGGTGACAAGTATAATAAAATCTAAAATGCAAATAATAAACTGGTGGAAATATATTTACAACCACTATAAGAAAGGGTTAATAGCCAAAATACATAATAAGCACCTACAAGTTAATAAGAAAAATAATCTGATAGAAAAATAAGTAAAGCATCTAATAACTTACAGAGGAAATGTAAATAATATATGCAGCTATGCATGATGCTCAGCATTGCTGAGGGTAAAAAAAATGAGCCCATTAAGATTAGCAGAATTGAAAAAATTTTTAAATAAGCATGAGGGAAAACACACTTCATGTGCTGTTTGTAGGACTAAAAAATGGTATAAGCTTTTGAAGGAAAATTTAATAATATCTATTAAAATTATAAAATCTCATATTTCTTCAGTCAGTAATTTCAGTTCTAGGAATTTAAATCCAGGATTATTTCTAAGAGTGAGGAGAAAAGTATGAACAAAGGTATTTATTACAGCATGGTTTATAGTAGGAAAAATGCTAATTAGCTAGATTTAGTCATTCCACAATGTATATGTACTTGAAAACAATGTTTTCAAGTATATACAAACAATGAGAGTAACATGCTGGTGGGAGAGAAGGGAAGGGGTTGTGGGACAGAGAGGAGGTTATACTTGAAAAGAAAGTATACGCAATAAGTACGTAGAATTTTATCTGTCAATTTAAAGAAATAATAAAAAATAAATTTAAAAGTGTTGACAACATGAATGCCCCTCAGTAGGAATTGATTAGGTATATTATGGTACATTTTGTAACCTCCTCTCTGTCCCACTACCCCTTCCCTTCTTTCCCACCAGAATGTTACCCTCATGAGGGCAGGGATTTTTGTCTTTTGTTTACTCATATATTCCCAGTGTCTACAATAGTGCCTGGCACATAATTCTTAATAGACTTGATAGATAATTATTGAATAAATAAATGAATAATGCAGCAACAGTTTTTGCTATTAAGAAAAACATACACATATATACACCCTGACTTAGAGAAATTGTTTATGATCTGTTGTAACATGATGAAAAATTTCAAAATAATATTTATAGTATGTTGTTATATTTGTAGAGAACAAGTTATATGTGTATGTAAATGTATATGTATTTTAAGAAATAGCTAACACATAAATATTTGTATCTTAATATGGGATTGTATGTACTTATAAAAAAGTCTAAAAGGATATACCCTGAATTTTTTTTACTTTATTCACTTCAGCATTTATCTACTTTTTACAATAAGCAAAAATCATTTCAATTTTTTCCTGCTCTAAAACTCTGAGATGTTATGATATAGATAATAAACTATAAATATGGAACCACAGGTATCATATTAAAAATTAGTAGGAATTTAGCTATATTACCAGGTAAAATATGTGCGTGTTTGCAGGATGGGAAATTATCTTACTAGTATGTTTTAGTATAGGCACTCCATACAAGTCAGGTGATCATGGTGACATAGCAGAATTAAGAATGGAATTGGGGGCTTGGTGCAGGGGCCCACGCCTGTAATCCGAGTGCTTTGGGAGGCCGAGGCGGGCGGATTACGAGGTCAAGAAACCCCGTCTCTACTAAAAATACAAAAATTAGCTGGGCGTGGTGGCGCACGCCTATAATCCTAGCTACTTGGGAGGCTGAGGCAGGAGAATCGCTTGAACCCAGGAGGCGGAGGTTGCAGTTAGCTGAGATTGTGCCACTGTACTCTGGCCTGGCAACAGAGAGACTCTGTCTCGGAAAAAAAAGATAATAATAAATAAAAATAAAAAGAATGGGAATGGGACAGTTTCATTCCGTGTCCTTGAAAATTGGGATTTAAAGAGAAAAAAATATTGCTGATGGGGTGGCTTTACAATCTTTGAGCCAGATATTGATGTTTCTCTGTAATTTCAACACAAAATGTTCAACCAGATGGCAATGATTTGTAAGATGCTTGGAGAAATTCTATGACACCTAAAATTAATTTCTTTTTTCTCCTTCTTCAACAGTGGTTACTTAATTTTACTGTACCCTTAAGATGTGGTTGAAAAAGTTTGTCTTTTTTTTTTTTTTTGAGATGGAGTCTCGCTCTGCGGCCAGGCTGGAATGCAGTGACGCAATCTTTGCTCACTGTAGCCTCCGCCTCTCGGGTTCAACCGATTCTCCTGTCTCAGCCTCCAGAGTAGCTGGGAATACAGACCTGCGCCACCACGCCCAGCTAATTTTTGTATTTTTGGTAGAGACGGGGTTTCACCATGTTGGCCAGGATGGTCTCAATCGCCTGAACTCCCAAAGTGTTGGGATTACAGGCGTGAGCCACTGCCCCCAGCCTAGTTTGCCTTATTTCACTATGTAACCAAGACTTAGAATAACTAGTAATTTTAGGGGGAAAAGGAAGGTAGGATTATCTAATGAGCTATTCATACAATGGTTTAGGGTAGTCAGGTCTCTTAATTTACAGGCCAGCTTCCTTTATAACAGACTGTGCTGCTTCCAGAAGTATATGAGAGAAGATCAACTATGCTCATTTTCTGAGTTATTTATGAGTAGCTGGCAAAAGCCTTTTTGTTTGCAATCAGTTTTGTAGGAGTGACCTCACTTTTAGAATTCATGTGCTTAATAGGGCCAAAATTTATTGAGAAGTTTGATAAAATCCTTGCATAAGCAAGACATAGACATATGCCTTTAACCATATTTCTGATAACAAAAATAATTTATTTGCTATAGAAAACTTGGAGGATCCAGAGAAGTTTAAAAGATAAAATAAAAATCACTTATATTTGTGAACACATAATTGTCACTTATGTTTTGGTATTTAGTTCTAGTTTTATTTCAAAAGACTTGCTAAGATACATTTACAGATTTTTCTGTGTCAAAATAAATGATTAACTGTAGTCTTTATTCACAGTTTGCAAAATGAATGAATGCATCTAAAGCAGTTCATAAATTGAAAAAGCTACAGTGGCTTTCATATTGTCCATAAGTGCCTAGAATGTTTACACATGCTTAATCTGACAATTGTTCATTGCTGTTGTTTCTTTTCTTGTAAGTTGAGATTTCACACAAAAATATTTCCCTTCTGAATATAGGTTATATTTAATCACTTTCTTATATCTTTACCAGTAGTGTATTATGACTTTTGGATGTTAAAATATGTTAATACCTTCTCCTTAAAGGTGCCTTTTGTGCAAAGTTAGTGCCTTTATACTGAAGCATTCTCCATTTGTAGGTATTCTACTGTGAGATAATAATGGCTTGATTATCCAGAGTTCATTGTCAGAAGCAAAGGAATTAAGATTCTTGGACAGAAATTAATTGATGTTTCTCCTATTGTCTTTCCAATATCCTAAACACTAATTTTTTTCTATTGTGATAAAATATATTTTCATAAAAATCTTCTCATTTGTGAGCTATCTTCTACTGTTTGAAGTTGTCTTTTAATCCAAAAATTGTAAAAGAAAAATATTTATGAATGTCTCTTGAGCTTTTGTTGAAGCATAGACATAATTAAAATGCCATACATTTAAGAAGCTTTAAGATATTTCAAGTCAAAGTAAAGTAAAACAGTACAAATTGATAGAATATTTTCATTAGAAATAGCAGAAAATAATTTTGTTTGGATTTCTTGACTGGCAGAGACTCTTTTGGTTAAAGATGTTGATACTAATGATACTATGTGGCAATTAATTAACAGCAACATCATTTAGTGTTTGTTTACCATAGCCAAGTGGTCTGCTTAGTGACATGTATGCATTATTTTTTAAAAAACCCAAAAAACTATTCTAGTCCTTAGAGTTCTAAGCTAGAACATTTGTATATAATGCTTTAAAGCTGCTTTTATCTACTCCTGGATGATGCTATTATAGGACTTGAAATTACTGTAATCTGCATTTACCTCGGAGTTCCGAGAAAATTGCATGCTATGCTATATAAACCACGTGTCCATTTTCTCCTGGATTTATGCCATTACAAGATTTGAAAGTTAGTACATTTCTTTGATTTCTATTTATTTTGTTCACCTTTCAGAAAAAAAATTAGAATTTAGGCCTATTTAATACAAAAGTTGATATTTAATTTTGAGCCACTGTTCTGTTCTTTTGTTCTTTCTATGACATGTCTATCCTACTTTTAACAAGATTTCAAAAATATCCTGAGATATTACTAATTTAAATCTGGCAATTGTTTGTATTTAGAATTGTTTCATATGCTAGCAAAAATGCAAGAAATAACTTTTTAACCTAATTTGATTAACATAATTTTATAACTATAAAATTGTCGCCAAGGGTTCAAAATGAAATACTCCAATAAGGAAGACAGATTTATGTTTAGGGCCTTTGTAGTTCCCCCTCCCCCCTTTAACTCATTCCAAACCTAAAGCTTTCACACTCTTCCTTTGGGCAAATCCCTTAGAAGCAGAATGTTTCAATTTTACACATTTTGTGTCAATTTTCCAGACAGAAAAACAGCCTCTAGACATTAGATGTTTTCCTACGGAAAGGCAGTTTCCTTAGTTTTATTTGATTACTATAAGTTAGGTTCCTGCTGATTGCTTAGACTTTAGTGGTTACCTGACTATTTGACAAAAAACATTTCCTTTCCTTTATTTAACCTTTGACTTTTGAATGTAAAAGTTTTATCAGCTCTATAGTGGAAGTAGAAGTGTGGGGGAAGTCTTCTTACTACCACAAAATGGACTCATGACTTTATGTATATCTCTCTCTTTTGCCTTATGTCTTTACAGAAAATTAAGGAAATGATCTTACAATTAAATTTTAACTAATCTCCTGTACTTTGTTTTAAAATAATTGCTCATAATGTTTTACATTTATATATGTTGGCAAGAGTGCGAGAGTCACAGTTATTCTTTGTTCAATTTTAAAAATTCAAGTGAAGTGTCTTATTCACTTGTTACAATATGTCGAGTAATTTTTTTTAACTTCCTAGGATTTTTGTGGTCTGTTGTAAGAATACAGACTTTGACTGTCTTTGGGACTGTAAAATTTAGTGAAAAACATTTTAACATTTTACCTTATTGATAATCAGTTTAAAATTAGTTGCTTTGAGCATGTATCGTTTGAAAATTCCCTAAGAAACCACAAAATAAAGACTTGAAAATAACATTTCTTACTCTAGCAACATAAGCTTATATAATTTACAGTATTTTTTATCTCTCTCTCTGTGTGTGTGTGTGTGTGTATGTGTGTGTTTCAAAAGTTTTCTTTTTAAAAATGATGTTGTTTTTGCCATATATTTAGACTTAAAGTGTACTTAGAGTATAGTTAAAATTGGAATTACTGGACTACTTTGTATACCCTGGATCATTTTCTTGTCAGATAAGAAAGTGAGTAGTCGGTAGGATTTCCTGTTGAGCAGTTGCTTCTTATCAGGAGTTGTGAATTCAATTACCTATGTAGACCAGGTAAGGGGCTCAAATGAGAGAAACCTGTTAGGTGCCTAACAATAGGAAGTTGGGGTAAGTACGGTGATCTGAATAGTACATGCCACACTCAAAGACAGAAGCCACAACTCAGCCCTAGGAATTTGTTGCACAGTGAAAAATGTGTGGCCAGTATTACCAGTTCTTTTGACTTTTAAGAGAAACAAGAAGTCTGGATTTTTACAGTGAATTATATCAGATTTGGAAGTTGGCAACTTATTTAATTAAACAACAGTACAGTGTTGACCAAACAAAATATGCCCTTAGGATAGAAGCAGCCTGCAAATAGCCAGTTAGCACTGTTTGCTGTAGATGCTTGTTTATTTACAACAGAAAATGTCCTTGCTTTCTTGACGTTTCTAGGAGCAATGGCTACGTTATAGAGTAGTTCCACTTTTATATGTGATGTTTTTATTTAAAAAATGAATGATATGTACTCTTTAAAAGGAGAAAGTTATCACTGAGAGCCAGTACATGTTTACAAAGAGAGCATTGTTTATAACTAGGCTTGGTTTATTATGGTGATAGTACATACTGATGTAACAGGGAGTGCTGTAGTTGAAATTTGAGTCTGTTCTAATATTTCACAAACAAATTATGTGCAGAGAAAAGTGTTGGTTAGATGATACAATTATGAGTCTTTTGATTAGGTTAAAATTTCATACTTAGAATGTTGATAAATAATTGGTGTTATTTTGGGAGGCATCTTGAAGACTTTTGCAGGCCATATCCTTTTCAAAATTTTTATCCACAGTGATGAACACAGAAGCAATACCAAACTTAAAATTGGAAGGGTTTACCAAAATGTTACTTTAAAGAATCACATTGAATAGACCTTTATTTGTTGGGAAATTTGCCCCTATGAACAAACTATAATTTAAAAGTCATAAAGGTAATGCTCTGAATGTTAAATAAACAAATGAATTTTAGAAGATAGAATTTGCTTCAGTGGATAGGACATATAGGCAGGCTGTTTTAAGATTACAACAGAATGATTTTTGTCTCAGTTCATTTAGCTGCCTGAAATGCCTGGTCATTGAACATGTTTATTAAAAGGCTCACTGTACATTAGCAGATATACTTAAAGTAAATGACAAGTTAATGGGTGCAGCACACCAACATGGCACATGTATACACACACATGTAACAAACCTGCACATTGTGCACGTGTACCCTAGAACTTAAAGTATATATTTTTTAAAAAAGGCTCGCTATATAGAAATACACGCCAAGATAGGGTGATAGACTGTCTGTGGTAGACCCCTGAGCATATATTACTCAGGTTGATTAGGGTTCTAATCCCAAGATTGCCATTCCATAGCTTTGTGACCCTAGATAAGTTGCTTTATCTTAGTCAAGTATGTATCAAAGCATTAGTGTAAGAATTAAATGAGATAATACATATAAGTATCCAATGTACTGTCATTCATATAGTTACTCCTTAAGTAATTTTACTTCCTGCACTTCCAATTGTTTTAACACATAAATTCTATGATTCTTAGATTCTGCTCTCAACCCCTAGATGGACGTATAACTAACTAGTGAGTTATACTCCCCAAATAGAAATAATAAAGTATTTTGGGGCCTTAGAGATGACTATGAGAAATATCCCATAAGGGTAAAGCTTATTTCTAAACAGTGTTAGTTTAATTTATAGATGAAGTCATAGTTTGATTTATAGATGAAGTCATAGCCTGGTACCAGGATGAAATTCAATAAAGCTTATTATCTTGGACATGTAAAAAACAGTAATAATTACGTAGATACCAAAATGCCTAGCACAAATAAAAACTGTTTAAATTTTTAAAAGTAACTTAAATATGGATATATTAATTATTTATTCAAAGACAAGGATATAGTCTTACAGATAAATTATATTTATCTGTATAAATTAGCTTCTTAATGAAAAATCTGATTCTGATGTGCCTTTGCAATTTGAAAGGAAATTAAAAGGGGAAGATAACCAGTGAAAAACAATAATATAAAGTTCAGAAAACCAGAACATTGAAAGAAATGTTAAGGGTTTTTGGTCTAGAATGAAAAACATTATCTCACTTTCTAATAACATAATTATTGTTATGTATATAGTTTTTATAGTAGACCATGAAAGAAAAATTAAGGTTACCAAAGGCCTCACTTTATTTAAATAAGGTGAAAATGACAATGTAAGCATTAACAGGTAGACATGCAGCCACCTACAATCAATACATTTTGCTTTATCTAAAGCTCCTTGAGAGTTGGATAGAAACAGACCAGCATGTTCTTTGAATAGATTAGGTCTCATCTGAATTTTTAGGTCTGAACTACATGACACATTGAAATTGTCTGGAAATAGCAATTTCTTCAGGCTATTAAAAGTTGAAATGTGAGTTTGAAATGACTACAAATGAAAGCAATTAGGCTCTAACTAAGGATTATGTGTCTTGGTGGAAGGAAATTTGCCATGAAAACTATTTCTTTGAGTTATAGTGAATGCAGAAACTATGATGTGCTGATTTGCATTATATTTAGTTAGTATTATAAAAGTATTAGTAATTTTTAAGGGTTTTATTTGTAAGTGGAAGATACACATAGTAAAATAGCGATCTAAGCACTGGGGCTTGAAGAGTTAAGTAATTTAAGTAGGAAAATTGAGATTACCAATAGTAATTTCTAATTTTTAGATTCCCCAAAAACTGTCACAGATGTGTCACATACCTGTCCAGATTTTTCCAGGCTTCCAGGCAAAGTTGTCAATATGCTTATTGTAAACACCCCGTTCCAGCATCTCCCTCCTAGAGCCTTCATTCCTGATTCAGTCTGGGCTGGTTGCTCTCGAGGCCTTTGCACAACTGTTCTTCCATGGTCTTAGATTTCTTGCCTCCTACATCCGTGTATTCCTTCTTTTTCATCTCCTTTATTTTATTTTAGCCATCCTTTAGGATGTCTTAGGAGGTGAAGTTTTGAGTCCTTGCCTGACTGAAAATGCTGTTAATCTGTTCTCACACTTTATTGATAGTTTGTCTGGACATAGAAGTCTTGAGTGCAAAGAATTTAACCTTTGTATTTTGAAGGCATTATCTTCTAACTTTCCTTATTGCTGTTGAGAGGTTTGATGACATTTTTGAACTTGATCCCTTTGTTACTTGTTTTGTCTCTTTGGAAACTCTTAGGCACTCTTCTATCCCTTGTTTTGGAATTTCACAGTGATACTCTGGTTTGGAACATTCTTTGTGCTGTTCATTCACTCATTCTTTCAGTCTGGAGACTCATGTCTGAAGTTCTGGGAAAATTTCCAGTCATTCTTTAAAATGAAACTTTCATTCATTTCTTTCCTCTATTTTTTCTTTATGGAATGACTATAGCTATATGATAGTTGAGATTGATGGCCTGATAGTGTAATATTTTTCTCTTATTATTTATCTTTTTTGTTATGAACATAAATTATTATTATTTATTATACTTTAAGTTCTGGGATACATGTGCAGAACATGCAGGTTTGTTACATAGGTATACACATGCCATGGTGGTTTGCTGCTACAAAGATAATAAAATACCTAGGAATAGAACTTACAAGCGTTGTTTATCTTTTTATTCTAGTTTCTGGGAGATTTTCTGGAGTTATCATCTAAACTTTCTATTGACTTTAATTTTTTTCTGACTTTAGAATTTCTTAAAGCTCTTTCTTCCTGTCTAAAACTTTCTATCTTTACTTTTTAGAAAAGTTTAGTTTTTTTTTAATAGCTTCCTGCTCTTAATTCAGCTCCTAAGGATATTAAATATAAGTTTTGGAGTTCTCTTCAGCTGTTTGTATTGTCTATATTTACTTGTAGTTCCTTTTATGTTCAATATAAACATTTTGTATTTGTGTTTCCTCAAATATCTGGTGGTTGGCTATTAATTTGTATTCAAAAGGAAGGTATTAAACTGATTTGGAAACATTGCATGTATAGTAGTGGGTTTCATTCCAAGAAAATAGGACTTCGAGGGGCTTTTTTCTTTGAGATACTGTTAAATCAGTGTTTCAGAACTCTTTAGGGAGCACTTCTGCTGGTCCTTTTCCTTTCTAATGGCATTTAGGTTTTGGTTTACTCTTTTCTGCTGTTAGTTATCTTTCTGCTTACCATATTTACAAAGTCATCCACCTGCATTGCTATTGTTTTTTCCTCCATTTTGCTTGTATTCATTAATATATACCCTTTTTATTCATTTATTGTCATTTTGGAGTTATTTCCAGAGGACACAGAGATAATTACATACAGTCAATATGTTAGATTTAACCAGAGTTGGGTAGATATTTTAAAGTATCATATCAGTTTTCATATCATTACGTAGTATTTGTAATTATCATTTTAAATAACGCTATAACATTCTGCTGAGTAAAGATACTGTAGTTTACCTAAATTCCTCTTTTATTACTACTTTCAGTTTCTGATTCAAATGGCATCATTCATAGTCACTAACAAATCAGACATTATATGAAAAAAAATCCTGTTAGAATTCTTTTTTTACGTTCTACTTACTGATTTTTAAATTTTACATGTTATGTGTATGTACTATTAATCTGTGTACAATTATGTAGTAAAAGCATCACAATATTTTCTCTTAAAAGTAGCATGTTGTATTAATGCTTTGAAGAAAAGTCTTGAGTATTTGTCAATTGATAATTAACAACAGTGTATTTTGTGATTTCCTCTTATTCTACATGAAAAGTGTACAGTTTAACATTAAAATCTTTAGACATTAAAAAATATACTATTTTAATTTTTAATAAGGAATATAGATTTTGTTTTATATAAATGATTTTTGGATTTAATATTTTGCTATCATAAAAATTATAGTTTTATCTAGTACAATGAATTAAATTTTGAATTATATTTGGTTTTGATATATAAAAGTCATTTAAAATTTTTTATAATTTTTAGAATAGTCTTTTTGATATGTGTATTGAGTTATTTTGAAATTTGCCATCATTCTTAAACATCATTTCTGAAGAATTGAAAAACACATAGTTTTGTTGTATTATATACTCCAGTAACATATTAAAAGGAGATATTTTTGATATCTTTTGTTTTAAAAGCTTTTTAAAACTAGTTTTTATATGATTTTTTTACAGTGGTTAATTTTTATCTTATGCATGCTTTTATTGAATACCATGAAAATAATTTTAAATATTGCTGATGTAAAATAGAAGTATGTAATGAACAGCTTTTTAAATAGAACTCTAGATTCTGATTTGTTTTATGAAAACTAGTAATAAATAATATGTAAAACTTTGCTGAAAAAGTAAAGAAAATGGGTATAGTTCTTTTTTGACCTCCAGGATTAACCTGTTTGAATTAATATGAATTAAATGTTTATATTGTCTGTTTTCTGATTCTGAATTTTATGTATATACATTTTAAAATAATTATTTTACAGTTACCTTCCCTGGTTTGAAGTGTATTACAAGCTTCTAAATACTCTTGCAGATTACTTGGCTAAGGAACTGGTAAGCTATTTTTTCCCCATTTTTAAATTGTGGTAAAATACTTATAACACAAAACTTACCATTTTAACCATTTTTAAGTGTATAGTTTTGTGACATTAAGTACATTAATGTTGATCTGCAATCATCAATACCATACATCTTTTTTCCTTGCCAGTCTAAAACTCTGTCTGTATCCATTAAACAGTATCTACTCATTCCTCCCCAACCCTTACCATCCCTGGCAACCACCATTGTATCATCTGTATGAATCTGAATAGTCTATGTATCTCATATAAGTGGACTCACACAGTATTTGTCCTTATTTGCCAAGTGACTGGCTTATTTCATTTAGCATAATGTCTTCAAGATTCATCCATGTTGCAGCATGTGTCAGAATTTTTTTCTTTTTAAGACTGAATATCAATACACCCCAGTTTGTTCATTCATTCTTCTGTCAATGGACACTGGGGGTGCTTCCTCTACTTTTTGGCTATTGTGAATAATATAGCTATGAAAATGTTTGTACAAATAATGTTCCAGCCCTTGGGTTCAATCCTTTTGGGTATATACCTAAAAGTGGAATTACTGGGTAGTAAGATAATTCTGCATTTAATTTTTTGAGGAATCATGAGAGCATTTTCCACAGTGTCCACATTTTCCACAGTGTCCACATTTTTCATTCCCATCAGTAATGTACAAGGGTTCCGTTTCCCTCACAATCTTGCCAATACTCGCTCTTTTCTTTTCTTTTCTTTTTTGGTTAATAGTTTTGTAATGTATGTGCAAAGTGGTGTATTGTTGTGGTTTTAATTTGCATTTCCTTAATGGTTAGTGATATTGGACATTTACTTGCCATTTTTATAGCTTCTTTGGAGAAGGTCTTTAATTGTGCAGACAGAAAATTACAACCTGGGATAAATGCTCTGGGAACACAGCAAGCATCACCTAAGTCAACCTGGAGAGTCAGGAAAAGTCTCTAGAGAAGTACTTGTTGGAACTCTTTTATCTGTGTCTCAATAGCAAATAGGTATTGAGTCAAAAGTTGTAGAAGGTCTGTTCAAGTCCTTTGCCCATTTTTAAATCATGTTGCGTTTTTTGTTGTTGAATCGTAAGAGTCCTTCATATATTCAAATATTCATTTCTTATTAGATAGATGATTTGCGAGTATTCTATCCCAATCTATGGTTTGCCTGCCTTTTTGTTCTTTTGATAGTATTGTTTGATGCACAAAAGTTTTTAATTTTAATGAAGTCCAATTTATCTAGTTTTTGTCTTTTGTTGCCTGTGCTTTTGGTGTCATATCCAAGAAATCTTTTCCAAATCCAGTCTTTCAAAGCTTTCTTCATATGTTTTCTTCTAAGAATTTTATAGTTTTAGCTCTCAATAAAAGTCTTTATGCTTTTCTTAAAAAATAAAATTAAAACTGTAGTTTGCTTTTGAATGAACAAAATTCTATGGGATAATGATTTTAATTTTTTTTTCCCTTAATCTTTGATTTTTTTTTTAAATTTTTTTTGGAGACAGAGTCTTGCTCTGTTGCCCAGAGGTGGAGCACTGTGGTACAATCATCACTCACTGCAGCCTCAGCCTCCTAGGATCAAGCAATCCACTCACCTCAGTCTCCCAATTAGCTGGAACTATGGGTGTGTGCCACCACAAATAGCTAATTTTTTAATTTTTTTTTGTACAGATAGAGTCTCACTATGTTGCTTAGGCTGGTCTCAAATTCTTGGCCTCAAGGGATCTTCCTGCCTCTGCTTCCCATCTACCAAGCCTGGCCATTCTTTGATGTTTTTAACAAGAGCTAATTTACTAAAATATTAGCTATGCTATTTGATACAATTTAATTGAAATAAAATGTGTTTTAAAAATTCTTTATAATTGTCTATTGTCTATTAATTTTTACATTTAGGGTGTACTTTCCATTCTCTGGTTATCTGTTTAAATTCTTATTTGGTACTCTGTCACTCTTGACATTGTGTTTTTCTGGATTTTCCTGACATTGTCTTTTCTTTGTTTTACTTATGTCCTCACCTTCTCTTTTGGGCCTTTTTTGT
Organism: Homo sapiens; assembly: GCF_000001405.40. Classification (NCBI taxonomy): domain Eukaryota; kingdom Metazoa; phylum Chordata; class Mammalia; order Primates; family Hominidae; genus Homo; species Homo sapiens. The sequence goes on along the minus strand of NC_000001.11, from coordinate 197,656,263 downwards.
CCATCTACACCTAAAATTTTGGTGTTATTTATGTTATATTCTTGGTTCTCTTTTCTCTAGATACTATTTATGGGTATTTCAGACACACTCTTTGTCTGAAGAGATGAAAAGAGTCTTGAAGACTCTTTTCTCTTCAAGATGAACTTTCTGAAAACTGATTTTATTCCACTGCTTACAATCGCTTCATAGTCTCCTCTTTTTCTTAGAATAAAATTTAAACTTGTATGCAGCATGACATATAATAACTTTATGATCTGGCTTCTGACCTTCTCTTCAAATTAATCTGCTCCCACTCATCTGCTGCACATAATGTACTATCTAATTATTTTGAGCCACTTAAAGTTCCCAGAACATAACTCTATACAGTTGTGATAGATTACAGACCACTCACTAATTGTTACTGGTAGAACACTTATCTTTTAAGAGTTAATGGGCCGGGCGCGGTGGCTCACACCTGTAATCCCAGCACTTTGGGAGGCCGAGGCGGGCGGATCACGAGGTCAGGAGATCGAGACCATCCTGGCTCACACAGTGAAACCCCGTCTCTACTAAAAATACAAAAAAATTAGCCGGGTGTGGTGGCGGGCGCCTGTAGTCCCAGCTACTCAGGAGGCTGAGGCAGGAGAATGGCATGAACCCGGGAGGCGGAGCTTGCAGTGAGCGCAGATCGCGCCAGCGCACTCCAGCCTGGGCGACAGAGCGAGACTCCGTCTCAAAAAAAAAAAAAAAAAGTTAATGTAGCTATCTTTTGAAACAAACCTAATTTCAGCACAAGTACTTCTCTAGAGACTTTTCCTGACTCTCCAGGTTAAGTTAGGTGATGCTTTCTGTAGGTTTCAAGAGCATTTACACTGGGTTGTAACTCTGTGTCTACACAACTAAAGTAATAATTGAGAATTGGAACTGTTCTATCTCTGTGTCTCCCATAGCAAATAGATATTGAGTCAAAAGGTGTAGAATAAGTAAAAATACGTTAGAAAGTTTCTAATATTCAGTTTTTGGCTCTCCATTTTATAATTGTAGAAACTAATATCCAGCTATTGTGACTTTTTTGTTCACTGGATTCTGTGTGCCCATGCTTTAACGTCAATGATAGACAAAATTGTTGATGGAATTTTTAAAATAGGAATATAGTAAGACAGAATGTTATTTTCCTCACTCTAAATTTTTCCATAGGAAAAGCTTGTTTTCAGCTTTTCAGTATACAATCATTTATTTCTTTATATTGTTTTAAAACTTCTGTTGACTGAGTCTGGAGCAAAATATCCTCCTGGGCATAGTATTTTGAATTTTTATTTAATTTTTAAAAATTATATAGCTTTGGTAGATACAGTTCAGCTAAAATGGTATAGACATTTCTGTCTGCCCAGTATGGTGAAACAGGCACTATGTTAAACATGGATGCAGACTATATTTGAAAATAAGCTTGTAAGAATAAAAATTAATGATTTTGATAAATCAGCTGAAATCCTTCATTTGCCTTAAGTGGTGGTGGTCGCAAGTAAAGGTGAGTATAGTCACCTTAGAATTAAAATCTTTATAAATGTTCCCAGGAAGCTTAATGCAGTATTGGTAATACAAAGGTAACTGGACTTTTGGCAATGTGGTTTGATTGAACCCTGAAATCCTGGATTTAAATTCTTTTTTTTTTTTTGAGACGGAGTCACGCTCTGTCGCCCAGGCTGAAGGGCAGTGGTGCGATCTCGGCTCGCTGCAACCTCCACCTCCCAGGTTCAAGAGATTCTTCTGCCTCACTCTCCCAAGTAGATGGGACTACAGGCATGCACCACCACGCCTGGATAATTTTTATATTTTTAGTAGAGACGCGGTTTCACTGTATTGGCCAGGCTGATCTCAAACTCCTGACCTCTTGATCCACCCACCTCAGCCCCCCAAAGTGCTGGGGATTACAGGCGGGAGCCACCACTCCCGGCCTAAGTTATATTTTCTAATATCCTTGTGACTTTGATTAAAGTACAGTGTTTATCAGTCAGATAATCAGTTCTGTCACTTGGAAAGTAAGGGAGGTATTATTTATATAAATAGGATTTAAATGTGTTATTAATAAATTAAGGTAGTCCTTTTACTCTTCTAAAATTGTCAACCAATTTTTTATAATGTAATTGCAAGTTTTAATGTTTGTCAAAAGTCTAGTTGTTTATGTGTATGTGTTTGTGCATGTAAATATTTTTCTGTATATATTTGATTGCTTAATTCTATGAAGTATATCTTAACATCATTTTACAGTTGAATAATTTTATGTTGAAGCTGTACAGACATTCACTTGCCTAAGAAAATAAGTGGAAATACTACTATTTATTTTTTTGCAATGAAAAGTCAAAACCAGAATTCTGGTTAAATTATTCGTGATAATTTCTTGTTCTTTGTTTTTGTGAATGTACATGTGGAATTCACATTAATTATATTAGTTGTCCAAATTTTGAATACTTTTCCTTTATTTAGTAACTTTTAGTAACTCTTACTGATAAATTATTATTATCTCCATAGTGTGTATCTTTTTTTTTCCTGAAACCATCAGTAATACTGGAATACATAAAAGAAAATAGCTATGAGAAAATTTATATAATTTTGGCTTTCTGAGAAGAGGAAATAGGGGAGGCTCCATTTGTGTTCCTTATTTGAGGAAGAAATAAGTTTATAGCATTAATTAAACCAGAAATAAATCTGTAATTGTAGTACTTTTTTCTGTTCATTTCTAATTCAGTGCCATAGGTTATTTAAGTAACTTTTACAGTTCAAGTTATCCTTACTTGATCAATGTAAGAAAGTGCAAAGAATTTTTAAAAGCTAGTCTAAAAATTTTTATACCTATAAGAACTTTGTATAAACAGAATATCAATATGAGCCACAATTTTCTATGGTATACTTCATTGTTTAAAAGTCCAAGAGGTAAATTGTTTATTTTGCAGTCCTTGCACAAGGTAATTCTAAAACAACCATATGAGCCTCTTTTACAAAGGGGAATGGTATTATCTACAGTATTCTCTGATACATTTCGTTGTTTAAATGATCAAGAAATACATTGTTTTTGTTCTTTTTATGTCATTCTGAAGAGTACTTCAAATAGGTAGTTTTGAATGAATACTTTTGAAAGTAGTTACAGAGTTCTGATTTATTAAGTTTTGGTATAAGTGGATAGACAAGGCATAAGAAAGATCGTGAGAAGTCTATATCTCGTATCCAAACTTATTAAAATTGCTAACTTCTCTGAACAATTGCCTTTTCCTTTGATTTATTCTTTCCAATATGAAAATAGAGAATAAGGATAATTATGTCTATAAAAATCTTTGTATATTTATTACTGGATTTGTAGTATGTGATGCAGAAAAATTGAGGGTGCACATCAAGGCACATTATTATTATACAAATCCTATGAAGTAGATTTGTTGTATGTTTTATTTAATCCCATTTATTGTGGGTCAAGTAGTGACCAGTAGCAATGTAGAAAAGAAATATTTAGAATAACCTCTACATTGCACTTCAGTGAAATAATCTTACTTAAATTGTTTCTATTCCTTAAAAATTGCTTTGGGATTTTAAAATGAAATGGAAAATAAGAGTACTCTGTGATCTGATAAAAAGTTGTATTACTATTTTTATTCAATCCAGTTCTTATTGGATTTAATGATTTAGATAATTTACTTTTATAGCATTAGTATATTTTATAATAATTAAGTTTTTCAAATACATGTTTATACTAAATAGAAATATTGCCATTATTCTTCTGGATAAAGGGATTTAAATATGTTTTCATATTTTTAGACTCAAATATTTGAATTTCAGGTATTTGAAATGTTTCTGTGGAAAACATTTATATAAAATATGTCTAATATGAAAAGCCATAGTAGATTATTTTATCAAATAGTTTTAATTGCAGTTGCTTGGTATATGTTTTATTTATAAAATGTACTTTTTCTTTTGCCCTAGGAAAATGATTTGAATGAAACTCTCAGATCACTGTATAACCACCCAGTACCAAAGGCAAATACTCCTGTAAATTTGAGTGTGGTAAGTATTCAATCAGTAATTGTTTTTGGGAGTCATAGCTATGTCTCAATTTCGTTAAGAGCACGTGTACCTTCAGGCAATTCTTTACCAAGTCATCTCTGCTTCCAGGAAGACTTCATTGCTAGTACTAACATAACAAGGTGATAATATTGTGTCTTTTTAACATGCTGTAACTATCATAACTTCATATATCAGGTGTGTTGAATTTAAAAAATTTTATTGTAAACTAAAAGTAACCAAATCTATGAGGATATTTCATTTTTAAGAAACATTGATTTGGCTGGGCCCGGTGGCTCATGCTAGTGTAATCCCAGCACTTTGGGAGGCTGAGGCAGGTGGATCACAAGGTCAGGAGATCGAGACCATCTTGGCTAACACGGTGAAACCCCATCTCTACTAAAAATACAAAAAATTAGCCGGGCGTGGTGGCAGGCGCCTGTAGTCCCAGCTACTCAGGAGGCTGAGGCAGGAGAATGGCGTGAACCCGGGAGGCGGAGCTTGCAGTGAGCCGAGATCGTGTTACTGCACTCCAGCCTGGGTGACAGAGTGAGACTCAGTCTCAAAAAAAAAAAAAAAAAAAAAAAAAAAAGAAGCATTGATTTTCAGGTGAAATCCGTGCATAATAAAGGAATATACACACATGCTTAATAACCCTCCTAAAATGAAAACGGTACTTAGTAAGAATAGAAAATGACATATAACATATAAATATGTGATAAAAATTCTGGGTGAAAAGTTTCATCTGTTTTCCCTATACAGTAATATGTCTTCTAGTATAATCACAAAATACTGGAAATATGATTGAATTTTTGTTTGTCAGACAACAAGCCTGTGATGGGATAGATTATTTATTGTACTATTGAAACTTTTAACGAAGTGTACCATCTATATCTAAAAACACTCATGTTTTGGGAGTTTTTGTAAATGCTTAAAGTTCAAAATCATAAAATATGGATTTTTTATTAATTTCTTCATGGTTTTGGCATATGGGCTAGACTATTAAAATTTATTTATATTAATTTTGTTTCTTCTAAAATAATAAACTTTTCCTAATAAAGAATAAAAAATATAATGTCGCAAGAGAAAATGAGAGGAAAGCTAACTCAAAGTATATATAAGTCTTTTGTGTTTTTATGAGACAGGGAAGTTGTTATCTTTATTGTATTTTCTTTGGTAATAACTTTCTTCTTTTTAAAAATTAATTAATTTTTTAATTTTTCCATAAGTTATTGGGGTACAGGTGGTATTTGGTTACATGAGTAAGTTCTTTAGTGGTGATTTGTGATATTTTGGTGCACCCATCACTCTAGCAGTATACACTACACCATATTCGTAGTCTTTTATCCCTTACCCTCCCTCCCACTCTTCTCCCCAAGTCTCCAAAGTCCATTATATCATTCTTATGCTTTTGCGTCCTCATAGCTTAGCTCCCGCATATCAGTGAGAACATACGATATTTGATTTTTCCATTCCTGAGGCACTTCACTTAGAATAATAGTCTTCAGTCTCATCCAGGTCGCTGCAAATGCTGTTAATTCATTCCTTTTTACGGCTGAGTAGTATTCCATCATATATATATACTGCAGTTTCTTTATCCACTTGTTGATTACTGGGCATTTGGGTTGATTCCACGATTTTGCAGTTGTGAATTGTGCTGCTATAAACGTGTGTGTGCAAGTATGTTTTTCATGTAATGACTTTTTTCCTCTTGATAGATACCCAGTACTGGGATTGCTAGATCAGATGGTAGTTCTACTTTTAGTTCTTTAAGGAATCTCAACACTGTTTTTTCATAGTGGCTGTACTAGTTTGCATTCCCACCAGCAGTGTAGAAGTGTTCTTTGATCACCGCATCCAGGCCAACATCTACTATTGACGTGGGATGCGGTGATCAGGTGATCAGTTTAATATTTGTTTAGTAGATGTGTGAGGATCATATTTTGGGATACCTACATGTGTAAGAAGTTTTAAACATTGAATAATTATGTTTTATTGCTGTTTGCTAAATAATATGGTGGCTGATGTTTACAAAAGTATTTTGATTTTTTGATTATGGCCATTCTTGCAAAAGTAAGGTAGTATCACATTGTGGTTTTGAGTTGCATTTCCCTGATTCATTAGTGATGTTAAGCTTTTTTTTCATGTTTGTTGGCCATTTGAATATATTCTTTTGAGAAATGTCTATTCATGTCCTTAGCTCACTTTTTAATGGGATTGTTTATTTTTACTGATTTGTTTGAATTTATTGTAGATTCTGAACATCAGATGTATAGACTGTGAGATTTTCTCCCATTCTATGTGTTGTCTGTTTACTCTGCTTACTGTACCTTTTGCCCTGCAAAAGCTCTTTAGCTTAATTAAGTCCCAACTATTTATCTTTGTTTTCATTGCATTTGCTTTTGGTTTCTTGGTCATGAGATCCTTGCCTAAGCCAATGTCTAGAAGGGTTTTTCCAGTGTTTTATTCTAGAAGTTTTATAGTTTCAGATCTTAGATTTAAGTCCTTGATCAATCTTGAGTTGCTTTTTGTATAAGCTGAGAGATGAGGATCCAGTTTCATTCTCCTACATGTGGCTAGCCAATTATCCCAGCACCATTTGTTGAAAAGAGTGTCATTTCTCTGCTTTATGTTTTTGTTTGCTTTGTCGAAGATCAGTTGGCTGTTAGTATTTGGGTTTATTTCTGGGTTCTCTATTCTGTTCCATTGGTCCATGTGTCTTGAGCAAATTTCATCCTGTGATTTCATGTGATAGTAGTGTTCTCTTACATTATTCCATTCTTTAACCACTACTATTAGTAGTAGACTAAGGTGGTTAGCACCTTAGTTCTGGTGCTTAGTACTTCAAAGAGTTCTTAGTCTAGAGCCTCTCTCCTTCCAGTCATTTCTACAAAAGACTGTCAGATGAAAGTTACTTAAGCTATATAAAGTCCCCTGCTGAAAACCTTTCGTAGCTCCCCATTTTCTATAGAATTTGTTAAAACGTTGGCCAGGCTTTCAGGACCATCCATTTCTTAGATTCAATCCAACTTTTAATTTTCCTCCTCTATTCTGGTCACATTGTTTTGTTCAGCTTCTTGAATGAACATCATGCTTTCCTTTTGGACTAAAGCCTCTTTGTTGACTATGTGTTGTTAGTCTAGAACTTGCTCAGTCTTCAACTTTGTGAAACCTCTTGTCATACAACTTAATGCAGTGTTTTTTCTTTCCTGTGACCCTCTCTGCTGCTTTATGTTTGCATCTTCTTTTGTTGCACACTGTCAAAGTGGAAAGGTTTAATAGTCATTTGTAGACTGGGTGATAAAAAACTAAGGATAACCTGGAATTTTTAACCCAAATTTGGGAGTCAGCAGCAGACATCATTGTAGCTATTTAAAGGATAAAATATAGAAGAGCACAGAGCAGAGGCTAAGTTCTAATTGCCCAAATAGGCTATAGGGAAAAGGAAAGGAGATCCAGTGAAAGAATTGGGGGAAAGAGCAGTTAAGGAGAAACTTAGACTTGTAGGTCATTGATGCCCAAAGAATCCAAGGTTTATGGTCAGTGGAAATACAATAGAAAGACCAAGGGAAAGGTCAAGGAGAATAAAGAAGAGCCTGGGATTTTCCAAAAAATGGTAATTTCTCTTTGAAAGTGTTATATTTATAAAGTTATTCTAACACTCTTAAAGAGTTAAGGAAAATAAAGGTGCTAAGACAATGGAGGTGGCATTAATGAGAAATACAAATGTGTTCTCCCTTTAAATTTGAGTATCATATTTGCTCAGGGGTAAATAAATACAAAAGTACATCTCAAAAAAACCAGCTATTGAAACACTTCATCTTTATTAATAAGAACCATAAATTAAAGATTTCTACCCCTTTTTACCTAGGATTAGAAGATTTTGGGTTAAGTTACAGTCACTAAGTGTGTAATGTTAGTCAAGAAAGTTAATCTCTTTAGATGATCCTTTTTTTTCCATTTGAGAAATTGAGCATGTCAACTTTTGAGAAAGTTGTTTTGGTAATCAAATAAAATGATATATCTAGATATACTGTGAAGAGCTATTCAGGTGTTGGTTGGTAGCAAATTGAAGTTTCATCTCATATGGAGAAAATACTTTCTTCTGAAATAGCTAAATTGTAGCTGAAATAATCTTGTCAAAGGAATTTGAGTGGCTGTGTTCTGTTCCTATGTATAATAGTTATTTTCATAATTAAGCCTTCTTATACACACTTGAATTAATAGTCTTATAGTTTCAAGTCTTGTATACCTATTTTAAAGTTATAATATCTTTTTTTTTTTTTTTTTGAAGTGGAGTTTCGCTCTTGTTGCCCAGGTTGGAAAACAATGGCGTGATCTCAGCTCAGTGCAAACTCTGCCTCCAGTTTTGAGTGATTCTCCTGCCTTGGCCTCCTGAGTAGCTGGAATTACAGGCGCCCACCACCAAACCGGGCTAATTTTGTATTTTTAGTAGAGATGGGGTTTCACCATGCTGGTCAGGCTGGTCTCAAACTCCTGACCTCAGGTATTCTGCCCGCCTTGGCCTCCCAAAGTGCTGGGATTACAGGCGTGAGCCACTGCATCTGGCCTAGTTATAATATCTTAAGTATTGATAAAATCAGCTGTTAATGTTTGTTTACTATGAATTATTAATTGCATTTGATTTCAATAACAGACTCCTAAAGTACTGTATTTAGTGTTATACTGTTAAATAAGTGACAAATTTGGGACTAGGACACTTATCTTCAGCTACTAGAGGAGATTTTAGTTTTATGATGTAAGATTAAAATGGATGATTATGTAAGTTTTTGTTCCTGTACAAGTGGATAATGGCCATTAGTAATCAGAGATTTTTATAAAAAGTTAATGTCTAATGAGAATGCTTTTTTTTGAAACATTTCAAAATCGTCAAATATCCACAGCATTCTCTACTCTTGTAATATGAAAATACTTTCATTAGGATTTTTCTAGCATAAAATTAGCAAATCAGCATTTAAAATAATACTTATAATTAGTATTATTCAAGTATTTTTTAGTGGCTAACTTGGCTACATGGGTTTGTCTCAATTACACAGCAAATTGTTGTGTAAGCTTCTCCCATGAAAGTAAAATATTCATTTTTTTCTCTCATGTATTATAAGAACCAAGAGATATTTATTGCCTGTGAGCAAGTTCTGAAAGATCAGCCTGCTCTAGTACCGGTGAGTTAAAAGGACATTGGCTTCTAAAAATCACTATTAAATAGGAAAAATAATCACTTATTTCACTATGCCTTTAAGCTTCACTCCAGCCCTTTGGGAAATGGTGAATTTGACTCTTAAGAAAATTAATCATTTGGAATATATAATATTTTCTGTTTATACTATCTTTTAAAGCATAGTTTTATGAAATATAGTACTATTAAAAACTATTCCAAATAAAAGTAGGTTATAGAGACCGAAATCTTTGCATATTCTCCATTTTCAGTAGTAGTAATTTTAAAGTATATTCACAGCACAAGATTTGTCACATTTTTTGGTCCCAAGATCACAAAAGATCTTGTGATTTATCTCCTATTGTTCTTCTACCCTGGAAAATTATAGATTATGACTGTGTTAACTATCCTTGTTCTGACTAGTTCAACTGTGCTCAAATATTGGCTAAAATGTTTCTTTTCTAATCATTAATAATAAGATATTATTAAATATGTCCTTATGTGATTCAGATATTAAATAATTTTGGAGATTAATATGAACAGAAAATAAAACTTTTGATGATTAAATTGCACTTTGATTCTGGGTGGTAAAATTTGGGAACATTGTGGGAAACATGAAGGCATATATACACAATGTATTCTTTATGTAAGTATTCTGATGAACTGTTTTACTTCTTTGAACATTATAGAAGCTAATTAATATTTGGCAGATGTGTAACAATCATATTTTGGGATTACTACGTGTTTAAGAAATTTTAAACATTGAAAAATTATGCTTTATTGCTATTTGCTAAATAATAGGGTGGTTGATGTTTACAAAAGAGATTTCTTGTGACTTACCATAGAAACCCAGCCCAGGAATCTTAGTAGATTTTGATATATTTGGTTAGCAAGCTTTAATTTTTCCAGTCCACCTCAACTAAATGTGTTTTAATAATATATATGTTTATATGTATGTATAGGTGTGTATGTCTCTATATACTGTATATATACACATACGTGTATATGTATATATGTACAAAATAAACCTTTCAGCAATATACTCTTTTTTTGCCTTAACATTTTTTCCCTATTTTAATTTTAATTTTAGGGTCAAATATTTTTAACCAAGTCTTAACTTTTTGTATGGCAATGTAATTGTTAAATCTCATATAAACCCGCTAACTCATTTAAGAATCTCTCAAATTCAACAAATCCTGAATGTCAGTCCATGGCATTTTTTAATTTACTCAATATATTTTTTTCTGATTTTCATTACAAATTATATGTTACCAGTTTTAATTATCTTTTTCATATGTGATTTATTTGTATTGATTAGCATTCCTACTTCATTGCCCCTGATGTAACTGGACTCCCAACAATACCCGAGAGTGTAAGTTTCCTATTTTCTACTTTAATTATTCTTATATTATTAATTTTGTTTATTTTGGTCTCACTGTTTATGCGTTTTTATATAGAGAAATAGGATACATTGTAATTATCTGTGTTTGTGAGAAATAATGAAGAAATAAGAAATAAAGATATTATTTTCTTTTCTTCTTTATATATCTGCCCCTTTACCTTCTTCTTAATATCTGGTTGTGGATAAGGAAAATTAAGGACAATAATATAAGGAAAACTATTTCTATCATTTGTAGTAATTAGGTAGGATCATATATATATTCAATTAGGTCTTCAGCTTCACTGTATATGATAGAAGAGATACCTCAGGAGATGGCTTCTACTTGTGGAGAAGAATTCTAGCAATGGGAAATGTCTTCACACAAATCATTATTTTAGTGAAATTGACATAGTATTTTATATTCCTTGTATATAATGCTTCAAATCGTAGATGAACTGTTCTTAATTTCCTGATTTTAATTTAAAGCAATACATATCTTGCAAGGTTTGATGGCTATTGTAAGAAATTTTAAAAATTGCTAAAATTTTCATTTTATTTAGAGTCCTAATTCTAGCCATACTAGAACTATTTTCAGTATTTTAATAGTTATTACACATTAGTATTTTGTAGAAATGTTTACATAGACAAGTAGAAGTAACAAATATGCTTTTATGATTTTGGATAACTATGTGAAAATGAAGTATTCCCTTACGTAATTTTTCTTCAGCTTCCCTTGGAAAGTTAAAATGAATCAGTAGGAATAACTCAATCAAAAGTAAAGGAAAAATCAACAGGAAAAAAGTATTTCAATATATACTTATTATTTACTTTGGGATTCTAGTGTTTTTCCAAATGTTTTCAAACCTACTGAGTGTTTGGTTTCCAAAAGCATGTAGGTAGTGAAGGAAGTCCAAGAAGCCAATAGTAAATTTTCTGATACCAAACCAAGACTGTCGATGGTGTTTTCAGTACAGATGGATCCAAAAAACCCTTATGAAAAGCTTTGCATCAAGTTGCTCGTATGGGCCTGAGATAGATAATCAAAGCTCTCAGGTGACATAATGGATCCTAAAGTATTGACTGCTGTACACTGTAGGCCAGGTACTCCTTGTTAATGTTTTCTTTAAGGCTGACTGACCATGTCTTGACTTATATGACCCTTGTCCCTTCACTTCAGGGTTTCAAAGTCAAATTTGCTTCCGTCTACTCTCTCTCCTATTTACCTTTCTCTTATGTTTACTAACAAACAACTAATAACTTGATTTAACAAATGTCACATTTTAAAAAAGATGATTACTTTGAAAGTTTCAAGGAAACAAACATTCAAAGGAAAAACTGCCACTGAGAATATGTATTTTTACTTGTCTATTAACATGTTTTATTTTGCAGAAAGTCCTGTTTAGGGAAAAGAAAGCAAGAGAATAAGCATAAGGCAGCACTCTATGCTGAGAAATAATTCCCCATCTAAAAATTACCTTTCTTTTAGATTATAGGAAATATACTAATCTTGAATAACTTGAATTTTTATATGGAGAGTTGAATTGGAAGGTGAGAAAGCACGAAATAAACCTCTTCCCACCAAATTCAACATCACCCACTGATAGTTACAGGTTCTATTGATGTGCTCTATCATGATTACCAATTTGTGATGGTAAAGTTTCTATCTTCCGGAAATTGAAGAAGTAATTGGATTTCTTACATTCTTGCCTGACTAGAAGTTTTAGCCTACTAGGTCATAGCCCACCTGATGCTACAGTTTTTGTTTGTTATATCTTGTTGAATCCCTTAATTAGTTTGTTGCTTTCTGATGTATTTGTTTCATTATAGAAAATTAAAAATAAATAATAAGAAAGGAGAAGATCTAAAAGTCAAAGTTAATGTAGTAGCTTATCCCAGTTTCATTCTCATGTGGGGGATAAGAGTGCTAAATTAAGGAATCAATTTAGAACATCATCAAATTATATTTGATTATAGTGGATATAAAGCAAGCGTGACATGAAGTATAAACAAGGTAATTTCCTTAATAAAGTACCAAAGGGCTGTTTTATAAATTCACCTCATCCTTTGGGTACGTTGTGCATGCTGTGTCGTATCAGATGATGATTGTGCCTGCATAGTGAATGGCAAACATGAAAAGACTCAAATGTATTGTCTGGGGCAGCGGTTTCTGAAGGATCAGTGTATATAAGAATCACCAGAAGTATTTGTTTACAAAACAGATTCTTGGCCAGGTGTGGTGTCTCATGCCTGTAATCCCAGAACTTGGGAGGCCGAGGTGGGCAGATCATCTGAGGTCAGGAGTTCGAGACCAACCCGGCCAACATGGTGAAACCCCATCTCTCTACTAAAAATACAAAAATTAGCCGGATGTGGTGGCGTGCACCTGTAATCCTAGCTACTCTGGTGGCTGAAGCACGAAAATCACCTGAACCCGGGAGGCGGAGGTTGCAATGAGCCAAGATCTCACCACTGCACTCCAGCCTGGGTGACAAAAAAGAAAAAAAAAAAGCAGATTCTTGGGGACATACACTAAAGATGACAATTCAACAGAGCAGCTCTAGGTTGGGTCCCAGGAAATTAGCTTCTTTTCAAATACTTAGCGGGTAAGAAAGTTGGGAAATCTGTGATCTGATCATCCTCTGCAAATACTTACCTTGAGTAGGGTTATGTTTCAACTAATAATAGAATATTATGTACTTTATGTGGCAGCCGACTAGTATTACACTTAATTATTTTAATAAATACCATTTTAAATAATAATACCCTTTGAACTTCAAGACTTTCTGGTAAGTGTGTAAAATGTTTTTCTTCACATTCACTATGAGCTGTAACTTACACAATTATCTTTTACTTGTACAGAGAAATCTTACAGAATATTTTGTTGCCGTGGATGTGAACAACATGCTGCAGCTGTATGCCAGTATGCTGCATGAAAGGCGCATCGTGATTATCTCGAGCAAATTAAGCACTGTAAGTACTTCACACTTCTTTTAAGTAGCAGGTATTGAGTGTTTCACAAAAAGACCTAAAAACCTTTGCAGATTTAGAAATGTGCTATGTGTACTTATAAGACAATATCTACATACGTTTTTGATGTATGGTTTTAATCTGGCTCTTGAAGTACAAAAGTCTGATTTATAGGAAGCCTTCTCAGATGCATTAAGTCAGGTTAATTATTTTTTCTTATCAGGAGATGAGAGTTTTTTTTTCTTTTTAACTCTCCAGAGTTCATTTTAGTGCCTTCTACCATATAAAGAATTCTTAAGAGCTATTATGAGATTTTTATTATTCACTTGTGGCTTTTTCCATTGGAGCCACTTGAAAGAAATCAAGGGGCCATGATAATAGCTGCTATCCTAACCTGGTAATAGGTAGATTCATCTTTGTTGCCAAGTAGTGGTTTGGGAGTAGATTGTATAATAGTTTGATTTAGAGCAGCTCTTTGGGCTGATAATAACTTAAAAGTCAAAGTAGCATTTTTTATAAATCACAGGTTTTATGACATTCACTAAAATGTTCTTTTGGAAGGTCTTTATTAATATGGTAAAGGCAGGGAGAGAAAGATTTTTCTTGGGTCATAGAAAAATATTCAGAAGTATTTTGCTAGATTTTATAATTTTTTTCTCATTTAAGCTTCAAAAATTTAATATTTTCAACTTAAATTTTTAAATACAAATTTAAATATAGTTTTAGATAATCTATGATGTATTTATTTAGCAAAAACTATTATTCAATATTTTATGAATTTTCTTCCTCACAAATTTGATTAATTGATAAATAAAACCATATTTTTAATGTTTTCTTCTCCTATAGTAGAAATAAAAACCTTAATCTGTATTTTAGCATTTAAAGTAGAAGGAGTTTCAGGATTTCTGTAGGATATCTGTTTAACATTTAACAGTGAGAAAGGTATTTTCAGTGAGATTAAATGACCACTTCAAGGCCAAACAGCTAGTTAGAGACAGATAATGTGAAATTGAGTCTTTTGATTCTAATTTTTGGGTTATTTCCATTACTCTACAATTGAAAAAAATACATACAATTGTACATATAATTTGTATGAATTTATAATTCACGAAAATCTCAAAAATACGATTTTGAGATTTTGAATTGTAATTTGATATGCTCACTCCTAAAAGTTGAAAATGCACTTTACATATTGAAAAATATATGCATTTAAAAGAGTAAGGGTGGATAAATGATGCAGTAATATCAGAGAATAAGTGCTAGTCAATGACACAAGTAATTTTTTTCTTACACATCTTAGAGATGTCAAGAAATTCAGTTTGACTCATTTGATATTTTAATTTGCCTATCTGCTATTTTTTAACTTACTATTGAAGTGAAACATTCTTCTTCTTTCTCCCCAGCTCCTCCTCCTCATTTTTTAAACATGATTTTTTTTTAAGATTAAAAAGGATATTTTTAAATGGATATTGTCCTCAAAATTAAAAAGATTGTATAATAGGCTTTGGAACTAAATTTTATCAGGATTAATTCATGTAACAAATGTTTATTAGGCACATACTATGTGCCAGGCACTTTCTAGACATTAACCATATTCGACTGGCATGAAACAGTTTGTAAACAAGTGAGCAAACAAATAGCAATTATTTATTAGCTAGGGTTACATAATGGATAAAGTGAGTGGGTTTACAGGGTAGACAGTGATGGACAGGTTTCCATTTTATGTAAGGAAGGCCTCTCCAATGAGGTAGTATTTTGTTTGTTTGTTTTTTTGAGACAGGGTCTTGCTATGTTGCCCAGGCTGGTCTCAAACTCCTGGGCTCAATGGATCCTCCTGCCTTGGGTTTCCAAGTAGCTGGGACTATAGGCACACGCCGCTGTGCCCAACTCAGTGAGGTAGTATTTGAGCAGAGATCCAAAGAAAGTGAGGGAATAAGCTATGTGAGTGAAGCATAAGCTACTGTATTTGTGTATTAGAAATAAATCTGAGTATATGTTTTTGAAAAATATTGGTGTTTTATTTAATTTATATCCACCTCTTAATGACCAAGTAATCTGTTTGACTCAGTTTCTTTAAGTGTAGAGTAGGAGCAATAGTAGCCTTAATCTCATAGGGTTGATGTAAAGATTAAGGAAATACATATATATAAAGTGCTTAGAATGATATCTGCATAGAATATATGTTTAGTAATTATGAGCTATAATTTTATAATAGTTTATATTTAATTTTTTTTTTTTTTTGAGACAGAGTCTCACTTTGTTGCCCAGGCTAGAGTGCAGTGGTACAATCTTGGCTCACTCTAACCTCTGCCTTCCAGGTTCAAGATATTCTCCTACCTCAGCCTCCCAAGTAGCTAGGAGTACAGGCGCCTGCCACCACAACCAGCTAATTTTTGTATTTTTAGTAGAGACGGGGTTTCACTATGTTGGTCAGGCTGGTCTCGAACTCCTAACCTCAAGCAATCCACCCGTCTTGTCCTCCCAAAGTGCTGGGATTACAGGCGTGAGCCACCGCACCCGGCCTCTACATTTAATTTTATAATAGTCTACATCTGCAGTTAGAGTAAAAATTAACATTACTATCTTTTAACTTAGTATTTGGCTTTAAAAACAAATTGTTATCATAAAGGCTTAGTATTTTGGGGGAGTTGTTTTCTATGTTTGATGTCAATTTATTATCAACTGTTTATGACAATTCATGAAAACTTGATGGTGATGTCACCTCTAAGTTACCAGCTCTGTTTTGGTTCACTCTCTGGGACCGTTGGGCTGATAAAAGAAACATAATTCAAGTTCTCTTTCATGATCTTAGTCTTCTTTTATGGAGGAAGCTGCTTTACTTGAATCTGTCTTGAATAATTCTTTTATATATACAGTATATAAAATATATCTGCTATAAATTCCATGCATAGTGGCATTTAAGGTCAAGGACTCATTTCTTAACATAAATTAAAAGTAATTTATGTAAATTAAAAGTAAAATCAATGAATTTACTTGTTTTTAAGCTTTTTATACTCATATTTTTATATATCACGGAGACTATAATGTGTTTAATGTTCGAAATTAACGTTTTATCCATTTTTAATTTTTTAAGTATACAGCCCAACTCTTAATTTTTAGAGGAATATATGTAAAGGTGGCCTAACATTCATAATTCTATTGTAGTTTTAGAAATTTTGTCTCAGTTATTTACTTTTTGACAATCATGATTTTTCATAGTTATAAGAGAATGATAATTATAAACCTTACAGCTTGCTGTAGGTTTTAGTGGTGACACTCTCATTAGAGAATCAGCTAGCTTGAGGTTCCTTTTCTTTAGGTGCTGTTTGTGGTTAAAAATGATAATTTCTTGCCGGATGCAGTGGCTCACGCCTGTAATCCCAGCACTTTGGGAGGCCGAGGTGAGCAGATCACCTGAGGTCAGGAGTTCGAGACCAGCCTGGCCAACATAGCGAAACCCCATCTCTACTAAAAATACAAAAATTAGCCAGGCATGGTACCACGCACCTGTAGTCCCAGCTACTCGGGAGGCTGAGGCAAGAGAATCACTTGAACCCGGGAGACGGAGGTTGCAGTGAACCGAGATCACGCCATTGCACTCCAGCCTGGGTGACAGAGTGAGACTATGTCAAAAAAAAAAAAAATTAACCTTTAAAAGATGAAAAGTTTAAAATTAAAAAAATTAAGATATGTAAGCACAGATATCAAGAATATTGTTATGTTTTCAACATTCTAATAGGTTTTCTCCCTATATTTTAAAGTGTGGTATTGTGTTAGTACCTATTATTATATTTTTGCATGTTTGAGTTTAATGAATTGAGATATAATCAGTTTTTTTTTATTCTGTTGATTCATACATTATTCTGTTGATTTATACATTGTCAAGTACACATGGAACGGTTTCTGGTAATCCTGAACAAGAACATTGATTTTATCCATGCTGTAGGTAGGCCATAGATGTTTAAGCCCCAAGCGAATCTTGGTAGACTAGCAGAACATCATATTAGATTCTCGTGTATTCAAAGCAGAGGCATAAATCATGATATTACAAGGGGGTATCAGTTGACTTATTGCTGTTTTGTGACCATAGGTAGGTTGGATTGCTGTTTAAAGCCATGTCAGTGGTTCTCAAATCAGTCAGGCATGAAGCCTTGTCATATGCCTCTATAATTGTACCTCACCAGACTTTCTCTAACTATTCAGCTGGGGCTGTGCATTTTGTCTCAAACACCCGGCTGGCCAGCATCTGACAGGAGCTTTCTCATCATCCTGTCAGTAATATGTTAACTAGAGTGTATCTTTGTGGCCTGTAGAAGCAGGTGGAAGGGATGCTTCTTTTAAAAGCAGATGTCTGAATGTTAGCTATTATTTTGACCATTATTTAGTTAGTAAATTCACCCTCAGAAAGTCTATAAGCATATTAGTTACAGAGATTTGATTGTGTAGTGCATGTTGTTTTGGGGATATTTAGAGCAAGCAATATGTTATGAGTACTGGAATTACGTTAATAAACTGTAATTTCTTCCTTTGTTATAGTTGCCCCCAGGCATTTAAGCATATGCTTTTCTCTCCTCTCATTAATTCCATCAAGGGCATATGTAAAAAGAAATCTTTCGATCTCTGGAAAATCAGCTATTAAATATAGATTTTACAGGTTTAGTCAGACTGAAAGGCAGTCCAGAGGATTTTAACCTCTTCATCTGGATTATACATATTCTTGATTTGTCTCTTAATGGAGCCACCTGTGTCAGCATTTAATCTGAAACCCGAAGTGCAGAGACTCTTTCTGGAGATGAGGAATTGAACATTTGGTGAGAGAACAAAGATTACGTAGTCCTGCTTCCTAGTTAAGGTTATTAAAGTGTATTTTTGTGCCTCATGTTTTTAAAGCTGCAGCAGAGTGGTGCAGTTAAAAATTGTTATCATCTCTCAGGGAAAGATTCTAGAAGCAATTTTTAGATTTTTAATTCTTCCCCAAACCCGTAAGCAACCAGTTATGTCATCTGAAACTGAATAATTCTACTTACCAGTTTATCATTTCACCGGTACACAGCTATTCTGAACATTGTATTTTTAGTCAGTGCTAAGTGAATATGACTGGAGTGGGGAAATGGTACTGTTGAGGTCATCAGGAAGCAGTTTATTGGAAGGGATGTGTGAAGGTTATTTGGAGGAGACTTCTGTTACAGGAAAACTAGAGGTGTTTTTATCTTCCAACTCCTGTAGTGATAATGGCTCTGTTTTTCATGAAAATAAACACGTATTTCTGCCTTATGATTTAGTCCATTTGTGTTCTAAAAGTAAATAATTGGCTTTTAATTCACAATGAAGAATTTTTTAATTTAACAATTATGGAATTATCAAAGAGTTGTTATTAACTTGTCATTCCCCTAGGCTCTGTAAGCTTTGTTCCTGTATGATATCCACAGAAATGACCTTGGATGATTTCAGTTTACCAAGCATTTTTTTTTCTTTTTTCTTATCCTTATAGCTTACAGACAGTGATAATGTTAGTATTTTTTATATGGAACAGTGACAATTTTGTGCTGATAGTGTAATCAACATTAAATAAAAGAAAATAATGTATGTGTTGGTTTTGTTTCTTTAATAAAACTATTGAGGGCAGTGTGTTTATTTTAAAATGTACCTTCTATATTTATATGTTTTCACATACTATAATTTTTTTTTTCATTTTACAGTTAGGCAAGTTTTTCTCTTCCAGTGAGCTTTCTTATAGTGCAGTTTAGCTCATTGTTGACATCCCATTCAATACCGCCAAAATGCAACTCGCCATCTTTTCCCCATAGTCTCCTTCTCCTACTATAAAGGGCTAATTTGGTGAATCACTCCTCCCTCTCATCTGTTTTCCCCACCTACATCCTATAGGTTCTACCTCCTTAATCTTTTCTTCTCCGATTCCTGTTCTTCAACTGCCCACTGTCTTAGTTCAGCAGTTACTACTTCCCACAGATATTATTTTCAGATCATATATACTGAATTCACTTACATAAAATGATGATGTTATTAATAATTATAGCCAATATATAATATAGGGCATGCTTTGCGCTACTTACCCTACTGAGAAATTTATTTAAACTAACTCATTTAATTATTATGTATTATGTGGTAGGTACAGTTGTTATCCACGGTAGACAGATGAAAATGTGGATTTTGAAATTGAGAGGGAGTAAGTTGATCAAGGCCATAGTACTAGGAATTGGTTTAACCAGTTCTGTATGATTCCAAAGTATATGCTTACAACCTTTATGCAATTTTGCCTCTTACAATGACCATCTTATAAAACCAAATGCATCCTTACCTTCTGCCCCAATATAGTATCCCTTCCCTTAAGGAACCTCTGTTTATTATTTGAATTACTTACAGTGAAGTGACTTTTTTCCTCGTCTTTGCAGGTCTAGTCGATTATCTCTCAATGTGTCATATTTATACCTTTCTCTCATTTTGAATACCACTTTTAGGGCTAGCACTTATCTTCTGTTTGGACCTCTCATTTTCCATTTTCTCATCTTTTAGATTCATCCTATATGTAATTAATCCTTCAGAATAAAAAAAATCTATTGGTTACTCATTGCCTATAAACTGCTAAGTCTGGTAAAAAACTATCCATTATCTGATTCTAAACTTGTCTTTCTGAGTTTTTCGATTACTTATAGTCCACACAGATCTTTAGACAATAAAGTTATCAGGGCGGGTTTTTTTTTCTTTCTTTTTTTTTTTTAATCTTGTTCAGTCAGTCACTACAATGTATCTGTCTCTTAGGACAGTGTTGATATGTATCCATAGAAGGTTTTAACAATAATTTTCTGAGTGAATGGATGAAATTGCACTTTTTGCTCTTCCTCATATGTGTTTTAAATCTCCCACATGCATGCTTCTGAATGTTTTTCAAAATCTGGTTTGCTTTACAGAAGGCTTAGTTTGTATGAGTAACCAGTGTAACATCTTTCATCTCTGAATTATCATAGCATTTACCACATACCCTTCTCAAATTTTAAATATTAGTGAATATGTCAAGCTCTTGTATTAGATATCGATCTCTTTAAAAATTAAAAACCTGCCTGGCATGGTAGCTCATGCCTGTAATCCCAGCACTTTGGGAGGCTGAGGTGAGAGGATTGCTTGAGCCCAGGAGTTTGAGAATAGCCTGCGCAATGTAGTGAGACCCTGTCTCTACAAAAAATTAAGAAAATTAGCTGGGTGTGGTGTCACACGCCTGTAATCCCAGATACTCGGGAGGCTGAGGTGGGAGGATTGCTTGAGCCAGGAGTTTAGTACTGTAGTGAGCCATAATCGCTCTACTGCATTCCAGCCTGGCAACAGAATGAGACCCTGTATCAAAAAATAAAATAAAATAAATAAAACCATGGGTTGTGTGTATCTGTGGGTGTGTTCATGTATGTATTGAAGAATAAATTTAATCATTTAAATTGTGTCAGAAAAGTTTTTAAAATAAAAAATTATTAATTACATTATAGTGTAAAATATAAAGTGTTCATCTGATACTGAAAATGCCAGAGTAGAAAGTGTATCTTTGTCAAGTAGAAATGTATCCCTTGATTTATCTCTTTGACATTTGTCTCTTTAAATAATGAAAGTTTCTTTGTAAACCTTGAAGTTTCCAAGTTAGGTGCTGATTACTTCCTCCTTCCTTCCCTTCCTTCCTTCCTTCCTTCCTTCCTTGCTTCCTTCCTTCCTTTTCACGCAGAGTTGCACTCTTGTCGCCAAGGTGTTGGAGTGTAGTGATGTGATCTGGGCCCACTGCAGCTTCTGCCCGCAGATCTCAGGCATCTTTCCACACCTCAGCCTCCCAAGTAGCTGGGACTACAGGCATGTGCCTCTGTGCCTGGCAAATTTTTGTATTTTTTTGTAGAGACGGGAGTTTCACCATGTGGCCCAGGCCAGTCTTGAACTCCTGGGCTCAAGCAACACTCCTGCCTCGGCCTCCCAAAGTTGCTGGGATCACAGGCGTGAGCTACTGTGCCCGGCCTAGGCACTAATTTCTGTGTAGGTGTTGTCTTTAAAAGAAGATTTGTGTTTAGCTATTTTCTACTAGATAATTTTTTTTAAAAGTCTATGCCAAAACAGTAATGCCTTAGGGAAAAATGTATTAATACATCTTAAACCCTTTTCAGATTCATGGATTTGTATTGCAGTTATGACTCTTGTTCAGCCTATACAGGAACTTAGTTTGGTATTCTTTGGTCTTCATATAGTCCTAAATAGAAAGTTCATTACTTTCTTTCTATAAAAAATGTTCATTTGTTCATTCATTGAATCGTTCCTCATTTAAGGAATGCTTAACTCATGCCAGGCAGTGTTCTATAGGTAAGATCATAAAGTAACAGCCTTTGTATCAGTCTGGATATGACCAGGAAAGAGAAATTACATAGTAATTTGAACAAGGAAAGTTTAATATAAAGAATTTAAAAACTATAACATTGGGATTGGGGTAACAAGGGATGGGCTACTAGTAAGTGAAGGAAATTCTAAAGACTATAGAAATAACAAATATAAAGCAGCTACTAGTCTTAGGGCTGAGACGGAGCACCCAGGGAAGAAGCCCTATCTGGGTGTGAGATCCAGACTCCAATGGAGAGGGCACAGCTGTGTGGCTCATTGGATAGCAGAGAAGTTGCTGTGGTGCCACACTGGCAGAATTTTCTGGAATCCTGCCCTTTGGGGTGCCCAGGAAAGCTGCCCTCAGAGAAATGCCATTCCTTAGAACTTGCTGGAAAGCCATATGAGAGGTACTGGGGAAGCTGTTTGCAAGAGATGCCTCACTCGCAGCAGACTACTATAAAGCCTCCTAAGGTGAAGCTATTAACTAGGATCGTGTTACTGGGGAAACTCCCTTAAAAAACTAACAAAGGGAAGCTGCTGGCCACTTGGTACTGTTGGAAATTGTACACTCCAGTAATCAGGTGCAGGAGATGCCTCCTGGGCTGCAGGAACCAGGCAGTAGAAAGGCTTCAAGTGCTGCAAGAGCCAGGGGTACTCTGCTATAAGGTAGGGGAATGCTGAGGGAAACCTTTGGCTGCCAGTACCTGCAGGAGCCAGGCACTGCAGAAACTGCCCACTGCATAGGAGCCTGGTGGACACCTGTGCTATAGGAAATGGGCCCTAGGGAAGATGCAGGTACAATAGGAGCCAGCCCTTGATGAGCCATAAGCTTTGCAGGAGCCTGCAGAGTGTCTCACTGGAACCAGGAGCAAGTTCTCTCTTTTTGCATTGTCCCTTTAGTACCCTCTCCTGACAAAGTTTGACATCATGCCAGTTGCTAAAAGGAAAAATATCCAGAGTCCAGATCCATTTTCACAGATCAGGCAGTGAGGGGCAGATTTGGAGCTGAGAGGCAATAAGTTGATAATTGGTACAGTCCACCCCTTTGGATACTCAGCCTCTGTTTGTACCCTTCTACACATATTTGAATTCCTGTACAATAAAACAAATCTATATTTCTACCTAATAACATACAACTATCATTTTTTACAAATGTAGACATTCTCACCCTTTCCTCTAAAGGAGAAGCCCTTGTTTATGTAACTGGTCAAGAGGCCATAATTGGTATGTATGGCTTCCTTTTATTACCCATTCCATATTTCTCTCACCCTCAGCTAGAACTTCACCTGGACAGGATCTTTATCTGGTAAAATGTCCCATTCTCAAAGAATCTCAATCCTCAAAGATTTAGCTGTGTTTTGGTTGTAGTTTTTCATTAACTTTTACTTTAGGCATGCAAGTCCTGAGGCACCATAGAGAATCCCCTGGTTCAAGACACGTTTCTCTTTGCCAAACTATTATGTAGAAGCACCCCAGTTTCCCTTTGGTTATTGAGAACAATCACTCAAGCCAGTAGATTAACTTCCTCTTTTTCAGCCTGTTGATTCAGTGGCATATGGTACCCCAGTTAGCCAAGTGGCATCTTAAAATTAAAGTAGAAGCATTCTTCTGTTAAATAGGAAGGAGTTAAAAATAGTTAACCACCTGAGAAGGAAAGAAATGCCTTTATTTTGAAATAAATATTTGGCATGAGTAGAGTTTCCAAAGATAAGGTATATAAGTATTTATTCATTTGTGCATTGATAAATGCTATTATTTGCCAGGTACTAAGTACTGGGAATTTCAGAGTTACTAATTTGTGATTCTATAACAGTGTCAGTGAGTCAAGGACAGTCAGTGTGATAAAAATTCTAACATGGGAGATATTAGGAGATAGAGTGGCAGACTACAGAGTTTACTTCAATATGACACCTCATTCTCGAAAGGAATTTGTATCATGTCTAGGAAATATATCTTTAATATATTACTGTTTGTGTGTGTGTATGTATGTTTGTATATGGAGAGAGTGGGAGAGAGAGAAATCAGACTACAAAATCTATCTGGGGATATAAACAGTGGCCAGATTGTGAAGAATCACATTTGCTAATTTAAGAGGTTTGGCTTTTATCCAACAGATTGTGGGGAGGCAAATGAGGTACATGACATGGTAAGTTTTGTTTTGGAGAAGATAACACTGGTGGCCTTATAAAAGAAGAAATGCAGTAGGGGGAATCCAGCTGACAGGAGATCAGTTAAAAGATTGTTACAGTAATAAAAGCAAGAGATGATTAGCTCCTGAACTAGAACAGTGACCTTAAGAGGGAGGTGAGGTTGGGTTTTAGAAACATTTCCAGGCAAGAGTCTTTTGCCTGTGGTATTAGCTTAAGAGTAGGTAAGAAAAGGGAGAATGTAGAGTGGCATACACAGGACAAGTCTTTACCAAATGTTTACTTAGTATCTGCTTTATAAGGGGACAGTTCTTGATATCATTTACTAACAGCAAATTTCACTTTATAATTATGTGTATGCATATACACACATATACATACAGATATTCACATATATATGATATGCATGCTAAATATACACATGTATGTTAAACAGACATAAGATAAAGGTTATATATAGTAATTTTAACATTAAAATATATATAATTGTTTATTCTTATTTAATTACAAATTATTATATTTGTTAACTCTAAAGATTTAGAATTTACTTTGTTGTTGTTCTGCCATTGTGATTGTCTCTTTTTCAGTTGCTGGTGGTTTGCGATCAGTTTTATTTTGTTCTGGGTGAAAGATATTTTAAATTATGATTTCAAATATGACTAATAGTTAAAGAGTAGCTTCAATCAGTTTTTATTTACTATTTATTTGAAATATTGTCTGAATATATGGTAGTAATGTGTTCATATTAATAATACCTTCTAAAATTAGAGATTTGTGTTTTAGTCCTAACTACTCTACAGTACATCAGCTACCTTCTTATAATTCATCTAATTTCTTTTACCCTGAAATTTCTTGTCTAAAAAATGAAGAAATTGAACAAGAATGATTTCTAGGATCCTTTCTAGTTGTTAAATACAATGATTCTTATATTGTATATTTATTGTTTAAAATGATTGCCAAATTATGTAATTTTTGTATAAACCATATCCTAACCCTTCATCCTCCAGAATGTAGAGTTTAGATATTTGTGAAGAAAAAATATAGACAGATTTGAGGAGTGTTGTAGTGTTACACTCTTTAATTTTGGTGGAAAAGTAGAAGGGCCTTCTCTAAGAAAAGAAAAACTGCTATTGAATTGACTTTCTGAGAGTGAGAATTAGAAAGGAGTAAATTTAGTGATAGGGAAATGTCATGTAGGTGAGGAGATGTATTTGAGGGTATTGGCATTTATGTATAATGTGATAGCACAGAAATCCAAAGAGTTGTGACGAGGTGAGTACAGCAGTAATGGTGGTATATAGAGGGTAACTAGAATGTAAGTTCCTTGAGAGTACAGATTTTTGTATGTTTTGTTCATTACTGTATCCTCACCACTAATAATAATGTCTGGCACAGGTTTGGTGCCCCACTTGCTGGCTTAGTAATCTTGGGCAATTGACTTAACTTTGCCTCAGTTTCTCCAACTATAAAATGAAAGAAAGAATGAATACTTGAAGGAAGCAAGCAAGAAAGAAAAATTTAGAATTATTTGGCTAGGAAGAGCTAATAAACCAGTGACTAAATGTGAGATGATTAGAACTTTCCAAAGGACTTGGGTATGATGGAAATAGTTTAGAATAAACTTTTAGCAGTGAAGTATCAGAATTTACCATCAACTATGGTCTGACTGTGTCCCCTAAAATTTGTATTTTTGGAATTTAAAACCTAATATGATAGTATTAAGAGTTAGGGCATTTAGGAAGTAATGAAATCATGAGCCCTCATAAATGCAATTAGTGACCTTATAAAAGAGCTTCAAGGGAGCTGTTCAGTCCCTCCTGCCGTGTGAGGATGCAGTAACAAGGTGCCATCCTATGGAGAAGAGAGCAAGCCTTTACCAGGCACTGAATCTGCTGGTACCTTGATGTTGGATTTCCCAGCCTCCAGAATGGTGAGAAATAAACTCCTATTATTAATTA
This sequence comes from Homo sapiens, assembly GCF_000001405.40. Lineage (NCBI taxonomy): Eukaryota > Metazoa > Chordata > Mammalia > Primates > Hominidae > Homo > Homo sapiens. The sequence continues at coordinate 197,630,247 of NC_000001.11, read as the reverse complement.
GTTAACTACTCTGAGGTATTTTGTTATAGTAGCCCAAAGAGACTAAGATACCATCCTAAGAGAATAAAGGAAGAAAATAAAGTATAAAAAATTTAGGTTTATTTGAAACCACCAAAATGTCTTCCAGAGTGGCTGTACCATTTTGTATTCCCACCATAAATGAATGAGAGTTTCTTTTCCACATCTTCATCAGCATTTGTTGTCAGTGTTCTGGATTTTGGCCATTCTAATAGGTGCGTAGTGGTATCTCATTGTTTTAATTTGCCTTTCCCTGATGACATGTGATGGGGAACATCTTTTCATATGCTTATTTGTCATTTGTATATCTTTGCTGAGGTTGGTGAGGCATCAGTTACAGTTTTTGACCCATTTCTTAATTGGGTTGTTTGTTTTCTTATTATAGAATTTTAAGAGTTTTGTATATTTTGGATAACAGGCTCTTATCAGATATGCCCTCTGCAAATATTTCCTCTAAAGTCCGTGGCTGCTTTTTAAATTTTCTTGACAGTGTTTTTCACAGAACAAAAATTTTAAATTTATTCATTTTTTATTTTATTTTATTTTATTATTATTATACTTTAAGTTTTAGGGCACATGTGCACAATGTGCAGCTTAGTTACATATGTATACATGTGCCATGCTGGTGGGCTGCACCCATTAACTCATCATTTAGCATTAGGTATATCTCCTAATGTTACCCCTCCCCCCTCCCCCGACCCCACAACAGTCCCCAGAGTGTGATGTTCCCCTTCCTGTGTCCATGTGTTCTCATTGTTCAATTCCCACCTATGAGTGAGAACATGCGGTGTTTGGTTTTCTGTCCTTGCGATAGTTTACTGAGAATCATGATTTCCAGTTTCATCCATGTCCCTACAAAGGACATGAACTCATCATTTTTTCTGGCTGCATAGTATTCCATGGTGTATATGTGCCACATTTTCTTAATCCAGTCTATCATTGTTGGACATTTGGGTTGGTTCCAAGTCTTTGCTATTGTGAATAGTGCCGCAATAAACATATGTGTGCATGTGTCTTTATAGCAGCATGATTTATAATCCTTTGGGTATATACCCAGTAATGGGATGGCTGGGTCAAATGGTATTTCTGGTTCTAGATCCCTGAGGAATCGCCACACTGACTTCCACAATGGTCGAACTAGTTTACAGTCCCACCAACAGTGTAAAAGTGTACCTATTTCTCCACATCCTCTCCAGCACCTGTTGTTTCCTGACTTTTTAATGATGTTCATTCTAACTGGTGTGAGATGGTATCTCATTGTGGTTTTTATTTGCATTTCTCTGATGGCCAGTGATGGTGAGCATTTTTTCATGTGTTTTTTGGCTGCATAAATGTCTTCTTTTGAGAAGTGTCTGTTCATATCCTTCGCCCACTTTTTGATGGGGTTGTTTGTTTTTTTCTTGTAAATTTGTTTGAGTTCATTGTAGATTCTGGATATTAGCCCTTTGTCAGATGAGTAGGTTGCAAAAATTTTCTCCCATGTTGTAGGTTGCCTGTTCACTCTGATGGTAGTTTTTTTTGCTGTGCAGAAGCTCTTTAGTTTAATTAGATCCCATTTGTCAATTTTGGCTTTTGTTGCCATTGCTTTTGGTGTTTTAGACATGAAGTCCTTGCCCATGCCTATGTCCTGAATGGTAACACCTAGGTTTTCTTCTAGGGTTTTTATGGTTTTAGGTCTAACGTTTAAGTCTTTAATCCATCTTGAATTAATTTTTGTAAAAGGTGTAAGGAGGGGATCCAGTTTCAGCTTTCTACATATGGCTAGCCAGTTTTCCCAGCACCATTTATTAAATAGGGAATCGTTTCCCCATTGCTTGTTTTTGTCAGGTTTGTCAAAGATCAGATAGTTGTAGTTATGCGGCGTTATTTCTGAGGGCTCTGTTCTGTTCCGTTGATCTATATATCTGTTTTGGTACCAGTACCACACTGTTTTGGTTACTATAGCCTTGTAGTATAGTTTGAAGTCAGGTAGCATGATGCCTCCAGCTTTGTTCTTTTGGCTTAGGATTGACTTGGCGATGCGGGCTCTTTTTTGGTTCTATATGAACTTTAAAGTAGTTTTTTCCAATTCTGTGAAGAAAGTCATTGGTAGCTTTATGGGGATGGCATTGAATCTATAAAATACCTTGGGCAGTATGGCCATTTTCATGATATTGATTCTTCCCACCCATGAGCATGGAATGTTCTTCCATTTGTTTGTATCCTCTTTTATTTCATTGAGCAGTGTTTTGTAGTTCTCCTTGAAGAGGTCCTTCACATCCCTTGTAAGTTGGATTCCTAGGTATTTTATTCTCTTTGAAGCAATTGTGAATGGGAGTTAACTCATGATTTCGCTGTCTGTCTGTTATTGGTGTATAAGAATGCTTGTGATTTTTGTACATTGATTTTGTATCCTGAGACTTTGCTGAAGTTGCTCATCAGCTTCAGGAGATTTTGGGCTGAGACAATGGGGTTTTCTATATATACAATAATGTCATCTGCAAACAGGGACAATTTGACTTCCTCTTTTCCTAATTGAATACCCTTTATTTCCTTCCCCTGCCTAATTGCCCTGGCCAGAACTTCCAACTCTATGTTGAATAGGAGTGGTGAGAGAGGGCATCCCTGTCTTGTGCCCGTTTTCAAAGGGAATGCTTCCAGTTTTTGCCCATTCAGTATGATATTGGCTGTGGGTTTGTCATAGATAGCTCTTATTATTTTGAGATATGTCCCATCAATACCTAATTTATTGAGAGTTTTTAGCATGAAGTGTTCTTGAATTTTGTCAAAGGCCTTTTCTGCATCTGTTGAGATAATCATGTGGTTTTTGTCTTTGGTTCTGTTTATATGCTGGATTACATTTATTGATTTGCGTGTATTGAACCAGCCTGGCATATCAGGGATGAAGCCCACTTGATCATGGTGGATAAGCTTTTTGATATGCTGCTGGATTCGGTTTTCCAGTATTCTATTGAGGATTTTTGCATCAATGTTCATCAAGGATATTGGTCTAAAATTCTCTTTTTTCGGTGTGTCTCTGCCCGGCTTTGGTATCAGGATGATGCTGGCCTCATAAAATGAGTTAGGGAGGATTCCCTCTTTTTCTATTGATTGGAATAGTTTCAGAAGGAATGGTACCAGTTCCTCCTTGTACCTCTGGTAGAATTCGGCTGTGAATCCATCTGGTCCTGGACTCTTTTGGTTTGGTAAGCTACTGATTATTGCCACAATTTCAGATCCTGTTATTGGTCTATTCAGAGATTCAACTTCTTCCTGGTTTAGTCTTGGGAGGGTGTGTGTGTCGAGGAATTTATCCATTTCTTCTAGATTTTCTAGTTTATTTGCGTAGAGGTGTTTGTAGTATTCTTTGATGGTAGTTTGTATTTCTGTGGGATTGGTGGTGATATCCTCTTTATCATTTTTTTTCCATCTATTTGATTCTTCTCTCTTTTCTTCTTTATTAGTCTTGCTAGCGGTCTATCAATTTTGTTGATCCTTTCAAAAAACCAGCTCCTGGATTCATTAATTTTTTGAAGGGTTTTTTTTGTGTCTCTATTTCCTTCAGTTCTGCTCTGATTTTAGTTATTTCTTGCCTTTTGCTAGTTTTTGAATGTGTTTGCTCTTGCTCTTCTAGTTCTTTTAATTGTGATGTTAGGGTGTCAATTTTGGATCTTTCCTGCTTTCTCTTGAGGGCATTTAGTGCTATAAATTTCCCTCTACACACTGCTTTGAATGTGTCCCAGAGATTGTGGTATGTTGTGTCTTTGTTCTCATTGGTTTCAAAGAACATCTTTATTTCTGCCTTCATTTCATTATTTATGTACCCAGTAGTCATTCAGGAGCAGGTTGTTCAGTTTCCATGTAGTTGAGTGGTTTTGAGTGAGTTTCTTAATCCTGAGTTCTAGTTCGATTGCCCTGTGGTCTGAGAGACAGTTTGTTATAATTTCTGTTCTTTTATATTTGCTGAGGAGAGCTTTACTTCCAACTATGTGGTCAATTTTGGAATAGGTGTGGTATGGTGCTGAAAAAAATGTATATTCTGTTGATTTGGGGTGGAGAGTTCTGTAGATGTCTATTAGGTCTGCTTGGTGCAGAGCTGAGTTCAATTCCTGGGTATCCTTGTTGACTTTCTGTCTCGTTGATCTGTCTAATGTTGACAGTGGGGTGTTAAAGTCTCCCATTATTATTGTGTGGGAATCTAAGTCTCTTTGTAGGTCACTTAGGACTTGTTTTATGAATCTGGGTGCTCCTGTATTGGGTGCATATGTATTTGGGACAGTTAGCTCTTCTTGTTGAATTGATCCCTTTGCCATTATGTAATGGCCCTCTTTGTCTCTTTTGATCTCTGTTGGTTTAAAGTATGTTTTATCAGAGACTAGGATTGCAACCTCTGCCTTTTTTTGTTTTCCATTTGCTTGGTAGATCTTCCTCCATCCTTTTATTTTGAGCCTATGTCCTATGTGTGTCTCTGCATGTGAGATGGGTTTCCTGAATACAGCACACTGATGGGTCTTGACTCTTTATCCAATTTGCCAGTCTGTGTCTTTTAATTGGAGCATTTAGTCCATTTACATTTAAAGTTAATATTGTTATGTGTGAATTTGATCCTGTCATTATGATGTTAGCTGGTGATTTTGCTCGTTAGTTGATGCAGTTTCTTCCTAGCCTCGATGGTCTTTACAATTTGGCATGATTTTGCAGTGGCTGGTACCGGTTGTTCCTTTCCATGTTTAGTGCTTCCTTCAGGAGCTCTTTTAGGTCAGGCCTGGTGGTGGCGAAATCTCTCAGCATTTGCTTGTCTGTAAAGTATTTTATTTTTCCTTCACTTATGAAGCTTAGTTTGGCTGGATATGAAATTCTGGGTTGAAAATTCTTTTCTTTAAGAATGTTGAATATTGGCCCCCACTCTCTTCTGGCTTGTAGCGTTTCTGCTGAGAGATCTGCTGTTAGTCTGATGGGCTTCCCTTTGAGGGTAACCCGACCTTTCTCTCTGGCTGCCCTTAACATTTTTTCCTTCATTTCAACTTTGGTGAATCTGACAATTATGTGTCTTGGAGTTGCTCTTCTCGAGGCATATCTTTGTGGCGTTCTCTGTATTTCCTGAATCTGAATGTTGGCCTGCCTTGCTAGATTGGGGAAATTCTGGATAATATCCTGCAGAGTGTTTTCCAACTTGGTTCCATTCTCCCTGTCACTTCCAGGTACACCAATCAGACGTAGATTTGGTCTTTTCACATAGTCCCATATTTCTTGGAGGCTTTGTTTGTTTCTTTTTATTCTTTTTTCTCTAAATTTCCCTTCTTGCTTCATTTCATTCATTTCATCTTCCATCACTGATACCCTTTCTTCCAGTTGATCGCATCGGCTCCTGAGGCTTCTGCATTCTTCACATAGTTCTCGAGCCTTGGCTTTCAGCTCCATCAGCTCCTTTAAGCACTTCTCTGTATTGGTTATTCTAGTTATACATTCGTCTAAAATTTTTTCAAAGTTTTTAACTTCTTTGCCTTTGGTTTAAATTTCCTCCTGTAGCTCAGAGTAGTTTGATCGTCTGAAGCCTTCTTCTCTCAACTCGTCAAAGTCATTCTCTATCCAGCTTTGTTCCGTTGCTGGTGAGGAACTGTGTTCCTTTGGAGGAGGAGAGGCGCTCTGCTTTTTAGAGTTTCCAGTTTTAATGAAATCCAGCTTATCAATTAATTTTTTCATGGTTCATGACTTTGGTGTTGTCTCTAAAAGTCATTGCCAAGCCCTAGTTCATGTAGATTTTCTCCTGTATTATCCTCTAGGAGTTTTATAGTTTTGCATTTTACATTTAGGTCTGTGATTCATTTTGAGTAAATTTTCATGAAAAGTGTGAGGACTGTATCTAGATTCATTTTTTTGGCATGTGGATGTCCACTTCTTCCAGCACCATTTATTGATAAGACTGTCTTTTATTCATTGTATTGCCTTTGCTTCTTTGTCAAAGATTAGTTGATTATATTTATGTGGGTCTATTTGTGGGCTCTCTATTCTGTTTCATTGATCTAATTGTATGTTCTTTTATAAATGCTACACTGTTTTGAATATTGTAGCTTTATAATAAGTTTTGAACTCAGATAGTGTCAGTCCTCCAACTTTGTTCTTTCAGAATTGTGTTGACTATTCTGTGTCTTTTGCTTCTCGATAGAAACTTTAGAATCACCTTCTTGTTTTCCACAAGAAAACTTGCTGGGATTTTGATTGGGATTGTAATCTATAGATCAAGTTGGAAGGACTGACATCTTCACAGTATTGAGTCTTCCTACCCATGAACATGGAATATCTCTCCATTTATTTAGTTCTTTGATTTCTTTTATCAGAGTCTTTAGTTTTCCTTATATAGATTGTATACATATTTTGTTAGATTTATATGTAATTATTTAATAGAGCATTTTTATGATACTATAATGGTGGATACATGTCACTGTAAATTTGTTTTATCCTAGAGTGTGAACTCTGATGTAAATTAGGGACTCAGATGACAATGATGTATCAATATAGGTTCATTGACTGTAACAATGTACCAGTGTGGTTGGGTATGTTAATAATGGAGGAAGCCATGGGTGTGTGAGGGCAGGGAGAACATGGGACATTTCTGTACTTTCTGCTCAGTTTTGCTATGAATGTAAAAGTATTCTAAGAAATAAATTCTATTTTTAAAAAATGTACAAAATATTGTTTTTGCATTATGTAAAATTTCTGTTCTCCAAACATTTTCTTATAAGTCTCACTTAATTTGAATATTAGAGTTTTTCTTAAGTGAGACTATTTAGTAGTTAATGTTGTGGTTTTCAGATACCCTGCTGCTCCCGTTTTTGGTCTGAACTTTAAAATGTGAATATAAATTAAATGTGTTTAAACAGTTTTTTTCTTTATGGTTTCCACTAATTTTTTAAAAATTTTATGAGGAATTCATTACATTCCCATCTGCAACAGTTTACTGTTTATACTTATAGTTATTTATGATGCTTAAATTTCTAAATTAAGTATTGATTCAGTTAAAAATCAGGTGAGGTCTCTAATACATGTTTCTTGGATTTTATTAATAAATGCTTTCTTAGGGAATATAAATCTGCCCCTCAGTAACTCATTTAACCCTGCAGTAACTCCTATAACTCTAGCTGAAGTGTAGGATTTCTACAAAAGAATGAGGCACAATCTAGATAGGTGATACAGAGGCTAGAATAGTGTGAGTAGCAATGTGTCTATATGATACCTTTACCTGTAAGGCATGCTAGTTAAAATTGTGCTATTTTTCATAGTGGTGATTATACTAGATGGATTGTCTTTCTGCTGTGTCCATGGGAATCTGATAAATGTCTTTTTCTCCTCCCTCAAAATACATGCCTATTTAATTGCTTAAAACAATTCTAGTTTTATTAATAGACTGATTTCTTCTAATAAATATAGTTTAAGAAGAAGGAACAAATCAGATTTTGTATCACAAAGCAGGACAACTTTGGTTCAGTTTCAAACTTAGGTGTACTCATAGACATAAGTTGAGATGATAACTTGTAGAATTTGTATCAATGATCTTATCCTTTTAACATTTTCTGGGAGAGTCTGTTTTATTAGTTACCTGCTGTAGTTACAGTCTGTGTTGCCTGAGGAAAGTTTTGTAAATCAGATCTCTGTCTATCATAGATTTCTCATACAAAGGTCAATGGCTCTTGTTTGATTGTCCGGTCCAAAGATGCATTCTCTATTATACAATTAGTATAAAACACAATATTTTCAGTCAGTGGATGCTATTCAAAGCCTCATAATGATGATAATTTAAAATCTTTGTATATTGAAGGCAGTTTGAAATAGTGGTTACTATACTTTGGATCTAGCCTGCCTCCAGTTGTATCCTGGCTTTGCTGTTGATAAGCTCTGTGATCGTGGGCAGTTGGTTGAACTTTGTCTTAGTGCCTTGATCTGATAAGTAGAAGTAATGATAATAGTACTTGATGAGGTTGTTGTGAGGATTAGGTATGAGTAGTTCAAGTACTCATAACAGTTCTTGGCACATGGTAAACATTATGTAAACATTTGTTGTTGCTATTATTTTCAATGGCACTACCTATGTTTAGACCTGGTGACCTGGGACCAGAAGTTTCAAATGCCTTTGTTCTATGACTGAGTTAACTGTTGCAGACCTTTGCTGTCAGGTTTCTCTGTCTGGTTTCACAGGCATTAGTTCTTGTCCCTTCTCATGATTCCCATATATACTTATGTTGTAATTGAAGTCCATAGTAAATCAGTATTACCAATGTTTCTATTTTGCATTAGTCAGCTCTTTGGAACTGTATTAGTTCAATATATTGGGTATGCTTTATGAAAATATATGTGCATTTTAAATATCATATGTCACATAAAGATAAGAAATTTTTTTCCATAAACCTTTATTTGGTAAATTCATTTTTATCTGAAAATTATAACAGTGTATTATTCAGTTTCAGGGTATAATGCCAGAGATATGTTTGAACTGAAACATGGAAATTCTTCCCTTTACCCTTTTCTCTGCTTTCGTGAGGAACAATTGTGGTATTAAAGAAGCAACTGACGATATTAGAAAAGCAATGTGGAGTCTTGGCCCTGTCACTAATCAGACATATGATACTTGGGTAATTCTAGCCCAAAGAAAGACTATATGATATTTCATTTTTCTTTAAGCTTAAAGATTCAATATATCATAAATAATGTTAAATTAATAAGATTCTTCTTACTTGGCTTATTAAATTGTTCTCATTTCTTTGTAGTACTTTATATTGCAAACCAAACTTCTAAAATATGTAGTTTATTTTCCTTTAATTTGTGTATTCTCAAAATGTTCCAGGTAAATAGTTTATTATGATAGCACTCTCTTCAGAGGTATGTAAAAATGTCATCCAGAATAATATTTAGAGTCTTTGCCATGTCCTAGAAGGCTCTATTTTCCTTTAATTTGTATATTTTTCTTTAATTTGTATATTCTCAAATGTTCCAGGTAAATAGTTTATTATGATAGCACTCTCTTCAGAGGTATGTAAAAATGTCATCGAGAATAATATTTAGAGTCTTTGCCGTGTCCTAGAAGGCTCTCCATCATTGATTCTGCTTCTCTATCTGACCTCATCTCCTGCCATTCTCCCACTTCCTCCAGTCTGATCTCACTGACTTCCCCATTGCTCTGTGAAGATGCCAAGCATGTTCTCACCTGGGACTTCTGAATGCCTCGTTTAATTTACCTGGAATGCTCTTCTTCCCAAATCCACGAGTTTACTCTCTCCCTTCAGTTAGGTTTCAGTTCATATGTCACCACGTTAGAGTTCTTCTGTAATCCTCCTATCTAAAATAGCTCCCCACCCCCATCACTCCCTACTTTAGGTTTCTTTATAGATCTAATCTCTGACAATATTTATTTTACTTGTTTATTGTTTGCTTTCTCCACTAACACATAAGCTCCATAGAAACGGGGACTTTGTTCTGTTTAGTACTGTGTCCCTGTTGCCTCATAGGGATTTCGATTGCATATAGCAGGCACTCAAAATTTTTGTTGAATTAAGCAAAAAAATTATTATAATATTTTCAGTTGCATAATTACCTTATGGACTTTAGAGCACCTACTTTATTAAAGCACTTTAAAGCACTTAAACTTTTAGATATATTTTGAAAGTGGATCTGAATTATAGTCCAGTCATAGTATTCCGTTAGCCACCAGGGTAGAAGAAATCTCAATACATAAGAATATAAAAAAGATAGAATTCATCTGATCTAAAAATAAAGAATGTTTGATCTATGAGAGAAAATACTTACAGATCATCTAGCATAGAGTTCTTATTTTAAAGATCAGAAAACTGAGACATGGTTATATTTGTAGATGTGCCAGAGATCACATGGCTTGTTGGTGGCAGAGCCCTAATTTTGTGTCTGTAATATACATGTTATGATTTTATGCAATTTACATATGAATGTGTTACATTTTCTAGTAAATTTGTTTTATTTTATTTACTTGCAACTTTGCTATCATCTGTAAAAGAATATGCCATAATAGTATTTTCTCATTTTTTTTTAAGTTTCACAGCTCTTGCATGCTACTAGGTGAATATGGAGGATTATCTTTGGGATGCTTCCGTCTTCTTTGGAAATCTCCATTTAGGTGTCTCATGGTTAACAGAATAAATATTTGCCAAAGCAGATTCCTTATAATTCTACTTAAACCTGACACTTTTGCTATATTACCTTTAATAATTCATTCTGGTTGCTTAGTTCCAGAACTGTGGTTGGGAAGGAGTTGTCATATATTTTTTCCTCTCCTTGTCACCTATACCCCACATCCAGAAAGTTGCCAAGTCCTGTAGACTCGGTTCTCTTCTGGTAGATCTTGATTAGCAGGCATAACCCTCTACCAGATGCTGGCCATTGCAGAAATTTTGTGACTCTGCATATAATTACAGAAACCATCCTCTAAGAAATCAGTCAAATTCATCAGATAATGTTGAATTTTGTTAGCGAATAACTAATAAAACTTCATTTAAGGATGACCAGTAAGGAGGCAGGGAAAGTATTTACATGGCATTTAGTAGAGTGCTTTGGACTCTGGGTATGCCCAGTGAAATAAATTGCCCAGTGAAATAAAGTGAGGTATTAAATATAATACCTCACATTAAGAACGTGTTTTTCCTCTTGCTACAGTTTTTATTTGCTCAGTAACAAAAAAAGAACACTCTCTCTTTTTTGTTGTTTTTAAGGCTTTAAATGAGCTGTTTAAAAAGTCATCTGTGTGCAGATTGAGAAATTGAATAATTAGCTGCCTTTCAACGCTTCATAAGCTCTTTTAGCCCATCAGGTTAAAAAGGGGGTGGAAAGAGTTAATACAGTCTTAAAGAGGCCTAATTTACAACTAAGGAGTACCTGAGAGCTCTTGGAGAATTTGACACAATGAGTTAGATCAACCCCATTTTCATTTCCCTCTAGCTGCAGTTTGTAACATAAATAAATCCATGGTCTATAATTGTTAAATGGAAGTATTTGAATGCCTCCTAGTGGCATATTGTAGGCTCTAATTAAGGAATTTAAAAAGTAATACTTATTGAAGGAATACTATCATAACCTATTAAAGCTTGTAAGTACAAGGTAGTAAAATCCTTTAATGATAACATCCTAAGTGAAATCAAAATACATTATTTGCCATACAAAACTGATTAAAAACATGACTGGAAAAAATATAATACATATGGCAAAGATGCATATACTTTGAATAAAAATTTTTGGTTTTGGTTCAAATCGAGTTATTTTAATTTACTTTATGTAATGGATCTATTTTGCACTTAAACATAGACAAATGTGGCTAATAATAGGATTTGGATAGCTTTGTGTACATTCATTTTTTTAAATTAATTGTGCTTATCACTTAGTTTCTTTAAATATCTTTGTATAATAATAGAGAAAACGGTTTATAGAAAGTCTGGTTCATTTTCAGATTTTTTTTTAATTCTGATCTTCAAGTTGAATAAAATAATTTAATCGGTAACCTTGAAATACAGACTATAGCAAAACTTTAAAATGATTAAGAATGCTGATTTAATTATTGCTTTATGCATAAAAATGACTTTACATCTACAGAAATATAATTTAAAATGGAAAGAAAGTCACATTAAAAGAATTCTGATGAGGGTCAGAAGATGGGAGAAAAAAGTGATATCCTTTTGTTAAGTACTAAAAAATGTTTAATTAACTGCTTACCAAAACAAAACAATTAAAATGGCAATTACCTTTAAAATAGCAACAGTGTAATTACAGCTGTTGTGATATAAAGCTAGGAAACAAAATGTTAATCTGGAATGAACAGTTTAAATATGAAATTATGATATACTTGGCTTCCTGTAGTACAGCTGTCAAGCTTGGGCAGTTTGCTGGTCAATAGTGACATTCTATGTGTCAGTGAACAGAGTCTCTTGATACCGTAACCCGCAGTTCACACATTACTGAAGCTCCAACTGTCGAACATTCAAGTCCCCTGATATTATTGCAGCTTCCAGACTCTCCTAACTGGCTCATGTTTCATTCTTTGGCAATTTGCCCTAATGATATCCCTCAGGAGCTTTCAGCCTCTCTTCCTTTCCATATTTAATCATCTTATATTAATCTGAGTGATACACAAACTATGCTGTACAAATTGTAATTTCCTACAATTTTTCTAAGATGCACACCTAATTTTTCAGTTTTACTTTTACTTATGTTCTAAGTTTTCAATCCCAAACTCGGTATTTTCAGATGATTATAACTATCTACATGATTCCCAAGAAGCTTCTTTTGCTGTTTATATATGTTTCAGAGGGGCCTCTGAGATGTAAGACTTTTTACATGTAGAAGTGATAAAGACAATGTGATTTATGTAGTTATGTAAATTGTTCTGTGATTACTGTTCATTGTTGATACATTGAACATTGCTTTTTGTTTGGAAGGTCAGCAGCTACTTATTTTTGTTATCCTTTTACAAATTTCAGTTAACTGCCTGTATCCATGGATCAGCTGCTCTTCTATACCCAATGTATTGGCAACACATATACATCCCAGTGCTTCCTCCACACCTGCTGGACTACTGCTGGTAAGCTGGCTTTTGCCAGACTCCTTTAAGTTTAGGTTTCATGATTAGATTATCTGTTTATTTGTGAACTAGGTAAACTTGGGGGCATATTTAAAAGAAATCACAGAAACTTACATTTTAATAAATAGTAAAGATGGCTTTTATGAAGGACAGAATAATTCTGTACAAAGGTAGCGCAAGTTTATACCTAGCAAACATAAAGTTCTTTAGATTTTGTGAATTTCTTCTGCAGTCATTTAGATAACTCAATGCAAAATAGAAAAAAATAACAGTCTTAAGTTGTGTTAGGAAAACTGTATAGAAGTTATGGTGTCAGTTAGAGAACCCAGTATCCCAGGTGTCAGAATTTGTCTGGCAAATCTGCCAGCAACCACATTGTCTCTGTCAGGGCATACTCTTGTTACCTTTACTTCAGAATACACTTCTTTACCCCTCTTTTTTCAATAATAGCACACCAAATACCAAGTACTGATAAAGGGGTTGTCTCTAATACAAGAATTCTTGTTTTTTGTTTAAGTCAAAGTCTCAGCCTTGATCCACCATGAAAAGCAATGTTGAAAAGTATTGGGAGTAGTTCTGAAAAGTTTCCTGGCATTAGACACAATTCCTAAAGGATCCCAATAACCAGGCCTCTAGACCCTCCTTGTTCTCTTCACCTGGAAGAGTCTGCATATTTATCATGAGTCTAAACAAGGATTAGACTTCTAAATAGCAGCTTCTGGGCCTTCTTCAAGACTAGGGGGGGAAATGTTATCTTCATTGCATAATCATCTTCTGCAGGTATAGCCTAATTCTTAAGAAATGTGATGGGATTTTTCCTCTAAATCATTGTGCACACACATAGAAGGAAACAATTTTGACCTTAATGTGTTTGCTTATTTCACAGCTAATGTTACTAAAACACAGCACTTTTAGAATCAATGCACTCATTTAACTTTCTTATTTCATAAAAGGCAGAAAGTATTAAGGATTAAAAATGATTTAAGTTCATACACAGAGGGTTTCTATTAACTTTTTATGACTGAGCCTCTTCAGAACAAGTGATTGTAGTGACAACACATGTACTTGGCCACATATTGATTACGTTAATATATTGGTGTGTTTCCACAGCATGGTAATATTATTAGTATTGATAATGCTGTGAAGTAGGTGCCCAGTGACCTACCATTGCTATTATGCTGTTTGAGAACTAGAAAGGAGAAACTGTTTGGCAGGAAACTATAGGAATGTAGTTTATATTGTTAAGTGTCACACACACAAGTCTAAGAATAAAATAAATAGGCCCTTTGTTATTCATTTTAGAGTTTTCCTTTAACCAACATACCTATAATATTTTAGCATTCCTTAAAGGGAGGGTCTCATTTATTTATGTTGACATATGCAGTAGATCTTTGTATATACTGTTCAGTAATTAAACTTTATTTATTTAAAAATATATTTTACAGCAGTATTTGGAAATATATTGATATATGATTTTACATAATATATCTTTAGAATTACGTTTTATATATGATGTTAGTGCCATCTTAATTTTTCTATTAAAATGTTCTAACCTCTTAAGAGATAACACACCTTTAATTAAGTTCAATTATCTGTAATGAATTACACATTTAAGACTTTCTAAAATGTTATTTAGAAATTATTATATGACACAGGCAGTTCTGTACTAATTTTTTTCCAGATCTTTTCTAATCGTTTCTACCCCTGCCATAAAATTCAATGAAGTAAGCTTGTTTCATATTTCAGTCCCTGGAATTTTCTTTCTAGTGTCTAATGTCTGAAATAGCCTTTGGGTTGAGTTCTAAGAGCTTGCATGCCAAAAACCTCCCTGGTTCAAAGAGTAAGTCAGTGATATTCAAACAAGAAGTTATCTGAAACTTCCTGAACCTTAAGGTCACAATGATAGGCTCAGCTTCTATCATAGGAACGGAGTAATATAATATAATTATTTTTTTAAAGAATAGCCATCAGAAAACTTGGTAAACTAAACTGTTTCCTAGGGTAAACAGTTTTCTTCCATTTCCATCCTTGAGGTTAAAAAATCATACTGATCTACATGTAAAAGGGAAAAAAATTACAGATCATCCCTTCAATCTCATAGTTTTGATTAAATACTTTTTATGAATATTCCAGTTCAAAAATAGTGTCATGAAGATTTGATAGGAAAAGATATATCTTTGCTAACTCTTTGGCACGATTGGAACTTTCTGAATCCTGAGGTAATCCTACCTCCATAAAGTATTTCTGTTTTTGCAACTGGTAGCTCTGGTGTGGGTTGGACTGTGGAGAGCCGTAATGCCATCTTGTGACCATGGATGGATATCGCATCTTGGTCCACCAATAAAGCCTTGCTACTTTGTTGATTCATTCATCCATTCACTTGTTCATTAAACACTTAGTGACCATCTATTAATATTTGCCAAGCTGTGAGTGTGTAATGTAATGAATAAGATTTAGTTTATGCCATTGCAAGATTCACAGATAGCAAGAAATACACACATACTTACATGTGCACACATGCACACACACAGCACAGTGTAATACTGCAATACTATAAGTATTACAGAATAGGCATACAAAGGACCATGGATGGCAACACATAAGAAGAAGTGGCCTACAGTCCCTGGTAGCTTAGGGAAGGTGCCTGGGAGGAAATGACACCATCTGCATTTTCCCCTAATCAGCCAATGTAAGAGTACTTTAATGTGGCAAGTCTATGATGTTGCAAGACAGTCTTAACCTATCTAAGTCCATAAACACATGGCAGGTAGTGTGACTGTAGGACTAGTAAAATTGTAATTATCTATCATTTGTTCATGAATGGTTGAGTCACTATTTAGGCTATATGACTCTTCTTTTTATGAAAGGAGCAGATTTAGCTTCTGAGAGAATAGGTATTTTTTTTCTTTAAAAAAATGGAAAATTGTATTCTTTAGACTACCCCAATAGACTGCTGTTATAGTCTGTGTCATGAGTGGTCTCTTTGTATGAAAACCTAAAAAGAAAAAAAAAGCTATTCTTAAGTACAGGTGAATTGCTACCAAAAAGAAGCAGCAATCATATGGAGGCTTCTGTATCCTATCTTTGCAAAATAACTTCATTGAAAGAAAGATTTAGGACAGTTTTTCACATAGAGGACAAAACATCTGTGTTGCCAAGAATCTCTTCTTGGCTTGTTAATGCCCTTATCTAATTAGGAAATTTAAGGCTAGGTTTGCAAAGTTACTTTTCATGAGATTTGGGTGATTTCATATTAGGATTACACAATCCAGTTTTTGTGAGAAAGAAACAACTATTCACTCTATATTCTGCAAAATGTAATTATTTTAGGAAATTAGTCTCTAGGTTAATAATGTTTACAGTTCTAACATCTGTGTTTTAGATTTTGTGAGAAATTGGTGAGAAGAGAACATGTGGAGATAACAAGTGATCCCATTTTAAAAGTTTCAAGTTATTATATGATTAAATTTTGCATACAAGCTTTTTAATGAATATTTTTATGTCAGCTTAACAATTTTTATCAATGTGTTTTTTATACTTCTGAAGATAAGTATATCTTCCATAAAGTTTAAAATGTTTTTGCCTGGGCGAAAGAGCGAGACTCCGTCTCAAAAAAAAAAAAAAAAAGTTTTCCTAGATGTATTCAGTAGGTTATTTAGCAGTCTGTTTCTGATTTTAAGAAAATCTGACCCACCCATTTATCCCACCAACATTTGTAAAATGGACTTAGTAATTATTGTTTTTAGAAGGCTTACCTATTTTAAAACTCTTTCATTAAAATGTACTTTGAAATTTCAGACAGCATGGGCTTTTCTGTATTATAAATCTTGTGAATAGAATAAACTAACCTGAGGTTAATTGGAAGTTTACACAGTGACTTTAATAATTTTATGCTATTTTGAACATAGGCAGGGCTTGAGATATTTAAGATTATGGCCTAACTTCATTTTGTTAAAGGTATCAAAACCTTGTTGTGGAAGCCTAGATTTGTTAGTGATATGCATTTTATGTCTTCTTCTCTGGAGACCTAGAAGGAATACAGGGATGAGAACTTGAATTAGGGAAGTAGTGGAACAGTACACATTTGTTCCTCCTGTTTCCTTTTGAAGGTAGAAAATCTGTTAGGTCTTAAGGATATCAAGGCCTATAAACAGTTTTCAACTTTCAGCCAAGTGAAGTATCCAGAATATCAGATCAATTCCAGATGGTCTCTTGCATTCAAATTAAAAAAAAAATAGGAAGGAACAAAGCTACAAAGGGCAAAGACAACTGGGAATTAGAATCTAGTACAATAAGAAGTAATGAACTAGAATGTACAGGCTAACGAGGAGTAAAATAAGAACTTTAACACTTATTTTGTAAATTCTGGATATATAGATTGGTGGTTAGCCATCTTTAAATAAATTTGGAACTTTTTAAGGTTACTTTGAAATCTCTGGGTCTGTCAGGGTGGCTGTGTAATCTATTGCTGGTTCTCAGTAGCAAAGTGAACACACAGAAATTTGGACAGCTCTGTTCTAATAATGACAATGATGTTTAGAAAATTATGCAAATCTTTTGAGAAAGAGGATTATCTGTTTGCATTAACAGAAAAAGAGTGTCATAATAGAGCACAAAGATGCCTATAAAAGAATTGCCAAAAATGTTTTATTTTAAAATAGCTATTTATTCATATATCTGCTATTGACTTCGTAGATATCTGTCAATTCTCATGTTTTTCTGTTAGATAATATTTTAGGTTTGAAATGTCAAGTTGAATAATTTTCTTCTTGTATTTCGTGAGAAGTATTTCTGAAATAACCAGCAATTCTTATTCTGTGTATTAAAAATTTAACATCTATATTTTTTGCAAGAGTATAAAATCCATAGGGAATATATTCAGTTTATATTGTCTATTATTGTTCCCAAGTTTCTACCCTAAGGCCTGGCACCTGCTATGCTCCAAATATCATGTGTTGAATTAATTAATTCAAGATTATTCTCACACTTGAGTATTTTTAAATTTATTAAAATTATTAATAAAAGTGAAAGTTGGATAAATCTGAATTTATAAAATTAGGTAAATAAAAGACAATGTACATGAGGGGAAAGATAGCACAGTAGGTGAGGAAGTTGTTTCCTTTTGTACATCCAGTTCCAGAACAGTGTCTGACAAACAATAAGTCTTGATAGATATTTGCAGACTGACCCTCTGATCCAAATATTTGGTGACATAGGAGGTATGTATCAATGAATATATATATTAAGAATATCATAGAAATAAGAATTTAATTGAATAGGAAAAGATGTGCAAAACGGATGTTAATAAATTTGATG
Organism: Homo sapiens; assembly: GCF_000001405.40. Taxonomy (NCBI): domain Eukaryota; kingdom Metazoa; phylum Chordata; class Mammalia; order Primates; family Hominidae; genus Homo; species Homo sapiens. The sequence continues at coordinate 197,612,342 of NC_000001.11, read as the reverse complement.
ATTATTTAAGATATATTTGCTATGAGGTATACGGAAAAGATTCAATTCAGACTATGGCCTAGACCTGGATATTCTTCTTAAGGTAAAAACAAACCAACAAACAAACTTTTTAGGCATTATAACTCTTGATTAAATTATAAATGATTTTATGATGTTTATAAAAAGCAATCTTAATTTTAAATATATTAATGGCCTCTAAGATTAAATTTGAGCTTTATATATTGAATAATTTTGAATATCTATAATGTGTTATGCTGGAACTGAGCATTTAATACATTTAATTTTTAATCATTTTGAATTACTTATACTGTTGTTTCAGTTTTAATGAACTATATGAATCTATGCATATATATATTTTTAATTTAGTGCCCCAATGCCATACCTGATTGGAATACACTCCAGCCTCATAGAGGTGAGTATCTTTCAGACATGAGACAGTGATAAAATTAACTCATAAAATAATAGTTAAAACAGTTTTGTTTTGAAGAAATATCAGTGGTATAGGACAAAGAAGTGACTAGTTTCATATTTAGAGTATGCTTATCATTTTTAAAAAGACAACATTGAAATAATTACATTTAAATTAACATACTAAATGACCATTTTTTATGGCATGAAATCCATAAAAATAGGTTATGTTTGGTAGAAATCATATGGTAAGTTTTAAATACTAAAACTTCAGTCCTTGATCAGTTGCCTTTTTTTATGGCAACTTGAGATCATTTATATCTCTTTTTCAGACCTATATTTTGAAAGTCACAATTTATGTACTTATGAGTCATGAAGTAAAATTTTTTATTTTGCAGACTTCATTATGTTCCCATTTATCAGTGTGTACATTTTAAATGTGGTTTTAATATACTAATCATGAACTTTAGAATATAGCCTTAAGTTTTAATTTTCAGTTCTGTTGGGGAATATAAAATTTAGTAATTTTTTTCCACAATTACCACATCATTTTAAAATTATTTTTGTCACTTAAGTTATTCCTATAGTGAAAGATCTTGAACTATTAACACCATGAACTTGAAATTAGTGAGATTTCCAGGAAGGTCTTGGTATAGGATCAGCATCTAATAAAATAAGCAAAAGGCTTTAATTAAAACAAAGTCTTGGGTCAATTGAGTGGTGTCATTATGCTAGATGCTATCAGTTTTATTCAGATAAATTTGTCTTTTTTTGCTGGTTGTACAGATTGTACTTTAACCCAGTTTCTAATAAGCAACCTAAATGAGTTAGCTTTGGTTTTCCTCTTGCCATCACTGTATACCCTCCATCAGTCCTTACTTTGATCAAAGATGAGTCTGTTGATATATTTTAAAACTCCTGAGGATCATATTGGGAAAGAGTCACGCCCCTTTAGGAGGTCCAGGTTGTGGATTCCGACCGGTACTCTAGGTTCCGGCATTTTTTCTTATCACAAAATGCTAGGGCAACATTTTTTATTTGTTTCAACAATAACAAAAAAAACATATTTAAATAAATATCTTTAGTAGGTTTGTTTGTAATATTGAAGTCTGAGTTGGATACCTTTATGACTCCTTATTTTTTATTCATTTCTAGAAAACTTATTCTTACATGCCAAGGTACTTTCAGTGAAAGGATAAATTACATAAAATAAAATATGAATGAGTAGGTACTTAATTTGTTATTAGATTGTGGAATATATGACTAGCATTTAATGTATCAGTAATTTGACTTCATTTAAAATCTAACCTTGGTTGGATTCTCTTCTAAAAAGTCATCAAATTTGATTTTTATATTAGTGTACTTGTCGCTTCTTAATGAATCTAATAGGATACATAATTTTTATAACATGTTTATTTATTTATAGAGATGAAAAATATTTAAAGTTGTTGGTTACCTGTTGATGTTAATTTTTTTTTTGCATAATGATTCTACATCAACTTTTAAAGCAAATGATTCAGCGTTTCCAAAATACTGTATAAAAGGGTATATATTTTAAACATTCAATTTAATTTATCATATATTCTTGGATACCTATAAATAAAACCAATACTGTTTTTAAGTAGCAAATTTAAGAATTATTTGCTCCTTAAAAAGTGTTGTCTTAGAGAATAATCCATTCTAACTTTAAATTGGCTCTTATTATTAAATGAGAATATTTGAAGCCATTATTAGACTGGTTGAAATCTCTGTATTTTTCATACTCTGGACTTATCTAAGTGTCTTAATAGTCAGCCTTATTTTATTTAATTGGTTTATTAGTGAATGAGAAGCTATACTGGGGACTTCAGGAATTCTTTTAAAACAATTGGATATCATTCAGCAACTTTCTTGTTAATCTATTACAAGATGATGTAAATCCTGCAAATTTCATTCTTGTTATGCCACTATTAGGCGGATTTTTTCACTAAAATTTCTAGCTTTTATGCTTTTTAATTTTACCAAAATGGTCTCATAATTAAAATATTGATACAGCTATTTACATATTTAGTATGTAAGACTGAACTGAGTAAATGTTTGCATTTTGCCTGGCAATTACAACCAATTTTTTCTTTAAGGAATAATTAAAATATTTTCTTATTCCCTCTCTCTTGGTCAAGAGAGTTTCAACACATTTTATTGTGTTATTAGGTTGGTGCAAAATCAATTGCGGTTTTTGCTATTTTTTTTTTTAATGGCGAAAACTGCAGTTAATTTTGCACCAACCTAATGTAACAACTTCTAAATGTAGTTGTTCAAAGTCATGAAATTCATATCCCTTAACATCTTTCTTTCAGTTGTTTTAATGAAATTATGAGTAAAGGATGGCCAGATCTTTTTAAAATACAAATTTCCTTCTAAAATAAAGGCTAAAGACATTTTGTTCTGCCTGAAAACTAGACTTTGGGGATGAACTCAAGGCAGACTAAAGCCTGCAGGTCATTAGGAATAAATTAGTAAAGGCTACAAATGTGAGGATTATCTTGTTTGTTTTAATATACAATGGATTCTAAATAAAATGTTGACCCAGGTTTATAAGATCATGTGATTGCTGCCACTATGTCATTTCTTTGTATTAATGTGCAAAAGTACCTTTGTAGCCATATTGTATGGAAAAGTTAAACATAGAGGGTGTGAGAAAGACTTCACTAACTTCACCACCTTACAGTTGTTCTTAATAAGCATTTCAGTCTATGTCTAATATTATTTTCTTATTTTTGAAGAAAAAGATAATTTTTTAAATTTTCTTAATTTTGTATCTCATAACTTTATGAGATGTAACAGTGAGACACAGAAGGAGGTACCATTTTATATACCACATGACTTCCAATGCCTATTTAGAAAAAAAAAATAGCTGAAGTCTAATTTGGAGGGAAAAAATAGATGAAATAGTGATACTAATCCAAATTTAAAAAAATTTGTTACACTCTATTTTTTCCTTTTTTGTTAATGTATTAATAGAATTATTTTCATATTAGGGAATCTCAGTTTATTAATTTGAAATGAATATATTTTTCTATTCTTTTTCGAGTGGTCCCTTAAATAAAATTTAATATTCAGCAATTACCAGATTTTTAAAACTAAGAGCAGTTTTGAAAAAATTGTACATGTCATAGTAGTACCAATTTCCTTGTTCTGAGTTGAGTGATAATGTCCTCACGAAACACTTTGGGGGCACATAGCTTTATCTTAGGCTATTTACAGACTAACTCATTTTATCCCTTAACAAATACATCAGGTTTATTAGATTATCTTTATAGTTTCTGTCATAAAATGACAACTTAAAGTTGAAGATGAAAATCAAAATTATGACATGTTTTTTCACACAAATGCAATTAACATAATTTATATTTTTACTTATAAAATAGGTTACTGTAGTTATACTATAGTTACTTTATAGGTAACTACACATATATGTATTTAAAGCTTTTTGCATATATGTGAAAAGAAAAGGAAATAAGTGTATTTGTAAATATTTTTGCAGTAGTATCACTATAAGTGATTCGCTGCTAATATCTTAGAAATGGCCATCTTTTAAGTCTTTATAATAAAGAAGACAGATTTTTAGAATCATCTGTCCTCACTGTAGACATTATGCCTTTCTTAACATGTGGAAATTCTCTGCTTTAGACTACCATTGCTTTAGAAAGTTTAACATTCTAATATGCAGAGATTTGAAATTGTAAATGAATCAGAGAAATTTTAATTATGACCAACTTAGAATAACCAGTTTGGCCAATTTAAAATATAAGGTAATAATAAGATTTTAAGTGACAGTTTTCAAAAATGACTATTATTGTAGACCACCACTTAAAAAATACTACACTCAAATTATTAACCTATTGCTAGTTGACTTATACAATTATGAAATTCAGAGTTCATGAATGTATTTAATTAATGAGCACTTATTAAGGAATAATACTATTTGTTACAAATTAAATAAGACTAATAAAATTATATGAATTAAGTATACCTATTAGTTTAAGTAGGAAAAATGAACCATAAGTATTTTCTTTAAGGATGAAAACTATGATAAAATTCTTATTTACTATTATTTGTAGACATATTGAGATAATTTGACTATTTTGATTAAACTTTCAAACAAATGGGACAAGTCAAGATAGTCTGATAGGCTATTAAATTTGGTACCTTCTGTTGAAATTCATGTGAGAAATATTACTAACAATAAATTCCATATTGCTATCCTTTTATTCTCTCTTATTCAGCTTTCAGTCCTCATCACCAACATATACCTTTTTGTATAGAATATAGACAAAAAATTTAAATTATAGTTTAATGCTGTAGTCATAGTTATTGGTTTATGTTATCCTTGCAATATGCTTTATGCTAAACATAGGTATAGAGCTGGCCATGAATTCTTGTTTCATGGGACTGAACTTAAATGGGTAAATTTTAAAGAATATAATTTGTTTACAGTTTGATATAACTGTGCCTATTTTATAAGAATTTTTGTTGTAGTTATGTTTAATATAAGATGAGGAAATATTCAATTTTAAGCATTTTTACTAAATCTTTTCGTATGAGTTGTAGTCAGACTTTCTCAGGAGGCAAAGTTGTTTCTATCCTTTCATAATATAGGATTTTCCTTTTTTCTTTTCCCAAGCCTAATGCATTAAGATAATGTTTTCTGTTTCCAAACTCATCATAACTTTGTAAAGTAAATATACTGATTTGTATTCATAATTGTGTTTTTTTTATAGAGAGTGAAAAACAAATCATTGGAAGATGTTGTTATGTTAAATGTTGATACAAACACATTAGAATCACCATTTAGTGACTTGAACAACCTACCAAGTGATGTGGTAAGTATGAAGGCTATTCAGTGGTGAACATATATGTTTTCTCCTGGACCTCTGAATTACTAAGTTATTTTTCCCACTTTTAATATCTGAAATAAAAGGGTTGGGTATTTGCATGGGGTGTGAGAGAAATCAATGTTGATTCTATATTTAATATTTTTACCTTTTAGCAGTTGAGATTTTGAATGGAACATCATATTCCTTATTGTAAAAGTAAGATCATAATTAAAAAGCTAGATGCATTCATTAGGCAGAGTTTCTTTAAACCTAAGTCTCTTCATCTCATCTTAATCATTATATTACAAAGTAGGCATTTCTGTCTGCCTAGTGGCATGTCTTGCAAAAGAATGAGAGAGTTTTTGAAGGCAAGAAGAAGAAGGGGGCCAATTATCGGCTTTTGCTTCCCTGCCACCTGCCAGCGCTTTTCCTTTTAATTAATGATCTGATGTTACTGGTCAATATAATAAGAAATGCTTGTACAGTTGGGGTCAGAAAATTCTGGCTTTGATCTCCCTCAACTTTCTGAAACATTTATTTGTTTTCTCTAAATTATTTCAGTTTTATTTTAATCTTTTCTATCCTGCTGAGGGCTGCAAGAATGAAAACCTACACTGTTTGTCATTTGCTTTGGCAGAGCAAAGACTGCTTACTTAGAATTCTATTTGTAAATTAAACTGCAAACCCAGTTTGTCATAAAAGACATCTGATCCTTTTGAAATGACGAAAACTGTCTTTTGTCTGTAAAGGCTGATAAATTAAGTGCCAGTTCTCTTCTGGTCTTTGATCTTGCGGAGGGTTGTGTGTGTGTGTGCGTGTGTCTGCAGCTTATAATGGGACATATTCTGTATGTCACGTTAAATAGTCTCCAAAAGTGCATTATTTTTGGCCTTCATATTCCTTAGTACAGGACAAAAATGCAAACTAGTACTGTTTCTGTATATATTTTAATGGCTACTTAAAAATATCTTTATAACATAGTTCTAAGTTAAAATAACTTCCTTTTTAAAAAAACAAAGCATTTATTCTTTATATGGATATTAAAATTTGGGAATAAAAATGCCTTCAGAGCATATTTTTCTGTAATATTGAACTACTTTGAAATCCATTATTAAGGAGTTTGAGAAAGTGAATTTAAAAATCCTAAACTCAAAAATACACTAATACCAGCCTTGATTGTCCTTCTGTCTAATGATAGGAAAAATATGATTTTAAAGTCAAAATCAGATTATTTATGCCCATAATACCGTAAAATACTTGCTGACCTTGAGACATATTAAAATTCAACTACCTTATCTTACTGTAGTAAAACTTATGCTATGAATGTACAAATCTAATCCTAGGCCAGTGAAAAATTACATCTTTTTAGCTCATTATAACTAGATTACCTCATTATAAAATTTTTGCAAAAACAAAATCACAAAGAAATTATTAGAGTTACTCATTTAAAAACTAATCAAAGTATTATTCAATGGATAGAGAAATAATTATGAAAATAGAATCCCAACTTTTAAGAATGCTTTCCTTATATGCATGTACTTCCTACCGTTAATGCCTTAGGGAGAAAGATTGTTAAAAAGAGAAAGAAGAAAAAAAAGAGAAAGAAATTCAGCTTTTCTGTACGTGATATTAAAATTTTTATAGGCAGCTTCAATCAATGATAGATGATTCTTGAAAAAATAATCTTTGAAATTTTATTTTTTTGATGGGTGATTCTTTTTTAAATTGAAAAGTACTACTTTCCTAGTAGAATTAGTTTGATGATTAGAACATTTATTTAAATATATGGAGAAGTTAAATAATATTTCACACATGTAAGTATTTAAATATATGGAGAAGTAAATAATATTCACACATGTAAAGGCCTGAATATATAAAATGACAGAAGAGACTATCTTGTTATTTACTCATAAATGACAATATAAACATAACTGAAATATTTAAAAATATAGATAAAAATTATACTGAAAGGTGGTGTAGATTGATTAACTAAATATATGCTTGAAATTCAGGGACACAGACTTATAAAGAAATTTAAAGAATAGACAAATAAAAATAGTTCTGAGATGGAGCTAGGACCATTTACTGAAAGTGTGAGATGGTTTAAAGTTATAGTAATTTTCTAAAAATTTTTTGGGTGATTTTTAGAACCCATTTCTAATAAATATAGCTTTTTCATCAGTTTTCTAAAGTTATCTCTTACAATTTTGGTGGAAATAGGATGAAGCATCACATCATATTTTAGAAGCTCCCCTGCCCCACTAGACAGAACAGGACAATTGTAAATGTCTTAAATGAGTTGTGTTAAAATCACAAATGATCTTACTAAAATTTTTTGTGTGTGATTTAAATTGATAAAATATACTTGAAACCTGAAAAATGTTACTATTAGTATTGTTTGATTGTTTAATAGGTTAACTGAGATTTAATTGGGGGGGGTCCTTTTAAAATCCTTCACCAAAGCATTTAAATTATACTTACAGGCTGGTTGACTTTCTATGCATGTGTACTCTATTATTGTGTCAGATTGACCAGTGGTCTTGGCTGTTCAAAGGTCAGTGGTCACAGTTGTCCTGAATTACTAGTTCTTTTTTCCTGTGGACCCTCTGCTGTGTTGCATGCTGTAATCTTCTTAATGGCTTCATTCCAATATTCACACATAATATTTTAGATTTATTGACTGTTAGAAATACTACCATGCCAGTAGCAGTTCCGCTACTCTTAAGGTATTTAAAATTGGAAAAATAAATCAGGGCAAAGCTTTCAGGATTCCTTTGTTTTCGTTAAGGGAGGGGGAAAACCTCTTTTCCTGTCTTCTGACAAGAACACTTGTTTTTTGATTTCATCATTTCACTATAGATTTGGATCATTAAAAGAAAAAAAAACATATTTTATTGGGAGTGATTTTAATGATATTGATTATTACATGGAATAACTTTTAAAGGCAGTAGATCCAATAAAATATACTCTTGTAGTTTTTGTCTATTAATATATTGTGACTTTATTTTTTAGTGGCTGTGCCAAATAGACACCTTCAAACATCTGTAGTATAGTTTGAATGTTTTGAAATAAAAAAAAGTAAATGTTAGGACTCAGTTACAGCATCAATCACAGTTAGTGTTATTGTAGTATGTTTATAAGGGTGAGAAAAAGAACCAATTGAATTAAATATAACATTTGAAATCTCAAATGACTTGATTTTAATTTATGAAAATGCAGTATTAAAACCTCCTATTCCAAATCTATATAGAATTTAGTTTTAATTGCATAATAATTTAAAATATATTTCTGAGATATTCCTGCTCATTTTAATTTTTATCATTAACGTTTTAAAAAAGCAATTTGGAGGTTGTTACTATTTCAAATATAAATAGAATTACTCTCTTACTAGGAATTAAGCTAATAATTAGAATTATAATATTTAGGAATTCTCTCATATGAATATTAAACAATTGTAAATTCCTATAGATGAAAGCACATTAGAATTGACATCTGAAAAGGTTACATGTATTAGAATATTCATTACAACAGGCAAGTTTTTTTTTACCTGTATTGCTTAACGGTCTCTAATAATTTAAACTTATTAGATTGTAAGAATAGTAATAATATTGATAGGTCAATATGCTATTCCTATTTTAGATAAGAAAATCAAGGCACAGAAAGTATACTGTTAATGGTATATCTATAGATTCAGTTCATAGAGGTTGATCCTCAGGCCTGTGCCCGAAACAGTAGACCATGGTCCCTTTCATATAAATGTGATATACAATGTAATGAATAACTCATTTAAAATATATTATAGAAGCTTACTTGCCACTTAAACTTGTTAAAGAAATATCAGTTTGATCCATTTGATTTAAATTAGGATTTTCAGCACTATTTTTAAAACTTCATTTTCATCTTAAATATAATACTATTGGAAAATGATTTTCTGTTTTCTACTATGAGGGTGTATAGAAAATATGGTACACTTAAGAGTTATTGTACAAGTCACTGTAGACCACTGTATGTTACAGGATAGCTATATTTTGTATGAAGCATATTTAATTACTAAAACGTTGAAAAGACCTTATTATAATGATGCTATCTAAAATATCATACATATTATGGTGAAGCTTTCAGGAATCATAAGAAGGAGTGCATTAAGTGGTTTTATTGTGATAAAAAAAGGAAAGACACAAATTGCTCTGAATCACCAAAAATCATTAAGAGCATGTAAGAACTGGAGAAAACCTCTAAAATTCTGATATCAAATATTTGAATATCTACATTCAAGTGAATTTATTAATTTGGGGATAAGTTTGAGAGAATTAGTTTTTTCAGGGAATTCTAAAATAAACTTTTCAAAAAATATTAAGTTATGTAAGCAAATTAAACTCTTAGAACCACACAGATTGTCAATGGATATGTTTAATTCATTGAATATTTCCTGTAATCTAACATGAAGGTTTAACATGTTAAATTGTCATAATATATGTTATAAAGAAAAAAAAGGGCCCCAGAGAATATTATATTAGTTCCAGGTTTGCCACAGTTCTGCTGTAATCTTTATTGTGTTTAATGGTAAATGAAGTCCCTAACAAATTTCTAGGGTGGTCAGGTTAGAAAGATTCATTCAGCTTCTAGAGTAACTTGGAGAACATTTTATTACTTCAGGAGACAAATATTGCTTTCAGTTTGCCCTTGGAAAAGTATAGTCATGCTTTTTCTCCTCTCAGTCTTCAATTGTTAGAACTCAGGCATCTAGGTGTACCTTGCCTCCACCACACAGCCTTGGTACTGTGCTTTGTAAATAGGCATTCAATAAGTGATTGCTGAAAGGAAATATAATTACACTTCTTTTATCTTTTGTAATAGAAACTTGCTTTTAAAGTCTGTTTACAGTTACCTCCTAGAACATTTTATAAGGATATTTCCATTTGACTTTAATAAGAATAATGAAAATGAGAAACCTGGACGTATATATAAAGTATACTTTTTGACTATGAGCATAACCTTTTATTTCCTGTATTTAGAAAAAGAGACCATGTTGTGATGGCAATCATTGTGCTTCTGCATACCCAGCTGAATGTCTGTGGAAACTCAGCTATTCTTTTAAATAGTTATTATCAGAGATATAATTATTTACAAAGTAGTTTTTTTGTTTGTAGGTAAACTATTATAGATTTTGCTGTTCTCCCAACTGTTTTCTTGGTGTATATTTTGAAAATATAAACCTTAAATGTTAGAACAAAGAAAACAAAAGCAAAACCCGAAAACCTTAACTGTGCTTGTAAACATTTAAAATATTTTTGTTAGTTTCTCTCAATTGAGTAAGAGAACCTGGCTTTCCCACAGCAATGATCCAGGCTTTGGTAATACCCCCCTTTATGTCTCTGTACTTCTGCCATTCTAAAGTTGATTTATTGTTTGTTACTTTTAGTGATTTTAAGTGCTCAATGAAGTTCCTTGGCTTTCTCATGGCTTTTCATTTCCAACTAAATTACCTAGCCTTTCTTTTAATGTCTTCCTCCCATGCTTCTTTCTCTTGTTACTGCAGATATTTTTTTTTTCTAAAAAAGGTAAACCTTGATTTTGGCTGTTAAAATTATTTGCAATTTATTTCTGGTCCTTTAAATTCTTGATTTTTCCATATCCAAGCAACTTTTTGTGTGTAATATTGTGAGCACTGTCACAATAGCAGTTCCCAAACCTTGCCGATATCATAATGACCTGGTGACCTTTTAAATGAATTATGTTTCTGAGCACCATCACAGATACTTTGATTGAGTCAACTGGAGGAATAAATGTAGAATTGTGCATGGAACAGATTGTTAGATTTGTTCATTTATTCATTCAACAGGTATTTATCAAGTATCTACTATGTACACGCATTGTGCTAAGAACTGGGTATATAGTGGTGAACAAGCAAACATATACCCTGATTTCATAGAGTTTATGGTGTGTTAACACTCATCTAGTATTACAAATAGAGACAAATGTTATAAAAGAACAGGGTGCAGTTGGAGAGAATTACAGTGGTATCCTAATTTAGATTAAGGGTGAGATAGGTAGAGGCTGGACCTGTTGTAGCTCAGTGGCACGGGAAAAAAACCATGTGTGTCTCTGTGGTGCAGCAAGGCATTATCTTATGTGGTAGTGCATAAATTCTCGGGGGCTCAAGTGTTCTTCTCCAGCTTAATAGTAAAGGTTGCAAGCCTGAGGTTTCATTTTTCTTATGACGTGGCAGGAACCTGATGCTGTGCCAGTTGCACTGAGGATGGGATTTCAGGTGCACCAGTATGAGAAAGTATGGAAGCAGTTAGGAGCTTGGTCTATATTCTTATTTCATATCTCTCATATATCCTTTATACTGTTTGTTTATTATCCTTTATACTGTTTATTATCCTTTATACTGTTTGGTATATTTATTAGGGTACAAGCTAAGCTGCTATAACAGAAATACCTGAATACTCATTCTTAGATCAAAATAGAAATGTATTTCTCTATTGTATAACAATTAAGAGGTAAGTTTTCCAAAGATGTGGAACAACTCTGCCATCCTCAATACATAGCATCCAACTCTAGGTTTAAGGTATGCTCTTTGTCTACCTTGCCGTAGAGTAAAGAGGAGAATCCACAGAGGGGTATTCATATCCCTTTTAGGGACAGCCTGAAAATGTCATGTTCCTCAACTCACATTCCGTTTGTCTGAACCCAGCCATACGGATACAGCAAGTTCCAAGGGATGTTGGAAACTAGCTGAGTTAACCTAGTTTTGTTAAATATGCACCAGTCCAAACTTAAGATTTCCATTAGCAAAGAAAGGGAGAATAGATGTTGGTGGACTTAAAGCCATCTCTGCTGTAAGTAAACTGATAAGAAAATAATTTTAGCCAAACTGAGATGCCATTTTTACTAGTCCGCACTCTCAGATCAGCCTTTTGTGGTCCAGCCAAGCTCAGTGTATCAGGAACATCTTTCTGCAGAATTGGCCTCAATGATGATGAGTATGAGTAAGCCAGATGGGAGGAGGAAGAAGAGGGAGAGGAGAGATAACATATATAAAGGTTTTCCTGTGGGGAAGAGGTTGGTTAATTCAAGACCTATATAGCTGTAGTGAAATAAACAAAAGAATTATGCAAAATGAGATAGTAGAGATAGGCAGGGGCGATCATAAAAGATGTGTAGTTCTTGTTAAAGACCTTTGGATTTTATTGGAAATTCATTGTATACTTGTAGATGATGCCATATTCGTTAGGATTTGACAGGTACTTTAAACATACAATGAAACAATGTAATGATATGCTCTGTAGGTAAGTATATCATATGCTTTTCATTTAATAAATGTTAAAGGTTACTGTTTTAATCTTCGAATAGAGACTTGTTAGAAAATTATTAAGAGAGAAGTGTTAATTTTGCTTCTTAATAAACTGAACTTTAGAAAGGTTAAAAAAGTGTAGGGATTTAATATCTAATTCATGTGATAACTATAACATGATTCAAGGGAGAATAAAAGTTTTCAACTTTATAACTTTGTTCTACAGATGATTATTTGACACTTTAACTTTTCTAAATGTATGTAGTTTTTAGAGAGCAGTTTAGTTATATGAAAGGAAATATTTAAAAATATCTTAGGAGTGTTTTAGGTTGTGTAGATTATCTAAATATTATTTTGGAACACTTATTTTTATCTTCTCTTCTTTACCCTGATGCTTCTCTTTGTGATCATTAAAAGTAAAATAAAAATTTCTAGGTATAGCAGTTAATATATTTTTACTGCAAAAGCATATCTAGAAATCACATCTAAAAGTTAAGTAAAAGAAAAAATCTGTTACTTCTCAGAAAAACTCAACCCCCTTTTATGCTCTGCCTTCCTGGCTTACTGTCCTTTGGTATAATTACTTCATTACTTAGACTGAGTGCACATGGCTTGCACTCTTTTAACATGTACCTATTTGCTGTGTTTACTTATGTAATTCTGTCCTTTTATTCATAGTCACTTTAGTGCTAAGAGGGTAAAAGTGGGGAATTGGTGGTAATATTATTCATGCTGCAGTGAATTCCCAGCGTGCTAAAATCCAGGTTATAATTCTTCCCATGGATGGCTGCTTGGAGGTCTGAATTCTCACTGAAAGGAATTTAAAACATTTGATAAGAGCAATGAAATGATGCTTATTTCTGAATTTTCTTTTCATTGTTTAACTTTTCGTTTGTGATCTATCCTAATACTAAATTAGACTAAAAAATGTATTTACAGAGTGTAAAATCTCTAAAGACAATACAATAAAATGTCCTTTGTGAAGTAATTCTTAGCCATTGGAGGTTGAGGCTAGCTTGCTTTCTTAAGAATAAAAAGAGAAAACAATTGATACTTTTTCAGTATTAATAGGATTATGTGATAATAGCCATATGACTAAGGCTCCAAATGCTTTTCTGAATTCAGAGTTATGTGTGAGTATAAGCCTTAGGATTTCATGGGAAGAGATATATTTATTTCATAACTAAAGTTAGAAGTTTGGAAATTAAAGCAGAAAATGCTCTTTCCTAGACCAGGTATTAAAAAGTACAGGACAGACCCCATCATTTTTATAGATAAAAACTGCTAAAAGCTAATTAGCACTGCAAAGGGCATTGGTAACTGGTGATAATTTACTCCAGTGATGTAAAGACCAGAAACACAGCCAGGTTGATGCAATGATTTTATATTATATTAATATCCTTATATCTAAAACTGATTTTTAAAAAACAATTGTTTTCTTACAGACTATTTTTGAGCATTCATTTGCCCATGTAGAAACACTTAGCTGCCCTTCTGGTCTCTGAAAAACAGGAACAACTTCAGATGTACTGACAATTGAAGCCCACTAGAGTAGGTCAAGGAAAAATTATTTTTATGTAATTTGTAAAAGTTGAAATAATGTAGAAAGAGGCAAAGGAGAAATATAACTATATTTCTTGCCAGGCAATTTTAGTTTAAAATCTGTATGAAATTAGATAGTATACTCATGTAGAATAACATTGTCCAAAATAAAATGTGAGCCACATGTATGATTGTGTTTTCTTGTAGCCACATTAAATCATAAAAGAAATAGGTGAAATTAATGTTAACGATATATTTTATTTAACCCTATACCTAAATATTATTGCTTCCAAATATAATCAATATGAACATTATTGAGTTTTTTTTGTACTGAGTCTTCTAAATACAGTGTCTGTTTACTCTTACGGCAAATCTCAGTTGAGACAAGTCAAATATCAAGTGTGTATATGACTGATAGCTACCTTATTGGCCAGCATAGTTCTAGAACAGGTACATTCTTTTCCTATTTTCTACACATCCACAGGGATCTCAGGAGCTATCATTGACTAGTTTTGGAAGTGAAGGCTGCATATTTATGATTTGGTTTGGAATGGCTTGTGGCATTGTGTTTAATACTCCCTTATAACTCAGGCAACAATTATGCAGTCAAGGATCTGGTATAATAAAGGCTGAGGAATGGCTTGACTTGCCTGTATTCTTAGTGAGCATATGTGTTGTGATTGTCCAGAGAACATTGTGTTCTTGATTTGTGGAGAACTGAGTTGTGAATTTCATGTTTTATTTTTAAAAATACACATTAAGGAATTTTCTTTTGCAGAGATGTAAGGTGCATTTTAATTTTTTTTTATTTTCTAAAGTAAAAATCTTTTAAAAAAACTATTTATATATAATAATACTTTAAAAAGACTGGAATCATATTCCTTACATCGTAATCTTTTTTGGGGGTGGAGGTAGTAATTAAATACGTATATTGATATGCACTCCCATTGCTATTGAAGGCATTTGAAACTTAAAAGTAGCATTAGAAGTTTCAGAATAAAGGACATTAATTTAGATTTATTTTTGTAATTATTATTGTTTGAATATGTGGGTTACCAAAAAATATGCATTTATTGAGATTAGATTTTAATAATAAAAATCCCTCTTAAATGAATCCTGATTTATGCACTTTGTGGGCTAAATGAATTAGGCTCTCAATTTTTATCTGAATCTATGGAGCTTGGATATAAATTGAAAAGATCACAGCTATGGGGAGAAGACCTACACTGCAAAGGCCTTTCTGCATAGATTATGAACATAACTCAATAATTTTTTCGAAACTGTGGTTATAATTGGACCCAATGGGGGTCTGTTTCTTTGATCAGATCACAGTAACTGTGACTTTACACTGGAAAATGTCACTATTGTGAAGTTTTATCACCTGTAGAGCTGGTCTTTCCTCTGATGCTGTGTTCATTTCTCATTAGCATTATTCAAAGTTTAGTTGTTAATTAGGTTGACAGTTCAATTACAATCATATACAAGCAAAGTCAGGGCTACTTGCATAAAGAAATAAAAATAACCCTTCTTGCATAGATATATGTGTGCATGTGTATTTGTGTATATGTGTGCATGTGTTGTGTGTGTGTATATGTGTGCATGTGTATGTATGTGTGTATATGTTTGCATATATATGTATGCACATATATACCTAAAAAGGAGAAATGACTATTTTGTTATATGATAGTTTCATAAGGGTAAGAATATGCTCTGTTAAGTGAGCATTCTTTCCAAAATTTGTCGTACCAGTTTTTTTTCTAAATAAAACAGAATTGTTACACAACTTAATATGTTTCCATTTTAAGCATTGATGAATATATATGAGAACCAATATTTTTAAGTGAACAGAATATAGTTTTCTATTTTGTGTGAAAGGAATTGGTACAGTGAATTGGATGCATAGGAGCATTTTATATCTCCTCCTCCTTAAAAAATAAGAGTTTACATCAGGAGTATGATCTCACTTAAAATTCTGTTCATAAATAATATGCATTTTCTAAAATACATAGCACTTAAAAGATAGAAAAATGTATGAAAAATTAAAACAAACTTAAATATCTTTTAAAATTATGCACATTTTTAGGTAAGTTTTTCTTTGATTTGAAACATTAGTGTTTTAATCTGATTACCGGTTCATGAGGCAATGATACTGAATTCAAACCCACCATGTGGTAGTGGAAAAAACTGGACAGAACTAGGTTTAGATCCCAGCTTTGCCACTTATTGGCTACATAGTAAGGGCAAATGAATTCACATCTTTGTTCCTCTATTTCTTCATTCATAAATGGGAATATGAATGCTTTTCTTAGAAGACTGTGGTGAAGATTAAATGACACAATGTATAACATTTGCATAAAATTCTCCACTCATGGTATAATTTCAATAACTTTATCTCTTCTCCCCTCTTCTTTATCTCATAATGACAAAAACTATTCAACAAATGACTGGAAAATTATATATGCAAATGAGACTTCCAAAAATAAAATTAAATGGTAAGTGATCCTGGAGGACCTGTAACAAATAACCTTACATAGCAAAAACGAACAAAACCTAACCTGCTTCATCTCAAAACAAGTAGACACATGTTGTAATTGCTAGAAATCTGTAGAAATGTGGCTCACAAGCAGTTTATTGTAAAATAATTAAAGCTTATTTATGTCAAGAGGCCTTGGGAAAAAAAGAGAGCATAAACCAATTTGCATTAGCACGTTACTCTCCTCTCCTGCTTTCGTTTCAATTAACAGACCAGCAGGTGCTCTCTGCAGTTAAAAAGATAAGCTATCAGGGAGGAGGATGAATTTTTGGCTGACCTACAGACACTGTGGTTTGCCTGCTGATTGGGTTCCTACCTCGCTGTACCAATTTCTGAGGTGTTAATTTAACTGTTCCTCTCTGTCATGCAGGTCTCGGCCTTGAAAAATAAACTGAAGAAGCAGTCTACAGCTACGGGTGATGGAGTAGCTAGGGCCTTTCTTAGAGCACAGGCTGCTTTGTTTGGATCCTACAGAGATGCACTGAGATACAAACCTGTAAGCGTTTTGTTTCATCACTGTTTTAATTTGCTTTTTTATGGTTCTTTGGAATGAGACAGAAAAAAAGAGACATCATTTTAATATTACACCTTCAAAAAATATCATGGAAATCTTTTAAGATCCAAAATAATGTGTTTCAAAACATACATTTCATCTCCAATTTTTGACTTTTTATTTTTAGTTTTGTTTAGTACTCTTTCATTAGTATTTCCCAAAGTCTTTGTGTTACATTATTAATGCTCTAGGATTGGAATACTTACTCCTTAACTAATTAAAGACTTGTATTACTGTATTTTAAAACACTTACCTGATCTTGTTAAGATCATTAAGAAATTCACAAGACAATTGGGCTTATTAGATTAATGAGTTTAGAAATGACAGGTACAAAGTGATACTTAAGAAAAATAGAACTTGAAGGTTTTACAATATTTGGAAATTTGTTGTCTTCCTAATTCATGACCCTTTGCTAAGGTGGGTTTATCTCTTTAGCATATCTTAGCTCATTTTCTCATTCTTTCTGTTTTAATACCCTAATTATTATTGTGTAGAATTATAGCCAAGTTTTTAAGAGTATCCAAAAAGGTGCAAGTCAAAATACATTTGTTGCTCTCTCTGAATTGTTGGTTAGAGCATGTTAGGCTGATTTTACAGAAATTATTACACTATTCTTCCTTCACTGGGTGAATAAGTTGTAAGAGATAAAACCATTGATTTAGTAATAAGAAGACCTGCTATCTAATAGGAGTTGTTACTAAACTGCGTAACCTTGACCCATTTCCTTAGTCTCTCTAGATTTTGATCTTCATGTTTGTAAAATGAGAATTCTTATACCTTCCCCCTCTATCTTTCAGGATAACTCAGTTGTAACTCAGTTAAACTCAATTGTAAACTCTGAGGCACTAAGCAAATGTGAATGGGTTGTATCTTTTCTAAACTGACTTCTGAATTAGTGGTTCCCACTCAAGTGGTCCTTATAGCTCTAAAAGGTCATCTAATTATTGGAAGGATTCCTTAAATGCATGGGCAGATCCGCTGCTATTTTTATAAGTTCAGCTGCTTGTTTGTCTAGTTTACTTGCTAATCTTTTTGAGATATGTGTATATTTTTAAAGCATTATATAATTCATAGTACTATACAGAGTATACATATCTCACATGGGGGAGTCTTAAAAAGTTGTTCATAGTTATAAGGGTCTCATTCTTTAAAAGACTGGAAACCAATAATCTATACTACAGTAGGGCATATTCGTATTTGAATTGTTCAACATCAGTTAAAACATAAAAATGAGTTTGAAACACAAAATTGGTGATTGATTCTGGTTATGTCAAAGTTTGAAAATAGGGATTGATTTCAAGTTTACAGTATGGGAAGGAAAGTTAAAAATATCACTTTACTTGAATTTTGACATATTTAAGTACGTATTCATCTTTATAAACTAAACTTCATTTTTATTTTAAAATTTTTTGAGTACTTCAGATTTGAAGAAAGGAGCAAATCAAAGTGAGAACATTTTCTAAAATGATTTAAACTATCAGTTTGTTGGGTGCTGACTGAAATTAATAAAATATCCCATCTTTAATATTAGTTACTGTAGATTTCATTGTTTAATTTTCTCACCCTTTAAGCTTCATTGCACAGATAGGAGTATAAGATTTCAGTGACTTTTTAAAAAAAAATCTTGAAAGCCATATTGTTACTATCTGTGAAAAATGTTTAATTTTATCTTAGAGTATATTTCTTGTTTATTGATCACATTTTGTTATAAATTTATTTGTTTAGTTGCCTACATTTTTTTCTTTTTACATTTGGTATTTTCCTGTTTTCATTTCTGCTGCTAGTTTTTTTTTTTTTAGGAGTATTTTCATTTTCTATGCCTTTACATTTTTTCTGACTCAGTCTTTGAATGAAAGCTTCCTTTTTAATGTATACTGAATGCACTTAGATGATTATTTTCCATTTATTTTCACAAGAGATAGTTTTTAGGGAAAATGATTTATTTCTTTTTGTGCATAAACTATGCTTTTTCAACCATTATCTTTATACATTACTTGTATCATAATTTATTAAAAGTATATTAATGTTTTGTTTTATAATTCTTTTCGGTCATTGATATAATAGACCAATGTCTTCTCTCTTTACTTAGACCTTTTTTTAATATCAACCAAAAATATTTTATATCAATCAAATATATTTTGGTTGATATTTAAAAAAAGGGCTAAGTGCAGAGAGAAGTTTCAAAAACATATTTAAGGAGTATCCTGCTACTATAGTACAATTGGAAAGGAAAATATTACTCAGTAGGTGTTAATAATGTGAATTATTTTACTAGACATTACTTTTTAAAATTTTATGATTGTTTATACACATAAAAATAAACCATTATTTCCCTTAGTTTTAACAAAACTAAACCTGTAGGTTAGACCAATGACAGATCAGTCTCAGGTGCCATCTCTTCACCTGGCATTCAAGGCCCTTACCATGGGCAGGCAGTCTGTTATCCTTTTTTCCTAAACTTTGACCTCAGTTCAGAGAATTCTGCCTGTGGCTTCGAATGTCCCAAGCTTCTCAGGCTTCCACACATTTACTTATAGTGTTCTTTCTTCCTGGCAACGCTTTTAATCCTCACTTTTAATAGCCGTCTAGTTCCTTCATGATCCTGGAAGCTGTAGTTTGTGTTTGTACTGACCCCTTCTTTCTATGAATTAATTATACTTATTTTAACACATTTCTTCAGCCTTATTCATATATGATTTGTTAATTACATTGTTATTTTGACTGATATTCATAATTTTTGATCACTATTAAAACGTTAACTGACCATTGAGCACCCATTGGATGCCAGGCATTGATAGGCCCTTTAGATAAGTGTTCTTACTGAATTTTTACAAGCCTTCAAAATATTACTCTTTATATTTTAAAGATGAGGAAAATGATACTCATAGAATTTAAGTAACCTCACTGTTTCTCTAGCTAGTGAAGAGTGGGGCTTAGGTTTGAATCTGTTTTTTTCACGGTCCCTCTCTTGCTCTAGTGTGGCATATTTCTGTTCTACTTTGCCTCTGTTATCATATGATGCTTTTTTTTTTTTTTTTTTTTGAGATGGAATCTCACTCTGTCTCCCAGCCTGGAGTGCAGTGGTGTGATCTCAGCTCGCTGCAAGCTCCACCTCCCGGGTTCATGCCATTCTCCTGCCTCAGCGTCCCGAGTAGCAGGGACTACAGGTGCCCGCCACCATGCCCGCCTAATTTTTGTATTTTTAGTAGAGACGGGGTTTTGCCGCGTTAGCCAGGATGGTCTTGATCTCCTGACCTCGTGATACACCTGCCTCGGCCTCCCAGAGTGCTGGGATTACAGGCGTGAGCTACCGCGCCCGGCCGTGATACACTTCTTAAGATATGTTTCCTGAACGTGCATTACTTCTAAATGAAGATACATGAAAGGCATTCAGTATTCACTAATGGAAAGACCAAACTGAATACAAAATCTTAGGAATTTTCTTAATGGAAACAGGTGGTATAGGCATCTCATAATGGGTATATAAATTGGAGAAATTATTTGATATTTATGCTGTCTCTTTCCATTTATGGTTTTGTTTACCTGGAGTAACTACTACTACTCAAACTGCTTCATCCTCTTCCCTTTAGTCTTCTAATTCTTCTCTTCCCTTCTTTGTCTTAATGCTCTACACAGCAGGACTGAATATATTGTACTGAAAGGGAGTTTTGATTTGTCTATTTTTCTCTTTCTGCAGAAAAGCATCTAAAGTAAAAGTCAATGGCAAGCTGCTTCATTGTATAAGAATATACTTCTTCTGTTTATTAGGATGCATTATAGATATAATTTATGTTTATCAGATATATGTTGAATGCAGCTATAATAGGACCTCTCTGAAGCTTCTGGACCAAAAAATAATGTTCAGCATGTGCCCTGCCCCCATCCCCACAGGAGCTTATAGTGATAAAGGGTGATATAGTCATTTCTTCTCTAGCAGTAATAAACAAAACGAATCCGAAAATTATAAAAGAAAATTATACTTCTAAATGTATGGGAAACAAGAAACCTGGGAGATAACTATTGAAAATGTGCATTTTTCATGTCTTTCACCATGTTCTCAAAAAAGAATAAAACCAAAAAGGGTTAGGATTCGCTCCTATAGAGGCAGCAGAACCAGTCATAAATGACCTTCAATCAGGAGAGTTTCAGCTTTATCTTACAATTAATGCACAGTGTTTACAATTATTTATCATGGGAATGCAGTGCTTAGTGTTGTATATTAGACAGTTCACTTTTATGATGTTCATGTTAGATCAAAGTTGAGCAAGACCAGAGGCGGGGAGACAGGTGTGGCTATTATGGTCTTATTGAAGAAGAGGAAGAAAGGACCTTTGTGAATATCCTGAAGGCTCAAATCTCAAAGACCTTAGGAAGGAAGACAGGAGTACTGGGGAACCAGTGGATGTGGATTATGAGAAAAATACCCACTAGGATGATTTGCATATCCCTATACAGATACTAAATACATAAGCTAAATTCTGCTAAAGAGTAACTTATTTTATAAATTAAGTACTTAAAACGTCTAAGCTGGCAACCCTAAATTGTTGTTACTTACAGTGTGTAATCCACACTCTCTAAATGTTACCTTGGCATGATTGGCAAATAAATTGTACCTACCCTTAATTACAGAGAAAAATATAAAACTCCTTAAAGTTGTTGGAAATTTAAATAAAGTAATGAATATTTTACTCTTTTTTTTGGATTTTAGCCAACAGTAAGTTAGCTACTTTTTAAGAATTGAAAAATGTGAGATAAAATTAATGTACTAAATGAATGGAAGAAAAGCGGTAAGAGCACAAGACTCTGTAACCATACTGCCTGGATTCATCCTCATTCGGTGACCAACTAGTTGTATGACTTGGGGCAAATTAACCTATTAGTGCTTTGGTGTTCGCATTTGTTAAAAAAAAGTAATGATGCTTCTTGGATTGCCATGTAGTAAATGCTGTTTACGTCGTCATTATTAAAAATAAAATATTAAAATCAGTAGATTTAGTAAGGAAAATCCCTTTAGCATAACCACAAACAAAGCATCTTTCCAGAAAGGAAAACACTGCCTTAAACATGACAATACTTTTAAATGATTGTATTAAATAACTAAGAAATGGTCTTTAGTTATACCTCTTTGTATCACTTGTGTCAGAAGCTATAAAAAAATAAGTCAAATTTTTAAATAACAGCTAATGCTGAAGAAATGTTTGTTTGAGTTAAAATATTGTTTAGTATATTCAAAGACATACTTGATTATCCTGCCTGAGAGCACAGAAGTAACACTCAAGTTTATTCCCTTTAATGCTTAAGGTGCTGTCATGTGTTTCCATCACTCAAGCTTTCCTGGGCTGCCTTGAACCTTGCTAATGGATAAAAAATAAGTTACTTTAAGAATAAAGATTGGTTAGTAATCCGGTCCTCCGTTTGACAAGGTGGAGGAGTTATCTTTCAAACATTTTTTGATTATTTTCTTTAAAACATTATCAGTAAGTAATGTTGTTGTATTTAGTGATTAAGCTCAAGCAATTTAAACACAGGGTTGGCATCCATAATTTAAAAGGCCATTCACTAAATCTTTGTCTTAACATTTACATTTAAGAAACTTGTAATTGTCAACTTATTAGAGTTTTAAAAATCCAAGTTGAAAAGTACTACTCACAGTTTTATGGTTACTAAAACATTTTACACATCCTTTCATGTCATTTCTCTTGCTTGAGCACAGATAGACCTGTTGACTTGAGAGATGGTTACCACCAAAGAAATATTTGGTGTGCATCTGGCTTTTTAATGGATAAAAGTTGTTTTATGGCACTTTCTTTCTGCTCATTTCTAATTAGTAGGGAGAGAATTTTGCTTAATTGCTTCAGTAATAATATACAGTTTCTCCTCAAGTACTTTGGAATAGTTAGAACTAGGGACTTGGGTAGTAAGTGTTCCATTTATATATCACTGATATGTTTTATGAGAATGGAGAGTGTTTTTCTTATTGCCTTAAGTTGTGGGGAAGAAAAATGTAATTTTTAATAGTATGAACAAAGTTAATGCACAATCTATTAATTTTTTCTAAGTATTTAAATTCACACAAAAAGCTAGAAACAGCAATGTCTAATTTAGAAAAATTAGTTCCTTTTTCTGTCTTAAGTTGCTGAATCATAGGTAAATAGAACATTAGTAGGTAGCTGTAGTTTTTCTTTTTTCAAGACAGATCCAGCAACTTGAGGATAAAGTAATAAAATAATATGTACAAATAGAATATTTTGATGCTGATGATTAAACTTTATAGTTTGACTGTGAGGTTCTTTTTCATTGACTTCTAGCTAAAGTGCCAACAATGGAAGAAAATTACTGTTTCCATGGTTAATATACTCTGAAAGTAGAGTTGCTGTATCTTACATAATAATAGCATTGGGACATGTAGAAGAAAAATGCTGTATAACCTGAAAATCATTTATTATTATTTCCTGTGAGAATCTGCAAATATTTGAACATTCCCATGAGATATCTGACAGCAGAGTCTTTCAGATATTTTAAATTTAAAATAGCCATCAATATGCAGACATTTTTGCTTAGTTTGTTTATACTCCTTTTGTAATGGTGACATTACATTGAGTCCAGGTGCATTAAGGAACTGAATAAGTATAATGTTGATGTTTTGGATTATATTTCACATTTTTTACGTTATCATTCTTTCTGATGCCCTAATTTTCTTTCACAGTGAACTCTTGCTAAGTCATACACGTCCTGATAGTATAAGATCTAATCTATGTTTTAAGTATTTTCTTGTTCTTACAAAGTTTTCTACTCCCGGTACAATATATAGAACTTGAAAGATACTTATTCTTAAAACAAACAAACACAAACATTATGTCAATAATGATTATCACTCTGAAGTTGAGCAGCATACTAGGGTAGAAAAACAGCTGTATTTCATCCATAACTTACTTGTGGCTTAATTATTCTATATAAATAATTCATATAGTAACTAGCAGATATTTATTTAACACTCAAAATGCAGGGTACTGGGTTGGGTGCTGCAGGGCAGGGATCCCCAGCTCCCGTTAGGAACCAGGCCAGATGGCAGGAGGTGAGTGGCAGGCAAGGGAATGAAGCTTCATCTGTATTTACAGCCGCTCCCCATGGCTCACATTACTGCTTGAGCTCCACCTCCTGTCTCATAGGAGCAAAACCCCTATTATGAACTGCATATGTGAGGGATCTAGGTTGCATGCTCCTTATGAGAATCTAATGCCTGATGATCTGTCACTGTCTCCCATTACCCCCAGATAAGACCATCTAGTTGCAAGAAAACAAGCTCAGGGCTCCCACTGATTGATTCTACATTATAGTGAGTTGTAGAATTATTTCGTTATGTATTACAATGTAATAATAATATAAATAAAGTACACAATAAACGTAACGCGCTTGAATTATCCCACAACTATTCCCCACTCCTCTGGTCCGTGGAAAAATTGTCTTCCACAAAACCCGCGTCTGGTGCCAAGAAGTTTGGGGACCACTGCCATAGGGAATGCAAAGATGATCAAGAATTTAGTCCCCGACCTCCAGAGTTCACAGATAAGATATATGAAAATAACCTTGAATGTATGGCAGAAAATAAGTCCCTAAGAAAATCTGTTTCTCTTCTCTGTAATATAAACTTTATTCCGATTCTACTGCAGATTATGTTTTCCTGATAGCTGTTTATGTTCCTTTGTTGGGCTTTCCATCGAAATGACTGCTTTTGATTCCTTTCTTTTTGCCCCATCACTGTTTTATGGAGCAAAATATTCAGTTGTTTTTCTCTCATGTCAGAATTATCTCATGAAGAGATTTTCTTTTCCATTGTTTTATGTTTCTACGTGGTTACTTTGTGTCTCTACAGAATCATATGTTTACTTACTTTTCTGTGAATGAATAATACAACATTTAAAAAAATAGATTATAGATGGGTATTTCTCAATTGCATAAGTCGTTTTCTGTAAGTAGATTGATCAACTCAACTTTAATATTCAAGTCTGTACAGATAATTCTTAAGTATGTATTAAATAACAAATTTTCCTAACACGAGTTTCTAGCTTTGTGCTACATATCTTCATGTATTTCACAGACATCTGTAGTAGATACTGTTGGTGCCCTGCCCAGATCCCCTGTACTTGTTGTTGCCGTTTTGTGAAAAATTGCACTTAGCTAAATGGGAGTGCCTCACCAGGAAAACTGTGTTCAACCCTCATCTTTGCACCTCTCACCATTGAAAAAGACCACTTCTTATATGGGATATAAGAAGCTGGCCTCTCTGCCTCAAAGTGGGATTAACTCTGTGATACAGTCAGTGCTTTCCCATGGGATTCGGCTGAAGCTTGTCTCCAGTTGAGACCATGTTCTTGCTTGACTTTTTCCTCTGCCCCGTCTTGTTTTCTTTAATACCTTTTTCCTGAGAGTGATCTGCGAAAATCAATTGAACCAAGAACCCCTGTCTCAGGCTCCAGTAGGAATACTACAGAAAACATATGCCAAAATTGATTTTATCAACTTCTCCTTAAATGTGGTTTTCTTTCTATATTTTCAGTCTCTAATAAATAATGTCATTTTATGACCCTTAATCTAGAAATCTGGAAGTCACCTTTGACCCCTACTTGTTACTGTCGATATCAGTGGTTCTCAAACATTTTGGTCTCTGGATGTCTTTATACTCTTAAAAATTATCAAAGAACCTTAATTTATGTGAGGTATATGTATAAATACTTACCATATTAGAAATTAAAACTGAAAAAATATACATTTATTTAAAAAGCAATATAAACTAATTAAATATGAATATAAAACATTTTTGTGAAAAATTGCTATATTCCTAAAAAAATTTAGTCTGAACAATATCATTGTTTTACATTTTTTTCAGATCTCTTTAATATCTGGCTTAATAGAAGTCAGCTGGATTCTGATATTTGATTCCGTATTCAGTCTATTGCAATATTGCCAACCATGTAGCTTTTGGGAAACACTGTTGGATCTCAGGAGAAAATGAGAGTGAAGAGTGACAATAATGACTTACATTATTATGAAAATACTTTTGTTGTTACAGATCCTGTGGAAAAGTCTGACCTTGGATCACACTTTGAAAAACATCACTGCATATCAGTTGACAAACTAGTCCTATTGATTTTGCCACGAAATGTTTAACAATGTAGTTAACCACATGAACTTCAAATACTCATAACCTGGGTTAAAATCATAGGCAGAATTCTTCTCATGTCATTCAATTCAACTTTGATTTTAAAGAACTCATACTCAAGAGTCATTTATTAATATCTCTTTCATAACATATGCCTTAAGGATGACAGTAATTGAGGCTTCCAGTGATGGCAGTAATTGAGGTTCTTGTATATTAATATATACAACTTTAAAGCATTATTAATAAAGACTTATTTTTCTCCTTGAGAGAAAATTCTGATGTGTCAGTGCTTTGCCTTTTGTTATTATCAGAGATTCTTAGTAAATAAACCGTGTTAATCAAATTGAAGGTTTAGTTCAAAGTTTTTCCATGATTTGTGTCATCACAAGTGGATGGACAGCAAATCTGAGCTTTTTCTTTACCTGTTCTCTGGAGAGATTGAAAGTACTCAAAGGTTAATGAGGACAGAATTCTTCTAGCTTAATTCACATAGGCTAATGATTAAACTATGCCCAACTCTTAAGAAAGCATAGACTTTAGTCTCTCATCCATTTCTTCTTGTCTTGAAATACATCTTTACATGTTTAAGGAAAAATCTATCCCATAAAAACTAAAGTTACTATTAGTCCTGATTACTTTGTAATAGCAGTGATGCCAGAACTGCCATTAGAGGCAATTACTTATATTTATTTTTAAAATTGTATTTATTTTTGTGAAGATGATATGTCATATAGAATAAGGCTTAGCTCATTTGCTATTTTTATTTTATTTTTAAAATTCAGTCATAAAACATTTATCGGGCTCCCAGTGTAACTAGGGATGATGCTAGTACTAGAGATTAGAAAACAATAGACCTTTATTTTTAACAGGCTTGCCTTCCTCCGATAGATTATAAATTCTGTGATAGTGGAAAATATAGTACATTTGTGATCATCCAAAATATATTTATGTAAATTAGTCCGGTTTAAAAAATATGTAATTTAAAGGTCATCTGTAGCTCTTTACCATTGGCAATAATAGGCTAGGTTGGTGACTTATGCCTAGAATTCCAGCTTTTTGGGTGGCCGAGGTGGGGAGATCACTTGAGCCCAGGAGTTTGAGACCAACCTGGGCAACATAGCGAAACCCTTTCTCTACAGAAAATACAAAATGTTAGCCGGGCATGGTGGCATGTGCCTGTAGTCCCAGCTACTTGGGAGGCTGAGGTGGGAGGATCACCTGAGCCCAGGAGGTCAAGGCTGCAGTGAGCTATGAATGAACCACTATAATCCTACCTGCATGGCAGAATGACACCCTCCCCAACCCCTCCCCTCTGAAAAAAATTGGCAATCATCTGTATAAAAATGTGTAATGACATTTTTATTATGAATCATTGGCTGGTAGCTGATGGTAGGTGACACCACTTAAGAGTTTATCGAATTGTCTTCTTTAATAATTTGTTTGAATTTTGTTTTCTTTTTTCTATAGCAGTGCTATCCAGGAAAACTTTTTATGCTGAAGGAAATGTTCTATATCTGTGCTGTTCAATATGGTAGCCACTAACCACATGTGACCATTGAGCGGTTCAAATGTGGCTAGTATGACTGAGGAACTGAAATTTTAATTAATCTTCATAAATTTACATTTACATAGCTACATGTGATTAGTGTCTACTGAATGTGACAGTACAGTTCTATAGTGTATTAACTTTATCAGAAAGTGGTAATAGTTTAATTAGTTACTCTCATTATTTTATTTATACAGGAACCTATTTTCAGAATTGTACTTAAAGATATCTGTAATAATATTGAGTCTTCCTTAAGATTAAATTATAATTGTAATTAAATTATTCTTATTTTTTTTCAAAGTTCTATTACAAAGTAAACAGGCACACTTTTTCTTTTTCCTATGACATAAATATTGCTACAAGGTGCATTGTAATGAAGGAATCATTT
This sequence comes from Homo sapiens, assembly GCF_000001405.40. Classification (NCBI taxonomy): domain Eukaryota; kingdom Metazoa; phylum Chordata; class Mammalia; order Primates; family Hominidae; genus Homo; species Homo sapiens. Next base: position 197,584,056 of record NC_000001.11, on the reverse strand, counting down.
TTATTCATCTGTGTTTTCATTTTTGTCATAAAGTTTAGTCACTTATCTTTGTTTGTGTTGAATGGGCTAAAGGGCTGTTCAGGCTGATGAGGGAAATAGCAGGTGGTAGGAATTAGCCAGTGGGTGATGATTTTCTGCATTCATGCAAAGGAATAAATAGAAAAAAAATGGAATCAGTAGGACTTGAGATTTAAGTCCTTGCTGGTTTGGAGGAGCATTTGGTAGAGCTACCACAAGACGCTTGCAAAAATATGATTACTTAACGCAAAGGATTAATGAAAGCAGATCCCAAGTAGGACTTATCCTGGAAAGTATCCAGCCTGAATTGTTTTGCAATCATGAAGAGAAGGTGATTGTAAAATCTTTTCATTAATTAAAAAACAAATTAATGATCATAACAACTAAGTGCGAATGTCAAATATCATGCAGCAGTTTTTATAGTAACAGTGTTTTCCAATCAGGATGCAATAAAATTATGTGATATTTTCAGGTATGTGTGCTATGTTTAATACTCATAATTCAATCTGATGATGTCAAATCTTTATTTTTAGGGGATTTACTTTTACTTGAGGGAGTAAAATTGAGCAATTTTAAGAGTACATGGGATCCTGGATTAGAAAGGTGTAGTACAGGCTTATTAGTAGAGGAATATTTCTACTAGCCTAAACTATTCTGTGTAAGGAAGGGTCTGTTGCTTCTGCACCTTACGCTTCCTCTATCACTCTTCACATACCTATTTAAAGAGACTAGTTCTCTCTGACTAACCTTTTATTGATGCCCTTAAAATCTTTATTTCTATCTAGGGTGAGCCCATCACTTTCTGTGAGGAGAGTTTTGTAAAGCACCGCTCAAGCGTGATGAAACAGTTCCTGGAAACTGCCATTAACCTCCAGCTTTTTAAGCAGGTAAGAGTGGACCTCCACATTTTTCTTTTGTAAGACAACATTGTCAGTTTTACACATTTGTATTACTATAAAACTATGTACAAACCCTGAGTAGCATCTTTTCTAGAATGTCAGGAAATTTTTGTTTATTTTGTAAGTCGTAGCTAGTTATGACATAGCACTCTAGAAATATTATATAATAACTTTGCTATTAAAAATTTCTCATCAAATGTGGCTGAGCTTAAAGTCTCATTGAGGAAGAATATACATTCACAGAAGAAGCAGCAACATGACTAGTTTTACTTATACAAGGCATCTTAGAAGAAGTTATTTTGGTATGGTGGATTGATACGGTAAACTAACAAACTGTATTTTGATAGGATTATTCCATTGTAATATAGTTTATAAAATAGTTCATAAAATGAATATTTAACTTTTTAAGCTTTGTAAGACTTTTTAATACTCATACATTCAGAATTAATAATAAGACTCATAGTTATGCTGTTTGTCCTGATTTTTGGTTCAGAAAATATAATTGCTATTTCAAAAAAGCAGTAACTAGACATCAGATTTCAGAAATTTTGGATGCACTGCTTCTGTCATTCCATTGTGTAATCATAGCAAGTGTCTTAAATTGGGTTGTCTTAGTTTCTGTATACAAAATTTGAATTAAGTTCTTAACACTTGTTTTTCTTATTCCGCATGACAATGTTAAGTGTAAAGTTTACTATGTGAATTAAACATTTAATGAAGACCTACTGTGTGTCATAAACTGTGCTCAGGGCCAGGATACAAAAATGAATAAAAACTCAGTAATGCCCTTGAGAAGCTGACAGTCTAATAATTTTTTTGAACTGTTAGAAGGGAAGATACTATATCACTCAAAATAACCTTCAAATTAGGTCAGTAAAGAAGTCAGCATGGCAACAATTAATGCTACTACTTCTGAGGAAATTTTAAAAAATAATCTGAGATTACAAAATACTCTGGGGCATGGGGAGATACCTGTCTTCCAATAAGTGAAGTTTTACATTAAGGAAAGGGTTAAGGTTATCCTGTACACAAACTTAAGGAGCATGGATTTCAGGATCAGAGATGTCCTGTGAATTTCCAAAAAATAGAGTGGGCTGCTTTTGGAGCTTTTTGTCCCTAGAGGTCTCCAAGCATAGACTCAATTACTTCCCAGGGTTGAAAGGAAGATCAAGTGATAGTGCTTTATAAATGCTGAAGTATAGCACAGTACAGTCCTAAGCTAGTCATGCAGTGCATGCTTGTTGAGTAAAATATCAGTACCTTTTTGTATTTTTCTCTATCAAGAAGAGGCACTATCTTCCATTATCAAAACTGAGTTGTGAAGATTAAATTATATGGGGGTTAGGGATTGAATGGGTAGGTAGAATATCTAACTTATTTCCCTTTGATCATGAACTTCTGTAACTAGTTCCTTACCACTTAATAAAGTTAATAAAACAGTAATTTTTTTGCATAGTTACAGAAGAGTTTACTTTTTAGGAGTCATGTATAGTTGGGTTGCATTTTGACTGTATCGCAGAATATCTGTTTTACATGAGTACATATTTCTTTTTCTTTAAAATAGAAATATTACCACCTACCTCACAGGATTATTATAAGGTTTATGTGAATTAACACATGTACACTCTCAGCACAATGCATGGTGCCTTGTTGATGCTCAGCAAATCTTAATGTCTGCCTCATTCTTAGAGAAATTACATTAACAAAATACATATCTGTGTAGGACTTTTAAAAAATACAGTTTGTTCAAGGACGTTAAATGTAAAATATGAAAATGGTCAACCAAAGAACTAATTATGTGGACAATGTGGATAGTCTTACTTGCACAAATTGGCTGTCTTCTAGAACTTGATATGCTCATGATTCTTAAAAAAGTGATACGTGAAGATAGCCCTGAAAGGATTGAAAAGATTCTCGTTGACAGAGTTTCACAAACTTCTAAAAGAAGAGTCAATTGGTAAAAAACTAACACAGATGAATCCTCAAAGATACTACTCATATGGCTGAAAAAATATAAAAATATTTATTAGGTACAAAAGATTTATGACTATGACTTTGTGATCCATTATAGGTCTAGAATTATTCAGGTTATCTCTTAGAACAACTTATGCTTCAAATTTGAGAGGACTCTGACCCAGGAGAGCAGCATATAATTTTAAGGAAAGAGTTAAAGTGAAGTTTTATTTCTGATAATATGGCAGGGTAGGATCCATAAATAACCTACATACTACAATTTAAAACGTAATATTTAAAGAACTCCTTATGTTGAGACAGTACAGGAGACAAAGCCTAGTGCTCACTTTACAAGATGAGAAGTGTAATAGGAGACCCAGTTCCTGTAATTCTGAGAAGACTTAATGTACAGGTAAACTAGAAATAAAGGTGTTTACTTTCTCAGTCAGTTTCCTGGGGATCTGTAAGGAAACTCATACATCCAAAGCATTAGTGCTGGGTAGAGGGAAGGGAAAAATGCTGTTAAGAAATAACCACATGTCAGTCTGCACAGAAATTTGCAGCCTGAATTAATATTTTCTGATTTTGGCTGACAAAACTCAAACGAAATTTAAAGGACCCTAAATGTTAGTGCCCCCAGACCTCAGGAAGAGGCAAACATATATTCCCTCTTCAGGAAATCACCTTCAGCCAGGCATCAAATAATTCTTCCAGCTAAAATTCCAAAAGGAAATTTTGCTGTTAAAAATTATTAAAAGGGCCAGGCGCAGTGACTCACAGGAGAAAATTATTAGATCCTAGCAACAGGTACCTGTAATCCCAGCACTCTGGGAGACCGAGACGGGTGGATCATGAGGTCAGGAGATCGAGACCATCCTGGCTAATACGGTGAAACCCTGTCTCTACTAAAAAAAAAAAAAAAAAAAAATTAGCTGGGCGTGGTGGCAGGTGCATGTAATCCCAGCTACTTGGGAGGCTGAAGCAGGAAAATGGCATGTACCTGGGAGGAGGAGCTTGCAGTGACTGAGATTGCACCACTGCACTCCAGCCTGGGCGACAGAGTGAGACTCTTATCTCAAAAAAAAAAAAAAAAAAAAAAGAAAGAAAGAAAAGAAAGAAAAATTATTAAAAATACAATGAAAGAAATTATAAATGAGAGCTAGCAGAAACAACAGATGAAACTGACTTGCAAAGACTTTAAGTATTGGAATTATCAGAAATAGAATATGAAAATAGCCATGTTTAACATGTTGAAAGAAGAAACAAGCCTTAAAATGTTCAGAGAAGAAAAACTTCAAAGAGTGCAAAGCCAATTTCAAAAAGGTAGCAAATAAACTTCTGTTAAGGAAGCATGTAATAATTGAAATTAAATAAGTTGATGTGTGTAATTGCAGATCAAATCTAAGTGAAGAGAGGTTTGCTAAGCTGAAGATATATTTGAAAAAGAAGTTATACAAAATGTGGTATGGAAAGACAGAAATGGAAAATATAGGAAGTTGATAGACATAGAGGGTAGACTAAGAATGTCCTTAAATTCATATAGTCAGTTCTAATAGGTGAGGACAGAAAATGGAACAGAGACAGTAGTTGAAAGGATAGTGCCAGAACCAATGAAAATACACTTCATAAATTTACAAATTTATAAAGTCTTAACATCCAAACTGAATAAAGAAGAAAGAATCTATGCCCACACACAGTGTATATTCATACATCCAAAGCTATAAAACACTAAACAAAATGGAAATTTATTTAAATAGGAGAAAAAAGATTACCTTCAAAGGAGCAATATATTGACAGCTTACTTCACAGCAGCAACAATGGAATCTAGAAGATACTGGCATGATATCTTCAGTGTGTTGAGAAAAAATACATAGAATTCTATGCCAAACAAAACACCTTTTAATTATGAGTGACATGAGGACATTTCCCAACAAAAACTGAGTTTGCCCCCCTCGTGTTGGTTTCATTAATGTGTCCACTTGGCTAGGCTACCATCCCCAATTATTCCATCAAACAGTAATTTAGGTTTTGCTATGAAAGGATTTTAAAGATAAAATTAAAACTCCTAATCATTTGACTATAAATAAAGAAGATTATTCTAGATAATCTAATTGGTGGACCTATCTGAATCACTTGGAAAGCTATTCTAGATAATCTAATTGGTGGACCTATCTGAATCACTCGGAAAGCCTTTAAAAGAGGTCTAACCAGCCTGGGCAGCATAGTGAAACCCTGTTTCTACAAAAAATACAAAAATTAGCTGGATGTGTGGTGCACACCTGTAGTTCTAGCTACTATGTGAGGCTAACTAGGGAGGTCCCTTAAAGGGAGGGACTTTTTTTTTTTGTATTATACTTTAAGTTTTAGGGTACATGTGCACAACGTGCAGGTTTGTTACATAGGTATAAGGAAAGACAGTGTTCTCCTAGTTTACTTATCATTTTAAAAATATTTCAATTGTATAATTTTTGTTGTATTTTATTTTTTAAAAATTTTAATTGACAATAGTGTGTGTTTATGGGGTACAATGTGATGTTTTGATACACACATACACATTGTAGAATGATTATATCAAGCTAATTAACATATCTATCACCTCACATTTTTTAGAATGCTGAGAACATTTATAATCTACTTTTTTAGGCCGGGCACAGTGGCTCATGCTGGTGATCCCAGCACTTTGTGAGGCTGATGGGGGTGGATCACCTGAGGTCAGGAGTTTGAGACCAACCTGGCCAACATGGTGAAACCCCGTCTCTAATAAAAATACAAAAATTAGCCAGGCAAGGTGTCACACGCCTGTAATCCCAGCTACACTGGAGGCTGAAGCAGGAGAATAGCTTGAACCTGGGAGACAGAGGTTGCAGTGAGCTGAGATTGTGCCAGTGCACTCCAGCCTGGGCAACAGAGCAAGACTCCATCTCAAAGAAACAACAACAACAACAACAACAAAAACAAAAACCCTACTCTTTTAGCAATTTTGAAATGTACAATACATTAGTATTAACTGTGGTCACTGTACCATGCAGTAGATCTCAAAAACCTATTTCTCTTGTCTAACTGAAACTTTGTATCCTTTGATCAAAATCTTCCCCTCCCCTGGACACTCCTTCTTTCAGTCAACAAAGCAGAAGCTACCAACTATCCTTGCTTTATTATTATTATTTAAACTGTTAATATTTAATTAAAGTATTGTGTTAAAACATATATATTTTTAATGTTTATACGTCATCCAGTAATAGGCTGTATTTTCATTGACAGTTGACTTCTTAACCTCTTTTGGTCTCAGTTTCTGCATTGTAACATGAGTTAGAGTAAAAGATCACTGAGTTTGAGATACCTCTCATCTCTAACATTCCATGATACTTTGAAATAAACATAGCTTAGATGGATGATAGTGGGTTCCATTTGTATGAATTTCTCTTCAGGTAATGGATTTGGAAGGAATCCCAGAAACAGTTCCTTAAATCCACAACTCTGACATTACCGTCTTTCTTTAGCTAGCAGCTTTACAAAGACTTAAGCCATTATTTTCAGGTCTCTTACTTTTATCTCATACTGATACAATGAAGGAAATTATTTTCTTCTGTACATTGCTTGTTATTAAGGCCCCTGGAACTGAAGTTTTTTCTGCTCATCTTACCATACATTCACCATGGCTAAGGACCACGGCAAAACCAAACCTTTCCCCCAAAACCTCTCCTACCATTCATATAGTAATATAAATGTGTATTTCTCAAACTTTTCTATCCAACAGAGTGCCCCCCATGGCAGAAGAGAATGCATTTTTTAAAGAGTATGGGGGGTGGCTGTATGAGCTCACTGATAAGCACATTTTAGGAAGCATTCTGCATTTTTCCAAAACATTTATACATTGTATATTCTATACCGCAATGTAGCTATGGCAAGTGGCTATAATAGTTTGAATGTCAACCCTTAGGTCAATCATCTCATCTTTTCTATTCCTTTAGAGCTCTGTTCATGTCTGAGTTATAGAATTTATCCCATGTTATTGTAATTTATCTTTTTTATATTGACTTCATCTCTCTAAAGTCTTCCCTGAGTGTCCCTCCCCCTCACTAAGTCTGTACTCCTTTTTTTCTGTGCCTATATTACTTTAAACACATTTTATTTATTCATGCAGTCTGATTGAATTTAGTGTGTCAATCCAAGAGCCTCATCTAGAACTATAAACTTACGGGCTCTCCATGAATATAGGCCTTTTTAACTGATAATCTAGATTACTGTTAGGAAACTTATTTAATAGTGAAGGAACTCACATATATTTAAATAGATATTCAAAATAATTCTGCTTGCCCAAATTCTAACTCTTATCAGGGAGGAAAATGATAAAGATTCAAATTGGAAAACTCTTTTTTAATGTTCCCCCAAAACCTTTTCTACCTTTCATTGAGTAATAAAAATGTGTATTTCTCAAACTTTTCTATCCAAAAAAGTGCCCCCCATGGCAGAAGAGAATACATATTTTTAAAGAGTATAAGGGGGTGGCTGTAGAAGCCCACTGACAGGCACAGTTTAGGAAGCATTCTGCATTTTTCCAAAACATTTATACATGTTGTACATTCTATATCACAACATAGCAGTGTTTATTTTAAAGTGAAAACATTTTAAATACTGGTTGTATTACCCTCTTCTTACCTTCATATTAAAATAAAACTAAAATTTCAGTTAAATATACCACATACATCCTTTGGCTTTGTGTTCTTGGTCACACCATTGAGTGTCACTAATGGCAGGTCTGTACCCCTGTGAAGAATATTGGCTTGGAATCCAGTAGATCCGGATTTGTATCCTGGTTCTGCCACTTTCATGGAGTATCACACTATATAAGGTGCTTGGTGCCTCTTTGGGCTCCAAATCCTTTCCAATTTCCTATTCTAATGTAATATGCAATCACATTGAATGTTCCTTCACACATACATTTCACAATGTCAGGTTTTGTCTATGCCATACTACACCATCAGTATTAATATGCTTCCTGTCATTCCGCCATAGCCTCTTCAAACGTCAACTCTTACATTGATCATTCTGTCTTTTCTATTCTTTAGATTTTTTTTTCTTTTTCTTTTTCTGTTTTCTTTTTAAATTATACTTTAGGTTCTAGGGTACATGTGCACAATGTGCAGGTTTGTTACATAGGTATACATGTGCCATGTTGGTTTGCTGCACCCATTAACTCATTATTTACATTAGGTATTTCTCCTAATGCTATCCCTCCCCCAGGCCCCTACCTGCCAACAGGCCCTGGTGTGTGATGTTCCCGCCCTGTGTCCAAGTGTTCTCATTGTTCAGTTCCTACCTATGAGTGAGAACATGCAATGTTTGGTTTTCTGTCCTTGTGATAGTTTGCTGAGAGTGATGGTTTCCAGCTTCATCCATGTCCCTGCAAAGGACATGAACTCATCCTTTTTTATGGCTGCATAGTATTCCATGACGTATATGTGCCACATTTTCTTAATCCAGTCTATCATTGATGGACATTTGGGTTGTTTCCAAGTCTTTGCTATTGTGAATGGTGCCGCAATAAACATACATGTGCATATGTCTTTATGGTAGCATAATTTATAATCCTTTGGGTAAATACCCAGTAATGGGATCGCTGGATCAAATGGTATTTCTAGTTCTAGATCCTTGAGGAATCCTCACACTTTTTTCCACAATGGTTGAACTAATTTATACTCCCACCAACAGTGTAAAAGCTTTTCTATTTCTCCACATTCTCTCCAGCATCTGTTGTTTCTTACCTTTTTAATGATCACCATTCTAAATGGCATGAGATGGTATCTCATTGTGGTTTTGATTTGCATTTCTCTGATGACCAGTGATGATGACCCTTTTTTCATATGTCTGTTGGCAGCATAAATGTCTTTTGAGAAGCGTCTGTTCCTATGCTTTTCCCACTTTTTAATGGTTTTTTTTTTTCTTGTAAATTTGTTTAAGTTCTTTGTAGATCCTGGGTATTATCCCTTTGTCAGATGGGTAGATGGCAAAAAATTTTTCCCATTCTGTAGGTTGCCTGTTCACTCTGATGGTAGTTTCTTTTGCCATGCGGAAGCTGTGTAGTTGAATTAGATCCCATTTGTCTATTTTGGCTTTTGTTGCCATTGCTTTTGGTGTTTTAGTCATGAAGTCCTTGCCCATGCCTATGTCCTGAATGGTATTGCCTAGGTTTTCTAGGGTTTTTATGGTTTTAGGTCTAGCATTTAAGTCTTTAATCCATCTTGAATTAATTTTTGTACAAGGTGTAAGGAAGGGATCCAGTTTCAGCTTTTTACATATGGCTAACCAGTTTTCCCAGCACCATTTATTAAATCGGGAATCCTTTCCCCATTTCTTGTTTTTGTCAGATTTGTCAAAGATCAGATGGTTGTAGTTGTGTGGTGTTATTTCTGAGGGCTCTGTTCTGTTCCATTGGCCTATATCTCTGTTTTGGTACCAGTACCATGCTGTTTTGGTTACTGTAGCCTTGTAGTATAGTTTGAAGTTAGGTAGCGTGATGCCTCCAGCTTTGTTCTTTTTGCTTAGGATTGTCTTGGCAATGCGCGCTCTTTTTTGGTTCCATATGAACTTTAAAGTAGTTTTTTCCAATTCTGTGAAGAAAGTCATTGGTAGCTTCATGGGGATGGCATTGAATCTATAAATTACCTTGGGCAGTATGGCCATTTTCAAAATATTGAGTCTTCCTATCCATGAATGTGGAATGTTCTTCCATTTGTTTGTGTCCTCTTTTATTTTGTTGAGCAGTGGTTTGTAGTTCTCCTTGAAGAGGTCCTTCACATCCCTTGTAAGTTGGATTCCTAGGTATTTTATTCTCTTTGTAGCAATTGCGAATGGGAGTTCACTCATGATTTGGCTCTCCGATTGTCTGTTATTGGTGTACAGGAATGCTTGTGATTTTTGCACACTGATTTTGTATCCTGAGACTTTGCTGAAGTTGCTTATCAGCTTAAGGAGATTTTGGGCTGAGATGATGGGGTTTTCTAAATAGACAATCATGTCATCTGCAAATAGGGACAATTTGACTTCCTCTTTTCCTAATTGAATACACTTTATTTCTTTCTCTTGCCTGATAGCCCTGGCCAGAACTACCAACACTATGTTGAATAGGAGAGAGGGCATCCTTGTCTTGTACTGGTTTTCAGAGGGAATGCTTCCAGTTTTTGCCCATTCAGTACGATATTGGCTGTGGGTTTGTCATAAATAGCTCTTATTATTTTGAGATATGTTCCATCAATACCTTATTGCGAGTTTTTAGCATGAAGGGATGTTGAATTTTGCCAGAGGCCTTTTCTGCATCTATTGAGATGATCATGTGGTTTCTCTCATTGGTTCTGTTTATGTGATGGATTACATTTATTGATTTGCGTATATTAAACCAGCCCTGCATCCCAGGGATGAAGCCGACTTGATAGTGGTGGATAAGCTTTTTGATGTGCTGCTGGATTCAGTTTGCCAGTATTTTATTGAGGATTTTCGCATCAATGTTTGTCAGAAATATTGGCCTAAAATTCTCTTTTTTTGTTGTGTCTTTGCCAGGCTTTGGTATCCAGACGATACTGGCCTCATAAAATGAGTTAGGGAGGATTCCCTCTTTTTCTATTGATTGTAATAGTTTCAGAAGGAATGGTGCCAGCTCTCTTTGTGCCTCTGGTAGAATTTGGCTGTGAATCCGTCTGGTCCTGGACTCTTTTTGGTTGGTAAGCTATTGATTATTGCCACAATTTCAGAGCCTGTTATTGGTCTATTCAGAGATTCAACTTCTTCCTGGTACATAACGAAATGAAGGCAGAAATAAAGATGTTCTTTGAAACCAACGAGAACAAAGACACAACATACCAGAATCTCTGGGACACATTCAAAGCAGTGTGTAGAGGGAAATTTATAGCACTAAATACCCACAAGAGAAAGCAGGAAAGATCCAAAATTGACACCCTAACATCACAATTAAAAGAACTAGAAAAGCAAGAGCAAACACATTCAAAAGCTAGCAGAAGGCAAGAAACAACTAAAATCAGGGCAGAACTGAAGGAAATAGAGACCAAAAAAACCCTTCAAAAAATTAATGAATCCAGGAGCTGGTTTTTTGAAAGGATCAACAAAATTGATAGACCGCTAGCAAGACTAATAAAGAAAAAAAGAGAGAAGAATCAAATAGACGCAATAAAAAATGATAAAGGGGATATCACCACCGATCCCACAGAAATTCAAACTACCGTCAGAGAATACTACCTTTGGTCTTTGATGTTGCTTGCCTACAGATGGGGTTTTGGTGTGGATGTCCTTTTTGTTGATGTTGATGCTGTTCCTTTCTGTTTGTTAGTTTTCCTTCTAACAGTCAGGTCCCTCAGCTGCAGGTCGGTTGGAGTTTGCTGGAGGTCTACTCCAGAGCCTGTTTGCCTGAGTATCAACAGTGGAGGCTGCAGAACAGTAAATATTGCTGCCTGATCTTCCTCTGGAAGCTTCGTCCCAGCGGGGTACCTGCCTGTATGAGGTGTCTGTTAGCCCCTACTGGGAGGTGTCTCCCAGTTAGGCTACAGGGAGTCAGGCACCTGCTTGAGGAGGCAGTCTGTCCATTCTCAGAGCTCAAATGTCATGCTGGGAGAACCACTGCTCCCTTCAGAGCTGTCAGGGATGTTTAAGTCTGCAGAAGTTTCTGCTGCCTGTTGTTCAGCTATTCCCTGCCCACAGAGGTGGAGTCTATAGAGGCAGTAGGCCTTGCTGAGCTGCAGTGGCCTCCGCCCAGTTCGAGCTTCCCGGCCCCTTTATTTACCTACTCAAGCCTCAGCAATGGCGGACGCCCCTCTCCTCACCAGGCTGCTGCCTCACAGGTCAATCTCAGACTGCTGCGGTAGCAGTGAGCAAGGCTCTGTGGGCGTGGGACCCACTGAGCCAGGCACAGAAGAGACTCTCCTGGTCTGCTGATTGCTAAGACCATGGGAAAAGCGCAGTATTTGGGCAGAAATGTCCCGTTTTTCCAGGTACAGTCTGTCACGATTTCCCTTGGCTAGGAAAGGGAAATCCCCCAACCCCTTGTGCTTCCCGGGTGCGGCGATGCCCCACCCTGCTTTGGCTTGCCCTCTGTGGGCTGTACCCACTGCCCAACCAGTCCCAATGAGATGAACCATGTACCTCAATCGGAAATGCAGAAATCACCTGTCTTCTGCATCGATCACACTGGGAGCTGCAGACCAGAGCTGTTCCTATTTGGCCATCTTGGAACTGATCCCTCCTTTAGATTTTTATTCATATCTCACTTGTAGCATTTATCCCATGTTATTGTAATTTCTCTTTTTAATATGTATTTTCACCTCTCTAAAGTCTTCCCTGAGTGTCCCTCCCTGTCACTAAGTCTGTACTCTTTTTTCTGTGTGTCTATTAGTTTGAACACATTTTATTTGTTTATTCACTCTAACAATTACATATGGATTATTTATTTTGTGTCAGGTGCTGCTACTCCAAGCACTTGAGATTCAGAGATGTGTAGCCTTCTGTTATGAAGCTGATATTTCTAGTGAAGGAAATGGGTTAACAAACAAACAGCAAATAAGAAAAATATCAGTGAGCAAAAAGTTCAGAGTATATGAGACATTGACTGGATGGCCAATTTAGATTGAGTGACTAGAAAAGGCACTACTGAAAAGGTGATATTTAAGCTACGTCTAAAGAAGGAATCAGTTTTGAGATATGAAAAGAAGAACATGGTTACAGGTAGAGAGAATTGTTACAAAGACCTAAAGGAGGGAAAGAACTTGGCATTTTCTAAGATCCGAATAAATGAAATGTGGGCATGGAAAAGAGTTGTACTAAATGAGGTTAGAATGGCATAAAAGGGACAGATCATACAAGGCTTTGAAGGCATAAGGAGTTTACCTTTTATTCTAAATGGAACAGTATGCTGTAGGGAAGTTTTAGCTGGCACATGATTGGATCTGATCTGTATTTTGTAAAGGTTGCCCAGATTACCATGTGAAAATATGTTAGAGGAGAGAGAGGTGGCAAAAGTCCAATTATGAGGCTTTTTCAGTTGTCCAGGAGAGAAGTGATGGTGGTAGTAAACAAGATGGAGTGAAGCAGGACAGAATTTGTTTGTTTGAGAGGTAGAATTGTCAACTCTTACTTATGGGTTAGAGTAGAGAGAAATAAGAAATCAGAGATAATGTTCATATATGTCTTTTTATATTGACATTTTAAATAACTGTCTTATTCATTTACATATCAATTTTCTCAATAGGTTATGAACCTTTCTAATACTGGGACCATTTATGATTGCATTCTATATATCCAGTTTCTTGCATAGGACCTTGTCAATGTTGGGTGCTAAATAAATTTCAGTCAAATCTCTCCTTAACATGTTTTTTATTATTACACATAAAAAGCGATTTTGAATACTCAAATATTTGCTTATTACAGTGATAACAACCATAAATAATAAGTAAAGACTCTAAGATTAGGGACATAGGGAGATTTCTGTTTCATTAAAGGTAACCTCTTTATGACCAAAAGAGAACACTAAGATAACATAGTACATTCACTAAAGTGTATAAATTATAATATTAGGGTAAAAATCCTCAAGATCATCCACCTCTAATAAAATCACCATTCCATTTTGTAAACATGCCCTCAGTTCTATCAAATGTTTATGTAATTTTATTGACATAAATTGAAAAATCTTAGTTTTGTTTCTTAAGATTATTCTTACCAGGTAATTGAATAAAAATTTATTTCGAAAGTCTCTGGTGGGCCTTGGATAACTATATTGTTATTGTGAGGAAACATCTGAGTACTTATTATTTGATAAAATAAATCCCATGTAGTTTTGGAGAGGGGAGATCATTCTCAGCTAATCTTCAGTACTTCTTTGGAGATAAATTCCTATGTCACATAAGGAAAATTCAGTAACCATGGTATAGCCTGGTTTAAATTTTTTTTTTTTTTTGGAGATATGGGATCTTGCTATGTTGCCTAGGCTATTCTTGATCTCCTGATCTCAGGTGATCCTCTCACCTCAGCCTCCTAGTGGTTTGGGGTTACAGGCATGAACCAGTGTGCCTGGCCATTATTTTTTTGACAAATAAAAATTGTATATATTTATGATATATAACATGATGTTCTGATATTGGAATTTGATTATAGAATGGCTAAATTAATTAACATCAATTTTGATTGTGGAATGACTAAATCAAGCTAAGTAACATATCAGTTAACTCATGTAATTAACATTTTTTGTGGCGAGAACGTTTAAAATCTACTCTCCTAGCAATCTTCAAGTATTTAATACATAGTTACTAACTATACATTATAGTTATTAACTGTACTCTCCATGTTGAACAATAGAATTCCTGAACTTGTTATTCCTCTTGTCTAATTAAAATTTTGTCTGCTTTACCCCAACCCCTGGTAACTACCATTCTGTTCTCTGCTTCTCTGAGTTTGACTTTTTTAGTGAAATCATGTACTATTTGTCTTTTGATGCCTGGCTTATTTTACTTAGCATAATGTCCTCCAGATTGAATCATGTTGTTGCAGTTGACAGGATTTTCTTCTTTATAAAGGGTTAATAGTGTTCCATTGTGTGTGTGTGTGTGTGTGTGTGTGTGTGTGTATACCACATTTTCTTTTTGTATTCATCCATTCATGGACAGTTAGGTTGATTCATATATTTGTTATTGTTGAGTAATGCTGTATTGAACATGTAATGCAGATAGATCTTCAGCATACTGATTTCATTTCCTTTGGATATATTCCTAGAAGCAGAATTGCTGGATCATATAATAGTTCTATTTTTGGTTTTTTGAGAAACTTCCATACTGTTTTCCATAATGGTTATACTAATTTACATTCCCACCAGTAAGGTACAAGGGTTAGCTTTTCTCCACATCCTGGCCAAAACTTACCTCTTGTCTTTTTGATAATAAAAATCCTAACAGGTATGACATGATGTCTCACTGTGGTTTTAATTTGCATTTCTCTGATGATTAGTGATGTTGAACATTTTTTCACTGTTGGCCATTTGTATGTCTTCTTATGATCAATGTTTTTTTTCCAAATATTTTGCCCATTTTTAATTGGGTTATTTATTTTCTTATTAATTTGTTTGAGTTCTTTATATATTTTGGATATCAATTCCTTATCAGATATAATTTACAAATATTTTCTCCCATTGCAGAGATTGTCTCTTCACTCTGTTATTTCCTTTGTGTAATCATATTTGTCTATTTTTGCTTTCGTTGCCTGTGCTTTTGAAGTCATGATCCAAAAAATCTTTGCTCAGACCAGTGTTGAGAAGCTTTTCCCCTGTGTTTTCTTCTTGTAGTTTTATGGTTTCAGGTCTTATGTTTATAAATCCATTTTGAATTGATTTTTATATATAATCTGAGATAAGTGCCCTATTTTATTCTTCTGCACATGGATGTCCTTCTCCATTTTGTGTTCTTAGCACCTTAGTTGAAGATCAGTTGATGGGAAATGTATGGATTTATTTTTGGGTTTTCTATTCTATTTCATATGTCTGTATATCTGTTTTTATGCTAGTACCATGCCATTTTGGTTATTATGGCTTCATAGTATATTTTGAGATCAGATAATGTGATGTCTCCAGCTTTGCTCCTTTTATTCAAGATTGTTTTGTCTATTTGAGGTCTTTTGTGGTTCCATATGAATTTTAGGATTGATTTTTATATTTCTGAGAAAAATATCATTGGAACCTTGGTAGGAATTACGTTGAACTGTAGATCCCTTTGGGTAGTATGGATAGTTTAGCAATGCTAATTCTTCCATCCATGAACACATGAACATGGAATATTTTTCTATATATTTTGTCATTTTCAGTTTCTTTTATTAGTGTTATAGCTTTCATTGTATAGGTCTTTCACTTCTTTGGTTAATTTTATTCCCAAGTATTTTTTTATGCTATTGTAAATTTAATTATTTTCTTGCTTTCTTTTTGGATAGTTATTAATGTATACAAATGCTACTTTTTAATACGTTGATTGTGTATCTTGCTACATTACTGATTTTGCTTATTAGTTCCAACAGTTTTTTTGCTCAAGTCTTTAGAGTTTTCCGCATGTAATATGCCATGAGCAAACAATTTCCCTCCCTCCCTCCTTCCCTCCCTCCCTGCCTGCCTTCCCTCCGTCCCTTCCTTCCTTCCTTCCTTCCCTCCCTCCCCTCATCTCCCCAGTTTGGATGCCTTTTATTTCTATTTCCTCATGAATTGCTCTAACTAGGATTTCTACTTCTGTGTTTAAAAGAAATGGTGAGAATGAGAACTCTTGTCTTGTTCCTTATCTTAGCTTTTTACCATTGACTATTATATTAGCTGTGAACTTGTTATATTTTTCCTTTTATTGTGGTGAGATAAATTATTTTATACATAATTTGTTAAGTGTTTTCATCATGAGTGTTGATTTTTGTCAAATGCCTTTGTGCATCTGTTGATGTGATCATAAGGTTTTTGCCGTTTATTCTGTTAATGTAGTATATCACATTTATTGATTTGTGAATGTTGAACCATCCTTGCATTCCAGGGATAATCCTTTTAAAACACTGTTGAATTTGGTTTGCTAGTATTTTGTTGAAGATTTTTGCATCTATGTTTAAGGGACATTGGATGTAATTCGCTTTCTTTTTGGAGTCTCCTTGTCTGGCTTTGGTGTGAGAGTAATGCTGGCCACATAAAATAACTTTGGAAATATTCTCTTCTTTTCAGTTTTTTTGAAGAGTTTGAGGATTGGTATTCTTTAAATGTTTGTTACAATTCAGCAGTGGAGTCATCAGGTCTGGGGTTTTCTTTGATGGAAGATTTTTGACTACTGATTCAGTCTCCTTGTTCATTATTTCATTATTTGTTAATAATTCAGTTTTGATAGGTTGTATCTAGGAATTTATTCATTTCTTCTGGGTTATTCAATTTGTTGGTGTATAATTGTTGATTATAGTAGACTCTTATGATTCTTTATATTTCTGTAGTATCAGTTGAACTGTGTCCTCTTCCATTTCCAATTTTACTTATTTGAGGCTTCTTTATTTTTTTCTTTAGTTAGACCAGCTAAAGGTTTGTCAGTTTAATTTTTCAGAATCTAATGTTCAGTTTCATTGATCGTTTCTATTGCCTTTCTAGTTTCTATTTCATTTAGTTCTGTTCTAATCTTTATTTACTGTCACTATTTCTGTCTTTATTTACTGTCATTAGTCTTTATGATTTACTGTCCCTCTAGGAATAAATGAATGAAGAAATGCACATATACTTGTTGTTCTTGTTTTCTCTGCTTTGAATATCCTCTCTCCATTTTACATTCCACAACTCAGTCTATTCTTTCTTTAAGACCAAGCTCAGATACACCTTTTCCAGGAATTTTTTTTTTTTACCTCTCATACTTCTATGAATTTCCCTTCTTTTAGCACCATATGATATTTGTTGGTTTGTTTGGCTCCTTCTTGTGTTGTAGACTCTGTAAAAACAAGGTTCATGCTTTAAGTGTTTTTGTATCCTAATAGCTAATACATAATAGGCATTTAAGTTTATTAAATAAATAAATGAAAAGTTGATGAGTGATTCCCTATTATAAGGAATATGCATGAAAATATTTTGACAGTTTTAGTAGATGAGGAGTTTATGAAAATTAATATAATGAAACTTATCTAAGAGCTGTATGAAAATTATAGGAGTTGTAGATATGCGGCATTATTTCTGAGGGCTCTGTTCTGTTCCATTGATCTATATCTCTGTTTTGGTACCAGAAAATTTTTGCAACCTATTCATCTGACAAAGGGCTAATATCCAGAATCTACAATGAACTCAAACAAATTTACAAGAAAAAAACAAACAACCCCATCAAAAAGTGGGCAAAGGACATGAACAGACACTTCTCAAAAGAAGACATTTATGCAGCCAAAAAACACATGAAAAATTGCTCACCATCACTGGCCATCAGAGAAATGCAAATAAAAACCACAATGAGATACCATCTCACACCAGTTAGAATGGCAATCATTAAAAAGTCAGGAAACAACAGGTGCTGGAGAGGATGTGGAGAAATAGGAATACTTTTACACTGTTGGTGGGACTGTAAACTAGTTCAACCCTTGTGGAAGTCAGTGTGGCGATTCCTCAGGGATCTAGAACTAGACATACCATTTGACCCAGCCATCCCATTACTGGGTATATACCCAAAGGACTATAAATCATGCTGCTATAAAGACACATGCACACATATGTTTATTGCGGCACTATTCACAATAGCAAAGACTTGGAACCAACCCAAATGTCCAACAATGATAGACTGGATTAAGAAAATGTGGCACATATACACCATGGAATACTATGCAGCCATAAAAAATGATGAGTTCATGTCCTTTGTAGGGACATGGATGAAATTGGAAACCATCATTCTCAGTAAACTATCGCAAGAACAAAAAACCAAACACTGCATATTCTCACTCATAGGTGGGAATTGAACAGTGAGAACACATGGACACAGGAAGGGGAACATCACACTCTGGGGACTGTTGTGGGGTGGGGGGAGGGAGGAGGGATAGCTTTAGGAGATATACCTAATGCTAAATGACGAGTTAATGGGTGCAGCACACCAGCATGGCACTTGTATGCATATGTAACTAACCTGCACATTGTGCACATGTACCCTAAAACTTAAAGTATAATAATAATAAAATAAAAGAAAAAAAAAAGAAAGAAAAAAAAGAAAATTATAGGAGTAAAGTGTTACTGTATTTTAAATAAAATGATATCTACAATTTTAAACTTGGAGTCACATAGTGGTGTAGCATGTAGAAGTGGAAATTCTATGAGATCCTGAGCACTTGCTCTGTTTTGTGCTGTGATCTACTTTCCCTGACATAATAAGATGTTGAATAAAAGGAGTGGGACCAAAGTGAAATATTTCCTTTTATGTTAGCTACAGATTTTCAGAAGATATTTAAAAGCTTTTAACATAAAAAATTGTTACAGATTTCTACATTTTCCTATTATTCTTTTTCATGATAGTGATTCATGGTATGTAATCTATAGCTAATGTCAGCACTTGTATTACTAGTAAATGAAGATTCAACAGTTTTGGAGTGTTAAGAAAGATTTGAGTTATGAATAGATAGGAGATGGTAATTGCATCAAGCATGTATTTTATAACATGAAAAAATGATAAAATGTAATGTGACATGGGGGAATATAGAGACATAATGACAGAAGAAATGTACAAGAGGAGACAGTTTATCAGGATAAAGGATACTTTTTCTCCCAGCATCTCTTGTTAACTGATTTCAATATCCTAAATAGTGTTTCTCAGAGTGTAGTCTCAGACTGCTTGCTCTCTTATGGTAAGACTGACTTACCTGGAGAGCCTGTTAAACATGCATATTCTTGAGTCTCACCTTCAAAACTAATGATTAAAGAGGCCTGGATTAAAGCCCAGAAATATACATTATTAATGAAATGCCATAAAAAGTAAGAACACTAAAATTTAAGAAACACTTTTTAAGTATTCTTTACTCATAGCTCAGAGATAGTGTGGGTTCAGTTCCAGACCACTACAATAAAGTGAATATTGCAATAAAGTGAATTACACAAAGTTTTTTGTTTCCCAGTGCATATAAACATTAGGTTTATACTGTCCTATAGTCTATTAAGTGTGCAATAGCATTGTGTCTAAAAAATGTACATACCTTAATTGAAAAATACTTTATTACTAAAATATGGTAATGATAATCTGAGCTTTTAACAAATCATCTTTTTTTTTTTTTTTTTTTTTTTTTGCTGGTGGAGGTTCTTGCCTCAGTATTGATGGCTGCTGACAGATTAGGGAGGTGGCTGTAGAAGGTTGGGGTGGTTGTCTTTTTCTTAAAATAAGACAGCAATGAAATTTGCCACATCAATTGACTCCTACCTTCATGAGAGATTTCTTTGTAGCATATGGTGCTATTTGATAGCATTTTATCCACAGTAGAACTTCTTTCAAAATTGGAGTCAATCTTCTCAAACCCTTCTGCTGCTTAATCAACTAAGTTTATGTAATATTCTAAATTCATTATTGTCAACACTCTTCACAGCATCTTCACCAGGAGTAGATTTCATCTCATGAAACTCCTTTCTTTCCTCATCCATAAGAAGTAACTCCTCATCTGTTCAAGTTTTATTATGATATTACAGCAATTTAGTCACGTATTCAGGTTCCACTTAGAATTCTAGTTTGCTTGCTGTTTCCATCACATCTGCAGTTACTTCCTCGAAGAAGTCTTGGACCCCTTAAAGTCATCCATGAGAGCTGGTTGGAATCAACTTTTTCCAAACTCCTGTTAATGTTGCTGTTTTGACCTCTTCCTATGAATCATGAATGTTCTTAATGATATCTAGAATGGTGAATCCTTTCCAGAAGGTTTTCAATTTACTTTCCCCAGATTTATTGGAAGAATAACTACCTATGGTAGCTGTAGCCCTAATGAAATGTATTTCTTAAATAATAAGACTTGAAAGTCAAAATTACTCCTTGATCCATGGGTTGCAGAATGAATATTGTTTTAGCAGGCATGAAAACAACATTAATCTCCTTTTATATCTCATTAGAGTTTCTTGGGTGGCCAGGTGCATTGTCAGTAAGCAGTCATGTTTTGAAAGGAGTCTTTGTTTCTGAGCAGCAGATCTCAACAGTGGGCTTAGAATGTTCAGTAAAACATGGTGTAAGCAGATGTATTGTCATCTGGGCTTTGTATTATTTATAGAGCACAGGCAGAGTAGACTCAGCATAATTTGTAAGGGCCCAAGGATTTTTTAAATGGCAAATGAGCATTGGCTTCAATTAAAGT
Organism: Homo sapiens; assembly: GCF_000001405.40. Taxonomy (NCBI): domain Eukaryota; kingdom Metazoa; phylum Chordata; class Mammalia; order Primates; family Hominidae; genus Homo; species Homo sapiens. The sequence continues at coordinate 197,563,348 of NC_000001.11, read as the reverse complement.
CACCAGCTGCATTATCGCCTAACTGGAGAGTTGGCCTGTCCTTTGAAGCTTTGAAGCCTTGAAGCCAGGCATTGACTTCTCCTCTCTAGCTATGAATGTCGTGGATGATATCTTCTTCCAATAGAAGGTTGTTTCATCCTCATTGGGAAATGTGTTGTTCAGCCACTTTCATCAATAATCTTAGCTAGATCTTTTGGATAACTTGCTACAGCTTCTGCATCAGCATTTGCTGCTTTACCATGTACTTTTATGTGTAGAGATGGTTTCTTTCCCTAAATCTCATGAACCAATGTCTCCTACCTTCATAATTTTCTCCTACAGCTTTCTCACATGTCTCACCCTTCATATAATTGAAGAGAGTTAGGACCTTGCTCTGGATTAGTCTTTGGCTTAGGGGAATGTCATGGCTCGTTTGACTTTTTCTATCTAGACCACTCAAACGTTCTCCATCTCAGCAATAAGGCTGTTTCACCTTCTTGTCATTCGTGTGGGCACTGCAGTAGCACTTTCCATTTCCTTCAAGAACTTTTCCTTTGCATCCACAACTTGGCTAATTGCTTGGTGCAAGAGGCCTGGCTTTCAGGCTGTCTCAGTTTTTGACATGCCTTCCTCAACAAGCTTCATCATTTTTAGCTTTTTCCCTTGGATGCGTGGAGGTCATTGTAAGGTTATTAATTAGGGAATAGGAAAGCCTGAGGAGAGGGAGAGAGATGGGAGAATAGCCAGTCAGTGGAGCAGTCAGGACACACACAACATTTATCAATTAAGCTTGCTGACTTATGTGGGGGTGGTTCCTGGCACCCTAAAACAATTATGATAGTTACATCAAAGATCACTGATCACAGATCACCATAACAACTATAATCATATAATATAATCCTGTAATTCTAATATGATTATAATGAAAAAGTTTGAAATATTGTAAGAGTTTCCAAAATATGACACAGGGACACAAAGTAAGCAGATGCTGTTGGAAAAATGGCACTGACAGATTTGCTCAATGGAGGGTTGCCACAAACCTTCAATTTGTAAAAGCTGTCTTTGAAGTGCAGTAAAGTGAAGTTCAATTAAATGAGATATGCCTGTATCCATTGTATAATAGGAAGTGTTTTGTGTGGGGTACATCAGAGAATGAAGAAGAAGACAATCTCTGACTTTGTGAAACTTTTATTTCTAATAACAAATTATAATTTAAAACTAATGTTGATCTTCAAAGATCAGAAGTACTATGGGAAAGTAGATAGAACAGGGTATGTTAAATGGGGACTACCAGAGGTGAGGGTAGGATTACAATTTAAAATAATATAGTCAATGTAGATTTCCTGGAATATGTGTCACTTCAGCGGTATCCTGTGGGGTGGCCAAAAGTGGAAACAGAGAGAAAGAAGATTTAGAAAACTATTGCTGTCATCTAGGTGAGAAATTGATGGCAGTGTGGAACTGTTGATTGAAGATATGATGAGATTTGGTCAGAATATGGGTTTATTTTATAAATAAAGCCAATAGATATTCTGAAGGATTTGATATAAAGATGAGAGAAAGCAGAGTCATGGATGATTCCATGTTATCTCATCTGAGAAACTGGAAGGAAGTATTTGTCTCAATTAAAATTGAGATTGGGAAGACTGTGGGCAGAAGATGATTTCGTCAAGAAGAACAAGAGTTGAGTTTCAGACATATTAAGTCAAGATATCTATTGGAGATGCAAGCAGGATATTGATTAGGTAAGTGGATGGATAAAGGAGGAGGGGAGAATACTGGACTGGAGGTATATACATTTTGGAGTCATCAGCATGTAGGTAGAATTTAAAGCCATCAGCATGTAGATTAGATGAGATTACCAAAGGAAAAAGTATAAATAGAAATGATAAGAAAGTAGTATAAGAGGGCACTAGCAACGGAGGTTATGAAAGAGTGGATGAACAATTAGGTAGGACAGAAACCAGAAGAGTACTTTATATTAGCAGCCAACAAGAATACCAAAGAGGGAGGGATCAACACTGTCAAATGCTCATGACAGGCTCATTAAAACAAGGACCTAGCATTGATTACTGGATTTAGTAACCATGGATATATGATGACCTTAGCAAGAGCAATTTTGCTGACGTGGTGAGACAGAAATTGTGATTGAAGCATGAGAGGAGAGGACGTAGACACAAAGTACTGACAGCTCTTTTGAATTTTGCTGTGAAGAATGGAATAGCACATAACTAGAGAAGTAAGTGGGGTCAAGAGAAGAAATAACATGTTTGTATGCTGCTGGGAAGATCTAGTTAAGAAATAAAACTATATTCAGAAGAGAGAAGGAAAAATTGTTAGAGAAGTTAGTCTTTGCAAGAGCACAGGCAGTTTATTCATAACAGGAGAAAAGGCAGTCTGTGAGCGCAGATGGGTGAGGTAGGTAAATGTGTGACTTAGAGCTTGTAGAATTTCTCTTTTAATTACTTCGATTTTCTCTTTTTTGGTGAAATTAGGAAGAAAGATCGTCAACTGAAGGAGAATGGGAGAGGTCGTTAAACATTTAAGGAGAAAGAAGATAGGACATTGTGAAATGGATGGGGAGAGTGAATGGAGTGACTGCAAAGTAAAATAGAATTGCTTGGTATTCAAATCCTATTGGAGGTTGAGGTTTATAAATTTTGAGTGCAAATAGTCATTATGGCTGATGGGATTTTCTCCTGATACATGGAGCCTGCCACAGGCCTGCTGAGTACCTGCCTGTTCCTACTCCAGTGTGGGTATTTACTCTGGCTATTCCCTTTGCCTGGAATCCTCTTTTCCCATTAAACCTCCTCATGGCTTTGAAGACTTGGCTTAAATGCTGTCTTCATGAGACCTACCCTGACCACACTATTTAAAATAGAAAGTTCCTTGCCCTAGATTTCCTAACTTCCCTTAGGAAGTCTATCTTATTCTCTAACACTCATCACTTTCTCACATACTACATCATTTGTTGTTTCTTATTTCATGCTAAAACTCTCTTCCCCTACCTCCGCTACATGTTTAAGCATCACAAGGGCTTGGATTTTTGCCTGCTTCATTTATTCCTGTATTTCAGGTGTCTAGGAAAGTGCCTGGAATATAGCATATATATTCAGCGAAATATTCCCTGAATAATATAATTAGTTGATTCTTTTGGTCTGGTGATCATAAGGTTCAGCAGACTAAATTCTTTAGCACATTATTTAATGTCAATTGACATATCCTTGAAAGTAGTATTGTTGTCTTATTACTGTTATTTTAGGTTATTAGTTTTAATAGTACATTGCACTGAGTGGGCTCTTAATACTCTTCATAGTGTTTTCCTGTTCATGATACCATGGTAGTCTAATTTAGTATACTGGAGCCTGATAGTCATCTCATTACCTAATGGCATAAAAATAACAATTTATTTCTATTCTCCCACATACTTAATTTTCTTAGTTTGAGCTGACCTACCTTGCTTATTCCCACTTGTTGTAGGCAGTTTGTGTTTATATATAGCTACTAACTGAATGGCTTGCATTTAGCAGGTGTCTATAAATATCTGTTGATGTAATTTATTGTAACACTTCAGTGTAGTTTTCACTAACCTGTCAAGGTTTACTGAACATTTCTAAGAAGAAATATTTAAATTAGACTTATTAAATTTTTAGCCCGGAGCATTATATAAAAAGGCAAATTTTAAAGATTCATAAGAAATTAGTTTATTTTTGAAAGCAATTTTTTACTGTATTTATTTTTCCTTAAATTGCTGATTGATTTTTAAAACTATTTTTCTCTAGCTCTCAAGACTTGAATCTATTAGTTACCTCTTATCTTTGTACCTAAGAAGGGTTTCTAATGTGAGATAAATTTCTGAGCCATGGTAATGTTTCCTCCAGGCTGAAGAAGGAATTTGGGTGTGTAGATTTGTTTATTGTGTTGCTTCAGCACTTCTGCAGCTTTGCTTCAGTAACAGGACTGCCATGTTAACACAAAAAACAACACTGAATCTTGCTACTTCCTCAGCTCGGCAGAGAATTGCACCACTGCCTCATCTCTCTACCAGAATCTTTTTTATAAGGATTTAAAAAAGATCAAATATTTCTTTTAAAATGATACTAGAATCCTGAAATTCAGTTGTCATAGAGTTTTGATGGAGTGATTGCAATTAAATATTTATATAACATGTGTCTAGACCACTAAGGGAATTAGAACACTGATAATAGCATAACTTGTTTTAGGATTTTTAGATTCAATGCTGGAAATACACTGACTGGTAAATAATTAAAGAATTGTAAAAGGCATATGACTTATCTCTTAGAGGACATATACATTCCTACCAGTTTACTGGCAGCTATATTGAAGTGTAATCTGTGACTTTGATCAAAACATATTCTTTATATTTTTTGGAAAGAAGCCTCCTATGGAGTCTATTCTTTATATTACATATTTGAAACATTCATTTTATATTTAATTGTATTTAAAAAATGAATTTGAATAGTGAATGTTAATTTTCATTTAACAGTATTACTTACTGAAGTATATTTAAAGCAACAGATAATTTCTTTAAATTGACTCAGTGTCGTATTAGGTGGCTATTGGAAGATAAAAACACTTCTAAAAACCTTAGTGACATCAATATCAAAAAGAAGAGCCAGAAGCAGTTTTGCTGCTTGAAAATATTTATCTTGTAACCTGTCACAGTACTTTAAGATCATGTCATAAGCAAGGTTGAAAGGAAACCTGCAAACCTGAGTGCCCTCCAGTATAATGGACTGGACTAATTATTAATGATTTTATATATATATTATTTTGATGTAACAGACCCGTGATTGAAAACTAGAGCGTGGCCTCTGGTGTTATGTAACATGTATATTTGTTTTTGTCCACGGTTCCTGGCTCATAGCTCCTAAAATCCTTGTCATCTCCGAAAGCAAAAAGATCATGTCATAAAGATTAACAAAATCTGGTTCTTGCAATTGTTGATGATTTAGAGGGAATAATGTCATTGATCTTGAGAATTACATGTATTATTATTTAAATCAATTTTATCTATTTATAATTTATGAAATTATGGAATCCATACTATGGGATAATATCTATGAATTTTTGTAAGATTTCCAGTTATGTTATTTATGTTTTGGTGTGATTAACATGTTTAGATCTAGATTTTAATTTTTTTCTTTTGGAATAAAAAGAAAAATATTAAGATTTATATAAAAGCATCATCTTAAAGCAAATTCTTAAGTTCTTTTAAAAATCTACTTGCAACCTAATTTTATGTTATATCGATGTCACTTTTATTGTTATTAACAATGCTATTTGTCATTACTTATAATAATAAACTAATTCTTTCAAAGCTTATGTCTTCCAATTACCTGTAGATATGTGTTTACTAAATGAAATAGGTAACTGTTTATAAGGCAACATGTGATAGCACATTATAGAGTCACAGCTTTTCCAACAGAGATGATTTTTTATTAGTTCAAAATTATTTCTCTGCATCAGTAACTAAAAATTTTCTTATCTCTTTTACTTATTATGAAATGCTCCAGAGTTATTAAAGTGGTATAACCATGAACCAACTCCACTTGGGGGAAAAATAGCTGTTATTGAATAAAAATAGAAAAAGGTGTTTGAAAAACTGTTAAATTCAGCATTCTTCTCATTAATAACGCTTTTCAGTTTATTCCTGGATGTCTATTTATATGCATCTACATATAATATATGTATGTATATGCATGAAATCAATCTTTTGTTACAAGAACAAACATTTTCACTCATTGTGTACATTGGTGTCTGCCACTGACAGGATTGTTTGCAAAGTCAGTGATAACACATGTCATTTTACTGAGTGATTAATTTCTGTTGGCTCAAATCACAAGGTTAGTAAGACAGAGTAGTTACTCATACTCAAAAATGCATAATCAGTAAATAGTTTTGGGATTTATCGCTTTTTAGACTTGAACTGTTCCACTTATTTCTGAAATGGATGGATTATTTCCAGTAAACACAAAAATGAAAACCTTTTAGCAAGTCTTCTAGTCTTAATCTTTTAGAGCAAATTAAGTCCTTTAAAGGATGTCTTAGTTTGTTCTATTTGTCAGTAATGTATTACTTTCACTTTATCATTTTGCTTTCACTTTATTTTTAAAAAAATTATAACTAGTCCATCAAATGAGATCACTTTGATTTATAATACTGTGTTACAAATGTGTGCAAGTCAAATTTTGCATGCGTTTTAAACCACCTTATTTAAAAATTACCATTATGTATAGCAAAGATGCCAACATTATAAGTTCCTAGCTTTGACCTCAAGATAGAATGAAATGAATTAGTTCTATGCATTATAATTATTTGCCTTTAAAACTGGGTAGAAGTATATGAACTTCAGCATTGTTAAAGTGTACTTCCGTCTTTCCACAACATTTACTCAGTTCAAACTTTATGGCAGGTATTTTGCCAGGTATTGAAGATGCATACATGTGAAAGACAGTGATCCTTCCCTTGGGAAGCTCATAAAAATTGGACAGAGATAGAAAAGGTGGTGGTACTGGGGAAAGTGGACTTTATTATTTAGCATTTATTGGGTGTACACAATGCAGACACTTTATATTATTTTAATTAGCTCTTTGCAATACCGCATAAGGTATTTTTATTACTCCCATTTTACAGAAGGAGAAATAGTCTTAGAGGTGACAAGTGGCCCAAGATCATAAAACTAGTAAGTGGCCAAGTTGTGATGCAGGCCTTTGATACTCCACACTCCATGTTAATTTATACTATAGGAAACCTTTTGTATGCCAAGCATAATGAAGATGTGAAAATGGGTAATGTATGGTCCTTGTCCTCAAATAGTTCTAAGTTTTGTGAGAACAACTCATGCTCTAAAAAATCTAAGATTCCATTATTTTAGGCTATGTTTATTTAAACCTGTCTTACCACAGTTTTCACTCAAAAGCATTAGATGATGATAAAAGGATGATTAAACCACATTTTTCCATTAATAGTTGTTTCCATTCATTCATTATTTTAGACTCAGAGGTACATATGTAGGTTTGGTACATGGGTATGTTGCATGATGCTGAGGTTTGGGCTTCTAATAATCTCATATCCCAGATAATGAACATAGTACCCAATAAGTAGTTTTTCAACCTCTGCCCCACTCCCACCTTTCCCCACAATTTGGACTCTCCAGTGTTTATAGTTCCCATCTTTGTGTCCCTGTATACCCAATGTTTACTTCCCACTTTTAAGTGAAAACTTGCAATATTTGATTTTATTTCTGCATGAATTTGCTTAAGATAATGGCCTCCAGCATCATTTATTGGTTGCAAATGACATGATTTCATTCTTTTTTATGGCTGCAAAGTATTCCATGGTGTATATGTACCACATTTTCTTTATCCAGTCTGCTGGTAAAAGGCAGCTGGGTTGAATCCATGTCTTTGCTATGTCAATAGTGCCGGGATAAACATACAAATGCAAGTGTCTTTTTGGAGGAATTATTTATTTTCCTTTGGCTATATACCCAATATGGGGATTGCTGGATCGAATGGTAATTCTATTTTTAGTTCTTTGAGAAATGTCCAAGCTGCTTTTCACAGGGCCTGAACTAATTTGCACTCTCACCGACAGTGTATAAGTGTTCCCTTTCTCCACAAATTCGTTAACATCTGTTACTTTTTGACTTTTTAATAATAGTCATTCTGACTGCTGTGAGGTGGTATCTCATTGTGGTTTTGATTTGCATCTCTCTGATGATTAGTGATGTTGAGCATTCTTTCATATGTTTCTTGGCCACTTATATCTTCTTTTGAGCAGTGTCTGTTCATGTCCTTTGCCCAATTTTTAATGGAGTTACTTGTTTTTTTCTTGTTGGTTTAAGTTTCTTATAGATTCTGGATATTAGTCCTTTGTTGGATGCATAGTTTGCCAGTATTTTCTCCCATTCTGTAGGTTGTCTGTTTACTCCATTGATAGTTTCTTTTGCTGTGCAGAAGCTCTTTAGTTTAATTGGGCCCCAATTTTCAATTTTTGGTTTTGTTACATTTACTTTTGAAGACTTAGTCATAGGTTATTTGCCTAGGCAAGTGTCTGGAAAGGTATTTCCTAGGTTTTCTTCTAGGAAGAAAGGTTTTCTTCTAGGGAGAAAGGTTTTTAGTTTGAGGTCTTACATTTAAGTCTTTAATTCACCTTGAGTTAATTTTTTTTAATATATCTTGAGATGTAAGACTCCAGTTTCATTCTTCTGCATATGGTTAGCCAGTTTTCCTGGCACATATATTGAAAAGGGTGTCTTTCACCATTACTTATTTTTGTCAATTTTGTTAAAGATCAGTTGGTTGTAGGTGTGCAGCTTTATTTCAGGTGTCTCTATTCTGTTCCCTTGGTCTGGGTAAAGCACATTTTGAACATGAATCTGTTGATTCATTTTCTATTCTTTCTTAATTTTTTCTGTAAGAGATTTTTGAATCAAAGTCTTATAACTGGTGTGACTTACTGCTGTTAATTCTCTTCCCCACCCCCTCTTTTTTTTTTTTTTTTTTTTTGAGATGGAGTCTTGCCAGGCTGGAGTGCAATGGTGCAATCTTGGCTCATTGCAACCTCTACCTCCTGGGTTCAAGAGATTCTCCTGCCTCAGCCACTTGAGTAGCTGGGACTACAGGTGTGCGCCACCACGTCCAGCTAATATTTTTTGTATTTTTTAGTAGAGATGGAGTTTCACCATGTTGGCTAGGATGGTCTCGATCTCTTGACCTTGTGATCCCTCCACCTCGGCCTCCCAAAACGCTGGTATTACAGGCGTGAGCCACCACGCCCAGCCTATTAATTATCTTAAATTGCTGCTGAGGAATATTGTATTGTCCTATACAACTCATCTCAATTAGTTTTGTTCATTAACCGTTCAAACAGAAAACCAAGGAAGTATCTGAGTTTCTCTTTTTAAAGACCAGCTACTTTATTTTAGTTCAGGTAAAATTTAAATTTCTAGGGTAAAAAATGGTCAGGATTAGTTAGTTTTTGGATGCATCCAAAAGATGGAAGTTTTAATCCATCTTCAAGTCCTCCTTGCAAAAAGCATGTAAATCTTTCCTATGTTATCCCCTGCCTCTTAAGCAAGGAAGACTTAAAGATACCTCATCATAATTATGGATGGAGTAAACCACAACATATCAAATTCTAGGTGCCACAAATCAACAAAATAAAAGGTAACCAAGTGCTGCTAGTAATACGTGTGTGTGTGTGTGTGTGTGTGTGTGTGTGTGTGTGTGTGTGTGTGTATAATCATTGATTTTCACCTTGGGTTGGTCATATAAAAATACCCAGGATACTTTTCAAATGCAGCATTAATACTGTGAGATTCTGGTATGCTATGTATGTTGGAACAGGTGAGGACTGGAGCAGAACAGGCAATGGAAGATAGTCTCCAGGGTATCTGGATTTCTGCACTTCGAAAAAGATCTTCGGGTGCTTTTGATAGTTTCAGTTTCCCACTCCTCCAACCTCTTTTTTAAGAACACTGAAAAATATTGCCTAAAATAACCTCATGCATATCAAGTCAGTATGCATTTACCTCAACTGTATTTAACTTAATAATCATAATTCCTGTCATTCAGTGAGAATGTATGCCAGGAACTATGAAAGTTGTATTGATTTTATTGTAAATGGTTAAAATTATTTGGTGCTCTATTATGCTTTAGAATATAATAGGTTAGACAAGTAGTGTTTTATTTTACTGAATGAAGTTAATAAGCTGAAAACAGGTAATGTCTAACATCTCACAGATACTTGCTGTGTCACATTTCCTAGGTTAATCTAATTTGTTGTTTGCAGCAACACCGTGAGGCAGGTACTGGGTAAACAGGCCTGGCTGGGGAAGACAGAGCCCCATGGGTAAATGGCTTGGCAAGGCAACAGTACCTTTGTACAAACTCCTCTGTAGAGATTGTGCATTGAGCAACCTATCCAGAGCCTATGATCTTTACTACTGCATTTTGCTATTTTTTGCTAATAAGTTAGAGTTAGACTCTTTGCTGTACATTTGCAATTTAATTAATTAGCTGCTGTCTACTGAGCACCTGTTCTTTCCATTGTTTGAGAATTTTCTTGTGTGTGTGTATATATACACCATATATGTGTAATTTATACAAGAGTCTGTTATTAATGTTTTTGATGTAAGTAAAAATCTAACCTTATAAAATGAAAAATTAACATTTTATTGGATAACATTTTATTTGATACATTTTATTTGACACTTTTTAATTCTAGTTTATCGATGGTCGACTGGCAAAACTAAATGCAGGAAGGGGTTTCTCTGATGTATTTGAAGAAGAGATCACTTCAGGTGGCTTTTGTGGAGGTAAAGACAAGTTACAATATGATTATCCATTTTCTCAATAACAATTTTCTTGGTCTTTGCACTTGTGTCTGATAAAACCTATTTCATAAACAACTAATGATTTCCTCCTAAATATGTAATGTCTTAAATACATTTTTCATCTTATAAAAGCTATGGAATTAGCTTATTTTGCCTGATACCTGTTACTCAAGGCATTAAGTTGGCCTCCTGAATTGGCAGCTGTTGGCCTCGATAATCTCTTAATATTGCTGGAAATTAGTAATACAGAAATCCAATCAACTCATATCTTCCTGTCTTTCCTTCTGAATAGTAGTATTCTCTGCTAGAAAACTACTAGTGATGGTTATTACTGAGTATGAATTTAAGAACTGAGGTTATGATTGGTAATACAATCCAAAAAGAAGGGTCTGAACACCAAAATTCTTTATACATATTTAAGTAACTGTATTATTATTATACAGATGTCTTTACCTTTTTGACTTTATAGATCACTGCAGCATTAAGAAAGTTTCCAGTTTACCATTCCATAAGTACAATTAATCCTTCTAGTGTAAATGTTCAAATACTGTTATAATTATCTAGGCAATTAATAATTTACAAACTGATATTTTTGCACGATTGTAGTGGTGTATAGTCTTGACTTGCAGAGCATTTTGCTTGAGTCCTTGAAATGTCGTGTTCATTCATTATTTGCTGAGTGCTTACAATGTATTAGGCACTGTTCTAAATATTAAGTGTACTAAATAAACAAAAATCCTTGTATTCTGTATCTTAGTGTGTTAATTTTTGGCCTGGTATAATAGCAATTTTTTAAACTTCTTTGTATGTTTGTTTTGAGGAAAAAAAACTTCAGTCTATATGTAAATAAATAGATGCTGGAATTCAGAAATGACACATGAAAAGACAAAACGTAATAAGTACTCATCTACACATTTCACAAAATTTAACGTTATTTTTAAGATTCATTTTCCCACCATGAAAATATAGAAACCATTGAGATAATTGGTTCATTAAAGGAGGTACAAATGAACTCAGTAGTTGCGGACCTTTATCTGATGTAAGTGTAGCATTTCATTGAAAGCATTTAGCTTGGGGAAAAGTTAGTTTGCTTGACTCAGAAAGTAAGCTGAATGTGGAATCATTCAGCTCCTTGCTTCCTTCAGTTCATGGGTAAAAATTTAGCTTCAATGGAACTTTTGTGTTAAAATAACACTTTTTTACTTCTCAACTCAGACAAGCAAAATTTTGTCAGCCCATGGACAAGTTGCTTAAGGCATCTATTCGGTATTTACATAACTGCTGTCTCATTATCTTTATGACCCGTGGGGCTAGTAGCTTTTATAGAATTGAAGATGACATTTTGTGACAATAAGAGGCTAGAACTATGATCCTTTTGTACAGTTAAATTCTGTAGTCTTAACCATTGGTCCAGGTACCTCTGAATAGAGTAGAGATAGGTGGCTTTTCTGGTGGGAGGGCCCACTAAAATTTTTCACGAAAAGCCTTATTGTTTAAAAAAGATTAGGAGAATATGATTACCGATAAGTATCTGACTTAGAAACTGCTGCATTTTCAATACAACTTAATGCCCACTACTTTGTTGTTCTTTATTAAAATGAAAAGGTTTTGAACTCTTATTTTAATTTGAGAGAGCCAGTACTTATCTAAAAGGAAAGCCTAATTTGACAAATATTAATTCCAGTGAGTACAGCAAGAAAGTCCGTTAGAAATTTGTGCCTGTCAAGCATTATTTTTAAATTATTCTGTGTTATGTTATTTTATACATAGACTTTTTTTGTAGATGAAAATAAAGCAAAATGTGTTAGGATTTGAAATAAAAAGATGACTTATACAATAAAAATTAGCAGTGTTCTAACTATTAATTAGAAGATATCCATCTATCTAGGGGGTGTGTGTGTGTGTGTGTGTGTGTGTGTGTGTGTTTATAAAATGGTTCCTAGAGGTCAGTTCCAAACATACGTCATTCACATTACCCTTGTGAGAAAGAAGAATATATCGATGTCATGAAATTAACCTGTTCTTCAAAGAAGTAAACTGATCTAACTTTGTTGTTTATCTCATAATAATAGTAATATAATAATTGCTCATATTTATTGAGCACTAATATGTGGCAGAAACTTTCCCAGGAGCTCTACAAATATTATCTCATTTAACCCTCACAACACCCAAGGAGGTACTTCCTTTTTTTTTTTTAATTAAAGTTTTAGGGTACACGTGCACAACATGCAGGTTAGTTACATATGTATACATGTGCCATGTTGGTGTGCTGCACCCAGTAACTCGTCACTTAACATTAGGTATATCTCCAAATGCTATCCCTCCCCCCCCCCCTCACCCCACAACAGGCCCTGGTGTGTGATGTTCCCCTTCCTGTGTCCATGTGTTCTCATTGTTCAATTCCCACCTATGAGTGAGAACATGTGGTGTTTGGTTTTTTGTCCTTGTGATAGTTTGCTGAGAACGATGGTTTCCAGCTTCATCCATGTCCCTACAAAGGACATGAACTCATCATTTTTTATGGCTGCATAGTATTCCATGGTGTATATGTGCCACATTTTCTTAATCCAGCAAAGGAGGTACTTTCATTACCTCATTTTTATTGAGTATTCAGCTCAATAATTTACTCAAGGTCACACAGCCAGTAGTGGCCAGAGTCTCAATTCCACATGTGTCTATGTGGCTTCAAAGATATACTGTTTTTTATAGTAGATTTTCTTAATGCAAAAACATTCAGTAAACAAGAGTAATACTTAACCCTTTCCTACTCTGATTGAATCAAAGCAAAATTCTCATCTCTTTTGAATTTCTTGTAGATTTTTTACACATGAAGTCCTAGAAAGACCACTGTGGCAGAAATTAACATTAACTAAAGCTAAGAAAAAATTGTGTTCCTTTAAGCAACAATAATTAGGAAATTTGAGAGAAACATCTATTTTCTCCTCTTTATCATTGCAGTAGTAGTTTATACACTATTTTTGTTAATGCCGATGGTTATGATAAAATGAATATGAATATGATGGAGGTTTATCATTATTGTGGCTCTGATTAAAAATATACAGTGCAGGACAATCAGATAAGGAACATCTAGATTCACATTTGAATCTGGAACTGTATGGTTAAAGAATCTGTGAATACATGCATTTTTTCAAAAACTGCCTCTGCCCTGTGAGCCCTCATCAGGACTATTAAGGAAATCCACGTCATACCTTATTCCTTCATGAGACCCTTGCAAAATCTTCCACCTTAACTTAAAAGGAAAATTTTAACTTAACTTAAAAGGAATGTGTGAAGGGAAGAGTAACCATGGAGTTTAAAAGATAATAAAACAGGACAGGAGTAGAACAAAGGATGCATTTAAGTAAACACAGTGTTGGTCTGTGAAAAAGCAGGTAAGAAATATTGAGTAGTTAAGAACATATTCTTTCTTTAAATACTTTTTTTTCATTTAAAATAAAACTAGTTTTTACATTTACATCAACTTTAAACAGGAGAAATATTTTCAGATTCATTTTATGAGGAGTATGTGGTTACTCTCTATCACTAGCATGTGTTTCTTCCTTAGTTTACACATATAATCTGATGAGTCTTTTATTTGTTCATTTATTTATTTTTCCATTCTTATTTAGTTTTACTGACTAAGGTATCAAAGGAATTTGAAGACGTGGTAGGTAATATCAGTTTAGTGGCATTTTTCTGGCCTTGTTGAACAATTTAGACCAATTTACATTTTGAGATAAATGAGTACAAATTACTGGAATTTAAGCAAGTACATTTGAGGAGAAAGTCTTGGCATAAATGAGAAATAGATATTTTGTCCTTAAGTGTGAGAAAATCACTAGTTTTATTAACAAAAATAATGTTAAGAATTTCCTCAGTAATGCCTATTATTGCCATAATCCAGTTATTTTAAAAGAAGGATTCTGAGGGATTTCTTTAGCATTCAAATTAATTTTTAGAATAACAGCCTTTTTCTAACACTGCTAAAGAATAATGTACTTTTCTCATAAATATTGTGGAAATAGGAACCTTAAATCATAAAAGCAGTAAAATTTAAAGGCACAATTAGCCCTTAAAACTTTTAAAATAGGAATCTACCTAAATTGTACCATGTTTTCATAACATCGAAGCAAGGGACTTCTTCTTTGCCCCTATACTATGAAATTTTAGATTATTACCGGTAATTCTCTCTATTAACCTTCTTTTTCAGGGTATTAGCCTTGAGCAGCCCCTTTCCCTTTCAAATATAATTGCTTTGGGTGTGATACAGAGGAAACTCTGTATAACTTAAGTTTTAATCATATTTTATTTAGCAGTCTTAGAGGGAGTTTTTCAGAGTTGAAGGAATAATGAACCGGGGATTAAATTCCTAGATTCTTATTCTGTTTCAGTTGCTAGCCTTGAGAACATGGCTGAATAATACATCATCATAGAACCTCAGTTTTCTATTTTGGCAAATTATTTATAGTAATAACGATCATTTATGATATTTCTTCAATATACTATGTACCATACTAAACATTGTTTAATCGTTATCTTTCATCCTCACAATAATCCTGAAGGACAATGACTATTATGCTTATTTGATGAATGAAGAAGCTGATGCTCAGCCAAGTTAAGGACCTCATCCCAAATCACATCCTTCACAAAGATAGAGTAGGCCTGAGCTCTAAAGGTCCATTGGACTCCAAAGCCCACTTCCTTCTCATTGAACTGACTGCTTATGGCACTGTTTGCCTATTTTACAGTAGAAAAGTACAGTTCAAATAATGTAGATAAAAACATGCGATGACTTGTACAGAGCTGAAAATTAGCTTTTTTAAATTCCTCATAGTTCTAAATAAGACCCTAACCTTTCTACGATAGTTTGAAACTTTTATCATAGCTAGTTTCTTTGTGGTTCAGAGGTTTAAAAGAATTGTTTTCTGGATTGACAAAGGTTACAGAATGCTAAACTGGTGTTTGTTTCTTCTTCCACTTTCTTACATTCATTTTGGGAAAATAATTAAAACACTTTCCAGAATACTGTGAATAATAACAAAGTCTTAAATATGTGATTTCCACTCAGCCATTTTTAGTAGAGAAGTAAAAAGTATATGAACTGATGAGAGCTTTTTAATACAGAAACATATATGAATAATCTGGATGAATAAAGATCTGCAGGGTTTTTTTTGTTGTTGTTTAAAAAATCTCCTTGAGAAATAAATTGGTAGAATAACTTGGAATGTTTTATTATTTTACAAGGGAAATATACTTTTAAAAGTTTGGTCAAGCCAAATACCACCTGAAACTCACACCTTTTAAACAGGGCAACTTATTTTTACAAAGGTTATTTTAGGTAGTTACATTTTGCTGTAGTTATTTCACAAGTTAAGAAAAAAAATTTGTCTTCATGTTTCATCCTCCAGAAAAGGTGCAATGCTGTGTTCTGAGTAGTCAGAGATGTTTTTCAGAATAAAAATTGTTTTTTGATATTTCTTTTAAATTAGAGTAAGATTTTAAATACAGAAGTGAATCCAGAGCTGGACACTTCTTGCCTGATGTTGATTAGGGATGCAAAGATAACAGCTAGAAAGAAATTTTGGGGCTGAGATCATTTTGTCTCTATTTTGTAAGAGCAAGGTGATACATCTTTTAAAATCCACAGCCACAGAGTAGAGGAGAACAGTATGTTTTAGGGGTTCTTTGTATTGGATAGTGTCTGAGTAGCCACTGGGACTTTAAAAAAAAAAAAAAGAGATGGGGTCTTGCCCTGTCTCCCAGGCTGGAGTGCAGTGGCATAATCTTAGCACACTGCAACCTTGAACTCCTGGGCTCAAACAGTGCCCTGGCCACAGCCTTTCAAGTAGCTGGCACTATAGGTGGGAGCCACCACACCAGGCCTGGGATTTTGTTTTTTTATTGTGACTTTTTACCCCTGCGACTTAGGGAGTATTTAAGCTTTTAAACAAGAAGGTAGCTGAAATCTAACTGAGATCAGTTGATGGGAAAGATTAGGTAAGTTGTATATGTATTTCTTTTTTTACCTTCTGATATCATCTTATTGACTAAATTATTTATGAATTTGGAACCAGATATGTTGATCGCTGGATTTTATTAGAACTACTTTTCAACATTGCATATAAAATTTGCCTACTAAAAATTGTGCAAATACTAGTTCTTGATAAATTTTGGTTTACAGATTTATTTTTGATCAACCATTCCTGGCATCTCATTTTTATATATTCCAGGGAACCCGAGGTCATATCAACAATGGGTGCATACAGTCAAGGTAATCATAAGCTTTCAAATGTTATTCTTTCACTCTAATATAAATGGAGAAATGTTCAGCAAAAGTATGCTGTTTATACTTATGCTGTTTATTTGAAATATTTGAAATGTTTGTATATTTTGTCACATTTTAAATATTCTTATTTTACGTTTATAGTTTGTTGATACTCATTAAGATAATTTTTAAATGGAAAGTTTTGGTCCAAAGATAAATGGCTCATTTTGAAAAGCAAGATTTTACTGCCAAATGTTGTTTTTCTTATATTATTTTCCAGAAGAAGAAATTAGGTGGGGTAGAAGGATTTGATGGCAATTTTATAATTTGTGGTAATATAGTTTTGTTAATATGATTTTTAAATATGAAACTTTCTCCCCCAGACTGAGACTTTATTTGCCCGATATTAAAACAGCTGATAAACTTGTATTTCTTTCTTATTAAGCTTTAAATATATTCAAATTACTAGTCATATTGCTCAAGTCTACCTAAGCTTCAAGGAAGAAATGATTTTTAAGTGATGTATTATATCAACTAAAGAACAAGGTGGAAAGTGTACATTTTGTTTGAAATTATTAAAGTACATAGAAACTTGAAAACACTGAACACTGAACATGAAATAATTTGTATAGGTCTTTAAGTTGTGAGTAAAGCCCTTTTTTTAAATATGCAACTTACTGTAATACTTTGTTTTCAGGATATTTTAGCTAAAAGTTTTTGGAAATATGTTTCTGTTTTTCTTTTGCAGAAAGGAGGTGCACTGTTCAACACAGCAATGACCAAAGCAACCCCTGCTGTACGGACAGCATATAAATTTGTAAGTTTTTTTGATATTTAACAATCCTATTTATGAAATTATAAAACATTTTCCTAGGTGATAGACATATAAATTCTGAATATTTTCTATTTTTCTTTTAAATAAACCTAAAAAAAAATTAGGATTAATATTGACCAAAGCAAATTCAATTGTTAAAATTATAACATTGCATGCAGAGGGTAGTTTCTTTTATATAATCTAAAAATGGTTCTCATTTTATTCCAAAGCTATCGGCAAAGTTGTGCAGCAAATTGAAACAGTTATTGATGGGGTACCATTTTGTAAAATGTCATTATTTCATTTAACAACATTTTACATTCTTGCTGTGTACTTGCGGCTCAAGTAGAAAAAAAAAAAGAAAAATATAGCGAGGTCTTTTCCCTCAAAGATGCATTGACTGTTTATTAACATTCTTCAGTGAGTCTCCAAGGCAAGTTTGTCCAACCCATGGCCTGTGGGCTGCATGTGACCTAGGATAGCTTTGAATGTGGCCCAACACAAATTCTTTTTTTTTTTTGAGACGAAGTCTCGCTCTGTCACCCAGGCTGGAGTGCAGTGGCACGATCTCGGCTCACTGTAACCTCCGCCTTCCAGGTTCAAGCAATTCTCCTGCCTCAGCCTCCCAAGTAGCTGGGATTACAGGCACCCACCACCATGCCTGGCTAATTTTTGTATTCTTAGTAGAAACGGGGTTTCATCATGTTGGCCAGGCTGGTCTCAAACCCCTGACCTCAAGTGATCTGCCCGCCTTGGCCTCTCAAAGTGCTGGGATTATAGGTGTGAGCCACTGCGCCCAGCCCCAACAGAAATTCTTAAACTTTCTTAAAACATTCCAAGATTTTTCTTGGAATTCTTCTTCTTCTTCTTCTTCTCCTTCTCCTTCTCCTTCTCCTCCTTCTTTCGTCGTCGTCGTCGTCGTCTTCCTTCTTCCTTCTTCCCCTTCCTCCTTCCTCCTTCTCCTTCTCCCTTCTCTCTTCTCCCTTCTTCTTCTTCTCTTTTCTTCTTCTTTTCTTCTTCTTTCTTCTTCTTCTTCCTCTTCCTCTTCATCTCCTTCTCCTCCTTCCTCTTCTTCCTCTTCTTCCTCCTCTTCCTCTTCTTCCTCCTCTTCCTCTTCTTCTTCTTCCTCCTCTTCTTCTTCTTCCTCCTCCTCGTCCTCTTCCTCTTCTTCTTTCTCCTCCTCTTCCTCCTCCTCTTCCTCTTCTTCCTCTTCCTCTTCATCTTCATCTTCTTCTTTCCTTTTCTTTTTTAGCTTATCAGCTTGTGTTAATGTTAGTGTATTTTATGTGTGGCCCAAGACAATTCTTCTTTCTCTAATGTGGCCCAAGGAAGCCAAAAGGTTGGACACCGCTGCTGTAAGACTTGCAGAAAAAAAATAATGGGAATAATAGTAAGAATAATAAAGTAAATAATAAATGATAAAGTAAAAAAACTCTTTAATATGACAATTAAGACCCTTCAAAACCCAACCCTTCATGTCTAGTTCCTTTTCCCCCTACTCCTCAGAACGTTCCATATCTCTGAAGACACTTAGCTACTCCTCATTTCATGAATGTGAGATATTCTCCTCTGCCCTTTGATTCTTGCTCAAGCCATTCCTATTAATTGGAATGTCAGTTTCTTGGCCTTTATCCACCTAGTCAACACCAGTTCATTTTACAGGACTTAGTTCAGACATTATTTCCCCTGAAAAAATTTTTCTGAACCGTACACAAAAAAAGCTTTTATACATATTTTTGTCTTCTCAACCCTACACAAAAATGTTTATATACGTATTTTTGTATCTGTAGGACCTTCTGTTTCAACACTTGTTTTGTCTGTGTACATTTCTCTCTCAATACTAGTCTAGTAACTTCCCAGGAGAGAAGCTAGTGTGTTGTGTTCAATAAATTTTTTAAAATTCAATAGGTCGGATATTTTATATTTCTAAAAATATTTAAGGCAAGGGTTTTGATTTTGTAAGAATTTGTCTTCAAAAGCTTTTCTCGGTAAGTGAGTTGATGTGATTGAATTAATAATAAAATAGTATATTTTAATAAAAGTTTAGAACTTCTGTTATTCCTTGAGTTAAAATTGTGATATGAATGTGGCCACCCTTTCTGTTTAAAAATTCCATTCAAATATTAAATTTTATAGTAGGGAAGCTAATCTATAGAGTTGATTAAAAAATACAGTCCCAAAATTAGAATTATTTGATCCCTAACCATAAGGCCAAAATAAGACAAGGTTATCATTTTCCCTTAGAAACCTCAGCCTCTGCGTTTTTTTTGGTTGTTCTATGGCTTTCCTAGGAAACCTCTCTGGTGGTTTAAGTGCAGTTTTTGAAGAGATTTTTTTTTACAATGAAATAGTACACAACTACCATGTGAAAAAGCAAAGTAATGTTGATCCTTGTTTCTCACATTCATTTAAGATTCTAAAAATGGTTTCACAGTCAATAGCCCTTCATTTTCTTCTGGAGCAGGCAGTTGAGGGTTTTTTTTAGGCTTAGAGAAGTTGTATTGTTTTGCCAAATATGTGTCTTGCCTTAATTTCACTCATATTTTTCACAAAAGCGCAGCAATGAAGCAAACATGTTCAAAACCCTATTCATTATTTTAAAATTTATCATTCTAATCAGTGGAGTATTTTATTTTGAACTCTTCTCTGCAAGGAAGTAAAATCTTTTCAAATTAAAAATTCTATTCTTTGGGCCGGGTGCTGTGGCTCACACCTGTAATCCCAGCACCTGGGAAGCCAAGGCAGGTGGATCGCTTGAGGTCAGGAGTTTGAGACCAGCCTGGCCAACATGGTGAAACCCCATCTCTATTGAAAATACAAAAATTATCCAGGTGTGGTGTCGTGCTCCTATGGTCCCAGCTACTTGGGAGGCTGAGGCAGGAGAATTGCTGGAGCCTGGGAGGTGGAGGTTGCAGTGAGCCAAGATTGTGCCACTGCACTCCAGCCTGGGCCACAAAGTGAGACTTTGTCTCAGGGAAAAAAATAAATAAATAAATAAATAAATAAAAAAGGTTTCTACTCTGGAGGATTGTTCCCTAAATTAATTTCAGGTGAATTAAGATCTTTAGAATATACCTAATCACTTTTTTATCATTTATCTTGTGATCATATCATCCCTGAATCAGGAGGTTTGGGGCAGGTAAGTCAGTCATTCTGTGATCTTTGTAATTGTTTCTAAAACTGATCTTTCCAGACTGCTCATTTTCTGAAATGTGTACTCTGAAATTCCTTCTTTGACCACAAATTGCTATGAATAAAACTCCTAATTTCTGTTGTGTGGTATAACAGAATTTACTTACCTTGGTTTTCTATAGATAGTAAATTTTTCAAAAGTAGGAATCATGTTTTTACCTCTATCTCATTTATTCAATAAATTATTTGAGTGCCTATCGTGAACTAGGCCTTATACTCATCATTGGAGTTATAGCAGAACATGAAGGTACAGTAAGAGATACTGTCCCTACTTTTATATTTGTTTTCCTATCACTTTGCTCTGCACTTTGAACATACTACAGAAATACTGAATATGTGTTTGTCAAAGCAAATAATGATTCCATCCTGTTCTTATAACATTTTTATACTTATTTTTATAGTTAAAATTTTTTTTCCTATGCTTTTCATGCATATGTTTTTCTATGCTGATAGGGGCCATAAAGAAAACTAGAGTTATCATACACACTTGTATAAATTTAAGAATAACAGCAAAGTGGAATTCATATTTTATTTGGCTAAACGGTTTTCAGAGTCATCTTTCTTGTTAGGTCTCCATTTTAAATTATTACCAAAGCCATTTGCTTGGAGCATTTCTCTGGAGAATACTTGCATTGTGTTAAGCTTCAAATTGGTAAGTTGAAAAGGATAGAGAGAACCTATATCCGGCCTTCCAGGTTATCTGAAGGAAGTCAGAGGAGGACATGGGACAACAATTATTTTAATGAATCAGTGCACTATGGAATTATAGAACCATGGAAGAGACTGACACTAGTAGCTTCAACTCTGTATACTAAAGAGCATCTGAAAAGATTAGTGTGATCAAGTGGATTCGAGGATAGTTAGCTAGATTACAGTCTCCCTGAGTCACTTTCCTTATTTTAAAATGTGATCATAGTAGTACTAATCTTACAGAATTGTTGTGATAACTACCTAAGATAATGCATGCTAAGCACCCAGCACACAGTCATATATTTAGGAAACAAAATAAATATGAATTCCTTTTCTCCTCTTTTTCACCTTTGCCACTGTGAGTAGGAATTTCTAGTGGAACAAAGGCTAAGGCTTTTGTGAAAGCCCCCAGTTGTCTTTAGTTAAGTTATACCCCACAGGAATCACAGCAGGATGTGAGAAACTCAAATGCTGGGGCCAGGTTCCCTGTGAAACATGAGGATAGCTTTAAATTGTTAAATGACTTTTAAGTTTTACCAGAAAAACTATATATGAAATACCATTCCATTAAGATGGCTCTGCTAATAAAATTCTGTGTCTGCCTGTAAAAGCTCTTAATAAAGCTTTGTAAAATTGCCAAAGTTTTTTCAAGTTCAAGCATCTACCCAAATAATTTGCTGCGGGGATGTACTTTCTCTGTTCCTCCAGTTTGTTACAGTTTTAACATTGTAATCTGGTTTATTCCTTTTGTGTTCTTTATAGTTTAGGAAACAAAATAGTCTAAATGTTAGCCTTTGTATGATACTTGTATACAAAGAAGAGACTAATGGTTTTACCAACTGATTTAGGTGTAATAAAATAGTAAGTGATATGCGTATCCCTGAAAATAGAATGTTAGATTATAATCTGTTCTTTTTCTAAATCATATGAATATTTAGTAATTGTCATTAAATTTGATCTTGTATACTTATTCTTTAAATGGTAATGGAACCATCCTGAGCCAGGCACATTCATTATCATTTTCTAGGCAAAAAATCATGCAAAGCTGGGACTAAAGGAAGTGAAGAGTAAACTAAAACACAAGGTATGTCATATTCATTTTTTTCCATTTTACCTTGATTCTTGTATTAGTTTGAAGTTTATACTTCCAAATTAGAAATTTGTGTTTTTAATGACATTTGAAATATGCTTAGCCCTTTGTTCAAGAATGTATTTTTTATAACAAGCCCTCTGGCAACTATCTGCTCTTCTGTATGCATTCACTGAATAATCTCTTTACTGTTTGAATATTTTATCACAGAACTATGGAAATCTTCAAAGATGTTTTAACAGGATGTATGTTTTCATAAAGTTAATTGCCTTGATATCACAATTGAAGTTCTTGCTTTATGCTAAGAATATTTTTAAAAGATATCTTTTGTGTAGAAGTAACCCAGGAATGCCAGCATTTGTTTTGATAGTCTCATTCCAATAGTAGTTACTTTAAAATGAAGAATGTTCTTAATTTACAAAATATTATGTATGTATTTAAGTTATGAATATTGCAGATATGTAAATATGTGTATATGTGTGTTGATTTTAATTTGTATCTTCACAGATTTTATTATCAGTTATGTTTTGAATTTTTACCTTTGGAGAAAACATACTACTTAAATCTTCCAGTGTAGTGATAGCAAATTATCTTTATATAAATTTTATTCAGATTATTCAAAGTAATCAAAGATTTTTAATTATTTTTATTAAATTAAATTTATCAGTATAAATAATTAAGATCATTAACCTTATTTAATTAAATTTATTAATTTTGATTATAGAAAAATGCATTTTCTTCTTAAATAGATTCTTTACACTTAAAGCTGAAGTGTTATTTTGCTACTTGTATGTATATCAGATACTTTGTTTATTAATCTAATACGTTAGTAATAAAAGGAGTACTTTACAATTATTGCCTGTATATTTTTTCATGTGTAGGAAAATGAAGAAGATTATGGGACCTGTTCTAGTTCTGTACAATATACACCAGTTTACAAATTACACAATGAAAAGGGAGGAAACTCAGAAAAGCGTAAGCTTGCTCAGGTAAGTAAGGTTATTTACCCTTCATTCCCCCACATTCTCAAATTATATAATTCCAGTAAATTATTTAGGAACAATTTGGATCCACTAATTTTTTATCTTATATGAAAACCTGCAGTATTGGTCAAGGGGAGGAGTTAGTGGAACCTGGGAAGGCTACAAGGGGATTGAGAGTCAAATGTTTCAGATATCGGTCTCTACATGCTTTGTTAGCCCATGCCCTCATAGATCTCATAGTCCAGTGAAGGAAAAGACAATTGAATGTGTGATTCTTATAGAGTGTGAATAGCTTGATGATAAACTGGAAATCATAGGATTCCTTTACTACAAAAATAAAATCAATCTTATACATGGGTATTTGGCCATTAAAATAGTCTATAGAAATTAAAATCTGAACTACTATAAGTCTATCCTATTCTAAAGTTAGATTATTTTATTTGCTATAAATAGTTAAAGCTTCTTTTTATATGCTGATGCTACTTAAAATATTGTTTCAAGTGACTGAGTGTTCAGAATCATAGCTATAAGTGTTCCTGGTTTTTTTTTCATAAGTACATTTATGAAGGCTCTAACTAAACAAAATTGGTATATACAAAATTGTATCTTAAGTGGCCTTAGAAAACTAGCTTCAAAAAAGAATTCTTGAGTGGACTGTAGCTACAAAATTACAGAACTGGAAGTGGCTGCAAAGCTTCATTTATAACAGTTGCCAAGGTTTGCAGATGAGAAAGTTGATAGCTAGAATGGTCACAACACTTGCCATAAGTCTCATAACTGATCAGTGGCAGAAGGAGGCGAAAAGCCATCTCTGATGCTCAGTTAGCTTTCCTGGATAGCCAGGCACCACAGAAGTATACATGGCCATAAGGTGCTTCCAGGGTCTTTGTCTTTGAGCCCATTTTGTGCTGCTGTACCAGAATACCTGAGGCTGGGTAATTTGTAAAGAACAGAAGTTTATTTCTCACAGTTCGGGAGGCTGGAAAGTCCAAGATCAAGGCACTGGCACCTTATGAGGCCCTTCTTGCTGTGTCATCCCATGGTGGAAGGCAGAAAGGCAAGAGAGATGAGGGGGCCAAACTCACCCTTTTATAACAGCACTAATCCCACCCAAGAGGGTGGAACCCTCATGGCCCAATCACCTCTTAAAAGTCCCACTTCTTAATACCATTACAATGGCAATTAAATTTCAACATGAGATTTTGAGAGGACAAAATTCAAACCGTAACAACAGTCTTTAAGAATGGGAAAGGATAGTGAAGCTGTACTGAAACTCTAGTCCTTTGTAAAAAAAAAAAAAAAAAAAAAAAAAATCCCATTAATTCAGTCATTCATCAACACTATATGCCACACACTTTTCTAGATACCAGGTATATATAAAAGGAAAACACAAAAATTCTCTGCTTTCATGGGACTGTTTTTGTAACATACTGAGTATTTCCTCGTGATTATTCATTTATTAAGCTGATATTTTCACATTAGAATTGTGTGATTGTAGCATACTGATAGTCAGTACTGATTGTCTGTTCTAAAATAAGCCCTTCAATAAAATAATTATTCCCGAAGTCAGAAACCTTTTCTTGTTACTGCTGTTAACTGGAGAACATTTATTAATGTGTGAACTAATAATGGATTTGCTATTGATTTTTCTGTTGTTTTTTTTCCCACCACTAATATGTTCAATTCTTGTCTGTTTTCAAGCTTTAACATCTCAAATACTGTTGTAAAATGTTTATGGCTTAATATGGAGCATTTAGGTTATCTTTACCATGGCGAGTAGATTTTCTGTGAAAACGAATATGAGATCTTTGTTACCTATAGGATACTTTAAGATGTAAAAAAACATTATTTATATTGGAGAAACACATTTCCTAAATATCAGTTTCAAATTACGACAACTACTATTAGCTCCTCATATTTTAATTAATTTATTTTTCATTACAAGTTGATGGTTTATAATTATATAAATTTATAGGGTCTAAAGTAATGTTATGATTCATGAATGTAATGTGGACTAATTAAATAAAGCTAGTTAACATATCCATCACCTCAAATACTTAACATTTTTTGCGGGAAGAACATTTGAAATTTACTCTCTTAGCAATTTTAAAATGTACAGTACTCTGTTATTAATTATATTCACCATGCTGTAAAGTAGATCTTAAAAAAAAATTTTAAAGTCTTCTTTCCTTTAACATGCATAGCATTTTTATGATAATGTAATTAAAAAATACATTACTGATTTCTGTTTTTGTTTTCTGTTAACTTCTAGAGACAATTTCTTTTTTTATTATATATATTTAACGTGTATAACATGATGTTTTGATATACATATACATAACGAAATGATTACTGCCCTCAAGCAAATTAACACATCTATTATCTTACCTGTTTTTTTGCAAAGTAAGAACACCTAAAATCTATTCTCTTAGTAATTTTCTAGTATACAATACAATATTATTAACTATAGTCCTCACACTGTACATTCTGATAGAGAAAATTGTATTAGGTTACGGAAAACCTTATAGAATAATGGGTTCCATTCAGTGTATACTTACACTAAGTCTTCAGGGCTACTATATATTATCATTAATTCAGTTATCTGCATTGATTAGCATTTTATGGTTTACAGTAGACATGACAGCAATAATTATAACAGGAATTGAGAGGAGTAGGGCTTATTCTTTAAGAATTCTAACATGATTTTCCTACCTGGTGTATAAGAATTGATTAAACATACATGTTTAGAATTGTGATGCAAATGTTGATAATATCTGAATAACAATCTTTAGTTTTCAAATGATAAATATCTGAGTTTCAGGAAACATGTATACCCAGTATGTATGTTTCTTTGTATTCGTTATGTGTCCCATTATATAAATAGGTAAATATATCTGTGTGTTGTATGTATCTTTTTTTTTTTTTCTCTGAGACGGAGTCTTGCTCTGTCCCCCAGGCTGGAGTGCAGTGGTGCGATCTCGGCTCACTGCAAGCTCCGCCTCCTGGGTTCACGCCATTCTCCTGCCTCAGCCTCCCAAGCAGCTGGGACTACAGGCACCCGCCACCACGCCTGGCTAATTTTGTTTTTGTATTTTTAGTAGAGACGGGGTTTATGTTAGCCAGGATGGTCTCGATCTGCTGATGTCATGATCTGCCCGCCTCGGCCTCCCAAAGTGCTGGGATTACAGGCATGAGCCACCGAGCCTGGTCTGTGTTGTATATATCTTAATAGCAAAATTTTTAAGAGTTCATATCCTGCCTACTAATATCTATTATAATTTAGGATTTTGCTTGCATTTTTTTCTGTAATTGAAATTTGATTTTTTAGTTTTAGATTCACATATGTATTTGACAAAGAGCTAAATTTTGGGCCCTCTAGCAATTGTTTTCTGCTACATTTCACCCTTAATTTTTTTCCCAAGGCTTCCAGAGTCCATGCTATCTTGCATTACTAATGTTACTTCTTTGAATTGATGTTGGGTTGTTACTGCTTTGAAATGATAGCCAATTGGTGGCCAACAGTTTATTTATAAAAGCAGAGCGGGTACGTTTACATTGAAATTATCATCAAATCCTTGATTTTAATTATTTAGTTTTAATAGTGTTAGCAAACTCACAAATTAAATAAAATAATATCAAGCCATTTATTATAAGGATATAGGCATTCTTTAGGACATCTAATTGCAGGAATATATCTAGGCTTCCGGTAGGATTAGAACTAGGAAATGGAAAAAGTAATCAGGGAAGAATATCAGCTTCTCTCCCTACTCATCTCATGTCATCTCATCTCATCTCATCTCATCTCATCTATCTCTCTCTCTCTCTCTCTCAATCTCTCTCTCTCCCTCTCTCCCTCCCTCCGTCTCTCTCCCTCTTTTCCTCTCTCCCTCTCTGTCCCTTTTCTTCTTCCTCTTCTTTTCTCCATCTTCCTCCCTCTCCCATCCCCTGTTCCTTCATTTCTCTCCTCCCCTCCCACTCCCCCTTTAATGCTTGGCCTGTTCTTTCTGCTTATTTGTTCATTGTGCATTCTGTAGACTGGTTTTCTCAGCTTCTCTGTGTCCTTGACACAGATCTTATAGGCCCTCAGTTGAAGCAGCCACTAGAAATGGATAATAATTCTAGAATCCAGTTCCTTAAGGAAGAATGTAATCAGCTCACTTGGACCAGGCATTAATTCTTCGTTCAATAAACTCCAGCCAGAGAGGCAAGGAGAGTACCATGTTACCAAGGACACAGGAAGGGCAGTAGAGGTGAGTGGGGTGAACAGGGGAAGCAGTTCTCAGAGAAGTGGTTTTAAGGACTGTGACAATATCTCACAAGATGTCTACTGTTTCTGATTGCTTCACACTATTTTGCTTTTCAATGTTTAATTTACCTACAGTTAGTGTGGTCAAAACATATTAAATGAAAAATCCCAGAAATAAATAATTCATAAACTTTTAATGACATGCTGTTCTGAGTATTACTATAATTGTTCTTTTTCAGTATCAGTTATTGTTGTTAATCTCTTACTGTGCTTCATTTATAAATGAAACTTTATCATAGGTATGTATGTTTAGGAAAAAACATAGTTTGTATAGGGTTTGGTACTAACTGTACTTTCAGGCACCCAGTGGGGGTCTTAGAACATATCCCCCGTGGGTAAGGGGGAACTGCCATAATGCTATTTGCCAAAAAGTCATATTTGCAAAATAACAAAAACAGATCTGCATTTTTAAATGCCTGGAGGCTGGAAATTTGTACCACAAATCTGGGGTTTGATAAGTTTAAGGTCAGCCTACCCTAATGGATTGATGTTGCCTTCTCTCCTGAGAATTGAGCCACTTACACTAGCAAAAAAGGCTACAGGTGGAAATGAATTTAGGGTACTATATTTGCACATTGGGCAAGGAAATCAAAAGGCATCAGCCATAGTCTGCTGCCTTTTCTTTGCAGTCTGATATTGCAGAAGCTTCTTTGGTTCACTTTTCTGGAGATAATCCAGCCCCATTGATTTAAGTGAAATATGATACAGTATGTTATGGAAGAGGCAGAAAGCTGATGCTAGAGCCACGGGCATACTGTCGCATGATGATTACCAAATCCAGGAATTCTCTTACTCCTAACTCTCCAAGTATAATAATATTGGTATCTGAGTATATTAAGATTTTCAACTAAATATGTAATGTTTCTAGAAATATTTGGATGTGGTTAAAGTCTAGTTATCAGCATGTATGTCAGAGAAACTAATGTCTATTCATTTATATTCTACCTATTTCCAAAAATACTTTAATATCTTACAAAGAACCTTAAAAAGATTAAACTGTATTAAAATTAGGTAAGTTTTAAGGCAGAGAAAATGTTAAATGTAGTTAAGAAGCTGTTAAGGCCTATTCCCTGCACAGCCAAAAAGAAGAGAAAAGCACAGCTACATGATTCATAATCCGCAAAGTTTTGGTTTTTAAAAAGTTGCTTATGAATTACCCAGTCATTCCAAAGAAATAGGTTAGATGTTTTAGATCCACAAATCTTTTCAGTGTCACAAGAGTTCACATTCTGGTGGAGGTACCTAGCAGAGACAAAGACTTTTGTTTTGGAAGACAGAAATTTAGTTTTCTTCATTTAGTCTTTTCTGTGCTGTTTCTATTATTTGAAATGCTCAGTCTCATTAATACCTCTCTCAAAGACAGCTTAGTTTACTAGCTGTTGAACCTCATTAAAAAAGGTGAAAACAGGTACAAGTGGAAATAATATACACTCTTTTCTTCCTACTGTAAGGCTACTGAAGAGTAGCATCACTGTCATGTTAGAACTGGCTCAAGTATCCAAATTCTTTTAAAAGATTTGTTTTGAGAAGTGTCTGTTCATGTCCTTCGCCCACTTTTTGATGGGGTTGTTTGTTTTTTTCTTGTAAATTTGTTTGAGTTCATTGTAGATTCTGGATATTAGCCCTTTGTCAGATGAGTAGGATGCGAAAATTTTCTCCCATTTTGTAGGTTGCCTGTTCACTCTGATGGTAGTTTCTTTTGCTGTGCAGAAGCTCTTTAGTTTAATTAGATCCCATTTGTCAATTTTGTCTTTTGTTGCCATTGCTTTTGGTGTTTTGGACATGAAGTCCTTGCCCACGCCTATGTCCTGAATGGTAATGCCTAGGTTTTCTTCTAGGGTTTTTATGGTTTTAGGTTTAACGTTTAAATCTTTAATCCATCTTGAATTGATTTTTGTATAAGGTGTAAGGAAGGGATCCAGTTTCAGCTTTCTACATATGGCTAGCCAGTTTTCCCAGCACCATTTATTAAATAGGGAATCCTTTCCCCATTGCTTGTTTTTCTCAGGTTTGTCAAAGATCAGATAGTTGTAGATATGCGGCATTATTTCTGAGGGCTCTGTTCTGTTCCATTGATCTATATCTCTGTTTTGGTACCAGTACCATGCTGTTTTGGTTACTGTAGCCTTGTAGTATAGTTTGAAGTCAGGTAGTGTGATGCCTCCAGCTTTGTTCTTTTGGCTTAGGATTGACTTGGCAATGCGGGCTCTTTTTTGGTTCCATATGAACTTTAAAGTAGTTTTTTCCAATTCTGTGAAGAAAGTCATTGGTAGCTTGATGGGGATGGCATTGAATCTGTAAATTACCTTGGGCAGTATGGCCATTTTCACGATATTGATTCTTCCTACCCATGAGCATGGAATGTTCTTCCATTTGTTTGTGTCCTCTTTTATTTCCTTGAGCAGTGGTTTGTAGTTCTCCTTGAAGAGGTCCTTCACATCCCTTGTAAGTTGGATTCCTAGGTATTTTATTCTCTTTGAAGCAATTGTGAATGGGAGTTCACCCATGATTTGGCTCTCTGTTTGTCTGTTGTTGGTGTATAAGAATGCTTGTGATTTTTGTACATTGATTTTGTATCCTGAGACTTTGCTGAAGTTGCTTATCAGCTTAAGGAGATTTTGGGCTGAGACCATGGGGTTTTCTAGATAAACAATCATGTCGTCTGCAAACAGGGACAATTTGACTTCCTCTTTTCCTAATTGAATACCCTTTATTTCCTTCTCCTGCCTGATTGCCCTGGCCAGAACTTCCAACACTATGTTGAATAGGAGCGGTGAGAGAGGGCATCCCTGTCTTGTGCCAGTTTTCAAAGGGAATGCTTCCAGTTTTTGCCCATTCAGTATGATATTGGCTGTGGGTTTGTCATAGATAGCTCTTATTATTTTGAGATACGTCCCATCAATACCTAATTTATTGAGAGTTTTTAGCATGAAGGGTTGTTGAATTTTGTCAAAGGCCTTTTCTGCATCTATTGAGATAATCATGTGGTTTTTGTCTTTGGCTCTGTTTATATGCTGGATTACATTTATTGATTTGCGTATATTGAACCAGCCTTGCATCCCAGGGATGAAGCCCACTTGATCATGGTGGATAAGCTTTTTGATGTGCTGCTGGATTCGGTTTGCCAGTATTTTATTGAGGATTTTTGCATCAATGTTCATCAAGGATATTGGTCTAAAATTCTCTTTTTTGGTTGTGTCTCTGCCTGGCTTTGGTATCAGAATGATGCTGGCCTCATAAAATGAGTTAGGGAGGATTCCCTCTTTTTCTATTGATTGGAATAGTTTCAGAAGGAATGGTACCAGTTCTTCCTTGTACCTCTGGTAGAATTCGGCTGTGAATCCATCTGGTCCTGGACTCTTTTTGGTTGGTAAACTATTGATTATTGCCACAATTTCAGAGCCTGTTATTGGTCTATTCAGAAGACATTTATGCAGCCAAAAAACACATGAAGAAATGCTCATCATCACTGGCCATCAGAGAAATGCAAATCAAAACCACTATGAGATATCATCTCACACCAGTTAGAATGGCAATCATTAAAAAGTCAGGAAACAACAGGTGCTGGAGAGGATGCGGAGAAATAGGAACACTTTTACACTGTTGGTGGGACTGTAAACTAGTTCAACCATTGTGGAAGTCAGTGTGGCGATTCCTCAGGGATCTAGAACTAGAAATACCATTTGACCCAGCCATCCCATTACTGGGTATATACCCAAATGAGTATAAATCATGCTGCTATAAAGACACATGCACACGTATGTTTATTGCGGCACTATTCACAATAGCAAAGACTTGGAACCAACCCAAATGTCCAACAATGATAGACTGGATTAAGAAAATGTGGCACATATACACCATGGAATACTACGCAGCCATAAAAAATGATGAGTTCATATCCTTTGTAGGGACATGGATGAAATTGGAAACCATCAGTCTCAGTAAACTATCGCAAGAACAAAAAACCAAACACCGCATATTCTCACTCATAGGTGGGAATTGAACAATGAGATCACATGGACACAGGAAGGGGAATATCACACTCTGGGGACTGTGGTGGGGTTGGGGGAGGGGGAAGGGATAGTATTGGGAGATATACCTAATGCTAGATGACACATTAGTGGGTGCAGCGCACCAGCATGGCACATGTATACATATGTAACTAACCTGCACAATGTGCACATGTACCCTAAAACTTAGAGTATAATAAAAAAAATAAAATAAAATAAAATAAAAATAAATGAAAAAAAAAAAAAAAGAAAAAAAAAAAAAAAAAAGATTTGTTATGTGGTGAATTTAATTGCCTAAAGGCAAATTTCTGCAGGGACCTTTGTGATTTTTGTAATCTAGATAATTTTCATGTTCCTACTACTATTTTTCAAACTTCAATTTTTATACAGTTGAAATAGTAGAAAAATGCCCTAGAGCAGCCTCAGAAGACCTGGAAAAGATGGACAGTTTTTTGATAACAGTGAGGCTGTCTGTGTATGTTTGTATTTACGTGATTCATTTAAAACTTCCAACAATCCAGTCAGGGCAAGAATTATTATCCGCGTTTTTCAGATTTAGAAACAAATGGAGACTAATAAATGTGCCCAGAGTTCTACAAGTAATAAATAGCAGAATAGGAATTAAAAAGCAGGCAGACTGATTCTAGAACTTAGGTACCTAACCACTATTGTCATGCCTTTATGTTGGATGGAGTGATTGTAGAAGAGGGATAGTTAGAAATAAGGATATGGAGTTTAGAGCCAGACAGAACTTAACTTTGAAAAAGGTACTAGGATTTAACATTGAGCAAAACAAAATATCCCTAAGCCTTAATGTTTACATTTGTAAAATAATAATACAAGTTATTTTCCCAGGATGCTATAGGCATTATAGATAATGTATATAAAATATCTGCCACATAATAAGTACTTGATAATCGGTAGCTGTTTGTTTATGGTTACCATATCATATATCTTGAACTCCAGGTCTCTGTAGCAGTGGCACCATCTGATTTCTCTCTTGGTAGTTATAGTCCAGGATCACTAATAATCTCTAATCACTAAAGTAGTTAGGACTCCTAAAATTATCCATCTTCATTCTAAGTAGGGATGATCATAGATCCCAGTTTATGACTTGAATAGAAATATAAAACTTATTGTACCAAGAAATATCTTATTTATAAGTTTAGAAGACCTTGAGTATGTCATTTTATTGTGAGTAAAATTGAGTATAGTCTTCACTCATCCTATTCCTAGTCCATTTGATTATTCATTTCAGAAGTGGATCTCAGTTGTCTAAAGAACTTTACATTTCCAGTTTCCAGCTAGACTTGTCAGTGAGAGACTTTATTTTCATCTGTTTTTCAAAAGATGAAAATGGGATTATGATCATTTAAATTCCAAGAATGTATTTTAAAGTAAAACATTATGAAGTTTTACAATCTGTGTGCTGTAGAAAAGAACAAAGTTCTAAGCCTGTGTTTTAAACCTGTTTTCCATTATTTAGCTTATCTTTGGAATAGATTGTGAATCTATAGTCCACATCCAACAAATAGTAATTTGTGTGCTGGTCTGCTAATTAGTATGGCTGTTGCTCGTTTTGTTGATGAGGCTTAAATAAATGTCAAGGGTACAGCCATGAAGATCTCCCAATTAGGCTCCACATTTGTAAAACCCAACCCTTTTCCCTTTTGTGTAAAGATGACAGTTCCAACAGCAGCCCCAGCCTAACAGGACTCCAGGGAAAGGATCCTTCTCTGGTTTTATTGAAAACAGGGCCAGTGAGTCCACTGAGAATATAGCCACTGGTCATGGTGCAGAACAGTCTTAATCCTATGTACTTATGTTCTTTCATCAGTTTTATTTTAGAATAGAATACTGGAGACTTAGTGAAAAATATAAGATAACATAAATCTATAATCTGAGATTATGTTTAAAAATACTTACTTGTAAACATTTACTAACATTTTCTTTTCTAAGAATAAGAAATTTCTTTAAATAATATGTAAAAGTTATATATATCTGAGATATTGCTCCATATTAGCCATGCGTGGCTTAGTCTAGCAGTTATAATGTG
The DNA here is from genome assembly GCF_000001405.40 of Homo sapiens. Lineage (NCBI taxonomy): Eukaryota > Metazoa > Chordata > Mammalia > Primates > Hominidae > Homo > Homo sapiens. Next base: position 197,529,597 of record NC_000001.11, on the reverse strand, counting down.
TATGTTTCTGTGTGTCTTCATGAGACTCACAGACACCTCAACTATACTAGTGAACAAGCATGAGAGCTTAGCTGTATTACAAGTCGACATTAACAGATGGATGGCCCTAAGCAAGGCAAAATCACCACAACAAAACCTAGGGAAAGTGGGGGACTGAAGCTTTTTGTTGTTAAGCCCTATTAAAACCCTGGCACACGCATATGCACACACACACCCACCCACCCACACATACACATGTGCGCGCGTGCACACACACACACACACATATATATACACACATATATATACATATATACACATATATACATATATATACATATATACATATACACACACACACACACACACACACACATATATATATATATATATATATATATATATATATATATATCACTCTTAACTATTTCATGTCGGGAAAAATAGCAATATTTTTAGATTTTCAACCTCCAGTTAATTATGTAAAAACAGCATGAGAAAATGAGTGGAAAGTTATTTTTCATTTGCAGTGTGATACAAAGCAGTATGCTTGTTGATAAATACTCTCACTTGGAATGTTACCCAAATAAAGTGTTTACAAATAGAAATATGTTTAATAGTCATAATTTCTACTATTAGACCAAGCACTATTAAACTGGTGGACGTTTATTTTACTTAATATAGTCACATACAGACTAATAGTTTTGAGGTATAAAGAGTTATCTTTTGAATGCACAAATAAGAATTTTTTTTTTTTTTTGAGATGAGTCTCGCTCTGTCACCCAGGCTGGAGTGCAGTGGCGGGATCTCGGCTCACTGCAAGCTCCGCCTCCCGGGTTCACGCCATTCTCCTGCCTCAGCCTCCCAAGTAGCTGGGACTACAGGCGCCCGCCACTACGCCCGGCTAATTTTTTGTATTTTTAGTAGAGACGGGGTTTCACCGTTTTAGCCGGGATGGTCTCGATCTCCTGATCTCGTGATCCGCCCGCCTCGGCCTCCCAAAGTGCTGGGATTACAGGCGTGAGTCACCGCGCCCGGCCATAAGAATGTTTTAAGCATAAAATATAATCTGTGATTTTATATTTTTATCCATTATACAAGGTGATATCACACTTAGAAATGAAACTTTTTGTCTTTTTGGATCTTTATGTATTTAATGGTTTATAAAACATTCTAATGGATTTGTGGAACATAGCACAATAGCTATGAGTTCATTTTATAGTTGATGAGTAACATACTTTTATATTTTAAAATATGCTCAGAAGTCATATATACTTTTATGCATGCAGAGACTTACAAGTAAAGCATTTCAAAGCCATGTTTTGATTGAACAGGGACTTAAGAGAAATCTCAATATGTTAGCATCTTATTTAAAAATATGAGCAATCAAATAGTTTATTTTTATATATAATAAATGTCATATTTTAAAATGCTACAGATGTAATTTTCTGTGAAACTTATAAGAAAAGAATATCTTAGGTTCTCTTAAATTACTTAGTTCCTAAGCATAAGAAAAGATGGGATGTCCACACCTAGTAGGGTGTGGTTTATAGTATTGTATTTATGAAACACTTTCATTCATAGGAATTCATTGGACTCTGGGAATAAAATAAATGTAATTAAATACAATGTTTCTTGTTCGGATGATGTAATAGATTTCGGAAAACTGTATACTTGTTGGGATCTTTGGAAAAATACTATCTATTGAATAGTTTGCCTTACTGGTCAGGAAAGAAATGGTGTACTCAGTGTTTATAGAGGAGAGTAACCACTTACTTTTGACCAAAAAAAAAGTGATTGTAAATCAAAAAAAGAAAGATAGTTGTTACATGGGGTGAGAGTGGGGCAGAAAATTAGAAAGAATACTTTACTTTGTAAAATAAACGTTTACAAAATAATACAAATAATTGAATCAAATCATGATAAGCAAGACAATCTTTATTTTTATCACTGTGTAATTTGGCTCAGTATTGAGAACACTGTTATCAAGCTGAAATGTTAAAGTAATAAGAAAATATTGTAAAACTTCAAGCGATAGGCCAGGCACAGTCGCTCATGCCTGTAATCCCAGCACGTTTGGAGGCCGAGGCAGGCGGATCACTTGAGGTCAGGAGTTCGAGACCAGCCTGGCCAACACGGAGAAACTCCATCTCTACTAAAAATACAAAATTAGCCAGGCATAGTGATGCATGCCTATAATCCCAACTACTCGGGAGGCTGAGGCAGGAGAATCACTTGAACCCGGGAGGCAGAGGTTGCGGTGAGCCAAGATCATGCCAAACTCTGCCTCAGAAAAAAAACAAAAACAAAAAAAAACCTTCAAGTGATCAACTCTTTTGAAATAAGTTAAGTGAATGTTCTTCTTTTAACACACGTCCATGTCCATAAAAAAAATACTGCCTAAATGAAAACACATTTTAGCAGTCAGCGTTCCAAAGATATATGTAGACTAATTATATTAATACTAATGTCAATAATTTATAAATTGATCTTTTGAGTTCACTTTGAAAAATACACTCTCCATATTGTTAATGTGACAGAAAGTTATTTTTCTCTTTTGTTTCTCTGTTGAAATAATATTAATTTCCAAAATATTAAATTTGATTATAATTAAATGTTTGTTTTAAATCAGTTATGGATTACAAGGGTGCCCTCTAGTGGACATTATGTAGTACTTTCCTTAAAAGAAGATAGTTACACAAAAAATTTTTAGCGCCTTTCAGAATAGTGTGTCTTTTAGAAACACAACAGAATACACATTGAGACCTTTATATTGTCATAAGATTATTCAAGAACATAATTCTATCAAATAAATAATTCAAAACCAGCTCCTTTCAATAACTTGCTTGGACTTCATTTTTAAAATGTTTAGCTCTGCTGAACAATACTAGTATATTAATAACATATAATGGAAGATAATCTTTTTATGTGAACATGTTCAGTATATATTTTGAGACATTTTAAAGTTGACATGTACCTTAATGTTGTAATTTTACTCTTCAAATTTATTGCCAGAAATGACTGACATTTATTACAATGTCTTGAAACAAAAACAAAGGTACTCAATTTCTCCATTTAGTAAATCTAGTGAATACTACCATTCTAGACTTTACATCAGTAATCACATCATTAATATTTTTTCCTCCCTATATTCTGTCCTATTTGACTTTGTTTTTTTTCCCTGTTGCCTTTTTTGTTTGTAAGGGGTCTTGATTAAATTAACAACAGTTCTCTATTCCAAAAGTGCCTACCTTTTGTAAACAAATTATTATTGTTTTCCAAGAATCTTAGGATAAAGAAATGCTGATTTTCTTCTGGTTTTGAATATAGAGCTGCTTTTAAAGTTTGTCAGAGATCAATGCTGGTGTTGATGAAAGGAAAAACCAGTCTTTTCTTTGTAGGGCTACTGCTGCTGCCTATTAGTGTCCCCCAAGAGAAAGGAATTTTCAGAAATGTCAATAGATCTCTAACTATGGGGGTATAATAGGATCTTATAATTTGAGCTGGATTTGTATCTGCTACACATTGTTATATTTCCTAACATGTTTTCCTAACATAAAACACTAGAATAATACATAAATATCTTAAGTTGGCCTGTGCGCCTATACTAATTACAAAATAGGACTATGTTTTTCAACCTTCTCTGAAGTTTCTTTATGGCTTTTCTAACATATGAATATAATATCAGTTATTTCACAGATCTGTTCTCTTTTTGCCTTTATTAGTGTCTTTGACGTTTATAGTAAATGCTTTTGAAAACTAGTATTATTTGATTCTGACACCAAAATATAATTGCAATTTCTGTTAAGACCTTTGATTCATTTAACACCAGAAGCATTTTAATACTCTACTTATGTGTGATTCCACACATACACATTTATGTTCATTATATATTAATATGGTAAATCTGAGAAATAAAATGCAGCTATAATTATTTTACTAACAAATATTTTAACCCTTAGCTGTATATTTTTTGAAAACATAATTTACTAAGGTGATTGAAAATAATATGGTTCTTTTCTTCAGTACTGACTTCTAAATTATTTATCCCAGCTAGAAAAGTCATCTTCACATTAGTTAGTGAGAGGAACTGAATTCTGTGTCTTACTGATAATACAGTAGACTTGTCATGTATTAAGAAACCTTTTTAAATGTTGAAATATTGAAACCCTGTCAACAAAAGTGAAATTGCAAATAGCTTACCATTTATCAAAGGGTTACTGACTTATTTATTTTGTTTTGAGAATACTATTTAATAGTCTTATAAAACTTGTATTTGCACTGATCAATAATCTTTTGGTCCTGAAAAGTTAGTGCAGGGTCTTTGGTAGAATTTGCATTTTCAAATATTAAAGACCAGAAAAAAATAATGAAACAATGTATTTTAAAAATTTAAAATTGATATAATTACTTGGCATATGAACTATCTTTAAAAGTTGGCTAAAAGTATTAACAGTTCACAACCATACTACATATAAACACAGGTGAATAATGAGACCTCCTGTGAATACAAGACCTTCTTTCTACCTATTAACACACTTCAGTGAGAGACAGTCTTTTAGAATCCCTGATAGAGTGCTGCCATTGAATGGGTTTTTATGTAGTTTCTGATTAACAATGGGGAAATGAATTATAAACTACTGTGTTTCTGGGATCTTTTAGATAGAAACTAAACTTCCTAATCTGTGTTCAGTAAAAGCAGTCTGTAAAGGGGTCAGTTCTGATTTCTCATATTCTCTCTAAAATCTAATATGCAGATTTCTTTAGTCAAATTCTAGAACAGACCCCAACTTAGCATTAATAAGCATTTAATGCATTGTGAACATAATGGACATACCATAATGGAGAGTCTGTCTAATTCAGTTCAACACAACCAGTATCTAGCGTGTGCTGGTTTACAGCTTTCGAGATTGTATACCTCCTCTGAACACCTACTTTGTGCTAGGCCTGCTGATCTAGAGCTTTCAAGATCACTTATCTCCTCTTAACTTACTAAGGACCATTATTTACAAATTCAGAAAGACTTTACTTCATTGATGTTTATTTTTACTCTTCCTTTTTACATCCAACCATCACCCTCATCACTTAATAGAAAGACCCCCTGCGGGAATGTAAAGATTCCAGGCTTTGTAGTATAAGAGATCAGGATCAGAACAGTGTGCCGCTTGGATGGTATGTGAACTTGAGTAACTTTCCTAACTTCTCTAATCCTCTTAGCCCTCAGATCTATAAAATATTGATAATTATATCCACTTCCATAGAGTTATTGTGAAGATTAGAATTAGTGTAGTGACAGAATTTGTTCTTCCAGCAGTCACCAGAAGTTTCATAAATATTAGTAATATTGTTTATATCCTGTCAACTTTTAACAACAACATACCAAAAAAAAATTAATGAATGCCAACTATGCGTTGGGAGCAGAATGAATTAGACTGGTTTCTAATATCCCTCAGTTCTTGGATGCTCTGTTTTGTTTCTTCTTGTTGATTTTTTTGTTTGTCTTATTTTTCCTGCTCTCTTCTTCCTTTGTGTTTCATTTTGAATAATTTCTATTGACCTGTCTTAAAGAGCACAGAATCTTTCCTTAGTCTTCCAATGGGCCCATCAGAAGAATTCTTCATGTCTTACATCATTTGAGTTTTTTTTATCACTTGACTTAAAAAAAAAATAGATTCCATTTCTCTGCTATCGTTCCATCTATTCATGCATGTTGTCCATCTTTATTTTTCTTGCTTTTTCATGTCTTATAATTCTTAATTGAACAATGGACCCCATGTATAGAAAGAGTTAAACAGCATTTACACCCAGAAATGGGTAGAAACAGTTAAATAGTATTTACACCTAGAAACTGGCAGGCTCTTCTTCTATCATGCTGTTTGTATAAGAGGCTGAGTCCATCGGAAAATGAACTGGATTTTGATTTTGTTGATATCATTGCCTGTAATGGGCTGCTATTATCTTGTGCTTAGAGTAGAGTCTTCTAAAGAAGGTACTGGAAAGCTTTCTCAGTGTTCTTGCTTCACTCTGAGCTATCAGCAGTCCTGGAACCCCTGAGCTATATAGAGGCTTTTCTTTCAATGTTTTTGCCCCTCCAAAGCAGTTAACATCTGTGACTAGTTAGTTGATCCTAGCCTTATGTGTTCTCTATGCTTGTCTTAAGTGGGCCATGCGCCCCCGTGCCTTAGGAGTGGGACTTTCTTAGCATCCTTCCACTTTCTTTTCATGGCAGAGAAACTTCCTTATATCTGTGATTGGTCTTAGGTGGCCGAGGCTTTTCTGCCCTGCTCAGTGGTAGTAGACCTCTGCTTGGTATCAATATAGGATTCTGTTCTTAAGAAGGCTTCTTATTCTTCCCTAGGGCAGATAAAGGTTTTACTTCTACATTTCCCCCAGCAGTCTTGGGAGGCAGTGAGTTTGTCAGCAGTTTAAGGCTTTTGTTTTATATAAATGAATGTCCTCAAAGGTCATTGGGACTTCATGCCTGTCCCTGTGCAGCCTGTCACTTCCTGCAAGCCTGAACCACCAAGGGGAGTGCTTTTCAGTCTCCTGTACTGCTCCCAATTTTTCTTATGAGCACGAGGTAGTAGAGTTACCTCAATTGGAAATAAAATTAAAGAAATTTACATATGGAAAAGAGCTTGCGTGTGCAAACTCCCCCTGTCTTTGAGACGCTCAGCTATTCTAAGCTGACATGTTAGCCCATGGTTGGCCTTTAAGACCTTATTGACATTTTAGCAGATTTTTTTCTTACCTGTTTATATGGCAGCTACCTCTTCCCTTGTGCTTTGCCAATGGTGAAATTAATCCTGTCTCTCATCTCTCCTTGGAGGAGCTTCTAATATATGAAATTCAGTTTACTTGGTTGACTTGCAACACAGGTCTCATAGGTTCAACAAAAATTATGATTTTTTAAAAAGATTATCCAGCTTTTTCTCATTGTTAGGATGGGAGTGACATTCTCTTGCAGGTTTTACCTTCTAAGTTGAAGTGGAAGTGATATTAGAAGCAAAACAAATGAAAAGATATGATTCTTAGTCTCAAGGATTTGGTAAGAGAGGAATGTACTTAAAATTAAACACTGCCTTTATAATGGAGAATATATCAGATGACAGTTGAGTGGTAGAGAAATAAGTGAATAAAACTGACAAGGATTCTGAAATCACTATGGACTGGGAGAATTGGTAAAGGGTCCTTGGATGTGTTACGGCCACATCAGAATCTTTCCTAGTGACCTAGTCTCACATAGCAGTCACCTGCTCAAGGAATGTAATTCTGATGCTTGTGTAAAATTTTGTGTCCTTAGCCTAATAATAACAGCCCTTAATCAACTGAATTCATCAGACTTCACCAAATACGTATCTTGATAATCTTCCAGTTTGCCTTTTTGCCCTGACACGTATGTTTTCAGCATATTTCGCAAAGTATGTTCAGCTCTTGTCTCTTCATCCTGACATCTCACCTACCTGGAACATTAGCACTCTTATTATTCTGAAACTACCACTTGCCTTAAAAAATGAGATTTATAGCTTGCCATTTTTAGAGCTAGCCTTTCTCAGGCTAGTTCTTGGACATTTATTTCTTCTGGGTCTCTCTGGACTTATTTATCTAGCATAGTTATGATGAAAACAGTTCTGTTCATGAGTCAGAACACTTGGGTTGGAGTCACATTCTGTCACTTATGATTTACCTTGTCTTGCCCAAGTCACTTTGCTTTGTTAATCTTTTGGTTTCCTAATATGTAAAATAGAGAAAATGTTCACCAAATTTGTTGTATAGTAGATATTTAAATGAAATAAAATACAGTACATAAAGTAGCTAACACATTGAAGCAAGTCAATCATGGGTAAGTCTTTTAACTCTTTAGTTATTACCTATACAAATTAAAACACATCTTTTTAAAGCTTGTTTTGAATTATAAACTGCCATGCATTTTAAGATGTCACTATTATAATTATACATTATTATTTAATTTATTCACATATTATTTCATGCAGGTATTTTTTTCTTAGGCTGCAAAATACATAAGCTTGGGGATTTGTTGTAGACTTTAGATAAGCAAGGTAACACTTCTGGATCTCAGTTGCCTCAACTGTAAAATGGAGGGTAGTACAGATTGTACCTACTTTCAAAAAATTTATGTATTACAAGCATCTTAATTTTCTTATGTCTAAAAAGTTATATTTTCTCATTCGTCTGCCTATATCCCTTATTCCTTCCCCTCCCAAACCCCAGGAATTTAAATTTACCCTGCATTTTGCCTTTTTAATATTTGTCTGCCACCTGGTGATCAAAATGGTAACTGCAAGGTTAACAGTCTCCTTGGTGCATCAGGGGAGTGATTTTCATCATTCTACTTTCTGATTCACTTTCTGGAAACCATTGCAGTGAAAAGAAAGATTTATTTTGCTTACTGTAACGAAACTAAACTTATTTCTTGAGATCTCCTCAGACATTAAGTTCTATGATTTTGTGTCTTGGTCCTTCTACCTCTGTCACATTTTGTGTACATTTTCTTACATTTTTTTCTTTCATATAAAATACTTTTCCTTCTTGTCTTTACCAGTATATATTTTTTCACTTAGTGTCCACCTGTAGGGTCAGTGTTTCTAGTAGAATATCTCCTCTAGTAAGTTGTATTGCATGCTGATAGCCTTTTTCATTAGTTTAGTACCTTTTCACATTCTTAGCAAGCATCCCTTGTTATACGAATGTTCACTTCATGAATTTTTACATATATTAGATGTGTACTTGACATTTTACATTTTCAGGGGAGCAAAACTTTTACAATTATGTGTGTTTAGGCCCTAGGAGCAGTCTAATTGAGGTTGTGTGACATCCAATTCCCCATTTTATTCTTAATTCTTTGTATCAGAATGATATAAAACTTTGCTTATTTTGTTTTCTCATGATGTATTTTACATCCAAAAAAATGTACCCTTGTTTTGCACAGTACTGTCTTTCAAGAGAGTTACTAATTTGCACAGCATCAACATGACTAGTGAAATAACCAGTGTTAATGTGATAGCTACACCAGGTCTGTACAGTTCAGAAACTTCTATACCTTCTTATTTGATCTCAGAATTTACCGATGTTTATAATATGTAGTTACAGTTATATTATTAGCTGACTGGACCTATTTTTTCATTATTTAGGAACATCAACAATTTGACACTACTTATCAGTATTAATGGTCATTTAATGTAAGATTTTCATCTATGATCAAAAAGTTTATCAATTATGTTCATACAATGAGGAATAAAGTTTTTATTTATAACTGCTCTACTATATGTAGTATTTTGGCATTTCACCCTATATTTTTTAAGTGTCTTGAGAAAAGGGAACATCTTTTTCATTTATTTTGTTATGCTTCACAGCATGGAAGGCAGTAGTATGCATGTAATAAGTGCTTAATGGATGTTGAAGTGAAGAGATGCTAAGAACTGAAAGAAAAATGAGATACAGCTACTGACTTTCAGGGAATACGCAGTAGCAGCTTTCAGTAGGTTCTCAATAAATATTTCTTGATTAGATGGATTTCTATTGCTCTTCATTATCAGGACCTGTAAGTCCAGAGGCTATCCCATGCCTGCCTGCCCCTACTAAATTCTCATCTCCCATACTTCCCTGCTAAATCTATGATTTCCCCCACCTTACTATTATAATCCCCCTTGAATTTAAATTTCCAGCTTTTGCCTTCTTAATATATGTCTGCCATCTAGTGATTAAGAGGATAACTGCAAGTCTTAATGGGCCCCTTAAAAAATCCCATGTACCAACATAAGCCCCAATCCACAATGCACCAATAGTTACCTTTCATTCCTTAGTATTTGCCCTGATTGTCCCACCACTGGACATTTGCACATATTGCTACATCTTCCATCATCTAACTAACCTACTAACTTTTCAGAGCTCAACTCAAATATCTTTCAGGGAAAGACTTCCCTTGACCTCCCACACTAGGTCAACTTCCTGAAGGGCTTTCATAGCAATCATAGTTTAGTACAAATTAACCGAAGTCATAATTTTTATGCTTATTTGTATGACTGTTCAATTTAATTCATGTCTCATTTACTAGAATATAATATCCATGAGGACAAGGGGCCTCTTCTTAGTTATCACTGTGCTCTAGCGTGTAGCCCAATGCCTGGCACAAAGCAGGCATTTCTTTAATCTTTGTTGAATGAATGAATATAATACCCTTCTGTGCCTCATGGACACTAAAAATGTTTATGTCAGTGAACTAGTATAGTACTTTATCCTTTATGTTTTTCTTATCAGTTCATTAATAGGTTCTCAGCAAAAACTACCTACTATGTATAAAGATATTCATTTATTCAGAAAACATTTCTGCCTGACCTAAAGAATAATTTTACAATAAAAATAAACTTATGACTCATATTTTAATTAGCTCATTAATTAATATGGAAACCCCAGTAAGGTGGTATAAAGGACAATCTGAAAAAGAGAAACACTCGAGTACTGAAATGTATATGCTGACAGATACAAAACCATAATATCCACAATGTAATAATTACATCTTCACTGGACAAAATTTACTTGCATCTCTATGGACAAGAAACATTTGCATTACCGTCAGTCTTTCACAAGTTAATTTCTATCTTTACAGAGCTATAAAAATAGAACCTATGAATGGTGCAGACCTGTATAGTATCAGAAAAACCTGGAAAAGAATGCTAGACAGCACTCAGCATTCCACTGGGAGGATAGCAATATTTTTTTTGCCCATTTCAAAGTCTTTCACAGTTTTCCCGACAGTCTCCCCACTTGTGTTCATAATAATCTCTAAGATTGTTCTTAGTCACAAAAAGAAGACTGTTCTTACTAGATTTGGCCTATTTATGTTGGGGCAACCAGAAAGCTAATTAACCATTTAAGCCTTCTTGAGTTTGCATTGTAAATCTAGAGCCATGCAGTATTGACTAGCTAAGCCTTCAGAATTTCCTTACTTATGTAAATTTTCATAAGAAACCTCAGATTGAGCCTATATAGTCTCTGCTATTTGCTATCTTGAAGCTAAGCAACTAAGCCCAAGAAAACTTGCCACCATATGGTTTACCTGAAACATCTGTAAATTAAGGTGAGTTCCTCTTGAGATTCTCCAAATTTGCTAAGGTTCCTGGTTTTCTAGAAAAAGGCCTTCCTTACCCCAATAAGGTTGGACTTTCTCAGGCAGACAGCATGTAAGTTTTCCTGGGAGGGTTTTGTGGGCATTAACTGCATAAATACAACAACCTCTTTGTTCCATTCTAGTGGATTGTCATTACTGCCACTTAAGATAAGGCGTTGGTTATACAATTTGTCCAATTATATCCTGGCAAGATAGTTGAAGACAATGAAAGATGCAGAGCACTACAAAACTTGATAACCCCCACAGGACCTTCTAGACAGCATTCATAATTCCACTGGTCAGACACCTCATAATCATTTTGCTCCTTTCAGAGTCTTTTGCAGTTTTCCTGGAACTAGTATGTATGACACAATGTGCTAGATTCTGAGGGCACAAGAGATAAATTAGCAAGGCAAGGGGTCTGCCCTCAAAAGCCTACTGTACGGTGGGAGAGAGAATGTAATGGCATATAAATTAATTGGTGAGCAAGGGAGTGTTTCCTGGAAAGATAAACTCTTGAGCCAAGGTTTGAAGGATAACTAAAAAACAAACAAACAAACAAACAAAACATGGGGAGGCTGGGGGGAAGAGCCAGGAAGAAAGAAGTTTTGGTAGCATGTCAGCCCACGTGTAGGACAGAGGCAGAAGACATTGAGAAGTATACAAGAGAAGGAGACGGTTTAGTAGTGTGGAGCAAACATCTTTATGGCAGGTGAAGCCTCCAGAGAGGCTGCCATAGCCAGATCCCTCTGTGCAAGGCAAGTAGTATGAGCTTTATCCTGAAGACTGTAAGGGGCCATTGAAGGATTTCTTTAAATAGGAGTATAGCATGATTAGGTTTGCCTTTTAAAAAGATCACTCTGTCAGCAATTTACAGACTGTAACATTCTACAAGACAGAATAATAGAGACTCAATATGGGGTAGGCAGTTACTACGTATTTTTGAATGAAAATCGATGTGTATAGACAAAGACAGTGCAAAGAGGATAAATGTAAGAGAAAAGTGTTTCTTGTAAAGGAATCATATGCAAAGGTCCTGTGCTAGGACAAATCAGGACAAATATAAGGGGTTGAAGAAGGCCATGGTGATACCTTTGGTTAGAACAAAGGGAACCCTAGGGTGCAGACCTTGAACTTGCAGGACCTAATGAATGAAAGGCAAGTGAATGTCATTTATTCCTTTTTTCTTTTCATCAGCAAATAGTTATTGAGAAACTTCTGTAAGCTGCTATTCTGTACTTCCCCCAAGTAAGGCAACAGCCACATTTAATTATTCTCTGAATTTCTAGCATCTCTTTAATCCACAAACACCCAGTAAGCACATCCTCATTCATGCTACTACTGTCTTCCATGCTAGGAAGGCATACAGTAGGGTGCAAAGGGCACAAAGAAGTATGAAATTTGAATCCCACTTATAGAGAGCTCTGAGTGTAGTGGTGCAGGCAGACACACGAGCAGATAACACAATGAGATTAATAGTACATTTGCCAAATGTTTACCAAATATGTGGCCATACAGAGGAACACTTAGCAGATAAAGCTTTCCAGAGGCTACATTTGAGCTGGATGTTGAAGGATAAGTCACTATACCCAATTGTGTTAAAATAATGTATATATTTTTTATTTTTATTGTGTGGGTTCAGATTATTTTTCTCTATCATAGTCATTTACATTTCAGGTCCTGCATAGTTAATATGCATGTTTTTAATAATGATATGTCTGTGATTTGTTAACCTAGATGAAGATGTACTGTTACTGGCTGGGTATTGGCACCCTTAAGAATACACAATATGTTTTCTGCAGTCTAAACTTACTTACTACCATTTCCCCACAAAAGACCTTTATTTTTAAGATTGTGACCAGGCCTTTTTTCCCTGTGTTGTTATGTTCCGAACATGGGGAAAACTGTCCTTTATTTCCCCTGAAAGCACTGTGCTTCAGAGTCGCAACCCACCAGAACACCATCAGCTGCTGAGCTTGTATGGACCCAGATTATCTCTACTGCTATTCTTCTCTGTCTTAAATGTCGATTACATTATGATTATCTTTCTCCTTAATTTTTTCTCTTTTTTTGTGACCTTAACACAATTATGTAGAAGTCATCAAGCAATTGACATATTCTATCACCTGTTTGGACGTTGTTATTTCTTATATATAAACTGCAGTTCCTAATGCAGGTTGATATATATTCAATGACTATTAATTAGAAGAAGCTTATTTCATATATGTATATAATTTTAAGTACATAAGTACATGTATAATAAGTATGGATAACACAAAGGTCAACACCCAAGGAAAGGAAAACAACATATTAATCAGTTTTACTTCTGTTTATAATTTAATTGTAGTGTTAAAACTTATCATAAGATATACTGTTTAACATCCCTATATAGAAATGGATAGAATGCTTGTCTAGCTAGGAAACATGAAACTAAAATGTAAATGTATCTGTGAAGCTTATATCATGACGTAGATGTTTGATTGTGGAAAAAGCAGTAGCTTCATAAAAAAAGTTGGACTTAAAAAATAGAGATGCTATAGTATATGCAGACAGCTACAGAATATAAAGGTAACTTTTGTGGAAGAAAATGAACAAGGGACTTGCAACACAATAGGGAAAGACATAAGTTCTGTTTTCTGGTTCCTAGTTTTGATAAAGTGTGTGTGCTTGGGCAAATTATATACTTCTCTTGGAATAACTCCAGATTTATTGTAGGGTCCATTAGACTTAGAGCTGTTTAGTGTCAAAGGCTTGACTTAATTTAACTTCGTAGTATCTGTGTGTATGTGAGAGTGTTTTGCAAAGTACTCTACAAATATAAACACTGTTGAGTATGTATTATCTAATCTTCCTGTATTAGTTCTTAAGTAGCAGTGATTTTAATTGATAGCAATATAAAGTCTCAGCTTCCTCATAGACTTTGTTTCAGTTTGTTTCATTTGTAAACAAAAACTTAAATGCAGGACCTGCTAGCTGGTATAAAGCCAAGCATATACAGAGCTCAGTGTAATACTAATGGCTTGTCTTCAGAAACAAAGGATTGTATCATATTTTGTGAGTTTTGGAGAGAGTACATGAAATGTATTTTTCCCACAGAAATATTGCTGTGAGTGGTGGCTTTGTTCTTAGGCTACTCTGCAGATTTCTGTTTAACTCATGTACCTTAAACTTATAGTGATAAAGTGATAGGCCCCAGTTTTAGACAGTTAGAGGCCCCAGATACATTTCTAATCCCTGAACTTATGGAAACCTCACTACACATTCCGAGTAGGGGTTATAAGAGCATATTTTACTACTCATTCCTTCCTTTTTGCCACTCACAAGCAGTGGCATAAAGGGAGTGGAGTAGGGATCAGTCCTATAGGTTCCATAAATTTGCTTACTCTTTGTGGCTGCAATAAAAGAAGACAATTATCTAGATTGGGAACTCAAAATCAGAAGGCAGAAAGTTATTCCTCTCTGGTGTCATGGTTGAAGTCTCCAAATTCAAGTTTACTGTTGTTCATTCAAAAGGATGGTTTGCAGCCATAAGCACCCATAGCACCCAGACTCGAAATTTAAATGCCATTTCCCATCTACAGAAACCAGTGTTTTTTAGAAGAAATGGCTGATTCCAGGTTTGATGCAGAAAAATTCTAAGTTGAAATGAGACATCTTATTGTGCCAAAAACAGGAAACTTACTAAACACTTCTGAGTTTATGTCAAAGGACACAGGAATCAACTTGAAAGGGCTACCACTGGTAACAGATGGGGCCATTAAAAAAAAACAACTTTATTTTGAAAATTTCAAACATATGCAGAAGGAAGGAGAAGCTTACAAAAATCCCCAGAAACCATTTATGTAGCCTTCACCAATTATCAACTCATGGCCAATCTTATTTCAGTCACAGCCTCACCTATTCTCTTTCTCCACCATTAAATTATTTTGAAATAAATACCCAAAAGCATATCATTTAATCTGGGAATATTTCAAGTTATAGCTCTAAAAGATAAGGACTATTTTAAAAACATAATCATGGTGTATTTCAAAGATGGAACAATTTGAACATCAAGAAGAAGAATTGTGGTGGGTTGAACAACATCAAGTATCTACTAATAATGGGAATTTAAAAAAAAGACCCTCATGACTTGCCTTTAGAGATTGTTAGGACACTAGCTTAGCTCATCACTCTCAAAATTGTTAAAAGGAAAGAAATCAAGGATTTGTCCTGCCTGTCCCATACATTGTATTTTGGAATAGTCAAATAGTTGATAAGGTAAAGCTCTTCTTTATAGAATGCCAGCAAATAAATATAGAAGGAATGCTCTAGAAAAGCATAATTCTTTAGCCCCTAATGAAATAGTGGATTTAGCCAGTCGTTATCATGGAATGCTAAAACCTTCAGGTCAAAAGTTGATAATGAAATGTATAATGGATCGCTTGACGAATCATACCTGAAGTCATTAATGAATCTTAGTACCACCAAAAATGAGATATTTAAACATTATGTGCCTATACATGTTACAGTAAAAATGCACATATCAATACCCATGTAATATTCTTGCCAAAATCAAAGGAAGATGAAAAAGAAACTGAGGGTAAGCTTCCAGAGGTAGCTACCAATTTATAGGAAGTGAGGACAGGATAGCATGTTAAAGGGTATGGATGGCTTATAGGAGAGGGAAGGTTGAACTGAGTCCCCTGAAAGAGACCTGAGAAACATATCTACCAAATACAATGTTAACTTTGTTGGGATTCTGGTCCAAAGAAACGTACTAAAAAATATGGGGAGAAATAGAGGAATATGAATATGGCCTGAGTACTATAAGATATTAAAGAAAAATTATTAACTTGCTAGGTATGATAATGATATTTTGGTTATGTTTTTTAAAAAGTTGTTAAAAATACATAGTGAAGTACTTCAGGTGAATCAATAGGTTGCCTGGGATTTGCTTCAAAAACTTAATGATTCAAAGTGTGACCCCCCAGATTCAGCAGTATTGACCTTACCTAAGAGCTTGTTAGAAATGCAGAAATTCAGACTCAGAAACACTATAGAACCAGAATCTACACTTTTACATTTTTATAAGTCCCTAAGCGATTTATACGCACATTAAGATTTGAGAAGCACAGCTTTAAAATACTTGGGGTGGAAGAGAGTGTGGGCTGGGGATAAAAGAAACAAAATTGGCAAATACTGTTAATTGTTGAAACTGTGTGATGGGTGCATGAGGGTATAATTGAGTATAAGTCAAGTATCCCTAAATCAGGGCCTGAAAGTCTATGTGACTGTGCATATGTATTCAATCCAGTGATCTGTTGGGTTTTTTTTTTTTTTATTGGTTTGAGAAGTTAGTAAGTGTTGAGATAAATATACCTTATTGCTTCCCTTTCTTCCTGTCCCAGTTTGTCAAGTTATTGGATAATATTCAAAAACCCTGAATGCATATTTCTTGCAAAAGTGTTTCTTATGAAATCACATTGTTGCTTTAAAATTTGCTAAAGAGACTTATTTTAAACTGCTAATGCCAATTTATTGTCAATCTCTCTCTCCAGGCACGCTTAAAAAGGCCTCTTAAGAGCCTTGATGGTGCTCTATATGATGATGAAGATGATGATGACATTGAAAGAGCAAGCAAGTAAGTAATGGATTTTGGTGTCCTATTAAGTGGAATGGCTTAACAGCAGAAGTTTTTGGTGATAAAGGGTATTTCAAAGAGTATGCACTCTTAGAGCTCAGATGTTGCCCTTTTACAGTGTTCTTCAGCAAAAGGACCCAGTGCTCCTGGAATGTTATGGGGGATATCTTGGGACAGGAAACTAAGATGGACCTTAAATATCTTGTTCTTGGAAAGCAATAATGTCTACAGAGATATCTGGGATAGTGTTAAAGGGGCAATAGAAGCCCATCTAAATTAGGCTCTTACTCATTCTGAAGAGAGGAAGGTTAAATATCAGGAATGGTGATAATAGTCAATAGAAAGAAATGGAATTGAGGGTACAGTAGACTTAAGTCTATGGTGATATCAGAAGATGAAAATTTAATAAAAAGTGTTAAAAATTAATTTTAATATAAGGGAAATAATATATGTTTAGCTTCTTACAATTGATGTATGACAATGACAAAATGAACATTCTTTTTTCTTCATTAACTATATCTCTGTCTATGTAAAGGAATATGCATTCTCCTCTAAAATAAGTGATTAAATAAAGGAAAACCATATTAAATATTGAAAGTGAATTTAGGCTATAGCAGACTTTCCAAGTAGTTCAGTCTAATATTCCTAAAGTAAAGGTCCCAAATTCCACAGAATTAAACTGTGAAAAGCCCTGCTTCTACTTTCAGTTTCATAAGGTACCGTAAACTTTTTATTTGTTCTTAATGCATGCACAAAATATTTCCATATTGGAATTAGTATACACATCACGGTAAAGAATTTGGTGATGAACTAATTATTGATTTTGTTGTTAACTCTCTCATTAATGTAATGTAACTGGTGAGAGATTACTTACATGCAGCAAATATGGTTATTTACCTACTACTGCGTGTTTTATTTTTCTTCAGGTTATCTTCTGAAGATGGTGAAGAAGCTTCTGCTTATCTCTATGAGAGTGATGACTCTGTTGAAACAAGAGTGAAGACTCCTTACTCAGGTGAAATGGACTTACTAGGAGAGATTCTTGATACATTGAGCACACACAGCTCAGATCAGGGGAAGCTGGCAGCTGCAAAGAGCTTGGATTTCTTTAGATCAATGGATGACATTGATTACAAACCTACGGTTAGTAGATTTTTTTTTACTTATAAAATTAGAAGAAAATATTCTTGCCTTGGCTGTGATTACTGGATCTTATACTCTTTGTTGGTAGAAGCATTTAACCTCTAAGTAGGTAAGGGTCAAAACTTCAAAAATATGATAAAATTTAATCACTAGAAATTATTTCTATTATTAAAATTCTAGTATTTTCCCTTTCATTTATCTAGTTCTAGTGGTTATTGTCATTAATTGAAATTATTTTGTCAAGCAATAATGTTTTCTTGCAACCTAATTTTATACTTGTCTCTGGGGAATTTTTAAAATGTGAAATGTTTTCACTTTTTCCCCATATTTCCTGAGTTTTCAAAAAAACTTCAGTAAATGTATTCATTCAAATCATTTTTCTTACCCAAAAATGAACATGATTTTATTTTTTAACATTATTTTATGCAAATTTAACTGAATGCTTAAAAACAGCAGAGATAGAAGTATGAGTAATGACAATCCTGTTCTGATAGTAAGTGACTTCAGAACTTGGCATTAATTATATAATCTAGTTTGAATTTGTTAGGTGACAGCTGCAAGGCAGTGGAAACCAAAGTCCATTCCATTTCATCCCTGTTAATAGAGCCATTTGGAAATGTTTAAAATTGACTCTCAATGCTGTATTTTCTCTGGGAGGAACTTAACGCTATTAACATTTATTTCAAAAGAGAAAAAAGAACTAAATTAATGCTTATTAAAAGTTTTCTGAGTTTGTTGTTTCTTCTTTTTTTCAGAATAAATCTAATGCTCCTAGTGAGAATAACCTGGCTTTCCTCTGTGGTGGTTCTGGTGACCAAGCAGAGTGGAATCTTGGGCAAGACGATAGTGCCCTCCATGGCAAACACCTCCCTCCATCTCCTAGGAAGCGGGTTTCCTCTAGTGGTTTGACAGATTCTCTGTTTATCCTGAAAGAGGAAAACAGTAACAAGCACCTCGGTGCTGACAATGTGAGTGACCCTACTTCAGGACTGGATTTCCAACTCACTTCCCCTGAAGTTTCCCAGACTGATAAAGGAAAAACAGAAAAGAGGGAAACACTAAGCCAGATTTCAGATGATCTGCTTATACCCGGTCTTGGGCGGCATTCATCGACTTTTGTTCCTTGGGAGAAAGAAGGGAAAGAAGCCAAAGAGACTTCAGAAGATATTGGACTGCTCCATGAAGTAGTGTCATTATGTCATATGACATCTGACTTCCAACAAAGCTTGAACATTTCAGACAAAAACACAAATGGAAACCAAACTTAAATCTTGCATCCAAGCTTCTATGGAGACATTTTGAGATTCAATGCAATCTGTATAATAAACAGAATTATTTGTAGGAATGGCAACTCATACTATTTAAATTTTTTTTTGCATTTGCAACATTTTTCTCACTTGTTCATTTCGAGGATATATGAAATGCATTGATTTTTAAATATAAAGCGAATTCTACTGTGCTTTTAAATCAGGTACTAGTGTGTATGTATGTTTAAAGTATGTATTGACCATGAGATTTCCCAGTGTTTGGTGCTTAATGCCGTTTATTTTATTTAAGCTAAGAATGCATATGTAACCCATGCACATAACCAGTAGCTACTATACTAATCTGGTTGAGCATGAACTGATCAAGATATCAAAACTTATCAAAACTAGCCTGAAGCTGATGAAACTGTTAACCCACTAATTGCCTTAATCTTAAAGCTGTTTTTTAAGCATACTTAAATAATGTATGAAAGTATGTATAAAGTTTGAAGGATAAGTTATTAGTGTTCTGCAGAGCAATAATGCCTTTTTCTATTCATCAAATCAAGGTCAAAATTCATCTTTTCAAGATTAAAAAGCTCTCTTAATGGAAATATTTAATTTGCTTATATAAAGCACTATAGCCATGTTTTCCAAAAAGTATAAAAATATACACTTACCTTTCATTCAGTGAAATATAGGAAGTGCTGAATTACAATGTGAAGTTAATGACTTCTG
Organism: Homo sapiens; assembly: GCF_000001405.40. Taxonomy (NCBI): domain Eukaryota; kingdom Metazoa; phylum Chordata; class Mammalia; order Primates; family Hominidae; genus Homo; species Homo sapiens. The sequence goes on along the minus strand of NC_000001.11, from coordinate 197,509,745 downwards.
TTTACAAATGAGACACTCTAACGAGTTTTCAGTCTCTCTGTATGCCTTTGCTATTTAGGGGTCCACCCCAAGAAAGCCAAATACAACATAAACCGTCCTGACAAAAAAAAAAAAAAAAATCTTTTTTTAACTAATAATTCTCTATCAAAATGCTTCATATCATCATCTCAAATTTACTTTTTAAAATAATTGACTTTGTATTTTAGAAGTTTTAGATTTACAGAAAAATTGCAAAGATAGTACAGAGAGTTCCCATCTACCCCTGTTACTAACATCTTACGTTACTATGGTACATCTGCCCCAATTAGTGAACCAATATTGATATTCCATACTTTATTCAGATTTTCTTAGTTTTCTCCTAATATCCATTTTCCACATCAAGATCCTATTCAGAATACCACACTATATTGAGTTGGAATGTCTCCTTAGGCTCCTCTTGCCTGTGACAGTTTCTTAGACTTTCCTTATTTTTGATGACATTGACAGCTTTGAAGAGTACTGTCAGATAAATTGTAGCATGCTCCTCTCTTGGAGTTTGTTGGGTATTTTTTTCATGATTAGACTGGGATTGTGGGTTTTGAGGAGATGATCACAGAAGTAAAGTGCCATTTTCATCAGGTCATATCAAGGGTACGTACTGTCAACATGATTTGTGAATGCTGACAGGGACCTTGATAACCTGGCTGAGGTAGCGTTTGTCACTCTAAAGTTCTTCCTGCCCTTTCCATGCTGTCATTTTTGGAAGGAAGTCACTACATGCAGGAGTGAGGAGTCATAATTCCCCTTCTTTAGGGCAGAGAAGTATCTACATAAATAACTGGGAATTCTGTATAGAAAATTTGTTTCTTCTTTCTCAAATTCACTGTTGAGCTTTGGAATTCATCTGAGAAGGAATCATGTACTAATTACTTCATGATAGACTAGATTACCAGGCACAATCAGGGAAAAAAGCAGTGATAGTATGGTTAAATTGTTATTAGCATTTTCAGTATATCCACTTTATACATCCCCAATCATGATTTTTTTTACATTTCTTTTTAGAAAAGATGTTCAAGAAATCATTAAAGAACCCCAATAAGACTATATTCTAAATATTTATTGAAAGAATATAATTTCAGCTAAAATCCTAGAAGAGGGTTTGAAATAATTTAAAGAAAATGACCAAGTTTTTTTAAAACCTACGTTTCAAAATCTAAATGGATATGTGTTATTTGGGACACTTATTCATTATGATTATATAAGAAGACAATTCTTGTTTCCCTTATAAGTATGGACTGTATACATTAAGGAAAACAATGTTTAATCCTTATTTTTTAATACAGAAGTCTCAAGGTTCTTGTCAAATTTTGCCTTTATAAGCTTATTACAAAATTACAACTTACTTTACTGAAGTTTATAATGGAAGAAGTCCATATAGCAAAAGAGCTGTTTTAAATCAGAAGGAAAAAAGGTTACTCTGGTTGTTAATCTGCTTGGCAAATATTCCTTCATAATTTGTGAAAAGAATGCAAATCAGCATTTTAATATGAATTTTGAAATGAGGTATGGTTTTTTGTTTGTTTTTTTCAGAACTCAGTCTGAAAAACAACTGTGAGTGTAGCATGGGTCAAATTTGGTTTTTAGTCCATTTGCTTTATCAACATCACGGCTTCAGAAATCCAAATTTTGTTCTACTTTTCAGCCACCTTTCAAGGTGTTTGGTTATAATACTGTGTTGCTTTGAGGATATTTAGCCACTCATAAATAATTGTCTCAAGGTATTTAAAAGTGATTTGTGCCTTATTTTAATGCAAAATTAGCAGTTTTATTCTATTTTAAAAACAAAGGCAGAAAAACAATTCTGCATGTTATTCTTTAAAAACATCCAGAATAATACTACCAAGTATTTGTATTTCAAACCAGTAAAATTTTGAATATTCAAAGTCTGCTCTTAAACTTAGACTTCCTAGTATTATGGTGGTTATAGTGAGAATGAAATTAAACTGGGTGAGTTCCGAAATAAAGGAAAGTGTTATATTCTACAGTGCCCATATTTTCTATGGTAACTAAATCAAATATTTGTAAGTTCCTCTGCTTTTTGAAATTATTTTTCAAAGAAGCAACACCTGTTATACAACAGAATTGTATAAACTAAAAAGACTTTTGGCCTTGGTACATAGTCTTTATCTGGCCTGCAATGGAGTCATGGTTCTTTCTGAATCCCACTCTCACTTTTTTCTTTTTACCCTTAGATATTGCATCCGTGGTATTTCAGGGGTATAGAGAAATAATATTGGAATTTAGGAGCTATTTTTTTAAGTGAAAATATTACTAAGTGGTATCTTTTGATGATTACCTACTTTAATGTGTCTTAGAAAAGCACCAAAACATAGCATGATTATTTTTTCAGTTAATTAAAATTAGTTAATAACATGTTCATTTAAAAACTATTCATTGACTTTTTGTACCAGTCATATGCAGGGTACAGTAACTGAGGATATGGGAAATAAAATAACTGACATAGTCCCTGCTCTGAAGGAACAAAGGAAAAGGAATTGCAAATTTTTATTAAAATAATAATAATAATAATAATAATAATAATAATAATAATAATAATGTGTTTTGCCTGGAAGTTATTAGCTGAGATTCTAACACACAAAAAGTTCAAAAAAAAAGAACAAAAACTGGCTGCTTAATTTAAAGCATGCTCTAAGTATGAACCATAGTATCATTTCTAATTTCATTAACTTTCTCAATTATTATGCTAAGTATATTATGCTGCTAAGATACCCACATTTAAGGGGCAGATTTAGAGACTCTTTTAGAAACTGAGTGTCTTTATCTTATTATCAGATAACCAGGCTGCACAGGGCTCTCTATAATGGAATGATGCTCCTTTTCAATACTTAGAGCCACTGTACTCAGTTTAGGAGTAACTGAAGGTGTGGATGCATGTTAATGGGAATCCAATTTTTACTATTTTTATATGAATAACAGCGTTCTGTAGAAACAGTCTCTCCCTTCTAAATAAAAACTATGTGACTGCTGTTACTAGTGCTATTCTATGCGAATATCCTAATAATAGGATTCAGGAATTCTAATGAATTGTTTCTTAATTAAGGTGAACAAGTAGACTCCTGATCAAGAGGAGAACACTGTGAATGTCTCATAATCAATAGACCTTCATTCTCTTGTAGAAAATGTGGATTTTCAGGAAAAGACTGATTATTTTCATGAATAAATTTTCTTATACAAATTCCATTTTGTTTGACATAAAAGACCCTGAATCTTAAGATATTTGTAAATCAGAATATTTAAGAATGTAAAATGAATCCCCAAATCTAGTTTCCTCCAAAGCACTTCTTAATGTAGGAAATAGTTTTTACAAACCCTATGTCAGTACTAATGTTCCTGGGTCAAACCCAGTAATATTGTTAGTGTATGTTGTTACACCTTATTTAAGAGGCAGAGTGGTTTTGAGCAAGTCAGTTAACGTGATTTGATGAAGAAATAAGGAATTATATACATTTAGACAGAAGAATATTTTATTTTGAAAATAGGATTTCGTGCAATAATTTTTCTTGCATAACTTAGTTCATATAAATATGTACATCTGTTTTTCTGGCAGATGCCTTAAGGTCATGTTTTTCAGTATTTGAGTAAATCTGTATGTAGCAATGTTCTCATTGATTTCAGAAAAAAATATATTCTTTATATTGTTGCCAGGAGAAATGTTTTTGTTTATTTAAAATTATTATGGATATTGTGTTGTTGTATCATAACTAACTGCCTCAGCAACAATAAATATGCAATAAGAAAATCCTGTACCTTAGATTAGATTGACAATACTGTTACTTTAAAAGAAATATATACGGTACAAATTGCTGATTCTACATGTGTACATTTAACAGATACTCAGTTCTGCACCACCTAAATCAAAATGGCATTTGTATGCTGATGATTACATATGTGGATTGTAGTATCCTTTGTGATGAATCTTTGATAAGATTTATAAAGGGCATTGCCAATACTTTTTGACTGTGTAAATTAATTTTTTGTATGATGTACAGTTTGTTTAATCTTAGAGCTTCTATAGATTTCTACTTTATTATACTTGAATGAGGCAGAAAAGCACTGTGGAAAATCTGTAGCTCTGGATGCAACATGCAGACATACCAAAAAAATAATAATAAAGCAAGGTACTGAAGAGCAATGTTAACAGAATGCTTTATATCCAGAATGCTATGTTTTTTTCAAGCCACATTTTAGTTGAATGAAGTAAAGTTATTCAATCTTTTATTTTAAAATATTGGAAAGTCACAAATGATTACTTCTTTGATATGATGAACCTATAAGTCTATTCATCTCTGTTATTTCATTTCTCAAATGTGAGCCTTGTTGAGGTCCATTATCAAATCTACACTTTGGTTGATTATATGATGTTTAGGACAAGGCAGAATTTAAAACCTGCATGTTTAGTGCATCACATGTCAAGTCACCATCCTTCTGACAGTGTAACTTCCATAACGTTATTTTGAGAGCCATTTAATAATCATATTTGAAAAAGTGGATTTCTTGAGTCTGTTGTAGTTTAGTACTTACAGCAGTGCCTAAAACAGCAACTAATATGAACTGCCTGAGTCCTACAACATAAATGCATAAAGCTTTTTTATGTAAAAGCCACAGGAGGGGTTCAAAATTGAACTTTTCCAAAGTTTATTTCTCTTGCGTTAGATGAAAAACTATTTAAAAGGACTGAAAACCCTGAGCTTTTTGCTCGTCTTGGTAGCAGATATCTGTAAAAACCTACCCAGAATTGTGATTTTACTTCATTGTTCTTGCATCCTTGAGGCTACAGTATAAATCATCTCCAAACTTGACTACTATTGGGAAGATGTGTATAAAAGCATCGCTTTGGGAATTTTTTTAAAAATATGCAAAAATAAATATTGAATAAAATCTACATTACCATAAAACACCCAAAAATGCAGTTCTAAAATAAAATTGGTCACAATTAAACTTTGCATGGTGATGACTCTTCTTTTACAATTGCCCAGTTATCCCCCAATAGTGTTCTAGCTAGACTGCTGTGAGAACCCTAATACCTTTATCTCTGAGCTTTGTAACTGCTGCAGTGTAAATTTAAGCCTGCATCTTTCTGACAGGCCTACCTGAGAGGTATACTTTATTTTATTCTTTTATGTATAGTCAACGGATTTTATTAGGCTCTAAAGTCATAGGAGAATTGTTAAGTAATTATAATGTCACTAAGAATATAAGAGTTGTACTATCCAAGTCAAACAACTGTGTTTATTGACCCCCACTTAAGGTTTAAGGACAGAGATGAAATGTAGTCAAGTGTACATGAACAATGTTCCAGGGACCAGAAAGATGAGCTTCTCATCCAAGAGCTCTGATGGTTTCACCTAAAGCAAAGGTCAAATTCCTATTGAAATAAGCACAACGTTTCCCTCTGGGTGCAGAATATCTGGGATTAATATGCTGAACCTTTCTTATTTATATAGAAGAAGCAAAAGCCTGACAATAAGAAAAGAAATATTATCCCTGCAAGCCTAAGATTCCGCTATTTTTGTTGATTTTGATTGTGAAAACTTTGCCTGCCACCATCAAAGGGATTATTAGTCTCATTACCCTCAGTGTCTCTGTATGAGAGGCCTGGTCACATCTTCATTTTATAGATGCAGAAAAAAAATCTCAGCTTGTGTTTACATACAAATAAAATAACCTACGTAGAGTAGTATTATGGTAGTAGGTCTGGGAATTTCCTTTCCTAGAAGTAACAATGAATTATTATATATGCATACAATTTTGTACATATATGGAAAATAGTGCATTAATAGCACAAAAATAAGAGTATATTGTGGAAGGTTCCAGATGAATAAAAATTCCCCAGATTCTGCCATTGATTTGGCCTTTTTACTTCATGCCCCCAAAGCGTTATTTCTCTAAAATAAGTGTCTTCTTAGAATGAATTATTCAATATTTATTGAAAAACTTCTATGTATATAGCAGCTGCAATATAGTTTGAAAGAGAAAATATTCCTAAGTATCTAATTTAGTGTGAATTCATGGTGGTTTGGTGTGTACAACTGCTTTAGTTTGGATTTGTGTCCCTGCCCAAGTCTCATGTCGAAATGTAATCCTCAGTGTTGGAGGAGAGGCCTGGTGGGAGGTGACTGGATCATGGGGGCAGATTTCCCCCTTGCAGTTCTTGTGATGGTGAGAGAGTTCTCATGAGATTTGGTTGTTTAAAAGTGTATAGCACCTCCCACTTCTCTCTCTCCCTCCTTCTGGTCATGTAAGACGTGCCTACTTCCCCTTGCCTTCTGCCATTATTGTAAGTTTCCTGAGGCCTCCCCAGCCATGCTTCCTGTACAGCCTGTAGAACTGTGACTCAGTTAACCTCTTTTCTTTATAAATTACCCAGTCTCAGGTAGTTCTTCATAGCAATGCAAGAACAGTCGAATACAACAACCACAAAATATAATTATAGAATCTTAGACTTTTATCTCATCCACAGGCTCCCAAACCTAGTCTTTCATTAGATTTACCTGGAGATCTTTTTCTTAAAGAAAAAAATACAGAAAACACACACAGACACACACACACAAACACACACATGCACACAAACACAAAACAAATGCCTGGACCATGCTCCTAGAGTTTCTGGAATAGGTACTTAATTAGTCTTTTGTAGAGTTGAGGAAACCAAGATAGAAAAAGGATAAATTATATCCTTAATGTCTCATAGCATGAAATGACCAAGCTGGGATTTGAACCCCACAGCTGGGCTTTAGCCCCCTTGCTATTAGACAGAAGTACAGGGCCAAACTCAAATGGCGTGACTATCATAAATTCCCTACAGAACTTTCTTTTCTATCTCAACTTTCTCCTACAAGTATTGGACAATCCTTTTTTGACAAAATATTCTATGCAAGTTTCTTATTTGCTTGTTTGTTTTTATCTTGAGTACAGAATTTCCTAAATCTTTTTGGGAGATTGCATTAATGTTCAGTCCCTCCCTCCCTCCCTTCCTTCCTTCTTTCCTTCCTTCTTCCTTCCTTCCTTCCTCTTCTTCCTTCCTTCCTCTTTCTCTTTCTTTCCTTCTCCACACTTTCCAGCATAGTTTATAATCTCATCTCAAATAATCTGTCTTATATATACATGTTCTCCATGGCATCTATCTCCTCTCTCTTTCTCTTAATTGTATTTGCGCATATTAGTTGGTGGAGTGGGGAGTTTTACCTGGATTATTGTATAACTATATTAAAAACTATAGGAGCATGCTTGAGGACATACAAAGGCATAACTTGTGAATTTTTTCATATGGAGCCATTATTGACACTTAAAGCTGCTGAGAACATCTAAAGATCTCTTGCAGAATATCCACAGATGTCATCTACAAAGTTGTTTTTCTCATGTTCAAGAGCAGCACTTAAACTACTTATTCTTCAGTTTTGTTATTTTATAATCAACCTACTTTAAATATGGAGTGTATTTCAGATTTATGTGTTTTTTAGTAACACCATTTAAACATTAATTGTAAATAATGTATTTAAAATATACAAATTACTTTTTGTAACTCCAGTTCTAATTTAGGGACTAATTTTAAGATATCTATTTATCTATCTATCATCTATCTATCTATCATCTATTTCCAGATATATATCCATTAGATATCTATCTTATGAATATGTACATATGTAATCTTATGAATATATATCTAGATATATAATATATATCTAGATATAAATAGCACACATCTTATGAATACATATATATAATATATAACATTCATTTAGTATTTAATTCTGTTTTCTCCAAAATCTAATACTTAAAATATATTTTTGAAAAAGAGCTAAGTTTTCTTAGATTTGATAAACGTCCAAGTTGGATACAACCCATTAGGCAAAAATCCCAACTTGTAAAACAGATGTTAGGGAGAAATGCTCTGCTTTTCTGCTTTACCTTATAGGTGTGTGTGTGTGTGTGTGTGTGTGTGTGTATATGTGTATATATATATATATGTGTGTGTGTGTGTATATGTAAATATATATGTAAATATATATGTAAATATATATATGACACGCTTGTTGACAAACTGTTAAAAATCATTTGAATTTCTAAGCAAATTAGAATTGATAAGACTTGTAATTGGTATCTTTTAAAAACCTTCTACTAGAAAAATGTAACCAATATTTCTTATCAATAATTATAGATAAGACATGGGTGCTCATACACATATTTTGGGCAAAGGATAATTTTGTATAAAAATAAGGGAATACTGTTCTTAGGGATTGTTGTGGGGTCTCAAAATTAATTCTTAATGTGCAATTATAAGGTGAACTAAAAGTCCTTGGGTGTTTTGATTTCAAGATTTTTATAGGATTATGAAGTTGCTTTCCTGACACCCACAACTATTGTTTTATGTGAAGATGCTTTTCCTTTCAAGGTGCATCTTTCATATGTTTTCAAATTAGCTTTATTAAAATGTGGTTTACATTCATCACAATTCACCCATTTCATAACTATAATTCAGTGAATGTTGACAATTACGTAGTCATGCAACCACCACTACATCAAGACTGAGAACAGTTCCTCACCCTAAAAGTTATTTTGTGCTCTTTGCAGCTGCCTCTCCTCTCAATCCTAATCCCTGGCCATCTCTGATATGTTTTTACTATAGTTTCGCCTTTTCAAGAATTTTACATAAATGAATTTTTTCACTTCACATGGTGGTATTGTCAATCCTTTTAATTTCAGCCATTCTGGTTTGTGTGTAGTGGTATCTCCTTTTGGTTTTAATTTTTATTTTTCTTATGACCGAAGATCATGAGAATCTTTTCATGTGCTTATTGGCAATTCATAGATCTTCTTTGGAGAAGAGTATATTCAACTATTTTGTGCATTTTGTATTGTTTCTCTTATTACTGACTTGTAAAAATTTGGATTTTTTAAAAAAATATTCTGGATAAAAGTCCCCGATACATGTTTTGCAAACCTTTTCTCCAGTTTGTGGCTTGCCTTTTCATTTTCCTGACAGTGTCTACAAAAAAGTTTTTAATTTGAGAATGTCTATCAGTTTTATTTTTCATCATTTATGCTTTTTGTTTTCTAAAAAATTTTTACCTAAACAGAATGTCACTTGACTTTTGAATGTGAATGTAACCTTGTACTCCTAGGATCAATTCAACTTAATCATAGTGTATTATTTTAAAAAATCTATTGCTGCATTCAATTTTCGGATACCTTGTTAAGAATTGTGGTGTCTACATTTATGAGAAATATTGGTGTGTAGTTTTCTTTAGTGCTGTTACAATTTTAGTATCGGAGCTAACCTAAATCTCATCGAATGATTTGGGAAATTTTTCTCCCCTTTTAGTTTCTGAACTATTTTGTGTAGAATTATTATTATTTTTTCATTAAGTGTTTGGTTTAGCTCAACAGTGCAGCCATCTGGGCATGGAATTTTCTTTAAGGGAAAGTTATAAGCTATGAATTCAATTACTTAGCAGATAGAGGACTCTTCAGCTCATCTCTTCATTTTCAGGTGAGCTTTGATGATTTATATCTATCAAGAAATTTGTCTAATTTAAGTTTTAAAATTTACTTGCATTAAGTTGTTCAAAATATGATTTTACCATTCTTTTAATATCTGTTGGGTATGTGACTATATTCCCTCTTTTATTTCTGATATTAATAATTTGTGTCTAACTTTGGGTTTCATTGGTTTTCTCAATTTTTAAATCAGTTTCTATATCACTTCTTTATATTCTTATCATTTTGTTTTATTGAGGTAAAATTTACTTAGCATATAAACCTAACCATGTTAGAGTGTGCAATTCAGTGGCATTTAGTACATTAGTGTTGTGCAAGCTCACCTTTATTTAGTTCTGAAATATTTTCATCACCCCAAAAGGAAACTATTCATTAAATAGTCACTTTCACTCTCTCTCCTAGGGGCTTAACATTTTGATTTCCCTGCTTCTGCTTATTTTAGGTTTAATCTTTTCTTTTTCTTTTGTCTTAAGGAGATACTGATATTTAACCTTTCTTCTTCTGCCAGATCAAAATACATATGTTCTTTTAACATTTCTCCTTTGACTTATGGGTTATTTGGAAGTGTGTTGTTTACTTTCCTATCATTTGGAGATCTTTTCAAATGTCATTCTGTTATTAATTTCTAATTTAATTAGATTATGTAAGAACATATTATGCATGATTTAAATCCTTTTAAATATATTAAGGCTTGTTTTATGATGCATATTTTGTGTGCATTGAAAAAAGTATATATATTCTTTTGTGTTCTATAAATAATGACATCCATTTGATTGATAATGTTCAAGTCATTCATATCATTTTTAATTTTTTTGTCTACATGTTCTATCAGTTGAGAGCAGTGTTGAAATTTCCAAGTAGAATTGTAAAATTTTCTATTTCTCCTTTGAGCTCTATCAATTTTTGCTTTATAAAGCTTGAAGTTCTTTTATTAAGGCTGTTCACACTTTTGATTTTACCCTCATTGATAAATTGCCCTGTTTATCACTATGAAATTTTCCTCTTTATCCAAGGTAATATTCCTTATTTTAAAAATATTTCTAATGTAATTATAGCCAACATCACTCTTATTTTGATTGTGTTTGCATGGTATACGATTGCCCTTTTACATTCAAGCAATCTGTGCCATTATATTTAAAGAAGGTTTTTTGTATACAGAATTTCACTGAGTTTTCCATTTTTGTCCAACCTGATGATCTTTGCCTTTCAATTGCATTGTTTAGGTCTTTCACATTTCATATAATCATTGATATGCATTGGAATAAATTCACTATACTTATATTTGTTTTGTATTTGTACCATTTATTATTTATTTATTTTTTCCTATCTTCTGCCTCTTTTGGATTACTTGAATGATTCTCATGATTATACTTTGTCATCACTATGGCTTATATTATATCGCTCTTTAAAATTTTATTTGGTGTTTGCTCTCAGGTTTAAAATACATATCATAAACTTATCATGATCTTCCTTTAAAAATATATCACTTCATATACAGTGTAAAAACCTGATAGTGATATACATCCAGTTTTCCACTCTGTCCTTGGTATTTCTGTCTTATATATATCTAAATATCTTGTAAATTGTAGAATACAGTATTATTTTTTGAAAATTGTTTGAAACTGTTACCTTTAAAGATTAATAAGTGAAAAAGACTGTCTTTCATATTTACCCACACAATTACCATTTCTGGCACTCTGCATTCCTTTCTGTAGATGTGTATTTGCATATGCATCATTTCTCTTTATACCTGAAGAACATCCTTTACTGTCTCTTGTAGTGCAAATTTGCTGGCAATAGATTCTCTGCATTTCTGTTATTTTGAAAAATTATTTTTTGCATTTTTTTTTTACAGGTTAATGGTTTTTTTCTTACAGTGCTTTAATATTGTCATTCTACAGTCTTCTGGACTGCATAGATTCTGACAAGAAATCTGCTGTAATTCATAACTTTGTTCCTTATAAATAGTGTCTTTTATCTTTGGCTGCTTTTCAGTTTCTCGTGATCGTTGATTAACCATATCCAGTATATTTTTAAATTTCAGATGTTATACTTCTCCTCCTGAAATTCGATCTGGGTTTGTGTGTATGTGTGTGTGTGTGTCTTCCATGTATTTTATCATTATATCATCTCCAAATTTTTGTAATAGCTGTTTTATGGTCCTTGTCTGCAAACTGTATCATCTCTGTTATTTCTGGGCCTGTTTCTATTGATTTTTAAAATTTGACAATGGGACATATTATCCTGCTTTTTTGCATGTCTAGTAAGTTTTGATGGGATGCCAAATATTCTTGGATGCCAGATTTCATTGTATTGCTTTAAATAGTCTTGGCATTTTATTCTGGGATGCAGTTAAATTCCTTACAAATGAGATTTACCTTTTAAAAGCTTGCTTTAAGCTTTATTACTATGGGTCCAGAGTGGTCTTTATTGTGAAGCTAGCTTAGGCCTTTTACTGAGTCAGTATCTATTGGAAAACTCTTCTCAGTACCCCCATGTTAGGAGGTCTTTCCCCTCAGATGAAAAACTAAACTATTCCCAACTGTCTGACAACTGGAAATTGTTCTGTTTACACTTTTCTCATAAGTCTTTATGACCTGGAGTAGTTTCTTCACACATATTTGTGGATCTAAGGCAAAGACTCATTGGGACCTCTCTGTAGATATCTGTAACAATCCTCTCTCTACTCTGCTTCGCACATTCTAGCTGCCATGGCCTCTTCAAATACAATCTCTGTCTCTTCAGCTCAGTGAGAATACTAGGCTTTGAAAGGGTCCCCCTCACATTGTTGCAGCCTGATAACTGTGATAACTGCTGCCTCTAGGCAGTAAGTCCATGCAATTGTAGAACTTACTTTACTCATTTCTCTTTTCTCATGGATCAAAGTCCTTGCTTTGTGTTGTCTTACATCTGAAACCAATGTTTCATATATTCTGTCTGAATTTCCTGTTGTTATAGTGGTAGGGCAATCAGCATGGCAATTAGTCTTTTTTTTTTTTTTTTTTTTTTTTGAGATGGAGTCTCGCTTTTGTTGCCCAGGCTGGAGTGCAATGGCGTGATCTCAGCTCACTGCACCCTCCACCTCCCAGGTTCAAGCAATTCTCCTGCCTCAGCCTCCAGAGTAGCTGGGATTACAGGTGCCCGCCATCATGTCAGGCTAATTTTTGCCTTTTTAGTAGAGATGGGGGTTTCAGCATGTTGGCCAAGCTGGTCTCGAACTCCTGAACGCAGGTGATCCGCCCGCCTCAGCCTCCCAAAATTCTAGGAATACAGGTGTGAGCCACCGCGCCCGGCCTGCAATTAGTCTTTTGTGAGTGGGATCTGACATAGTTTGGAGGTTTGTCCCCTCAAAATCTTATGTTGAAATGTGATCCCCAATGTTGGAGGTGGGGCCTAGTGGGAGGTGATCAGGTCATGAGGGCGCGTCCCTTATGAGCAGCTTGGTGCCCTCTCCATGGTAATGAGTGAGTTCTCTTCTATGAGTTCATGTAAGATGTAGTTGTTAAAAAGAGTCTGGGACTTCCTCCCCTCTTCCTTTCTTGCTCCCTCTTTGCTTTCCATTATGATTGAAAACTTCCTGAGGCTCTCCCCAGAAGCAGATGCTGGTGCCATGCTTCCTGTACAGCCTGCAGAACGATGAGCCAAATAACTCCCTTTTCTTTATAAATTACTCAGCCTCAGGTATTTCTTTATAGTAGTGCAAAATGAACTAATACAGTATCAGAAATCTCTCCCAGTTTAAAAAGAAAGGTTCATTCTAAAATTTTCTGGCAAAAATGTATTCCTTAAGTTCATCATTGACATAAAGTCTAGTTATAAACATTCCATTTCCATGTAACGTTAGGAAGGCTAATGCACATGTCAACATTTTTCCTTACTGACCTTCTTTTCTCCCACTCCATACAGATTCCATACAAACTATACTCAAAGTCACGAATAAATCATGCTTTTTTTTTTTTTGTAGCATGGAAGAATCTAATGACTTTCAACATTAGGGCAAGAGTGTTAGATAAAACATACCAAAAATATTTAAAGTATTTGCTATGTCTCCCAAAACGAATAATTGAGGCTTCAAAACAAACAAACAAACCAAATCGGTGAGTTAACGAGGTGGCAGGTGGTAAGTATGGGTATAGTTCCTATGAGTTAATATCAAATTAATATCCTCAGGGATTCGGCAGATACAGCATTTGATCCTCAAGAGGTATGAAGGAGAAATTAAGACCTCTGTGTCAAGACCCTTGATGGAATGCCTAGTCTATTAAGGTGGGACTAGAAGCATTCCAATCTCTGACCCAGAAAACTAACAAAGAAAGCTTTTGTCTGCCTAGGGATCTGGATGGAAAAATAAACCTAGAAACAAACAAACAGAGAATTCTGTATACAAAAATCAAACTTCAGTATTTGCTTCATGTGGTTTTGTAGTAGATTATAGTGTACATAAATTCTGTTTATTATGCACATAGCATAGTACTCCCAAACTAATAAATTACAATAAAATGTAGTCGACAACAAGTGGCAACTCTGAAACCCCCTATAGAAGTAAAGAAAAGTCACTCTGTAGGTGCACTTTAAAATTCAGAGTACATCGGACCACCACAGCAAACGGCTCCCACGGAAGATGATTTTTAAAAATAAATCATGTGATAAAATGTTGCTCCTTGAAAACTAGAAAAATAAAGCAACTTGGATTGACTATACAATAAACATAAAATTGAAGAAAAATATTCTCATTATTTAGACAAGATGGAATTCAAAAAGGCAGTGTAGATAAGCAAGCAGTTTTCTGAATATGCCAAGTTGAATGAAGCTACAACTGCAGATAATTATAACTTCACTTTTCCCCATATTCTTGGTAAAGATTCCATACCCTCTTGGTATAATTTCTATTGTGACAGTTCTCTGTGGTTTTGTGACTGTTTACCTATTTGTGCTTTCCCTAAACCCTGCTTCACAGGTAGCTCAAATATTTTATTTGTGTCTGTTGCTCCTAGATGCTCTGCTAGGAATCAGAGGAAAAAAATTAAGTGAGTAACTGATTTTTATGTACATGAATTAATCTGATATCCACATTGACCTTGATGGCCTTGATGGCAAGTCTCCTATGACTCTATTATGACTTATTCCCTTAAAAACACAAATTTTGTTTTGTTTATCTTTGAATCTCCAGCTCTTAATATAACATCAGGTTCATAGCAGACACTCAATAGCTTGGTGTTGAAATTGCATGGAATACCACTAGTTCAAGATGGCAGAGCTTTGGAAGGATCTGTTTACTCTCCATGAATATGATAAATAAATTATCCATCCTTTGGAAATGGCTTACTATACATCACATCAGAAATGCAAAACCAAAGCCAAAAGGAATACTGTTGAGTTCAATAATAGTAAAATTGAAAGTCTCAATTAAAACTAACTCTGAAGTTACGCTGAAAGTGTGAAAGAAACACAGGCAAGTAATCAGGAACTTCTTTCTAAAGCTCCAAATCCTGGAGGAAGTTAATTCTCTAGTGTTTTGTGCATGAATTATGGGTAAAGCTTCTCAAATTAAATTATAGGGAAGCATTATATGCACTTATAAGAGCTACACAAACCAAAGGATCAATATTGTCTGGCTTCTCCTGATTTATTGGAAGAGTATTTTCAATGTGAAACTTTTTATCCAATCATAATCTCTTTCTTTAAGTAATGTTGTCAGTGAATAAAGTGCAGTGTTAACAGTAAAGATCATTATGTATTCTAAAATTCAAAGTGAAAAGTATATACAAGCAACTAACATTTAGTTTGTTCTATATATTTAATTATTTTTAAAATGTTAATCTGGCAGGAAAGAATTTAGAGGTCATTTAAAACTAGATGTATTTAAATTATTTAATAGAATCCTGGCCAAATTTGACCCTTGGCACATTATAAGGCAGATCATGATATTATCTGGATATGCTGGATACTTTGAATACCATAATGAGCAATGTTGGAGTTTCAATCTAATTAGTGGCATCTTGTTTTGTAATTTATCTTGGGTGACCTTGCTTACAGGGTGAACTTCTTTTTTTTTTTTTTAACTTTCTCATCCTGTCACATTTTAAATGTCACCGGTATTTATGTAATTGTCTTCTCCTACCCTCTCTTTTCAATCCATTATTACCTCCCTCCACAACAGAACATGTCTTTTAGAGTTCTGCTGCTCTTTTGACCTTGATGGTGGCAAAAAATCTTTCAAGATAATCAACTTCTTTCAGAAATTTCTATGTCCTCTGTTTCGTGTAGTATTCTCTGCTACCAACATTTTTTTCTCCCAGGTTAAGATTTTAGATGATATGTTTGATTTCAATTAATTGTATTGTTCTTGGCACAAATGCAAGATATTTCATGATTTTTAAAATCATTCTAATGTCTTTTAGATTGTCAAAACACATGGAAATGAGTGAACTGAATAATTCTGCTGCTTAGAAGGAACGTGAAGAAGTATTACTTTATGAACTTGTTTTATTTTTTAAGTTTTTGTTCATATTAATTTTGATAATATTTGGGGTACAGGTGGTTTTTGGTTACATGGATAAATTCTTTAGTGGTGATTTCTGAGATGTTACTGTACCTGTCATCTGAGCAGTGTACACTATACCCAATATGTGGTCTTTTATCTGTCACTCTCCTCCCAAATTTCCCTCCAACCCAAGCCTCCAAAGTCCATTACATCATTCTTAAGCCTTTGCATTTCTCATAGTTTAGCTCCCATTTATAGTAAGACGATGTGATACTTGTTTTTCCATTCTTGAGTTACTTCACTTAGAATAATGGCCTCTAGCTCTATCCAAGTTACTGAGAAAGACATTATTTCATTCCTAGTTATGGCTGAGTAGTATTCTATGTATATCTACCCAATTTTCTTTATCCACTCTTTGGTTGATGGGTACTTAGGTTGGCTCTATATCTTTGCAATAAAGAATTGTGCTGCTATAAACATGCATGTGCATGTCATTGCCTATAATGACTTATTTTCCTTTGGGTAGCTGTCCAGTAGTGGGACTGCTGGAACAAATGGTAGTCCTACTTTTAGTCCTTTAAGGAATCACCATACTGTTTTCCACAGTGGTTGTACTAGTTTACATTTCCACCAGCATTGTAGAACTGTTCCCTTTTCACCACATCCATGCAAACATTGTTGTTTTTTTCACTTTGTAACTATTGCCATTCTCGTAGGAGTAAGGTGGTATCTCATTGTGGTTTTAATTTGCATTTCCCTGATAATTAGTGATGTTGAGCATTTTTTCATGTTTGTTGGCTGTTTGTATATCTTCATTTGAGAATTGTCTATTCATGCCCTCTGCCCACTTTTTGATGGGATTATTATTTTTATTATTTTATTTTATTTATTTATTTATTTTGCTGATTGGTTTGAGTTCCTTGTAGATTCTGGATATTAGTCCTTTCTTGGATACACAGTTTGTGAATATTTTCTCACACTCTGTGGGTTGTCTGTTTACCCTGCTGATTATTTCTTTTGCTATGCAGAAGCCTTTCAGTTTAGTTAGGTCCCATTTATTTATTTTTGGTTTTGTTGCACTTGCTTTTGAGGTCTTAGTCATGAATTCTTTGCCTAAGCCAATGTCCAGAAGAGTTTTTCCAACGTTATCTTCTAGGATTTTTATGGTTTCAGGTTTTAGATTTCAGTTTTTTATTCAATTTGAGTTGATTTTTTATAAGGTGAGAGATGAAGATCTAGTTTCATTCTTCTACATATGGCTTGCCAGTTTTCCCAGCACCATTTATTGAATAGGGTGTCCTTTCCCTGATTTATGTTTTTGTATGCTTTGTTGAAGATCAGTTGGCTGTATCTGGCTTTATTTCTGGGTTTTCTGTTTTGTTCCATTGGACTACATGCCATTTTTATACCAGTACCATGCCATTTTGGTAACAATAGCCTTGTAGTATAATTTGAATTTGTGTAATGTGATGCCACCAGATTTGTTCTTTTTGCTTAGTATTACTTTGGTTATGTGGGCTCTTTTATGGTTCCATAAGAATTTTAGGATTGTTTTTCTAGTTCTGTGAAGAAAGATGGTGGTATTTTGATAGGAATTGTATTGAATCTGCAGATTGCTTTAGGCAGTAGTTGTTTTCACAATATTTATTCTATGCATCCATGAGCATGGATGTGTTTCCATTTGTTTGTGTCACCTTTGATTTCTTTCAGCAGTGTTTTGTAGTTTTCCTTGTAAAGCTCTTTCTACCCCCTTGGTAAAGTATATTCCTTTTTTTTTTTCC
This sequence comes from Homo sapiens, assembly GCF_000001405.40. Lineage (NCBI taxonomy): Eukaryota > Metazoa > Chordata > Mammalia > Primates > Hominidae > Homo > Homo sapiens. The sequence continues at coordinate 197,491,922 of NC_000001.11, read as the reverse complement.
TGCAGTTGTCATAAAAGGGATTGAGCTTTTAATTTTATTCTAGCTTGGTTATTGTTGGTGCATAGCAGTGCTACTTATTTGTATACATTGATTTTGTATCCTGAGACTTTACTGAATTCATTTATCAGATCTAGAAGCTTTTTGGATGAGCCTAGGGTTTTCTAGGTATATGATCATATCATGGGGGAACAGTGATGGTTTGACTTCCTCTTTTCCAATTTGGATGCCCTTTATTTCTTCCTCTTGTCTGATTGCTCTGGCCAGGCCTTCCAGTACTATGTTGAATAGAAGTGGTGAAAGTGGGCATCCTTGTCTTATTCCAGTTCTCAGGGGGAATGCTTTCAACTTTTTCCCGTTCAGTATAATGTTGGCTGTGGGTTTGTCATATATGGCATTTATTAATTTGAATTAAGTCCTTATTATGCCTATTTTGTTGAGGGCTTTTATCCTAAAGGAATGCTGGATTTTTTTCAAATGCTTTTTTGGCATCTATTGGGATGATCATATGGTTTTTGTTTTAAATTCTGTTTACGTGATGTATCATGTTTATTGACTTGGGTATGGTAAGCCATCCCTGCATCCCTGGTATGAAACTAATTTGATCATGATGCATTATCTTTTTGAAATGCTGTTGGATTCAGTTAGCTAGTATTTTGCTGAGGAGTTTTACATCTATGTTCTCCAGGGAAATTGGTCTGTAGTCTTCTTTCTTTGTTATGGCCTTTCCTGGTTTTGGTATTAGAGTGATACTAGCTTCATAAAACGATTTACAGAGGATTTCCTCTTTATCTTTTGGGATAGTTTCAGTAGGATTGGTATCAATTCTTTGAATGTCTGATCGAATTCAGTTGTTAATCCATCTGGTCCGGTACGTTTTTTGTTGGCAATTTTTTTATTACCACGTCATTCTCGCTGCTTGTTATTGGTCTGTTCAGGGTTTCTATTTCTCCTTGATTTAATCGAGGAGGGTTGTATATTTTCAGGAACTTATTCATCTCCTGGAATGAATTGAATTCCAGGAGATGAATAGTAGTAGCCTTGAGTGATCTTTTGTATTTCTGTGGTATTGGTTGTAGTATCTCTCCCATTTCATTTCTAATTGAGATTATTTGGATCTTCTCTCTTCTTTTCTTGGTCAATCTCACTAATGTTCTATCAATTCTGTTTATCTTTTCAAAGAACCAGCTTTTTGTTTCATTTTTCTTTTGTATTTTTTTTTGTTGTTATTTCAATTTTATTCAGTTCTGCTCTGTTCTTTGTTATTTCTTTTCTTCTGCTGGGTTTGGGTTTGGTTTGTTCTTATTTCTCTAGTTCCTTGAGGTGTGACCTTAGATTGTCTATTTATGCTCTTTCAGACTTTTTGATATATGCATTTAATGCTATGCTCTTTCATCTTAGTACCACTTTTGCTGTATTCCAGAGGTTTTGATACATTGTATCACTATTATTCATTTCAAAGAACTTTTACATTTTCAACTTGATTTCATTGTTAACTCCTAAATCATTCAAGAGTGGATTATTTAATTTTCATTTATTTGTATAGTTTTGTGGGTTTCTTTTGGAGTTGATTTCCAGTTGTATTTCACTGTCATCTGAGAAGATACTTAATGGTTTTGATTTTCTTAAATGTATTGAAACTTGTTTTTTTTGGCAGCCTCTCATATGGTCTATCTTAGAGAACGCTCCATGTGCTTATGAGAAGAATGTATATTCTGCAGTTGTTGGGAAAAAATGTTCTGTGAATATCTGTTAAGTCCATTTTTTTCTACGGTATAGTTTAAGTCTACTGTTTCTTTGTTGACTTTCTGTCTTGATAATCTGTCTAGTGCTGTCAGTGGAGTATTGAAGTTCCTCACTAGTATTGTGTTGCTGTCTATCTCATTTCTTAGGCCTAGTAGTTAATTGTTTTATAAATCTGGGAGCTCCAGTGTTAGGTGCATATAAATTTAGGACTGTAATATCTTCCTGTTGGACTAATCGTTTTATTATTATATAATGTCCTTATTTGTCTTCTATTACTGTTGTTGCTGTAAAGTCTGTTTTATCTGGTATAAGAATAGCTACTCCTGCCTGCTTTTGGTTTCTATTTGCATAAAATATCTTTTTCCACCCCCTTAGGTTTGTGTGAGTCCTTATGTGTTAGGTAAGTCTCTTGAAGACAGCAGATATTTGGTTAGTGTTTTTTTTTTTAATTTATTCTGCTATTCTGTATCTTTTAAGTGGAGCATTTAGGCCATTTACATTTAATGCTAATATTAAGATGTGAGGTACTGTTCTATTCATCGTATTTGTTGTTAACTAGATACTTTGTTTTTCTTCATTGTGTTATTGTTTGTTTTATAGGCTCTGTGAGATATATGCTTTAGGAGGTTCCATTTTGGTGTATATTGAGGTTTTGTTTCAAGATGTAAAACTCCTTTTAGCATTTCTTGTAGTGTTGGTTTGGTAGTGGCGAATTCTGTCAGTATTTGTTTGTCTCAGAAAGACTTTTTCTCTCCTTCATTTATGAATCTTACTTTTACTGGATACAAGATTCTGATGGTTACTTTTTTTAAGGATGCTAAAGATAGGACCCCTGTGTCTTCTGGCTTATAAGATTTCTGTTGAGAAACTTGCTGTTAGTCTAATAGGTTTGCCTCTATAAGTTACTTGATGCTTTTGTCTCACAGCTCTTAAGATTCTACTCTGTATCTTTAGATAGCCTGATGACCATGGGCCTTGGTGGTGATCTTCTGAATTTCCCAGGAGTTCTTTGAGCTTCTTGTATTTGGAAGTCCAGATCTCTAGCAAGGCCAGGATAGTTTTTCTCAATTATTCTCTCAAATAAGTTTTCCAAACAGGAACACCAGTTATTCTTAGGTTTAGCCATTTCACATAATCCCATATTTCCTGGAGACTTTGTTAATTTGTTTTCTTTTTCTTTGTCTTTGTCTGATTGGGTTAATTTGAAAGCCTTGACTTCAAGCTCTGAAATTCTTTCTTCTATTTGTTCTAGTCTATTGTTGAAACTTTCCCCTGCATTTTGTTTTTCCCTATGCATGTCTTTCATTTCCAGAAGTTCCAATTTGTTTTTATTTATGATATCTATTTCTCTGGAAGATTTTTCATTCATATCCTAGATTGTTTTTAAAATTTCTTTAAGTTAGTTTTCACCTTTCTCTGGTATCTCTTTGAGTAGCTTAATAGTCGACCTTCTGAATTCTTTATCTGGCACTTCAGAGATTTCTTCTTGGTTTGGATCCATTGCTGAGGAGCTAGTGTGATCTTTTGGGGATGTTATAGATCCTGTTTTGTCATATTACCAGAATTACTTTTCAGGTTTCTTCTCATTTGGGTAGACTACTTCTTCTAATTGTTCTTGAATTTATTTTTTATTTGACCAAGTTTTTCTTTTTTAATTTCTATTTTTTCCCTCTTAAAGATCTGACTTTAGTGTGTATACTTTATTTTAGTCTAATTTGATTCTTGGTGCTTTTAGGAGTGAAGACTATATATGAGTTCCTTAGTTATATAGAGTCTTTGTGCACTGGCTTTTCCAGATCCTGGGTGTAGTAGTTATGTACTTAGTGTATGGGTGAGTTCACTGTCTCCTATGGGGTTGGAAATGGCAGGGATCTCTTGAAGCTTATCTCATTCTCTCACGATGTACACTTTATTTATTTAATTTTTCCCCAGTATTTTATTTACTAAGTTGATAATTAAGGCTTCAAGCCAATAGGCGAGGTATCCCTGGGTAGGCACTGCTTGTAGGTAAGGCAGGTGGGTAGATGTAATACCCAATGGTGGGCAGAGGTCCCAGCCTTGGTGAAGGTGCTGGGGGAGCTCTTAATTAGATGTGCTGAGGTTTTATCAGGATGAACAGTGGGAACTACCTCAGCTCCCCTACCAGGCCTGCAGGAAAGCTATCCACCTCATAGTCTCACTCCTGCCCCAGTGTACTGGCTATTCAGATCAGAAAGGCACCTCTTTTCATCTATAAGAATGTTGATATTCCAAGTAGGGAGGGATTGTGACTCTGCCTCTTGTGCAGGCCTGAATCTGCGGAGTGCTCCTCCTCTGGGGCTGTAATCAACTTGAATTGTTCCAGGAAGGCTGTCTATAAGTGCATCCATGCTGCGTTCCCATGTGAGAAGCCCCAGATGTGTCTGCAGTGGTCTTCCAGGGAGAACAAGGACCCCTTCTCCAAAATCCTTCATTATCACAGAGGCTGCCTGCCTGTTGGGGTAGAGGTACAGACTTTCCCTACTGCTCTCAGTGCTGCAATTGTGTCTCTCCTGTAAGAAACTTCCAACCAGCAGAAAGATCTAGGACTCAAGGCCTACTGTTCAGAATTTTTTCTTCCACAGTACCCTGTGGAAGTATTCCCTTCATGTTGGACTCTCCCCGTTAGCCTAGGAATGGGACTTCTTGAGAGCCAGGCTGCAATGATTGTTATTGCTCTTCTGTGTCTAGCCACCCGGTGCAGCTACCAGACTCCAGGCTGGTCCTCGGGAATGTCTGCAAAGGATCCAGTGATACGACCTGTCTTCAAGTCTCCCAGCAGTAGGTACCAGCACCCACTCTGATGGCATCACAGGGGAGTAAGATAGATTGTGAGAATCCTTGGTTGTAGACAGGCTTAGTGAGCTGGCTCTCTCAAATGCTGGTTATACTAGTAGTGAAATTGTCACATAGACGCAGGACCTCTGGTTAGTCACGGTGTTTCAGGCAGTGGTGTTAGCTGAGATCATGCAGCCATTTTCTCCTTCCTGGTCACAATGTTATTCTGTCAAGAGGTACTGTACATGTCTGAGTTTGTTGGCCTTCAGCCAGGAGGTTGCACTTTCCAGAGAGGACCAGCTGCATTTGTAGCAGTGGGATTTGAACTGCCCTAAGTTGTCCAGGGGAAGTATTCTGATTCCTCAGGCAATGGATGTTGCCATAAAGCTCCCAAAATTTATGTCTTTTGTCTTAAGCTACCAGAGCAAGTGGATAAATACTGCTTGTTGTGGGCAGGGTTAGGTGGGTCTGAGCTCAGACTTTTCTTGGGCAGGGTCTGCCACGGCCACTGTGGGGATGGGGGTGGTTCTTAGGCTGCTGGGGTAGTGTTCCGAAGGGGATATATGTACTTGTTTTAAAATCAGATTTGTGTGTCCCAGATATGTTTGAGTGATTCAAAAACTTGTGTTTTGAACAATCTTAGGTGGGATAAGCCAGTGCTAAAAACCTTCAAGGTCTGGGCATCTTTGAAACTGTCAGCAAAAGAAGGATTTTGCTGACACCAGTTTCAAAGAACCTAGTCAAGGTTAAGGGAAGGACTGACTCTAAAAAGAGCATCAAATTCCTATAGAATTTTTTTTTTTTTTTTTTTTTTTGAGACGGAGTCTTGCTCTGTCATCCAGGCTGGAGTGCAGTGGCGCAATATTGGCTCACTGCAACCTCCGCCTCCTGGGTTCGAGTGATTATCCTGCCTAGGCCTCCGAGTAGCTGGGACTACAGGTGGGTGCCACCATACCCAGCTAATTTTTGTATTTTTAGTAGTGACGGGGTTTCACCATGTTGGCCAGGATGGTCTCGATCTCTTGACCTTGTGACCCACCTGCCTCTGCCTCCCAAAGTGCTGGGATTTTAGGCATGAGCCACTGTGCTCAACCCCTGTAATATTTAATTTAACCTCAGTGATCTAATACATGATAGAAGGTGAGAGTTGCAGAATTTAGGAGAGATGCCCAGAGGTCACAAGCTAGCTTAGTTTGCTTCCTAGTTTTAGATGGAAGAGGTAGCAAGAAAATGATTAAGACGTGAAGTTCAAACTCAAAACGGAAAAATCAATGCTGGAAAGTAAATAGTACTGAGAAAGAAAAAGTTAGATCATACTTCCTCTTCACAAGTCACAAAGGCCAATTATGCTGAAATAAGAGAAAGTGAACTGGGTCACCTGACACTGATCCAGAGAAAATAGCTGAAGCTGCCCGAGGCTGTTTACACTAAGATGGCAGGGCTTTTGTTGCTAGACAGATTTTGACTGTCCACATACCTATCTAGGCCTCTAATTAGAGTTAAGTGTGCTTACCTCTCTGGTAGAATCCTGGCCTAGCCAGGTTCTTGTCTGTGTGTCCTGAGATTAGACCATCCTTAGGAACAGGTGGAGAGCTTTGCTTGAATTCTCCAAGGGAGTAGGGAAAGGGTGGTCTGGAATGGAGGGAGGCCTCTGAGGAGATGTGAGTGTGACAGTAGCAGTGGCCTAGTCTCCGACTAAACTCAGGGTTGCAGGAGCCGTGTTATCCTACAGTTGCTCCCTGGTGATTAAGGGGCAGCTCTGAGATCCAGGCAGCTCTGAGATCCAGGTTGGGTGAAGGGAGCAATGCTAAGTTGTGCAGCTGCTACTGGCCTAGGGTAGTTGATAGGATGCAAGAGGACATCCTCACCACCCTTGTCCAGCAGTGGCCTCTGAAAGTCAGCCTGATGAGAATAGGAGTGGCTGATGGAAACTGCTGCAGGCCACCATCACAGCCTGGATGACTTACCAGTGCTGCCATTCCTGACAAGAACAGATACAGAAGTCAACTCATCATAGGGCACTAAAGAGACTTCAATATTCAAAAATTTTCACTCTTCTCCAACATGAGTCACCCTTGAGAAGGAAGAGGATAGTGCCTTGTATCTAATTGTTGTAGAAGGGGAGAGTAGAGGTTGTTAATTGATATTTCTCATTAAGATAAGAAAAACAAAAGACTCAGCATGAACAGTGTAGGGATTGGAGTTTCAGAAATGCTGGATGGGACTTTGAATTAAGGAATCTTTCACTAATAAGCAGCAAGATAATCGAGCCTAAAAAAGAGGGTTACACTCAGAAATTTGGTGGGAAATAGCAGCTACAACACCCAGTTGGATTAAATTAAGCACTGATTACATACAGTTGGTCAGAAAGGTCACAATCTATGCCTTCAAATATTCAATTATTGCTTCAAATAATCAATGATCACAAATACCTGTTTTTTAATATAGCTGTTTGTGGAGAGTAATGATATTTGGCTGGATTATAAATCTCATTCCAAACCTGAGGACAGAAATTTACCAATTACTGTACGCATCCTAACTGGCATCTAAAGGCAGCAATCTTTACAGTCTTGAGGAAAAAATAACCTAACTTTAAGAAATGAGCTTTTGATATCTCACTTATAACAATGAACAAAAATATCATAGCATCCCCCAAATCTGTTTTCACTTCGTCTATATTATTGATTAAATGATATAGCCTCTTGTCAGCAATGATTTTCATGGAAGATGACTAACTTTGACCAAATTTGTTCCTAAACACTATTAGAATCTAAATTGAGTTTTGAACTATAAATTGATCTGCCATCTTGAAATATTTTCACCTACTTTTATAATCTCTAGTTTTTATTGTTTTGATCAAAAAACACAGAAAGAAATATCCTTTGAAAAGAGGTCTAATCATCCCTTTTAAAGTAAACTGCAGGCCCGGTGCAGTGGCTCACGCCTATAATCCCAGCACTTTGGGAGGCCGAGGCAGGTGGATCACTTGAGGTCAGGAGTTCAAGACCAGCCTGACCAACATGGTGAAACCCCATCTCTACTAAAGATACAAAAATTAGTCATGCGTGGTGGCATGCACCTGTAATCCCAACTACTTGGGAGGCTGAGGCAGGAGAATCGCTTGAACCCAGGAGGTGGAGGTTGCAGTGATCCAATATCATGCCACTGCACTCCAGCCTGGGTGACAGAGCAAGACCCTATCTCAAAAAAAATAGAATAAAATAAATAAATAAAATAAATTGAGAATAATTATTAAACAGGTATTAAGATTATGCATGGCAACAATGAATTTATTTTGACACTTTTGAGTCTTTTATAATAGTCTCATCTCTAGACTAATAACCCTTGAGGGCAGATGTTAATCTACTGAAATGCTTTCAGAAGGTCACTAGAACTCTGAAAGTTCACTGGAACTCTAGTAAATATAAACAAATTTGATTTTTTTCAGTAGGGTGTGTGTTTGGCCAGTTTCTGGGATAAGTGGAATAATTAATTTGTATTTCATTTTAAATGATTTAAGTTACCCTCTGTCAGTTTGGATGACGACATTACATTTTACTCTCTAATTGTGAGTGACATTTTCTTCATCCTTTTTTCTCCCATGGTAAGGTCTCTCATTCTATCAACATGATAAATGCTAAATAAACTGGCATAATTGGAATCTCTGATTTTGGCCATTAGGGGCTTCAGACGAACAGTTTATTAAATTGATGATTTTTGCTCTTCTTCATTTTGAGACACTTAAGTCCTATTACTGCAGATTCAATATTTGAATGAAATTGGTATTTGGCAGTGGAGGGGTGGTGACCCGAAATCCAGGTACTATTCAGATCGCCAATCAAGAGGACCCTCTGCCTTCCCTTCTGTTTATCAGAGAACCAATTATCAATGCATTTAAAAAATAATTAATACTTTTAGAAAAATTTGAGCCTGGGTTCATGTCTATATTCTATATGGGATGTCTATATTCTGGACCTGGAAAACCTAATGGCTTTGGAAACCCAATAAAATAAAATTTTTATTACGATTTTTAACCTTTAATTAAGGTAAAGTTCGGCTTAATTTTTCTTCATGCAAAAAAATATTTTCAAATTAAACCTACCCTGGGTGGTTAGTGCTAGTTATTTATATTTTACAAAAAACAAAATCCCCAAATGATTCAAATGTACAGCAATTTCTTTTTAAAGTGGGCATTAGAAAATGGGACTGACCTTGCAAAATAAAGTTTTTGAATGATCTCTGTATGGGAAAGCTAACCTAGAAGTTGTCTTGTGGACCACCCGCCTCATATGGTAAAAGGCTTTCGCAACCATACAAAGCTGGATGTTGAGTATGTAGCTGAATAAATTAATTCATGCTGCAGCCAAATCTTTGACATGAAGGATTGAGTCAAAATGGGGTCCTGGAGCTCTTATACTCTAGGGACTTTTCATAACACCTATATTTGCTTCCATTCAGTTTGCCTTATTTCAGCCATGAATGAGTTTAATTTTGAGCCAGGAGCCTCAAGCTGCAAACCATGAGCACCTCTACAGGATGCTCCACTTCGAGCTGAAAGATGTGGATTTGGGAGCAGTTTTCAAGGGGAGCTTGTTTTCTCCCATTCTAGGAGACTCTGTGATTGGTGATTAAAGCAGCTGTCCTCAGGCAGGCACTGCCAAATATGTTGGATAGATGCTGTTCCCAGGTTTCTGGAACCATGTAAAGCAAAGCCTGGGTACCAAATCATAGGAGAATCAGTTTAAATGGGAAACATGCATTTTTGTCATCACTATTCAATGCAATACACAGCAGTAAAAACTGCACTTTTGCTGAAAGCAGGGTGAAACTTGAAAAGTCATATTCCTTCCAGATATGCCCCTGCAGAGCATAAAACCAGGTTGAAAGTTGGCTAGCTAATCATTATCAGAAGGATGATTTAAATCAAGATACATGGGCCAATATTTCTTGCTGTTAATGAAAAAAGATGATGGTGATTTTCTAACAAAAGAGGTTTAAGGAGTAACCCTAAAAGGGCCAAAAAAAACCATAATAATAAGTCATCTCTACAATGTATAACTAAAAAAAATCTCTATCATTAGTTGTTTGGAGGTCTGAGAGACCTGAGACCTTTTGATTTATTTCTGACAATTTCACTGAGGACATACAACTGGTATGTACCGTTTGTTTTATTACAGATGAATGAATTAAATTCTTTAGTTGGATGGGACCACCATCATGAGGCAATTCAGAGTTATGGGAATGACATGAAAAAATTATCTTTCTCTGCACAAAACCTGCTTATTTTACAAACACATTATAAGACAGATGGGAAGGAGGATAGGAGGAAAGTAGTTACCTATTTGGTTTGTCTGGCAGATAAAGTAGGAGGTAGGAGTGTGGAAACCATTTAAACGTTACTGCTGCTTGTCATTTGTCCTACTAACACTTCATCTTATCTGAATAGTAACAATAGATGCTATGTATTGTGTGCTTACTTGTAGTTAAGCATTTTCCAATAATGTTATCATAATGTGCCTGTGCAATAGAGGTGTGATTCCCATTTTTCAGATTAAGCTCAGATCAGCTGAATGGGGCATTTCAGAAGTTTAAAACTATGTTTCTTTGTCTGCAGAGGCTCGTGAGAAGAAGATAAAAGTTCCTCCCTCAAAGGCTGTTATGAGGTCTAAATGAGACATAATGCATGTAGCGCAGCAAGCTTAAGATAGTCTTGGCCTCTAGCAAGGGCTCAGGAAGGGATCCCTCTTTATTGTTATAATAATCATTATTATCATTGCTATGATGGCTTCTAGTTCTACCTCTATTCCCTATTACTGTTACTCTTCAATTACTGCTGCTAATACTAATTGGTAATGATAATAACAATTATGGCTACACAGGGCCAGACTCTGGGACCATACCTGTCTCAGTCTCAGATAAGAGGATCTATTATACGGTGGTAATTTAGGAATAAAACAGGGGAAGGCTTGACAGCTGATTTAAGTCACAGTCATTTGTCATTTCCTGCTTCTCTTTGCACTCACTGTGACTACAGAAGCCACATGAGAGTCCGCTTGAAGGAGGCTTCCTGTCACTCCTTGTAAACTCACACCAGATGTGTGCCTTTTACATTGGCTGCCTTGGGCCAGGGTTCACCCTAGGGCAGGAAGTTGGCCGGCTGTGTCCACTTTACACCATGCCCCAAAGCCTGCAAACAGCTGCGCTAGAAGGACTATAACCCTCAGCACCTCCTGGACCTGTGTTTGGATTAAGTGGCTCTTCACCCTTATTTGCCATCCTGAGAGAAATCTGACATATAGGTGTCATATTTTATTCATAATGTACTAATTATTGTTCCTATACAAATGAATACTCTATAGTCCACCAGTTCCCAGAGCAGCAGTTCTAAAAGCAAAGAAATTAGAATCAAAGAAGTACCTCATATTGCTGTATTCCTTAGGTTGCCTTATTGATGTGAATAATTGTGTTTCATTTATCTATTACTATGTAACAAATCACTCTAAACCTTAATGGCTTAAAACAATTTACTGTTTCTCATGATTTTGTGGATTGAGCTGGTGGTTCCTTTGCTGTTCTCACGTGGGTCACTAAGTGATTGCATCCAGCAGGCACGGTGACTGAGGCCGGGTTCAGCAGGGATGTCTGGCATGGCTGGGACTCTCTCTTGACATGTTATTTTCATTCCAAGCTTCTTCACAGTATGGCAATCTCAGGGTCGCCTTCCAAGAGAGGGAAAACAGAAGCTGCAAGCCTCTTGTGTATGGCAGAGCATCATTTCCATGGCATTCTGTCAGCCACAGCAAATCACAAGGCCAGCCCTAATTCAAGGAGAAGACAAACAGACTCCTCTTGATGGGAGGGGTGGCAATGTCACATTGCAAATGAGCATGGGAGGAATTGCTGTGGTGTTTTGTTGCGGTCTTCGAAACCAATCCTAATACAAATTTTGAAAATACATTCTATTAAAAAGCTGCACCGTCATTGATCATGCAGATGCTTCACTTTTCCACTAAGATGAGGTCTACATTGTTAAAAATAGTTCAGTACAAATACTTCATGGGGCTAATTTGGAAGCATTCTTGACATAAGATATTGAATATTTAGCTTCTTCAAAGATAAAGAGATTTGGCTTGCTGGGGCAGCCTGTAAATGTGTGCGTGCTTGGAGTGTCCACATGGAAAGAATCACTCATTTATTCATGCCTGCATGCATTCATTTATCCATGTATTTGGACATACATTCCTATGCAAAGCTCTAAGCTAGGTACTGGAATAGAGCAAATACTCAGATTAATTAAACCAATAGAATCATTTTATATCCTGTGATTTTTTTTTAGTTTGTGTGTGTGTTTTTAACTCAGCTACTTATTTTTTCAAGCATGAGCTCTTTCTTTTCCATATGAACTTCTATTAAGAAGTTGTATCTAATGAAATGCAAAAATAAATATAGCTCATAGTATACTTCACATGTAGACACTGGAGACATGCTTTTTCTTAAACTTACACTTAAAGCAATATTAGATATGGATAAAAAAGCCTGAGATTGAGTAAGACATTAGATAGGCTACAGAGCCATGATAGTTTCATGACCAGAGCATCCAATGACAGCCCACACAAATCTTGGGCACTTTGGGATTTCTCTGGTGGCAGGTACAAATTTGAGCACCATTCATTCATTATTTGTTTATTTATCCAGAAAATATTTATTGTGTTTTCACTATGGGTTAGGCCTGTTCCAGGTGAGAGATACTGGAGTCAAAAAAAAAAATAGTTCTTATCCTCATATAACCTAAATTCTAGATAGAGAAAATTGAGAACAACAACAACAAAAAAAAATACGCAGTCTCTCAGGTGGTGATAAACAGTATGGAAAAAAATAAAGCAGAGTTTAAGGAATGAGGGGAAACTATCAAAAGAGATGGAGAGGGGATGGACAGTGAGGTAAGAAGAAAATCAAGATGAAATGGTGTCCCATTGTGTGGAAAATATTTCAAGAGGAGTGACAATTGTTTCAAATGCTTAGGAGAGGTCAGGTAAGCTGAGGACTGAGGACTGGACATTGTGTTTGACCATGTGGAGGTCATGGAGTGGTGATGAGAAAAGCCAAATTAGTTTAAGTTCCAGAGAGGATGAGAGACAAGAAAAGGGAAACCAAAAATACAGAAAACTCCTCTGTAGATGTTTTGCTGAAAAGGGGTGTTGAGGAATGGGGTAGATATTGGAGTGAGATGAGGGCCACAGGAGAGAATTTTATATGATAGGAAATATGACAGCATGTTGGTGCTGATAGGGATGCCCCAGGACAATGGGTAAACTGATGATGTAGAAGAGAAGGGCACTTGCTGAAATGATGTCCTTGAGTAATTGAGATGGATGGGTTCTTCTAGACCAGATTTAAAAATTCATGTCATTAGACATGTTGAGTGTATACCCAGAATATATATGCATCTATTCTTAAGTTTTATTTATATTCTACAGCAGTAGCATGTTTCATATATTTCAAAGCACATATAAAAATATAATCAGATGCTTTGTAGAAGAAAATATAAGAATAGAAACCCCAGCATTTTCTCCAAATATCCCATAGTCTTAAAACACATACTCCGTAAAGTGCATACATTTAACTTTGGAGTTCTTACCTTTAAACAATGTCACTGTTTGGCACTGATTTACCTAAAAGCAGTTGGAAGAAAAGAACTCGATTTTTCGAACTTGAGAATCTGAGTTTTCCCCGTTTTGATTTCTATCTAGGAAGCGTTTTGCCTTAACCAACCCTTTACAAAGAGTAATAATTTGAAAATGTAACCAACTTGAAATGATTTAGGTAAAAGGTCTAATTCATAAGCAGGTTCTTCAAATGTTCCTAGAGGTTACTTTTGTCACACATAATGTCACAAAAATGCAAAAAGTACTCAGAAAGGAGAACAACTGCATTTCAATTTTTATTTGTTGCCATTGGGTCACTTTTTTGGACCATAAGTCATTCCCAGAGCTTTCTCTGAATCCATGAATGAAGGACAAAAGTATACATCCCATCGCTGGTATACAACAATAACTTTGACCACATGATAGGAGAAGTGAGAAATGTAGCCAATTTTTTCCTGTAGTTTCCATGTAAACATATGGCAGTTTACACAGAAACTACAGAAAGTACAGAAACCTAAAATGAAAACTAAAATTTGTTCCCAGGTTGAAAAGAGGAAAGAGTTTCAGTGATAGCCACTAAAGCCACAGAAGACTTTATTCTCTGGAAGATGTTTTTGCTAATTATAAGGCTGAAATTACTGGCACAGACTTTTTTTGCAATTGGCTGATATAATATAATAAAACAATGGTGTCGAGCGGAACCACTGTGAAAGTTTTTAAGGTGGTCAAAGGAATCATTCCTGTAGTTCCAGTGTAATCCCAGTTGCAGATTAACATTGTCAGGTATGTCAGAGATACCTGAAGTACAGTCATCACATTCACAGTGTGTGGATCCCCATCTCGAAGGGACACAATGCTCCTAAATCAGTCTCTCCATTGCAGGGGGTGGCATCAAGTTCCACATTTCCACTCGGGAGCCCTCCTTCTCCTGACGGCTGGGGCTGTAGGTTCCCTGAGTTGCCCTTTTGTTGGAGGTGACAACAGAAGCAACAATGGCCAGCAAGAGGATCAGTAACAAGGCGACAGTCACTGAGCCAATAGTGGTGAAAATGTCGGAGATCAAGTCATCTGCCAACTGGAAAGATTGAAATCATTGGGATGCGAATTCTATAGCAAAGGCAAATAAATATTCAGGACAATGGAACTACTCAGGAATGAAGACCAACCAGAGCAAGCTGGTACCACTCAGTACTGTAAAAAGACCAAGGTATTAAAAGAAAGTCAGATTTTCTTATTCTCAAATCATTTACAAATAATCATATATCTAGAATCTAAAGTCTACAGTCAGAAAATATGGCATGAAATACCTACTATATTTGCTCAGTCTCTTAATCTCAGTGACTGAGATGATTCATGTAGCAACAAAGGCAAAAGATGAGCCCACACTTATATTTATAAAATGATTCTAGATCTATAGCCACGTATTATTCATGATCTCTTTCCTCCCTTGCCAAAAGTTCTAATTTGGGACTGAAGAAATGGTTATTTTACAGTTTTGTTTTGTTGCTTTGGGAAAGGAAAGAAATTAAATTAGTTGGGTCTTGTGGGAAAAATTCTTGACACAGAGGAGGGACTGTGATACGCTGGTCTCGCAGGGGGTTTCCAAAGGAATCACTCTGATTCGGATTCAACATGGCAATTGAATGGTTGTAAAGGCACATGTGCTTAACGCTGAATCCAAGTATCTAGCAGCAGACAACGGCAGGTAGAGCCCTGTCAAAGGGAGCTGGATCCTGGGCTCTCAAAGTTGTTATTTTTACACAGTGGTTTGATTAATGTTAATTCCGATGTGTTTGCAAACACTTTTTAGCAAACCTGAGCTCTTATCAGTTTAACAATGGCTAACATGAAACTGTGACTGAGTTGCACAGAAATATTAAAGACAGAAAGGAGTTACTGTTTGAATTTTTAAACTGATTTTTTCAAAGACATATTTCTATCAGAGTAAATCAGTAGTAAACTCTTTTACCTTCTTATTTAGCTTTCTCTAGGACTCATCCCCACGTTACCAAACCAATCTATTACAAATGAAATCTGTGTTTAACATCCTAGAGAGTTTAAATATCTTTTCTATCCTTAGTCTCTTTTTATTGTCCCCTGTGTCTTGGTTTAAATTATTATACAATTAATATAATATTTTAACAGCTTCATAGTATTGTCTGGGATCTACTCACAATAATCCTTGCTCAAATGTGGTTCATTAGTTTGTGCATTCAATCAGCAATACTTATTGACCATTTACTATGAGCATTTACTGAGCTAGGAAATGAAAATACAAAGACAAATAAAAGTTTGGAATCTGGAGCTCAAATTCTGGAGATAGGAGAAGAGGAAGACGCGCACACACACACACACACACACACACACACACACACAAATAATCATAATACATTACAGATAGGTGTTATGACCATGTGATGAATTAATTGTGTTGAGGAGTAGGTGGAGCAAGATTGGAATGAGACATGATTGTCCTTTGAAGGATTAGTGGATGCTCAAGTACTTCAAGGAGGAAATTCCACTTTAATGAGACAATCTCGGTGGCTCATATCTGTAATCCCAGCACTTTCGGAAGCTGAGGTGGGCAGATCACCTGAGGTCAGGAGTTCGAGACCAGCCTGGCCAACATGGTGAAACCCTATCTCTACTAAATATACAAAAATTAGCAGGGCATGGTGGTGGGTGCCTGTAATCCCAACGACTTGGGAGGCTGAGGCAGAAGAATCGCTTGAACCCGAGATGCGGAGGTTGATGTAAGCTGAGATCAGGCTACTGCACTCCACCCTGGGTGATAGAGCAAAACTCTGTCTCAAAACAAAAACAAAAACAAAACATAAAACGCAAGAAGACATAAAAGTCCTTAGAATTTAGGGAAAGAGTAAGAAACCCAGTGTGACCGAATGTGTATGTTTGAATTGGGAAAGGGTGAAAAGAGTTGGTGAGAGAAAATACTATATTGACCAATACATTGACCATGAATGTGTATGTTTGAATTGGGAAAGGGTGAAAAGAGTTGGTGAGAGAAAATACTATAAAGTAGAAGGGTCTTGTTAAGAAATGTGAATGCCACACTAAACTCAGACTTTGTCCTGTAGTCAGTGAGGAGCCACTGAAGATATTTAAGCAAAAGCATGACTTGATAAGCTCTGGTAACAGGGTGGAGGATGGGAGATAGTGTAGGTGGGGAAGAAATTGGAGGCAGAGAAGTTAGTTTATCTTATTAGTCATGATAAGAGATTACCTAGGTCTAAATTTAGCAAAGGAGTGAGAATTGAAGGGAAAGAATGTTTGACAGGGATTTCTGAGGTAAATTCAGCATCACCCCATGTCAGATTGTGTGGGGTAGTGGGGAAGAGAGGAAGGATGAAGATGGCTGTTGATACCACATTAGATGAGCAGGTGGATTGGGATGTCAGTCATTGAAATTGGGCTCACATGAGGAAAAACTGGGTTCACATGAGGTTTGTGTAGGAAGAATATGAGGTCAGGCTGGGAAAAGCTGGTCTTAGGTGCCTTGGAGACATTCAAGAATATAGTACTATTAGATCATTAGAAATATGTTTACTACTCCATCTCTCCTTCATATTACTGTGAAAAATTCTGGGTTATGACAATGACTGGAGCTTTTGAAGTAAAGCATATAGAATTTCATAGAGTTCAGTAGTTTTTTAGAAAAAATAGTTTATGTCAACTAGAGGGCAAACTCTCCATCCATACTGTGTGGCCATGCTTTTGTAAATAATTATATGTTTTATCAATAAAGATAACTCTGGCCTGGGAAAGAGGAACAGAACCGCAGAGTTGGGCTTGAAAGGTCAAAAGGCTGGGACACAGAAGAGCAGATGAAATCTGACCAGAAAAACACCTTAGTACTATCCAATGATCTTTAGAAAATGCACACTCTTGTTCTTAGATGTTGATTTCATCTTAATCTGTCTGGTAAATCATGTCATCTGTTGGAGTAAATGGCGGTTCTCCTGGATGAGAGAGTTGGGAGTGCCCACACCCATGCACACAAGAGAAAAATCACTTGGTTTGTCTCTGTTTTCTAAACTTTTCCAGGCCCTTCTCTTCTCATTCAGCCTGAGATTGATTACATTGGGTAAACTGAGGCTTCCCAGATCCTCTCATCTGCTATGCTGCAACAGGAGAGGAAGAAGGACTCATGGGGGTGGGTCCCGAGTCCTTGTTAGTACCTCAATTCAGGTTGAACCAGAGGGCTGACCTGTTTCACATATTTTGGGACTCCTGAGGAACCAAGTCCTTCATCTACAGTTGCTTTGCTGTTCTTAAAAATGTGATAAAAATAAAAGAGCAAATTCAAGGCCTGGGATCCAGCCCCACCTCTGCCAGTCCTGGCTGTGTAATGAAGTGGTTAAGAGGTCAGTCTTCAGAGGCAGAGACCTGGGTTTGATTCGTGGCTCTGCCAATTACTTGTGCAAACACAGCAAGTTATTTCACCTCTTAGGAACTCATTTTCATCATTTATAAAATGGAATATTAACATCTACTTCAAAGGATGGGACCAAATAAAACACAAAGAATGTAAAATACAAAAAGCACAGCCTATAGGAAGTTCTCAAATACACAAACATATTAGTAGTCATTAGTATACCATTTATCATTTTCCCTAATTCTATTTGCTTTTAAAAGATAAACTAGAATTCCCTCAGGACGTTGCAGTATGACCAAGGGAGCCAACCTACAAACCTAATATTGCAATTCCCAGCCTCATATAAAGTTTTTGATGAAAGAGTTCCCCTAACTGTATCAAATAGGGCATGTCATTAAGCTTTAGAGTGAACTGAATGAGTAGGGTTTTGAAATCGCCTCTTCAGGGCCCTTTGCTTTTAAATTCCCATGGTTGAAAGGCTTTTTTTTTTTTGCTCCACTATTCTTCAACTGTGCTTAAAATATACGGCACTAGGATGGATCTTTTGATAATTGAAACTGCTGGGACACATGAACTGATGATGGAGGCCTCCAGGTGCAGGACGAGATTTAAGGCCAGCCCTATTTGGATTGGTTGTGCTCTAACACTGAGCTTTTGAATAACCTTTTCCTGAAAAGACATACCCCAAATTAATTATAAATATAATGTAGAATTGTTTTTTTTTTTTCTGAAAAATGACATGCTGCTATCTGCAGTCAGTTATCATATTAACATCTTTTAAAAAATGTATATTGTATGTATGATTAATTTAAACTGTGATTACTTTGAACTCCATATCTGCAGAATAAAATAAATAGATGTTTCATTTGTTCTCCTCAAAGAGAATTTATTCTGAAACATTAACTGGGTTCTGGCCTATATAGGACCCAAGCAAGGTTATTCCATGGTATTCTATGGTGAGACTGTCAAAACCTATTTTGAAACTTCCATCCTGATTATTGTATGCTGGAATGTGCTAGCACCATAGGTTAATGTGTGTTTTCCTCTTAATCCCAGAAAAGAAATTTCATCTTGTTTCTTCTGAAGGGGAACTGGAAACAGCATGCACTTGCTAAGCAGACAGAAAGGGATTTGAATCCAATTTCGATACTTGTTTAGTATACTTAGCCTACATATACTGTTTTCCCACTTCTCTCAGAAATGTCATAAGAATGAAAGAGCAAATTCAAGGCCTGAGATGCAGCCCTACCTCTGCCACTCCTGGCTGTGTAATGAAGTGGTTAAGAGCTCTGCTCATATACCATTTTCCCACAGTATATGTAGGATAAGTATAATAAATGGGGACAACAATTCCCACGTCTTAGAATTGTTCTAAGAATTACAGCATTCAGTGGATAAAGAGCTTCTCATAGGACATACGCACAGGACAAGAACTTTGATCCATGTGATTACTCTTGTTTATTACCCCAAGTGACCTTCCCCTGATTGATTTTCTTGATCCTGTTTGGATTTCAGAACTCCTACCATCCACTCAGGGCCATCCTTGTGAACAAGGAGGCGCTTCGGGTTATCACTCTCACTGTGCTGATGTGGCGCTGGTGGAAGGGTGTGCAACCTGGGCCTATCAGAATCAACTGTTACTAATTGCTTGAGAGTTAATCTAATTTGGAAAACACAAAATGAGCTGGAAATAAGAGAAATGAGACAAATTCTGTTGTCAGCATCAGGACCTATCTTTCATGATATTTAGGGCCGATGACAGCATTTGAAATAATGTGAAAACAATAAACATATCAGAAGGAGCTCTGAAAAAATATGAAACATTGCAGGATTTTTTGGAAAATGTAACCTCACATTCCCAAGTGAACAGAGGTGCAAACATGAAAGCTTTGACTTAAAGTGAGGGAATTCAAGAACTAATGCTGCAACCATCAGCCCCCAGAGGTCCTTTCTCTCATGCCTGCGTTTTATAAAACCAACAGAAGTATGTTTGCGGTTAAAAATGAAGGCAATATTTGGGGTTAAAAACTGGCTCCTGGAAAACACCACACTGGAATGAATTACTTCAAGTCTTTCCTGGAATTCAGTTGTATGTATATCAGTTACATAGAAATATGTGGAGACAGTTTAAGATGGAAAGTTAAAATGTTTGAATGTGTCAATTGATTACAGGTTACATTCCAGCTTCAATATGTGCGTTTCTGAAACTAGTTGTGTCTGTGTGTGTATTTAGTGTTACATCAAATAACCAAGTAAGACCATTATGTGCAATTAAGAGAATTAGTGATTCATGGAAAAATTATTTTAAACACATTGTGTCTTTAACATGCCAGTTGGAATATTTATCTTCCATCTACATATATAAAGTAAAATAAAGGCATCTCTCGAATGCTCATCCACTAACTTTTTTAAAAAAGGAATACAAATTTGGAGAGCAGTTCTTGTGAATTGCTATTCTGACAAGTAGATCGTCAATTTGGTGGATGGTAAAAACCTCCCACACAGACCTCAGTCCTTGAACTATATCTTATGAGTGAATTGTTAGAAGCGGCCGTTTCCATAGTAATATTGAATATGTGCCAAAACTCTGTTTTTAAAATTAATATTGCTATAGCAGCCAATTTTCAACCATAAATACACTGTCCACTTTACAGTCATAAGGGGAAAATAAGGTATTAAAAAGCCAAAAGAGAGAACTCGGGAAGTGTCCTGGGATAAGGAGGAGGCTATCCAGCCAGATGCTCCTTCCACCAAATAAAAGGCTTAGGAATGTGAAGAAAGGATGGCGATCAGAGAGCCACCAGGCACCTTTCCCTCTGAGCAGCAGGCCGACAGCAGGGAACAGGGGAGGGAGGGATCTGCACTGCATGCTGAGTATCATTTTCTCCTTGGCACTGCCCCATCTCTTCATCTGGCTGCTCTGCTTCTCCCAGAAAACAGATAAGCTCCCACTGGGTTTGCCGAGAACAGAACAATGGTGAGCTACGGCCCCCTCCAAGGGCTGTAAGACTGCAGTTAGCAGGGTTTGAAGTCTCTTGCTGGAAAAAGAAGGAATCCAATATAAAGGCTTTCTCATTAATTCTCACCATGTGATTACAATTTCTTATAACTATGCTGATTGGGGGTCATCACAATAGCTGGGGGAGGAAAAACTGAGCTGAGATGGGACCGTCCAGGGAACCGCAGCCTGGAAGACGCTTCCTGGGAACCTTCTGATATGATTTCCATACCAGAAGGAATGGTATAGCTATGATAGGAAGGAAGAGGCTAGAACAGCTACTGTGGAAATTTCCTGTGGACACATTGGAGATAAATGAGAAAAAAAAAACTGATGTAACATAAGGATATATGTTTGGAATTCTAGTTCCAGGTTAAACAATCAACCTCAACATTAACTCAAGCATGACATATTTCCTCTTGTAGACCTTTAGGGAAAGGGCCCAGTGACACTGAGATTTGACATGTGCTGTGACATTGGTCATAAATAGACAAGTTTATTTCTGCATTCTACAAACTGTGTAACCACAATGCTAGCTAGAAGTAGAGTGGTGGGCCAAACAGTCCCTGGCAGGAGCCATCATAGGCATTAGATCTGTAAAAATAAGTATCAAGAAAAAGCCCTGATAATTCACAACCTCTCTCCTACTTAGGATACCAGATTTTAGGCAGAAGCATAGATGCAGCTAGAGGTTTGAGGACATTGCTTTCATATTTTTCTCTCCATAAGCAGGTGGTATAAGTGATAGCATTGTTTTCTTTGGAGCACATGGCCTTGTGAATAAAAATTATCGCCTCATCTCATACAAGAACCAAATCCCAGCAGCTCAAACTCAGTTATATTTCATTATGCTTTGTAAATTTATTGTTGAAAGATAATGGCTAGCCATTTCTTCTGACCCTGTGTCAGTGGTTTGCCAGATGTTTTTAACACAGAAAATGCTTTAATTCTCCTAATAACTCAACTAGGTAGGTGTTACTATTTGCTGTCATCTTCTTGGGGAGACCTTCCCTGACCATCCTCTTTGATTGCAATCAGCTTTCATTCTCTCAAGCATTCAGTACCATGTGAAGTCTATAGAGTTTTTGTGTGTATCCTGCTGTAATGGAAGCCCCATTCAGGTGCAGATATTTGCCTTCCTTGTTCCCAATTGTTTCCCTGGCACCTGGAACAGTGTCTGTTCCACAAAGACATTGCAGACTGCCACTTGGCAGAAGAGAATTAAAAGTTAGAGCTTGTCTAGCAGCATGCAATGAGCTATTGACTTTATCAACACAGAGCTTCTTCCTCTTGGGATTTTTACGTAATAAAAACCTCACCATGTGTCCTGCAGAGGAACGGAAGCAGCAAGGGGAGGTGCCATCTCTGAGGTGCTGCTGGCAGGAATTGGAGTGGCAGATAAGGGATAATATGACCAAGGAGCCAACCAGACACGAGCATTATTCCTTTTTGTGAAATCAACAAACAATGTGTTTGTTTTTACCTTTTCCTGCCCCTCGTATCTAGAATGGAAACGTTATCACGTGATACAATCAGGAGCTGCTAGTGAGGATTAAAAACAAAAATAAAGGTAAAAAATAAGCAGGAGCCAGCTATCATTTGCTACATGTGAATTATTCTTTTTGTTTCCGTTAGGTGAACTACTGGACATTAGCTTGGCCTATTTTGGTCTCAGAAAAGCTGTGTGGACATTCATGCTTCTCTCCCTTTTTTTTCTTTTCTTCTCTTTATTTCATTTTAGAAAACAGTGGTTGCTAACTAAAGATTCAGAGCGTGTAACTCATTCAGTGCTATGAGCTGCAAACTCTTGTAGTTTTCAAAGCACATCCTTTTCATCTCTTCATTACTCTATGCCCAGACCCATTTGTAACCAATTCCCCTACAATTCTGTTCTAATTTCTCTCTCTGCATTCCCACAGTCACAATCCTGGCCCAATTATCCTCTCCCTAGGTAATTCATCTATTCTCTACACACTTTTATTTCCTCCAGAATCTACATCCTCCATCCAGCCCCACAGAAAAAAATGACCGTACTTACGTGACTAGGAAGTCGTGGGAACGAACTATATCAAACCTGTCCATATCAAATATAAATTGCCAATTTTGATTTTATTTATTTATTTATTTTGAGACAGGGTCTCACTCTGTCGCTCAGGCTGGAGTGCAGTGGCATGATCTTGGCTCACTGCAGACTTGACCTCCCGGGCTCAAGCTATCCGCCCACCTTGGCTTCCCAAAGTGCTAGGATTACAGGCGTGCGCCACTCCACCCAACAATTTTTAAGTTGAGGCTCTTTATTAATGAGTCCCATTTCCTCATGAGGGTCATCACCAGTTGCAGCCTAGCTAGTGCCGGGGCCGGGGGGTTCCAGCAGAGCAACTCTCTCTATCTGCCACTTTTCAAACAGGAATCACCTGTTCCTCCAAACCACTTCTCTATCCTGAAACATGCCGTTTATTCAATCATGCCTCTCCTCTTTTTAAAAGATAATTCAAACTTTCTCTGTACTTTGCAAAGCCTCTCCAGAGAAGCCCATGTGACTCCACTCACCTGTAACTCTTACACAGCAATGTCCAGGGCCAGCACATTTTTGAGAAGAGCTGTAGCTAGGCCTGCCTGGCATAACATATGCGCATGAATGTGTAGCTGTTGTTCAATGTGAGTTAAGCCAAATCTATCCCTTCCTTCAGGACTGTAAGGCATGACTATTTGTTACTCTGGAACTTCCCAATAATATAAAATGCAGTGCTTTGCCCAAGTGGCTGATCAATTATTATCGACTCACACACTTGTAACACTGATTGCCCTGTTTAACACATTACTAAGTTCTTCTCAGTCATAAGAAGAGTTCTATAGAACCCAGAAAGTTTGTTGGTGGTGAAATTCATTCATTCATTTTTTCATGCTTTCATTCACTTACTCAACAAATTATTACCGAATGCCTTCAAACTTTCAGACAGCATATTAGATCCTGGAGATATGGAAGTAAAAGGCATAACCATTATCTTTAAAATAATTCACTGTTTAGTGATAGTGCCTGGGGGTGGGGCAGCTATATAAAGCAATTACAGTTCCATATGGGTGGTGTTAGTTTAGAGGTGAACATGAAGGAAAAACAAGGAGAAAGGAAGGTGCCTCATGGGATCGCTAAGTTTCTCAAAGGAAGTTGCTGGGAGAATGAGGTAAAGAAGTATGTTTTAGGCTGAAGGAATCACCATGATCCAATTGCTTTAAGGAGAACAAAAAGCATGCCTGTGGTTCTGGGATATTTCCTGCATGCCTGGGAAACTTTACAGAAGGATAACTCCTTATGCAGAGCCACAAATGGAGAAGAACTAGAATAGGAAGTGGCAGACAGCTCATGTGCCAGGAAAGTGTTTACCAAAACTGGGCATATAACCCATCTAGATACCATGTCAAGAAACCTGATTTCCTGTCTCTCAGGAGGGCCAGAATGGAGGGAGCAATTTCATGTGTACTCACTACTGGTCCTTTCCTAGGCTGATGACTTATACCACTTATTTTCAACATAGTAGCTTCATTATTTGAGTTCCCTTTTTATGTATCTGCTGGGTCGTCTACTAACTTGCATTTTGTAGTGTAGAAAAAGATTGGAGTTTCTTCATATCCCATTTCTGCCATACTAAATAATTTTAGAAGACAAGGGATAAATATGCCAATTGATTTTATACAGAATTCCAAAAGCAAGAGAATATTCAGTGGCAAAAGAATTAAAAGGGCAGGGGACAGTTTGAGATAAAAAAAGATACTAAAAAGACATGCCAAATGATGATTAAATGCAATTGATTGTATCCTGGATTTAAAAAATCTATAAGGGACATTATTGGGACAATTAGAAAGTCTGAATATGGATAGTATATAAGATGTTAAATTTCTTGAGTGTGATACTAGCATTGTGGTTATAGAAGGAAGCCTTCTTTCTTAAGAGATACTAAAATACTTAGTGGTAAAGTGTCATGACATCTGCAATCTACTTTCTAATTACTGAGCAAAAAAAAAATACATGTATATGGACAGAGATAAAGCAAAGGTATCAAAATGTTAAAAAGTTGGTAATCTGGGTTAAAGAGTTACACGCATTAGTTGTAACTTTTTTTCAATTCTCTTTAGGTTTGCATTTTTTTCCAAGCAAAATGTTGGAAAAGTAATAATTTAACAAACAATTTTTATAAGGAAAATAGTTCCTCCAACCCCCATATTTGCAGATCTTGCTTCTTCCATTACCCCTTCCTTGGCTATACCAGGCCTTGCTTATTTCTCTCTGCTCTACACTTTTATTGCACAATAAATCTTGCTCTCATTGATGGTCTTATCTCCTCTCCCAGACACTAAGATATGGATCACATCACATGTTAGTTTCCTCACATATTTGGCCCTGACCCTGCCTGCCTGTGCCTTGCACGGTGTTGGACACACATTGGGTGTTCATGGACTTTCTTATGATCGACTGGTGTCACTGCTCTTAACCTATAAGCCGTACCTTGGCTCTCTTTTCATTCAGATTTCTTTCTTCTTTCCAACTTTCTTCAGCTAGTTAAAAGCTGCTATTAATTCATTCTCACATTACGCAGAAAAAATAATGCAGGATCCCTGACATCCCTACGGCTTATCACATATCCCTTCAGCAGAGGTAATCTAGTCTGTGTCATCATATTTATTGCCCCCAAATCAAAACCAGTTGCCAAAGTAATGAAGGTCTATTGGTTTGTGTTGACTTAATCCATGTCAGAGGAGCTTTAGGAGCATATAAGGATAATTTGACCAGCAAAAGGAAAGCCATAAAAATGATCAAAAAGCCAATAGATATGCTGAGAACACCAAGCTTATTTTACTGAGGATTTATGGCCAATTTATCAGAAAATTATTTGGTCCAAGCCTACATTCGAATAAGTCTCTCAGTAATTCAGCAAAGATTCAAACCTCTGAAAAAAAATAGCCTCCTATAATGAGATACCCTAGTAACCCCTAACTTGCAGCACATGTACTTTAATTTTCAACAGTTGTGAGACTGCAGTAAATCCAGTTTTTGAATCACTAGTCCCATTTATGCCTCAGACCTGCATTAAATTACTAGAGCCTGAACTGCCTCAGAGCAGAGCCAATGCATCGTCCCTTCAACCTGCATAAGTGTTGATTAATCAAATAGGGCTTAAATGTAGGACATACCCCAGATGGTAGCAGTGCCAACTCCTGCTGTGTCCCAGCAGAAGTGGATGCCAAACCACCAGGCTCTGCCACACTATGTCAGCTTTGCCCCAGGCCCAACTTTGGAGGTTGTGTTTTATTGACCAGACTCAAATTGGCTTCCCCTCATGTAAGTGATAAAGTGTGGCGTCAAGTCACCCATGTAAAATATATTATTTTAACTTTGACAGCTTGTCATTGAAGTCCTTGTTTATATAATCTATTGTGCCATTTACTCTATTCTTATTTTAAAAAGCAAACACAGAAATAAAAACCTTTCCTTTAGTGTTTCATTGATGAATGTCTATACCTTGCACCTTCTCTTAAATAATCTCAAAAGTAGCCATTTCTATTGTCACTGTCAGTTTACATCAAATTATCAGACTTTCAGTTTCGAACTCTGCCTAGTGGAAGATGAAAGACACACATCATGCTTTAATGGGTAGCCTTTCACTGCACAGCCTTTTCTCTTCAAAATAGTTTGAGACTTGGTATGTCTAAACAGAGATGGATCCTGTGAAGCTGAGAGGCTGGTCAGATCCCAAGTGAACATTTCTAAAATCTATGAACTCAAAGCAACTTAAAACACCAAGCAACCTGACAACCAGCAAAGATAGAAACCTTCATATTATGAGGATTTATTGAAATAGTATTTAGTTTTAGAACTAAAGGTTTGTTTCAGAAGTCAGGCTTTCATAAGCCATTTGGTAAAAGTCTATAGGTTTTAAAGTTAGCAGGATTAAAAAAAAAATAAAAACAAACCCTAAACCTTATGTATGACTTTACTAACAGTTCACCTAAATACGCAAAAGCACAACAGAAGCAAAGGCTAGGTTTTCATTTGTATTGAGGAATCTAAAGCATTTATTCTTGGAGGGGACAAAAATAAAGTCTAACAGCATTTTCCTATTAGTTTAAAAATACTGCTGAACTAAAATTTCTCCATCTCTATGTATAAATTTAGCACAGAATTTAATAACCTGCTATAAAATTAGATCATACAATAAAGCTAAAGTGGTTATTTTATGCTTTGGGATCTCTAAGTCTGTGTTATATACAGTACATAGGGTAATTATGATATTCACAATGACCACATCTTTTTTTGAAATAATAGTTTGAGACCCTTGCCCAAGGAAAGGTGGGAAGCAGAAGTGACAAGAACTCTGTTCCTTTGCTACAAAAGGCTCAAAAGACAAATTGCATGACAAGTTCTCTTCTCCTTTAGCCACTGGTTAATTTTTGGAGACTGTTTTAATAAAATGAAGATCAGGTTCTCTGTTTTCTAAGCAGCTTGGAGATCTATTTAAGAAAGAAGCTGAGATAACCTGGCTAATGTGCTTGATTATATTTTATTTCTATAATTTGCTATTCATACTCTCAAAATATAGTTTTTTTTCTGGATAATTCTTGTCTCATACTTGGTATCATACTGACATGAATTATTTACATTATTTCTGAATTTTGAAGTAATTGCTTAGAGAAAGTATTCCTCTTAGTGACTTAAATAATCTGAAACAGGGAAATTTTATTTTTTTAACTCCCAAGGAGACATAGAATTGAATGTTCAAACTATAAACTAAGCCTCTTCAATTTTGCAGTGCAGCGCAACTCTCTCTACTTTTTCCCATACCCCAAACAACACTCCCACTGCCCCTTTAAAAAAAAAAATACTTCCCTTGGGTCTATAACTTTTCTATTCAATCACCATTTAGATTGCTTGTCCTCAGGGATATGGCTGAGTTAGGAGCCTCAGGAAGAAAACCATGATTAGTCACTAGGCCTGAAAAATCCTCCCCAATCCTGTTTCCAAGGATTGATGCCAATTCTCCAAACGTGCTCAGTGCTCATGTTCTTTTCAGGGTCATTCGGCTTGTACAGCACAGATTAAACACACAGCCTCAGTATTTTCAGTGTTGTGAGGAGACGCATTTACATTCCACTGACGGCGTTGGGTGTAAAAGGAAGCCATCTGCTGTGATTTAGCAACACGAGGAGGAGCTACAACTTTGACAAGCGAGAAAGAGTTGCAACACAGCTCAACTCAGTCCAGGTCCTCTTTGTGGGGTGGACCTGAGCAGAAATCACCTCAATATTAAAAGGCATTTTTATTAAGTAGTTCTTAGAAGTTGGTCTTCTATTAAATGTTTCATTGTTCTCTTTCACTAAAATTCGTTTGCTGCTATTTGTTAGGGTTCTTTTACTAGTTTCAGGAACCCAGAGTAAATAGATTAATTCTATGACAAAGATGACAACTAGGTCTTTGATTCTTTGAGCATTCGATCCAGGTAGTTAATCTTTCCTGTATCTGGTTCATTCGCTACACTGGGATTACCTGTAAAATACGTTAGAACTAAAAGGTGGAACATAGGGATATGGAAAAAGTAACTACAAGCTGAGGATTTAATATTTTCTGGCATTTTAGATGTCATCTCTTAATTTTCACCACAATCTAATGATATAGAGATTATTGCATGTATTTAAAAGATGATTTAAGCAATTTGTCCAAAGTCACACAGCTAGTAAGCAGCTTAGAATCCAAATTATCAGGGCTTGTTTAATTACGCACAGCTGCATCCTTAGATAGAGCACTATATAAATGTAACCCCAAATCTACCCCATAATTTCAACTGTATTACCCTTAGTTGGCATATCTGCAGACTGAAAGAAGAGTAAAAATGGTTATTTTATATTTCAGGTCTCTTACTATGCACAGTGCTTATGTAACCAATCATGCTTCTCTGATTACTGATGTTTGCTTAGTGTGTGTGTGTTTTGTTTTTTTTGGACTTTGCATGTGAGAATAACTACAATAAAGTAGGCTGATGGGTGGAAGGGTTTTGTTTTCAGTTCTAGGAAGGTGCCTAGCACACAGCAGGTGTCAGGAGGTAAACTGTCTTTACAAACAGTGTCTGCATAGACCTAGAAAAATTCAGCAGGAGAACAAAGAAAAAACTCCATAATGCACAATTTTCAGTCCTATGCTTTTAACATCCCAGTATGTCTATCAAGAAGTAAAACAACTAAACAATGAAGAAAATCTCCCAGGGTTGTGGCTCTTATAAAACAGCCATGTGCTCCCCTCCAGTTTCAACACAATATCATCAGGCGATGATTAAGAAGGTAGCTGTTTCAGTGCTTCACAGTGTCAGGAAACAAGGTATCAAGCCAACAACTTCCTTGTTAGGTGCAGCACTTAGATTGCAGCCATGTTTTGCTTCCAACTGTAAATATTAATGGTGAAGAAAAAAAAAAAAGATCTGCATTGGCTATAGGCTGCCTGAGCTCAGCATATTACATGACACTCTGGCGTTATTTGCTGAGATGTAGATAATTGTAATTCCTGTTAACAAGTTTCCATGTATTTTCACTCCATCAGCAGGTTCTTGAATCAATGCTTAGATTACGTTTGACTACATCAGCACAATTTGACTTTGATGGAAAGTTTGAAATTTATGTGTAATTAAAAATTATACATCAATTTCCTAATTTTCCAGAAAAGGCAGCTAATCCTCTTGGATGCCGTAGCATTTATACCTTGTCCCTCAAAACACACTGGCTCCTTTGCCTCGAACTCCCTAAAGGAGTGCGTAATGTTTTTAGGACCAAAGGGAGTATTTCAGGGCAAACTGAGGGAGTCCTTTCACATGTCACCCATTGCCAAGAGGATTTAATGTTTCCAGAAGCATAGGGGAACTTCGGAGTTGTTTTTGTACTCCTTTTGAGACACTAAGTTTCAAAACCATTTTAAAGGAGCTTATATTTCCTTATAGATTAATGTAAAAATGGCCTGAAAATAATTTAAATCATTTATTAAAACATACACACATATTCCACTATATGTAAGATATATCAGTATTATTTATGGTGCCTGAATTCAATAAATGCCAATTGATGAGGATGGTAATACAGTCATCCATAAAATGCTCCTAAGTTTTTTCATTGCAGTGGCACATTTCTGCCTATAAAAAGTCTAAGGCAAAAAGCTTATTCTACACTATCATGTACAAAATCAAGAACGACAACATTACATGTGTATAAAATGTGGAAAAGTCAAACTATTTAATTTATAAGAACATACTTTTGCATTTGTGTAGCATAAATTCTAATAGGCATGTCCTCCGCGATGAGTTCCTGCAATTCATGGCATGCTGTGCTTTTGTCTTTATGTACAATTTCAAGACTCATACATTTCTATCTTGAGAAAACTATTCAAACAACATGCCATCTTTTCCTGTCAACTTCAGAGTTCATGATGTTTTGCAGGTGCTGAAATTTTTTTGAACTGAGCTGACAAATTAGATGGCATTGTAAAACAAATGCAGCACTCCTGGACATAAATGATGAGTAAGGTCTGATATATCCAGGTGCGACTTGGATTGTTTGCCAGGTAGAGGGGAAAGCTCTACAGATTCATGTGTCGAGCCCAATCTGGACCTCACTTTTAACCAAGAGAATGTAATAGGAGCTTGTGAATTGCAATGTCTGATCAATGGAATGAGTAAATCAGTGGACAGGTCTTTAAAAGGAAATTGACCAGTGATGATGGTTCTTGTTATACGTCTCTCTAGCTTGCAGTGCCATGAGAGCTAACACACAGGATGCAGCCTACTCTTCTGTCACAGAATATTTAATTTGAAGAGGCAGCCACTCAAATGCTTTCCCTTTATGCACATGTGCATCACCTTCATGGCTCTCATAACCCACCCCAGGCTCTTTCCATCCCAGAGTGCCTCTTTACAAAGGTGTGCATTTTCTCCATCAGAGTAGTCCTCTGTCTTCCCCAGCCACGGCCTGTCCTCCCCAGCCATGGTGGGAATCCTATGAAATACTCCTTTTCTGTTTCAAGGCAGAAGACTAATCATGCACAATTACACACAGAAGCTGATCCTCTTCAGCTCACCTCACAATGTGAATGTGAAGCTCAATGTCATTACTTAGAGTTCTGCAAATAAATCTTTAAGTTGAGGGGCTTACATTGGTATCTATAATTTGAGAGCATTTATATTGGTAATTAAGTGGCAATGCAGTTATACCAGCCAAACACACACAACCTTTAACTTCAAGAAGCTGCAAATATGGATAATTTACATATTGCCAGCTGTGATTATCTTTAGTGTTCACAGGACCTAATGGTAAAAACAAATAGATTCTGGATCCTATTAGGGCCGTAGAGCAAAATTTACAATTTCTTTCCCATTTACATTCCATATTTGCCCCTAGACCTGTTCTTTAAGAAATTCCAGAGTTCCCTGGACACAGTTGGTCCCATGATAAACTTGTGTTTTTGTAAACTATGTGTAATGGCATCTCTTCTAAAACACTTATTTTACAATTAAGAAATATTAAGACTTCTAGAATTTTCTGGTAGGACAGTCTGCTTAAAAACAGTCTCCAAATGTTGCACTTCACAAACTAGGAAACAGAAAACCAAAATTATACACTGGAGAAAAAAATGAGGATTTGAGGTTAAATGAACTGTGTGACCCCAAGTAAGTCACTTCACTTCTTTGGGCCTTCGTTTCAGCATCTGTAAAGTGGAAATAACAGTACTATGATGGTTAGAACTAAATGAGGCATTGCATGTTGAGTGCATGTGATCATTATGGCCTAATATCAGAGAAGGCACAACCCTTGGCTGAAAGAGGCACCGTAAGAATCCTGGTCATCTGATGCAAGCTTTCTTGTGCACTAGACTGTTAACTCCCCTCAGGTAGTGAAGGGTCTGCTTTTTTAATCTTCTGGCTTCCTTAGCTCTGAAAATAGATTGCACTAATCACAGAAATGTTCAAACCAACCACTGCTCAGTATAAGGCACCTTTTATATTGATCTGCACAACTTAGAAATTTTCTGAAGTGAGTAAATATAGTTCCTTAATTTTATGTACATTAAAATGGTGAGTAATAACATCAGTCTATTGCCCCAGAGACTCTTTTTTAGTGATGCTGATCCAGGGAATTTGCTCAATTTTTAGTGAAAGAAGACTTAATCTGATCATATCTGAACCTCCCCAGAACAAAACATGTCTTTGGCCCTTTGAGAGAAATAGGAGAGCATCATAGGTCTAAAAACCTTCAATTAAAATCCTCAATTAAGAACTTTAGAAAGATTCAAGTGAAGTAAAAAAAAAAAAAAAAAAAAAAGAGGGGGGCTTAAAGCAAGACTTACTAACAAAACTATGCCTAGTGAAAACTTCTAATTAGCAGAAATCAAAAATTGGACTGAAGATTTTGTGGATTTAATAAGCTAGTTTCAAAAACCAAACTCCCAAAAAAATCTGCTCAGGAAAAACTTTCTGTCTACATAACATTATATATTTTAAAAAATTCTGGAAGAATAAACAGTTTGTATTGCTTTGAGTTCCAAAATGAAAGAATTCGTCTGAGAATATAATTCAGGAGTTTTTATTGATAAATCCATCATGAAGGAAAGATGCTACCATTTTGGTGTAAGATCCTGCCATGGTCTGAATGTTTATGTCCTCCCAGATTTCATTCACTGAAACCTAATCGCCAATGTCACCGTATTAGAAGATGGGGCCAATTAGGTCATGAGGGTAGAGCCTTCATGAATGGGATTGGTGACCTTATAAAAGAGGTCCTGGAGAACTGCCTTGTTCCTTTGTCATGTGAGGACACAGAGAGAAGAGACCATTTACGAACCAGGAAATGGGTGGTTCCTCACCAGACACTAAATCTGCTGGTTAGTTGGTCTTGAAGTTCCCAGCCTCCAGTACTAATACCCTTCTGTTGTTTAAAAGTTACCCAGTCAATGGCATTTTGTTACAGCAGTCCAAACAGAGTAAAGTAGGTCCTTTCTAGTCAGAAAGTGAATTGTAGCCATACATAATCAAAACCTGTAGGAAACATTTGAGAAGAAAACATGGCATATACCTAAATCACAGAATTATAGAATGATTCTTTCTTCTCTGGCTGGATTTTTACCAAAGTTTGGTCGAGGGAATCCATCATCTAATCTTTCTCTTAATTTATCCACTTCTATATCCTACTATTTCCTGACATTCTTTATCTATTAAAATCAGGCCTACCTAGTCTCTGTTCTTCATCCCATCCAAACTTTTTTTTCCCACTATCACATCTTTACTTGCGACATTTTTCTCTCTTGAATGTGCTCCCATTTTCTGTTCTATAAATAATCTTTCTCATATGTCATGGCCTACTTTAATTTCCGTATCCTCCATGAAAACTTTCCCTCTTGCAATAGCTCATAGCGATCAGACTTCTGTGAATTTATACTGTGCTTTTACTCAGTAACATAAATTAGGGATTAATTGTTTTCAGGATGTTTTGTAGTTTCTTTTTTCTTGACAGCTAGATTATAGTTTCCTTGAAAGTATTGTCATAAGAATTATATGTTATCTTTTACAGATTCCCTGCTCTCCTTCTTCTCTCCCTGTGTACTACCCATTGCCAGATGTATT
Organism: Homo sapiens; assembly: GCF_000001405.40. NCBI lineage: Eukaryota > Metazoa > Chordata > Mammalia > Primates > Hominidae > Homo > Homo sapiens. The sequence goes on along the minus strand of NC_000001.11, from coordinate 197,458,703 downwards.
GAAGAAACAAACGTGTGGATGGAATGGTGACTTTGGGAAGATGCTTGCATTCTTTCAGCTGTAGAGAATATGTGGAAGGCACTGACTCCAGCAGCTCTCTGCATTGCCATGGGACTTATGAAAGGACAGAACATTGGATTTCCTGCCTAGAAGCCCAGAATGTCAGCTTATCCTGTGGGGAGCAGTTATTGCAGATGAAGGTGGCTTATAGGGAAGATGAATTGGCAATGAATAGGTGGGAGTGGACAGCATAAACCCTTCAGGCTCAACTGAATTTGGAAAGAAGAGAACATTTAGAAAATTTGTTGTAAGGCTTTTCTGACAACTAGATTTGTAAAAAAAAAGATAAGCTTTAGTGTTCTTAATGGCACTTTTGGGGCAAATGCAGAAATCTTCATCCATGTCCCTAAACTCCTGTGGCTGCTGTAGGGCTCCTTCTACTTGTAAACTCTACTAGCTCTTTCCTGGATCCTCCTTTTCTTCTGGTACCACCCATTTTTCCTTGGCATATTTCTGCTCTCATTGCTTAGGGCCCCTTCAAAAATGTGTGTTGACGTTGATTATCTTTTGGGACCAGTGCCTTAAGTTTCCTTTCTTCCCTTTTGTCTATAACCCTCGTTCGGTGATCCCTGAGGAAGGTTATGGCTTTAATGGTTGTTTTCCAGAATTTCCCTTTTCTACTCTCACAAATTTAAAATGCAGTTATGTTAAGAAGAACTAATAATCAACAAAAGCAAGGGATAATTATAAACACAGTGTGGCACTTACACTATCAATAAAAACATGGGCATTCTGACATTCTAAGCTCTCTTTGCTGACAGGTATACAACTTATTTGTGAACTAATTTCTCCAGTGAAAAACTGTTTAAATTAAAAATTAACACTTTGGTAGCAAATAAACAATCAACAATACAAAAAAACATGTCAAGGAGAAATGTGCTTTTTGTTCTTCTGAGATAATGCTTGCTTATTCTTTAAGAGCTGGATCAAATATCTTCTGCACGAAGCTTTTTCTACCCTACCGCCAGCCCTGGGAATGTTCTAATTTCTTCTGTGCACACCACATACAATTCTTTCATTCGTTCATTTAGTCCTTTGGTAAATAGTGAAGCACTACTCTGCCAGGAATGATTGCCAGGTACTGAAGTTATAAAGATAAACAAGACATTTTCTCCACCTTCCTATAGCTCTCAGGATGGAGGATGAGGCAGACAAATGAAGGCTTTTGCAGTATAGCTAATTGGTAATAGATGCAGATGCTCCGGGATCTGAAAGCGTGGCTCCAACTTCTGAATTGGAGAGCCTTGGAAAAGATACTTATCCTCTCTCTGATTTTGAGTTCTCATCAATAAAATGAGGAAAATAATATTACTTAACTCTTGGGATTTTGTGAATAATAAATAAAATAATGCTTATAATGACCTGAGCATAGTTTCGGGCTCAGAGTAAGCACACGACAAATATTAGCCACTATTAGTATTATTATACGATGCTATGATAGAGGCGTACTTAGGATTGTATGGCAACAAGACACTCCAAATGCTGATTGTGTGGGGGAGGGAAGCAAGGAAATCTTTACTGGAACATTATGAGAACAAATGTATTTGACTAGGCAAAGGAGAATGAAATGAGGGTTTTAGGGTCGAAGAACAATGAGCAACATATTCTTTAAAATGTCTTTTCAATATTGCAGCAGTGGTCAACTCTTACTGGCTTTAGAGCAAATGGAAGAAAAGGACATGATTTTCTACAATTCAACCATACTTATCTTACTTTGAAGAGAAAATCCACTCCTCCTCTCAAACCACTACGATTTTTAAGCAAATTGAGTATAACCTGCAGGACTGCCTTGAGAGTGTCCTTGGCTGTGTCCATGTGATTATGGACTTACAGAAACCGGTTTTTAAAATAATACATTTATTCATTCATCCACCATTTATCAAGGGCCTTTTTCAGGCAAAGCTCTGAGCTAGGCATGGTAAGCAATATATGTCTTTATGGATCTTGACTGCATCTGGGATTGGTTCGGGAAAGGGTAAATTTATATCAAATTCTAATTCAAGATGAATAATGGGGTTTCTGTGCATTGGGTTCTTAGATGGAAATGTTTTCCTAATGGACAGTGTGGCTCACTTGTCTCCAAGACACTGTCATCAACAAAGTGGTGACTAATGGTCAAGCCTTGCCTTTTTCATCCTGTAAATTTGAAAGGGAAATGGGACAATTTTGTACTTACTATATACTATCATTTTCATCTTAATTTCAGTAACTATGGGGCAGGATGAATAAAAACATTCACACACACAAAAACAAAATTCTCAAAGCTGGAAATTGACACTTCAAAATTACCTCAAAAATACCTCATTCATTATCTCAATCACTTAGGTAATATTTATTGAGTATATACTTACTCAGGATGATGCTGGCTACTGAAAAAGTCAAGGAAATGAACTGGTTTCAAAATATAATTTTTTTCCTGAGTTCTAGGTATCAACTAGAGTAATTTCAGCCATTTATCAGTCATTAATACATATTTTCCCACTTTAAATAACAAATATAGAAGTACTTCAGTTTTCCTTTATAACTGTTGTTATCAGCATAGGATTATCAAAGAAATGTTAAGGGAAGTGGATAAAAGTAACATATTTGTAGCTATTTGTGAAACTAAATTAAAATACATTCAAATAGACAATGAAATAATCATGAATATAATTTCCAAAACATCAAATAACTTTCATTGCAAATAGCCTATTTGGTTTTGGATATTATATTTAATATGTGGCTTCCTTTCTGTCTATAATTAGTCTCCAAAATATTTCTACGGTTTACATGAAACAAACCTGTGTTTCAGTAATTACAATTGTGAGAAAAATATAACAGCCATGATCTTTATAACCTTTTAGGATGAAAAATCATTTTTAATTTAAAGAAATTTAGGAAAATTATACACATATAATCCATGAATAAGTATTATGATTCATGGAAGTTTTAAGTAGAAACAATATTAAAGCAATTGCCAATTTCAAGTCAATTATCTTGGTATTTAAAATTGTTCAGATAGTAAATTCCTACAGTCTTCTACATGCTATTCAATTTGTTCTCACAAGAAAAAATTTAGCAATGAATTCAATGAGGTGCAACTGCATTTCCTAAAGGCAATGTAAGTTATAAAAGAAAAAAATGTATACACACCATTCTTAAAATTAAAAATTAGTAGAAACTAAATTCATGTCATGTTAAACAAGACAACGGCATGGTATCTGGGTGCATACTGGCAGTTTTCGGTTTGGTTGACAGCTCTATTTTTCATAGATGGAACTGATGCCAAAAGTTCTCCTTGAGCAAAAAATAAGGAAAATAATTCAAGAAAATTGGTAACTAACACGATGCTGTCAACTTTATTGTTTGAGTTATTTTTGTCAGTTAATTGGTTTGGAACATGTAGACTTGATTTCTGAATGATCTGTGATAGATGTCAATGGCATTTTAAAGAGAATCAAGTAAAACATAATGCATTCTCCTGGGTGGGTAATAACTAGGATATGTCCTAGTTTGCCCAGAACAGTATCAGTTTAGGCTGCTGTCCTAGAATAATTATTAATAGTGTTGCTCTCTTTCACTTTGAAAATGCTCCAAATTGGACAAGAAATAATATGGCCAACCTTGTCATAACCAACATATGTCATTATAGACACATTAAAAATATCTTTATGATTCACGAAATTAGAGAACTCTTATGTACGAAGCTATGTACCTGATTTTCTTACCTAAGTTCTTTGAAAGCACAAACACACTTTTTTGTGTATATTTTAGTTGCTTACCATGCCTAGCTCAGAGCTTTGCCTGAAAAAGGCCTTTGATAAATGGTGGATGAATGAATAAATGCATTATTTTAAAAACCGGTTTCCGTAAGTCCAGTATCGTACCAAGGCAGTGATCATTTTAGGGAGATTTTAGTAGATGATGAGATTGATTTGACAGCTAACAAAAATGCTGCATGATTTGGTTAGCTAGTCAACTCAGTAGCAAACATCAACCTAGTTATTTCCCACAGTTGTCTATGGCTTAACAAACCAACCAATTTAGTTGGTTGCATCTATAATCCAGGAGCTCCACTCTGTATGTTGCCTGTTTCCATTCTATTCAGAACACATGAAAAAATGTGTTCTGACGGGAAAAACCTATGTTGCATGATTTCCGTGAAGCCTGCAGCAATGACCTCACGTTAAGAAATGAAGAACATTAATTATACTTGGTGAAGCAGAAATCTTAATAATGTATGAAAAGATGAAAGGAAAAGAGATTAGTGAACCAAATTAGACCTAATTTTGGTGCTTGATAATGCATCAAAATAACATTTATGAACAATTTCTTATTTTATTTATTTTTCCTCCATTTGAAGTATTTTAAATTCTGTCTTAAGTAAGTAACTTTTTAAAAAATTGTGGTAAGATCATTTTACATAAGATTCTGCTAACAAGATTTCAAGTGCACAGTACAGTATTATTATCTGTAGGCACAATTGTTGTACAGCTGTTCTTTAAAACTTATTCATCTTGTATAATTAAAATTTTATACCACTGGGTAGAGTGGCTCATGCCTGTAATCCCAGCACTTTGGGAGGCCAGGGCAGGAGGATTGCTTGAGCCTGGGAGCTTGAGACCAGCCTCGGCAACATGAGTGAGACCTCATCTCTACAAATAATAATATAATAATATCAATAATATATATTATTAATAATATAATAATATCAATAATATATATTATTAATAATATAATAATATCAATAATATATATTAATAATATAATAATATTAATAATATATATTATTAATAATATTAATATATATTAATAATAATATTGATAATATATTAATAATTAATAATTAACAATATATTATTATTAATATATTAATAATATAATAATAATAATAAGAAGAAGAGGAAGTAGAAGAAGAAAATTAGCCAGGTGTGGTGGCACATGGCTGTAGTCCCAGCTACTCAGGAGGCTGAGGAAGGAGTATTGCCTGAACCTAGAAGTTTGAGGCTGCAATGAGTTGTGATCACACCCCTGGACTCTAGCCTGGGCAACAGAGCAAGACCTTGTCTCTCTCTCTCTCTCTCTCTCCCTCTCCCTCTCTCTCTCTCTCTCTGTCTCTCTCTCTATATATATATATATACACACACACACATATATATACACATATATATACACACACAGTTATTTAATGTATATATTTATATACCAATATATTTATAATTAGTATACTACTATACTTGTAAGTATGCTAAATTAGTATATAAGTATGTTATATAATTTAATTATATATAATTTAATTATGTATATTAATTTAATTATACTAATTTAATTATATATACTTATTATATATAAATATATATACTTATATACTAATTTAATTATATATATATATATACACAAGTATACACACATACTTATTTAATGACATCTCCCCATTTCCACTTCCCCCTAGCTCCTAGCACTCATAATTCTACCCTCTGCTTCTAGGAGTTTGACTCTTCTAGATATCTCATATAAGTGAACTCAAACAATATTTGTCCTTCTATAATTGGGTAATTTCACTTAGCATAATGTACTTCTGGTTCATTCCTATTGCAGCATGTGTCAGAATTTTGTTCTTTTTAAGGCTGAATAATATTCCATTTTTATTTTCTTTATTCATTTATCCTTCGCTGAACATGTAGCCTGTTTCCATCTATTGGCTATTATGAATAATGCTGAAATGAATATGGGAATGCAGATATGTCTTTGAAATCCTGATTTCAATTATTTTGTATATATACTCAGAATCATGAATCATATGACAGTTAACAAATTATATGATAGTTCTATTTTTAATTTTTTGGGGAAACTTCATACAGGTTTTTATAGTGGCTGAACCATTTCTACATATGTGTAACTTATTTAGGAATCAACTTACAGGGTTTGTTACTAAAGATAGTGCTGCATCCTAGGAAGACCTGTGGCTTGGAAGTAAGTACTCCCAGGTTCTAAACCTTGCTCTGATCCCTATTTGTTGTGTGGCCCTGGGGCAGGTAACTAGCCCTTCTAAATCTTATTTCCCCCGTCTATAAGATGGGCATTATAATATTTATCCCATAAGGTTTCTGTGAATATTTATTACTAAAATTGATATGTAAGGTCCCTTCATCTCATACATGCTTTCATTTTTCCATCACGAAATCAAGCCAGACTCAGCCTTGTCTCCTACATCCTCTAAGATCCTAGGCCTATATAATGACAATTGATATTCGTCATCATATTTCTTTAAAGTACTTTTAATATCATTAGACTAAGACTACATTTTGATGAATGCAGTGCTGATGTTGATTGGGTTTTATAAATTTGTAGCTTTAAAATAGGTCACGTATGCAGGGACTCTGCAGTGGCCTAGAGTACTCTGAGACTCTCATTCACAATCTCTCTGGCAAATGGGATAGGGAATTTCCTTCGTCGTCTTAGAACAGCAGGAAGAATATTGAACTGTGGGTTGACAGACCGGGATACTTGTAGAGTCTAAATAAAGCACTCTCTCTCTCTGAGCTTTAGATTCTTCATCTCATACATAAAGAAGTTGGATTAGATGATTCCCGAAATCCTTTTTAACTCTTTAATTCTCCCTTCTGCATTAACAACCTAAACTTTAGAAGAAGCATCCTTGCAAATATCAGGCATCTATTATGGAGTCAGTTTAACCGTATTAAATTGTCATTTTTATCAGTCAAAATGTCAAATATTTGCAAGTTCATATGATTCAATCTAATGTTTCAGTGGCATATGTAGTGGTGGAAATAGCATTCACTTAATCTTCCTATAAGGGACATCCTACAATTTATAATGGAATGTTTTTCTAATGTTAGTATTTTACCATATGACATTAAGAAGAAAAGCGCAATTTAAACAAACTTTCCCAATTGCTCTCTTGCTATTGTCTGGCTATATGCCTCGATTCTGTTTCAGATCTTGTTTGGAAATGATTGAGGATGAAGCAATGTAGACCTCTAAGTTTGCTCAGAAAATCCTGTAAGTGTATATGAAGCACATGGCAAACATCCAGGCCCAGCCCATCCTTGCTCTGAATGGGGCAGAATCGACAGTGTTAGGTTCAGTTTCAGAGAAAGCAGCATAATAAATCAATGCATTTAAAAATATCACATTCTTAGGGAAATGTCTCATTCTCAAACATTTCTTTACTATAACATGGTCCAACGTATTAATGACCTGAAAAATCTAGATGAATCATTCCCAGTCCTCCCTTTCTCCAAAGTATCAGGTGATCTCGGCCAATTATTTAGCCCTGTGTACTACACTTTGCTCAACTAAAATTCGCAAATGTCATTTTTCCACCTGGCCCATAATTTTGTTATCATGAGTAATCTATGCCATAATCTTGAGAAATGTTATACATAGAAAATGCATGAATTGTGCTAATCAGCTAATCACAGATGCTTAAGAAATGTCAGGTCCATGTCTCTCTTTCAATCAGTGCTTAAGTATTCTCTACACTATTTCTGAAATACGGTCATTCAGATTCTATTGGAATGTTTCCAGGGATGGGAGTCCTGTTTGGTGCAAATCAATGCATTACATTATTGAGTACTTCTAATGTTAACTTGCTTCCTCTTATGCTGACTTGAAATCTTCTTTCAATAAATTCTATCCCTTTGTCTTATTTATGCTTTCTTTTTTTTTTTTTTTTTTTTTTTTGGGACGGAGTCTCGCTGTCTTCCAGGCTGGAGTGCAGTGGCACGATCTCAGCTCACCGCAAGCTCCGCCCCCCGGGTTCACGCCATTCTCCTGCCTCAGCCTCCCAAGTAGCTGGGACTACAGGCGCTGGCCACCACGCCCAGCTAATTTTTTTTTTTTTTTTTTTTTTTTTTGTATTTTTAGTAGAGACGGGGTTTCACCATGTTAGCCAGGATGGTCTCGATCTCTTGACCTCGTGATCCGCCCACCTCGGCCTCCCAAAGTGCTGGGATTACAGGCATGAGCCACCGCGCCCGGCCTATGCTTTCTGTATTAATATAGAACAAATCTATTTTTCCATTCTCATGATAACGTTTCAAATATGTGAAGGCAGTTTCATGCTTTCCTTAAGTCTTCCCTTTCTAGACAAAATATCCGTTTATCCTTATAATGTTTACAAAAAAAACTAACTGTTGGGTTACTATGCTCACTACCTGGTGACAGGATCATTCATATGCCAAACTTCAGCATCACGCATCACACAATATACCTATGTAACAAACCTGCTAAAATAAGCTAAAATGCCCTTTTCTAGGCCCTGGCATTCATCAATGTTTTCCCCGGAATGTAGTGCCCAGAAGTAAAACCTGCGCTTCTGAATTGATGTGGTCAGTGCAGAAATCAGAAGGAAAACCATGTATCTTGTTCTGGGACCAAATACCTATGCGATTACAATCTCAGATTACCTTCTTAAAATTACAGTTTCCACTTCTGTGGACAAAGTAGCTTCTACTAGAGTAACCCTTCGGCATATAACAGCAATAAAATCCAGATGGAATAGCAAAAAACAACAATCTGAGGGCACTCAGATAATAACCAAAAGTATGCATCGACCTGTATGAGAATTTGAACTAAGCAGAGCGGAGGGCACTATGTGATTTTTATTTTTTTGGAGTGCAGTCTCTGCTCAGCACCATGCCAGTTAACTAAAACTAGGAGAGACGTTTGCAATCTTACAGGCTTGAAGAACCAGAGAAAAGAGGGTTCACCACAGCAGCTAGAAAGTGAAGGAAAAATTCTAGAAAGGAGACAGCTACAGAGGTGGAGCCTCAACTTCTGAAAATGATTTCTGCTCAAATCTCTGGTTCACCCTTGTAATATGCCCATGTAGCGTACACTCCAAGTCACCCAGCTAAAGACAAAATAACTGAGCAGAGATTGCAGCTGTGACACACCACAGAGGGCACTGCTACAGGACTAGAAGTTTGATTCAGCTAAGAGACTGCCTGCCAAAATAAAATAATATTTTTCTGGGCCAGGCGTGGTGGCTCACGCTTGTAATTCCAGCACTTTGGGAGGCCGAGGCGGGCGGATCACGAGGTCAGGAGATCGAGACCATCCTGGCTAACACGGTGAAATCCCGTCTCTACTAAAAATACAAAAAATTAGCCGGGCGTGGTGGCCGGCGCCTGTAATCCCACCTACTTGAGAGGCTGAGGCAGGAGAATGGCATGAACCCGGCAGGCGGAGCTTGCAGTGAGCCGAGATTGCGCCACTGCACTCCAGCCTGGGCGACAGTGCGAGACTCCATCTCAAAAATATAAAATAAAATAAAATAATAATAATATTTTTCTGAAAAACATAAAAGAATTCATTCATAATCTCTGCATTGTATAAGCTACAATGACCAGGATGCAATCCAAAATTACTGGATAAAGAAACAGAAAAATGAAACTTATATACAAAAGGAAATTCAATAAATGGTGACCAATCACAAAATGACCTAGGTGTTGGAATTAACTGAAAAGGATTTTAAAGCAGCTGTCATAACTATGATGTTACAACTAAGGGAAAATAAAAATGCACACTGACATAGTTGCTATTCTTTTGACATTGTTGTAAATACCACTATGAATTTGTATTCTTAAATAGCCTGCAGTTTCTCACTTAGCTATAAGTGTATCATGATAAATTTTATTCTAGCTACACTATGCATTTATCCTCATTAAAATAAAAATATTAAAATAAGGAAGCAATATAATTTCTTCTCAAGATCTCCATGTTACTGTAAAGTGATCATTCTTTTACAGACATTTGTAGAGCTGAGTTAGATATGTTAGATGGCCTCTGGCCTTGAGCAGTTTATTATTGGATGCTGTTTTTGTGTGTACATGCATAGATAATTACCAAATAATAAGCACTAGAAAAAGAAGTACAAAATAGCAAAAAAGTGCAGGAATAAAATAGTAAGCTTTTCCTGGGGCAATCAGGGAAAGGATCCTAGAAGAGTCTATACAAGATCTGAAATTTCTGGAAGGACAAAAGTATGTCAAACAGAGAAGAAGGGAATGACAGGTTAGGTGGGAGGAACAGCACGTAAGGGAAGAGCTGTGGCAGCTGTGAAAAGTTCAAAGGGAGGTGCAAAGTTTCATGTGGCTGGAGAGTGGAGTTTGTGAGAGCACAGGTAAGAAATGAAGTTGGAGACAGTTTGTGTCACATTTATAAAGGGCTTGAACCCAAATTGTATATGGAGACCAAATTTACACTATCCAGATGTTGTGGGAATCCCCAAACTAAGAGCACAAAAACAGGCACTAGACCAGTGGAACTCCTGGCATCCTAGCAAAAATCTAAAGCTAAGACTGTAGTCAGGGGCATTTACGCAACTCAGCACACAAAGACCCCCCAGGAAAAAGAAAAATCCTCTTAAAGTTGTTTTTGCTCATAAAAAAATAACAAACCACATGAAGAAAAACTCTGTTGTGAGTAAAATTCCCCAGAAACAAAAATAGGAGGGTGAGCACTCCAAGAGCTTGAAATAACACAACAGTCTGAAAGACACTATTAAATAAGTTCCTAATTATGTGAAAGTAAAATGAAGGTAGCAATTATAGAGAAAAAAAAACAGGACACAAACAGGAGAAAAGATTGATTTGTAAGATTTAAAAAAGTCAGAATTTTTTAAAGTAATTTAAAATTGAAAAATCTATCAGTGGATTATATGTGGACTATCAGTGCTTGGAAGATAGCAATAGGGAATATATGCAGAATACAGCACAGACAGTAAAAAAAGATACTGTGAGAGAAGGTTTGGCAGACAGACTTTTTTTTTTTTTTTTTTTTTTGAGACAGGTTCTTGCTCTGTTGCCCAGGCTGGAGTGCAGTGGTGCCATCATGGCTCATGGCAGCCTCGACTTCCCAGGCTCAGGTGATCTTCCCACCTAGCCTCAGCCTCCTTAGTAGCTGGGACTACAGGCACATGCCAAACTAATTTTTGTATTTTTTCTTTTCTTTTTTTTTGTCAGAAAGGGGATTTTACCATGCTTCCTAGCTGGCCTGGAAATCCTAGACTCAAGTGATCTTACTGCATAGGCCTCCCAAAATGCTGGGATTACAGATGTGAGCCACTGCAACCAGCTGGCAGACACCCTTTTAAGTGAACCCCCCATGGTTGGTCCCCACCTCCTGGTGTTTACACCTTGTGTGCCCCTCTCGCTTTCAGTGTAGATAGAACCTGTGACTTGTTCTTAACCAACAGACTATGACAAAGGTGAGGAGAAGTATGCGATTATATGTACACAATTGCATAATTATGTTATATAAAATGGTAACATCCATCTTGCTGGCATCTCTCCCTCCTTTTTTGGCTTTGAGGAAGTAAGCAACCATGTTGGGGAGCCCCAAGTGGCAAGGAGCTGAGGGCTGCCTTCAGGAATCGAAGGCTACCTCTGCCATCAGCCTCAGTGAACTTGATCACTGAGTTCACTCTGGAAGTGGATCCCTCCCTGGTTCAGCTCAGATGAGACCACATCTCTGGCTGACACCTTGAATGCTGTCTTGTGAGACCCTGAGCAGAGGACCTAGTTAAGCCATGCCTGGGCTCCTGAACACAGAAACTGTGAGATAATAAATGTGTGTTGTTTTAAGTTGCCAAGTTTGAAGTAATATTGTTGCAGAACAATAAATAAATAATACAAATGGATTACATATACAAAGAATGGAATATAACACTCAATAGATCTATAATATATATCCCAAATATATACACCCTGATATGCCTCTTGAACTCCAGAATGGAATATGCACACTGATTAATAACTGTATTTAGATATCCAACAGATCTTAAATTCATTCATTTATCCAATCAACAAAGATATTAAAAATATTATCCACCAAATTTAAGTTATCACCCCCTTAGACCCACAGCTTCTCCCAAAAAATCATGCTTCAAACTTTTAAAATCTATCTTCTCTACAACTATATATGGTAGTGCAAATTCTCCTTCTTTCTTTATCACTGCAGCAGCCTCCTAGCTGTGTCTTTCTGGGTCCAGTCTTGCCTTTCTTTTAAGCCATTCTCTATGTAGAAGCCCAAGTGATCTTTCTAAAGTGCAAGTATAATCATGACATTTTTCTTGTTTGAAACCCTTCAAGGATTCTCCATTTCTCTTATGATGAAAAACCAAGGCCTCTGCCAAGGTGTATAAGGGCTTACTCCTGCTTCTTTCGACAGCCCCATCTTTCAGCACTGCCACCCTGTGATATCCCTGTCACAGTGCACAACCTCTCCAGCCCCTTCTGCCTGAAACACACAGTACTGTGCCATTGCTTCTTCCACAGCCTAACTCCCTCAAGTCTTAGCTTAGGCTTCAGGAAACTTTCCTTGACCTTCTATACCCACCTGTAAGACTGGACAAAATGCCTCTCTTATATGCTCCCTTACAGCTGGCACTCAGTTACATCCTAGTTACATCCTAAGACTATTTGTTTAATCACATTTTTTTTTTTTTGAGACAAAGTCTCACTCTGTCACCCAGGCTGGAGTGTAATGGTGTGATCTCAGCTCACTGCAACCTCCACCTCCCGGGTTAAAGTGATTCTCCTTCCTCGGCCTCCTGAGTGGCTGGGATTACAGGCATGCGCCACCATGCCCAGCTAATTTTTGTATTTTTAGTATAGACAAGGTTTCACCATGTTTGTCAGGCTGATCTTGAACTCCTGACTGCAGGTCATCCACCCACCTCGGCTTCCCAAAGTGCTGGGATTACAGGTGTGAGCCACCACACCCAGTCTAACCCACATTCCTTACCATAACTTCAGCTTATTTTGAGCAAGCATTGTGTCTAAATCATAGTTCTATTCCCAGGACCTAGTATACAGTATGGCAAATAGTAGACATACATTAAACATTTGTTGAATAAGTACAAAAGCAGAGAAGTAAAATAGTTTATATTAGTAATAATACTGGCAGTTGAGAAACAGATTTCTTCACTGATTTCCTGCCTAACTCACTAAACTCAAATTTTATGCAGCACCATTTGCAGAAGAAGTTTAATTTTAATATTGCAAAATTAAAGCTTAACAGTTTCTATTTTTAAACCTACAAATGGCCAAAAGATATTTTAAGAAAATTTAGTGAAGAATTTGGAAGATAAAAAGATTTTGGTTGACCTTGTATTGAAAAAAGATAATTGAAAAGATAAAGTATTTAAAAAGGCTTATCACAGTTCCTGGCATAGAGTAAGTCCTCAGTGGTGTTAATTGAACTTAGTTGTCTCTCCTCCTCAAACACTGATTTTTCCAAATTTGCCTATTCTCTCTATTTTCCTATTTTGCAAAAGGGAGGGTGATAAAAACCCACTTGCCACGTACGCACACAAAAAAGGAGGCATGGCCAAACATAGAGACATAGCCCTGTTTAGTTTAATGTTAAATCTGAAAAACGCAGCAAAATGGAATTAGTTTTTATTCAAGTAAATATAGGCTATGTTTTAGAAGCTTGGTCCAGAGGAGTTAGTGTAAATTTCTGTCATTTAGGTAAAACAGCCCCTCTTTAGAACCAGGTTGAACTATGGCTAGCTTTGGCAGGGACAATGTAAACCAATAATAAGAACAATTAGGGTTGTAATCAACTTTAGAATGCCAACTAGAGGATTACTTGCCAGAGTACATGCAACTTTACTTGGATACCACAGTGTTTACTCACAGTGACACTTTCACAGAAAGAGATCACGATTCAGGAAGATCAGTACCAGTACTTCTGTGGTGTGTGTGTGTGTGTGTGTGTGTGTGTATGCATGGCTGGTGGAAATTTTATCATACAAGACATAGTCAAGGCAAACAAGTACAAGTACCATTAGAAGATGAGAAAGAGAAGATACAGAAACAAAGGTTTTATTTTTCTGTGCAAATATGTAAAAGCCATAGTCACACACATGCAGCTGGAAAATACAGAAGAATAAAAAGAAAAGGGAAAACATTTTTTAAAGTCAGATACCTTATGACAAGAAGACATTTGGAAAACAGAAAAGCAACTGACAATTACAGTGACAACAGAGGCATCAGAATTGTACACAGAAAGAAATTGTGAGTGAATATTTCTTAACCACATTTGGTAGAGAACATATTACATTTGGAACAGCCTGTAAGTACATAAGTACAGGTATGTCTAGAAGGGAGTAAATGTGAAAACTATACATATGGTCTGGCTATAATCTATTTTATGCTTATTGCAAATACTTGTGAATGTAAATATTGATGGGAAGGTTTTCCCCATGTCTTTTGTCACAAAATTTAACTTTGGAACAAATCATCTGAAGCAGCAGCATCACACGTTCAGCCTTGGATGTGAAGAAAATGGATGAGTAAGAAGGAAAATCTTCACAATTAGTTGCTCCCAGTTTGAAATGATTGTCACTACTCCAAAGGATATGAATTTGCTATATAAAAATTGTCTATTACTATTGCAAGATAGAATACACTTTCTTTGCTTTTGTAGTATATTACTTCATACTATATGCTACATGTACTCTATAACAAGGATATTATTTTGTCCTTGTTTGTTTGAATGGTATATTTAAATTTACCTTGGTCATTCTCACAAAAAAACAACTTTCTTAATTGGGACTAAATAGATGGCATCCAATGGATAAACTGTCCTCATGTTTTCAAACCAGGACAGCTCCTAAAGTCATAGACGTATATTTACAAAATGACATTTGGCAGGCCATTGTTATTTTAGTTGCTTTCTGAATTAATTCATAGGATCAAACTATTTTTCCTTTAAATGAACACAAATAACGTCTTCTTTGGAAGGGTATATCTACACAAAGATATTTAGCATAAATGATAACGTACTGGTGGAAACAATAAAAACATTAAGAAAGTTTTTTTAAATTATTATTTTATAATCTCTGAAATATTTATAATAAAGAATATATTAATTTTTGCATATCTTAGTATACTTTATAGATCCATTATTTCAGGTATACATTTATTTTAAAAAATCATAATGTCAAATATATTTTGGTTATGATGTATACTATGCTTTCATATTTTTTTCTGAAAGATACTTAAGAAAATAAATTTACTTGCAAATCTTAGAAAACCATGCTTCTAAGAAAATTCAAGTTTTACAATATATACTTTTAAATTTATGTATAAACTACAGTGCTTATTTTTATTAAATATTCATTGAAAAGCAACTGAAATTAGTCCATTTGATAGAAAAGTCAAGGAGCTCATAAATTTAGAAACAACAGAAAAATTGTTCTATTTGTTAGGAAAAGGGAAAGTATTGCAGGAAAGGAAATAGAGAAAGGATTATTTGTAACTTTGTTAGAGAGACAGTTTTATGGAATCAGAAATTATACCAGGGAGGTATAATTTGAGTACTGATACTAGATAATTGTTTTTCTACAATTTAGGGACTCGATGTAAATTCCTGATTTCTCTTTATATATTTAATCATATATCAGAGAAAACGTAACAATTCATTTGAATAGCTTCATGTAAAAACATAGATGAATATAATCAGTAATTTTAATCGGTAATTCTCTCTTTTTTTTTTTTTTTTTTTAGACAGAATCTCACCTGTCGCCCAGGCTGGAGTGCAGTGGCACAATCTTGGCTCATTGCAACGGCCGCCTCCTGGGTTCAAGCAAGTCTCCTGCTTCACCCTCCTGAGTAGCTGGGATTACAGGCATGTGCCACCACTCCCAGTTACTTTTGTATTTTTAGTAGAGACAGGTTTTCACCACGTTGGCTAGGCTGGTCTCAAACTCCTGGCCTCAGGTGTTCCGCCCACTTCAGCCTCCCATAGTGCTGGGATTATAGGAGTGAACCACCACACCTGGCCTGTAATTCTCAATTTTTGTGTCATAAATAATAGATAAGAATGAAAGAACAGAAATGAAAATAGAATCATAGTGATGGAGGGCAACTTAAAATGTGAAAATACCCAGAAATGGAGTGGGAAGAAATTGCAGTGGTCATTCACATATAGAAGTGTTGAGAATGATAATATGTTTGTACTAAATACACACAATAAGGAGATATTTCTAGTTATATTAAGAACACTTTTTTCATATTTAAAGTTAGAATAGGAAAATATTTTATACACAGACAAAGTGCTTCTGATATGTTTAAAATAAGCCTTGAATTTACCTTAATTATTGAGATGGTTTTTATTTCCTTTTTCTTCCCCAGAGATCTAAAATGAATCAAGGCATTTCTTGAAATTCAATGGCTTTTTTTTTCATTTGGGAATGTTCAAATGTATGTTAATAATCTTCCTGTTCACCCCACTCAACAACTGGCTCGTCATTCATACGCAAAATGAGGTAAGAAAGAAGCTGAAAAAGATTCTGCCAGAATAAGAGAGAGACATAAAAGGAGAGGCTGCTTACGTCCACCTCGCAGCGCTCGCCAGCAAAGGCAACATCACAGAGGCACTGGAATTTGTTGAGTAAGTCCTGGCACAGACCTCCATTGACACACGGATCAGAGGCACACTCATCAATGTCCTTTTCACACCTTCAAAATAAACAGAACAGCAGAAACCCAGGTCCCTGTTGAATACATTGGTTGTGAAATGGGAAGAAAAAGTTTGCCTTATCTCTCTGGAACAGCACAGTCTTATCTACCCATCCACACATACTTTATACATACTTGATAATGTCGGAGATGTTTCTTAAAATTTCTTTAACACATTTGGGGTTTAATGGAAATAATCTGTACACATATATATACATATACACACGGAATTAATTAGAATGAGAAAATAGATGCAAATATTTAGAAACCAAGAGAAAAGTGGGCCATGCCTACACCAGTGTCAATGCTCAAGAGCATTAGTGTGGTTGCCACCTTATATAAATGTTCAGTTTATTAGGGGCACAAGGAGAGAGGCTGTATTTTGCCATCTGGAGTCTGCAGGGCAGACCTACATTCAGGCTATCAGGATCCTCATGCATCAGAGCCCTCAGGCTAAGGAAAAAGCCCACCAAAGAGAAACCAAAAAAAAAAAAAAAAAAAAAAAAGAAGGAGGGAAGGAGGAGGAGGAGGAAGAGGAGAGGTTTATTCTGAGAGATTTTGAATTATTTTCTGTGGAAATCCTTTTTTTATAACAAAAGCAAAAATCAATAATTAGAAGATTGTACTTGCTAATAAATCTGTGTTCCAATAGCCAAGCATAATTTCTGAAATGTTGAGGTAGAATGACTTTCAAAAGCCAAATTTTCCAAGACAAGTGACATCAAGTCTCAGGTAAATTGAAGTTTTCTTCTTCCTGGGATATTGTCATTTTTTTAAACTAATTTTCCAGCAAGAATTTGTTTTTCTGTATATTCATGGATTAAGTCACCAATCATGTATTCAGTCACACAGTGGATATTTATTTAACACATACTATGTGACAAACACTCTGCTAAGACCTTGGGATAGAACAGCAACTAAGGCGGCTATTTTACTTTTGAAAATTTATATAAAATCTTAGCTCCAAGATCTCTATAGTGCAGCTTATAATGTTGAAATTGTATGTAAACAATTTTTAATTTTCCCTTATTCTTTCCCTCACCTTCCAAAATGTAAAACTTGCACGTATGGGTCAGAGACTAATCACTAGGCTCAAAATGAAAGGGGGTGAGGTAGTGGGGCAAGGCCAGCCCAAGGTATAAAGGAAAACAAAGATTTCTTCCAAGAAAAACAGCTCCTTATCCCTTTGGATACCAAGCATAGCTGAGACATTTTGTTTTCCTTTTTTGGCTTATGCTTCTGGACTGGAGGGAGACTTCTCTGATTAGATCTGAGCAAAACTTGACAACCCTCAGGAGCCTGCCAAGCATTCTCGGTCTTGGGTGGGCCAGAGTGTTCACACCATCCATCATTCAAAACCTGCCAGGATGACACTATTAAGCTGAAGGTTTAACCAAGGCAGGAGAGAAGCCAATTTATTTGAGGATAGCTTTTCAATATCCTTGGATGTGATGGAAGTCACATTTCCCTAGGCCATGGGAGATAGCCCACTATTTTCTGTCTTCCTCTAACTACTCCATCACTTTCTCACCTATTTCTCTGTTGAACTAAACAGTCAACAATAGATACACATGTATTATCAGCATCATTGGCATTTTTATTAGAGGTTAATTAATGCATGAAAAGTAAAAATAAATCCATTAACATCTAGTCAATTAAGTAATGATGGTTAAGGACTTTGAAAGCATAGAATCTACTGAACACAGGTTCAATGTTTTAGAAATATCTAGCATCATGTAAGTTTTTCCAGTTGAAAAGTCTCCTGGGAAAAGAAGGAAAACTCTAAGCTTTCTTTTCTTTCTATATTTCAAATATATCTGAATTTAAATGTCAAATATAAATTTTGTAAACTAATAAATATCAGAAGACAGGGAGATATTTGTTGTAAATAGAAACAATGTGTGAGTGGCAGAGAAAAATAATCCAGGGTTTTGGATGAGTTCCATGCATTGTGCCATTAGGCAGAAAGTGTGACGTTCAACCAGGAAGCAACCCACCCTTGACAATAGTTGGATTACTCAAAATTAATGACAAGAAAATATTTGCAATATTTTGAAAGATACATGGAATTGGAATACAACTAAACGATCTCAGTTAATAAGTTGCAGAACCAAAATTGGTGCAACAGAAAGCAGAATGTGACTCAAGGCTATCTCCTTTCATGCACATATAGACTTGGAATGCCTGTACCACAAAGAACCAACCACAGAAGGCAGGCTGCAAATGAAAATGAACGTTAAAAGGGTCAAATTCAGGTATACCCTAGACTCCCCGCTGTTTTGTAAAAATGGCAAAAGACCTGTGTCTTTGTGATGCAAAAGAGGCCAGCTAGAAAACAGAAAATTCCAATTAATCCAAAGGGCACTTGCCAGGGAGCACTCACATATCCATTATTTTATTAACTATGCTTATGGGAAATATTGAGTCAGTCAAAATATCTTTGTCAAATATGTCTGAGCTCAGTTTATTTAATTTTTTCAATGTAGGAAGTTTGATCAGAGATCACTTATCTTACCCTCGATGATACATGAGATGGAAGAACACCTTTCTCATTAAAAAAAAAGAAATTGTGTTGAGCAAAGATTTATTCATACAGTTATGCTGGCACATCAAATAGAAGAGCAGAGGCTTTGAAGGCAGCTCAACCTTACTGCAGCAAACGTGTGGATAGGCCCTTTATACGTCACTCAACCTCTCAGCCTCAGTTTACACATATGCAAAATAAAAATCATGAAACCTTCTTTACAGAGCTATAAGAATTAGAGATGGTATTTGTAAGGTGCATGGCACAGTGCTAAAACAAAAGGTTAACAATTATCTGCTTATATAGTATCTGTATTCTATAGAGCCCCAGTTCATAACTGTTTTGGGGACATAAATCCCTTTAAGCAGCTGATAAAAGCTATTCAGTATGCATTATTTCTACCCCTGAACTTACCCCTAGCCACTCAAATACATATTCTAATTTTCCTGTATTTTCAGCAGGTCACAGATTGCCTGAAGCCATTGACCAACTCCATTTTAAGAATTCCTGTATGAGGTGAAGAACAGTTGAAGAGTTTCTCTGGGAAAAGTAGACTCATATGGATAAGGTATATATACTTTTGGGTTGTAGGCAATTCTATGAGGCAATCTTTTAGTTGTAATTTATTTTACCTCGACAGCAACCATATTTGCATCATGTATTAGAGTTAGCAACAAAAAAGAGACATGAATTCAGAAGTACTTATAAGAAAGAAAAATAGCACATTATACATTTTTTAAAAATCATTTTTCCCTATTTGAAGTTTTGTCTAATAAAATGTTCTCCCCTTTGACCTAAACTGTAGTTTTTCTTCTTTTTTATTGTTTCATTCTGTCTGAACCTCTATTTCAGCATAGATTTTCCTATGGGAACTGAGATAAAAAATTAGAGGAGAAAATGAACTTTGAGTAATCCCATCATTCTTTAGCTCAGAATTCTCTTCCAGAAGGCTCTAATGTGACTCACCATTCTCCAGTAAAACCTGGCCGGCACATACATTTTAATTCAGTCTGGAACTCTGTGCAGTTGCCTCCATTGTAGCAAGTGAGATTTGTCTTCTCATTCCCACAGACTGTTGAGGGTAATCTGCTCTGTCTAGAGAGATAAAAGCAAGAGCCACAGCTGTTCATCTTGTTCATCTCATTCAAGAAAAGTTTTCTGATAAATTCATGTATGTAGTCAATGCCAAGCTAATTAAGTACTCAGGCTGGAGGAGCTACAAATGCTTAATTGTGCTGCATTATGCAAGAATCACTTTCTCCAGTAAAAAGCTCCTGCTGGAGGGTTCTGTGACAAGCATGGCTATACATCTTCCATTTCTACACAGTTTTCGTTTGTGAGATAAGATCTATGCCATGGGGTGGCAATAAATTTTGGGTTGGAAAAGAACTTGCTATAACTAGATTTGCTGCTGCTTTGCTAATAAATCAATAAAGGCCATAGGAAAATTGCATCTCTATAAAGGCCAGGAAGCAAGGACAGCACTCTACTACCCAAGCACTCATGTGATTTCTCTATTGGCTTTCAGAGCTGAACTCCAGTTGCCCTGCCAAGACTTGCTGCTCCCTATGTAATAATTCATAGCTTCGAAGAATGCAAGCCAAATGCTGTCCAGGAGCTTTGTATATAGCACACGATGGTAACTGCATGTGAATTCAGAGTGTGGCTCTCTGATATGGCAACAAAGCTTTACATGTTAAAGAATCCTCATAAAAGGCGGAACAAGTATTAGAAGCTAAGCGGAACTTCACTGTAAGACAAAATCTAGTAATGTGAAGGGACTGATATTTAAAGAGTTTAATAGTGTTGCTTAGGCCCTTTGACCCACTGTGTATGTGCATGGTATCAGATAACTAATAAATATTCAGGAAGTGTAAAATGAATTGAATTTTGTTCTGTTGTGTGTGCTGCAGCTAATGTGGATAGACTAGCTTATATGATGCTAAGTGTGTCTCTTCCCGCAAGAGCTAATCAATTCTACTTTAAAAAGAAGGATATCATAAAGACTTTTCAAAAGAGCCAAAAATGTCAACCAGCTTTGAAAGAGGTCAATTAGCAATGCAAATATGAAGCTTTGTATACATCTTGGTTTTAATAAACAATTCCTGAATCTCATTAGAAGGTATTTTTGAGGGCTTTCATCTTTCAGAACTTGACTTTAATGAATTAGGCAGAAAAAAATTCTGGAGAAGTAGTTACTAGGGCCTATGTGTTTATTTTACTTATCAAAATTCACAGTGAAATATACTAAATTTGATCCTGAATTCTTCTTGCTTTTAAACAGGCAGGTTACCTGTTGGGAACACTTAGCACCTACAACAGTGCCTTGCTTTCACAGGCTCAGAACAGTAACTGTTAAGGAGAGATGTACAACTTCTTATAGGTATGCCTACATGTTATGTTTGCTAGGAGATTCATGCAATTAAGGTACCACCTCTGAATTAGTGTAATGTCTACAGGCTGCCAACCCATTCCAGGTGTTCTTGCCGAAGTTCTGGAATGTATTACTTGTTAATAATAACCCTCTCACCTCCCCATAATGACTCAATTATTTAGTAAATTTAAAGCGGTGTAAGTTGTAAAAACAATAATAACTTCTTACATGGAAATACTGAAGCAATGTGACTTAGAAGAAAAATAGTCTTTCTTATCTCTGTTTATATAGCTTGAAATGGAGGTAGTTACAAGAACTAAAATACTGCTTTTGTAGTTGTAGAAAAATGTGAAATACTTTGAAATGGGCAAAAAAAATCACTGCATATTCTTTCAATGCACTGCTGGGTTTACATAAAGGACTATCCAGGATTATCCACTTTTGCAGTGGTCTGTGCCTTATTACAATTCTGTAAGTTGTAGAAAACAATATTAATATGAAAATCTTGTTCGTCAAAATGCAAATTAGTTTATCTGTAGTGAGCCATACAAATGATTATCACAGTATTGAAGATGACTTCAAATACTAGTTTTCTTGCCCTATGGGATATTAAACAGTTTTGTATTTATTAATAAATTCATTCACTCATTCTTGTTTGTATATATACGTATACATATTCTTTAGATTGTCCTTTGAATTAGTTTTTATATCTTACTAGTTTCCTCATTAATGACAGAATAATTAAAACATGTTTATTTTATATTTGTCTGAGAATTATAATTCCACTGTTTTGAAATTACAGTTGACCCTTGAACAACACATGTTTGAATGGTGTGGATTCACTTATATGTGGATGTTCTTTCACCTCTGCCACCACTGAGACAGCAAAACCAACCCCTTCTCTTCCTCTTCATCCTAATCAACATGAAGACAATCAAGATAAAGATCTTTGATGATCAATTTCCACTAATGAATAGTAAATTTATTTTTTCTTTCCTATGATTTTCTTAATAACATTTTATTTTCTCTAGCTTGCTTTATAGTAAGAAGACAGAATATGACATACAAAATATGTGTTAATTGACTATGTTATTGTTAAGGTTTGTGGTCAACCAGGCTGATAGTTGTTATGTTTTGGGAGAGTTAAAAGTTAAATGTGGATTTTCAACTGCACATCAGCACCTCTAACCCCTGCGTTGTTCAAGAGTCAGCTGTATACTTTAATGTACTGTTTTCGGGATTTTAGAGTATTTACCTGCCTGAAATAGCTCAAGGCATTATTTTAGCAATAGAAGTCATGCCTTCCCTAACAATACTACATTTCAGCTTTTGCATTTATTGTAAATGCATTTGTTTCCCGAGGCCTTGAAACTGTTAGACCCTGGGGCTACAGTTCATGAGACATATTTTCACACAGATGACTGAGAAAATATTTTGCTGAAAATCTGATTTAAACACTACCTTTCTGACCTGTAGAATATCCTGGTAAGTGAGATCCCATCTGAACATGACCAAATTGTGACAGAAGCTACCAGTGTCACCCTGTTCAGCACAGTATATATGTATACCTTGAGGAGAGAGCTTTCCAATTTGACAAGAACAGTGATGCAGAGTATAGCTTCAAAGACCAAGCTTCATATGGACTTTATGCTCACCTGCAAAATTTTCCTGTAAAATTTCCAAAACAGAGGCAAGAATAGCCATTAGTATGACTAATGCAGGTGGCTCCATTTGCACACTGGTGACTCTGGCAGTTGTCTATATCCACTTCACAGTTCACACCAGTGTATCCAGGCTCACATGTGCAGTGGTAGGCTGCAACTCTGTCAGAGCAGTTGCCATGGATACAGGGGTTTGAAAAGCATTCATCGATGTTGAGTTCACAGTGTTTCCCTGACCATCCCAAGGGACAGGAGCAATGATAAGAGCTATAGATGTCTTCACAGTTTCCTCCATGCAAACAGGGGTTGGAGTTGCAGACATTTAACTGCAAACAGCCAGTGACCACTGAATTGGTAGAGATTTTGAGAAATTGCTCTTCCTGAGGTTTATTAATGAAACCATGAACATTTTCAAAGTAAGAGAGATAAATGCCTCCGATTTCTATTGTACTTAGACACCCTTGCAGGCCCTTTATATTGTCAATAGCTCTGTCTCCCACATAAATATCTGTATTATCCTTCAAAAAGTTGAGGCTTCCAGTAGCAATTGTGCTGGTCACAAAAGGTGTTTCGTTGTCCACTTCCATTTGCCACCTGGAGGTCTGGGACAGTGGGTCTGTCATGGAAAGGGTCACTTCGTGCCATGTGCCATCATTCACTGACTGCAAACTTGTCAGACTTAGCATATAAAAGCTGTTGCCACTTTGCAATTGAAAGAATAATCTGGAATCTTGAATGCTAATATTAAGAAATTCAGGCTCTTTTTCTGCATGCAATATTATTACATTTGCATCCCTTGTTCTGAAACCAAATGTGATATTGGTGAGTTCTCTGGTAATATTCCCATTGCTTCTGAATAATATTTGACCGCTTTGTCCATTAAAAACAGCATTTGCAATACCTAATGAGAGAAGGTGATAATAATCAATAACTTTATTAAATCTATAGTTTGCTTAATTACCGTTATTAATAGTAATGATCATTGTGTTAATAACATTGCATATTGACTATTTGATACATGTTACATACTGTGCTAGTTGCTTTTATATTATTTCTAATATCAAACTTTTGAATACAGGTATTATTATTATCCCCATTTTATGGAAGAAGAAGTTGAGACTCACAGAATTTAAGTAATTTTGTTCATGGTCATGTAATTAATAAATAACAAAGCCAGAATATCAAACTGGGATGGTCTGATAGCAAAACCAAAACTATACATTTCTTTTCCAGTGAAATCCTAATGCATGCCAATTTTTATTTTGCATTTGCTCCCACAAATAAAGCATTGATAATTCATTTTACACATAAATAAATTGAGCAAAAAGAAATCACAAATCTAGCTATGGTGACCCAGAAAATTAACAGTGGAGTCTGGCTTCTGATTAAGCTGATGAGTAGGCAGTTAAAAGTAGCATTCCAAATGACTGATTTACTTACCTGGTAAAACTCCAATTATGTGACAAGCTGCAAATTCTGTATCTACACCCAAGTACTTTCATATACAACCATATCAATTGCTCTCATGCTATATGTGAGCAGAGCACTTTGGGCAATCCTATTGCATTTCTCTATTAAAAACTTTTTTCCCCATTCTATAAGATGATTAACAAACAACTTGTTCTGTCTCTTAAAATATCTAATTCTGTCTCAGCTTATGATCTCACCTAATATTTTCTTGAAAAAACAGAGCTACCTCAGATATCCATCAAATCTGTAAACCTAATATTATTTGGATCCACACTGCATTCTATCCTGCTATAATAGACGTATTGTCTGTATTCCCACCAAGGTCAACTCTACCAGTTATAAACTGGGTCCTACTGCTTTTCACCTTTTAAACATATTATTCCTCTATGCATTCTTTTTCTTTCTTGCATCATCATTTCCCCTTCCATTTTGTTGTTTCCCATCAATATACAAATATGTGTAATTGCTTTAATCTTAAAAAATAAAAATACACACGAAACAGTATCCTGACATCCCCCAATCCTGCTGCTTTTTTGTCTATTTTCTTTACCAGCAAAACTTACTAATTTTATATCCCCATGGTCTCACTCTATTATTCCTCATTTTTCTCTTTTATATATGCCACTCAAGCTTTTGTCCCAGTCACTTCACTAAAACCACTTTCATGGTTACAATGAATGACCTCCATGTTACTCAATGCAGTGGCCAATTATCTACTTTTATTGTATCACACTTTTCAGTAGCAAATGACCTGAAAACACTATTAATACATTATCAGGCACTACACCCAACCACCATCATCTTTCATTAAGACTAATTACTTCTTAGTGTCCCTGCTTCTACTGCTCTGCAGATCAATATAACAACCACTCCTTAGTCAAGCTCCATTAGTTATCATCTTTAAAAGAAATCCTAAATTCTAAACATAACCACAAGAGTGTACATGATCTGAGCCAGTTGTGGGTATAATCTCAGCTATCTGGGAGGCTGAGGAGGGTGGATAGCTTGAAGTCAGCAGTTTGAGACTATCCTGGGCAACATAATAAGACCCCGTCTCTCTTCAAAAAAAAAAAAAATTCATGACAAAATTTTGCCATGTTAAAAAAAAAAGCATCTACATGATCTGGCCCCTGATTAACTCTCCAATTCCAATTCATTCACAGGCCACAGCCACAATTTCTTGCCATTCATTGAAGATACACCAAGCTTGTTCCCAGCGCAGGCCTTTTATACTTGCTGTTACTTATACCAAGAATATTATTTCCCCAGATCTTCTTATACTTGGCTTTTCTTAGTGTTAATATCGCTCAAATGTCACCTCCTCTGAGAAGCTTTTCCCTGACTATCCAAGTTAAAAAAACCGCCTCCCTGCATTCACTGTCTATGCTTAATTTTCTTCATAGCTCCCATTACCACTTAAAATTACGTTTATTTGTTTACTTGTTCCTTCACTGTCTTTCTGCACTAGGACATAAGCTTTATGAAACCAAGGATCCTCTGTGTCTAGGTTATCACTAAATCCTTATGCCTAAGCCTGTGTGTCCCTGATGTATAGTAGGTGCTCAGTAAACATAATTAAATGAATACTCTATGAAAATAACTCCATCCTGTATCCTGAAAAGTGAGATAATGATTAGAAACCACAGCAGGAGAAAATTTCAGTGTATCATTCAAGTGTATTATTTGACTTAATTAAATAAATCAATTCCTTTGATCTTATTGTTTTTTACTATGTGTGTGTGTGTGTGTGTGTGTGTGTGTGTGTGTGTGTGTGTGTGTTTCAACCAGGTTTGGAGTTGGGAATTTAGGGAAAAAAAGAGCAACAAGTGTTTCATTACATGTTTTTAAGTAAATGTTAAAATAAAAAATCTCCAAAATTCTCCAACTCTGAAATGAAGACTATGGTCTATAATGCTATATAAATATATTTACTAACTCTGCTGAGCACACTGAAATCATGTCTTCTGATCTGGGTAAAAACCACGATATACCTAATCACTTTTGTACTTCACCTTTTCTTTGGGGAACTTTACCATAATAAGCACACCTGTATTTAAGGTGAGTTGTAAATGTTTAAATCTTGGTACGATACAGAGATGATTAAAGTCCTAAAGGCAAACTCAGAGCAATTTATCAGCTGTACTCTCAAGAGTATCTTGTTCCATTAGACTTAATCTTTTCAATATATTTTAGTTGGAAAGAAAATATAATAGAGTCATAAGATTACATAAAATTAAAATTATGAGAGTAGTAAAAGTGAATTCTGGGTTCATACCTGTCAATTAGAAAATTGATTTATAATTCCTATTGTACACCTATTTATTTACGTTTTCTCTCTACACTAAGATAAGCTATACTTAAAAAATGCTACTGGGACTTTCTGGGGGTGTCAGAGCTGGACTTACTAGTCTTTTGCTATTGGCAATGTTGTAGCAGTAAAAGTTCACTTCACTTCCTTCTGACACATGTTTGTCCAGCTCCTAAACTGTTTGATGTGTAGATTGCAGAGCAGTGTGCATACTGTTTTGGGGCTGCCACTGTTTTTAGAAATCCTATTCATTTTTCCTGTGAAAATATTCAAAACAATTCGGACACCAGGTAGAACATAGCTGAGACTAACAACTTTAGTATTTCTATCAAAAGATCAACAGTAAAATTAATAATTAAGAAATTATTTTAGAATAATTAAAGAAGTAGAATGAAAAAGTATCATTTAAAATTTAGTGCCCCATTAAAAACCAATTTACCTTATTTATGCCAACGCATCATGTTTTCTATACATGTGTGGTACCTATTTCTTAAGTATGAAACATAAAAGTATATACGTTTTTCTAGAGAACTTCCCCAAGTGTATATACAGTGTAATGTATTTCATACAGGTCTTTTAAATAATATGATTTTGAAGTACAGAAACATAAAAGTAAATTCATTTTTCTCTTTTTCTCAGTTACTTCGGGGCCCAGTCTAGATAGTATGTCATTGCTACTGACCTTAAGCCAAACTATCCTCTAGTTCCATTCCATTATTTTAGTGCAGTATTTTTATTTTTATTTTTATTTTTATTTTTTTTTGAGACAGGGTCTTGTTTTGTTGCACAGGCTATAGTGCAGTGGTGTGATCCTAGCTTACTGCAGACTCAAATTCTTGGGCTCAAGCAGTCCTCCCACTTCTGCCTCCTAAAGTGCTGGGATTATAGGTGTCAGTCACTGCATCCAGCATGTATTTTTTTTATAGTAAGCTGATAATGTACTTAATGTCCACAGCAGTTAAGTGAAAATATTAAGTAAATTTGAAGAAAATAATATCAATTTATTTATTTTACAAATATTTATGAGCAAGAAACCACATAGAAAAGTTTCTTGCCTTGTGAAGCTTATATTCTCATGATGAAAGAGATGATAGACAAATATATCAATGCATATGTAACAAAATATCAAGGAACAATAAGAGATAAAAATAAAAATAAAGCCAAGTTGGAGGATGTTTGTGTAGAAACCTGAATGAAGTGACAAAGGTGACCTGTGAATCTCTGGGTTAAGAGAGTTCAGGAGGGAGGTGGTGGTGTGTGGGCCTGACTGTATGGAGCAAAAGAGAGAATGGAGTGAGAATATCAGAAGCATATTGCGGACAACACATTAAAGGGTTTTTTACTCCCTATTCTTTAAGGCAGAGAAATGGGATGGTAACTGGTAGGAATAGGAGTGAGGAAGTGTCAAAAGAAATTTTTTGTAATGATGGAAAAATTGATACTGGTGTGTGAGAGAAAAGTTTTAGGAGCACAATCTTTGAATAAGGGGAAGAAATTAGAATTCAGTGCAAACTTAGAGGGTTGGCTATTAACTGGACTGTGAATTATTTGAAGTAGGTGAGAAGACAGAATATAAATAACAGTATAGTTAGTGGGTGGATATGTCAAAATTGTGAATACTGTATAGTATTCAAATTGCTAACATTTGGAAAATTGTTTTTTGTAGTACAGAAGATGGACAGGAAAACTTTTCACAGTGAGGGAAATTCTCATAGATATCATTAATTGAGTGCCTAACATGTTTGATTATTTACAGATAAGGTCATAGAATCATCACAAAGAAACCGAAGAAGTAGAAAGTGTTCTCCCTATTTTACAGGTGAGGAAGCTTTAGATGATGGAGATCACATGAATTGCCTGAGGCCTCATAGTTAATAAATGGCAATGCGTAACATGCACATATTTATTCTGTGTTCCCAGTAATGAGGGAAGGAAATTCAAATATTGCCTTGTTAATTCTTTTTCAGGAAATCAGTTTTAAATGATTAAGCATCTAGGTTTAGTGTTGCTGTGACCTCCATTTCCTATCCAGACAGCCACCAAGGGCAGGATGAGGCAAGAGGCCAGTCAGTATTAGCCTACTCGCATAGGGGAAACAACCATAGATTAATTTAATAAACTGGCTTTGTCTATACTCTTTTTCTGTGTTTGCTCTTGGAACAACTCAAATGTCGCAACTTAACTGGTGAGATGGTAGGTTTGAACTCTACCTACATTCAAATCCTTGAAGCACCGGCTGGCACTGGGCTCCGTGAGGACACGGGCTGAATCCACACCACTGAACCTCCTCACAGGCTTTCCCACTTGTGAGGGCAGGACAGGAACAGGAGAAGTCATCCCACCGGGAATGGCAAACACCTCCATTGTGACAGGGGTTGGACTGAGCAGAAAAGAAATCAAAGGTATAAAAAGCACTGGCAACTAAATAGAAAAATGTTGACGGTGAAACCACATATCTGTTTTTTTAAAATGCTAATTTCCCTGCATCTTTACATTTTAAACTTTTAAGATCCATTGTTAACTAAATAGAATAAAAATGACTACTGCCATTACCAACTCCTTTCTAAAAGGGCAGAGTGGTGGCAGAGAGAGAGAAAAGATATAAAATTGATCCATAGCACAAGGAGGGTTTTTCAAGTATAGCAGTGTCCTCTGTAATTTACAAATTACCAGGCACTTTTTCACATGCACTAATTATCATTTGAGGAAGGGATTCTTACTCCTGGTTTTATAGATGATAAAAAGAAGGTGTTTCCAGTTGCCCAAGATCCTACACAGAAGCGAAACAGTGAAACTTGGTACTTAGGTCCTCTGGATCCCAACTCAGTGAGTGCCCTTCCCACATTGGTCTGCCTCTGAATCAGAGACATAGTATTATTATTTGAGTTCTCACAAGGTTGCTCACAAAAAGTATTCAAAATGAAAGTATTTAAAAAGAAATTTATTAGAGCATGAACTGTGTTTGTCCTGGGTCTACTATTAACATATGATTTAGGCTAGTTACATAACCTTTCTAAACTTCAGTTACTTCATCTGTAAATAATGTAAATTGGGACAACAATAATGCTTGCTTTCCACAGTAGTCCTTCAATAGAACTAAGTGGATTAATCCATGTAAAATAGTGCCTAGTACATTGAAAATGTTCCATAACTATGTTACAATAATTCATTTGTGTATATTTAGAACCAAGCTTAGTGTAGGGCCATAGTTGGAGCTCAACAAACGCTCAACACACAGAAATGCGTTTCCTTTTTTTCCTTTGAAAGGTCATGCAGAGCTGACAAGTTCTTGTATTTAAGCAGCTCTTAGAAGAGCACATAGAATATTTAAAGTAAAGCTTGGGCTTTGAGAAATTATATTTCGGAAGATTTCAACTACCAGAAGGAAATTACCTCTCAGATTTCTCTTGTTGTTTCTGACTTAATAAAAGTTCAAAACAATAGTAGTTGGGCATTTAAAATAAAGTTAACAATATCATCCAAAAAGAGTTAATTCAGTTAAACCTCTGGTGTGCCATTAGGAGTTTAGGAATTGAAATATTATTATACCTAAGTAATTTGATTGCTGTGAGGGTGAGAGAAGCCTATAGCCGAAGTTACTTTGGTTAGTTAAATAGATCCTGATACCAGTAAGATCAAGGCCTCATTTCTATGGCTCAATGTAAATTTCACAGTCTTGTTGGAACAATATAGATGAAATATTATTCTATACTGGTGGGTCAGTAACATCATCTTTATATACAAAGAATGGTTTTAATAAGTTATCTTTTTAATAAAGTAAAAGTTTAGCATACAGTATATACCTAGTTTGTATGAGTAATCATTACCTTGCAGCTGTTGTCTCCAGCACAGCCTTGGGTTACATTGACAAGAACTGGATTGAGAGATGCATTGTTTGTTGGATTTGGAAAGAATTCCAGATTTTGGTTGTTTAGTCTTACATCTTGGATACAGCCTTTGAAGAATCCACCATTAAGTTCAGTCTCTTGCTTGTCAGGTAGGCCACCAATGTAGATGACATCTCCCTTTTCGATTTTCCACGTAGAAGCAGAAATAAATCCTAGGTTTTGTGAAGACTGATACAGTTCAATTTTATATGGCTTGATTTTCAAAGATATCAAGTGGACATTTCCATCATTAAGAACAAATTTTACTACTAATTTGGGAGAGTTTGGAGTCAGCATTGCTAGTCTGCCGCGCTCTAGCCAGACACGGATATATTGATAAGTGCTGTTTTCCAAAGCTAGAAGTAAGCCTGATGGTTGAAGCGTTCGGACAAACATGGAGAGGCTGATGGTGTCTCCATAGCTCTCATCAAGAGTAAAGATGACATAACCAGTGGAGTCATCCTGGCCAAATCTGCCTGCCACATACTCTTCAATGTCAAAATAGAGGAGGAGGAGAAAAAAAAAGAAACATCTTAAGGCTCAAAAGACAGAAGGGATGGAAGACGAAAATTATACATTTCACACACACACATGCACACAAGCATACACACTCATACATAGCTTTTAAAGTTCAGGACAGGTTTATTAAATAGAATAATGATTTGGCCTCTTTCTGGACTTCTGAGTTTACTTTAACCCTAAAATAACTATATTTTGGTTTGTAGTTTACACTTCAGGCATATTGATCACAAAACAGACCAAAAAGATCTCTGCACTGATAAACTAAAGAATCTCCCCTTTGCTGCCCTAAAATATGGGCCTTAATGGTGGTATATCAGACACTACTATACTCCAACCTGGTGGAAGAAATTTTTGGACAAGGGCACTTCATGCAACCCTCTGCAAGTGGACTGTGCAGGGAGTCATAATCTTTGCTACTTAGAGGCATGCTGAAGCAAACATGTCATTAAACCTAATTATTCTTTGTAAAGAAATTTT
Source organism: Homo sapiens (assembly GCF_000001405.40). Lineage (NCBI taxonomy): Eukaryota > Metazoa > Chordata > Mammalia > Primates > Hominidae > Homo > Homo sapiens. Next base: position 197,426,942 of record NC_000001.11, on the reverse strand, counting down.
TTAGAGCCTGGAATGTATTTGTCCCAGGTCTGCTATTAACATGTGATTTAGGCTAGTTACATAACCTTTCTAAACTTCAGGTTTTTAGTCTGTAAATAACATAAATTGGGACAACAGAAATCAAGAATTAGATGATTAAATCTTCTCTTGGGATGACATCTCACATAAGAAGCAAGGCAGTTGAACAAGGAAAAAGAAGGACCCTTCCTTCTGTGGTCCTGGTTGGGAGTAGGAAAGGCACAGGAAACAGAGAACTTGGGGCAAAGCTGAGTATTAAACCCACCCTGCATTTCCTGTGGTCAGAGGAGTTAGTGATGCTCATCTGTGGCAATGCTATTGATGTGCATCACCTCAAGAAAACTCTTGAGATGTATAAAAATAAAAACTGACATTGTAAAATATGGGTGACATAGTAGGAAGAAAACTTCCCATCCTCATCAAGCTTACATTCTAGTTGGAGGAAAGACACCAGACACAGACAAGGAAGCAAACTATATAATATGTCAGATGGTGAGAAATCCTTTAGTATAAAATGTCAGGTAGAGAAAGGGAATAGGGCGATTTGGAGGGGTGGAATTGTAATTTTAAATAGAACAATCAGGGAGGAACTCTGAGAAAGTGATATCTGAGCAAAAGCCCAAAGTTATACTACATTATTGTAGCAACTCAAGAGAGAAATGATAATGGCTTGGATCAGTGGTAATGTGAAAGTGGTCAAAAGTGGTCAGATTTTCAAAATATTTTGAAGGTAGATACAACAGAATTTTCTGGAGCAAGTTCATCTCTAAGGCTTTGGGCCTAAGCAACTGGAAGCATGGACTTTCTATTTGCAGAGATACGGAAGAAAACTGGAGGAAAAGATTTTTGGGTGAGGTGGGAGTCCATATTAAATTTGAGATGCCTTTTTGGATATCCAAGCAGAAGTGACTAGTGGGCAGTTGATATAGAGGTTCAGGCAGGATGTTCTGATAATGTGGGATTTGTTAGTATATACCACCTTCCATCGGCCCCACCTTCAACATTGGGAATCACATTTCAACATGAGATTTGGAGGGGGCATACATCCAAACCATATTAGATATTTAGAGCCACAAGACTGGATGAGATCACCAAGAGAATGAGTATATATAGAGAAAATGAGAGGTCCAAGAAGTAAGTCCTTGGGCATTAGACAAGTAGAGGTAAAGGAAATGATGCAAGAGTAGCCAGTAAGATAAGAGGAGAACCAAGGGAGTGTGGTGTCCCATAAGCCTAGTGAGAAAATAGTTTTTCAGGAGGAGGGAGTGTTTAATTGTGTTAACTGGTATTGAGAAATCAAGTAAGATGGGGACAGAATTGACCATTGATTTTGCAGTCTAGAAAGCATTGATAACTTGACAAGATCACTGTCTTCAAGATATTGCTGTCTTCAAGATTTTATATCCCAGTACTAACCAGAAAAAAAGAGCATATTTCAGCATGTCTAAATGTCATCATATGGCCCAGCTGAAGTTTGGGCAAAGGTAAGACACATTTTAGTTTAGCTTAACTATAGTAAAACTTGCTTAGACAATCAACTGTGTTTGAAGATCTTCTGCATAAAAGGCTATATTTTCAGAACTCTGACTTGATTTAATACAGGAACATTGCATTTTGAATCTGCATTTGGAGACCACCTGCTCCAGGCAACTACCGGTAGCTTTCAAAAGTGTACTGTTAGATAAAATAACCCCTTTGAAGAGGTTAACATCTCTGAATACACTGCAGCACTTTCATATGAGATAAAATGCTTAATAAGAAAATTTGGCCCTTGAAGCCCCTGAGGTTTGAAGATATGCCCAGAATCACTCAACCTCAGGGGTAGCGGGGTGCCTGCTGGTCATCCCAGGATGCCTTCAGCATCACTTTGTGGATCTGGATTAAAAGCCAAAATGCAGAGTATTTTTTTTTCTCAGAAGCCTGATTCTTCAGCAATCCTATTTCTCAGAAATCACAAGCAACTAATCAGCATGTGTGATTTGCTACATGACTTTAGAAACACCTGAAGACATATGACTTGGCTGTGGATTTGGAAGGGTGATACTCATACAAGTGGTTGACATGTCATGAAGAGGAACAACACATACAGATAAAAAACAATTTTGGCAAGCTTTAATGATTGATGGAATACAACAAGATGAAATTTAACAAGAATAAATAAGAGCCACTTCGATCTAAATGTGCGTTTATAAGATTAGAGTGGGAGAAACAGGACTATGTGGCATCATGAGTGACAATGATACAAAGTGACGCAATCACGAAGTGTGGCTGCCAAAAAGTCAATGTTGTATTAAGCTGAAAAACAGAAGCACATTATCTAGAATAAGGGAGGTTATGGCCCTGTGTGTCACTGTATCATCCAGCACATACAGACATCACATCTTAGAAGGAATACAAAGAAGCAAATATATTCCAAAACCTGCAAGCAGCTGATGAAGTGTCGGAAAACTATGTCATATGGCAAACATTAGAAGAAACAGGATGTTTAGCCTGAATAGAAGTGATGGTTTAGATGGCTCGAGATACTTTTCTTCAGATATTAAGTATTCTCAAGCAGCAGGCAAGTTGAGATTTTTATTTGCATGTGTTCCAGAAATGCAACAAGGTCAATGAAGGAAAGCTACGGGCAAATCCTATTCTATTTCAATATAAGGAAATAACTTTTGGGCAATTTTTGGCAAGATGGAGTGAGTGATCTCTCTATTTGTGAAGGTGTTTGAGCAGAGATTTGAGCCACTACATTTGGCAGGTACAATTGTGTTAAAAATTCAGTCATAGAATGAATCTTTTTCTATATCTAGGAAACTATAATTCTAAGAGAATAAAATTCTCAAAATCTAGGTATATGGCTGAAAAGAAGAGATATGTAAATTGCTTTTGTAAGTCAAATGTTCACCAGAGAGCAAGAGGTAGGTGATGCCATTTATTCTGAGTAGTAGTATCTTGAATGCTGCATGTTCTTACAAACAGTCAACACAAGATATGCTGAGAGAACCTTATGGACACTTCTGTGACCTAAGCTTAGTTAAATCCTTTTCAGCACTCTTTCTGTTGAGAAATTAGATTATTTAAAAAAGATCAACCTTGATACATTGGAAATCACTATGTCTTTTGTGTTTAGTCAGCCACCAAAATCCTCTATCCAGTCTCCTTGTTCATTAAAATGTATACCATGGTTGGAAAACATTGAGCCAAATATGAGTGCAAGTCATGAATGGGCTGAAGTTTGCCTTTGTGCTTTTTAGTATGTCTCCTCCCTCTTGCACGTATATGTACAGTAGCAGAAAGACTCCATGTTCTCATTACCACTTAAAAGCAGTTTTTAGTGGGAATAAACTCTCCAGGAAACATTCCTTCAAGATAACAGAAAATACAGAATATTTTAATTTTATAATGAAGAGGTGATATGAAAAATATAATTTTCCTTAAATTTATACCAAGAATTTTCAGAAAGAAAAGATTTCACAGAACTCTCTCTGTCTGTAAAGTGATCTTTTGAAGTCAAATATTTTCTTGAGGGTTAAGCAGTTTCAAATAATGTTGGAGTATAAGGAAACTGGGAGAAGTGGGGGAAGGGTAACCAATTCAGGAACTTGGTTTGAAAAGTTCATGGTTTTCCAAGTTGGATAAAATAAAGAAAACCAGAACCCAGTGGATTGGCATCTCTTGAATCTATTTACTAGGACAGTTAACATCACCATGGTCAGTATTAACCTCATGGGTCACTGCATCTGGAAGCCAGTCAAAATGAGTCAGCATCTGTTTGTTATTTTGTATATGTAGTAAAAATATTGCCTTAGGTCAATTAAATTTTTCTTCAAAAAGTGAACATTGCCTCAGCATAATTTCCCTTTTTCTCCTTAAAAAAAATCACAAAACAACTTGCCATTCTACTTAAAATATTACGTAGAGCTAGTAGATACCATACTTCATTGTCAAACAGGTCCGTGATTTGTAATGAATATTGTGGTCGGGGGAAACCCTTGAGTAGTTTCTAATAATTCTTAGACATTTGAACATGGAATAGAGTATAGGCTAAGACTGGTTTTAATTTTACTTCATATAAAGCAGAGAAGACTACTTACCAGATGTTGTCCTACTTCAAGTTACTCTAAAATCTTGGGGTAAATTACAGCTGAACTTCAAAGCAGTCCGTTACAATTACCTCTCAGACTTTTTCAATGTATGATAATAATAATAAAAAGAAACAGGTATATATTGATCACTATCAACAGCAATCTCTAGAACAATGTTGGAAGTTAAGGATTTTGAAATACTTTGCAAACTGTGGTTTACTAGAGAAATTAGATCAATTAGTTTATGGCATCTACCAAGTTCTACTATTGTTACTTTCCACATTTTTTTTTCTTTTTTTTTTTTCTTAAGACACCTAGTATATTATCTGTCTTCTCCAGGGCAACCTTGGAAAAGATACCTTTGAATAAAATTGGCGTTTTATAAAAACGCTATGCTTAATTATGATTGTGGAGCAAGTGTGAATTGCATGGAAAGGAGAGCAAGGAAATGAATATTTACCGAGAATTTACTATGCACAAGATATCATGCTAGTATGTGGCACTGACAAATTTTATGTCTAAGGTTTTTTTTTTTCAAAAGATTATTTCTCTTTCAAATAAGATTTACAATAAATTTCTGATATGTGACCAATGGTAAAATTGCAGTAGCATTTTGCAAACACAAAGATGAAAACCTCTTTGGAAAAGAGCTATCTGCTTATTTTTTTTACTTCTCTGTATGAGTGAAACTGATGTCCTATGAATCCACTCAAAATTAATTAACGCACATCACTGCCCTCTTCTTTTCTTTCTCATCAGTGGGCAACCAGCAGCAGAAGTCTTGTGGGGTCATTATGTTTCATAGCAGGCAGAAGCAGTCTGGCTGTTTTTGCTGTTTCTGCTCTGCTCTGAGGCATGGCACTCCTAGCCATAGCACTCAGCTTTCTCTCACCTCTCAGACAGTTGGGGCCTTCATAGGGCCTGTGGCAGTCACACTGGTAACTCAGCCACAAGTTGATGCAGCGTCCTCTGCTTTGACAAGGTTGGCTTTCACACCAATCCTTTCTCACACAGCCTGCCTTGACATTTAATGATGAGCCAGACGAGATGTTCTCCAGGGTAATGTGATTCCAATCAATTTTAATGTCTTGGAGACAGCCTACAAACGAAGGTGTGGATGGCATATTATAGAAGTTAAGCAGAGCAACACCATTGCTGGTCATTCCCACTGGTAAACCACCCAAAAAGGAGTTCTGAAAAGCACATATTGATTGATCACTTTCAAGTGGAGTAGGAGCTTTCGCGATGCATTTCTCCTTACAGGAGTCGTCGATTAAGGTAAGGGTCACAGCCTCTGCAAATATTACCTCCACGAAATGCCACTCTCCATCGCTGGTGTTGTGGGAAATGAACAGAAGCACCTTTGACTGATTATTGACCTGAATTGATAAGTGAATGTAGCCACTTAGCAGCTCCAGCTTCACAAACACATCCCTGTTGCTTCGGAAAAGTAGAAGAGCCATTGGCTGAACAGTCTGAAACCTGAGGGCTATGTTACAAACTGAGCCCTTGGTTGTCACTGAGCCACTTTTGACCCACAGGAAGCCATCGCCCTCAAATGAAAGTGTGGTTGCGATTTCACACAGGGACCCGGTGTAGCCAGATGGACATAGGCAGCTGAATCCATGCTGGCCATCTTGGAAGTGAGGGATGCATGTTCCATTATTTAGACATTGCTGATGGGTACAGCCCAGGAGAATATCAGAACAGTCCCTTCCTCCATAAAAAGTTCTAGAAAGGTTATCAAATGGGCAATGGCAAGTATAATTCCCAGGCAAGTTCTCACAAGTACCACCATTTTGGCAAGGGTTTGAAGAACATTCATTGACGTCTTCTTCGCAGTGGATTCCTGTTAAATAATAAAAAAGGGCTAAAATTATATATATTCACATCAAAAATAGAAGTTTCACGTAATTTACTTGTATAATCTTGCAGAAGTGCATGAATAGCTCAGGTTTAGGACTGTAATGGAGTAAAATGTAAACACTTAATAAGGAAAAGTAAAATCAATTCTATATTCCACCTGTGTCATGAAGAAAAAAGATGCAGTCATGGCAGGCTTTGTATTCTTCCTCTAGGAATAATTTGCCAAATACTGTGATTGATTCCAACTATCACTGTCAGATATACATGCAGCACTGAATATCATACAAACAAAAACAAGAAAAAAGATCGCTCTTGGCACTGATGTAAGATACAATTTATTTATTTCGAGACTTTTTTCTCAGACATTGTATATTCTGTCCCTGGCTGCAGATTTCACTCTATTCTACTTGGAAACAGTGATTTTGCCTTATATCTTGTTTATACTTCCCCATAATTCCTAAAAGTTTGCCAGAAATATAAATAGTCCAAACAACTCTCACCATGAAGGACTTCTAAGGTGAATGGAAGGCCCCATTTCCTCCTTCCCTGCAATGCCAGTGTAAAACATGATGTCTATACCATAACAAGCTCCTTTCCTGTTTATTATTTTAACTTCACTTTCTACTTTTTTTTTCTGATTCCAAGTCAAAAAATATATCTAATTAGGGAATTATTAGAATTCATTTAAAAAAAGTAATATGAATACGTATAACACCTTTTAATAAGCGTGGCTGTTGCTTTTCCAGGGAGATTCAAATGAACAAAGAGTAACAATAAGAACAGACATATGCGTAGGACTTTATGGTTTCCCCAACATCTTCATTCAAATTATTATATTTGTGCTCACTACAATTTTCTGAGGTTTTCAAAGCAGATATTCTTAGTTCTCTTTCACAGAGTAAATTGAGGTGTAGAAAGAGTGAAGTCTAAGTTCCAAAGCACTTCTAACATCAGACCCTACATTAACTAGTTTTTTTTGTTTGTTTTTTTTTTTTCGTTTTTGAGATCGTGTCTCGCTCTGTCGCCCAGGCTGGAGGGCAGTGGTGCAATCTCAATCTTGGCTCACTGCAAGCTCTGCCTCCCGGGTTTACACCATTCTCCTGCCTCAGCCTCCCGAGTAGCTTGGACTACAGGCGCCCGCCACCACGCCTGGTTAATTTTTTTTTTTTTTTTGTAGAGATGGGGTTTCACCATATTAGCCAGGATGGTCTCGATCTCCTGACCTCGTGATCCACCCGCCTCGGCCTCCCAAAGTGCTGGGATTACAGGTGTGAGCCACCACACCTGGCCTAAATTAACTAGGTTTTAAAAATCCAACCTGGCCATGCTCGGTAGCTCACAACTGTAATCCCAGCACTTTAGGGGGCCTAGCTGGGTGGATTGCTTAAGGCCAGGAGTTTCAGATCAGCCTGGCCAACATGGTGAAATCCTATCTTTACTAAAAATACAAAAACTGGCCAAGCATGGTGGCGCATGCCTGTAATCCCAGCTACTCTGAAGGCTGAGGCAGGACAATCTCTTGAACTCAGGAGGTGAAGATTGCAGTGAGCCAAGATCATGCCACTGCTCTCCAGCCTGGGCAACAAAGCGAGACTCTTGTCTCAAAAAAAAAAAAAAAAGAATCCAATCTGACACACAGTTTTTTAATTAATAATTTAGTGTATTCTCATTTATTGTTTGTTATTAATATGCATGTCTTATTTTTCCATTTAACTCTATGCCCAAATGTGTGTTTTTAAAAATTTAAACCAAAGATTCCTATATTGATAATGTTGGATCAGAACCCCAGCTATGCTGCTTGATTGTGAGCAGGTCACATATACTTTCTATATTTGTTTCCTCATCTATGAATGGGATTAATAATAGTATTTACATCACGAGGCTCTTTTAAAGATTAAACCAGTTAAGACATGTAAATATTCATAACATTGTTTGGTATATAACAAGTTCTCAATAAGTTTTGGCCAATACTAAAAAGTAGTAGGAAAGAATTACCCTCTAATGACAAAATTCAAATAGTACTGTAGTCATTGAGAGAGACTATTTAGAAAGTGTGGGCATGTGTAGTGTCCTGTAAATTGCGTAATTTTATATGAGAAATTTACTTGGACAGCATATTAGTCTAGAATCTCATCAAGTTGTGCTTTCCATGAAGGAAGGAAAATGCCTGTTTTATTCACCAATATATGTCTAAAACATAGCATAGTACCTGGCTTGTATTCACCATTTAGTAATTAATTTTGGAATGAATGAATTCATCATGACCTTCCTAAAGTGATTAAATATTTATATAATGCATTTAATCTGATCCAAAACCAAAGTGATCTTTTTGTGTAAACTTTTAGACAAACGTATGAAATGTTAATCTGACGATGTACTGCCATTTATGATCTACACGTCTAGGCACTTGATTGGACTCTACTGTACTTATATTTTACTGTACTGGGATTACTTTCATACAAGCTTTGTCAATTCAAAAATATTTCAAGCTCTGTGAAAACCGTGGACATATTATAATCTTTCTTAGAGACGCCCACAGCACCTGTACAGTGCTAAGGGTATGAATGATTAAATGTTTGATGGATAGAAAGAATAGAACTGAATGGAAGTAATCTATTTGTTATACAATTATCCTGGGAAGCACAGAAAACTGACACAGGAATTACAGGTAAACTACAGTATATTCTAAAGGGGTGTTCCAATACAAGTTTAATATAACTGAATATGAAAAGTTGAAACTTTTGTATTAGAAGATATTTTACTTAAACTTGATTTTCAAAGGATTTTAAGAACAAAAAAATTAATAACAAGTATTTGATTGAGGGTAAAACTATTGAACAACTGATATGGCATAACAAAAGCAAAACACGATTTTTTCTCCTACCCTATCTTGAAACATATTTAACTGGGGAAGGGTTTCATTGCCTCTAGATAAGTCTTCAGCAGACCCCAGGACTTTTCGGCTCACTATTAGATAGTAGTGTCACGATCTCTTAAAAAAAAAAACAAAGCAATAAGAATGGTCAGTCACATATAATGATCAAAAATTTCAATGCAATTTAGAATAAAATCGTCTTTGTCTGCTAGGCTAACTTCAGGCTGTCTTGAAGGAAGATTTGGAAGCCTTCTTCCCTCTTTCTATCCTTCCATTGTCTCCATCTTCAGATTTATGTGTTTTGTCCCCTAGAAGACTGAACTTGGTGGCAAAAAAAGGGGGAAGGGGGCACAGAAATTATTCACTTGACTGATACAATATGGCTCCATGGTTTCTGAGACTGGGAGGTGTTTAAAGTTGGTATTTGTTATAAGGGACACTTATGACTTCCTTGGAGCCCACTCTATTCCTGCAGCTGAGACTCACTCTAGAGAACTGTGAAGGCAGGCAGACGTTGCCTCTCTTTTTACTGGCGGCTCATATTTGCTCCTTCCTCAACCCCTTTGCTATTGGTTTACTGACGTTTACTCCTTCTTCCTTCTTTATCAACTCTTTTAGTGGGATTCTTTGACCTTCCAACAGAGGCCTATTGGGAAGAACTATTTTTACACAAACTGCCTACTAATGCTCCTACCATGGGTTCCCCATCTAGACCACAGGATTCACGTACCCTTAACCTGCAGTAGGAGGGGAGCACATTTACTTTCCAACACAGCACAGCAGCAATTCTTTCTCTCTCTTTCCTGACACCTCGGGTTAAGAGTCATCACGCTTTTTCATCTTTGGATTCCTCAGGCAGGTGGAGAATCTAGTCTAAGTTTCCTGTTCCTTCCCTTCCACCAACTTTAGATGACACTGGAGCACTCCTGGAAGCTATGGTCACTCTGGTTTAGAATGTGGCATCCAGCCCTCAATTTGATGAGTAAGGTTCAACTCACAACACAGCAGCAAGCCTCTCCAACGAAATCTCCTTATAGACCCACTCCTTCAAATTGCCTCTGAAGAATTTTCACACATCCCTGACATAAGTATAAACCTTTTGGCCAGGCACGGTGGCTCACACCTGTAATCCCAGCACTTTGGAGGCCCAGGCGGGTGGATCATGAGGTCAGGAGTTTGAGACCAGCTTGACCAATATGGTGAAACCCTGTCTCTACTAAAGATACAAAAATTAGCCAGGCGTGGTGGCGTGTGCCTGTAATCCCAGCTACTCAAGAGGCTGAGGTGGGAGAATAGCTTGAATCTGGGAGGCGGAGGTTGCAGTGAGCTGAGATTGTGCCACTGCACTCCAGCCGGGGCAACAGAGCGAGACTCTGTCTCAAAATAATAAATAAATAAAATAAAATAAAAAATAAAAAAGTATAAACCTTTCAAAAACCTAAAGTCTGTTATCTGTATTTACTTTAACATCTTGTGTTTTTATTTCTTTCATAATTCACTTTGGTACCTGACAGCAACCATATCTTGACCCCTTAGATGAAATTTCAATTGACCATTTTCTCAATTTATAGAATAGCTACTCTATGATGTACTCTCAGAGTACTCTCAGACTACAAACTAGAAGACGTAGACCTAGCCTGAATGTATTTACAATATAATGGAAGGACAAAATATATATTTATGAAAATGCATTGTACATAGTATGTTCCCAGCAGATGTCGATAATATATGAGAATAAAACTCAGGCAACATTAGAGCATATTTAGGAAAGTTTTAGGAAAAATACTTTGAATGATAGATAATGAAACATCTTTAGATATGAAATCTTCATATTAAATTTAAGTCAAATCAATAAATATTGATTACATATCATGTATAAAATATTGCAGATAACATGAAGTTCGAACTAGTCCCTGTCCTCAATGAATTTAATAAAGGAAAAGTAAGACAAATTTGTGAAAAACTAAATGATAGTGCAAGTCAAGACAATACTGAAGAGATTTCACTAGACAGTACACAATAGATTCTAAGTGAATAGTTTGGGCAGTAGCTGCTGCAGAGCCTCTGGAGAAGGGTATCTCTTCAGGCCTGGCTGGGAAGGTCTTATAGAAATAGAATTTAATATAGGTTTTCAAATATAGGTCAAGTTGATAAAGAGGTCCTTGTGGGCGGACGCAGTGGCTCATGCTTGTAATGCCAGAACCTTGGGAAGCCGAGGTGGGCGGATCACGAGATCAGGAGATCGAGACCATCCTGGCTAACACGGTGAAACCCCATCTCTATTAAAAATACAAAAAATTAGCCAGGTGTGGTGGTGGGCGCCTGTAGTCCCAGCTACTCAGGAGGCTGAGGCAGGAGAATGGCGTCAACCCGGGAGGCGGAGCTCGCAGTGAGCCGAGATCAAACCACTGCACTCCAGCCTGGGCGACAGAGTGAGACTCTGTCTCAAAAAAAAAAAAAAAAAAAGAAAAGAAAAAAGAAAAAGAAAAAAAAAAGAAAAAAGAAAAAGAGGTCTTTGTGTGTGTAAATAAGTGAATAAACAAAACACTCATCGATGGGAAAGCTTAACATTTAGAGGTGACAATGAGTTTGGCAATCTGGTTGGCATGTACAATTTACCTAGAAAAATAAACACACAAAGGTTAAATGTAGCCAGAGTGGAGAAGGTCTGGGAACTTACGAGGTTTTTAGCTGTATTTATTTATTTTCTGGCAGTGGGGAGTCATACGTAATTGTTGGACAGAAAACCAACATGGTTTCTCATAAAGATCACCTTCACAGGGATATGTAACAGAATGAAGTGGGAAGAAAGTAGAGACAGGAAGACCAACTAGGCAGCTATTAAAACTATTGACACATAAGCTTATTAGAGCTTGAAATAAGATGTTTATTTCTTTACAATTTACAGTACACTCTCATTTATCCTTTGTGGGCAAATAAGTGCAGATGGTCATGCTTTCTATACCATTGCCTACTGTTTTTTTTCTTATGATTGCTAAAATTTATGCATTTGATCTTTCATAAAATGTCAATAATTTGATTATGTGTTTCTTTAAATATAAACAGAAAAGCAAGTTTTAAATTTTACCATCACTTTAAAAAGAACAAAAAAAGGAGAGAAAGCCTGTATTAAGATCAATAGTCCGAAGAACAGCAAACAGAATTAGGTATGAAAAGTAGAATGATAAACAGCGATTTATGCTTTTACTTCACTTAAAATCAATTCTATTGACATGTCCAATGTAAAATAAAGTCCAACATATTTATTTGATGAACCCAGAAAACTAAAAGTGGGAAAAAAGATAAAAATGTCTCCTATTGGTTATTGGAGGAGCTGGGCAAAGAACAAGATCTGTTGTCAATCAAGATAAAAGGATTAGGACATATTTATGGGACCATTGGGGCCATTCAGTCTTCTTAATTGGGTATTTTAGTTGAATACAAATTGCTTATTTATGTGCAATTATTTATAGTATGGGATGGATTACTTGAAGCTTATTGTTATTTGCTTAAAGTCAATTAATTTAATTAATTAAAAACTGTCACCTCATTTTACTTTCCTAAAATTTTTTTAGTTCAGTATCTGATTCCATAATAATACTGTATTTCAAAAATAATCATGATAGCAAAAATTTCTACCACTTGGTATATCTCATATTTCCTTGAGAATAAATCATATTAATGGATAAAAGGAACGTAGACTTTATATTTAGAATTAATATCATTGGATATGAAGATGATTTTTGTCATAATTCTCACTTTGCTGAAGCCATGGTTAATGAAATATCTAATATGAAGTTATATAATTTACCCTAGATATATATATACTAGACATATATACAAAGACATATACAAATGAGGAAGTTTCATCTTGATCTGTTTTGATTGACTTAGGATTTTAAAAATTTTAATAAATAGAAATCAAAGTAGAAATTATCTAAAGCCAAAAACTCAATGCATAAATATATCCACTTTTCCTTTCTCAAAAGTTTGAATTTTCATTTGATAGTAATATCTGTTATAGCATTAAACAATAGTTGCTAAATAAACATCTTAAAAACACTAAGCATGTTGCAAATTAGCGTATATAAGAAGAGAGTTAGTTACCTATGAGCATTGCCATTAAAATGTGAAAACCATGTGTCCTGGCTCCAAACATCTTTCTGTTAAAAAAGAGGTATCCATCCAAACACCTACTAGGTTGACAGAGTGAGTTTCTGATCATTTTGGACCATATCCAGAAGTGTGGGCTTGTTCTTCAATGTCACCTCTTTCTCGCAGGTAGAGAGTATGGGGACTTGGTTTTGACTCATTTCCCTCCAAGCTGGATCAGTGTGGCTTAGTGTAAGACTCATTTGTGCTGCTTACCAGGCAGATTTGTTATTCTTAGATCCTATCCCTGCTTAACACATGGTGCCTCCCCTTTTTAAGTCACACTAGTGAATGTTATGATCACAACACTGAACGCTGACAGTATTATTATGAAGAAATGAATTTTGGGAAATCTAAACACAGATAAGTATTTTGGACAACTTCTGTTGTGGAAAATTAGGGCCTGATTTTATTTTGCTTTACAACAAAGGAAATGCTGTTTTTGTTTTTGTTTTCTTTTGTTTGTTTTCCTTTTGAATAGTGGTTAAGAAATTAATGGCAACTTCAAATCTATTAAGTATCTATGCAAGGGATAGAAAGGAAAGAAAAATTAAGAAAAAAGAGTAAAGGCTTTTATTAATTGAGACTGTGGCAAGAGTTACTTGTGTGGTGCTCTCAGAGAAATTCCAGCCTCTATGAAAGACCAGTTATGCTCCACTCCTTCTACATCCAATGGCATTTAATTTTGTACAAGAGAATAATTTGAATATGTGAGGTGTTTGAGATACACTTAGAGTACAAACAAAAAAAGTGATTCTTTTTTGTTTCTTTTTAACATTTTCTTAAAGGGGAACCTGAGGACCTAGAGAGGTTTCACATAGGCAGTATAAGCTGAGAGGTCATGAAGCCCCTAGAACTACCATACTCCCTAAAATTCTCACAATCAGAGCAATTCCTTTAGGTTGAGACCTTGTCTCTTAGAAGCCTCAGTAAAGGTGAAAATGTTACCTGAGAGGGGCAGTAACTGTATCATGAAATAGTCATTAGTGCCTTATCATGGGCAGTGTATGCCAAGTTAAAAAAAATAATCGCCAGGTAACTGAGGTCAGATAAGTTGTGATGGAAACCAGTAATAAGGCAGAAAACGTGTGATGCAAGAGACATTGCAATAGTGCATGTATTCATTCATTTATTATTCATTCATATTTAAAACTTATTTATCAAGGCCTTAGTTTGACTGCCACTATGTGAGTGCAGGAGATATGATAGTGAAGAAAAATAGATATAATCTTGCTTTTTGAAGCATACAGTTTATCCAAGCTTATAGTAGTGGGGAAGCCTAAGCAGACAACAGCCTTGAGGACCAAAGGAGGAAATGTATCTATTGGGGGCTACAGGGTGAAGGTGGTGTAAGAAGGAGAGGGAACATATTCAGGGTTCTGATCAATGGACCTACTTGGAGAGGCATTTCTAATAGCCCTCAGGGAATCAAAATAATGAAGTAGAATAAACATGGACTTGGAGTCAGACTATGACACTGACTTTTATATTAATCGGAGCTTTGATACTAGGCTATGAGAACTTGGGTAAATTAGCTAATTTATTTAAGCTGAAATTTCTTATAAAGTAGAAATAATAAAGCCTATGAAACAATTATTTTTGTGTGAACCAAATGAGATAACTATAAATGCTTGGAGCATGCTAGTCATTCAAAGGAGTTTCACCAACTTTTTTGTAGACAGCATAAGTGAACTTGGATAAATATTACTTGAATAAAAATATATAAGGCATACTTATTGAATTTATAGGCAACATGAACCTGTTAAAAATAATGACCATCCTTAGGCAGAAATTATGGTTACCTCTAGTAGTCATTCCCCAGCATGTCCCATGCCTGTTCCTTACAGAGAGAAATGTGTTCCACCGTATAGAATACACATGTCAAATATATTCTTTCACACACTCCTTTACAGCTGGGTCATGGGCATGTGACCCAATCCTGGTCAATAGGACTTGAGGGGTGCTCTGCTAGGGGGAGGCTGAAAAAGGTTTTCTTCTCCAATACAACAAAGAGATGTACCTTTAGAGGGCTTGGAGGAGGGAGAGGATCAGGAAAAATAACTAATGGGTACTAGGCTTAACATCTGGGTGATGAAATAATCTGTACAACAGCCCCCCATGACAGAAGTTTGCCTATGTAAAAAAATCTGTACTTGTACCCTTGAACTTAAACTAAAAGTTAAAAAAGGAAGAAAGAAAATGAGAACTTTAACACAATATATACTTATACACAAACCTTAATAATTTACATGAATACATGTAAATGAGTCTATATAGCTAATATATCAGAGTGATGTACAAAAGGAAAGGAGAAAAATGAATGAGGAATGGGGGAAACTATAGAATAGGATTGGTTGGGACAGAATGGAATAGATATAAAGCAGGCAAGCCAGGGATCTCATGTCAACTAAAGAAGACAGTTTTCTATAATCTGAAGTAAAGAGTTAACTCTTTTCACTTGAGGTGAAGAAACCACAAAACTGGATAGAAGAGATACAACTTATTGGGTGAAGACCTATGAGTTTCAATTGATAATAATTTACTAATAATTATTATTAACACTTACATAATGTACAGCAGCCTATGGTTTACTTTATTCTGTATTACCTCAACTTATCTTTGAAATATGGATCCATGGTGATGTGACTTTCCAAATTTTATGTGACATTGGGGCTGTCATGACCGATGATAGTATCTGGGGCAAAGGAAATGAAAATCCCTTTCTAACTCCCAATTTGAACTCGAAATATTTTTGTTTTAGGAGACAGCGATAAGATATGGACACTCCAATAAAGAAAGCTAATATGATAGTGATTTTACTTGAAATCATGTCATTAGAGAAATTATTGGAGAAAATTGAATGTTTAACCAGGAGAAAAGCAGATACCAGGGCATATCAGAAGGGTCTTCATGTAGCTAAAGGTCTAACACATGGAATTTTATGTTTTATTTGTTTCTAACTGTGAAAACTAGTACCAACAGTAAGAAGCCTTTGGATGGTTTATTTATGCTCACTGTGCAGAATCTTCTAGCAGTTGATGCTCATCAAGCATAGAACCAGCTGTCTTGGGAGACAGTATGTTTCCTGACATTGAAGCTGTGCAGATTTAGAGAGAATCATCATTCAGCATGGATATTATCATCGAAATTTAAGAAAAGGTATGTTATGTATTTCAATGGCCTCTAGTGATTCTCCCAGTCCTAAGATTCTATCATAATTTTAAGTAAAGAATATGCCGCATGAATAATTTCTAAGTAGAGAATTTATAAGTGGAAAATATGCTGAATATAAGAGTTGACATTTTCATAAATTCATAATTTTGTCACAGTTTAAAAAATCTGTAAAAAGGGAAGAGCAGTAACTTCTTTAGAAGGCCACTAATAAGGATTAAATGAGGCAATTGTTCATAGCATGTGGTTCCAGGTCATAGGTGCTTATCAAATGTTGCTTGTCTTGCCATAATTCACTAACTCTATTTTTATTTGCTTAAAAACATAGTTAGATTTCATCATGTCCACAATTTTTCTCCGTATTGATTACCATTAAATTTTACTTTTCTGGAGGTCAGTCCCTGTACGTGACCTCAACTATGCAGAACATAATCAAGAACGAAGATGTGTCCTAAAAGTGTCTATGTTTAAAACTGGAGATGGCGAAGTTTGTTAACTATTTCCTCAGGCCTTAATCCATCATTCATTACTATTTTAGATACAATTAAAGCAAGCTTGATTATCAAATATTTCAGCTTGCAGTGGAATAGAATCAGCAAAAGAAAAGGATAAGGGATAACTTTGTGTACCTTTTCAGCCAGCAGGAAATGACAGCTGAGAACTAGAAAATGAATGTGAGTGGATAGAACTAACACTTACTGGCCGGGCGCAGTGGCTCACGCCTGTAATGCCAGCACTTTGGGAGGCCGAGGAGGGCGGATCACGAGGTCAGGAGATCGAGATCATTCTGGCTAACACGGTGAAACCCCGTCTCTACTAAAAAATACAAAAAAAGTAGCCGGGCATGGTGGCGGGCGCCTGTAATCCCAGCTACTGAGGAGGCTGAGGCAGGTGTGTGGCATGAACCCCTGGAGGCGGAGCTTGCAGTGAGCCGAGATTGCGCCACTGCACTCCAGCCTGCGCGACAGAACGACTCCGTCTCAAAAAAAAAGAGAAAGAACTAACACTTCCTGAGTCTCAGATCTGTGCCAGTCACTGTGGTAAGTGCTTTATTTATGTGGCCATTTAATCATTCTAATGAATGATGAAGCATGTATTGCTACCTGCATTTCACAGATGATGAAACCAAGCCAACTTGTGGTTGGTACTCAGTCTGCCTGACTCCTGAGATAAGTCATTTGTTCTCTACAACATGCTCCCTCCGAAAAAATAATATGATGAGCTGGCATAAAATAATATTAAAAAGTATAGTACCTTGAAGATATTGAAAATAGGAACAAAATCAAAATCTATAGAGCATAGGACAATAAATAATAACATTGTCGTCAATAAGATACAAAATTGTATGCAACATTTTTAAACCAGAAATGCAAGAAAATGTGTAATATATTTCTGAAATATTTAAATGTGAAATGATTAAAAAAAACATTTTTCCCACAAGAATTATAAAAATGTGTTATGCCAAAAGCTCTTTTATGTGGGTCACTGTCAACCTTAATATCAGAAAAATGTGGTGTTACTATGTTGGTAACTTATTTTGTATATTAAGATTGTGTGTGTACAGCGTATAGCATGGAATTGTTTCTTCAGCATCCATTCTTTGCTCTACTTTATGATTATACTATTCTAAAGTTCTGATGCAAGAGATACATATACACACTCTCCAGACCTGATATTTGTTCAAAACCATATGGTAGCTCAGATAAAAAAAATACTGAGCCCAGAGGAAGATTTGATTCAGTCTATTGTGTGGAAAGTATTCTGAGATCTTCAAACGAAAGACAAAATAGCTGCAAAAAGCCTTGCATTTCAGTTTCACATTTCACTTGATTTTGCACTTCAAAAGTCATACTTTGAAGCTCAGTGGATATAGGTAAGTGATTTTTAGTTATTTTACGGACTAACAAGTAGAAAGTACAGCACTGCACATGCTCACTCTTGTTGACTTTACTTTGAAAAGTAATTTCAGAGAAACTCAACCCAGTTCAACCAGAACTATCCTAATTGGCTTTGATCAGTAAATCATCAGAAAGGGCTCTGCTCTTGCTTGGTCCTTTTTTCCCTTGTCTTGTCAAAAGTGAATGATTAAACACTTAAGTTAAAGTGAATTATAAAAACCTGTCTTGTATGGAGTTGGATGTTGCTGTTCTAAGAAATGTTGGCTTTCTCTCTGCCATGGTAAGAACTGGCTTTACATTCTTTAGCAGTGCTGTTTGTCATTTTTTGCAAATTTATTAATACTTTAATTTTGTACAGCCATGAAAATATCAAAGGCCAAGTATATTATTGACCTGGTAAGGCCCGACATTCAAGGCCCTCCACAATCTGGCTTTTATTCATCTCCCAGCATTATTTCCCATTGCTTACTGCATAAATGGTTGTATTAAAATATATTTTAGTAGAATAAAATTTAAAACACATTCAAAGTTTTCTCTCTCTCTTTCGTTTTTTCAAAATCCCAACTTTCTTTCAGAGTTCTGCTCAACTGCTACTTTCTCTTCAGTTTTTTAAAAATCCCAACTTTCTTTCACAGTTCTGCCCAATTGTTACTTACCCATATTGAAATGCCTTCTATTGGTAACTCTCACTCATGTTTGTCCTTGAACATCTGAGCTTATCCATATGGAACCCAGCACAGAGTACATTGTATTCTTTTTTTTAATATTTGTGATTTACTTTCCTCAACTGCATGGTAACTCTTATAAGTGTGAATACCTCTTTCTATGTTTACTTCCTAGTGTACGGTATTATATAATACAGTACTGCTATAAAGTATATATCTTGATGAAATGTGTGAAATGCTGTAATCAAAATGAACATGCATTCAGTCTTTTCTCCTGCATAAAGAGCCTAATGTATTGGAAGACAACTTTAGTCTTTATTCAATGCAAAGGTTGTAAACCTGGCATTTGCAGATATCTAATGTATCCATGAATGGACATGACAGGTCTGTAAATCATTTGAAAATATATGTAATATTTTTTGATTTGTTGTTTTGCATTTTCTGGGGGAAGAATTTATAGTATTGACTCTATAAAATATAATATCATAAGAGTCCCTTAGTGGGAGTGGGTGTGATTAAAATGCAAAATCTTAGGACACATCACTAGAAATTCTGATTCTGTGAATCAAGATCGGGCTCAGATAGCTGCATTTTTTATGAGCATACCAGGTAATTCTGTTAGCACTCTTCCTCAGAACTGGTCTAAAATTTCAACAAATTTTCACAGGAATATTTGATCTGGAAAAGCTAAGAAGCTCTGATCGCAGGAAATAAAACACTTTCAGAGACACAAATTTTATCTACCCATGTAAATGTGTCAGTTCAAAGAAGCTGGCTTTGGATTGGCATTTAAACTGTTCCTAAAAAATGGCAGTGACTTTTAGAAGAAATAACTTTAGTTGATAGAGGTTTCTTGATAAAAGGCAGAAACTACTTCACCAAAATATTTCTTTAAAACTTCTATTTGGCCAAAACCCGAAATCTCTAACATACTTGGATTATACCATATGCTGCCTATTAACTGAGTAGATTTCATTATGTCCTTCATAGAATAAAAAGAATATCTTAAATATGCAACAAGAAATTTTCCTCCATATTTTGTCTTTGCTTTAACCATTTTTCCACTTCATTCTTTCTTAGTACAATCTTAAGATTAAAAAGTTACCTGTGGCATATTGTAGCAAACATAGGCTGACTTAGCTTCTTAATTACTAGGTTTACATATATTAATTGGCAAGCCAATTTAATAAATATGGAAGAGAGAGGAGGTGTTTGGAGGTCAAATGTCCCAGCAATGGCTCCAGTTAAATATGTGATCCTACAGGAGCCATGTAGTTTCTCTGAGTTTTAACTTTGTTCATGGTGAAATGGGAGTAAGCACCTTTGCACCACCTACCTTTAGTTGTTGTGAGAACTGGAAAAGGTAATTAATATGTAAATATTTTAGAAAATATAAAGTGCTCTATTCGGCAAAATATAAAGCACTATACAACTATAGGGTAATATGTTTCTCTAAATGTCTGGAATTTGTCATTTGGTTAAAAAAAATAAAAATCCCTCTAATTTTAAAGTTAAGTTAATAAAAGAAATATTTGAAATGTTAAATTTATGTTAGAGATCCATTCATTTTGTAAATATAAATTCTAACAGCTATTTAATTAAAATATGCAGAATATTGAGCACATTATTTTTTATTTATTTATTTTTTTATTGATCATTCTTGGGTGTTTCTCGCAGAGGGGGATTTGGCAGGGTCACAGGACAATAGTGGAGGGAAGGTCAGCAGATAAACAAGTGAACAAAGGTCTCTGGTTTTCCTAGGCAGAGGACCCTGCGGCCCTCCGCAGTGTCTGTGTCACTGGGTACTTGAGATTAAGGAGTGGTGATGACTCTTAACGAGCATGCTGCCTTCAAGCATCTGTTTAACAAAGCACATCTTGCACCACCCTTAATCCATTTAACCCTGAGTGGACACAGCACATGTTTCAGAGAGCACAGGGTTGGGGGTAAGGTCACAGATCAAGAAGATCCCAAGGCAGAAGAATTTTTCTTAGTACAGAACAAAATGAAAAGTCTCCCATGTCTACTTCTTTCTACACAGACAAGGCAACCATCCGATTTCTCAATCTTTTCCCCACCTTTCTCCCCTTTCCATTCCACAAAACCGCCATTGTCATCATGGCCCGTTCTCAATGAGCTGTTGGGTACACCTCCCAGACGGGGTGGTGGCCGGGCAGAGGGGCTCCTCACTTCCCAGTAGGGGCGGCCGGGCAGAGGCGCCCCTCACCTCCCGGACGGGGCGGCTGGCCGGGCGGGGGGCTGACCCCCCCACCTCCCTCCCGGACGGGACGGCTGGCCTGGCGGGGGCTGACCCCCACCTCCTTCCCAGACGGGGTGGCTGCGGGGCGGAGACGCTCCTCACTTCCCAGACGGGGTGGCTGCCAGGTGGAGGGGCTCCTCACTTCTCAGACGGGGCAGCTACCGGGCGGAGGGGCTCCTCACTTCTCAGATGGGGCGGTTGCCAGGCGGAGGGTCTCCTCACTTCTCAGACAGGGCGGCTGGGCAGAGACGCTCCTCACCTCCCAGACGGGGCGGCAGGGCAGAGGCGCTCCCCACATCTCAGACGATGGGCGGCCGGGCAGAGACACTCCTCACTTCCTAGATGGGATGGCGGCCGGGCAGAGACGCTCCTCACTTTCCAGACTGGGCAAGCCAGGCAGAGGGGTTCCTCACGTCCCAGACGATGGGCGGCCAGGCAGAGACGCTCCTCACTTCCCAGACGGGGTGGCGGCCGGGCAGAGGCTGCACTCTCGGCACTTTGGGAGGCCAAGGCAGGCGGCTGGGAGGTGGAGGTTGTAGCGAGCCGAGATCACACCACTGCACTCCAGCCTGGGCACCATTGAGCACTGAGTGAACCAGACTCCATCTGCAATCCCGGCACCTCGGGAGGCCGAGGCTGGCGGATCACTCGCGGTTAGGAGCTGGAGACCAGCCCGGCCAACACAGCGAAACCCCGTCTCCACCAAAAAAATAAGAAAACCAGTCAGGCGTGGCGGCGCGCGCCTGCAATCGCAGGCACTCGGCAGGCTAAGGCAGGAGAATCAGGCAGGGAGGTTGCAGTGAGCCGAGATGGCAGCAGTACAGTCCAGCTTCGGCTCGGCATCAGAGGGAGACCGTGGAAAGAGAGGGAGAGGGAGACCGTGGGGAGAGGGAGAGGGAGAGGGAGAGGGAGAGGGCGAGGGCGAGCACATTATTAACAATAGCTACTGCTATTGCGTAGGTATGGTGTGCAGCTCACTTTGCTAAGTATTTTACTGTATTATTCATTTCTCACAACCTCACAGTGAGGTAATTAAGCTGAATAAATTGAAACTTTGACAGCTTATGAAACTTGCCAAAAGTCACAGAATTAGACAGTGGTAGTGCCAGAACTTAAATTTAGATCTGGCAGTGCCCAAATACAAATTAGTTACAGTTATATCTATCACAAGTTTAGCTATATTGAAGCAATGTAAACAAGTTTGAAACATGTAAACAACAATAATAATTGCTGTTTAGCAGGGGCACATATCCACTCTATAGCATCATCTATTTAACAGTTACTGTCAATATCCCATTAAAATGTGTATGAAGACAAGAAAAAGATGAGAGGTAACACAATAGTAACAGATAAAATGAAAAGATAACTTACTGTCTGAATTGGAGAAAATGCTTAACCATAAAACCAAAGGTGCTGAATTAAACAAAACCAGTGTGAAACAAGAAAGTAGCAACAGAAATGGTGACTAACGTCATCTGACAAGTTCCACTACTTTTTTTTTTTTTTTTTTTTTTTTTTTTGAGACGGAGTCTCGCTCTGTCGCCCAGGCTGGAGTGCAGTGGCGGGATCTCGGCTCACTGCAAGCTCCGCCTCCCGGGTTCATGCCATTCTCCTGCCTCAGCCTCCCGAGTAGCTGGGACTACAGGCGTCCGAAGTTCCACTACTTTTAGGAAAGTACAGAGACGTGGTTTTCATATCCTGCAATATGCAATTAGGCTCAGAGCCCTGGGTCTGCACTAATGAGAGAGCCAGCTGATGGTCACTCAGTTGCTTTACAGAGCTAGTCTGAATACTATTTTCCTTGTCATTCTTATACTCTGTCTTCTCCATGCTTTGAGAAATGACAACTTGCAGAACAAAACAAGGCAAAAGCAACAGAGGACTATATTTTATTTATCTTACAAGTGACAGAGAAGATATCTGCTTGGTTTGAAGTATCTGTGAAACTGGTTAGATCCTAGTACAGTTTAGTATTATTACAACAGATGGTTACCAACTACCGGAACTTGAACAGCAATTTCTACTATGTATCTGAGGTGGAGCTTTGACTGTTCCTCAAGGTGGTCAGTGAACCTGGCTAATGACAGCTCACAGATTTATTTTGTTAGCAAACACTAGGTCTGGTTGTGCACTTGCTAAGGAGATGTGGGGAAGAGCGGGGCAGGGGGAGAGAGGGAGAGAGAGAGAAAGAGAAAACTAATTCCTTTCAACATCAGATTGTAGTTATGTGTAAGTTAGGATGATCTGGCAGCAAGCAATAGAGAACCTAAATGAAGCTTCCCTAAATATTAAAATTTATTGGCTCATATAAGGAGAAAGTCCAAGAAAAAAAAAACATCAGCAGGGTTATCTTGAAGACTCAAAAAGATCAAGAACTCAGATATCTACCACTTCTTCACTTCACTGGTCAAAGTTTCAGCTTTACCTCAAAGACATTTTTGAAGTTATAGGATGGTTGCAAGTAGCACTCTATCTACATGCTTCCTCATTCACGTCCCCCTGATGTCTCTACCTAAAGAACAAATGAGAACTTCCCGAGAAGCCATCAGCAAACCTTTACTCATATTCATCTCTAAATGGATCAATGGCAAGAAGTGGGAGGAAAGAGGATTATTCTTTGGAACTGAGAATGAAGTCAGCCTCCTCTAATGTACCTGGCTGCTAGGAAAAGAAGGTTATTAAAGAAACCACTGTTCTTTTATGAAGAGGTAAAGCAAGAGGGAATACATGATGATTGGACAGACACATGTTGTGTGTTTGAGTATCTATACATATACATACATACATTATGTATTCCTAGTGCTCCACAAAAGAAAGGGAACATAACGCTAAAGAGCTAAAGGAAGAAAACCCAAAATCTGGCTTATAACAAAACATCAAGAACATTTTAGAATACTACATTATTTTCATGACAATATGTGTGAAAACTTGATTTCTGTGGAAATAAAGTAAAAAGACACAAAAATGAAAACAATAACTGAAAAGACAACAGGATGGGATTAAGGACTACAGACAGAGAAGAAAAGGATGCAGTGTAAAATAACAAGAATAAACTAAAACTAGCATTGCAATAGTGCTATTAAAATCTACATTGGGGGCAGAAAAGTGGAAAACTGGTACTGCAGATAATCAAAGCAGTATGATCTAGGAATTAGTTATACAGATATGTTTAGTTGATGAGAACTCATTAAGCTAAATACTTGGTTTATGTAATTTTTTGTTTATTGTACTTCAATAAAAATTTTAAAACTGCATCTGTGATAAGAGAACAAAACTGAGAAACTATCCCAGAGATAAAGGGACTAGAGAACAGAAATTAGACCTTAAAATTTCAAATGTAACTGAGAGAGAAATCAAAATACTTTGAAGTGGATTAACAATAAAAGACAGCTGACCTATTTTTCTTGTTGAATAAGACAGGAGACAGCATATTAAAATGGATGACTATCTTTTAGTCAACATTAATTTTAAACGACATACATCTAAATAATGATGAAATAATTAACTGTGATTGGATAAAGAAAATGTGGTACATATACACCATGGAATACTATGCAGCCATAAAAAAGAACAAGGTAATGTCTTTTGTGAGAACATGGATGGAGCAGGAGGCCATTGTCCTTAGGAAACTAATGCAGGAACAGAAAACCAAATACTGCATGTTCTCACATATAAGTGAGAGCTAAATGATGAGAACTCATGAACGCAAAGAAGGGAACAACAGACACTGAGGACTCCTTGGGGATGGAGGGTAAGTTGAGGGAGAGGAGCAGAAAAAAATAACTAAATAACTATTGAGTACTAGGCTTAGCACCTGCATGACAAAATAATCTGTGCGACAAACTCCTGTGACACGAGTTTAACTGTATAACAAACCTGCACATGTACTCCTAATCCCAAAATAAAAGTTAAAAAGAAAACAAAACAAAAAGAAGAAAAACAATAATAAAAATTAACTGTGGATACAAGGAAAACATAAAAATATTAATTTATATTAAAATATTTTAAAAGACATAAAAATAAACAAATTTAAAAGATACAAATAAATGCCAAAAGAATATCAAAATAATAGAATTAAAGTTAAAACATTTTGAATATAAAAGACTGAGACCCTGAAATTCTGTGCACAGAGAAACTGTCATTCAAATTTGTAGATAACAGAAAGAGATACTACTTATG
The DNA here is from genome assembly GCF_000001405.40 of Homo sapiens. NCBI lineage: Eukaryota > Metazoa > Chordata > Mammalia > Primates > Hominidae > Homo > Homo sapiens. Next base: position 197,401,782 of record NC_000001.11, on the reverse strand, counting down.
ATAAGTGCATAGCCTAAAAATACTTAAAGATAAACTTCATGTGACTAAGGGAAAAATTATAATATCATTGGGAAGAATATTAGTTAAATAGCATAAAATAGTACATTATCAAATATTAGTGGGCAGATTATTAAAGAACTGGTCATAAACATTAAAACCAGTTCAATTTGAAAGTATGGCTAAATCATTTTGCAAAACAGAAGACACAAAATACGACAAATTGTTCAAGGTTATTCTTCAAAAATAAATTTCCAAAATGTTAAAATAATAATTGGATGACAACAATTTGTTCCCAAGCTCATGATTATGTTAGCAAAGACCATGCTATCATGGAAAAGATGAAATTTTATTTAAAACATGCTAAATTCTTTGTCTTACATAGTGGGCAATCAAAACAATATGATTTCACTTTGACCTTGGTAATTAGAGGAGAATAGATTAAAACATTTAAAAAATGTTTTTAAGTTTAAAAGTAGCCTAATGAAAACAAAATATGGAAATTCCAGAACACTGGTGGAGATAAACATCAACAAAATAATATACAAAAAATACAAAAATTATTTTTAAAACACCAATTTAAAAAAACCCACACTCTACAATAACAGAAAATGAGAAGGTAGGAGCAAGGCACTACAAATGGTATAATAATAGCTATATATATGCTTAAACACAGCAGTAAAAGGCAAGGACTCAAAAATTGTATTACAAAAAGGAAGTTTAAAGATATTGTGAGGTAGCAATTTATTCGGATACAAAACTATATATAATATAATTTCAATTTCTCTGTGTATATGTATGTGTGTGTTGGGGAAGGGAAGAATAGAGAAAAACAGAGAGGAAAAGAAGGGAAGGAAAGCAGAATAGATATACTAAAGTATTTTTAGGTGTGCGATTAGAATTTTTAACTTCCTTTATTTCTTTTCTATATTTTCCAAATTTTCTACAATGAATATGTTTTACTTTAATTTAGAAAAAGATAACAGACATATTTCAAAACAGAAACACAAAAGCTTTTAAGTCTTTAAGAGTCAAAAGGAAACTTAAATCAGGGCTGGATAGTATCTGAGTGAGAAACCTTAAATCAGGGCTGGATAGTATCCGAGTGAGAAACCTTGTACATCAAAGTGAGGAGAGGAGTTTCTGTTTATTTTGTTTGCACATTTTATAATTTACTCTGGAAGGAAGAAGCAGGATAGGTTTTGTAAGAGTTCCAGAGATACAAAAGAGATTTAGTTAGGAGTGTATAGTTTCTGTTTTTAAAATGTGTCTTTGTGTATTACATCATCATCATCATCATCAAAAAAAAAAAAATGCTCTTTTACTTCTGGTTCTGCTACTCTAGAGGCCAAGATGGGAGGATTGCTGGAGCCTAGGATGTCGAGGCTGCAGGCTGCAGTGAGCCAAGATTGCGCCACTGCTCTCCAGCCTGGGTGACAGAGCAAGACCTTATCTGTTTTAAAAAAAAAAAAAAAAAAAAAGCTCTTACATTCAAAATCTCTGACCCTACTTTTATGGCACAATGCTGTGAAGGATGCACCACCATCTAGTGGTTACTCCGGTTAATTGCAGAACAATTGATTGATGGATGAGTTCATTTATCCATTGGACATAAATAGCTGTTTGAGCACTTGCCATGTATAATATTAGGCATCTAGTGAATCTTTTGGTTTTATTGACTTGGTCCTCACATGTAGTAGGCAGAGTTCTATATGACTCTATAGCTCCCAATGATCCCCATGTCCAGGCATTCACATCCTTGGATAAGCCCCTCCCCTTGAGTCTGGACTGGAACTAGCAACTTGCTTCTAATCAACAGAATATGGCAAAGGTCGTGAGATATCACTTCAGTGATTATGTAACAAAAGATCTTGACTTCCACCTTGCCAGAAGACTCTGTTTCATAATGACTGTGGTCAAACTGCCATTGTTAGAGAAGGCTCACTGCCACCAAGAAACTGAGATCCTCAGTCTAACCACCCTGAAGGAATTTGTACCTGCCAAAAACCACACACATGAACTTTGAAGTGGACTAATTCCCTGTTGAGCCATCAGAGGAGACCCCAGCCCTGGAGGACACTTTGATTGTAGCCATGTGAGAGACTCTGAAGCAGAGAATACAGCTAAGCCATTATCCACTGAAACTGTGAGATAATAAATGGACATTATTTTAAGTTGCAGAGTTTTGGGAAAATTTGTTATGCGGCAGTAGTTTACTAATACATGACAAAAACTTGATGAGGAAAGTAGCATTATAATCTCTATTTTATAGAAACCTAAACTCAAAGAGATTGAACGATTTAACCAAGCACACAGACTATGGCTAGCAGAGTCAAAATTCAAACTCATATCTACTTGATTTCTTACACCATGTTCTTTCCAACAGTGTAATGCTGCAACCCTATTTGACTATTTCCTATAAGCCAGGCACTGTAAAAAACACTCATGTTCCACAGATGAAAGACATCAAGGAGCTGACAATCTTTTGTGGGAAAATGACAACTAAACTAATCAACAGTTGCATTAAAGTACCCTAAATGCTACATTCATTAGAGTGTTATAAATGTGACATTAAAATGTCCAAAAATGTGCATCTAACAGCGTGGAGTTAGGGGATAAAGGTGGGCTTGAGGGAATGGGGCTAATCAAGGAAGATTTCCTCAAGTAGATGGCATCTGAATCATTTCATGGAGGATGAATTGGAAATAACAGATGAAGAAGGTGAGCATTGCAAGTGGAGAGAATAACATAGAGAAATACATGGAGACTTGAATCCTTCTTTACTTCTGAAAGAAATAGACAACTATTATACATATATATAGTCACATATATAGTCTATATCTGCATATTACACACACACACACACACACACACACACACACACACACACACAATCATTTCCTGACCCCAGCTCCTGGCAATCTATTATCTCTGTTGTCCTTGGGATTTTACCCCTTCCAGAATGTCATATAAATGGAAATATGTATATATAGTGCCTCTACTCCTTCCCTGGGATACAGATTGATTTCTTTAAATATCTTCCTGATAGGATTATCAAACTTATTATTTTCCAAGCTGAAATAATCACTTTATACCCAAACCTCTTCCTTTTCTTATGTTCGCTGACTTGCCGAATGACTCCACCATTATTCAGATTGTATAAATTGACCATAAATTTGACCATTCATCTAACAATTCTATTTCCCTGTCCTAGCTGTGTTCAATGTATTGCCAAGCCCTACTGATTCTTTCTTCTACATCTCTTTAATCTATCCTTATCTTCCAAAGCCCTACTATTTGGATATCCATCACTTCTCCATATCATCTCCCAACCTACCCGCCTTCCTTCAGTTTTGCCTTTTTCAAATTTATCTTCCAATTGATACAAAGGTAAATACCCTAAAATACAAAAGTGATGCCCTTGTTTACAATGCTCAACTTTACTTTAAAACAAACGAGTCATAAGTAAATAGAAAATGAGAAAGGTATTCTAAATATGGGAATCTAAGCAGCACCAATATTTAGGGGGTTGAGGAACTTTTCATCACGCTAAGAATGCATGATTAGGAGAGAGCAGCATTGTGGAAGAGAAAGGGAAAATATTTCAAAGGAGAAGTTATTGATTATGCTAAAAGTTGTGAGAAGTCATAAGAAGAACTGAGGATGAATTTTGCAATCAGAATGTTTTTGCTGACCTTAACAAAATGAGTTTTTTGTGCAGTGGTGGAGATAGAAACTGGATTACAGTAGGGTGAAGAGTGAGAAACTGGGGTTAGGATGGACATCTCAGAGGCAACAGAGGTCCAGGTCACTTCCACTTTTTTAAAGTTGAGTTTATTGATATGTAATTCACTTATAATTCATCATGTTAGGTGTACAAAGGTATACACTGTGCGACTACCACCACAATCGAGCTGTAGAACACTTCCTTCCCCTCCAAAACAGTTCTCAATGCTCTTTGTTTTCAATACCATGCCCTAATTCCAGCTCCCAGCAACACTCCATCTCTTCACTGTCCCTAGAATTTTACCCTTTCCAGATGCAATATGAATGGAGTCATACAATATATAGCCTTTTGAACCTTGCTACTTTCACTTAGAAAAATGATTTTGAGATTATTCTTTGTTGTTGCATGTGTTAATGGTTTGGGTCTTTTTATTGCTGAGTAGCATTCAATTGCAAGAAGGTAAGACTGTTTATCCATTCAGTAACTGATGAAGATTTGGGTTCTTATCAGGTTTTCGAAATTATGAGTAAAGAAGAAATAATCATTTGTGTACAGGCTTTTGGGTAGAAGTATGTTTTCATTCTCATGGGTAATATGTATGAATTGGGAGTGAGATTGCTCAGTGTGTTACAGTAAGTGTATTTTTAGTTTTATAAGAAAAAAATGCCCAACTGTTTTCCATTTTACATCCCTGCCACCAAAGCATCAGAGTTATTCCACATCCTCTCCAGCATTTGGTATTGTCGATTATTACATATAACCTACTCTCTCTCCTTCCTTCTCTCTCTCAACACATACACTAATACATGTATATAAAATAGTTAATAGTTGCATAGTGATATCTCATGTGGTTTCAATGGACATGTTATTGATATTGAGTATCTTTTCATGTGCTTATTTGCTATCTTATGTGATGAAGTATTTATTTAAATTTTTTGTATATTTTTAAACTGGTTTGTTTACATTCTTGAGTTTTGAGAGCTCTTTAAATATTCTGAATATCAATATGTAAGAAAAAACATGTTTTGCAATATTTTCACATTCTGTGGTTTGTCTTCTTATTTTTTTAAGTGTCTTTCAAAGAGCTGAAACTTTTAATTTTGGTGAAGTGCAATTTATCAGATTCCCTTATATCATTTGTACTTTTTTAGGTATAATTTTAAAAATCTTTGCTGAGCCCAAGATCCCAGATATTTTCTGTGTTCTCTTCGAAGTTTTATATTAAATCTGAGTTTTAATGGAGTTAGTTTTTGCATTTGATTGTATAAAATTTGAGTTGAAGTTCATTTCCCTGCAATATGGCTGCATGCATTGTGCTAGCTTTGTTTGTTGAGAGGACTTCCTTTTCTCCAGAGATTCGCTTTACACCTTTGTTTAAAATGAATTAATCATAAGTGTGTGAGCCTATTTCTGCATTCTTTATTGTGTTTATTTCTATCCTTTGCCAACTCTACATTATCTTGATTGCTGTGCTTCTATAACAGATCTTGAAGTCAGATAGTGTGAGTCCTTCAACTTTGTTCATCTTTTCCAAATTGGTTTTTATTGTTTTATTTCCTTTGGCTTTCCATACAAATTTTAGAATCAGCCTATCAATTTCTACAAAAAAAAATCCTATTGATATTTTCATTTGGATTACATTGAATGCAGAGATTAAATTTGCAAAAATTAACATTTTAGCAACGTTGAGTATTTCAATCAGTGAACGTGAAATATAGCTCATTTATTTGGGCTTATGTAATTTCTTTTATCAGTGTTTTGTAGTTTTTGGCATTCTAATCTTGCTACTATTGTTAAATGTATACCTAATTATTTCATTTAAAAAAATTAATAGTACTTTAAAAATTTCAGTTTCAAATTGTTCAATGCTAGCGTATAAAAACAACTAATTTTTTATATTTACTTTGTATCCTGTGACCATGTTAAAGTTATTTGTTCTAGTCTCTTTTTGGCAAATTCTTTGAAATTTTCTGTATAAACAATCATGTCATCTGTTAATAGAGGGGGTTTTAATTACTTTTTTCCAATATATGTAACTGCTATTTCTTTTTCTTACCATGTTGCACTGACCAGGATCACCAATACAATGTAGAATAGAAGTGGTAAGAATGAACACCTTTGTGTTAATCTTGATCTCTGGGGAAAAGCATTCAGTCTTTCACCATTACTATGTTAGCTCTAGGTTTTTTTGTAGATGGTCATTTTCAGGCTGAGGAAGTTTCCTTTAATTCTGTTTGCTGAACGTTTTTATCATATGAATGTTGAGTTTTGTTAAATGCATTTTTTTCTGTATCTATGGAGATGATCACATAGATTTCCTTCTTTGTTTTATCATGGTGAATTACATTAATTGAATTTTAAATGCTGAATGAACCTTGCATTCAATGAACCAGGGAGGTCCGTGCTGGCACACAGTAGGTGTTGAGTCATGGGCATAAGGAGGGAGCACTGGAGCACAGAGAAGACCTGGGGTTCCTTAAAGACTAAAAATTATAGGGAGAGGGGTATGTTGAATCACCACCTAACTTTTATACAGTATTTATCTCATGTTCCAACTTGGGACTTATTTCCAGGTAATCTGCTCTGTTAATTTTTTACATTTCTTTAGTGCATATCATGCAATCTTCTAAGCAGGCTGCCAAAAGCATGCACCTAAGGTGGGAACATTTCTGGCTTATGAATAATTTGTTTTTTTGCTTCCTTGTACGGTAAATATCAGGGTTTCAAATAGTTTCAGATATTATGTACATTACTTGGAGGTCAGAAGAAACTTGTAGAAAGTTATTTCATTCAACTCTCACTCTCAATAATCTTGGGTTACATAACATTTACTAATTTACATAAAATTTTCACTGATGGAGATAGAACAGTAATTTCTTTTAGTTTTTCTGCTGCATGTACTCTGGAGACATCCATTAGCAGCTGTATTTAGATTCCAGCTTAATGTGGAAACTGTAATCTCAAGCAAGTTACTTAACCTCTGAGGCCCAGCCTTCCTCCTCTCTAGAAGGTGGTAGCAGTAACAATACCCCAGGGTTACTATGCCAACCATATGGTACAAACGATGCTCCTTGATTGCCTATTAAGTCAGAGTTATTTATTTATTTAGTTGCCTTAGGAACTAACCGAGGCATAAAATAGAGAAATAACTTGGAGATACCCCATCTTATTTGAGTGCAACCTAATATGCTTGCTCTTATGGTATAAAATGGGATTTCTGTGAATGGTTTAGACTCCCTGCTGAATAAAAATGTTATCTCCACATCTGGAGAAATAGGGACTGGCAGCTAATCCTGTCATTAAACAGAAATAGTGTCCCTGTGTTGAAAGTGACTTTAATAAAACTGAAATCAGAAAAGATTCCTTGAAAAGGAATGGCAAAAAACATAATAAATCTATAAAAATTAAAGAAATAAATTAAAATTATATAATTTAAATTTGTATCATAATTGCATTAATTATAATTTGAGTGTATAAATTAATACATAATTATAACTTATTTTAATCATTGTGAATGTAGGTAGTTTTACAATATCTATGGTATGTAGATATAAAAGGTATACAGTTGACCCTTGAACATCATGGGGGCTGGGATGCCGACCCCTGAAGAGTAGAAAATCCACATATAACTTGCAACTATCCCAAAACATAACTACTAATAGCCTACAGTTGACTGGAAGCCTTATTGATAACATAAATGATTAACACATATTTTGCATGTTATATGTATTATACACTATATTATCAAAATAAAGTAATTCAGAGGAAAACATGTTATTAAGAAAATCATAAGGAAGAGACAATATACTGATTATTCATTAAGTGAAAGTGGATCATCATAGAGGTCTTCATCCTCAGCATCTTTACAATAAGTAGGCTACAGAGGAAGTGGAAGTAGAAGGGTTGGTCTTGTTGTCTCCAGCATGGCACAGGCAAAAGAAAATCTGCACATAGTTGGGCACAGGCAGAAGAAAATCTGCATATAGTTGGACCCATGCAGTTCAAACCCATGTTGTTCTAGGGTCAACTATATATAGTGCCACCCAAACCGCTATAAATTTTGTGGAAAGTTTAAGAAACGATGACTAAACACTATTTATATATAGGGAGATTCTAAAACTAGTCTTAAGATCATTATCGTAGTTTTTGTAAAAAATTTAACAGAAGCACCTTTTATTCCTATACATTCACTTAACTTTATTCTGTTTTCTCGATACATATTGAAATACATTTATAGATTTAAGCAGTTTTGAAAAAAGCAGAAGAACAGATAAATGTGCCTTAATCTTTATAAAAACTCTATTCTTGTTGATGAAAGCAGAGGTTATAGTGGGCTATGATTGGAATAATATGTAAATTACATCGGGTGAAGCATGGTCTATAGTATTAGTTTGAACTAATTGGGTGATACTTTTTTTGGTAGAGAGTTTGGTCATTCAAATCATTTAAATCCTTATACCTTTTCTAGTAAAATAATAGTGAGAATATTTCTCCATTAATTTCACCTCTTACTGAATGTTTTATCTTTCAAAAAAAATGACTACTTTTCAAGAAATTAATGAGAGTGCCTGGCATATTCATCTAGATTTGTAAAGGAAGACTGAAAACAGCCTCGCTATTTCACTGGAAATATTAGCTACTGAGCCACTGTAGCCAGCCCTTCTCTTGCTATGCTGTTGCTGGGCTTCACTTGAGAATTTTCCATCTACTATATAGTAGAAGCTGAGATTCTGAAGCCATTAAGGTAGGAGGAGCAAACCTAGCTTTCAGAAGTCATTGTTTATATTAGTTTCCATGACTACTTCTAGAAAGAAAGATAACACATTGTGCATGCAATACTATTTTTTGGTACTTTTTGGTCCTGCATTCATTGCTGTGCCTCTTTTGCATGTGCTTTTAGATGTTAATCTATTTTTTCCTCTCTGCATTCTTAACTGTGTTTTAAAATGTCCTGTTTAATTTGATTAACAGCCCTAACTATATTTATGTTGTAAAATATATACTCAGTCTAATTATGTAGTATATATTTTGTTATTATTGCACAGTATATGCATTCATACAACATATATTCCCCTGGGAACATTAAGTACCTTTTCCCTGGATATTACTTCATCAAGTGCCGAATTTACAAGCTACCTGCATTTATAAGCTGATTCCCTACTTGGGCACTGTTGTGGCAGCTCCAGAAAATGAAATTCCCAACTCTTCAGTTACACTTTCTCATTTCAAATAATACTTAATTCCTTTGCAAGGACAGCTTCCCTAGTCCACTGAAGATCTGGTGAACTTTGCATATTTTATGTTTGATTCATAGTATTTTTAGTGTTGTATTTTATTACAAGCTCTGTAGTCATATTGATTCACTTAGGTGAGGCTTTAGAGCCCCATAGTTTTATGTTTTGCATCTTATAAAATAGGAGTTTCATCAAAAAATATTTATCCTGTTTCTCTTTTCCCTTTTAGTTCCTTGGGTCTTTTCTTGAGATTGAACAATATTGCTAGCAGAGTTTGGAAAATGAATACCCAGTGCTGTGTAACCTATTTCTTTACAGCTCAGAGCATGTTCAAGTAAAAAGAATTGAAAGATGAAAATTATGGAAACAAATTATCTGAGTTACCTTTATAGTATCAGTTCCTATTCAACACAAGACTTATTCCAGCTGTCTATAATTATGATCCTGTTAACCTGGTTTTCTCATTCAGCCATACAATCTTTGAGGTCTTAGCTAGACTCAGATTTTGAGCCCTTTTCTCACTTTAAAGAAGGAAATTATATATATATGTGTGTGTGTGTATGTGTGTGTGTATGTATATCTTTGTTTTTTTGCCTTGTCACCAGAGTGAAAACTTAGGACCTCAGGTGTAGAGGAAGTGTAGAGTAAGGACCAAAAGGCCTTCAGGTACTAGCAGCACCACCCTGGTACCTCTAATTGCATGTAGTGAGAAGCTACCCAGCTGCTTGAGTTCCCCTTTTCCCTAGGATTTAGACACCACGAGATGCTGTACCAGCCTTGTAAGCCCTCTGCTGGCCTCATTCCTAATTTCTCATAGTTTCTTGAATACATTCCTCAGAATAAAACCTGTTTTTGCACTGGGCCCCCCAAGTTTCAGCTACAAATTCTGTAAGCAGATCTCCTACCACATCGAGACCTGGACCCTCTCAGATACTGACTCTATCCTAGACTTGAACTTGAGTTGTCACCCTGCTGTATATTACTGTAGGAGGGTCTGTTGCTTCCTTCTTAATATTTTTTTCTGAATTCTTATTTTTTCCTTCACTAACTCACCATCAGCTCTTTGAAAGCCTTTCAATTATGTCAGCACACTTCTGAGAACTGAGAACTGGTTAAGTTCAACTCCAATAAACAAGAAAAACTCAGCCACTTGGATGTGCAAAACCCAAGAGTCGAATTTATTATAAAGTTCCAGGATGCAACTATCAGAAGTAAAGATGCCTGCCACTGTGTGGTGTTATATATGGTGCTTGCTTTGCTTGTTATCAGGAAACCACAAGGCAACTACAAACATTTTTTTTCCATTTGAACTTCTTCTGATGTAATCATCTTCCATTACAGTGACAACTTCACAGCAGAAACTTGGTTTGCTTTTTTATACTCTTCAAAATGATACCATTAAACAACTCTTCTGAAAGAAACAGAAGAAACCACAAGAAATTTATGAGCCTCTGTCTAGCTATAGACTCTTTGCCCCTCTATCAAAGTTGGTTGAAATTAGCCTGTGGGATCAATGGTTATTATAGGAGGTGGACAGGCCAACAAGGCAAATGATTTTATAAGGTTTCTGTCCTGAGGATATCACACTAAAAACAAATTTATTTTCACTCCAGCAATCTCTTAAGGGAATTTCAGAATGTTGTCTGTTTGATGAACACCACTATTGAGGAAGATTGGGATGCTTCTAATATGCCATAAAAGGAATTGTGTTTCTGGTCTCCAAGCGAATTCTCCTGCTTGTTCTAATTACAATTGGCATGTACTCCTTTGTGCTGTCTACCATGAAACTTTCTGCTTGCAACTCTTTGCCTGGAGAAATAGTTTCTTGAGAAAGTATTTCAGCAATCCTTAGAATTTTTTTTAATGTTGTCACAAAATATATGAAGCTACAATGCATAAGTGAGTATATTTGTATAACCTTATTAATGCCTATTATAGCCTATTCTTAAGGGCCTCGGGCTAGAAATGGAAGTTTTAACAGGAAATGTCTCTACCTAAAAAGAGATCAATCACCAAGAATCAAATAGAAGCTCCTAGAGTTATCTTTTTCATGGGATGAGGAAGGAAAATTTTAAATATTTTGATTTGCTATTTTAGCTACAATTAAAAAAATTCACGTCTTTAAAATTTTTTTGTATTATATTTACTCTGGTTTAAAATGTCAACAGAGGACCTTTATGGGTAAACAAAACAAGGTATCATGTTATGCACAATGAAGGGAACCGAGTAACTTCTGCCTCACTTTCTATTCTGTATGCTGGGTCAAACCTTGGAGCCCTGGAAAAGCTGAACATACCTATGATATGAAAAACAATCAAATGTGCCTTCTGACCTTGTCATCTTTCTACTGCCCAGGAGAATGTTGGGAGCTATTGTTCAGCTTTCTTGGCTTGCTCAGAGTCTCTAATTCAAATATAAGCACCCTTCCCACTGCTGGCACTAAGCGAGGGCATATGGGAAAAATGTCTGCTGTCTATTCATCCATTTACCTCCTCTGAGCACAGAATATTTAATTGTTATAGCTATGTTTGAACTTCTCTATTGTTATTTAAAACACATTTTTATAAATGTGTTTATAATGTAGTGACTTAATAAAAGAACACAATTATATCTGGTATATTTCCCGCCCCACCCCCTCCCCCCCACACAAACACCCCTTCTCTGGGCTCTTCTTCCTATACTTCTTTCAGGAAGCAGAAGCTAACATTATCTCTTTTAAAGATTTGACTTCCTTTCTACAGTGTCTCCTGTTCCCCTTCTCAGTCCCACCTGCCACTCCTCCCCAATCCTTTAATAATACCATAATAAAAGGAAGTTCACAGTTGTTTTTGTTTTGAGTTGCACATTTGATGTACCAGAGACAAAAACAAAGCTGTGGCAGATCTCACATCATTTTCATTCAGCACGCAGCAGGGTGGCAGGGAGTTTGGTGGAGTGGCTCCTGGATGCCAGGGCACTGAAAACTAAGTTTTCAAGACTTTAGAAACTGCAACAAAATGCCTCAGCTCCTATGTCTAACATAAAAAGATTGAAGACATGCCACCTAGACCTCTGAGAGACCACTTAAACAACTATTGATGAACTGAAACCAATAGCCCTATCCAATTTTTTTATTGTGGTAAAATATACATAACATAAAATTGACATTTCATCATTTTAAGTATAGAGTTCTGTGGCATTAACTACATTCACGTTGCTGTGTAACCGTCACCACCATCCATCTCCAGAACTTTTTCATCTTTCCAAATGAAAAACTACTCATTAAGCACCAAATTCTCGCTTCCCTTCCCCTCAGCCCCTGGCAGTCGCCATTCTAATTTCTGACTCTATGAAATTAACTACTCCAGGAACTTTATAAAAGGAATAATAAAATCTGTGTCTTTTGTTACTGGATTATTTCACTTAACATATTTCCTCAAGGTTCATCTATGTTGTAGCATATGTCAAAATGTCCTTGCTTTTTAAGCCTGAATTATATTCCATGATATATGTATGGTATATTTATATAGTATTCATACCATATATATCATATTTTGTTTAGCCAGTCATCTATTGATGGACATGAGTTGCTTTTATCTTTGGCTATTGTGAATAATGCTGCCCCTCTTTAAGGTGTGTATCCAGCAGAATTGTGGAATCATGTGGTAATAACTATGTTTAATTTTCTGAGGAGTCAAATGCTGTTTTCCACAGCATTTCACCATGATACCTTGCCAACAGCAATGCACAAGGGTTCCATTTTCTCCACATCCTCACCAACACTTGATATTTGTAACTTTTCTGTTTGATAATAGCCATCCTAATGGGAATGAAGCGGTATCTCACTGTGGTTTTGATTTGCATTCCTCTAATAACTAGTCATGTTCAGCATCTTTTCATGTGCTTATTGGTCATTTGAATGTCTTCTTTGGAGAAATGTCTAATTCAAGTCCTTTGCCTATTTTAAAATCAGGTTTTTATTTGTTGTTGCTGCCATTGTCCTTTCTAAATTTTAAGGACAGTTGCCATCCCTGGGACAGATAAAGAGAAAATTAATAAGAGTAATATTTAATTTCATTTTAAAAATAAAGAAATGTAGCAATTCTCTCATGAAGCATTTCAGGGGTGAATTTCATGGTTATGTTTGTTTGTTTTTAAATGTGTGATTGATTTCTACATTATTAGATTATAAACTCTTCCATAGCCATCTTATCTTCTACTTCTTTTCTTTTCGGAATGGCTATTTAATTATTCTTTTAACTGATTGATTTCTTAACTGCTGATTGATTTCCTCACTAATGGGAATGCAGGAGAAATAGAGATTTAAATAAAAGTGCTGTGGCTCTATTTCATTGGACCAGTGAAGAGGAAACTTGATGAATAGGGAAGAGAGAAAAACATGAGATTTTTGACATTCTTAAAAACTCAGGCTTTATTGTAATGCTGTGAAATTGAGTTTTTTTTCTTAGTCTCCCGAAAATGTTTAGGATATAATGATGACATTGTTTAGGTTAAGTGGCTTATTTTGAGAAAATTCATTTGCCCTACTATTATCTCCTTTAAAATGTGCTTTTGCCATTTATTTGATCCTAAGAAACTTAAAGTAGCTCATATCCTGTGCCTTAGTAATTTGTCTTCCAGAAATCCATCAAAAAATAATTTTCATTTCAGATGTTCATTGCAGTGTTATATATAATATCGAGTAGTAGGTTCTACCTAAATGTCCAAGAATAGGGGATAATAAAGCAAATCCATAAGGAGGAATATTATGGAGACATTAAAATGATGTTTATGTAATTTGATCATGTCTTAAATACTATGTGTGTGCATATATATATATATATAGAGAGAGAGAGAGATGAGTTTACACAACAGTTTCAATTATATAAATACATACTAATACTCAGTTTGGTGAGGGGAGGTTGGGGAAAAAAGAAGATACAATTTCAGAAGAGAATCTGCTAATATATTACATATATTATTTTCGTTTGGTGGCAATAGAAATAGCCTCCCCACGCTTTTGTGTTTTTTTCCTTTCTGTATTTTTCAAATTTTCCTTTAATAAACTTGTATTCTTTTTGTAGTAAAAACAGTTTAAAAAATAACTAGAAGGCTCTTGTATTCATGTAAACAAACTTTTTAGAAAAAAATTGTTGCACCCAATAAAAAATTGTAGAATAAATGGATAAAATTAAATAAAATAATCATTCATTTCCTTTAACTGAAGGTTCCTGGAAACATTATTAAATTATTTATAATACATCTAAGGTCAAGTCATTTTTAGTACGCCAGGTGCCAAAATCAAATATAGCTCCAAAAAAGATGTAGAGAGATTTAGAGAATTCTATGGAGCGGCACAGGGAACTTTCTGTTAAATTCACACTTAAAAAGATATACAAAAATCTAGAAGAAAGGGAGAATTACCAAAGACAAATGGCAGAGGAAAACATGCCTCTCTACAAACAGTGTCCAAAAGAATTAAGTTCCTGATTAGCTATATTTGCTGAATGTAGCTACATTAGCTACATTAGCTTTATTAACATAATGTAGCTACATTAGCTACATTGAGCTACATTTGCCAAAATACTCCAGACTTTGTGCTTTAAAGATTATATTTCCGGAGGCTGAGGCAGGAGAATTGCTTGAACCAGGGAGGTGGAGGTTGAAGTGAGCCCAGAATACACCACTGCCCTCCAGCCTGGGCAACAGAGAGACTGTCTCAAAAAAAGAAAAAGATTATGTTGGGAACAAGAATGTGAACATGATGGTTCTACTGCCAAGGACCAATGGAGTGATGTCAACTGTTGAGTGAGAGAAAGCGAGCTACTTGTGATCTAAATGTTTCTATCAGGGAAGACTGTTAACTTGGATGGAGAAAGTAAACAAATGAAATTGTCGTAGCCAATACTCATGGCTATAGAAAAACATAGCTATTACTATGGAATTGCTTTTTATAATAACTATAAAATTATTAACAATTGACAGTTACTAGGATAAAAGCAGGGAAAATATTCGCTCCGATTTTCTTAAAAGAGCTTAATATCATATCCCTGAAAATATTTCAAAGAGAGAATGCAATAACACTCAACATAATAGAGATGACTTATTTTCCCCCATGTATATTCTCCCCTTCTTAGATTGTATAAAGAACCTCCAGAGTTAAAGAGGAGCACGTGATGGCTATATTAAGACGATATAGACTATTATTTCTTGCAGTCCGTTTTGACCATGTGATTAAATTCTGAGAAATAAAATGTGGAAAAATGAATTAATGCAACTTCCAGATCATGTTGTTTTTTAAATCAAAGTTCTGGGACAGATATGAATTCAGGGAAGTGCTGTCTACTTTGCATGCAGAGATGCAGGGACTTTTAGCTCTGCTAAGGGAGACTCCATCTTTGGTCTGCAATCTAAATTGACTGAGAGATTGGTAACTGGGTCCTCACAAGTTTGAAAAATCTCAACAGTTTCTAAATCTTAAAGAGTATGATAAGAGATACAAAGATGTGGAATAATAATAACAGATATTTGCAAAGCTCTTACTATGTGCCAGGGTGTTCTAGGAGCTGTATATTTACCATATCGTTTGATCCTTTATTAATAGATCCATTATTAGCACAGAACAATTACGTAACCAGTTCTTGGTTACATAGCAAGAAACTGGCAAGAGCTGGTATTTGAACATTGGTGAACACAATCCAGGGGTATGTGATTTCAGGGGTAGTGTTTTACCCCCCACTACTGGGGGAATTTGTACAGGAATAAATTCTAACATCCGCATGTCGGTTTTAGCCCCTAGACATATGAATGTTAGAATTTATTCCTGTACAAATTGCTTTAGAAGAATAAAGATCAACAACTTTGCTGGGAAATGGATAGTTCCTTTTTGATAATTTTCAAGGTAATTGAATCTAACTCAATTACAATTTCAAGCCCTTAGATTGTTTTTTAACCACTTCTGATTGTAGTTAACTTCTTTTTTTAAAGCTCTGAACTGTTCTCTATCATTTTTGGGTCATTAAAAAGAGAATCTTAAATGTTAACTATGTATTTTCATACCTAAAGTGATTATTATGAATGTCAGCTCTAGGAGCTCTTGAGGCGTTCAGTATACCTGCCAATGCCTCTGAGTAGTCTCCTCCAACTCTCTATAGTCCCCTGCAATCCAGAATTAAAGGTCACCAAAAGATTATAATAGTAATCATAATAACCCTAATAATAACAAGGATATAATAGTATAACAATAATACATATTCTAACATGTTATTATTACTTGTATATTGTACATGTATATATCACTTGTACTATTGAACTTGGCACCCTGAGGAGTCAGGAGGAGAAGTATGAGGAGAAAGACTCTGGAGGAGGAGAAAAATCTGAAAACCTACTTCTCACTCCACAATTTAATATCTTACATATTAGACATATATTCTTACATATTAGACATATAGTTTCCTGATAGAATATCAAAGGGAATACCAAAAAGCAGCTTCAAGAAATGCCTCATTTGTCTATTTACATTGTTCTTTTAAAGATATATTGTTTTGGAAAAGCAATTCTCAACTACTTTTTAAGAAAATACAATTTGAGAATCAGTAAGACAACTTTAAAAAATGATAATGTACAGTTGTACAACTAATTCGACTAATTAACAATAGCAGGTTTGTCTCAAGGGTTAGAAGTTGTGATATGAGCTGGGGGAGGGTAGTTTGCAGTAGCAGCATTTCACAGGAAAATTCCCTTTTTTCAGAAACAAGTTACCAGAATTAATGAGCTTAGCTGACTAGCTGACTAAATCATATCCTTTCCTCCCTGGAAACTCCTCAGACAGAAAATCCTTCAAAGGTTTCTGCTTATCCTCTGAAGTGCAGAGCAAGTCTCGTTTTATTAAAAGTCTCTCTACCTTTAATGAAGGAGATTAGCTTTAGTTTTACTTTTTTCTATCCAAGAATCTTTAACAGAGAGAAGAGATAACTGACAGAGAACAGGTGGCACACAAATCTTTCTAAAGCACTGACTACGGCACACAGGGCAAATGAGCAATATAAATATGCAAATGTGGTCATTCATGTCCTTATTATCCGTAAATGCTAAACAATTAAGTGGGAAATGCTTTGGGGAATAATTTAGGTAAAACTGCTTTTATGGGCTGTGCTACAGTGAAATGTATTTCGGTTCTCATTTGGCCATTTTATTGTCAATGTTGAGGACTTCACAGGAAGCTATAGAGACCTGTGGGACTCATCAATGTTAATTAACTTCAAGCAAAGACTAAACCTACAGGATGTCGAAAATACATTTAAGATGCAGCTCCCATCTCAGGATAATATGCTCTCAGCTTAGAATTAAGACAAGGGTCTTAAACGGAAACGCTTGCAAACACCAGGTGACTGTTGAAAGAGACATGCTGTTTTCACTTCCAGCTATTGATGCCAGGTTGGAAAGTGGATCCATTGTTGTCAGGGGGAAATGTGGGTCCAAGCCTTTGGATCATTCTTTCCAGGTAATAGCACGACCACCTGGGAGTGTTTGGAGCCTGGTGGTCCAAGTTTAGGTTCCAGCTTTACCATTTGCAAGCTGTGTGAGCCTGTAAAATAAGTTATTGAACTTCTCCATGCCTTTGTTTCCTCATTTGTGAGATTTGGGATGATGAGAATGGTGATACCTTAGAGGATTTTTTAGAAGATTCAGTATTAAAACAAGGTCTGGCACAGAAAGTAGAGAGGTAAGCAATTCAGGTTTTTATTGGAAATTTTCTAACTTAAGGATGTTGGTAACTAATTTTTCTTTTAAAATTATTACATCTGCTGAATAAACCATATCCAAGAGCAAAATCTGGCCCAAGGCCCTCAGGTTGTAACTTCTGCATTAAACTTATTTGAGTCTATTAAAAAGCTCTTATAACCTTCCACTGGTTTTAAGGCTCAGTAGCCATTGTTCATAATTATTTATTTGCTTATATATTCTCTTTATTTGCCCAAAGGACTTGTGGTAGTTTACACTAAATGGTATAGTTCCAATTAAACTGGTAGTCAGTAAAACAAAATAAAAATACCAGAGCAGTTTAATAGAGTTGAAGATGTATAAAGAGGAGAGAAAATGTTCCAGAAAACCAAAGCTCAGGAAACACTGGCATGGAGGAAGAAAAACTAAACTCCGAGCTTCATGGTAGCCAAGACAGAAAGAGAAATATCATGAGTCTGTTTACGTCACAGTGTTCAACAGGAGGAAGCTGCATATCAGGTTGTCAAAAGACATTTCTTTCAACTTTTAACTGTGAAATTTCTGAAAAGGGTCTTTGTATAAGGGACATTTGAGAATTCAACAAAGAGTATCTTAAGTAGCAGTTCTATTGAAAAAGTGGAGAAATCGTGTATGTAGCAGCTCCTTAATTCTTGCTTCAGGACCAGCTCCAGGTACACTTATTCATAGTCATGTAAAGGCATTTGCAAGAGGCAGAGAATGGAGAGCGTAGCGGGTCCAGTTGCATTCTGCTTGAGGTTATCTGATGATTCAGAGATGAAGCTTAGAAAATCTCGAGTAAAGAATTGTTAGTATGATCCCTATTTTAGCTTTCCCCAATATCAACAATTTTAGTTTGAGTTCCTATGGAAACTCTATTATAGACATCTTGTGTTTTGACTAAAAGATCCTACAAGCCAGGGATATGTGTGGGATGAAGGGTGAACTGGTGAAAGAAAATAGCACAGGAGGGCCAAGAATTCTCAAAATGTAACTTTGGGCCCATTCAAGCCCTTGAGTGATTCTCGAACAGAAGTCCAGAATTCTGCACCAAAAGTAGAGGACAAATAATTTTAACCTATGATTTTTGAGGGTAGTTACCAATTTTGTACTTCTGTTTTAGAAGAACCTTAATTTAGTTCCTGCAGAATGGATGATTTGGAGCAGGTCTGCATCCTGAGAGGTCAGTGAGGTTAGGAGAGCTGCAAAACGTGCCCTGAAAGTGAGTTTTTATGTGTGTACCTTTCTTGTCTCTCTCCTTCCCAAGACTGTAAACTGTGCAAAGGCAGGGATTATTGTCTGCTTATTATTTTCAGGGCATGCAACAGTGCCTGGCACAGAGTCTGCTCCTAATAAATCTTTGCTGAATATGTGACCAGAATTTTTTGTTATTGGACATCTGGATACCTATATGTGTCTGATTTTTTTCTATGACAATTTTACTTTGGGCATATTTTCTATTTTGCAGCTTCTGGTGGACATAATGAATAAACACATTCATTTGATACTTAAAGCAGACTGATTTAAACCCAGATGTTTCTTTGAAAAACGTCTTGCTGTCTTTGAATAATTATTATAGTATATTTTCTGAGATTTCCTTTCTTATCAGTAAATAAATAAATTACTGGATGAATTATCAAATTAAAATAGCTGTATATTATTCAAAAGAAGAGTTTTTCTCTGAATTCATTTATCTATTCCTTCATCACTAGTTTATCACATTTTATTGGTTATCAAGTCTATTCCAGGAGCAGTATAAGGTATTGGAAATACAGTCATGAGCCCTAAGTACCTGCCCTCTAGGGGGATATTTAATGATGGCAAATACTTACACTGAACTTTCTTTGCACCAGGTGCTGTTCTAGGCATTTTGAATATATTAACTCATTTATCCCATTACCAGCCACCCTGTAAGTTAGGTTACTGTTATTGTCTATATTTTGTAGATGAAGAAATATAGGGCCACAGATAATATTAATAATTGGCTGTTACACTAAGAATTCTGAATCCACAGTCCCTACTCCCCGTCACCATCACAGTTTCTCCTCACTTTGCTTCCTAAGGGACTGCCCAGCTCAGTGCTAGGCACACCTTATGTGTTCGAAAATTACATCCTGAGCCAAACCTCTTCCAGTCTAAAGGAGGAGAGACCCTTTGGAAAGCATCAAACACATCTGCAAGGGAAGAATTTACTGCTTAAAGCCCATAAATTATTTGGCTTCCTCACAATAAGGAGTGCAGAACTTACATTTTTAAGGAAGTCAATTATCTTAATGGTTGGTATGTAGTTGACTTCACCAATCAGTGTGTAAATTTCTAAAATTTTTCATGTTAGTTAAGTGGATGTGGAAAGTTTTCATATTAAATTAAGATAGGAACAATACTCATTATTACTATTGCAATGAGTTATGCTGTCATCTGTCAAATTGAAGGCTGCATGTGTAACCTCTTGTGTCTTTAATCATTTTCTATAGGTTCTTAATTTGACCAAACTATGTGTATTATAGTGAGAGAATTTACTACAAAGAACAAAAGTAATTGTGTTCATTGAGGAAACACGTTTAGTTACACATATGCAGATTAAATTGATGCCTGAATGCTTCACGGAGGAAATCTTTGTAAGATATCACTGTAAGGACTTAAAGAAAATAATTACCAATTCTGTGCCACTGAAAGGAGAATTCTATGTTTGATGATTATGTCTGCATGTTTATTATAATTTGAATTTACCTATGAGATACGAAGTAAGTGAGGATTATGCCAATTTGAATGATTCAAGTATAGTAATAATCTAGTCTCCTTTTATTTTTCTATTATATATATTCCTTTAAATCACTGAAAAATTCTCTTATTCTCCCAATGCATAATGCCTGAACAGGCTAAAATATTAAAAGGAGGAGAATGAGAGTAAACCAGAATGAGGAACCCATTTAATAGAAGCTGGCTGAAGGCCCTAGAGTGGTATTGAAGGCCCTAGAGTGGTATTGCTTAAATGAACGCTCACAAAGATGGTATTAATTAATGATTGTTCAGGATCTAAGAGTAATAATTCAAATGGGAATGGTTGTCAGATACGATATTGGGGTCATGAAAGAAAACATATGAAGAGCTGAGGAATCTCTTCCCTTTTCCTACTGCTTCTAAGGACACACTTTGCATGCTAAAAAATCCTCACCAACAAGGACAGTTCAACAACGAGAGATGCGCCAGACACACTTGCGCTGGCTCCTGGGCCTTGTCAGTCCTGCAGGGCTGCTTTGTGTAATTTGGCATGGAGATGCACTCAGACAGGATGGATCAAAGCACACAAGAGCCAACTATGAGAATTCAAAGGCAAAAAAGGCTTCAGATGATCAGGAAAGCATCTTGGTGTAGAGCTTCCTGGTGTTTTAATTTCTTGTAGCATTTTACCTTTTGGGGGCTTTACAAAATTTAACTATGATTGAAGTTAAGTGCCCAGCTTGGTGCTTGTGTCTCTCATTTTTCCTACTAAGAGCACTATGAGAAATGCTTGAGAAATTGGATTATCTTATTTGGATGTTCTTACCTATTTGTGTAAGCTGTTCAAATCTTTTCACTGGAACGAATTCACTGACCTTCCTGCTTCTGTGGGGAAATCAGAGATACTGGATACCCTTAGCTGCTAGATAAATCTAGATTCTTCTTAAGTGAATGACCACAGCTGGATGGCCGCTTCAAGCAATATTATGAAAGTAGGTTAAGATGAGAAATATAGGGCCTCATTAGAATTTCAAGGGCATTTGAGACAGGCAAAATATAATGAATTGTGTTGGAGTTTGGCCAGGTCAATGATGCTAAAACTCACTCAAATAAATAGATAAATTTTGAAGCCCTATCCTCTGTTTAACCTCCCACCCCAAAAATGATTTTCTTTGCCAAAACTTTTGATAATATTCCAGACTATTGTCTCATAGGTGACTCTAAAGGAATGCTGCCTTCAATTTAATCACCTTGGGCTCTGCAGAACCGAGGTGTTAAGTAGAAAATCTCGATCATTTTTTTCTTTATCTGCCTCTTTTTCGACGTATTAAATCACTGCAGTAATTAAAACATTTAAATCACAAAGTGAGATGGTCATGTATTAAAGAATATGAAAGAAACAAACTTTCTCATGAAAAAGTGCACAAAGATGAATCCTTAATTCAGTTGTTGAATTTGAGGGCAACAGTTATAAAAATTTTGTTATACTAATTATCTAGGTAACTCCTTTGTGCTGAAATAAAATTATGTTATCATTAGCAGGAAGAGATGTAACAATTTCACTGTTTGCCAAAGCTTACCCAGTGCAAGGAACAAGCTTAGATATAAATCTTCCATCTTATGAAACTTATTATATCCTTTCATCCAGACTTCACTGATAGTATCCTTAACTTAAAATAGTCTATGATATGGAAAGCAAAAAGCCCATTCCACCATTCTTTTAATTTACTTCCTGAATGAGCTAGAAAAATGGTTTTTTTTTTTTTTTTTTTTTTTTGGCCGGGGCCGGGCTTGGTGGCTCACGCCTGTAATCCCAGCACTTTGGGAGGCTGAGGTGGGCGGATCACGAGGTCAGGAGATTGAGACCATCCTGGCTAACACGGTGAAACCCTGTCTCCACTAAAAATACAAAAAAATTTGCCAGGCGTGGTGGCGGGAGCCTGTAGTCCCAGCTACTCGGGAGGCTGAGACAGGAGAATGGCGTGAACTCAGGAGGCAAAGCTTGCAGTGAGCTGAGATCGTGGCACTATATTCCAGCCTGGGCGACAAAGCGAGACTCCATCTCAAAAAAAAAGGAAAGAAAAGAAAAGAAAAATGATTTTTAAATATCTCCTAAGAATCATTTTCACTGATCTTTAGAAAATACTATTTTATTATGTACATTTATAATTGCCTTGATGTTACCATTAGAACATTGATCTTCAGAGTTTGATTTTACGTACATCTTTGGTTGGAAAGACCCAAGGAAGTCATCCAGTCCAACCAACCACTCAAGAATTCCATCTTTCCTATCCACAAACAACTCTAATCACATAGAATCTTTTTTCTTTGCAAGGATGCCTGTCTCATTTGTAGACAGTTTTAATTATCTGAAAATGTTTTGATGATTGAACTGAATTTTGCCTCTGTCACTAACTACACTGGCACTAGTCATCTCCTTCAAAAGAAAGTAGCATCCATTTAACCATGCTCTTGCTCTGGGTACTAGATACATGAGCATGTTCTCTTTATAACACATGTATTGAGCTATAAATATATTATGTGTACACTTTTATCTGTGTGTGATACTTCAATAAAATGTTAACAAAAGATGATAACCAGATCTTGATTACAGTTTTATCAGTAGAGAGTAAACTGTTATTTTGAAAGGGGTAATTCTGAAGAAACTCTTTGAAAAAAGCAATAAACATATACAGCTTCAGCAGTAGATTATCTGTGACACTTATGAAATGTTTCATTCAGACCCTCTTCCTTATTGGGGTCAGACTACCATGAGAGGAGTGAAAAACAGGTCTGAAATTTATATAGCTGCATCTTAGAGGCATCAAAAGTAGGTCTAGTTCCCTTTTGTTGGAAAGGGTTCATAGAGTTTTGGATATGAGAATCCTTTACATAATGAATTCATTAAGAACCATTATAATTGAGAGAAAGAGGAGGTAAGAGCAAACAAGGAAGAGAAAAGAGAGGAAAAAATGGAGAAAGATTAATCTGTAGCTGTAAGATATCAATATAGCCACCTGGGAAAATGTAATAGTAATCCCATCTTGATCTAAACTCTAAATTCAATCTGAAGAAATATTAGATTGTGGAGAGCAGGACATTTTGTTTGATCGAATTTGAAAAATCTTACGCTATTGGCTGACATCTATATCATTGTTTGATACTTGAAGAATTGATGGTTTCGCATGTGCCAAAAATGGCTTGCCCATACATAACTTTATTCTAGCCACCATTCCTCTTTTTTAAAACACTATGGGAGATGTCAGGAAGTAAAAATGGAAAAAACAACCAGAAAACTTACATGTCAACAAAACCTTGTGGCTCTGTCTTAAGACACTAACTCAGCAAGGGCAGCTCTACGGAAACATCTAACTGACAAAATTACTTTTGCCATAAGCCAATTAACTAAGAACATACGCTTGACTCAAAGATAGTGCCGGGAGGATACAGCAGGCTAGAGCTAGGCCAAATTTGCCTTAAGCTAGGAAGTGCTTCATTGCACAAATGATCCTAATCACATTTCCAGTAATGACCCCTATAGGTTTGTCATGATCCATTAAAAAAAGAGTTCATAAAAAAAGGTTTCATTTTTAACAAAAGCCTTTCTCATAAAAATGTAAGCTCATATAATATCTTTGAATTTTTGAATAAATAAATCCTTAGATTCTTGATAGGAAGAAAATGGAACTGAGAAACTTAAAGATAAGGTGTTAGATACTCTTGAAAATGGAAGATCAATCTGAAATAAGGAGAACACATTTTTCAAATTATGATATGTCAAGTGGCATGGAAAACTTAATTTATCAAAATATGGCATACACTATAATTAGAGCAAGAATTCTGAGGCTCATCTAGTTACTTCCGGATTAGGAGAATGAAAGAATCTTCAAAAGGTTTATTAAAGTTTTTAGCTGCTAAGGGCAAAACTTTACCTGACATGTGGGTTGATGATCAATGCTTACAACTGAGAGTCCTGAGATTTCTCTCAAGCTTCAACTGATTGATTTCAGCATTTTGATATTCATGAAATATTGGTTGGGCCTCCTGTTATGGGCTAGGCACTGTGCTAGGTCCTGGAGCTATAGTAGTCAAGATGTTCAAAGTCTATTTCATGGTGGACAATTCTAGTAAGGACTGAGAGAGGGGAGATTAAAAATTAATGGAAGTGTGTGTGTCTGTGTGTGTGCGTAAGATCACACAGTGATAAGTAATATGAAGAAATTAATAAGGGTAAGGAAATAGAGCATGTGTTTGTATGTGTTGGGGTGCAGAGAGAGGTGGCATTTTTGTGGGAGGTTTAGATAGACCTCTCTGGAAAAGTGGTCTTTGAATAAAGATTTAAAAGAGGGAATCACCATGCAAAAATCTGTAGTCTTTTAGGTAAAGGGAAAAATAAATGTAAAACCCCTAAGGCAGAAATGAGTTTGGCCTAACCAAGTAACTTTAAGACCCCCAGCCTAGCTACAGTGAAGAGAGTGAGGACTCAGGAGGTGATTTTGGAGAGGATAACCAAGGACAGATCACACAAGGGCTTCCAAGAATATGTTAAGGAGTACAAGTTTTATTGAGAACATGTGAGCCACTGGACTGTTTGAATGGAAGACTCACATGATCTGATGCATATTATGTTACTACCAAAGCTGTGTGGAGAACTGATTTAGAAAGTCAAGAATGGAAGAACACCAAAACATTAGGCTATTGAAGTAGTTGAGGTGAGACATGACAGTGGCTTGGTCTAGAGTAGAAATGGTAGAGGTGGGAAGTATGATCGTGCTTGAAACACAGCTTAAAGGAGAAGCCAACAAACTGTGTGGAGGAATCAGATGTGGGATATTAAAGAAAGAGAGAAACCAAATACGGCTTTGAATTTATGGCCTGACCAACTGGGTGAATATGCTGTTACCACTTACTGAGATGGGGAAGAAGTGTTTTTGTCGTTTTGTGAATTTTTGTTTTGTTTTGTGATTATTTTGTTTGTTTGCTTTAGCTTAATTTTTTTCTTTTGGGTTTCATGAAGATAAAAAAATAAAAAGTTTTGCCTGGGTTATGTTATGTTTGAAAATCATTTTAGCTATCTAAATACAAAAGTTAAGGGAAGTTCAAGAGAGGAGCTAGGGCTGGAGACAAAAATTTAGATGTTGTAAACATCTATCTAAAATTTAAAGTCAAGAGATTACATGAGATTTTCCAAGGGGTGAAAAAATATGTTTAAGGATTGAATCCTAGGGGACTCCAGCATTTAGAGTCTAGAAAATAGAGGATATGCTAGCAATAGAATGATAGTGAACAAGAAGAAAAGGGGGCAGATGTTAAATAAAGAAATTATATCCAGCAGGTCAGAGAGAACAACTGTAAACTAGAGGCCAGTTAAGATAAGGACTTAAAATTAAGTTTTAGATTAGCAAATGGAAATTGTTGACAGGGAAGTTTTCACCGAAGTAACAAAAACTGCCTTAATGGGGAGGTTACCGGGAAGTGAAAAAGTAGAGAGTAAGTATACACATCTCTTTAGAGGAGGGTGGAATACAGAAGAGGATATCTGAGGAGGTGTATGCATTCTAAGGAGCATTTTTTTTCCAGAGGATAGATAGGCAAGCCAATTAGAATGATTTAGAATAGAGTGGAAAATCAATGATGCAAGATGTATAAAGAATAATTGCTAAAGATCCTGAATCATAGAGAATGAACAGGGTGCCATGCATAAGTAAACTTCAGGTGGGAATGTTGTAATGGAAAAGTAGTCCAAACATAGGCAGGAATTGGGAGGCGGCAAGTAAATGAGTGACAGATAGATAGGTAGGTGTTGGGAGAGTCCATATACCATGGGCACTGAGGATCACTGCAATTCTTGTTGGTTGTACCAAGAATGCAAGATCCTTACCATTCTACCCAGGCCATCTCTCAGGATTGGTTTTTGCAGCAAGCAACTTTGAAACATGAGGTTCAAAGTTGGGACAAAAAACAGATTGGCTTACTGCCTGCTATGAAAACAGATAATTTATCAAGCTATTGTTCCTCAGCTGTGATGCAAATCCACTGCAGGTACACCATCCATCTAGCAAATCACCCCTGTAAGACTTGAATGCAAAAGAAACCTACATAAACATGATACTCATGCAGTCTGCTGTGCTGTGAGTAATATAGTCATTTGTCTTTGACCCAAGAGTTTAGTGTCTTCTGCCAGCATCCATGAAACAGTAACAGGCTAACTCATTCCTTTATAAACAGGGTAAAATTAAATCTCAGACCCAACAGTTATGGCAACAAAGATGAGATCCTGAAAGAGACATGTCTTTCTGGAAGAAAAATGTTAAGAGCCTTTGGGATGGGTTCAGATGTAGAAGATGAGTTCCCTGGACTCCCACTGAAATGGTAGGTGAAAGAGGGAAGCAAAAGACCCCCAAGGTCCTGCCCATCAATCAGATTGGGATTAAAACAAACAGCCTTATATGGTGCCTTGGTTGTTTCTAGCTCTCCTCTAGGTGGGAGGAGGAAAAAACATTATTATGACAATAGGGCAGCAAGCCCTGTGGCTCCAGCCAGAAGGCAACGTATCTGTGACAGCTGAGTCAAGGAGTACTGAAAGATGAAATAAATGGAGTCAACAATGACATCATTTCAATTCAATATAGAACTTTAGTTAGAAAAAAAAATGATGATTTTATTTGATGATGATGAGTTTATTTGATTGAGCCACAAGCAAGAGAAATTGAATTGAAAGTGAAATTGAATGTAAAACCTTGTTTACTAGTGTCGAGCTGCTCTCTCCCTCTATGACCCCTGATTCCTCCCCCTCCCTATTCCACAACATCAACTTCTTTAAGAAGAAATAACATTGTTATATGAGATCTCAAGTTACTAGCTTACTCAGGTGTGGCACTGTTCTTGCTTGGTGACTACCCTTTGACAGGGCAGAGCACAATGGCATGCAGGGGGGGCAAGAAAAAAGGGGTCCTCTGGGCCCTGACACTCATCAGATATCAGGATATACATGGATAGGAAGCAGCTCTGGCACTTGGTCACCAGCCCCTTAGAAAGGACCAAGCCTTTTCCCACGTCCACTCCCATAGGCTAATCTCCCCATCATCCTCCATTCCTTGCACTCCCAACTGGGGGATAGTATGGTTTTCTGGTGGCTGTTGCTATAACCCCTAATGAGAACAACTAGAATCAAATGGATTACCCAGCATCTATCTAGATGGCTTCCATCATTATCTGGATCCATCCTCTTACCAGAAAACATATCCACTACCACGAACTACAGCAAAGGACTATATGTTTCTAATCTAGAAACTGCATACCAAAGGAGACTCCTGCCAAAAATTGGCCTGATTGTTTTGCAGTAAAGGAGGCCACATTACAAGGAGCATTTTCCCTGCTCACTTCTAGAAAATTGGCTGTGTCAGATCTCTGACCCTCTCTTGGGACTACCATTGGTGCCTTGCTAATATTGACATATTTTTAGATTATTTTGCTGCTATTTCAGTTTGATAATCTGATTCTTATTTTCAGTTTTCAAGACCATCTACAATCTGACAATGGTGTATTTTTGTCATAAAGGCCACCTAGCAATGGGCCAGTAGTAAACATATTCAATGGACATTCCACACTCTTATCATTCTCTGATAAGGCTGCTGGCATCATTGAGATATGGAATAGACTTTTTGGAAACCAATCCTGAAGATTTCTGACTCTCCCTCCTTTCTGTATCTACCTTCTTTGCCTCTTTCTGGCCCACAGATTTTATTAAAACAGTTTATTAAGGCTGTTTGAGCATTAAATATGGCCATGGGCAGGAAAGATTTGTCTCCTGTTGGCCAACTCCTAGGTAATGATCAAGATGGATGGGTAGAAAAATTATGTAAACTTATTTTGAAAATTCATGATTATGCCTTGACCATTTATGAACCTGAAGTGTATTTTCTTCCCCTAGTGACAACCTCATGTCAGCCTGATTTGTACACACTTTGAAGGGCAGCCACATCTAAAGGGGAGACTAAGAGATTCAAACTTAACTTGATGTAGCTACCTGGATTCTTTTATTGAATTAACATGGTCTTAGATCATAAAGACAATGAACACTGGTTGAATATACTATTCACCAACTAGTATAATTACTTATAGTAACCTAACTGGACTAAGTGGGAAATATAATGAATGAATCTCAGTAAATATTTTTTAAAGTGACCTATTCCTATTCATGTCTGACCTCTCTGGACAAAAGGTATTGGTATGAGCAGATGATTGGAGAAGAGGTAAAGTTATAGCTACTGGGTTGGGACACCCTAGTTTCATGGCCATGGAGGGAGAATAACAATTCTAGCACCCGAGCACAGATCACTTTAAACCCCAGGCAGTTCAGGGGAGAGAGGCACTTAGGCTTCTTATTCCTTAGATTCAGCAATGCAGGCTGGCAAAACAATTGTATGGTCTAGCTGAATCTAGGAGCAGCTGCAGTTGACAATCTAAACTCACTACAGGATTTGTCATCCCTGTCCAGGTGTTATAAAAACACCAAAAGTCTTGCAAACTTGGCTGGTCCTAAACTACTTCACCATAGCTGACACCACTAATGGAAGCTCCTGAACTGCCTCCTCCTCAGCCTTGTATGCGTACAAAGAGATAGGTCCCACAACTTTGTTTCAGTTTTTTTATTTGTTTTTTTTTTTTAAAGAGACAGAGTCTCATTATATTGCCTAACCTGGTCTCAAACCTCCTGCCTTGGCCTCCCAAAGCACTGAGATTTCAGGTGTGAACCACTGTGCCCAACCTCAATCTTAATAACATATATTCATACGCTTTTCCTAATACTCAGGCAGCTTAAGTGTTGCCATAAATGGCAATGGGAGCTGCAAGCGATGCTTCTGTTGTACTGAATTAACCAAACCAATGTAACAAAGGTATAAATCAATTTTAACCAGAAATTCTGAACTAGAGTCTGTCCCTTTGTGTTATATGTTTGTATGTGGGGGAATGTCTCTCCTTTGGGGGTTAGTGTTGCTCGTTTATTGCCCCTGTCATTATTGGTAATGACATCAAAGATCAGTATGTCAATCTAAGCTCCCTTACGTGGGTCACAATGGATAACTGACTGGCTTTAGACTACTTTCTGGCTATCTAAAGTTAAGATGATGATTGGTGCCCCTGGGACTTATGTACAATTGGCTGAGTCCAGGGCCCTGGGGAGTAGAGTTGAAATGTATACTACAGGTTGACTTCATCTTATTGCTTAGAGTCCTCTTGATAGTCTCCTTAATTAAATGCTGCATGAGGCAAATTGAACAGATTTAATCCCAGTCTCTGTCAGTCACATTAAGCAGGGTGGCTCATGGAGTGGCATATTCATATGAAAATTCGAGTTCAGCCAAGAACAAGTGGGGTCATGGGATGGATTGCTGGAAGAAGCAACTCATCATGGGCCCTGTGTGTCCTGGCAGTTTCTTACTGGGAATCCTAAGAATGCAAGGCCCTGACTGATCTTTACCTGCCCATTTCTTGGGGTTGGTTTTGCAGCAAGCATCTCTGAAGAATGAAGTAATGTCTCCCTCTGGGACAAGGAGCAGGCTTCTTACTGCTTACCGTAAAAGCGATGAATTCCCCAACTTGATGTTCATCAGTTGCGACAAAAATCTGTCTGTGCAGTACTCATCTGGGCCCATGTAGTACCAACCCTGTGGGAGTTGGGTGCAAGGGTAATTCATGTAAACCTGAGGCTCATGCTGCTGGTTGTGCATTTTTTCCTGACACAAAGTTTTATGTCTTTTGCCAGCATTCACAAAACAGGAACAGGATAACGTATGAGCTTGTAAAAAGGATAAAAATCAAACCTCAGAACTGACAACACTTTTGGTGGCAGGAAGATACTATTTTCCTGATGAAATTAGACTTGATGATCAACTTAGGGTAACAATGAGGGAGGAGGTATTGGAAGTTTGAAGAAATAGAAGATTTAAAAAGGCTCATCTTGGGAAGTAGAGCTCTAGAAGGATTTTTATCTAGTGCTAAAGGCCCCATGAGATTTGGCACCATAAATTTAAAGTGACACTCAACAGTTCAGTGTGTGGCTTGTGAGTTTTTCTCCAACCACATTCAAATTGGTTGTAAGTGTGGAGAAGGTAGAGGATTGATTTAACCATAATTGTACCTTTGTCAGGCAAGTACAATGAAGAGAGAAAGAATCAGGTGAGCCGAAGGTATATGCAAGGGAATAATTATAGTGCTGGACCTTGAAACCTTAGCTGAGACAGAAGGTAAGTGAGGCAATGACTGGAAAAAAAGTGGTTAAGACAACAGACTAGGCTCAACGGAAAAAGTTCTAAAGTATATGAACTGGAATAATTGGAGGTTCTGGTCATAAAACAGAATGATTTAAAGTGATGTTTTTAGGAAGGTTATCAGCGATAATAAGGCCTAAGTTATGACCAAAGAAGTGGGCAGAAGTGTGTGTGGCATGGCAGTCACAGTCATTGGAAATAAGGATTTCAAATAACAGAGATAATGGTTTGTATCGGTTGTCTACACGGATGCTGAAATCCTCAAAATGATGACAGGAGTAAGATATTAAGGTAATCAGTGACTGAGGAGAAGGTACCGTGAGGTAGGAAGAATGTTGCAACCAAAAGAGGTAGTGAGCAGTGCAGTTCAAAGACATGTACTTCAACATGAGGTGGGTTTTTGATGTAGGCATTTAATGCTATAAACTTTCCTCTTAACATTGCTTTTGCTGTATCCCAGAGGTTTTGATAGGTTATGTCACCATTATCATTCAGTTCAAGGAATTTTTAAATTTCCTTCTTGATTTCATTGTTGATCCAATGATCATTCAGGAGCAGGTTATTTAATTTCCATGGTTTTGAGAGTTCCTTTTGGAGTTGATTTTGTTTTATTCCACTGTGGTCTGAGAGTGTACTTGATACAATTTCTACTTTTTAAAATTTCTCGAGACTTGTTTTGTGGCCTATCATATGGTCTATCTTGGAGAATGTTCCATGTGCTGATGAGTAGAATGTATATTCTGCAGTTGTTGGGTAGAACGTTCTGTAAATATCTGCTAAGTCCATTTGTTTTAGAGTATAGTTTAAGTCCATTGTTTCTTTGTTGATTTTCTGTCAACAAAAGTATAAATACCTTGCGGTTTTTTTTCATTGTGTTATTGTTTTATGGGTCCTGTGAGATTTATGCTTTAAGAATGCTCTATTTTGGTGTATTTTGAAGTTCTGTTTCAAGATTTAGAGCTGCTTTTTAGCAGTTCTTGTAGTCCTGGCTTGGAAGTGGAGAAATCTCTCAGCGTTTGTTTGTCTGAAAAAGATTGTGTCTTTCCTTCATTTATGAGGCTCAGTTTCGCTGGATACAAAATTCTGAATGAGGATGGAAGACTAATTTCCTAGATGAAGCAATGACATGAGGACATTTAGCTTACCTTTGGGACTAGTCAAACATGAGATTTGGAAGAAGAATAAAAGACAACCACCATTCAAGAAGATTGCAGAAGAAATGGTACCCTGAGAATATAGCATGATTTGAGCTTAAGCAAGCAGGTGAAGGAAACATTTAGAAAAAAAGTTGAGGATATTGGTAATTGGGCTTATTAAATCTTCAGCATACAGAGAGAAGTTCAGAATGGGGTAGAAAATTGCATGAAATTAGGGTATGTAGAGAGCATTCTGGGATAAAGACCAGAAATGATGAACTGGGACGCTGGGACTTCAGTGGGTGACTGAAGTAAGCAGACTTATAAGTCATAGTGGTATTGTTCCTGATGTACTTTAGGGAAAGTTGTAATCAATGCTGATTATAGCTTCTTCAGAAATTAATTGTTTCCTAAGTAATGACTAAGGGGGTAGTTTTTTTTGCCAATGGCAGGTATAATAAAACCTCTTTTGAGAAAGGGATATGTAATTCTTCAGGAAGAGGATTGGTTGGTCTCAGGAAGAGGTTTTGGATACTTTTTCTTGCCCTCGCAACTGGGTTGCTTGGGACTGAAGTGAAGCTCTAGGTGAATGTGCGTGTCATGGTGGTTGGGGAGGGGATGCAGGAGGAGAGGGGTGTTTCTGAGGGTCTTCTGTGTTAATATCAGAAGACAGACTCTCTCAACAAACTAAGTAGTAGACATTGGGAAAAGAGCTATAATTAATCATTTATTAGGTCAGGTGTAGGTCAATAATATTGTACTTAATGATTAACATGCTTAATAAAAAACATTTTGGGATCTTGGGTAGTTAGAAAAAAAGCATGGGATGTCAAGATGGGCATCCTCATGAGTAGTAAACACACACTAGACCACGTCATATGAGAGCTCGCAGGATGGTCTACTGTGAGGACAACTCCCAATATCCTCAACCTCCCCAATGAACATTTTCATCAGCTTCTTACTCTAACAAACGTTTGGCTATTCTCAGGAAACATTACTCTCCTGAAAGCTCTTTTAAATGGGTGAGGCCCACATCTCTCTCATCAAAATAGAACTCTGGTATGAAAATCTACCTTTCAGGTCTTCTAAGTTGCCAGGACAGCACCTCAAGACTTTAATGATGGATTTCCTGGCTTTGTTCTTTAGTTTCAGAAATTTTTTCTAATACGTATTGGTCAGCATACTTAAGTTGAAGAGTTGGCACCTGTCTGCTGATTATTCATTTGAGAGCTTTTCCCTTACTTGTGTGATTACAAGTCAACAGAGGAATGCCAACCTGAGACAGCAGCCAAGGCCCTTGATGCCATAGTTATCTATCTCTGTCATAGGGTCTACAAACATATCTGCCTCTGTTTTGGTCTGTATGTGGTCTTCCAAATATTAGCCTTTAAATTTTCCTCCTTGCTATAATATCTTTCTAAATAATAGGCAGTAAGCAATCAACAAAAATCATTTTTTAAATTAATGTATGTATAACGTGGTATACCTGTCCTAGTTATTGCAGCTAACATAGTAAAATCAAAAGGAGTACAAGCGTAAATAGTTATACACACTATGAATAGTTTTGTTCATAGAAATTAACATGCATGGTAAAGGCAAAGGTAAATGAATCAGATGAATCTTGAAAAGATGTTTTATGAAGTAAACGAGGATAGAAGCAAAGTTTCATCTTTTAGAGTTACAGTTATTTATGCATATCAAATATCTGTTTGAGAGTCCTAGGATTTATATTCTCAAATTTGAAATTGTAAGTAAGAAAAAAAAGTGCATTTCTAGGAACAATGCTCCTGAAATGTGAAGTCAGCAAATGAAAAAATTCTATTGAAAATTTCTCTTCCAGCAGGAGATATTGACTGTACCATTGCCTAATTCCTTCATGACTATATGAAGCTTTGAATGATATATGCTTGGCCCTCTATGGCTATTTTAGTTGGATTTAGGTAAAGTGACAGGATTTGACTTTTAAGGAAAAGTGAACGCTTCATTTTTAGCAACATTGTGCTTGAAGCGGATGAACTTGAGAACGAAAGCCCTGTGTGCAGTCACTTTGCCAGGTGGCTCTCATCGGGGTGTTTATTGTTAAGAAACCCGATATTTTTGCCCGAGGTTTGAAGCCAGGACTTCATAGGATCCCCTGCTGCACTCAGTTCTTTCCATACAGAGAGCAGATGGGTGAAGTAGAATAAAATCCCAGCCTCAGAGGCAACAATGTAGCGTTCCAGAGACCAGGGAGGGTGTTCCTCTGAGTTGGAGTACATGCTAATTGGAGTTGGTGAGGGAAAGTTAGAAATGAAAATTGGACTTGGATGAGATGGTTTGGAAACTTGTTAAGGGTATTATCATGAGTATAGTTTGATAAATAGAAATGAAATGTTCACGTGAAAGACATATCAATTGTTTCCAATTTCACTTGGCTGGTTAGAACAGGATGGTTCAAGGGTAAGCACACAGGTCATGAGATCCTTGTAAAAGTTTCAGTAGTAACGTTGATTTGTACTTCAAAATGTGAATTTATCAAGCTGTTTGGGTTCTTATAATTTCCACTAACTTCTATCTGGCATAAACAGCACAAAAGTTCCTCTTTATTGATTTATCTAATGGTGCCTTTTTATGGCTCCACTGTGACAGTTATCATATTGTCTTACACTTTGCGCATCATTTTCCTCTTGTTCTTTCATTTTCCCTTGGGAAGAGACCATGTACTCTCATCATTTTATCCCCAGAACTGAGCCCAGTGCCCCGGACTGGAAAGCTCAAACAGAATACAAAGAAGCAGCCAACATTCCTTCTAGTAGTGGTCAAGGGTGGTCATACAAAATAAAGATAATTTACTGACTTTGGAATGGACTGAATAGTATTATTCAACTACAGGCCTTCTCCAATTATAAATTTATTTTGCTTACCATTAAAATTATGTGGATGTGCAGGTTTAAGTAAATGCACAGACATTTAAATCAAGTGGCAATGTCCCATTCTCATTTTAATTTGAGTGTTGCAACTATGGTCACAAATAGTTATGACAAGATATGAGCATATTTTGCCAAATTTTTTTTTGAAATGATTTTGGAGAATTAGAGAATAGTAACCACTACTGCCTCTAGAGGCATGGTTCAATTCTAGTCATTAAAATATCTAAATGGATCTTTAGATTTTTCTCAATTACCTTACCAAATGAGACTTTTGGTTTCTCTGGGCCATGGTAACTTGCTTTACCGGCTGGAAATTCTAGAAGAAACCTTGAATAAAAGTTAATCCTCCTTCAGGGGGTCTTGATTCCTCTCACTAGGATTCTCTGCCTCCTTGAGTTCCTGTTTTCATTTGTCATCTTCCATGGTCTCATGCTCTCTCTATTTCTAACTCCCTGAGTATAATTCTGAGACTGTCAGTTAATTTTCTACTCTGGTATATATCATTTTTACATTATAAAAAGTTAGAAAAATTACGTTACATATGCAAATATTTTCAATATAGAAGGTAATTACACAAGTAGTGAAGAGTAATAAATACATTCTTAATTATAATACAAAAAAAGAACAGTTTATACCTGTATTTAACACTTGGAAAGGTTCTTTTGAATGGAGCTGTCAGTAAATGTACTATGCACAAATACATTTTTCAACATAATGGAAATTTTATTTTAATCTAACAACCAATAGAGCTATAAATACACATAGCATGTAAAAAAGTAAACTGTATGTTTTCTATCTGCAGAATATAAAATGGACGTATAACAAATAAAAATAAAGTTGAATATCCAACTATTCGGGATGGAAGAAAGGCAAGGGAAATAGTAAGTTATTTATTAATAATTAATTATAAATATAGTCATTGATAAAAATAAATGATATTTTGAACTTCTTGGTACTATCAGGAAGATAAAGAGAAAGTTAACACTTGCTTTTCTACCTGAAGCCATTAAAAAAATTTTTTTTCTTTATACTACTATAACACAAGTGTTTTTAACAAATGTTACATAGGGACTTTTAGACTGGACAAGAGAGCATAGACTTCTCTCTCCCTGTTTCTCCCCACTAAGCATGACTAAAAACTACATGTAACAACCAAACAGAACTCTGAAAGGTGGAAGAGGAAGGTGAACTGGTTAGACGCCCCAGGACTAACAGCAAAGCATCAGGGCTTTTTATAACCTCCAGCATAACACAAGGAGGTGCCTCCGTCCTGGTGTTTGCTGATCCCCGGTCAGCAACAGAAACAAGAGAAGGTGGCCGAGGTTGGCTCTTTCTTTCCCCAGATTGAACGAGAGTCCCACCTACAACACAAGGCGAGCCTGGAAGAATGGGCAAAGAGAATTAAACAAAGCCCTACTGATAAAAAAAAAAAAAAAAGAAGAAGAAGAAGAAGGAGAAGGAGAAGGAGGAGAAGGAGAAGGAGAAAAAAAGAAAAGAAAAGAAAAAAGAGCAGCCAGAGAAAGAGCTTACCTCCTCTGTTGCTGAGCCTCCCTTCTCCCCCCCTCCCCAGAGGCATCATAGGCAAGGGGGCCATGGCAAAAGGAATTATGCTACCACAATGGCCTGTTATGTGAAGTGTTTTCCTTCCTTAGCAGTTGTGAGACTCCCCACTTCCATCAAGAGATACCCTGTGAGTGGGGGATCAGTAAAGGGGATTATGCCACAACAGGTATTCAGCCTAGGAAATGCTCTCTACCCCCAGAGACAGGGAGAAGCTCACCACAACACCCACTAAAGGAGCCTCTTCATCTCCATAAATCAAAGACTCCCATTTCTCAGAAGGACATGGAACATTCTCACCTAAGGAAACACCTTCTGACCACTCAGGGATCATCAGTAGAGATCCTGGGAGGCCCAATGGCACAAGGTAAGCCAAGGAGGTCAAAACAACACAGCAAAGAATCAGAAAATAAACTGATCATTGGACCCACAGTCCACATAAGTAGGCCAGGACCTGTTCTTAAAACCTAAAAAGGTGATTGTCTGCTAAATTCAAAAATTCAAAGAAGACATGGAGTCTCCTAACTTAATATCTAAAATGTCCAGCATACAATTCAAAATCATGTCATCACAAGGATCAGTAAAACCATAACTTGAATGAGAAAATAAAATGAAATGATGTCAACCCAGAGATAAATCAGATATTGGAATTATCTAACAAGAATTTTAAAACAACCAGCATAAAAATGATTTAAAAAGCAATTACAAATTCTCCTGAGATGAAGAAAAAACAGAAGTATCAGCAAAAACATATGTTGCTTAAAAGAACAAAATGGAAATTATAGACTTGTAAAAAACAATAGATGAAGTAACTCCCTGAATGGGCTCAATACTAGATGGGAGACAAAAAAGAACAGAATCAATGAACTTGAGTACAGATCAAAAGAATTTGCTCATTCTGAGCAAAAGGCAGAAAATAGACTGAAACAAAAATAAAAACAGAGCCTCAGAAACCTCTGGAAGCATAGCAAAAGACCCAATATTTGTATGATTAGAGTCCCAGAAGTGGGGAAAAATAAAAAAGGATCTGAAAGAATATGCAAAGAAAAATTGGCTGACAAGCCCCCAAATTTGCCAAAAGACATAAATCTACTGATTTTAAAAGGTGAGACTATCTCAAATAGGATAAACCCAAATAAGTTAACACCAAGTCATATTACAAATAAATTGCTGAAAATTAGACAAAGAAAAAATACTGAAAGCAGTTAGATAGAAATAATCTATTACCTATAGGGCAACGCCACTTTTCTTTTTCTTTTTTGCAAACATATTGAGTTTATTTTGAGTTTACTGAGTTTATTGCAGAACTGTAATAGGAAATGGGATTGTATAAAAAAAAGAGATGGAGACAAAACTGGATGAGGGTTTCATACTGGGTGTCCCATCCACAAGCCTCAGCAGCCCACCCACGGATCTGCCCGCCTCAGCAGCCCCGCCACGGATCTGCCTGATTCTTTCGCATCAAGAAGTTGATCTTGTGAGCCATTTCCATACTGTAGATCCGCCGGCACTTTTCATAGCTTTCCCTCTGTCGCCGGCCGCATGGCTTCTCATAATACCGCCGAAGCTTAATGTCCTCAGTGAGCCCATCCGTAGTGAGGATTCTGTTTAGGGTCCTCTATGCACCTTCCACGTTCCCTTCCTATACCATCACAGTCCTGGTGATGAACTTCAGATGTTTTGCCATGAACTTGGGTTTAAATCTCCATTCTGCAGAGCCACAAAGACCCGTTGCCAGGCATGGAAAGGGCAGGGATGGCAAGGAGGCACCACAGGATGCCAACAACCACACACAGTTCCAAAAGGGCTTGGGTTGGGAGTTGGGAAAGTTCTCTTTGTTGGTCTTTGGAAAAGGGAGCAAAAGCCTGCAAACCTGCCTTCCTGCCGAGCCGGCCTTCCTTCCCCCAAACCCTGCACCCAGCACCACTTTACAATGATAGCAGATTTCTCATTTGAAACCATGGGGTGCAGAAAAAAAAGTTGTGTAGAATTTTTCAAGTTCCATGAGAAAAGAACTGTCAACCATGAATTCCACATTGAATAAAACTACTTATCAGGAATGAATGTGCAATAAACACATTCTCAAAGGAAAACCAAAAGAAATTGTCACTAGCATACCTACCCTCATAGAATGGCTAAAGAAAGCTCTGTAAACCTAAATAAAATGATTTAAAAAAAAAAAGAAAGACTCTTGAGGCCTAAGGTGGGGAGGACAAACAATGGAGAATAGACACATAAGTAAACACAATGGAGTATCCTTCTTTTCATGAGTTTTCTAAATTATATGTAATGATTAAAATAAAAATTATAACACCATCTGATCCTCAAAACAAGGATATTTTAAAGTGAAGAAGGCAAAAAAAAAAAACCTAAATAGAAGTGAAATTCCTATACTTCACTTGAAGTGGTAAAATACTGAAACCAATAGGCTGTGATCAGTCATACCCAGAGCAATCACTATGAAAATTACACAGAGTAATATATTTAAAAACACTATACAGAAATCAAGATGAAATCCCAAAAATAGTCAACTAATTCATAGGAAGTAAAGAGAAAGAAAGGAATCAAACAGAAAACACATAATAAAATCATAGAGCTAAGCCCTACAATATTAATAATTACTTAAACATAAATGGTCTAAATACATCAATTAAAAGGCAGAAATTGGCAAGATGAATTAAAAAAGCATGACCCAACAATTTGCTGTTTGATATACTGTTTACAAGAAAATCATTTCAAATTTAATGACATAAGTGGGTTGGAAATATAAGGGTGGAAAAATATATGCTGTGTAAATATAATTTTTTTAAAGGCAGGAATGGCTATAACAATATCAAATGAACTAGATTTCAAAGCAAGAAAAGAATATGAGAAAAAAAATCATTGCCTAATGATAAAAGGATCAGCACACCAGGAAGACATAATGACCCTAAATGTGTATATATCAAACAACAGAGCCTCAAAATACGTGAAGAAAAATTGATAGAACTGAAAGAAGAAAGAGACAAATCCATAATTATAGGTGGGGACTTTAACACCTCTCCTCTAAACAAGTAATGGACTGCTAGACAGTGCTATTCTGTATCAGTAAGGATATACAAAATGTGAACAACACCATCAGTCAATGGGATTTAATTGACATATATAGAAATCGCCTCTAAACAATAGCAGAACACATGTTGTTTTTTAATTTTTATTCAGGCAACCATGGAACATTTACCAAGATAGATTGTATCCTGTGCCAAAAAACAAACCCCAACAAATTTGAAATAATTTGAATTATTTGAAATTATACAGAATGTGTTCTCTAATCATAATGGCATCAAACTGAAAATCAATAACAGAAAGACAAGAGAAAAATTTCTAAACAGAAATTAAACAATTCAATTCTTATTTCTAAATCATCCATAGGTCAAAAAGGATGTCAAAAAGGAATTTTAAAAATACACAGAACAGTATTAAGATGGAAGTATGGCATATCAAAATATGTGGGATGCAGCTACTGAAGCACTATTGAGAGTTAAATTTATAATGCTTATATATTAGAAAAAAGAAAAGGTCTTAAATCAGTAATAAAACTTCCTACCTCAAGAAGCTAGAAAAATAAAAATAAATTTAAAAAACAGAAAATAAACCCAAAGCAAACAGAAATAAGGATATAAAAAAGAACAGAAATCAATAAAATTGCAAATAGGAAAACAGAGAAAATAAATGAAACCAAAAGCTATTTTTTTAAAAAAAATCAGTAAAATTGATAAACCTGTAAAAAGGTGGACATAAAAGGGGAGAAAAGATATAAATAGTCAAAATTAGGAATAAAACAGAGAAATCATTACAGATTCTGTAGCCATTAAAAGAGTAATAAGGCAATATTATGAGCAACATTATGCTCAGAAGTTCAACAGAAAAATCAGCAATATAGAAGATCCGATCACTACAATCATCCAACATGATCTAATTGACATATATAGAAATACTCCATCCAACGACAGCAAAATACACAATTTTTAGAAAAAAAAAGGACCAATCCCTTGAAATCCACAAATTGCCGAAAATAAGTATTCTTGATAGTCTCATAACAATACTGAAATTAAATTTGCAATTCAAAAGATCCAGAAAATGGAATCTCCAGGATCAGCTGATTTCCCTGAATATGTCTACTACATATTTAAAGAATAATTAACATCAATTTTACATACTCTCTTCCAGAAAATAGAAAATTAAGAAACATTTTCCAACTTATTTTATGAGGTCAATACTACCTTGATCTTAAAACCAGACAAAGACAGTACAAAAAAAAAAAGAGAGAGAAAGAAAACTATAGACCAATAACTTTCATGAACTTAGAAGCAAAAAAGTCATAAAATATTAGCAAACTGAAAAAAAATACACCAAGTGGGATTTATTTCAGATGTGCAAGTCTGGTTCAATATTTGAAAATGAACCAGAGCAATCTACCACATCAATAGGCTAAATAAGAAACTTACATGATAAATCAATTGCAGAAAATGCATCTGACCAAATGCAATACCCATTTATGATTAAAAACTCTTAGCAAGTTAGGAGTAGAGAGGAACTACTTCAACTTGAAAAAGAGCATCGATAAAAATTCATAGCTAATGGTAAAAGACTGAATGCTTTCCCTCTAAAATGGTGAATGAAGCAAGACGTCTGCTCTCACAACTCGTACTCAACACAGTAAAATAAACAGCATGTATATTGTAAAGGAAGAAATAACACCAGTCCTCTTTGCAGATGGCATAGTTGTCCATGCAGACAATGCCCTGGAATCTACAAAAAGAAAATTCCTAGATCTCATAGGTGAGTTAAACAAAGTCTCACTATACACAATCAACAACCAAGAAACAATCATATTTTTATGTTCTAGCTCTTTGGCAAGTGGCATCTGTTGCTTATTACCAGGAGTAAAAGTCTGGACACGTTTGGCCACTGCATTTTAGTATTGGAGTTACCAAGGAAAACACAACACAGTCAAGTACTAGATGGAACAATGCTTTACTCACATAGAGAAGAGACAGAGCAAGGTCAGCTATGTGGTGACCCCATAAGCAGTCCCCATAAACAGCAGGGCCTCCTTTCAGCAGATGCGGGGCAGTTGGCAGCATGCAACCATTTCATGCTGCAGCAGAAGAACCTTTTGCCCTCCCCGCAGAAGAAAGTTACAGCAGTGGGGCTGGCTAGGTGCCATATGATACATATGTTTAAGCAGAACGAGGGAGTACATATTGAGTCTGAAACAGGGAAAGATATTCCCACACAAGGTGATAACTCCAGCATGGTCTGCGAGGACGCTTTATCTCTTGGGAAGGAAGTGTTCTAGGCCCAAGGCCCATTCTTATGTGGCTGAGTAGGGGTTTCAAAGGCCACATGCACAATACTGCCTTTCCCAACACTAATAATGAATATGTAGAAACTGAATTAAAAACAGAATACTATTTACTATCCCTCAAAAGAAAATGAAATACTTAGGTATAACCTCACAAAAAACGCCCAGGGTCTGTATGTGGAAAATTACTCAACAGTTAAAAAAATAAAAACAACTCAACTAGGAAATAGGCAAAAAACATGGGGTGACATTTTCCTGCAAAAGACAAACAGATGTCAAACAAGCACATATAAGATGTTCAACATCACTAGGCATTAGGTAAATGCAAATTAAAACCACAGTGATATATCACTGCATACCTATCAACATGACTATTAAAAAAAACAGTGATAACATTAAATGCTGGTGAGAATGCAAAGAAATTGGATCACTCGTACATTGCTGGTGGGAATGCAAAATGGTACAGACACACTGGAAAACAGTTTGACAGTTTCTTAGAAAACTAAACCTGAAACT
This sequence comes from Homo sapiens, assembly GCF_000001405.40. NCBI lineage: Eukaryota > Metazoa > Chordata > Mammalia > Primates > Hominidae > Homo > Homo sapiens. The sequence continues at coordinate 197,359,640 of NC_000001.11, read as the reverse complement.
ATCATAGGAACCAGCAATTTTACTCCTGGGCATTTACCTTAGAGAAGTGAATATTTATATTCACACAAAAGCCTGTACAACAATGTTTCTAGCAGCTTTATTCAGCGGCTGTTATGAATTAATAGCCGAAAACTGAAACAATCTAGATGCCCTTCAATGGCTGAATGGTTAAAAAATCTTTGATATATACATACCATCGAATTTTACTTAGCAATGAAAAGGAACAAACTATTGATACACACAACCTCAATAAATCTCCAAAGAATGATGCTGAGTGGAAAAAAAAAAAAACTCTTATTCTAAAACTTTACATATTGCATGATTCCATTTATATAACATTCTTGGAATGACAAAATTATACAAGTGCAGAACAGATTAGTATTTGCCAGGGATAAGGGATGAGGAGGCAGGGAAGGAGAGAGGTGGCATCCTTGTGATGATAATTGTTCTGGATGTGGACTTTGTCAATGTCAATATGCAAGTCTGATAGCTGAACTATAGTTTTGCAACATGGTACTATTGGGAAAATTAGGTAAAGCATACATGGGCCTCCCTGTATTTCTTAAAACTGCACATAAATATACTATTATCATTTAAAAAGTTATTTAAAAACAAAATATAGAAAAACGTGTAGACATAAAAATATGTGACATAGTAGGCAGGAGGATAAACTTAGAATCAGAAGATCTAGGTTCGTATCCCCAGTGTACCAGTTCTAGCTATTGTGTCAAATTGGTTATCTGTTTGCAAAACTTATTTTCTCTTTATTTTAGGTACACAGAAAGACTAGATTTTCTCGTCTTTTCTGCAATTAAATGTAGTTACATGATTACATTTGACCAGTAATATGTGGGTAAAAGAGATATTCATTACTTGTAGTGGTTGGCCCATAAAATCTGCAGGTGTCACACTCCATTTTCTTTCCTTCTCCAGTAGCTTGCTTCATAAGAGCACAGCAAATTTGGAAGTAACATTTTGAAGCGGGGGAAAAACATAGAGGAGCCTGTGACCCTGAATTGCCATTTGTAGGACAACTGATGATGGGAACCCAGTTTTGGAATTCACATGAGTAAAACATAAACCATTGCATTAAGCCACAGAGATTTGGGGCAGTCAGGACATCTTAACTCATATAGTCATTCCTGGCAGCTCTTCAGAAATCAAGCCCAACACTTTTCTGGAACATTCTACTGTCTCTCCTTTTAGATCTGCAGATTCAAGGGGTCACCCATTTCCTTTTATTTGATGAGGTAATATTAGCAATGTCCTTTGACTTTCACAGAATCACCCCTTTATGACCCTAAAACCAATATTTAAAAAATAATTTATAATGCCTTCACCTTATTCCAAGAAAAATATAAAGTAGCTGACGAAAATGCATACACTAGACCAAAATCAAATAATTTAGAAACAAATTTTTGAAAAGAGGCAATAGTAAGAAACAGAAACAGGAAATTTAAATATCCCCAGAGGTGAGGTAAATACACAAATATATTTCAGAAAGACCTGTATGTTTGCAGATCTCATATTTATTTCTAGCAGCTTACATAATTGGGAAATATTATATATTACAAGATTTATTTCATGCATTTAATCAGTTGAGTCACATCAAGATTTATTTGGATGCATTTTTTAAACTAGGGTGGAAAGCATGCATGATAGAAGTTGTTCAGGGAAAATACCACTTTCCTGATATTGACACCTGGGGAATTTTTTTACTGTATGTTCTCCTTGAAAGGTCAGTGAATAAGGAAATAAACATTTTTTTTATCGACCTTGCAGCAAACACTGCCACAAATCAAAGACCATTAAATTTCAAAACTGAAACATTGAAAGAGAATCCTAAGTGTAAATAGACACCCCCTTCTTTTCTTATTTCTCATTTACTTTTCTCAGAAATCCTCAACAACAACTGATATATTTTCCAGAGGCATCACTTAATCTATTGAGAAAGAAATATGATAGAGATCTAGATTGTAATTGGTTTTCTCAGTGATATCAATGCAATTGTAGGTAAATTGCTAGCCATTAATGAATTGGGGAATGCCTCAATAATTCTGAAAATTTTCAGAACAGAAAGCAGACAATACAAAACTGTTCATTGGATAACATACATGCAAATTTCCTCTGGGTTTTAGGTAAGCAAGTTGTGAAAAAAAAAGAGTAATTTAAATTTGATATGTGGAATGACTTTAGCTACAGAATCGTTGAGGAAGATTACTTGAGACTAGGTCATTTTTCCCAGTGTAAATATAAGTACAATAACTTTTCTAGCAAATTTGAATAACATAAAATTTAACATCATTATCAAATTTGATAGCATAAAAATTTCAACATTTTCTGTGTGTAACGTAAAGAACTTGAGATGCACTCCAGTTCCCAGTATAGCATATAAAAATGTCATCCCTTTCATTCCTCCTTTATCCCTCTTTAATATTTCTCTCGTGATTTGAGGAATTCTGAAATGTGAAACAAGATACTTTTCATGCCCACAAGGGGGACCCTTTGCACCACAGCAGCAGAGTTTACACAGTACAGCTCTTCCTGCTAATACACCATTTGGTTAAAGCCATGGTCTGCCATAAAATACCAGAAAGTCAAGTCATATCCCATCTCCTTGGCCTCACCTGTGAATCCAGGCTGACAGATACAGACATAACCTGAGGCTTCATGGTAGCTGAAAGAAGAAGGCAGTCCAGTGATGCGTCCATATTGTTTCTCTGAGGACAGCTCCACACATTCCCCATTGGACTGGCAGGGGTTACTATTGCATTCATTGAGGTCGATCTCACACTGGGCACCTGTGTATCCTGCATGATGAAAATTCAGAGAAGCTGCTAAGTCAAAGGTGTTGAATTATAGAGCATTTGCCTAAAAGGAGGTTGACTGCTATACTGGCATTGATTTAGCAAGTTGATGTGCCTGCCCTCAAGGAGCTGGTAAGGGGAATCTGGTAAGAGGAGGCTTAGTGGAAACAAGTACTAGTATCAGTAAAATCACTTAAATAATTTTGACCAAAAAATTTTAAAGAAAAATTTGATTAATAAGACTTGAAATAAAATTAGATGTCAGGATAACCTGGATTTAACCTGAACATTTTAATGAAAGCCTCCAATTTTTCAAATACTCATTTGTGAATTTGTATTTAAAAATATTTCAATAGCTGAAAAGTCAGCAAATATCCACAAAACCAAACTAAATTCTCTTAAAACTCAAAGTAAAGGTAAATCCTTATTTCATAGCATTCAATGAAACAGAATAAGAGGTTGTTTTAAATTTGCATGGACTTAGCTGGATTATTTTATTAGGACCAGGAATAAGAACAGTAAAACATGATTTGTCACTTTATAGATAATTAAAACATTAAATATCAATGAAAGTTCTCTACTTGAACTTTTTCTTTGCTTTTATAAATACGAGCAACTGTAAGAAATACATACAGTTTTAGTGTATGTGACTGTTTTAACATAACTGGAACTGTATTATCTGCATTCTTTAGCAACTTGCTTTATTCACTCCCTTGCACAGTCTAGCCATGTTAGTAATATAGATCTAACTCACAATTTATAACTACTGCCAAGTATTTCAGAATATAGATGTGCCATGCCTTAACCATTGTCTTACAGTTTAACCTTTGTTTTATGTACATTTTTGCTATTGTGATGTTGCAATTAATATCATTATGAGAGGTGACAGTGTGCTGGCAGCCCTCGCAGCCCTCGCTCGCTCTGGGCGCCTCCTGGGCCTGGGCACCCACTCTGGCCACGCTTGAGGAGCCCTTCAGCCCACCGTTGCATTGTGGGAGCCCCTCTATGGGCTGGCCGAGAATGGAGTCGGCTCCCTCAGCCTGCGGGGAGGTGTGGAGGGACAGATGTGTGTGGGAACCGAGGCTGCACGGGCGCTTGCGGGGCTGCGTGAGTTCTGGGTGGGCGTGGGCTTGCCGGCCCAAAACTCAGAGCGGCCGGTGGGCGCCGCTGCCCACGGCATTGAGGGGCTTAGCACCCGGGCCAGCAGCTGTGGAGGGTACGCAGGAGCCCCCAGCAGTGCCAGCACACCAGTGCTGCTCTGGAATTCTCGCCAGGCCTCAGCTGCCTCCCCTCAGGACAGGGCTCGGAACCTGCAGCCCGCCATGCCTGAGCCCCCCGCAATCCCCCAGGGCTCCTGAGCAGCCCCAGCTTCCAGGATGAGCACCACCCCCTGCTCCGCGGCGCCGGGTCCCATCAACCGCCCAAGGGCTGAGGAGTGCCAGCGCACTGCGCGGGACTGGCGGGCAGCTCCACCTGCGGCCCCTGCGTGGGATCCACTAGCTGAAGCTAGCTGGGCTCCTGAGTCTAGTACGGATTATGTCTAGCTAAGGGATTGTGGATGCACCAATCAGCACCCTGTGTCTAGCTCAAGGTTTGTGGATGCCCAATGGGCACTCTGTATCTAGCTAATCTGGTGGGGACTTGAAGAATATTTATGTCTAGCTAAGGGATTGTAAATACACCAACCAGCACTCTGTGTCTAGCTTAAGGTTTGTAAACACATCAATCAGCACCCTGTGTCTAGCTCAAGGTTTGTGGATGCAACAATAGGCACTCTGTATCTAGCTAATCTAGTGGGACTTGGAGAATCTTTATGGCTAAGGGATTGTAAATACACCAATCAGCACTCTGTGTCTAGCTCGAGGTTTGAAAATGCACCAATCAGTGCTCTGTCAAAATGGACCAATCAGCTCTCTGTAAAACAGACCAATTGGCTCGCTGTAAAATGGACCAATCAGCAGGATGTGGGTGGGTGGGCGGGGGGGGGGGGGTGGGCGGGGGGGGGGGGTGGGGGGGCGGGGGGCAGATAAGGGAATAAAAGCAGGCTGCTGGAGCCAGCAGTGGCAACGTGCTGAGGTCATGTTGTACACTGTGGAGGCTTTGTGCTTTTGCTTGTTGAAATAACTCTTGCTGTTGCCCACTGTTTGGGTCCACACTGACTTTATGAGCTGTAGCACTCACCATGAAGGTCTGCAGCTTCACTCCTGAGACCAACAAGACCACGAACCCTCCAGGAGGAATAAACAACTCTCCAGACGCGGCCAGACGTGCCATCTTAAGAGTTGTAACACTCACTGCAAAGGTCTGCGGCTTCACTCTTGAAGCCAGTAAGACCACGAACCCACCAGAAAGAAGAAACTCTGAACACGTCCGAACATCAGAAAGAACAGACTGCGGACACCCCATCTTTAAGAACTGTAACACTCACTGCGAGGGTCTGTGGCTTCATTCTTGAAGAGTCAATCAGACCAACAACCCACCAATTTCGGACACAATTATACATGGCTGTCTGTGTAAGCGTTTTGAGTTTAACCCTACAGTTTATGCCTAGAGATGGAATTTGTGGGTCATAAGTAATGTACATTTTTAATTTTAATAAAAGCTGCCAAACATCTCTAGTTGTACCATTTGCACATTACCAGCAGTGGATGATTGTGAATGTGGCTCAAAACGTTTGCCAACCTTTGCTATCACCAAATATATAAATTTTACCAGCTGGTTGGATAAAATATAGTATCTCACTGTTACTTTGGTTTACGTTTTCCCCAGTTAATATTGAGCTGAACATTTTGGGGGTGTTTTTTTTTTTTTTTACCATTTCATATTTTTTCCTGTTTTTTTCATTAGGTTGTTTTCCATATTGATTTGTAAGAGTATTTATATACTATGTATACTGCTCGCCCCAAAATGTAAATTTAGTAGGATGCACATATAACACTGATGGTCAATAGGATAATATCAAGTGTTTTGTAACGTGGTAAAAGAAATGTATAAAGTTTTTTTTTTTTTTTTTTTTTTTATTTATATATTTTTGAGACGGAGTCTCACTCTGTAGCCCAGGGTGCAGGGCATTGGTGTGATCTTGGCTGACTGCAGCCTCCATCTGCTGGGTTCAAGTGATTCTCCTGCCTCAGCCTCCCAAGTAGCTGGGATTACAGGCGTGTGCCACCATGCCCGGCTAATTTTTGCATGTTTAGTAGAGACGAAGTTTCACCATGTTGGCCAGTCTAGTCTCGAGCTCCTGACCTTAGGTGATCCACGCGCCTCGGCCTCCCAAAGTGCTAGGATTACAGGCGTGAGCCACCTCATATTTTTAAAGAAACACAATTCAACTTCACAGTCGCCTAAGGCCCTTTGCAATATCATTTAACTCTGCTGAGAAATGTTTTGGAAACAATTTACAGTTGAGAATTATAAAACTTGTAAACTAAATCATAGTATGTGTTTACTTTAAAATCATTCAACAACTTCCCCTTTCACATAGAAAGGAATTCAACATCCTTAACATAACTGTAAAAACTCCCTGCATTCCCACAGCCTTCGTGATGTTTTTCTCTCTTCTAGAAAACTCTCCTTCAAGTGTTTTCTTGGCTAACTCTTACTCAATTTTCAGACTTTATCTTGTATTGCTTTCTCAGAATAACTTTCCATCATGGGCAGATATAAATAAGATCCCCTTATTTTCTCTCATGCCACCCAATTCTTTTCTTTCATTGCTCTCATTGTAATTTTAAATATATATTGATTTGTGTATATGGTTTCCTCCCTCAGCAGGCTGTGTGCTTCACAAAACAGAGACTGTGTTCATTTTATTTACCAGTCCAGGACTGAGCAATATGTAAGCAGTAGACCTTCAATCACTAGTACTACTCAAAGATTGAAAATAACAATTTAGATTATAATCCTAGTTTAGCACATAAACCAGGGAATTGACTATTAATAAGCAAATAATGAGATTGTAATGTGTTTGCTCATTTTGTATTAGTTTTAATAAACACCTAAATGAGATCATATGTTAAATCATAACCACAACATAAATTCTGCAGCTCAACAGTGTAATATATTTTTTACAAAAAGACCCTTGGGGCCTTTCTCAACAATCTGAAGAAGAAACTTAGAGTCAAAAAGTTAAAAAAAAAAAAAAAAAGGAAAGTAAAATAACATGTCAGATCAAGACCCAACAATCCTTTGTAGTGACCCCCCGCAACAAAGATCATTCAGAGTCTCTTAAACTTGAATGTCTACCTTTTGAATATTATTATTTCATACTTAAGGTTCTTCAAATACATTAAATAATAGTTTTTACAATAAGTTTTTATTAACTGGTATTTGTTGTGCCACAATGGACTTATTGAAGAAAGGCTGGACTATTTTCAATTTTCTTCTCATTCTAAGACTCGAGACACACATAAGCCAGGTTAGGGAGTAATTTAGAATCATCATAAATCCTTTTTTTGCTTTTCTGGCTCATGCATTATCTCATTCCAATCGTGAACATTAGGAAGATTCTGATTTATAGTCTTGCCAGTCCTGTCCCCAACACTGAGGCCCTGTGGGGATTTTATTTGCTGCTTTCTTTAACCATGTATATAAATAGACTCCTTCAGTCAAGACTGTATTCAATAGTTTTAACAAATTTTTCTGTAAAACTCTGAACAAATAAACAACATGATACTGAGTCACATCCCTGGGGTTCTTATATTATGTTTGTTAACAATTCCAATCACATCTGGGCATCAGGAAATCTTTGAAAGTAAGCATTTAAGGTGACTGACACTTCTTGTAATTATTAATTACTTCTGAAATGAGGACCCTAGGCAATTACATCAGTGGATTCTTGCCATTGTGTTCTGTGGCAGTGAAGTCATGAGCTGAAGAAATGGTCTCCTTTTCTTAGATATAGAGTAGTTTGTAGTGTTAACTTTTATCTTTGTATACAACAGCAAGATAGGTTACAAGGGTATTCAGGATGTTCTATCTAGGCAAAATTACCATCCATGCAGTAACCCAAGGCAGAAACCCAGAGGCAGAACTGTCCTAAACCTGTGCCCTTTTCTCACTCCCCACATCATTTCCAGCTCCTATGTGACTCTCAGGACTACCCCTCGCCCCAACCTTAACCACTGTTGTCTTCGTTCTAGCAAACAGGCTCATCTCTTCAAACTACCTAGGAATCTACTCACTAGATTTCCCTGCCTTTAGTGTTATTTTCTTTGATCATCTGCCATGAAGCCAGGGAACTCTTTTGAAATTAACAAAGCAAATTTTGTTATTTCTCTGCCCCGTAGTTGGCAGGGCAGATATGGAGTTTTGTGATCTGGCTTTAGTCCTGCTCCCCAGTTCAATGTTTCTACCTCCAGCCCTACACAGTCCAGTATTTTTGCAATCATTCAAAGTTCCACAATTGGACATGCTCTTTTCTTTTTTTCTCTTTTCTTTTCTTCTCCTTTTTTTTTTTTTTTTTTTTTTGCCAAGTCTCACCCTCTCGCCCTGGAGTACAGGCTGGAGTGCAGTGGCGCGATCTCGGCTCACTGCAACCTCCGCCTCCCAGGTTCAAGTGATTCTCCTGCCTCAGCCTCCTGAGTAGCTGGGACTACAGGCATGCAACACCACACCCGGCTAATTTTTTTTTTTTTTTTTTTTTTTGTATTTTTAGTAGAGATGGGGTTTCACCATGTTGGCCAGGCTGGTCTCAAACTCCTGACCTCAAGTGATCTGCTTGCTTTGGTCTCCCAAAGTGCTGGCATTACAGGTGTGAGCCAAGGCGCCCAGCCAGACATGCTCTTTTCTATGGGTGCCTGCCACCTTTCTTGCTTCTTTCTTTCCTCTTCTCCTTCCGTTCTTCATTTATTAAATAAGTAATGGACTACACAACTTCCTAATTTTGATATTTATTTAACTTTTACTTAGTGCTTACTGTGGTCCAGGATAAGCCAGGAGTTTTATATACATTACTGGATTTATCTCTGAAACAGCTCCATCCTGTGGATATTATAAATGAGGAAACTGAGGCTCAGAGCAGTAATTTGTCCAAAGTCACACAGCTAGTGAATACATTTATGGAACTTAGTCATCTTTAGCTTATCTAAAATGGTGCCTCTTTGATCAAGCTATCCCTGCACTTCTTCTCTATTCATTTTTACAGAATTTAGTATAGCCTCTTATTGTACCAAAAATTGTACTATATACGTTTTGACATATGTCTCGCTACTAGAATTTAGGCTCCTTGGAGGAAGGGACGATACCTTTTATATTCCCAGATCCCTATTGTATTAGCCACTGAAATCCATGTGGCTTAAATGCTTGAATCCATGAATGAATGGAACATGTACTAATTGGGTTTCTTGAGGTAGATGTTCTTAACTGCCTGACTCCATTACAAACTCTCGCCCTCCTACATAATTTCCACCTCATGGTATAGAATTTGCTACATAGTTGCCCTTTTTTGAGTGCTTAATATGTGCAAGGCTCTATTTTTACAATTTTACTTTTCATAATAATACTACAAGTAAAGTATTTTTATCCCTCTTTTGCAGATGAGGAACTTAGAGATGAAGAGGAAACTCACCCGAGTTCACTCAGTTAATAAACAGGAAACATATCCTACTCCTAAACCATCCACTCCGCCCTCTGCTTCTGGACAGAGATCTTTCATGAGTGTTGGTTGGTGACAAGAACATGAAACTACATAGTTTGGAAAATTTTCAGGTTTTTTTTTTTTTTTTTTGAGACGGAGTCTCGCTCTGTCGCCCAGGCCGGACTGCGGACTGCAGTGGCGCAATCTCGGCTCACTGCAAGCTCCGCTTCCCGGGTTCACGCCATTCTCCTGCCTCAGCCTCCCGAGTAGCTGGGACTACAGGCGCCCGCCACCGCGCCCGGCTAATTTTTTGTATTTTTAGTAGAGACGGGGTTTCACCTTGTTAGCCAGGATGGTCTCGATCTCCTGACCTCATGATCCACCCGCCTCGGCCTCCCAAAGTGCTGGGATTACAGGCGTGAGCCACCGCGCCCAGCCAAATTTTCAGTTTTAAGTCAAGTTGATGACCAAAGGTTAGCAAATATTCCTCATTTATTATCTGCAAGTGGGAAGACATAACATATATAGATTTCCAAGCCACAGCATTCCAAACTTCATTTTATATTTTCATTTATTTTTCCTATAAAATGTATTTAACCAAAGATGTTAAATGTCTCTTAGGCAATAGGATATCTTTCAACCAGAAGCTACTACTGATTAGATTGACTAGTCTCCAGGTTTCCTTTCCACCCACAAGATTATCATTTTCTTAGACAATAAAGTTAGTGGGGAGAGAGAGACAGATGATCAGTAAGCTTATATAACTAGGCCTTGAGTAATCATAAGTTTATCATTTTTTCCCAGTAAATAAAGCAAGAGGAGATAGGAGATGCTGTGTCTTTTATTTTTATCAAAAAATCCTAATGAGAATTAGATTTTAAAAAAGAGTCATGCATCACTTAAAGACAAACATTTGTTCTGAGAAGTAAGTCATTACACAATTTCATCATGGTGTGAAAATCATAGAGTGTACTTATACAGACCTAAATGTTATAGCTGACTACATACCTAGGCTATAGGGTATAGTCTATTGCTGCTAGGCTACAAACCTGTACAGCATGTTACTGTACTGAATACTGTAGGCAATTGAAACACAATGGTATTTGTGTATCTAAACATACTTAAACATACAAAAGGTACAATAAAAACACAGTATAAAAGATTTTTTTAAGTGGTACACCTGTGTAGGGTACTAACATGAATAGAGCTTGGAGGTCTGGAAGTTGCTCTTGAGAGTCAATGAGTAATGAATGAATGTGAAAGCCTACAACATTATTGTATACTACTGTAGATTTTATAAATACTGTATGCTTAGGCTACTCTAGGTTTATTAGAAAATTTTCTGTCTTAAAAACTAACCTTAGTGTACTAGAACTTTTTTACTTTATAAATTTTTCAAATTTTTAAACCTTTTGGCTCTTAAATAATGCTTAGCTTAAATCACAAACACATGTACAGCTGTATAAAATAATTTCTTTATGGGCCAGGCGCAGTGGCTTATGCCTGTAATCCCAGCACTTTGGGAGGCTGAGGCGGGCGGATCACAAGGTTAGGAGATTGAGCCCATCCTGGCTAACACAGTGAAACCCCGTCTCTACTAAAAATACAAAAAATTAGCCGGGCATGGTGGCAGGCACCTGTAGTACCAGCTACTCGGGAGGCTGAGGCAGGAAAATGGTGTGAACCCGGGAGGCGGAGCTTATAGTGAGCGGAGATCACACCACTGCATTCCAGCCTGGGCGACAGAGAGAGACTCCGTTTCAAAAAATAAAAATAAATAAATAAACAATAAATAATTTCTTTACATCTTATTCTATTTTGAATTTTTTAAGCTTTTAAACCTTTTATTAAAAATTAAGAACCAAGCACACACCATAGTCTAGGCCTACATGGAGTCAGGATTATCAATATCACTGTCTTCTACCTCCACATCTTGTCCCACTGAAATGTCTTCAGCAACAATAACACACATGAAGCTGTCATCTCCTATGACAACAATGCGTTCTTTTGGAATACTTCCTGAGGGACCACCACAATCCCATGGATAGTGAGTGATACTACAATGTTAAGACAGCCATGACATCACTAGGCAGTAGGAATTGTTCAGCTCTATTGTAATCTTACAGGACCACGGTTGTATATGTGGTCCGTCATTGACCAAAATGTTGTTATGCAATGCAAAGCTGTATGTCAGGCAGTTTGTTTTGCAAAATTAGCATCAATATTTGCCTATGGCCTGTAATGTAACACAAATGTTACATACTGTTTTCTATTGATTCTTGTATCACCTCTATACTCGTCTAATTATCCTCTATATGTAAACTTTAATTATGGTTTATAGATAATTAACTTTTTATTATATTAACAAATATAACTCTTTACAAATGCCTAAGAGAATACAAGTTTCTAATAGTTTAACATTATTTCATGGATTTCTATATATTCCTGCCATATAAGAGAACATCTTGGAAGAAAAGAGCATCTTCCAGTGAATTTTTCTCCATGAAGATCATGCTGAATTTCATCTTTCCATTGATTTTTCCCTTCTATTCCTCTAGAGGGTTATGATCATTGGGCAGCTTGGTAACCTACTTCAGACAACATTTAGTATAGCAGTAAATATGTGTGAGCACTGAAGAATAAAACTAAACAATATTAGCTAGAAGAAATTGATTTAAAACATTTAACAACAATAATTTTTCATTTCATTTGCTATAAGCGATATGTGTATTCTAAACAAATGAAAAATAATTGGTGGAAGGTATTTTGTCACTCACCAGGCCAGCAGTGACAAGTGTAATTGTCAACACTGTCCTCACATGTAGCATTATTGTGACAAGGTTTTGACCAACAAAGAGGCATCAAGGTCTCACAGTGTGTCCCTGTGAATCCACTACCCGTGCAGTTACAGCTATATCTGGAAAGTAAATGAAATTTTCATGTCAACTCTTAGTCATATTGAGATCAGATATCTTTATACTGTTTCTTCAACTGTCTATCAACCCAAGACCCATGGCATCATCTTACTACCTCAAAAACTCTGGGGAATTATCTATACAGGACTGAATGCATGATTTATTTCCATATTAATGTCTTATTAACTTTAAAAAATTTAAAGTACAGGGTCATGCAAACCATGACTATTTAGTTCAGTTTCTTCATTCATAAATTGAATATAGTACCTATATTACAAGGTTATTGTGACAATTAAGTATGCATATAAAGAATAGACACAGTATTCCACATATCTGAAGTACTAAATATGTTGCTACTAAATAGCACTTAATAAAATTGTTAATATTTTTTAAGGTGGTAGAGAATGATTTATACCATCATGGCACTCTGTTATACAGAGAGCCCATTAATAAGGTTCCATATGAAAAGTGAAACCATAAATTATGAAAAACTCAGGAAAAGCCTTTATTAAATGAATTGTGACTTACGATGTTCTCTTATTTTTAGATTGCAAGAATATTTAGGCCTTACTATTTCTAATTATTAACGGAATGACTGGAATTATCAAATAGCCCCAAAATACAAATCTAATGAAGAAAGTTGTTGATTTTATTAAGAGGAGACTTTTAATTTAGGTCGGGGTCTCCTCAAGGATTTAGTATTGTAAAAAATGTACCTGCACACTCAGCTTAGGCAAAATGAGGGTCTTGGGAAAAGAATATCTATGAATTTATAAGGCAGGTAGAGTCCTCTTCGCTATGGCTGTGTGTGTTTTTATCACCAAACCAAATATTGTAAGTGACTGTAATCTTCATATGTGTTGTTAGAAATCTATTCAGTATTCCATTTGTTCAATTAAAAAATACCTACTAAAAATCTAGTATAGGTAAAACATTAGCGACAAAAACCCTGTTGCCAAAGGGCTTGGCTGGCTGACTAGTGGACCTCACGGAATTAGAAGCTCCATTTGCATAATTCCTTTGGTATGCAAGAAGTTCTTTTTTTTTTTTTCAGTTCTGATTTTCCAATGTATCTCATAGCAAACATTTTAAATTTTTGTGGGAACATAAAGTCAGGTTATATTGGATTGATCTTATGACTATCATCTCAACATTTAGGCAATAAGAGATAATGGTACAATAGGGAAATTATTCATGGCATATTCAAGTGAGGAGAATAAAAGATAGCAAAGTTTCAGCCTTGTTTACATTTCCATTGGAATCAAAAAGTTGTGTCGTTTCTGTCCTGATGCTTTCTGGAAACAGTGAAGTATGGAAGGGTAAGCCTCCTTTTCCTCTAGGAGGCCTTGTGTGGAAACTTCCATTGTGACCTGTCTGTCTCTGTGTTGGCCAGTTACCTGTCTCCAGGAATGTAGATTTATGCCCCTAGAGCATTATTGGGGTACAACTAAAAGTCAAAGGCAAGACATGGAATGTAATTAAAAGTTATATTTTAAAAAGAATGTACAACCACATTGTTCTATTAAAATTTGAGAGCCAGGTGCAGTGGCTCACACCTGTAATCGCAACACTTCAGGAGGCAGAGGCAGGTAGATCACCTGCGGTCAGGAGTTCGAGACCAGCCTCGCCAACATGGTGAAACCCTATCTCTACTAAAAATAGCAAAATTAGCCAGGCATGGTGGTGGGCATATGTAATACCAGCTACTCAGGAGACTGAGGCAGGAGAATTGCTTGAACCGGAAGGCGGAGGTTGCGGTGAACCAAGATCACACCACTGCACTCCAGCCTGGGTGACACAGCAAGACTCCATCTCAAAAAAAAAAAAAAAAAAAAAAAAGTCATTATTTTTGCAAATTTTTGAAGCATATGTGCCTTTTATTGCTCTCCTTTTGACTCTGATTCACTTTGAAATTAGATTTGGCATAAATTATGTCTTATTTACTAAATAAAGGAAAACCATTCTGGTCTTCCTTTTGCAAAGAATTAATTGTGTGAACTTGCGGGCGTCTTCTCATTTCCCTAAACTTTAGACTCCTTATTGTAATATGGAAACATAAATACTTATCTTGCCTTCCACTGAGCTGTCGAAGAATCAAACGATAATTTTAAGTGCTAATCTTGTTAAAAATTGTTATGTATTTGGTAACTCAGCATCGTGGCTTAAATAAAGATTAGAAAGTTCTTCAGTGTCGTGGCTTAAATAAGTATTAGAAAGTTCTTTTAAAAATGTTTTATATGAGCTCAATTACTGTTACACACATTTATTATATTCATCATATTGAGATGTAATTTATTGCTGTTCTATTTTGCCTGAAAGCCAATGATAGACTTCAATTTGAAGCAGAATCACATGGCTATTTCTCGCCATTATGCTTTCTCAAAAATATTCACCCAATTCCCTGAACACATGGAAATTAATTCAAGATATAAGTAATTAAATATCACTGCCTTTTCCAACATGGTTTATATAACACTTTAAAAGGATTTATTGCTGTCATCTGATTTATATCCTTGACATATAGATACAAACTTATGTACACATATATAATAATCTCTAGCTCTGTTTTTGCACCTTTCCTATCTACAACAGCTTTATTTCATGGAATTGAAAAATTGGCCATTTTCCATAGGATAAGCAGTTCTAAACTATTACAAGAATGACTTGTAAAATCTTCCCTCTTGAGACAGATGGTCTCCAAGAATACCCTTTTTAGTGAAATCTGAATGTTTTCATCAGTTAAAGTATAAAGTTACACCCCAAATTTTAAGCCGAGAACGTGAGAGCTCTAAATTCAACAGAGTGGTAAAATAGTTCATGGTCAGGGAGTTCTAAGCCAATCACCCAACGCCAGAGAAAATGTACCTGTTTTCTCCATCCACACACAGCCCTCCATGGAGACAAGGTTGACTGGCACACTCATCAGTGTTGAGTTCACAGTGATCCCCCAGGAATCCAGGGGCACAGTCGCAGAAATAGGCCCCCAGAGCATCCTGACAAGTTGCACCATTTAAACAAGGCTGGGACCAACATTCGTCAATTTCCAATTCACAGTTTACACCTTTTAAAAAAGTCAGCACAGAAAAAACAGAAAAAGTTTTAGCAAAGTGTTCATAATTTAGCAATTTGACAATGCTTTGTTTACCAGAGCACTTGTCAAATGTTCTGTTACCCAAAATAACTTTCCCCCTTAATTGTAATTGATATTAACTTTTGGTGTGCTTGTGGGAAGTTGCACAAGGCAGAGCAGCTGTTACAAAGAATTATTGCATACAACAGCTTGTGGTGTTTAGTCCGTGAAAACAAATAAGTCATTTTTAGAACAAAGTTTATTGTTAACTGCACTTTTGTTGGAAGCCTAAAAGTGGCTGGTCGATGTTTTTCCATTATTTTTAAACACTTAATTTAGTAAAGGAGCAGAGAGAACAGTGGGTAAGAGCTCAGACTCCAAAGCCAGACAGTTGGGTCGGGATCCTGGCACAGCCACTTATTAGCTGTATGACCTTGGGCAAGCTTCTCAGCCTTTCCATGTTTCAGCTTCCTCATGTGAAAAAGACGATAGTGGTAATTATCTCATAGGACTCTTAGTCTAATTAAATGTGTTCAAAAGTACTTATAGCAGTACCTGATACATACTAAGTATTTGCTAGAGAAAAAACACTTTTTTCCACAAAAAATCTATTGTACAAATATAATGTGCAATTATTGATCTAAGTGCTCATTTTGCATAGACATTTTTATCTTAATTTTTCTTTTTGTAAAATACTACCCTTAAATACAAAAACTGGTGACAATGTAATTAATGGCATCATTAGAAGCTATTAACACTTCATTTTAAGGTAATGTTATGTTAAAAAAAAACTGTACTTATCCCCCCAAAATTAGTAGGTATTATTTGCTAAGCAAAATAAGTTTATGATTTATACAAGTTGTAGTAGTATTTAAATAACAAACTATTTTATTAAGTGCCAAAATAGTATTTGATATGCAATAATTGCATTTGCATACAGGTTTTAAAAGACACAAAAGGAAGAATATCTATACTTATCCATCTTTATTTCTTTGTTTCTAACCCCAAATAATAAATTATATATTAAAATGGTATTAAAAGACTTTCAAAAAACTCAGAAGTCAGTAGTAGTTCAATTGATTTGTGCCCATTTTTCTCTACAGAAAATGCAGCAGGATATTCTAACACCATCTATTATTTACAACTGTTACTAGATTCAACAAATAACCAACTTAAAAGAGAAGCTAGCATATTAAATTTGATTGTTTTTTAAAAAATAAAAAACTCTAAATTTATGTCGGTGAAAATGGAAATTTTTGCAATAGCACTTGTTTCTAGGTAAGTGGCTTGCTCTTTGAGGCTTAGCTATTTCTACTGCAGTCTGTGAATGAGATTTTCCATGGCTATTTTACTTGGCATAACTAAGGTCATGGAAGAGTGGAAAGAACATAAATTTTTTTGACAGACCATCCAGGACTGAGCTCTGCTCTATCACTACTAACAACGAGGTTGGATACAGTAAATGCTACATCAATGGTAGGTATTACTATAGTGTGTTTGT
The DNA here is from genome assembly GCF_000001405.40 of Homo sapiens. Lineage (NCBI taxonomy): Eukaryota > Metazoa > Chordata > Mammalia > Primates > Hominidae > Homo > Homo sapiens. Next base: position 197,342,770 of record NC_000001.11, on the reverse strand, counting down.
CATTTCCTGCATTCCACCCTTAATTCTTCAGGGTAGGTAGAATAAAAAATGTTTGAAAAGTGACTGGAAGCAAAGACAACTCTAAAAGAGAATTTAGAATAACCTTAAATTCACTTATCAATAAATATAAATGACATTACTGGGAGTATAAAATATAGAGACTGGAAAAATTTGGAGCAGCCAGCGTGTCAAATACCATTTAAAAAAATCAACAATTAATGTAGAAAAAGCCACAAAGCAATAGCAAATATATAGCTAAAATTAGGTAATAAATATTTGAAGTGGATTAATAGCTTTACAGCTAGACGAGAAGAAGGTAGAAAATGGGGCTTTCCACTACTGGAAAGTTGAAGGTCAAAAACAAGAATGTTTAGAGAGCAATGACAGACACATTCTTGAGATGCTTCTCATTAAGTCCATGATTGTTGGGGAGATGTCAAGATAGAGAAGGAGTGAGAGAGAGTATGGGTATGGAAAGGCCAGGCGACAGAGGTTCTGCTAAAAATTCAATAGTAGAAAGGAAATGAGAAGCCTCAGGATGTGGTGACAATTTCTGTTGTAAAGCAGGTTTGAATGACGCCAGGGTCTAACTTGAAATTGGATCAATGTATGGCTGCAGTGGAATAAAGATGAAGGTGACTGAGAATAAGAAGCTCACAGAATTCCAAAAGCATGGTCCATACAATTCCAATGGCTCCTATTAAAATTCTGTCATCATTCTACATGCTAGTCATATGTCATACCAGACTGTTTGCTTTTCCTCAAACCTACCATATACCTCTACCACTCAAAGTTTTTGTATACACTGATCTCTGTCTGGAATGCTTTTTCCCCCTTGTCCACCCAAGGAAGCCATCCTTTTAAAACTGAAGTTAAATGTCCCACTAGTGGACTCATGGGAACAGTGGTTTCAGCAAGAAAGCCAACCTTCCCTCTTGGCCTTAAGAATGAATCATGGAGATAAGGACTCTTCAAAGAGGATTGTGTGGAAAGTGGTTTCATTGAATAAATGCCAAGTTTCAGCAAAAGCCATGGGATTAAAGGTGCATTGGGAAAAAAAATGTTTGGTTTATCTATTCGTAGTTGAGAAGAGACTATAGGTAGAGAAACAGGTGATCATTCTCACAGAAGTCAGAAAGATTTTTCCCTGTGACGTTTTCACATAAGCGAATGTAGATATACATTAGCATTCTGTACCTCCAGACCAGATCACCCTTTTCTTTTTTTTTTCTGAGATGGAGTCTCACTCATCTCACTTTGCCACCAGTGGTGCTTTCTTGGCTCGCTGCAACCTCTGCCTCCCAGGTTTAAGCAATTCTCATGCCTCAGCCTTCCAAGTAGCTGAGACTACAGGCGCATGCCATCATGCTTGGCTAATTTTTGTATTTTTTGTAGAGATGGGGTTTCACCATGTTGGTCAGGCTGGTCTCAAACTCCTGACCTCAAGTGATCCGCCTGCCTCAGCCTCCCAAAGTGCTGGGATTACAGGCATGAGCCACTGCGTCTGGCCCAGATCATCCTCCTGATACCGTCTAGAATGTCTTCTTCAGTTATCTCACAGGCATTGAGATCTCAATGGCATTGAGTTATCTCACAGGCATTGGCTGTGTCCCCATCCAAATCCCATCTTGAATTCCCAGGTGTTATGGGATGGACCCTGTGGGAGGTAATTGAATCATGGGGGCAGGTCTTTCCTGTGCTGTTCTTGTGATAGTGAATAAGTCTCACAAGATCTGATGGTTTTATTAGGGGGAGTTTCCCTGCACAAGCTCTCTCTTTGCCTGCTGCCATCCATGTAAGACGCAACTTGTTCCTCCTTACCTCCTGCCATGATTGCGAGACCTCCCCAGCCATGTGGAACTGTGAGTTAATTAAACCTTTTTCCTAAATAAATCACCCAGTCTAGGGTATGTCTTTATTAGCAGAGTGAAAATGGACTAATACAGGCATCATTCCACAATTCCAAATAATGATAACCTTCATCTCCCCACCTGTGCTGATTTGCGCCACCCCCATCCCTGCCAAAACTCTCCTCTCAGTGAATGGTATTATCATCCAGGTCATCCAAGCCATAGTTCTAGGAGTTATCATCTTATTTGCCACTATTCCCCGTGTCCTAATTAGTCATCAGATCTCATCATCTCTCTCTTAGAAATGGATCTAAGGTGCCATCCTTATTGCTGTGACCTTAATTCAACCCTCATCATGTCTCATCTGCTCTCACTATTATTGACTTCTCTTTTCGCAATCACTCTCTACATTTCTATAGAAATGTGATCACTATAAAGTACAAATATAATTGTACCCTCGTCTGCTTAAATTTTTGACATCATCCCCTCTCTATCTCCCTGTCTCTGAAATAAAGCATAATTGCCTTGTAATGCAGTAGAAGCTTCTAAAAGATGTAGATTCTACTGGTGCCACCCACAGCAGTGGCCTCACAGCTCCACTGTATCTCAAGACTCCAGGCTGCATATAGGTATTTCCCTTACTTGTAATGCCCCACTCCTCACTCCCTCCTTCCCCAGGCTAGCTCCAGTTAGTTCCCAAATATCCAGTTTGTGTATCCCATGATTCTGGAAACTATAGTTACTTATATTTGCCTCTAATGCTGCTTCACTGTGCTCTCAAAATTCCCCTTAATATAAATGTCTATATATATTGTCCTCAATTGCTTATTTTTCTATTTTATCTACAAAATTGTGAGCTCCTTGAGGTCAGGGCCTTTGACCTTTAACACCAATATCTGTGGCATTTAGCACATATTCTTGAATATTTAAAAAGTGCTCAATAAATGTTGAATGCATGAATAATCAAGTCACAGCTATGGAATAATCAACCACCTCTACAGGAAGGCAAACTGTATGCCAAACAGAGCTTCTCAGTGCTTCCACAAGCCATAAATCAAAAGCCCAAAAGTCAAATTTGTGGCTTTGGCAAATGTTTAAAACCTATTATGGTTTCAGAATGATTGTGCCCCAAACTTGTGATCAGTATTTAGAGACTTTGCACTCCAATTGGCATCTTTCGGCATTTAGAGATCCATGTTAAGATTCCGTGCCACAAGATAATGGACATTATATCCTATCAGGATGGAACAGGTCTTGACTTTGACGCTGTCTTCATCATTCTTTACAGTGGGCAGGGAGCACACCATGCACGCAGCAAGGTGTTGATAAACCATTCTGAATGCCTTTCTCATTATCTGCAGAGTCCACGCTTTGGAAATAATTGTAGTCTGGCTTCAGACTATCATCTTAAATTTCAAATTCCATTCAATGTATGTGATGCCTAACAGGCCTCTATGCATAATATTTTTCTTTTGAATAATAATTATGTATGCTATTTTGGGGCTTTTTATGTATATCAAGTACAACAGTTATCAGTGCAAGTCGGTGACACAAGTATCAGAGCAATGTGGAACTGTAGCATTCGGTTTTCATTATAGTGATAGATTTACAGTAAGTTCTCCTCCTAGATATTATAGTCAATCTGTTTAACATCCTAAAGCAATAAGGAGAGGCTGGATGACTTCCTGCTCTGATTAATAACATAAGCATAACAATGTTTAGCAAGATGTTGTAAGAGATTAAACGTGGATAATTATTATTTTCAGTGGGAACATCTTTGGCGTTTTAGCCAATGAGATTTCTGGCTTGTGAATTTAGACACACCTTTCCTAAGGACACCAAAAATAACAAAATTCTCTTTTTGAATCATTCACTTAAAGCAGATTTTACAAGCCCAGGATTCTATCTCTGAAGGACTGCCGAATTTTGTCAATTCTGACTCCTTTTTTACTCCCTCACATTTTTAACTCTCTAGAACCGAGATGCACTTTACAATCAGCAGTGCCTTAGCCTCTTGTTACAACTTAACCAAATAATTTTTCTTTCTTAATGATATCTGAAATGTATGTAAGACTGATGATGTATTAAATCTGATGATACAGAAAATTTGTCTTTATAAATATTATTAATGCTTTGTCATTATTTTATTTAACTATTTGATTATATTTTATTATTTTGTTATTGTGACTATTATAATCCTTTTTGTTTCTACAAGTTTTGCTTTACTGCTAGACAAAACTGTAATAACCTGTGGTTTCCATATTAAACATTTTTTTCAGGTTTTCTTAATCCTTTTCACATTGTGTCCTCTTTGGTACCATTTTACCATCAGTGAAAGTTTAAGAATGTTCTTGACAGTTTCAAAACCATCTTCCCAGAATATCATGGAGGCTGAAACTAATTCTAGGAAGAGAAAGAATGTCTTCTCTTTGTCAGCCCTAGGAGTGGGGCATTGGGAGGAAATTCTCCTACTTCCTTGTATCTAATGATTACAGTTGTCTGTTTGGAGAACAGTTTCTTCTAATTCTGTGAGCTCATTCTTCATTCCTCTTCTCCAGCCATTTTTCTCTAAATCCATCTGTATGCCATTTCTCCCACTTCACTTGCATCATAAATATCATAAAATTTACAAGATAGTAATATATTATTTTCCCAAGTTAAACGAATGACTTTCCCCCTACACTTTCTATATTTTATACATATATATACACCCACACTTTTTAAAAGAATTATGAAAATAGCAAAATATATATCAAATTTTAAAAGCTGGAGTAACCCATTTCAGAGACTCCAAGATGCTATGTTTGAAAAATACACTACTTTTATGAATGGTTTATGCTTTAATTTTATGTTTTTTTGAAAGATTATAGAAAAATTACAACATTCTCATTTTATGTTAAATACATCAGTATTAAACATTATATATTTTCGTACTTCCATAATTATGTTTTAATCATAGCAAATTACTTTCTTATGTTTCTCTTCATTAGGATAATTACTATTCCTAAATATATGAAATTGTTAAAATAGTAGTAATTTCTTAGTTCTTTATTTTATGATATGGCCATTTTAGAAGTTGAATTCTTGCCTACACATATTAAAATATTACACTTTAAATTTATAAGTGTGGCAGAGAGATTTTGACCGAACTTCAGTTAATCTATTCCTGAGTTGGGTTCTAACAGTATTCAAAAAATAATACTTTCAAGTAATCAGGTATAAGATTACTTGAATGCAATTCAAATATAAGAAAATGATACCTGTAAAAAACAAAGGCAAACATTGTTTAGATACCATAGGTATTCATTAGTAGCAATGTTTTAAGAGACAGAAATATTGGCAATTAACTCTTTCATAGCCTAAATAGTCTATGGAAAAACTTTTGTTAATCCATTTCATTCTCATCATGACCCTAAAAGTTAGGTTGTATTACCATGCCAATCTTTGAATGAGGAAATGGAAGTTCATAATTGTTATTTATCAGTACCAAACCACTAGAGAACATCTAGGCTGAGCCTGGAATCCCTGTCTTCTACTTCCAAATTTGTCTTTCCACCACATCCGTTCTTTATATTACTATATATTTTTTGGCTCATCCCCTTTGCATTCGGACTGGCACACACACCCTGCTGATAACTAGGTAGGCACTAGGAGAAATAGCAGTCACATGTCAGAGAGAAAGCTGTCGTTCTGGCTCATAGATTATAATTTCTTTCTATGTCCTCACATGGTAGAAGGGGTGAGGGATCTCTCTTGGACCTCTTTTATAAGGGCACATAGCCTATTTATGAGAGCTTCCCCGCAATGACCAAATTACCTCCCAAAAGCCTCACCTTTTCATCGCCTTGGACAGCATTTCAACATATACATTTTGGAAGGACCAAACTTTTCAGATCATAGCAACACCTTTCCAAAATATCTCTGCAGTCCTTCTCCCTTGATATTCAACATGTTATTGTTCAAATAATAATAGTAAATGTAGGAGGAAGATACAAGTTTCAGTTTTACATTCTGAAAGGGATGCATTTTTGCTCTACTCATAGGCCATTTTTTTTCCTAGGAACATTTCCTGACTCCAACCAACATTACCAGCTTCTTTCTTTGTTCTTCCACAGCATGATGTTTATAGACAGATGGTAATTGTTGTTTACATTCCTGATCCCAGAATAATTTGTGAGCATTTTGTCAGGAATACATTTTATCTTAGTCACTTTTACATCTCCGAAGTCCGCACAATGCCCAGTGCATTGCAAATATAAGTATTTGCTGAGTGAATATTTGTTATTTTGTGCACTCATTCAACAAACATTTGTCAAAACCTGGAAACTTCATTTATTCATAAAAACTACTTCAAATGACTCTAGTTCTGAGCAAAAGCCTGAACAAGTGTTTAATTTTCTTTATAAGACACCATAAAACATTATCAATTTCATAATTAAGCGCATATAAAAACAACCATTTTTCTTTGATATAATAATATTATTTCTCATGAAATAAGCTTATATTTAATAACATATTTTATTTTCCTCAAATTATTTCCCATGACCATTAAATTATCTATATTATTTGCCACAGATGCCTTCAAAGTGATTTAGTTGATCAAAATATATTTAGAAAAGATAGAACACCAAGCCCAGATTCAAACCTCCACAACGACTGAAATTCGAATTATGTCTTTGATATGTGCCACTGTAATGGCAGTGTCAGTTACATCATACCTCTTAGACTTATGCATCAGCATGGATGAGGACTATTGGAGAAGGCCCAAGAGGAACAGGAATTATCATTAAAAGTAAAAGAAGTGCTGATAGGACACTTTAAATGAGTAACCATCATGTAACCCAGGGAGGTAAAATATGTTGCAGTTGTGTACGTGAAAGACACTGCATGGCAATATGGTGGACAGAAGCTACTAAGAAAGACTGCATTCTTGTTAGAATATTCTAAAGGACAGATTTGTTCTGAATAATCTAGACATTGCCATCAGAGGGCAATAGAGGGCAGAGAGAGAAAGGCATGCTTTCATTTTGTTTGCATGATCCATGATCCTTCTTTGTTAATTTCCATCTTAAATGTTAAGGGTGGAACAGGGAGGGGAGAAAGTTACTGTTAAAACTTGATAGGGGCCGGGCGAGGTGGCTCATGCCTGTAATCCCACCACTCTGGGAGGCCTAGGCGGCGGATCACAGGCTCCGGAGATCGAGGCCACCCTGGCTAACATGGTGAAATGCCATCTCTACTAAAAATGCAAAAAATTAGCTGGGCGTGGTGGCACGCTCCTGTACTCCCAGCTACTAAGGAGGCTGAGGCAGGAGAATTGCTTGAACCTGGGAGGTGGAGGTTGCAGCGAGCCGAGATTGCACCACTGCACTCCAGCCTGGGCAACAGAGAGAGACTCCATCTGAAAAAAAAAATTAAAACAAAAAGAAACAAAAAACTTGATAGGTCTCTTTCACTCTTCTCTCCCACAAGGAGTGGATTTTCTTGGACTATTGTATTAACCTCCCTTAGACACTTGAATTCCATGCTTATCGCCCCCTGCAGTGTATCTTCAACATAATAAGCAGAGTGACCTTGTTAAAATGTAAGTCAAATCATTTCAGTTCTCTGCTCAGAACTCTCCAATAACATCCCATCTCACTTAAAGTAAAAGCCAAAGTCCTTACAATGGCCTACAAGGTCCCAAACAGTCTGACCTCATTATTGCTCTGACCTATCTCCTTCCTCCTTCACTCCAGTCACACTAACTTTATTGCTGCTCCTCAAACATTGCAAGGACTCTTTACCTCAGGGCCTTTGCATCTGCTGTTCCTCTGCCTGGAATGCTATTCCACAAGACATTTCCTTGGTTCCCATCCTCTCCTCTTTAGAACTTTATTCACATGTCACCTTCTCAGTGAAGACTTTCTTGATCATTCTACCTAAAGTTAATCCCTAATACCATTATTTTGTTTTACTTTTCTCCATGCAGTTATTACCCTCTAACCTACTATATACAGTATATCTATTACTTGTTTTATAGACATCTATCTCTTCCTTGCAGAATGTAAGAGACTTTGTCATCACTTCTCTTTACGCTTTCATTTTCAGAACATAGAACAATGCCCAATTCATTGAGGTACTCAATATATATGTGTTGAATAAATTAATGATCTAATGAATTCGACAAATATTTAAAAAATCCATATCATGTGTCTTATAGTCCATCTGGTGCTGGTATAACAGAATATATAGGACTGGGTAATTTATAAAGAACAGAAATTTATTTCTCTTAGCTCCGGATGTTTAAAAGTTCAAGACCAAGGTTCCAGTGGGCTTGGTGTCTGGTAAATCCCCACATCCAAGATGGTGCCATGAAGGCTGCATCCTCCAGAGGATAGGAACATTGTTCCTCACATGGCATAAGAGTGGAAGGGGGTGAACCCACTCCAAAAAGCCCTTTTTATTATGGTATTAATCCATTCCTGAAGGTTCCATCCTCATGGCCTAAATACCTCCTCTTAGTTCCCACCTCCCAATACTATTGCATTGGTGATTATGTCTCCAACACATGAGTATTGGAGGAGGCAATCACTCAAATCATATCATCAAGTACCTAGAACTGTTACTAGCAATAAGTGCTTTATATAAAAGCCTGCTTTTATTGATTTGTGTTTCCTTGCCTCATGGACTTTGTGAAATAACAGTCAAGGATGTCACATGGAAATCCACATAACTGTCTATGTCAGTGGTTCTCAAAGTGTAGTCCCCAAACTAACAGCATCAGCATCACATGGGAACTTGTTTTAAATGCATATTCTTGGACCCCCACCTCAGATCTGTTGAACTGAAAACAGTATTTTATTGATAAGCTGTATAGGTGAGTCTGATGCATGCCAACACTTGAGACCCATTGATCTACATTGTAAGCTTATTAAGTTGACAATGCCAGTTAAACTTTTAATGCATTTGTTTCATATCAGAGTTTTCAAGTTTTCCTTGGATACAATAAGTTTGAAAATACTCTGACCTTGATAAATGTTAAGTGAGTCTTGTTTCTAGAGACATTATACTTTCTCTTTCCTTTCATGCCCATGGCCACTCTCCCAGGCCAGGTCCTAAAACCTTATACCTGGGTTATCACAATGGCCTCCTAACTAGTCTCCATGAACTAACTAGTCTTCTAACTACTCTGTAAGTACAAATACATTTCCTTCACTATATGATGAATTTTTGTACATTTTTATTTCTGCAAGGAAATTCATCATATAGTTGAAAAGTACATTGAATATAGTGCATTTTCTTATTTCCCAAAAGATTACTTTTATACCAAAGATCTATTTTGTAATAGAGGAATAAGATATTTTTCTACATTGATTTGTTTCAACATACATTGAACTGGCCTTTCTCTGCCCTCTTACAGCCCTATTTTTCTCATACTGCAGGCATCTGAATGAGAAAAATGTACATTAATCAATCTGGCTAATTTTAAAGAAGGCCTCAATTATGAAATGATTCATTGCATGAAATTGAACTAAAAGCAGTCACATGCTTAGAGCTAATATTCTTTTCATTAAAAAAGTTTGCATCCACTTACTTTCAGCTTCAATTGGAGTTTTTGCTTATGCACAGCAGATTCTCACCAGCCTCTTCAGTGGCTCTCTCTGAGACCATTTCTGTAGTTCATGAATCACTGCCCATGAAGCATAATGGAGTGCACAGAGGAGAATTCACGCAGTGTGAACCCTCTCTATGTGCTACAGCTCTTTTTCCCCTTCTACCTCTCTGCCTTTTAAAATTTATTACCTTTTCTTACTTTGCTGCTCAGAGGAACACAGGTTTTTTTCTGTAAGAGGAGTTCTTTATGATCACTCTAAATTTGGATGTGGTGCACAGCAGCTAGGTCATTGTAATACAGTTTCCAGGATTCATCAGGAGGTCTAAGTTGAGGCAGAGCACTCCAGCACATCCATGCTGATTGCTGATGGTCTTTTTTCTTTCCTTCTCAACTTTGGCTTTTCCCTTGGTTCTACAGACCTTCTTTGGGGTTCTCGTTAGTTGGCCTGGGCTGCCACAAACACTGGTGGTCATGGGATAGCAATGAAATAAACACACTTCCCTGTGTGTCTAAATGATGGTATGGTGCAAGAAAAATTTCCAAATAAAGCTCACATGAACTTAATATTTGGCCGCCAGCCCTGGCTATACATTAGACTCATCAATTAAATTTGACCCTCTGGAAGTAGAGTCTGAGCACCTCTGTTTCAGAGCTCCCTGGGTAATTGCTAATGAGTAGTCAGGGCTGAGAAACACCCATGAGCTACTAGAACACAGGCCATTCTACTTGTGTAGGAGATTGGTGAGCAAGCCTATGACTGCATTTTTTTTTTTACCCGAACAAGCCTAACCAGCTAATAATAGACCCGATTTTTATCTGCCTTATGAGTCTCTTGTTTAAATTCTGTTTTCAAGAAAGTTTTATATATGTCACTTGAAAAGGTGAAATAATAACATGTAGCTGATTTCATAGAAAACAAGGGAAGAATATAGTCAAATAGGGAACAACACTATTATATCAGGGATTGACAAGGAAAGCATCCTCATTGTGGACCTAAGTGTTATAGTGAGAAAAGGGGACTCATTCCCATTGGACCCTACAGGGATGTGATACAACCTACAGTATAAATGAATTCATTGTAAGGTGAAGTGCCTTATGATGGAATTTGACTACATTTCACATTTAGAATATACTCTTTCTAGCTGTTTTTTTTGTTTGTTTTGTTTTTTGTTTTTTGTTTTTTTGAGACAGGGTCTCACCCTGTCGCTCAGGCTGGAGTGCAATGGCACAATCTCAGCTCACTGCAACCTCTGCCTCCCCAATTCAAGCAATTCTCCTGCCTCAGCCTCCCAGTAGCTGGGACTTGTATTTTTAGTAGAGATGTGGTTTCACCATGTTGGCCAGTGTGGTATCCATCTCCTGACCTCGTGATCTGCCGGCCTCAGCCTCCGAAAGTGCTGGGATTACAGGCGTGAGCCACCACACCTGGCCACCCTTTCCATCTTTTATGCCTAAATTTAGACGACTGAAAGGATTCATTAAAATCCAATTTAATTAAGATATTTAAAAAACATACATTGTAAAATATAGTTTTGCAAGCTGTGTTTTTTTTACAAATATAAGACTATTACACAATACTATAGTTGAAATGAATGAAACATTAATTTGATTTTATATCTATTCCTTTTAATCACCATTCACAATATTGAGATAGAAGCAGAAAATGGAAGACACTATCTTAATGAACTGTATTGATTTTTAAATGTGACCATTGTAAACAAAGCACTTCCAAGCCAGCCCCACAAAAATTTCTTATTTTTATTCAAAAATTTAAAAAATATTGAAATTCACCTGCCATAACTCCACCAAAGAAAGAGACACCTCAGTATGGCATACAAACAAGGAGCTTTTCATACAACTATTGTTTTATAAGCTTTTAAAATATTTCCTATAACTTTTAGATAGTATTGACAATTAAGTCACTTGATAAAATAATTTTCCATTTGACATAAGCATTTTAGCATCATAGAGTATACATAAAATAATACAAAAAGTGAATTCTTATTTAATATTCATTTACCTGAGTTTCAGGATGGGGAAGGGTGCCCAGAAATATATGGAAGAATTGTAAAACTTAGAACAATTTAGTAACAGTTGATTAAGCAGCCATTACTCACAAATACTGAGTCAGGCTCTTGGAGGAAGAGGGCTCCTCTTTTTTTTTTTGAGACGGAGACTGGCTGTGTTGCCCAGGCTGGAGTGCAGTGGCGCGATCTCGGCTCACTGCAAGCTCTGCCTCCCGGGTTCATGAGTAGCTGCGACTACAGGCGCCCGCCACCACACCTGGCTAATTTTTTGTATTTTTAGTAGAGACGGGATTTCACAGTAGTCTCGATCTCCTGACCTCGTGATCCTCCCGCCTCGGCCTCCCAAAGTGCTGGGATTACAGGCGTGAGCCACCGCGCCTGGCCGAGGACTCCTCTTCTTAATCCACTAACTGACATCTAATAGAAACTCAGAAAGTATTGATGAATTAAAGAATAAATATAAAACAATACTCTGTCCTTTAGAAACTAACATTTGGGGGGGGGTGCAAAAACATAGATATATGTAAAATAGGAAAGAATTATAGGGGATTCTTTAATACAGGTGTCAACTAGTACAAACATAATGAATATAATTACTGCAGCAGTGTGGAATTATTATTCCAGCTGGAAAGGAACCTGGAAACACTTCTTGTGTTGGGTGATATTTGAACTAGGTCTTAAAAAGTATAGCAGAACTTCAGAGTAGACATTGTGAAGTGAGGAAGGACATTCCAGGGGGAAAGAAATGACTTGTATAAGAAATGAAGAAGATTTATTAGAGGAAATAGAAGGCTTCGGTGGAATGTGTGAGGACATGGCCACTGTCATGGGCCCAAATTGTGAAGTGCTTTCAGGGAGAGGCTAAAATTATTCTCTGTGTAGTGGGAAGCTCTCAAGGCTCTTCAGAACTACGGCATAGGTCTATTTTAGAAAAGTTATTTCAAAGGCAGTGTTCAGAACAACTTCGAGAAGGTAGAAGCTATAAGTAGAACGTCTGGGAGGTTGTGTAGTAGTACACACAAGAGTTGAAATAAACCTAACCAAGGAAAAGAATGGATGAGCTCAATTTGGAACATATCTTAGATGTCAAAACAGCAGATTCTGAAGACTGGTTGTATGTAAAGGAGGAGGGAGAGGGGAAAAATTTCATTTTAGAGCAACTAGGAATGTGTCTATTTTATAAAATATATAGTTTTAGAATGTTTAAAAGTAAAATGATGCTGGAGGGTTCTGGTGCAAATTTTGAAGAGAAATATTTTCCAAATAGATATATTGCTTAACACTTGGAAAAAGAATGACAAAATAAAGAACTAAGTGTGAAAGTGTTGGGAGAAGAAGGCAAGTTTAAAAGCTGAAAGCCTCAGGAAGGCTTTCAGGAAGGTACAAAAACGGCAAGTGCTAAGGGAGAACATGGTATTAAAATGTGTGTGGTGTCTTAGAGATATGAGTCAGGAACTGTAAGAAAGTGGTGAGCAGAAGTTAGAATGAATGCATGTGAGAAAGCATAGGCTAGGTAAGTTACCCCCTTACAAGTAAATGGAAAAGCCAAAGAATAAAGCAAAGCAAGAAATGTGGCCATCGTGAAGAATTGACCTAAAACAGTAACAGTGATTCAAAAGGATAGGGAGGATAAATACTGAGTGTGAAGAGGCTGAATAGCATGTAACTTGGTAATGATGAGTTGTCAACTTGTTACTTTATTATTAAAATAAAATTCTATCAACAGAAACATTGTAAAGAATAGATAGATAAATATGAGGTACAATTGTTTGCTCTAAGACGTAAAACAAGAACAGGCTTTTTTTCTTAATAAAAATCGTGGTTTATCTGATATACCATGCTCCATCAGCTTTACTACCACTGATCTGTTGATAATACTCAAGTCAGCACTAGAAACCCATCAACTTCCAAACTGCCTTCCCAGAAGGTTGCAGTGCCAGGCTTTGGGGATTAGAAAGCAGGCTTGAACTGGAATGAAAGGAACATGCACTGATGAGGAAACCTGAACTGCCCTTGAGTTTCTCTTGGACCTCATTCATTCTAGACTGAATCCAGTTTTAAATCATGTAGAGCTCCATTTAAAACAGCAACAGTGACAGCAGGCAACCACTTAGAATTCAGTGCATTCAGTGGATTTTCAGCAGTTTAGGGAGTTTCTATCTAGTGATTGATTCCTGTCAAGAACTTGGCCATTTTCATAAATGATTGTGTGAAAAATAAAATGTCACCTCTGCTTCTGCCACTTAGAAAGAGCTAACTACACCATCTGTGATTCAGATATGATCACACTTACCAGAATAATTGTGGGGACAGATACAAGTATATCTTCCTATTTCATTGAGGCATGTAGCCTCGTTCTTGCAGGGATCTGAAGCACATTCATCCACTTCCAAGTCGCAGTGTCTGCCTTGATATCCTGGGACACAGAAGCAGGAGTAACCATCAATTCCATCCTGGCACACGGCCCCATTTTGGCAAGGGCTGGAAGCACACTCATCGTGATCTATCTCACAGAATCTTCCAGCATATCCAGCAGGGCAGATGCAGACAGGATAAATAGGGTCCTGATGGCAAATACCTCCATGTTGGCAGGAGTTCTTGCCACAGGAACCAATGGTAGTTTCACAGATTGTCCCACTGTACCCAGGAGGACATTTGCACAGAAAGCTCCTTTCTCCTGGGGTGTTCACACAAGTGGCACTTCCTTGACAGGGATTGGAGAAGCAAGGGTCTTTCATGTTGTCACAGTCTTTGTCCAAATTATTGGCTGTGTCTGAACAAGAACAATCATTGTCTTTTGAAAAATCTTTGCATGTAGAATTGTTTTGGCAAGAATTTGAGAGGCACCTGGTGTTGTTTTTATTGCAAAAGGAATCTACAAGGAAATAAAAAGTAACAAGATTAAATTTATAAATGAGGACAAAGTTAAAAATCTTTCTTTGTGACCTTTGTGCTGCCTCAACCAAACTCATTAATAAAATACATAGTTGGGTTCATCCTAATGAAAAAACTACGTCATCTACATTACTATACCTAGCACATTGTATGTACTTTCAGTGAACAATGCAATAATTTTCATAGTGATAATACCTTCAGAGCAAGACTTAAATGGACACAGAAAGAAGTTATAGGATATTTTAAATTATAATTGAAATTTAGTTCCCAGAGAAAGTACCATAGAGAATTTTGTTTCCTGATTTAACAGAAGACTTATATACAGGATAGCAAATTTTACTGGATGTAGAGTTTAATTGCTATTTTCAGACCAAATTATATAGGCTGCAAAATTGTTTCCTTGCAGTAAAGTTTGCCATCTACTGGCTGTTTTAAGAAATTCTACCACTGTGAGTTTCAGACTTTTTGTTTTCCCTCTTTTCCTTTCTTTTTTCTTTTTAAGAGCAGCAGAATTCCTTCAAGGAAAATGTCATGAGGAATCCCAATGTACACAATTGGAAAGCAGATCTGCTCAGGTCGAAGCAGGGAAGGTCCCTTGGAGCCCAGTCAGACCAGTCTCCTGCCTCCCCTAGAGACACCTCCAAGGAGCTAGGGTTTGAGACCAGCAATTTGAAAACCTCTGCACAAGAGAAAAGAAAAGATTTTATATAGTTACTATAAGCAATTATTTCTATATTTGCATTAAGTATTTCTAGTGCTAAAATAAAGTTTTTTTGTCTGCTGAGAAGTAAAAACAAATTTGACCAGTTTTAAGGAAGATGAAGACCCAAATAACAGTAAATATATTTCTTGTGTGTGTGTGTATGCATCTGTGTGTATGTATTTTCTAATAATTAAATTGACTTGGAAAATAGCCATATTGGTAATTTTGTTTCATTATGAGGCCGAGTATGTTTATTTAGAGCAATGAAACAGTGCAAGGTGCAAGACTTTCAGGGAAGAACATGTTAATTTCTCTATTGTAAGTAGTATTTATTCCTTTGTCCTTGATAGTTCTATTGCACTTTTCTATGAAACAGGTAATTCTCTAATTTAAAATCATCAATCAAGAATCTGAAAGTTGTATTCAGTGGTTTTTATTATCAATCTTTTCATTGACTTTTCTATTTAGCAATCATAGGAGATTTACCAGCGAGTCAGGATAATACAGTGGGAAGGGGCAACAGATGGGTACCAGGCCTGCTCTGCCTCTCCCAGCCTTGGTTTCTGTTTTTTTTTTTTTTTTTTTTTTTTTTTTTTTTTTTTTTTTTGGTGTGTGAGAATTAAGTCACTAAATTTAAATGCTTTGCAGACACATCGTAAGTGTTTGGTAAATGCTAGCTCTTACCTTTATAAGATGTTGAGAAATAGTTTTGAGTTCTTAATAGAAAATTTACTGAACAAGTACAAAACATAGCAATAAAAATAATTAAAAAGGTACAAGTCACTAATAATTTTCACTGAAGGAATTTTATTTTAAGAAAGAGAATGAAACAAAATAAACAAACAAAAAAACACGAGTACCCTTACATAGAAAGCCTAACAATGGACTAATTCAAGGTGCCAACTATGCCCTTCCTGTAAATTACCTGGGAATGGTCAGGATCGGACAAAAATAATTATGAAATTGAATTAAAAAGGTTCTGTTCCCCAGCTCCCTTGTTTTTTGCAAGAAAATATTTAACATCTGATTATACATTTTTAAATTATTTATTATTATTATTATTATTTTGAGACAGAGTCTTGCTCTGTCGCCCAGGCTGGAGTACAGTAGCATGATCTCAGCTCACTGCAACCTCCATCTCCCAGGCTCAAGTGATTCTCCTGCCTCAGCCTCCCAAAGAGCTGGGATGACAGAAGCCCACCACCATGCCTGGTTAATTTTTTGTATTTTAGTAGAGATGGGGGTTTCACCATGTTGCCGCCAGGGTGGTCTCGAACTCCTGAGCTCAGGCAATCTGCCCGCCTCAGCCATCCAGGCCTCCCAAAGTGCTAGGATTACAGGCTTGAGCCACAGTCCCCGGCCTCTATAAATTTTAAGTACCATTTAAATTCTTGGCTCAGCAAAATGCTAGCTATGGAATTTGAGTTGTGATAAGGACTTAATTGTTCAGAGCATCTGCTGTATCTTTGTATTGTGCTCCATATCTATTTATTTATACCAAGTGCTCAGTAAATATTTCTTGAGTATTAACTGTCAAAGCCATAGCTCTTACCTTAATAGTTTCTTTATGTAAAACTATGCATATGTATATGCATACATATATGTATATTTAAATGTATAATTATTGATCCTTGATCTTTTTCAAAATTCTATTTAAATATCCTCTTATCATCAGTATACTCAGTCTTTTCTTAAGATTTACTAACTTAATTCTCTCCCTAGCTCTCTAATTATATCTGTCTCTAGATCTCATTTTAACTGATATTAACGTCAAGAATTAAATGTATCCTTTGTCAGCAGAAGGAAAGGAAGGAGGCGTAGATAAAACTCCTATTATTGCTCATATCTGGGTTAAAGTAGCAATTTTTAATATGCCTCATATTTAGCTAGATAAACACTCCTCATTGTATCCTCACTAATGTATATAAAGTTATTTGGGAATTTATTCATTGTTCTGGAACATGTATATTTCTGGTGTTTTTTTTCCTCAAACTGTTGAGACAAGCAGGGACTTGGGGAAGTCGCTGCTAGGGATAGGAAAAGAATATGTCACCTGTGGTATGGAATAATGTTATTTTCAATATATATGGTTGGCGTTATTTGAAAAAAAATTGAGTAATTTTCCAAACGTGTAAAGGCACAGTTTTTTAAATTTTAATTCTATAGTTATCTATATTTAACCTAATTTTACCTAAATAATCAGAGTAGAATAGAGGAATTGTGAACATAAAATTTGATATTTCCAAAAAATCAAATGAATGGTGTCTTACATCGTTTCACCTAGAAGACTGACGATTTTATAAACATTTGCTATGTTTTGCTAATGAAATGTAATCAGAATGAAATAGAAGGTATAAACAATGCTACTGGAGATAGAACTCAAAATTTCCAGGTCTAAGAATGCCAATTTATGAGAATAAAGTGGTTTGCTGAATTCTCTTTAGCCTGGCTTTCTGCAGAGAATGAAATTTAGTTCCAGGATTGGGGTGGGGAGGGAGGCGGTGCAGGAGGGGCACATCTTTAATCAGGACATAGCCAAAATGGCTTGCACATGGTAAGGCAGTCAATAGAAATTTGTTGAATAATGAATGAGTGAGCAAGGAAACCTGAATTCCCATTTAAGCCTTGCTGTGAAATTCTTACTTTGACCTCTTTTGATAAAATCAAGCAGAACAAATGATTGGTTAAATCACTTACTTTGATGTACTGCGTGATAGAATCCACATGGAGCAGTTAAAATAAGAAGTAGATGGGCTCCTTTAAGACCATTTTTCCTTTGTATTCCTACTGTACACGTTGTCTTAAATACTAAATTGAGGCCAATTTAATATAGTGAGAAGAGGACATTTTTATGGTAGACAGAGATTTAAATTTTGGTTCTAGTATTTACCATCTCTGTGACTTTAAGAAAAAACATTTTCACTGAGCCTCAGTGTCCTGATTACTAAAGAAAATGATGTGGAGCCATATATATAGTGGATAAGCGCATGAAGTTTGGTGCCTGGGTTTAAATCCTGGCTCTGCCACTTACTAAGTCTATGAGTTTTATCAAGATAACATCGCTCTGCCTCAGTTTCCATTTTTGTAAAAATGGCACCTATCTCATAGAGTTGTTATAAAGGGTTAAATTAATGAACATAAAATGCCTAACAGGGCTTGGCACAGAGTGAGCATTATCAATCATCCTTGTTCTTATTATTATTAGGAATAAAAGAGATAATACACATAAAGTTCCTTATAACAATCAAGCATAAAGTAGTTTTTTAAAAAACATTATTTGCTTTTTCTTTCAATGCAGGGTCCAAAGTACATATATCTTATTATTTGTCTATTGACTAGCAGAGTGCCATGTACATAGTTGGTGCTTAGTAAATGCATATTTAACAAATGAATAAGTTCAAGAAAATGAAACTATATAATATTGCAAAGAGAGTTTTGGGGGTTCTGAGAAATGCAAGCTTAGCACCAGCACACATTCTCTGAGAATCATACCTAATAATCAGGGCAGGTTCCCATCATCATCAACCACAATTAATACTCATGCAAACTCCTTGAAACACGACTTTCTTACTCCAGGTAAGAAGATTGGTTTTGGCCAAAATTCATTGACATCACCTGTATCTTAATATCCCTATTCTACTATTAGCTCCTCTTTAGAAGGTCAGTGGCCTCACTGAGAAAGTTTTCTGTCAACATATTTTAAATCCCCTATATCTGATAGGCACGTTGCTATTTGCTTTTATATATAATTTCTGATCATCAGCATCATCACAGATGAAATCAGGTCCTGCCGGTTCAAAGGTTTCTTTTTCTCTCAAAGCATCCCCATGAGAATCAAAGCTTCTGGGTCCTCCTTTACACAGCCTACACACCTAAGCACAGGGTCTGGCTTGGATCAGGTCTTGGGCGTTAGGGTTAGGTAGGGTAAGGGACCAAGTGCATGTGCCTCAGGCTGCAATCATACACATTTACCTCATAGAAGATGCCCTGCCCTTTGTCATCCTTAGAACATGACTAAATGATGCAAGTTGTGAAGGTCATTTTTACTCACTGTCAATCATGAAAAATTTTAATGAGGAACTAATTATATTCCTTTGACATTACATTTATTTAAAGCTAATCAGGCCTGAAATCACTGACCTTATTATAATCAATGTATATTTTAATAAGGACAGGCTTTTGAATGACCCCTTTTACTATGGAATAGACATATTTTACTAGTTTATTTGCCTCTAGCAAATTGAAATTCTCACAGTAAAGCTAAAAGTGTTCTGAACAAAGACGAAAAAGTTTTTTCCCGCTCCATAAAGCCATGTTTTGCAGAATCGATCAACGAACAGATATAATTTCAATGTCAATTATATAATGATGGTGCAGGAAAATTTAGCTACACAACACTTTTGTTCTAAAAGAAGATCCAAAAGTTTTAATATCTCTACTAGAGACTTATCAGTGTGCTAAGTTTTATTATACACAATTAATGTTAAAAAAGTGACATTTGTAAAATAAATGAAAACAGCCCTTCGAACTCTAGTTCATTCCACTGTACATCAAAATAGTATTGGCAATCAATATAAGAATGAAAATAATTAGAATAATCTAATTTTTCAATATTATTTTTGATATTATAAAAATTTCTCCAATTTATTGGTTCCTTTCATAATTCTTGTGTTTCATTTAACCCCTATAGAAAAATTATGGGATTGGAGGTATTACATCCATTTTATAAATATGGAATTGAGTTTCAGGAATGTCAGATAACTTCCCCAAGTTTATGCATCTAATATGTGCTAGGTCAGGATGCCCAGACTGTAAAATATTTATTTGAAAAAAATCCAAATGAAAAGGAAGACAGAGTCATAAAAAGAAACATCTAAAACATTATCTAGATCAGCATTTTCTAAACATTAATGTTCATATGAACTGCTGAGGATCTTGTTAACCTTGCAGAGTCAGGAGGAGTGGGGCCTCAGACTTGGCATTTATGGTAAGCTCCTAAGTAATACTGATGCTGTTGGTCCACATACTACACTTAAATAGCAAGCACCTATACCAGTGCTGTCTAATGGAAGTATAATGTGAGCTACATATGGAATGTTAAGTCTTCTGTAACCATGTTAACAACGAAAAACAAACAGGCAAATTAATTTTAAATATTTAACCAAATATAGATAAAGCATTATATTTAAATATGTAATTGGTATAAAAATTATTATTATTATTATTATTATTATTTGAGACAGAGTCTCACTCTGTCACCCAGGCTGGAGTGCAGTGGTGCGATCTTGGCTCACTGCAACCTCTGCCTCCTGGGTTCAAGGTATTCTCATGCCTCAGCCTCCTGAGTAGCTGGGATTCCAGGGATGTGCCACCATGCCCAGCTAATTTTTTCTATTTTTAGTAGAGATGGGGCTTGTCTCGAACTCCTGGTTTCAAGTGATCTGTCTACCTCGGCCCCCCAATGTGCTGGGATTACAGGCATGAGCCACCGTACCTGGCCAGTGTAAAAACTATTAATGAAATATTTACACTTTTTAACATTAAGCCTTTGAAATCCTTAGTGTATTTTACACTTCTAGCACACTTAATTTTAGTCACATTTCAAGTGCTCAAAAGCCATATGTGATTAATGGCTACTGTGTTGGATAGTGCAACTCTCAACAGTTTTCTCGCATTTTTGTACAGAGAACTAAAGTCTAGAAAAATAATGTGTGGTTATGAGTAAGACATTATTCCTCCAGAATTTAAATTATCTTCTTTATGACATTCTTCTTATAGTAGCCATGAATAAAAATATCTCAGAATACTTTCTGAGAGTTTAACTGTGATGTATATTCAAATTGTTAGAAGTCCAATGCAAAGTGTACTTTTCCCATTAATCCTCCTCATATTTTTACATACCCCTTGAGCTCCTGGCCTGAGCAGCCACAGAATTTATTATTGTTAAGATACAATTGAACACTTATCTATATGCAACCTAAAGTGTTCTTCATGCCATATATGAAGACTTGTCCTTACAATTAGCAAACAAACTCTTTAAGTTCAGGAACTATAATATATGCTTTTCAGTATGCCTGTATGTATGAGGTATGTATTTGGTTTTGATGACATTTTGAATACCACCTTCTAATAGTAAAATAAATATATGATGATTGTTTGCTTTGCTGATTCATTGGTTTTTATCCCAGGGAAATTTGTTTCACTCACTCTATGGCTCACTATGCTTGAACAAAGACAGAATGATTTGTTTCTGTCAGGTGACTCAAAGTTGTGGACCAAATTTGGGGAAAACCTAGGTTACTGTGGTTACTGGATAACTTGGAAGTCATCATGAATATATTTTTTATTTTCTTTTTATTCAGCTAAAAGCCCCATGGCAATGAGCACAACAACTACAATGCCATTGTGCCTTTGGTCTGGATAAGATTTTTCAAGAATTTATGAATGGCTCCTTGCCCAGTGTATTCTGGCACATGCTGTTCTGAGCAGGGCCTTGGTGAATACAGACATGCCTCAGCTCATGTGCATAGCCCTATGGCACACATGGAGAATGGGTCTTGATCTCCCAGGGATCCATTTGGCAAACTCCACCCCAGAAGGCTATGGCAAGTGATTACGTAATGAATTCCGAGGCTTCATTGCTGAGCACAAAACACCAGGGAAATGGGAATAGCTTGTACTGTTTGAAATCAGAGAGAAGGAGATGCATGGTTGCTGACATCCTTCTGAGATTTGAAAGAGAATATCTGATGTTTTGAATTGGCAGCTTAACTGAATAGAAAAGAATAAAAGTATAAGGATGGCTCTACTGTAGAAAATGCATGAGACATCATAACATAAATGAAATCATTCTTGTAAATATATGGCCACTTCAAATCAATTAATTTAATTAATAGTTTAATAAGAGTGCTTTACTTGATATGATAATTTAGTTTTTAAAATAAATCCCATATACTATTCAACATTGTATATACCTATAGTGTACAACATAGAGTAGATAATCAATAACTCACTATTAAAGTCAACCAAACTTGATCCCCATCTTCCTCTGTTTAACTACTTAACTAAATTTAAGCCTTCCATCTTTCTTTCTCTTGAAAAATTATTTCCTGCCTACCACCATCTACTCCTGTACCACATTCCTGTCATAAATTCCCCTTGATCTTTCACTTATAAGGGCTCCTGAAGGATGCTTATGTATGAAATGGAGGCCTTTGCTTTTTTCTATGTCAGTTTTTATGATACTAAAATTTAATAAATTCAAAAAATTACTAAACTTCCCCATGTAATACCTAGTGAATTATAACTCAATAGGGACCAGGTCTATTCTGGCACACACTGAATAGCCTAATAAAGGATGAGTATTCAGACTCCATTAGTTAGAGTAGGAAAAGCTCCACCTGTCAGGGAGCCCAATAGGTGAAATCATAGTGTATATGAAGTATTAGTAAAGCAAGAGCCCTTGAGTGATCTATGTCAGAGTGAACACACTTTCTCACGAGGACTATTTATGGTTTTCCAATTTTTGGTGAATACTATGAAATGCATATCTTTAAGGCTATTTGAATTTGCTGTGCAGAAATAAAGTAGGGATGCTATCAATTATTTCCTGAAGTGAAGGAGCCTAAGAGCTGATTGGCTAAGGCCAGGTCTTTATAGAATAATTAACCATTTAATCTTTACAAAACAAAAGCAAGATTTTAAGCGTTTCATCAAATAAGCCAACTAATATTCATCCTCCAAGAGGATGCTAATTTTGTGGGATAAAAGGGGTTAAGAGGCCCTTAAAGAATCTGTTTACCTCAGGTCTATTTCTAAAGCACCCTATCATGTTGTTATAGAAACCACTTGCGGCTAAAAATCTCCCATCATGATTATTGCTATAGTAACCACCAAAAACAAGAAGCCAGTTTTTCATCCATTTGCCATCATCTCCCTCTGCCCAAGACAGTTTTGTTTCTAAATCCTCCTATGTTGCTGGAAACACAGGGGAAAAAAGAGTAAACAAATTAAATGGGTGAGAAAAAAAAAGAAAGAGAGAAATGATGACACATTACAAGCAATAAACTGATCCTAAATATTTTGTTTACACTCAGAGAGAAAAGAAATTGTAATTACACAGACAAACTAGTTTTTAAATTGGTGACCAAATCTCTTTACTTCCATTGTTTGAACTCAAAAGTATTAAGAAATTCTATTTTCAAATAGGAGAATATTTAAAAAATATTCTCCGTTCTTTCTTTTTTTTTTTTTTTTTTTTTTTTTTGAGATGGAGTCTCACTCTGTCACCCAGGCTGCAGTGTAGTGTAGTGGCATGATCTCAGCTCATTGCAACCTCTACCTCCCAGGTTCAGGCAATTCTCCTGCCTCAGCCTCCCAAGTAGCTGGGACTACAGGCACCCGCCACCACGTCCGGCTAATTTTTTTTTTTTTTTTTTTAGTAGAGACAGGGTTTCACTATGTTGGCCAGGCTGGTCTCAAACTCCTGACCTCATGATTTGCCCACCTCAGCCCCCCAAACTTCTATTTTTAAAGCCATCATTGAGCATTTTAGAGAATTTCCCAATAATATACCTTTGTTTAATATTGTCTTTTTTAGTGTAAATCAAGGTGATTTTCCTATATTCATTTATTAGAAGATATTATCAGGTCCTATTATAGTCTCATATTTAAAAAGTCAATTTCTGATAACATTTATCATTTGCTTGTAATGAGTTCAAAAACTTCTCTTTGGAACATATAATACATTGTTGTTAACTCTAGTCATCCTGCTATTCAACAGAACACCAGAACTTATCCTCCTGTGTAACTATAACTTTGCACCCATTGGCCAATCTCTCCTATCCCCACTTGTTCCCTAACCTCCCTATCTTGTGGCAACTACTGTTCCACTGTCTACTTCCACAAGAACAACTTTTTAGATTCCACATGTGAGTGAGATCATGCACTGTCTTCCCAAGCCTGACTTATTTTACTTAACATAATGTCATCCAGGTTCATCCATGTTCCTGGAAATGACAGTATTTTATTGTTTTATGACTGAATAACATTCCCTTGTGATAGTACTTTTTAAATCCATTTAAAAATTGATGAGCATTGAGGTTGATTCCATATTTTGGTTATTGTGAATGGTACTACAATAAACATAGGAGTGCAGATATCTCTTCGAAGTACCTATTTCATTTCCTTTGGATGTATACACAGTAGTGGGATTGCTGGATCATACAGTAGTTCTATTTTTATTTTTTGAGGAAACTCTAAACTATTAATATTTTCCAAAATGGCTGTACTCATTTATATTCCCACCAGCAGAGTGTAAAATTTCTCTTTTCTCCACATCCTCACCAACACTTGTTATCTTCTGATTTTTTGACAGTAGTCATTCTAATTGGAATGAGGTGAAAATTTCTGTCATCTTGATTTGCCTTTCCCTGATGATTTCTGATGTTGAACATCTTCTTTTTCATTTATCTGTTGGCCATTTGTATATCTTCTTTTGAGAAATATCTACTCAAGTCTTTCGCTCATTTTTTGATGGGTTTACTTTTGTTGTTGGTGTTGAGTTTCTTATATATTTTGGATATTAACCCCTTATTAGATGTAGAGTTTTCAAATATTTTCTCCCATTCTATAGGTTGCCTCTTTGCTCTATTGATTGTTCCCTTTGCTATGCAGAAGCTTTTTAGTTTGATGTAATCCTATTTGTCTATATTTGTTTTTGTTGCTCAGACTTTTGAGGTTTTTTACAAAAAAAAAAAATCCTTACCTAGGCCAATGTCACAGAGCTTTTCCCCTATGTTTTCTGTTAGTAGTTTCATTTCAGGTCTTATGTTTAAGTCTTTAATCAATTTTGAGTTGATTTTTGTATATGGTGAGAGATAGGAGTCTAGTTTCATTGTTCTGCATGTGCATATGCAGTTTACCCAGTACCATTTATTGAAAAGGCTGTCCTTTCCCCATTGTCTATACTTGGCACCATTGTCAAAAATTAGTGGGCCGTAGATGCAGGGATTTATTTCTGGGCCCTCTATTCAGTTCATTAGTCTATGTGTCTATTTTTATTCCATTTACCATGCTGTTTTGGTTACTCTAGCCTTTTGGTATATTTTGAAGTCAGGTCATGTGATGTATCCAACCGTGTTATTTTTGCTCAAGATTGCTTGGGTAATTTGGGGCCTTCTGTGGTTGCACACAAATTTTAAGATTTTTTTTTTCTCATTTTGGGAAGATTGTCATTGGTTTTTTGTTGTTTGTTTGTTTTGTTTTGTTTTTTGTTTTTTTGAGGCAGAGTCTCACTCTGTCACCCAGGCTGGAGTGCAAAGGCGTGATCTCGGTTCACTGCAACCTCCGCTTCCCGAGTTCAAGTGATTGTCCTGCCTCAGCCTCCCCAGTAGCTGGGATTACAGGCATGTGCCACCACACCAAGCTAATTTTTGTATTTTTAGTAGAGATGGGGTTTCACCATGTTGGTCAGGCTGGTCTTGAACTCTTGACCTCGGGTGATTCACCCACCTTGGCCTCCCAAAGTGCTGGGATTACAGGCGTGAGCCACCGTGCCCCACCTGTCATTGCTATTTTGATAGAGATTGCACTGAATCTGCAGGTGCAGAGGTGTACATTGTACGGACATTTTAACAATATTATTTCTTCTGATCCATGAACATGAGATATATGTGTCTTCTTCAGTTTCTCTCCTCAATGTTTTTTGGTTTTCATTGCAGAGATCTTTCACCTCCTTGGTTAAATTTATTACTAGGCATTCTGGGTTTTTTTTTGTTTTTTTTTTTTGTAGCCATTGTAAGTGAAATTGCTTTCTTGCTTTCTTTTCAGACAATTCACTATTGGTGTATAGAAACATCACTGATTTTTGTATGTTGATTTTATATCTTGAAACTTTACTGAACTTGTTTATTAATTTTAATGGTTTTTTGGTGAAGTCATTGGGGTGTTCTCCATGTAATATCATGGCATCTCTAAACAGAGAGAGTTTGCTTCAATGAATTTTAAAGTTTGAATGTGACATTAAATTTTGGCACTATTTTGTGCAAAAATGGCATGTATAAATTAAACCAAAAATAATTACTTTTTTTATTTTCTTGGCTCAGACTTCGTCTCTTAATATTCACTTTCTTTGTGTATTAATAACAAGCAAATTTTATAGCTGGAGTTTATGGTGCTTTGGTTCTTATATTCCAACAGACACATATAAAAATCTGGGACGGGCGCGGTGGCTCACGCCTGTAATCCCAGCACTTTGGGAGGCCGAGGCGGGCGGATCACGAGGTCAGGAGATGAGACCATCTTGGCTAACACGGTGAAACCCCGTATCTACTAAAAATACAAAAAATCAGCCGGGCTCGGTGGCGGGCGCCTGTAGTCCCAGCTACTTAGGAGGCTGAGGCAGGAGAATGGTGTGAACCCGGGAGGCGGAGCTTGCAGTGAGCCAAGATCATGCCACGGCAGTCCGGCCTGGGCGAAAGAGTGAGACTCCGTCTCAAAAAAAAAAAAGTCTGACTTTGAAATCGTTTAAAATCTGATTTTTGAACCAAAGCTCATGTGATGAGGATATGATGCAAGAATGATGATGGCAATGATGTTTAAAACCCCTGTCCCCTAGTGAAGATCTTAAGATATATCTAGGGTTACTTCTTAAACCAAAACCTGTAGCAATGATGCATTGAGTAGAAAAATTGTTGTAAATAAAAGGCTAATCTTCAAAAATATGAAGTCAGAATAAGCTTTATACATGGCAATTGACCTCAGTTCACCTCTAAGATTATCCTTTTAGAATGTTAGTGTAAGAAGCAATTGTTATATCTTAAACATTTTATTTGAAAAGAAATAATTTAAATTATTCAAATAAGTGTTGGCCATTTTCAGGATACTGAATTCACCCAAAACAAAAATAAAAATGCATCTAGTCACTCAAATAAGAGCAAGTTACTTTGAATAAACTGAACAACTCAACTCATTGCACCTGAAGGTTATTTTTAATTAAGCACATTATTTGGGAAAGTCTAAACAAATATGTGGAAGTTGATGCAAACACTACTTTGCTTCAGCTGGTTGTCTTTGTTTGGATATTTATATTCATGAAGTATAATTTCACTCTTAGAGAGTCTATATGAATGGAAAAATTAGATGTTGTTTCTGGTACTTTTCTCCACACATGTGGATTTTTGTACCCCTCAGCATGTTTTGCTTTCCATCTGTTTATTTTAGTTTTATGCAGGCACAGCTTTGGAGCTGAGAGAAAGAAAGTGTCTGAAACTGTGTCTTTGGCTGATCTGTGTTGACATAGCATTTACCGTCAACCCCAAGCTTTTCCGAAATTTGTTATGATGAGATAATAAATAGTTCATATGTGTAAAATAGTGCTTAACACAAAGACACACAGGAAATATTTGATGCCTTTTGTGAAACCAAACTAGTTTGGCCATTGTGATGGAATGACAGGGTAGCTAGTACAAGACTCGCCCTCCTGATGTAAACAACTAAAAAAAAAGGTAGGAAATAAATGAGGTTTCTATTTTTGGGAACTGAGCACTGTTAGTGCAGAACTATGATTTTTGCTAGATGTGAAACACACATAAATACACCAGTGATCTCCTGGGATTTGGATTTGGAATGGCTTTTGTGCTGTGGGCAGACAGAAGGAATACAATGAGATGAGCAGCAATGTTTCTGAGCTGAAGAGGATGAGGTCAGAGTCATAGGCAGCAGAAGCAATTAGAGTTTATAGGCCAGAGCACCAGAGAAGAAAGAGCCACTCAGAGGATGGGCTCAAAAGACTCATTAATCATCATGGGTCTCTGAGGGGCCTAGCAGATATCATCTGCTGAGAGATTGAGAGATAAACAAAACTGTCAGAAATTAGAGAGTTGGAGTTCCAGCTCAGCCAGTAGGGAGAGACATGACACTAAACATCTCAAGCATTGAGAAACCAGAAAGGCCTTTCTTTAGGAGTAGAGACCACATTATACAGAAAGAAAGATGCCATACATTCAAAAACAAAATAAAAGCATTCAAAGAATAAAATCAAGATTTACAGGGAAAAAACATATTTTAGCTGCCTGCCAGAACAAAATTCCAAATCTTTTAAAGGAAGTTAACATAATCAGGAACCCCTTTAATTATCGTCTGAATGTCCAATATACAATAAAAATTATTAGATCTAACCTATAATCAAGAAAAAAGTATAAATATTGAAATGACATAACTGTTGAAATTAGCTTGCAAGAACTTAATATTTTTCAAGGACTTAAATAAAAGAATGAATATGAGTAAACAATGAGAAAACTTTGCAGAGAAATGAAAACTATAAGAAGGACCCAATGAGAATTTCAGAATTGAAAAGTAAAATATCTGAAATGAAGAATAATCTTGATGGGCTGAACAGTACATTGGAACCAGAGAAGGAAGGATTCACATATCTGAAGACGATTAACAGAAATTACATAATCTGAAGAATGGAAAGAAAAAATATTTCAAAAAACTGCAGAGAGCTGCAGTGATCTGTGGGATAATTCCAAGTAGGTTCCCATATAATTGCAGTACCAGAGGGAGAGGAGAAAAAGAACAGGGAGGAAAAATATTCTGAATTAATAATGGCCAAATATTTCCCAAATTTGGTGGAAGATGTCGATCCAAGAACCTTAGCAAATCTTAGTCAGGTTTTTAGCAAATCTTAGCCAGGCGTTTTTAAACTGGTTTTAACTGTGCTAGTTAATGAATCTGTTACCCTTTTAAAATTTAACCAGACCTACAAATACTAACTCAAAATAGATTAAAGACTTGAGATATTTGCACTCCCACGTTTATTGAAGCACTGTTCACAATAGGCGAGATATGGAATCAACCTGTGTCCATCAACAGATGAATGGATTTTTAAGTGTAGTATATATACCACAAAAAGAATGAAATCCTGTCATTTGCGGCAACATGAATGGAACTGGAGGTCATTATGTTAAGTGAAAGAAGCCAGGCACAGAAAGACAAATATCACATGTTCTCACTTATACATGGGAGTGAAAAAAGTGGATATCATGGAGGTAGACTGATGGTTACCAGATGCTGGAAAGGGAAAGGAAGCAAAGAGGTATAAAGAGAAGTTGGTCAATGGGTACAAAAACGCAATTTGATAAAAGGAATACATTCTAGTACTTGATAGTAAATAAGGGATATTATAATTAACCATAATTTACTGCATATTTTTAGATAGCTAGAAGAGAAAGAATTGTAATGTTCCCAACACAAAGAAGAGATAAATGTTTCAGGTGATGTATATCTCAATTGGCCTAATTTGATCATTACAGATTGTATACATGTATCAAAATATCACATTCACCCAAAAAATGTGTACAACAGTATGGTTTGGCTCTGTGTCCCCACCCAAATCTTATGTTGAATTGTAATTCCCAGTGTTGGGGGAAGGACCTGGTGGCAGGTGATTGGATCATGGGAGCAGATTTCCCCCATGATGTTCTTGTGATAGTGAGTGAGTGCTCACAAAATCTGATGGTTTAAAAGTGTGTGGCACTTCCCCTCCACCACACATTCTCTTTCCCCTGCTGCCACGTGAAGAAAGTTCTTGGTTCCCCTTCACCTTTGGCCATGATTGTAGGTTTCCTGAGGCCTCCCAGTCATGTTTCTTGTTAAGCCTGAAGAACTGTGAGTCAATCAAACCTCTTTCCTTCATAAGTTACCCAGTCTCAGGTAGTTCTTTATAGCAGTGTGAGAATGGACTAATACAAACAATGATGTGTCAATTTAAAAAATAAAAAAACTTAACTGGATAAAATACTGTTGAAAGGGATTAATGCACTTGATATATTACAGAGAATGAAAAATACAAGAATAATATTAAATGTTGCTATGTGTAAAAAAATTTAACTGGATAAAATATTGTGGAAAGGGATTAATGCAGTTGATATATTACAGATAATGAAAAATACAAGAATAATATTAAATGTTGCTATGTGTAAAAAACACAATATAAAAGTGCTCTCTTTTATTTTATTTGAATAGATAATTGTCATTATTTTGTAGCCATATTATATTTTTTCTATCTTAACAGATTGTTTTTATTTTTGGGTGTTTGTTTGTTTGTTTGTTTTGAGACGGAGTTTCACTCTTGTCCCTCAGGCTGGAGTGCAGTGGTGCCATCTCGACTCACTGCAACCTCCCCATCCTGGGTTCAGGCAGTTCTCCTGCCTCAGCCTCCTGATGGCTCGGATTACAAGTGCCTGCCACCACGCCCAGCTTTTTTGTTTGTTTGTTTTGTTTTTTTGTATTTTTAGTAGAGACTGGGTTTCACCATGTTGGCCAGGCTTATCTCTAACTCCTGACCTCAGGTGATTCATCCATCTCGGCCTCCTAAATTGCTGGGATTACAGGCATGAGCCACCGCACCCAGCCTGTTAACAATGTTTTATGACTGACAGAGGTTGCATATTCATTCAGTTTCTATGATTTCTTTTGTTTCAGTGAATAGCAACTAATAAACAGTTACTATGTAGTTATCTTTCCTTGCTAAGGTTTATTTGTATATTGATTATATACACATATTTTTTCAGGGACATTAAAAATTTTTTCATCTCATCAAATCTGGAGCAACATGCCTAAGTTATGTTGTTTATGGGAAAATCTATGATGTGATAATTTACTTACGACTTACAGAAAAGAATAGCAGAAACTATGAGAAAAGCCTTAGGTTTTACTTACACTTGGCTATATGAAATTTAAGTTTCTGTACAAAGAAAGATATATCACTCAAAATTTAAAAGATGAGCAAAAGAATCCAGCATATTTAACAGATAAAGAGCTCCTACAAATCTATAAGAAACAGATAAGCACTGGTAATTGGGGAATTTCCCATTAAAAGATATAAATAATATTAATAGTGTATTATATACTTGAAATTTCCAGAGAGAGTAGATCTTAAATCTTCTCAACACACACACACACACACACACACACACACACACACACACACACACACTAACTATATGAGGTGATGCATGTGTTAACTAACTTGATTGTGGTAATCATTTCACAATATATACATATATCTAAGCATCATAGTGTTCATCTTAAATGTGTACAATATTATCTGTCAATTGTACATCAATAAATCCGGAAAAAAATAAAGTAGTTGCAACAAGAGTTAAAAACTATGAATTTTTAATGAAATACAAGAAATATTTTGTATAATCTTGGAAAGCAAAATTATTCTTGCACATTAGATTTCCAGGGGTTATTCATCTTACAACGGAACGTTTGTTTCCTCGATCAACATCTCTCAAATGTCCTCACCCTGCAGGCTCTGGTAATCACCATTCTATTCTATGTTCCATGGGTTTGACTTTTAAAATTCCACATAGAAATGAGATCATATAGTATTTGCATTTCTCTTTCTGACTTATTTCGCCTAGCATAATGCCCTCAAGGTTCATCCATGTTGTCACAGATGGCAGAATTTCATTCTTTTTGATGGTTGAATAATATCCCATTGCATATGTATATCATATTTTCTGTATGAATCCAGCAAGGAACATTTAAGTTATTTCCATGTCTTGGCTACTGTGACTAATGCTGCAAGCAACAACTTTAGAAGTCTGAAATTGTGTCAGTATAAAACCATTAAAATTTAAAAGTTAGCTTAGCTTTTTAAGTTTAGATTTTTAATTCATCGGAAATTTCTATGTCAGATGAATGGCAGGTGTCATAGGTGAGATTATTGTTCATCAAAATATTCATTAGTGTCTTCATCTCCATGGGAGAATATATTTCTCTACCCTGTGGATGTCAGGTTTGGCTACATGACTGCTTTGGCCAATGGGATATTAACAAACATAATGCAAAGAGAAGCATATGATATTTCCTACTCCCCTAAACTGCCCTATGTAATTTTAATTTCTATTAAAAACAAAAGTCATTATTGAACTAATATGACTATGCAAATATGGTTATCAGGTGAACCAGATAGAATATGCTAATATATTTATTAGTATGTAACTTCTTTTTTATTCACTGAATTTTCTATATCTATATCTATATAGATATAGATATGTATCACTTGTTGATTGATCTGGAAGTTTTTTGATAGAACTCTAAAGCTTCTCTTAATCTGGTAAAAATACATTTCAAAAATTAATAAATTCATTTCCCTTTCAACTGTTTGCTCAACAAGCTAATTAATTACACAGATCTTACCTTGACGTTCCTTTTCCCTATTATCTGTGGTCTGCAGATGCAGGGATCTGACAACTTCCTGACAAGAGATAATGCTGAGTCTCCAGCCCAGAAACGGGGATTTAGGTGCCACAACATTCTGCATAGGTTTGGTGAGGGCGAAGACAAAAGACGATGTGTTCCTAGGCCTGGAAGATGTCAGGGTTTTTTTTATATTTTTCTATTCCGAAAATTGCCAACCCAGTGAGGCTTCTCATTCTCCTTGAGGAGGGAAAGAGAGTCTCAAGGGCAGGATCCTCCTTGAACTTTGACCTCGAAAATTTAATTACTTTGTTTTCAATAATGTAGTGTCTTCTTGTAAACCTACACTGTTGGGTAACTCTGTGCATAGAGAAATTTATCATTCAAATGTTTATAAACATCATACCATTGCACACATGGTTCTCAGCCCAAATAAAAAAGTTAAAAGAAAGCTATACACAAAAATCACTGGTTTAAACTATTTTCATTTCATCAGCCAGTGTGCAAACGTAGATATTTTTCACTTTCCTTGTATAAACATATTGTTAGTCCAGCAGGTGTCCATTGTGCTAGAAGAGGGTTGCCAACTACATTTAAGATGCTACATGAATGCAAATATGCTCATAAATAACATACCCAGTTCTCTGTGTGTAACCTTCATCTTGAACAACTACAGTACATAAGTAAATTTATTTATTTATTTATTTATTTATTTATTTATTTATTTATTTTGAGATGTAGTCTTGCTCTGTTATCAGGCTGGAGTGCAGTGACACGATCTTGGCTCACTGCAAGCTCTGCCTCCCGGGTTCATGCCATTCTCCTGCCTCAGCCTCCCGCATAGCTGGGACTACAGGCGCCTGCCACCACGCCCAGCTAATTTTTTGTATTTTTAGTAGAGACAGGTTTTCACCGTGTTAGCCAGGAAGGTCTCGATCTCCTGACCTCCTGATCCGCCCGCCTCGGCCTCCCAAAGTGCTGGGATTACAGGCGTGAGCCACAGCGCCTGGCCGTAAATTTCTCTAAATATGTGGATTCCAGTGTTATACTTATGGAAGTAGGAAAGCAATGGAAGAAACGAAAGGAGAAAAGAATGCAGAATTAATTAAACAGAAGGTGTTATGTTAGTCCACATACCAACCAGAAACTGTGTGTATGTGTGTGTGTGTGTGTCAGCAAAGACGTAGTAAGACATTCAAATTCAAAGATCTTCTGTAGAAGACCACAGTAGTCTAATGAACAAACTATGAAATGTGAATAATACATAGGAATAGAACAATCTGGCCTGTTCATCTCTTGTGCAATTGTGAATTATTTATATAAATATATATACTCACACTGATGAATATATGTGAGTATAAATATATAAATATATGTGTGTCATTGTGTGTGTGTATATGTGTATATATGATTTACAGTATATACATGTAACATAAATATATACATATACACGTTTGTGTATATACATATATACTGTATATTTATATATACCTGCATATATACATGCATATATACCCACATATATACATATATGTATATACCCACATATATGTATATATACCCACATATATATACCCACATATATACATATATGTAGATACTGTAAATCCTATATATACACACACATTTTTATATGTTTATAAATTTATATTTTTTATTTATTTGTTTACATAAAAGCATTTATTATATTGTGAAATGCTAAACATATATAGGGAATGATTTTTAGTAGTAATCACTATTATCATAATAGTTCATATTTATTAAGGACCTATTAAACCAGACATTTTAAATTTTAATCCTCATCATACAACTAATAGATAAATCTTTTTATTCTCTATTTTACAAAAAGATATGCCAAAGCATCATCACCATCATTATAGTAAAAATGACATTCATGAATATAGATAACATTTATTAAGTCCAAACTGTTTACTAGCACTTTTTAAAAATTTTTATATAGATTAGCTCATTTAATCTTCATAATAATCTTACAATGTACAACCTATCATTACTCCTATTTTGTAGATGATAAATTAGAACAGAGAGGTTTTGTTTTTTAACTTTTAGTTTAGATACAGGGAGTACATGTGCAGGTTTGTTACATGGGAATATTCCGTGATGCTGAGGACTGGAGTAAGGATCCCATCACCTACATAGTGAGTATAGTACCCAATAGGTAGCTTTTAGCCCATGCCCCCCTCCAA
The DNA here is from genome assembly GCF_000001405.40 of Homo sapiens. Classification (NCBI taxonomy): domain Eukaryota; kingdom Metazoa; phylum Chordata; class Mammalia; order Primates; family Hominidae; genus Homo; species Homo sapiens. The sequence goes on along the minus strand of NC_000001.11, from coordinate 197,308,280 downwards.
GTAGTCCACAGTGTCTATTATTCCCATATTTATGTCCATGTGTGCTTAACGTTTAGCTCCTACTTATAAGTGAGAAAATACAGTATTTTATTTTCTATTTCCACATTCATTTGCTTAGGATTACGGCCTCCAGCTCCATCCATGTTGCTGCAAATAACGTGATTTCATTTTTAATGGCTGTGTAGTATTCCATGGTATATATATACCCATTTTATTTATCCTATTTGCCATTAATGGTACTTGGATTGATTCCATGTATTTACTATTGTGAATAGTGAAGCAATGAACATACAAGTGCATGTGTCTCTTTGGTAGACTGATTTATTCTCTTTGAGGTATATATACCCAGTAATGAGATTGCTGGGTTAAATGGTAGCTCGAAAAGAGAGTTTAAGTAACTTGTTCAAGGTCACGTAGCTAGTAAGTGGAAGGACCAGGGAGAGAGAGGATCTGGAATGTTTCCAAGTTATATAGTTAAGTTACAATGGACAAGAGCCTGCTGTGAGCCTTGGGGCTCTGACCTACTGCATCGTAATACCTCCAGTACTAATACATTAATGAGTAACTCATCATTCACAACTGTAAATCATCTACCTGTCAGTGATAATGGACATTTCTGTTCCTTGCCTTTTGATTAGAAATAATTTAAACAAAAAGAGAAAATAACTCATTGAACATCAAGAGTGATTGGATGTGGCTATTATTTTAGTTACTTTCATACTGAACTTCTCTGTACTCTCACAGTTCCTGCATTTTCTCTAATTTTAAAGTGTATATTTCAGTCTCCCTCTTTAGACTCAGACCTCAATGGCCAAAACCACAGCTTATTTCCTTTGTATCATCCCAAAAGCCTTTGCATGCTGTTTGGCAAACATTATTTTGTTAATAAATATTCATTAAACTTAACAGAATTTCATATGTAAACCCCTTTAATCCTGTCCAAACAAGCTGTAAAACAGCTTTTAACATCCTCATTTGCAGTTGTAAAAACCAATGACTGGGGAAGTAATTTGCTCAAGGTTTTAGCTGCTTAGAAATACATCTGAAGCTTGAACTCTGCAATACTGATTCTTAGTCTGAAGTTTTACTATCAGTTCTATGAGAACTTACTAAGTTCTGTGAAAACTATATAGTTCTGCATAAACTATTATATGTAAAATGCAAGCAAAAAGGTGCTTAATAAATGTTAGTTGATTTTTGCCTACAGGTACCACTTATATTCAAAATATCTTTGAATAGAACAAATAAAATAAAGGTAAAAATATCTAAATTTTCAGACATAACATTTGTTTTTACTATAAGAGGGAAAAATGGTCAGGCCACACAAATCGACTCCTTTTTTCAGTGTGCTGCTAAGAAACACAACTAACAACATGATGTGACTAGAATACAGATCATTCTATTGAGTTGTAATAGCTAATTGCATTTGCCCTGCTTCAGAAATGAGCACCTGTGGGCTTTTGTCTGCTGTGAAAATGACTGTAGATGGCAAGAAAGCACAGACAGAGACCCCTCTCTACTTGACTTTGGATGTTTACTTCATGCCTTTCTGTGTGATTTTCTTTTTGGTGCAAGTGAATTTTCAGCAAAGGACCAATTTTTCTCTCTTCTTTGATCCTTGTCCCTTGAGGTTTCTGTGCCTAAGTCTTGCTCTCAGCACAAAATTATCTTCCCAGAGCCTGACTGCTCCACATAACACTCCACTACAATCCTAAGCTTGCCACCCAATGGATATGACAGGCTTTTTGCCTCTGAGTATATATTCCATCTCAGCGTAGTACTTTCAGTTTTCTGCTCAGCCTGGACTGTTTACTGTAGGATAAGTTCTTCCTTCCAAAGTATAATAGAAAACCCAAAATTTAGGACAGGATATCTGCCTTCAATATCAAAAAGATACTCATTCCTGATACTTCAGATATCTTATCTTTGTTTTATCCTAATTTATCCTTTTTATTATTGGCTGGACTGTTTTCACGACTTTTCTTCTTTGACCATTCAATTTCCCTCAGACCACCTGGGACCCACCCATTCTCCTACATTTTGGACTTTACAGCTTGCTATATAGCAATTTGAATCTCTCTGTTTCTGGAGTGTTCAGCAGCTGCTGGCCAGCTGCTTCCTCTGAAACATGTTCTTGTATGTGCCCTACCCTGCTTCCTTTCCTGGATCTGACCTATTCCTCTGCTTACATTCCTTGGTGCTGTTCGTTTCCAGGCACTCTTTACCAATATTAGGACTGAACACTATACTTCCTTTTCCCCACCTATCATCCATCCTTGGTTGCACTCCTTACAATTCAGTAACAAAGATATTCCCAGAATTGAGACTGATAATGTTGCAGGCTTGCTCAGTTCTTGCTTTTTGTTTTTTTTTTTTTCAATTAGATCTCAAATATCAGTTTCCAAAGTGAGTAATTTATCACCTATATTATGTAGATCTTTCTGTATTACATTCTTTAAAATATAAAGAATAGAGGAATTGCAAGAACTCCTTGCAATTTGGGAAAATATTCACAAGGATTGAAGGTATTTGAATAGTTTTAGCTCAAGAAGAATGTAAAGTGTTCATGTGCAGTTAATATTGATTATCAAGACGTTAAGGAGGTGACGGCAAATATCAAATAGTTATTCAGGTGTTGTAATGGTTAACCCAAGATGAATGCTGTAAAAGGACGCTCATAAAAAAATCACAGATTATTAGCAGTCATCCGCATAATTATTTCTCTTCTCTCTCTATATATATGTATATATAAATAATATTTTTTCATATTCATACAAAAAATCCTTTTAGAAAATACAGTTAATTATACACTCTTATATCTACTTCAGACATTCTAATTCATTGTATCAGTACATAAAATTTTTTGGAACATATATGTATACTCTATTTTAATAGCACCTAATAGCTATCCTAATTCCTGAAAATATAAGCTGTTGATTCATTAACAAATATGTTTATACACTTGACTCCCATGTACTCAACACCAACAAGGATAATTATAGGATAGTAATAAAATTACATTACAAATAGACTCTACATAGAAAGAAACTTAAATTATTTAAGAAATTACCATAAATATTGGAGACTATGTTTTAGAAAACACACCAAGTTCCCCAGTAACCTAAGAACATTAGAGCACACAGCAAACTTAGATATCAGGTTTCAGAGCAGGACATAAAAACCAACTCTAAGTATTTTAAGTAGAAATAAATTTAGTATTGAGAATAAGATGCAAAAGGCATCCCTGGAATGGCTGAAAGAATAGGCTCTGCAGGGCCTTCCAGTAATGACTAACAGAACACTACAGAACTCTCAGGCTGAAGCTGGAATTGTCGAATACAAAACACAAGGTCATAGCTATGATCCAAGGATTAGGACTGCCTCTGTGTCACTGCCACCATTGCCATGGTCCCTGAACATTCACAAAGCAAGTGAATGAACACTGGTGAATGGGTAGGATTGGCACTGCCTTTGTCAAAACTGCCTCTTGACACTTAGGTAGCTGGAGAGTGGACAATGGAATGCTGTTGCCAAGATCCTCATGTCATCATAACTGTGCAAGCCTGTAGATGTAGCCAAAAGAGGAAAATGATTTCCACTTCACTTCTGCCTTCCAAGTGTTTTTAATTGGTGAAACCTAATTTATGTGTAGAACCCTACTGCAAGGAAAGTGAGAAATGTAGTTTTAGCCTTCCAGAATCTACAATATAGAAAACCACATAGGTGGAGGGTGGGATGAAGGCTGAGCAAGTCAACCCATAGTATCTACCACAGAGGCATCTAAATAAACTCCTCTAACTTTAGATGAAGAATATGAAAATCATAGAGGTTAAGTGAGAATACACCTGAACCAGGACATACATTTACCTTTCCTGAGCACATGCCACTGCTAGTCATAGATGTGTCCTCCCTAGATGTGGAAAAACATTTAATGTTATTCAAAATCAAAATCAATATATTTTAAAATGTAACCATTAGAAAATCAAATATCTAATTGCATTTAACTTATGTTAAAAAATTAGACAATAATCTTATTAAAGAGTATATTATATTCCATTTTTGAGAGATGTGCTATGAAGATTTTGGGGAAGAACTGTTTCAGTTGGTATTCATAATGACCTAGAATTACCTAATACTTTCTGATCCACCAATAGTATTACCACATATCAATACATAGCTTCTCCATTTAGTAAAGGCATACTGAAGATTTGTTGAAAGATCTTTAGAGTATAACTCTTCCATTTTTCCAAAACACAATGTCTAATTTAAAATATTATGTTTTTATTTTTTTAAGAGATGGCGTCTCTCTCTGTCACCTAGGGTGGCATGCAATGGCATGATCATAGTTCATTACAACCTCGAACTCCTGGGCTCATGCTACACTCCTGCCTCAGCCTCCCAAGTAGCTGGAACTACAGGCACACACCAACACTCTCAGCTTCAATGTATGTTTTCAACAGCATTTTTTCCAAATGCATAATATTCTCTTTTAATGTTAGAATAAAAATAAGTTTAGCTATTAGATAAAGGCAAACTAGACATGTGAAATCTAAAGTGGCTTATTTAGATTGATTCAAGGAAAGCATGAGTCAAAAGATCTGAATGTTAGTTTTGATTCTATCATCAATCTAGCTAGGACAAGTCGCTTATTTTTTTTTCAGGGTCTGAATTTCATGATATTTGACTTTGAGATGACTTGACACTTAATAGACTTGTTGGGGAGAGTAAAGCTAGATGGTAGATAATATTAAACAATGTCAAAAGCTAGATACAGTCATCTGATGGTACAATTATTTGTTATTTTTATATTCTACTGCTACTAGTAATATCTCCTTTACTTCAGAGTAAAAAGAAACAGGAAAAATGAACAAGATCTTCTTTTCATACAAAAAACCAAACACCACATATTCTCACTCATAGGTGGGAATTGAACAATGAGAACACATGGACACAGGAAGGGGAACATCACACTCTGGGGACTGTTGTGGGGTGGGGGGAGGGGGGAGGGATAGCATTAGGAGATATACCTAATGCTAAATGACGAGTTAATGGGTGCAGCACACCAGCATGGCACATGTATACATATGTAACTAACCTGCACATTGTGCACATGTACCCTAAAACTTAAAGTATAATAATAATAAAATAATAAATAAATAAATAAATAAATAAAAGAATAATTGGCCTCTTAATTTGAGCCTGGGTCTTATTTTAGCAAATAACTGATAATGGAAAAGTAGAATGGCTGGAAACCAAGTTGATGACACACAAAATGCTTCTACTTAGTGCAGCTTCATTAAAGATGAGACATTCAGGAAATATGTGTGATTTGTGGTGCCTTGGGAAAGTATCTGGAACTATTAAAGAGAACTTGACATACCTTCTTACTTCCCTTCAGTTGCATACAGGAGTATTTAGTTTCACAAATGTGTTTGTTTTTTCTGATTTTAATTTGATGTGTTTTCTAACACTAGCAGATTTTAGCCCAAGCTGACCTAAAGGGGCTCTTGTGTCCCTAGTTAATATTCCCCCACATTTTGCCATGAGATCTTGTCTTATATTCTTTCATCGACTTTATGGCATAAATATTATTCTTTGGCCAACTTTATTCTGAATTTTCTATTCTTTATTTTGTCAATTACTCTATCAGAGACAGTTGAACAGACTCAGACTTCACTCCTAACATTTAGCTCACCATTGCAGGCTTTGCCTTCCATTTTTTGGCCCCATCTTGTGTATATTAGCCTTTTTTAGGTCTTTATATTGCTTACTTTTTATTTATCCCTAAGATTTACAAATATAGGCATACCTCAGAGATATTGTAGGTTCAGTTCCAGACTACTGTAATAAAGCAAATATCAAAATGAAATGAGACACACAATATTTTTGGTTTCCTAGTGCATATAAAAGTTATACTTACACTATACTGTAGTCTATTAAGTGTACCATTGCATTATGCCTGCAAAAACAATGTGCATACCTTAATTTTAAAAACCTGTATTGCTAAAAAATGCTAACGATCATCTCAGCCTTTAGCAAGTCATAATCTTTTTGCTGGTGGAGGGTCTTGCCTCCATGTTGACAGCTGCTGACTGATCAGGGTGATGGTTGCTGAAGGCTGAGATGGCTGTGGCAATTTCTTAAAACAAAACAATAATAAAATTTGTTGCTTCTATTGACTCTTCCTTTCATGAAAGATTTCTTTGTAACATGCTGTGCTTTTTGATAATATTTTAACCACAATAGAACTTCTTTCAAAATTGGAGTCAATCCTCTCAAACCTCATTGCTGTTTTATGAGTTATGTTTATGTAATATTCTAAAATCTTTGTTGCTATTTCGACAGTGTTCACCAGGAGTAGATTTCATTTCACAAAATTCTTTTTTTTTTCATCCATAAGAAGCAACTTTGCATCCATTCAACTTTGATCATGAGATGGCAGCTATTCAGTCACATCTTCAGGTCCACTTCTAATTCTACTTCTCCTGCTATTTCCACCACATCCGCAGTTACTTCCTCCATTGAGGTGTTGAACCCCTCAAAGTCATCCATAAGGGTTGGAATCAATTTCTTCCAACTCTTGTTAATGTTGCTATTTTGACCTCCTCCCATGAATCATGAATGTTTCTTCAGATTATGAGACTACCATGCTACCTACTGCATTAATGAGGCACCTACAAATGTTCTGAATGGCACCTAGAATGATGAATCCTTCCCAGATGGTTTGCAATGGATTTTTCCCAGAATCGCCAAAGGAATCACTATCTACGGAGTGTTCACCTTATAAAATGTATTTCTTAAATAATGAGACTTGAAGCCGGGTGTGGTAACTCACACCTGTAATCCCAGAACTTTGGGAGGTTGAGGCAGGTGGATCACCTGAGGTCAAGAGTTTGAGACCATCCTGGCCAACATGGTGAAACCCCGTCTCTACTAAAAATACAAAAATTAGCCGGGTATGGTGGCACATGCCTGTAATCCCAGCTACTCAGGAGGCTGAGGCAAGAGAATCATTTGAACCCAGCAGGCAGAGGTTGCAGTGAGCCGAGGTCGCGCCACTGCACTCCAGCCTGGGTGATAGAGTGATACTCGGTCTTAAAAAAAAAAAAAAGACTTGAAAGCTGAAATTACTCCCTGATTCATAGATGGGCTGGATAAAAACATTCACATCCTTGCCCATCTCCATCAGAGATCTTGGGTGACTAGGGGCATTGTCAATGAGCAGTAATGTTTTGAAATAAATCTTTTTTTTTTTTCCTGAGCATTAGCTGTCAACAGTGGGCTTACAATATTCAGTAAACCATACTGTAAACAGATGTGCTGTCATCCAGGCTTTATTGTTCCATTTATGGAGCACAGACATAGTAGATTTAGCACCATTTGTAAGGGGCCTAGAATTTTCTGAATGATAAATGAACACTAGTTTCAGTTAAAGTCATCAGCTGCATTAGCCCCTAACAAGAGAGTCAGCCTGTCCTTTGAAACTGTGAAGCCAGGCATCAACTTCTTTCTAGCTATGAAAGTCCTAGATGGCATTTTCTTCCAACAGGAGGTTGTTTTGCCTACACTGAAAATGTGCTTTTCAGTGTAGCCACTTTAATCAATTATCTTAGCTAGATCTTAAGAATAACTTGCTGCACCTTTACATTAGCACCTGCTACTTCACCTTGCACTCTTATGTTATGGAGATGGCTTCTTCCCTTAAACCTTATGAACCAACCTCTGCTAGCTTCCAACTTTTCTTCTGCAGCTTCCTTATTTCTCTCAGCCTTCATAGAATTGAGGAGAGTAGGGGCTTTGCTCCGGGTTAGGCTTTGGCTTAAGGAAATGTTGTGGCTGGTTTGATCTTCTATCCAGACCACTCAAACTTTCACCATCTCAGCAAAAAGGCTCTTTCACTTTTTTACCATTTGTGTGTGAACTGGAGTAGCAATTTTAACCTTCTTCAAGAACTTTTCCTCTGCATTGACATCTTGGCTGTTTGGCACAACAGGATTAGTTTCAGCCTATCTTAGTCAATATGCCTTCCTCCATAAGCTTAATCAGTTCTAGATTTTGATTTAAAGTGATAGTTGGGTGACCCTTACTTTCACTTGAACATTGAAAGCGTTATTAATTGGCCTAATTTCAATATTGTTTAGTCTCAGGGAATATGGAGGCCTGAGAATAGGGAGAGAAACAGAGGAACAGCCTATCAGTGAAGCAGTCAGACATACTGAACATTTATCAATTAAGTTGGTTGCCATATGGGCATGGTTTGTGGTGCCCAAAAACAATTACAATAGGAACATCAAAGATCATTGATCACAGATTACCCTAACACATGTAACAAAATACTGAAAAAGTTTGAGATATTGCAAAAATTATCAGAATGTGACACCGAGACACAAACTGAGCACATGCTATTGCTTGATGCTGAGTTGCCACAAACTTTCAATTTGTGAAAAAAAATGCAGTATCTGTGAAGCACATTACTGTGAAGTACAATAAAATGAGGCACGTCTGTATAGCACATCATGGTCTATGGAGTCCTGCCTTTTTTGGTTCAACTTAGGTTTTAACAATTTATGCATGTAGTTGCACATAACAGTAGTTCATTCATTTTCAATATTCTCTAACAACCTGTTATATAAATATACTACAGTTTTTTTTTTCCTTTTCTTGTCAAGGCAAAAATACTTTTATTTTTCAAGTTTTTTGCTGTATGAACTTTTTTTACATATTTTGATTTGTACACGATTGCACATACACATTGAAGATTTTTCCTTTAGTGTGTGTGTAGGAGTGGAATTACTTAGTCAATTTAGAGTAAATTTATGGTCAAATTTATAAAATAACTTCAAATTGCTTTCCAGAGCTTATGCCAATGGATACATGCATTAGTTCTATGTAAGAGTCACTCTTACTTGTTGTTCCACATGTCTGTCAGGTTGGCTTTGTAAGATGTAATCATTTTTACCAATCTAGATGCAAAATGGCATTTATCTGTGATCTGAACTTGCATTTCCCTGATAACTAGTGAGATGGACTGCATTTTCTTATGTTTTTGACCATTCGTGCTTCCTCTTCTGTGAAATAGTTCTTCATGTCTCATTTCCATTTTATTAATTGGTCCATTGTCACTTTCTCATTGATTTGAAGGAGTGCTTTACATACTAAGATCATCATTATCTTGTTGACTGTATGCCATGCAAATTCCTTCTCCCAGTTTGTTGATTTTTTTTCTACATTACTTACAGTATTTTTGACTATTATAGTTAATTTAATGTAATTGAATTTATCCTTAATTTTTTCATAATTACCACTTTTGTCTTAAATAAATGTATTCCTACATTGAGGTAATGAAATATTCTTTTGCTTTTGTAAAGTATAAAGTTTTTGCTTTTCCCATGTAATTAATTTATTTGGAATTAGTTTTTATGTATAAATGAGAAGAAGATCAACTCTATGTTTTCAATATCAATAAATAATTGGGCAAAAAAATTTTAATGCCATTTGTTCTGTTCCCAATGATGGCAATACCATTTCTCTTATGTATAATTTTCCACTTATATATGGCCGTTTCTGAGTCTTTGTTTTATATATTTACCCCTTGAGCCAATGTCATCCTTTTAAAATTGTTATAGCATTATAATAATTCTTGCTATATTATCTGGTAGGACATATTCCCTCCAAGTCATTATTCTTCCTCAGGAGTGTTTTAGCCAGTTTTATTCTTTGTTATTCTCCTCAATTTTAGAATCAACTTGTTCATTTTGTCCAAAACACTGAAAATTATTAACCTCCAAAATTTGTGGAGAAAACTACTACTTAAAGGTTCCTCTCGCCTGAAGCATTTAATCCTCTTACCCCACTTTTTCATCGTCTGCAATTTACTTGCAGAGTAAATAGAACCTGTTAGAGGTACCTTCTTTAATTTCCCTGTACCAGTGATATAGACTTATCTACATCCATATACATCTATTCCTGTTTTCCTCCTATTAACCAGGCTACTAGGTTTTGTCTCTTTATCCAAGGATAAAATTTCAGCGTGCTCAGAATAAGATTCTTTTACTTCCCTGTAGGGTCTTGCCTCTCTTTATTTTCCATCTGCAATTTCTCTTTTCTCTGTAAGTATGTAAGCATGTTCACATTTTTGCTAAAAATAGAACAAAAGAAAAGAAGCAAAGTACATAACATAACCCTCTTTATCTCTCCTTTATTTCCCTATGGCTCCTGTAGTATCTGCCTTCCCCTCTTTACAGCCAGACTTCTCAGAACAGTTGTCTATGTTCACCATCTATTCTCACTCAGTTTCCACTCAGTGCACAGCCAACTGCCATCTGGCTACTGTCCTCACCACCCCATGAACCTACTGGCCAGGGTCCCCAGTAATAACACATTTGGAGTCATTTTCTTACTTGAAGTCTTGATATTTGAATTATCTTATCTCTCTATCTCTTAAAAGCTATTCTTTTTTATAGCTTCATACTTTTCTGACTTTTTTCTTTTCCCCTCTAAGTTCTATAGGCTCCTTTGTGAATTCTCTTTTCTCAGTTGTCATTTAAAATGACTGGACCTTAGGGGCCCTCTTCCCTTTTCCCTGTGGACTCTCACCTGGGTGATCCTCAATCATCAGATCTCTACTTGCTACGTATAGATTGATATCCCCCAAGTTGTAATCTCTAGCACATCCCTCTTTCCTCAGCATGAAGGCTATCACACTATCTGACATCTCCATTCTAACTCAACTTGCAAACATAGCAACGCTACTGGTCATCTTTCATCCTGCACTCCCATGCAGTACTTTTCCTCCTGCCATACTCCATACCTCAGCTAGAAAGTTGATGGAAGTACTGGCCATACAATTGATCAAGCCAGAATCCTCAGGTTCATCGTGGATCCTTCCTCATCTTTTCCTAACACATTCAATTAACCAAAAAATCTTGTGGACTCTAACTCCCAAAGACAACTAATATATGTATAATAGCACAATTTAATATTTTTCAAGTCTAGAAAGGAACAATTAGGAGCAGATAATCAACATGAAGAAAATCATTAGAAGGGGATGGATATCAGGAGTGTTGGACAAGGTGCAAACACGGGACAGAATTGAGATTATGGCAAGCAGTTGATGGCGTTTCAGATGACCCATGCCACAAGATTCAGTGGCCCAGTCATAGGAAAACTAGAGCTCAGGATTAGAAAAGCCCAATATAGCAAGAACAAGATAATAAGAACAAACTCACCTAATAGGACTAGAGAATAAAGAGAGGAAGTCAATCAAGGAGGAGACTTGTGTATTAGTCCGTTTTCATGCTGCTGGTAAAGACATAACTGAGACTGGGTAATTTATAAAGAAAAAGAGGTTTAATGGACTCACAATTTCCCATGCCTGGGGAGGCCTCACAATCATGGCAGAAGGCAAAAGGGACGTCTTACATGGTGGCTGGCAAGAGAGAAATGAGGACCAAGTGAAAGGGGTTCCCCCTTATGAAACCATCAGATCTTGTGAGACTTATTCACTACCATGAGAACAGTATGGGGGAACTGCCTCTATGATTCAATTATCTCCCACCAGGCCCCTCCGACAACATGTGGGAATTATCGGAGCTACAATTCAAGATGATATTTGGGTGGGGACACAGCCAAACCATATCAACTTGGTTACCAGACAGATCAGTTCCTAAAAGCCTGGAGTTCCAATATCGGATAAATGGGATCTCAATGATAAATCACTTCACTTTAGTTCTGAAGTCTATCACTCTCTTCTTACCTGGAGATACAACTGACTTCTGGATCTGTAGCAAGACAGTTTTGATACAAGAAAATATGAAGGAAATTCAGTGATCTAGTTGGATAACACAAGTAGAAATTTAAATGTACTGTTTACTATATTCCAGGTACAGTTTGGCACTTTTTAAATCATTTACCATGATGATGTCAATTAAGCTTCATAAAATAGTGTAAGTACCATTATTATTTCCATCTTATAGATGAAGAAAGTGAGGCTTGCAAAGGTAATTTTCTGAGGCAAAACATCTGGTAAGTAGTGGAGATAGAATTCAAGGCCTGCAGTCTGGCTCTAGAGCCCCTGATTTTACCTGTGATGAAAAAGTGTTTCTTGTTAATATACTATGAACATTATTTGTGTCTCCATTTTGCAGATAGAAAAATAGTCCAAGAGAGATTTAAACAATTTGTATTTTGTAGTTTAGACAGTTCTAGAACTCAGGTTCTCAAGTCTAGTGCTCATATTTTTATAGTCTTCTGTCTATAAAATCTATTAATGAAGGATTATGCCTTACTTTGTCTTAAATTTTTTTTTAAATCTTAGAAGAGTTAAGATGCTATCTTTCTTAGATCTAATAGTAGAGACCAAAGTAGCTCTCTTCCAGCTATGTGATGCTGTGTTTCACAGTAAGCCTGGCTTTTGTCTTTATGAAGACATAATACTTTATTAGGATCATCCTAGGTACACAAGGTCTCAGGCAGAAATAAGATTAGATCCTCAGCCATATGTCGCACTTCAGAGAAGATCTAATTCACAATCTTGTACAGTCTGACAAATATCTCCATTAACAAATCTTAATCATGTGGGTGGAAGAAAGGAGGGTGACCAAAATAAAGCTGCTCAAATATATTTCAGCTATTAAATGCTGAAGTGCTGCAGACACAAAGGCTTGAGTTGTGTCATTCCATTATCAGTGAAATATAAACTACAAAATATACCATGATGAGACACACAACTCAGTGATACTGTGAAGTTCTTGAGTGTCTGGTTCCTCTCTTTCTTTGGCTCAAAAATTTTTTACTTGCGGAATCTATATCCTACAAGACAAAGCCCCAAGTTACTTCTTCAAGTTCAATTGCTCTAACCTGCTGGATATCCCACATTGCTCTCAGTTGTCCTTATTTTGCTTCTGACCCTTGCTCTTGCCTGCCTCTTGGGTTTTGACACACTACTTTGGTTTTCAGCTTTGATCCTTAGGACTCAGGTGTTTAGTACCCTGACGACACAATCCAGCACCACCCTCACTCAGGCCTTGGGCCAGCTACAAGCTAGAAGGCAACATGACAACATTTAAAGACCATTGAAAAAGGATTAACAATTCTATAGCCTGCCAAGAGGTTGAAAAATGTTTATGATTTTATGAGAATTTAGAGTTCTTACATATCATTTATGAAAAAAAATACTTGCCTCCCAAACACTCAAGTAAAACAAACTTAGGTCTTTTCTTTTATTATTATACTCTAAGTTCTAGGGTACATGTGCACAACGTGCAGGTTTGCTACATATGTATACATGTGCTATCTTGGTGTGCTGCACCCATTAACTCGTCATTTACATTAGGTATATCTCCTAATGCTATCCCTCCCCTCTCCCTCTACCCCACGACAGGCTCTGGTGTGTGATGTTCCCCTTCCTGTGTCCAAGTGTTCTCATTGTTCAATTCCCGCCTATGAGTGAGAACATGCGGTGTTTGGTTTTTTGTCCTTGCGACAGTTTGCTGAGAATGATAGTTTCCAGCTTCATCCATGTCCCTACAAAGGACATGAATTCAACCTTTTTTATGGCTGCATAGTATTCCATGGTGTATATGTGCCACATTTTCTTAATCCTGTCTATCATTGATGGACATTTGGGTTGGTTCCAAGTCTTTGCTATTGTGAATAGTGCCGCAATAAACGTATGTGTGCATGTGTCTTTATAGCAGCATGATTTATAATCCATTGGGTATATACTCAGTAATGGGATGGCTGGGTCAAATGGTATTTCTAGTTCTAGATCCTTGAGGAATTTCCACACTGTCTTCCACAACGGTTGAATTAGTTTATAGTCCCACCAACAGTGTAAGTGTTCCTATTTCTCCACATCCTCTCCAGCACCTGTTATTTCCTGATGATCGCCATTCTAACTGGTGTGAGATGGTATCTCATTATGGTTTTGATTTGCATTTCTCTGATGGCCAGTGATGATGAATATTTTTTTTCGTGTGTCTGTTGGCTGCAGAAATGTCTTCTTTTGAGAACTGTCTGTTCATGTCCTTTGCCCACTTTTTGATGGGGTTGTTTGATTTTTTCTTGTAAATTTGTTTGAGTTCTTTGTAGATTCTGGAAATTAGCCCTTTGTCAGATGTGCAGATTGCAAAAATTTTCTCCCATTCTTTAGGTTGCCTTTTCACCCTGATGGTAGTTTCTTTTGCTGTGCAGAAGCTCTTCAGTTGAATTAGATCCCATTTGTCAATTTTGGCTTTTGTTGCCATTGCTTTTGGTGTTTTAGACATCAAGTCCTTGCCCATGCCTATGTCCTGAATGGTATTGCCTAAGTTTTCTTCTAGGGTTTTTATGGTCTTAGGTCTAACATTAAAGTCTTTAATCCATCTTGAATTAATTTTTGTATAAGGTGTAAGGAAGGGATCCAGTTTCAGCTTTCTACATATGGCTAGCCAGTTTTTCCAGCACCATTTGTGAAATAGGGAATCCTTTCCCCATTGCTTGTTTTTGCCAGGTTTGTCAAAGATCAGATGGTTGTAGATGTGTGGTATTATTTCTGAGGGCTCTGTTCTGTTCCATTGGTCTATATCTCTGTTTTGGAACCAGTACCATGCTGTTTTGGTTACTGTAGGCTTGTAGTATAGTCTGAAGTCAGGTAGTATGATGCCTTCAGCTTTGTTCTTTTGGCTTAGGATTGACTTGGCGACGCGGGCTCTTTTCTGGTTCCATATGAACTTTAAAGTAGTTTTTTCCAGTTCTGTGAAGAAAGTCATTGGTAGCTTGATGGGGATGGCATTGAATCTATAAATTACCTTAGGCAGTATGGCCATTTTCACGATATTGATTCTTCCTATCCATGAGCATGGAATGTTCTTTCATTTGTTTTTGTCCTCTTTTATTTTGTTGAGCAGTGGTTTGTAGTTCTCCTTGAAGAGGTCCTTCACGTCCTTTGTAAGTTGGTTTCCTGGGTATTTTATTCTCTTTGAAGCAATTGTGAATGGGAGTTCACTCATGATTTGGCTCTCTGTTTGTCTGTTATTGGTGTATAAGAATGCTTGTGATTTTTGCACATTGATTTTGCATCCTGAGAATTTGCTGAAGTTTCTTATCAGCTTAAGGAGATTTTGCACTGAGACGATGGGGTTTTCTAAATATACAATCATATCATCTGCAAACAGGGACAATTTGACTTCCTCTTTTCCTGATCGAATACCATTTATTTCTTTCTCCTGCCTGATTGCCCTAGCCAGAACTTCCAACACTATATTGAAAAGGAGTGGTGAGAGAGGGCATCTCTGTCTTGTGTCAGTTTTGAAAGGGAATGCTTCCAGTTTTTGCCCATTCAGTATGATATTGGCTGTGGGTTTGTCATAAACAGATCTTATTTTTTGAGATATGTCCCATCAATACCTAGTTTATTGAGAGTTTTTTTAGCATGAAGTGCTGTTGAATTTTGTCAAAGGCCTTTTCTGTATCTATTGAGATAATCAAGTGGTTTTTGTCTTTGGTTCTGTTTATATGCTGGATTACATTTATTGATATTTGTATGCTGAACCAGCCTTGTATCCCAGGGATGAAGCCCACTTGATCATGGTGGATAAGCTTTTTGATGTGCTGCTGGATTCGGTTTGCCAGTATTTTATTGAGGATTTTCTCATCGATGTTCATCAGGGATATTGGTCTAAAATTCTCTTTTTTTTGTTGTGTCTGTGCCAGGCTTTTGTATCAGGATGATGCTGGCCTCATAAAATGAGTTAGGGAGGATTCCCTCTTTTTCTATTGATTTGAATATCTTCATAAGGAATGGTACCAGCTCCTCCTTGTACCTCTGGTAGAATTCGGCTGTGAATCTGTCTAGTCCTGGACTTATTTTGGGTGGTAGGCTATTAATTATTGCCTCAATTTCAGAGCCTGTTATTGGTCTATTCAGGGATTCAACTTCCTGGCTTAGTCTTGGGATGCTGTATAGGAATTTATCCATTTCTTCTAGATTTTCTAGTTTATTTGCATAGAGGTGTTTATAGTATTCTCTGACGGTAGTTTGTACTTCTGTGGGATTGGTGGTGATATCCCCTTTATCATTTTTTATTGCGTCCATTTGATTTTTCTCTCTTTTCTTCTTTATTAGTCTTGCTAGCGGTCTATCAATTTTGTTGATCTTTTCAAAAAATCAGCTCCTGGATTCATTGATTTTTTAAAGGGTTTTTTGTGTCACTATCTCCTTCAGTTCTGCTCTGATCTTAGTTATTTCTTGCCTTCTGCTAGCTTTTGAATGTGTTTGCTCTTGCTTCTCTAGTTGTTTTAATTGTGATGTTAGGGTGTCAATTTTAGATCTTTCCTGCTTTCTCTTGTGGGCATTTAGTGCTATATATTTCCCTCTACACACTGCTTTAAATGTGTCCCAGAGATTCTGGTAAGTTGTGTCTTTGTAAACTTAGATCTTAACTTAAATGCAAGCCTTCCTGGAGAATATAGATGGGAAAGCAAAGAGCATTATGGAATGAAACTTGCAATGTTGTATGTACACATGTATGTACATATAATGCATTATAATTATATATGCAATCTAAAATTTCAATGAATAATAACAGGCTGTCCAGGAATGTGCTCTATTAAGCACTATGCATGCTAAGGACTCTGGAAACTGAAAAGACAAATATATGTGACATCTTGAAATAAATATAAAATCTCTAACTAATTTTGCTTTTACTGTAGAAAGATAACAGCATGAACTAAAATCCAACAGTGTCATGAATTTTTGATTATTGAATTGAGATAAAAGTCAATCAAATGAAATTTTATCATGAACAGTAATTTGAAGCTACTTTGAGTATAAGATTTTCGCAGTAATCACAAACATTAATTTGATAAAACATGTAACCAACTAATCTTAGAAAATTAAGGAAATACTGAAATATTAAATTTCCCAATGTAATTAAAAGCTAAAATAAAATACTTGCAAAGTGCCGTATGTTTATTATCCCACAGTGTTGAATAAAGTAAAAATCAATTCGTTAGAATGGGATAAAAGACACATGTCCACTCACTTATATATTTAAGTATTTTCATTATTAACATCTTTATTTAAATGAAGTTTTTAAAGACTATATTGTCCAAGAAATGAATTATCTTGCATGGAAATTTAAATATTACTAATTAAGTTTTAAAATGTCATCATCCTAGCTCTTGAAGTTATTATTTTTAGTACTTATTACCTATTCAAATGCAAGTTTACAAACGTTGAACTAGTCTGTGAGATTGTCATATAAGTATAAAATCGAGAAGATTAATGTCCACAGTATATTTTAGTTTCATTTCTCATTTTGAAAGCCATTTATTTTAAAGAAAAATTCTTTCTTGATTAGAGCTCATTACAATTAAAAATACATTTAGTACCAGAGAGCCAGGCACAAGAAACACAATTTCCTGCAAAAGCATGGAAATTGTCCTGCAAAAGCATGGACAAAAAGCATGTCATTTTAACACAGATATCTTTATTTTAGTGAATGGATAATTAACTTCTATTTTTAGTGAGAGGGCAAATGTACATAAACTTAAAATCCTCCCATTACAAATAATCAGAAATAATGAATCAAATACAACAAATATTATTTAAATATGTAAGTGAAGGAAAGGGAGATCACCAGGTAACACAGGGGATGAAAGAGCTGAAAATCAGCATGACACTCAATGGACGTTCATACTGTGTCTGTCCTGTTGGCTGATAGAGGGGAGAGAAGAAGAAAAAACGGATCCCTTGCATCAAGAGTTTGGTTTTTAATGGTCATGGAAAGGAGCTGGGGGGATGTGAAACTGAGCTGTTCAGGGAAAAAGAAGGCCTAAAAAATAATCTTCCTACTGTCAGGGATGTGGTGAGCAACAATGAAGCTAATGACTTCCTGTCCTTTCACATCCTACCTCCAGGAAATCAAAACCCTGAGACTCTGCATCTATCCCATTTACAGTACCCATATGATCTGAGATCCACTTCTCTTCAAACACACACACACACACACACACACACACACACACACACACGAAAGGGAACATAAAAAACTGATTTTGAGCCAGTGGTATCCTTGGCTACTTTGCAAAAGCACAGCAAAAAATGTTCTACAGGGATATGACCAGGATGCAGTTCCAAAAGGTACTCATAGGATAAATACAACAAATGTTTTTAAAAACCTCTTGAAGAAAGACTCAAAATAAAAAATTATAAGTCATAAGAAAAACAAACAAGGAACAAGTTAGCAGAAACCATAGATAGATTAGATCCCCAACCCTTAAGATAGACTGACAAATATAACTTTTATATAACTAGATAAAAATAACTATATATAACAACTATATACTTAAATAGCTACAGATATATAATCATCTACATAAGATATATAACTTTAGAGAAGATATATAACTATGTAAGATATATATCTTTATAAAATTTTAAATTGTAATATGAAAAATAAAGCACATTATATAAAAAAGAATAGGTCCATTTTAAAAGGCAAACAGATCTGTTGAAAAGGAAAATGTAGGCACTGACATTTAAAACTAAATCAACAAATTAGAGCATATTAGACATAGCTGAAAAGAAATAGATGAAAGGAAAATATGTTAGTAAGATTAATAGACAACAATGATAGAAGAAAAGGTTCTGATATTCATCTAATAGGAATACTGAGACAGAACAGAGAGAATGGCGAAGAGACCATATTCAAAGTGATAAATGGTTCAAATTTTCCCCAAACCCACGAGGTTTGTGAAACTTCACATTCAAGAAGCTCAAAAAGTCTTAAGAATCATAAATAACATTTGAAAAAATAAAGATACAGTAAATATAAATCCCCAACCAAGGCACATCACAATACACTGAAGATAAAGAAAATGCATTAAGAAACCAGAAAGAAAATAGGGAGCACCTGCAGAGGAACCAAAATTAGAGTGAAATGAGAGCACAATTTTCCATAGAAGAAAAAAGACAGACAAAATATTTTCAAAAACAAAATATTATTCAAGAATTAGAGAAGATAATTATATTTCAGGAAAACATTTCCTGCTTATTGACAGAATGAGAGAAAAGTAAGAGATATAATTAAGAAAGAAAATGGGTATGGTTTTGTGTGTGTGTTTCTTGTACTTGGGATTTGTTTTTTGTTTTGTTTTGTTTTGCTTTTGTTTTTTTGGTCTGTCTCTGGTCTGTCCCGTTGCAGCTCTCCTCTCAGGTACTCTGTCCCGAGAATTTCATCTGTCCGGGTCTCCTCAAACATTAGGCTCTACATGGATCACTCTCCACATGCTGTTGGCTGGAAATTCAAGTTTTTTTTTTTTTTTAACCTATGTATTCATAGTTTTCATCCTTTTTAGAGAAGTTTGGGCATTATTTCTTCAAAACTTTTTATTCTCACTCTCTTTTTCAGGGAGTCCAATTTTGCATATCTTAGACTTTGTAAAGTTGTCACAGTTTTGTGGGTGTTTCGTTTGCTTTGCTTTGTTTTGTTTTCTAATCCTTTTTTCTCTTTATGTTTAATTTTGGATCATTTCCATTGCTATGTCTTCAAATCACTAACCTTCCCTTCAACGTCTAATTTGTCATTCATCTCTTCCAACGTACTTTTCGTCTTATACCTTGTAGATTCTTTCTCTATAAGTTTGATTTGAATCTTTCTCATATCTCATAATTCTACTTAACTTTTTGAACATCTGGAATACAGTTGTAATAACTGTTTTGGTGCCCTTATCTGGTAATTCTAACATCTGGATCAATTTATGATCTGTTTTGATTGATTTATTTTTCTCCTCATTTGGGTCTTATTTTCCTGTTTCTATGCATGCCTTCTTGAGCTGTGTTCTGCAATGCAGTTTTTTAGAAACAGTTTGGTTCTTTTAAGTCTTGCTTTTAAGATTTGTTAAGCAGCACAAGACCGTATCGAATCTGGAGGAGAATATTTGTAACTACCGAAGCAATATCCTACCAAATGTTTCATAAATCATGAAGTTATTCAGTCTGGCTACTGGGCACAGGTACAATTCTTGGCCCTCTGTGAGTGCTGGGCATTATTATCTCTAATCATTTCAGCTTTATTCTTTCCCAGGTCTTGGGAACTTTCCTTACATGCATGTGCTGATATAAACTCAGCTGAATACTAAAAGGAGCTTCTGCAGATCTCTGGTCTGTCTCTGTGCAGCTCTCCCCTCAGGTACTCCGTCTCATGAATTTCATCTGTCTGGGTCTCCTCAAACACTCGGCTCTCTATGAATCCCTCTCCCTGTGCTGTTGCCCGGAAACTCTCTCATGGTAGTAAGTTCAAGCAATAGGGCTCACCTTGTTTGTTTTCCATTTCTTAGGGATGACTACTCTTCATTCTCTGATAGCTGATGTCTCGGAAACCATTGTTTCATATGTGTTGCCAGGTTGCTTTTTTTATTGCTTCAGGCTGGAGGGTGAATCCAGTCCCACCTACTCCATCTTGCTCAGAAGTGGACACCTCTTCAGAATATAATTGTAAAATGTAATGTATGGATTTGTTTTTACCTGTTTGTGTAGCTAAGGAGGAAATAATTCCAGGTGGATCATTTGGCTAGTTGTATTTCTTTTTCCTTCATGAGTAGAATAATTCTATTTGTGAGCCATCCTTGGATAAACTGCACATGAGGAAATTTTGCTTTGTTACTGTCTCTAACATCTTCTTTCCCTAGCGCCTCTCTCCCTTGCAAGAAGTCAGAGCCTCCATGCTGCTGTGGGATCCATCAGGGATCCCGTTACAGAGACCACCATCATCAATTTCACATGCTTACAATCCCCCACAAACTCTCTACCGTTGACCTATTTTAGATCTTTTTCTTTCAAGTCCCTACTTTAAGTTAGGAAACTGAAAGTAAGTCTATGTTGATGGGTTAATGTAAAATTGTCCTTTTGTAATTGAAACATTCTGAAGAGCTTGAATTCACAAAAATGACAAACTCTGAGGAGAAAATTTTGGAGTGGCAGCAGGCTACCAGGAGCAATATATTAGCCTGGTTACAGTAGGTGAAACTATTTTGCAGTTCCAAGGGCCAGAACCACTTTTGGTTCTCAACTCATGGTTTATCAAACTAAGCCCTTTATTACCAAGTTCTGCTTTTCTCATTTCTAAAATATAGCATATTACTTTATTTTCTAATTAGCTCCTATATATTCAGGCCATATTCCACGTACTCATTTTACCTCTCCTGTGACCTATGAATATATGATACAAATATGAATTTTTGAAATTTTATAAGTGTATAAGAATTGTGCATTAAATGAATCTATCAACCTAACTTTACTTTGAGAACTTCTGTTATGAACTTTTTTCATAAATGTCTAATTCTCTATGAAGCAGAAAATTAATAGAATTCAAAATAGTTTTTCTTTTTCCCTTGAATGAAACAAAATAAGTCAAATGCTTAAATAATCAAATTAAATATCCATTATTTCTGATAACCATATGGCTTTGCATTAAATTACAGATATAAACAAAAATTTTATGAAATTATAATGCAAAACATGGGAACTATGTCAGTGATTTCTTCATTAAATCACAGAGCTGGAGGGTGCATTTAGAGGTCATCCAAGGCAGCCAGTGGTCTTCAGACACTAAGCGCCTACAATAGTACTGAAGTTTAACTCTAAGAAAACTTTATTATATTCTGTGCAAATGTATTTCAAAATTCATGTTTCATTACAGGTGTATAGGCCTTTTAGTAATTAGGGTAATTTGGACAGAAAGTTGAAATCTGTTACATTAGTATTGGGAAGATAAATTACAAATAAACAATTAGTAAATGTTTAGTTTTCTAAGGTCTATGGTTATCAAGACCTATAGGTGGTTTAGTGGGAATAACAAGAAGTTTTAATTCTGTTCTAGCTCTGTCACTTACTTTGCCAACTTGTCAAATCACTTAACTTCCATGAGAATAATTGTGCGCTATTTTAAAGTATAGATAACAGGTACATTGCAGGAGTTTTATACGATTCAGAGTTTGTATACAATTCTAAGTATTCGGTTCTCAATAAATGAGGTTGTTACGATTGCTATTGGGAAAAGACTGTGCCCTTTGATAGGTAACCTTCTCTCTATTTTCTAGAAAACAAGCAATCAAACTGATGCCACATGAAGGAAAAGAAAAATCTCTTTTTTCTCGGCTTTGCCCAGTCCTGGAGCACCAATAATTAGCTTTTCCTTCCTTTAAAAAGCCATGAAGGGGCTAAGAAGCTAGGAATAGTACTGAGCTACAATGAGTACAGAGAAAGGCCTATACTCTTTCAAGTCTGTATCACAGGAAACGTTGTGACCTCACATTCTAAGTCTTGAGAGCACACACAAGCCCAAGGAATTAAAAAAAGGAGAGAAAGAGATTCTGCTCAAATTCAAAGAATAACTAAATAAATTAACTAGTAATTGTTAAAAATTAATATTTATTGAGAATGTTTCAACTCTATCCAGTTGATTCTCTTTCATTATTTACTCAGCATGTGTGTTTCCCCTGGCATGGCCTTCCTTGGTAAATATGGGAGAAGGAGCTTAGTCTCCTGAGTCATCCACCTGTGCTCCACTGCTGCACAGAATGCTTCACCACACCACAGGTTAAGCCTCACTTTGCTGTCAGTCACCACATCAAACGTCTGGACTGCGATGCCTCAAGAAGAGTTGTTTCTATCACATTGGCTTCAACAGAGAGGCCAATGTGGGACATGTTATATCTGTTCATAGCCCAGTTGTAATATTTGCTACCATTCTACTCCCTAAGCTATAAAAGTAATAAAATCGAACTGAAGATCTGGCAAGGCAGAGAGGCTTTATAAGTAGTAACACTGATGTGTTAAAAATGAGAATTTGACATTCTTCTAACTAGTCTGTTGTACATCCCACTGAGAGGAGTATTTTACTGGCTATTTTTCTCTAAAGGGCAAGGCCTTCTAACAAGTTGCCTCATCTATTCTCTTATCCCTTATTTCTGTCCCCATCATCTCTCTATTTTCACTCTCTGACCCCCAAATTCATGGTTATTTATTATAAAAAATAGTTTAGCTACCATCTTCTTGCATAACCCTCTTATAAGCCGTGCTCTTGGACAAACTTCTCTTTTCACTACACTTTCACTTCCTTCAACCAATATTCCCAGTTACCAACTAGGTAACTTCCTAATCAAGGGGACTTTCATGTTGACATGAATGATCCTTCACAGTTTAATGACCAACTCACACTCCAATAGCCTATTTCAGCAACGACTCTCAAGACCATGACTTGCCATCATCCCTCAATATTCCTGTAATGAATATTTAAAGTCATCTATGATAACCACTGACCTGTAACACAACATGATTTCAAGGACATCATAGGATTTAATTTTATTTGACGTGAAAGGAATTTGACAGAGGCATATGATTTTAGCAACAATCATTTTGAAAATTATCAATGAAGAAAAGATATTACAACCAAGCAGTGGATTCCTTTGTTCTATTATTTTTTTAAATTACAATATCAGAATATGCACTTTATTTGTCAATTTTGAAAAAACAAATTCAATGATTCTGTGAAGTTTTTGTTTGCTTACTACGTGTCAGGCACTATCCTGAGCATTTTATATACCGAAAAAGGACTAACAGCTGTTTCTTTGGCCTCCTCTCTGGAAATGGCTGAAGACTAGACCTCTGATTTGCAGCAGCAACTGAGGAATAGTTAGATATTTACCTATATTGATGCAAGATAAATGAGAGTTCCATGGAAATGACTAAGCATGTGTAACTCATTGTCAAGGTTGTTTAACGAGTAATTGGGAACTAATGAAATGGAGCTGCCCTGAAGAAATAGGGCTAATCACATAAACCTGATTAGATGTGACTACTCAGTCACAAACACATGGCTTGATATAAAAACTGAAGGGAGGATCTCAGAGCTGATGATTTTCCCGAGCTGAAGTTGTATTCAATCAGCTTTATTCCTTGTGGCCACACACACCCAGGGTGCAGAATGACTGGGACATCCAAAGCTGTGTCTGAGAATCAGGAGACCTCTGCTGTGTTGTCATTGTGCATGCTATGACACTGGTCCTGTGCATTTTCTTCAAGACAAGTAAAATTGGTGCTTGATGAAGTCTATTGTGAATCTCAAGTCTGACTATAAATCAAATCAAGTTAAGACGTCATAGAGTGTCACACATTCATTTTTCATTTAATCCTCACAACACTCCTATGCAGTTTAAAATAATTATTCCCATTAGGCAGATGAGAAAACATAGAATTTAAGTAAAATGATTCAAACCCACATAGCTTATAATTGAAATAAACTATCTTTCGTTTCTTGAATATTTTTGAAACTGGTATTTTTCTAATATAACTTTTCAGTATTTAAAAATAGCAAATATTTACTTAATACTTCTGTCTATATATAGCTACTTCTGTTAGTAGCTCTGTGACTTAAAATTTATTGTTTGAATAACTAAATTATTTTTAAAATAAAATTTATTTTAATATAAATAATAATCTGTTTTATGTTTATTGAAGATTTTTGGCCTACTTACAGAAAATGTAGAACCTATAACAAAATTAAAGAAAAATATTGCAATCCCTTGTAATTTCAATGTCCAGTGATAATTGCTATTAAATTTCTAGAAACTGTGGTATAAAGAAACTGTGGTATATCGATATATATCTATCCATCTAGATAGATAGATACATGATGGAATACTACTCAGCCATAAAAAGGAATGAATTAATGGCATTTGCAGCAACTTGGGTGGAATTAGAGAACATTATTCTAAGTGAAGTAACTCAGGAATGGAAAACCAAACATCATATGTTCTCACTCATAAGTGGGAGCTAAGCTATGAGGACGCAAAGGCATAAGAATGATACAACGGACTTTGGGGACTCGGCAGGAAAGGGCGGGAGGGGGATGCGGGATAACAGACTACACATTGGGTTCAGTGTATACTGCTGAGGTGATGGGTGCACCAAAATCTCACAATCACCACTAAAGAACTTACTCATGTAACCAAATACCATCTGTTCCCCCCAAAAAACATAGGAAAAAAAAAGAAAAAAAAATTCTAAAATGTTTCCCTCCAGAATTTTTCTTTGTTTTTTCCAAGCATATTTTTTACACCACAAATTGCATATTGTAGATTACATAAGATTTGACATCCTGATGTGTTTATTTTTATTTTTTTTATTTTTGCTTAACCTTTTTGGAAAACAAAAATGACCTTTTGACTAAGTGTTGAGATTCTTTCCCCCTTCCTTGCCCACTGGTGTACCTTTGGCTCTGATTGCTCATCTTCCATACACCTATATTAAAAAATGTACCTTCACTAGCTTTATTCCTGGGCTTTTGTGATGCAGAATCAAGACAACCAGAAAGAAATAAACAAAATTTGGGAACCCAGGAGAGGGGACTTATATAAGAAAGAGTAGAGATTTATTTCTGAGAGAAGAAAAGAACCTATGAGAATTTCAAGAGAAAGGTCCAACCTTTTTCAGAGGTTAGACCTTAGGAAGTAGTGAGAGACATTGAGAACATAACAATTGAGAAATAATAGTTTTACAAGACATTGAGAACATAAAATGGAGAAATAATATTTCTCTGTGCCTTATATTCTAATTGTATATGTGTGTATATGTGTGCGTTTCTTAAGAGACTGCAGGAAATATTTAAATTGCTTTAATTTACTTTTGATTACTGGACTGTGTTTATTTCTTTGATCCCAAAGCAACACAATTTATGTTTCAAACATTTTATTAGTATAAACGTGCAAATTTGGTTAATAACATTAAGGTTATTTCTAATTTTTCACTATTATACATAACATACGGCTTCCTTCACATGCTATTTTTTGCTCTCATTTTCAACTATTTCTCCTAGAAGAGTTACTGGACCAATGAGTAGGAACACTCATATTTAAGCCTTGAATCCATAGTGTAAAATTATTTTATAGAACTTCGCTCTAGATTTTTTGTGTTCTCTCTTCTTATTCTAATAAGTAGTCCAGAGGATGGACTTGATGATAGTTACTGAATTTGTAAGTAAGGACCCAACTCTTTATCTTCTTTTTTTATTATTATTCTGAAATTTTATTTAAAAAACAACTAACAAATACATTTTAAATTCAATTATGTGACATAGTTATTTTTTAAAGGAATAAATTATTTTTAAAAGGAATGATTATGATTTCTTACCTCAGTAGAAATTTCAGAGACTTGATTTTCTTTTTTTTTTCATTTTTATGAATAGCTTATATTTTATTTATAAAAATGTAATTAACCCAAGCAGCAAGTTAATATTTTATATCGCAAGTTTTATATAGTCTATAATTTTTTTTATTATACTCTTTATCTTCTAACTGGGTCTCCCCTTTGAACTTTGGAGGGATATATCCAACTGCCTGCTGGATATTTTCACCTGAAAGTCCCTCCAATATTTCAAAATAAAGAGATTTAAATTGTAACAATTCATCCTATATTTTCCGTGCATTACTATTTTAGATAAAGTCATACCATTATTTAAGATACATAAACTAGGGGCCTGGAAATCATTCTTCGCTATCCTCCCTTTTGCTCTCACCCATTTCTCATTAAACAATAAGTTAATGTTCCCCTGAAGTATCTAAGCCCACTCTGCTTCTTCCTTACCAGGACCACGCTGTTTGAGGTCTCCATCATTTCATGCTAGGTCTCTCTAACTACAGCCTTGCTTTCCCTTCTTTATTCCCTTCTCATTCTGGCCAAGTCTGAGCATGCCAGGGTTCCTATTTAAAGTCCTTCAGTGGCTTTCAACCCCCCTTCATGGCACTTCCCAACACGTGAAGAGTAGGCTAAAGGGTGCCAGAGCTGCAAAAGCCACCAAGTGATCACCTCTGGTTGTCAACAGTCCTGACTACATGAGCAAGTATGGTGCACAGATATTATCCTCTCTCTACAGGCCACAGTGTGAAAACATTTGGGAACCTCTGACTACAAGAAAACTCTAGTATAAGATAATTCATTATAGCATTTAAAGCCTTTAATTATGCAGACACTGCCCCTACACCCTCATCTCACATCGCTCCCCACTGCTTCATTTTTCTATTAAGTCCCAAATGCACTGTGCCCTTGGTTGTTTCTTGCCTGTTCCCTCACATCAGTCTTTGCCACACTTTAAGAATCAATAATCGACCAACTTTCACTTTGTTAACTTATGGATTAGTGTCTCTTAAAACCTAGTCTGTAAATGACATGCATCACAATTACTAAGACTTATTTTTTAAATTGATTTTTTGGTCCTACACAGGAACAGTGAAATCATAGCATCAGGAGTTGTAGCACAGAAACCCATCATTTAATGACCGCCCCCGATGTGTTTATTTTACATATTAAATTTTTTAATCCGATGTCATACATACAATCTCACTGACCAATGTACTTTATAAAATATGATTACATACATGTCAGGAAGAAACAAAAGCATATTGAGTTAAATAAATGTTTGAGTCTTCATAAATATGAGTTTACCAGCCATGAACAATTAACAGTGAAATATCTACTAGAAAAAGGACATAATAAAAACTATCCTTCTTTTAAAAAATAGTTATATTGATGGCAAGGACTACAACTGACCCTAAGAATTAATAAAACATATTTTTGTGACAATCTGTAACCTAGGCAATTCCAGTACGCATTACTGCCTATTAGAGTTTTAAAAAATACCTTAAAGAAATGTACTTGATAGAATACATGTTTGGTATGATATCTGGATTTTTTAAAACCAGTTTATTCCCAAAGCTCTTGGCTCTCTGAAATTCTATCATCAGTCACACAACAAATTCCCTTTGAGGGCATACAGTATGTTGATATTTAAAATTATACTTGTAGCACATGTAGCTGGTGATGAATACATGATAAATTATCTTTAATACCTGTATTTCTTATGGTTTGAGCAATAGATTATTATTCACAGGTGGAACCTACTTACAAGCTTGATTGACGATCTTTTCACTGCATCTCTCTCCCTTATGTTTTTCTGATTTACGATTAACAATTATATTTACATTAATGCTTCCCTTCATAAAGCCAAAAGTCTGTTTGCAGAGTTTCCATGCTGTATCTATAGAAGACTGTTTAATTCAGAAGGACCAAAAGTTTTAAATTGTCCATGGTCTTATGAATGGTGACGCTGGTATTTCCAAATTCTGACCGTGTGATATGGTTGTGTGAAAACTACTCATATTAAAAAATAATTTAAGTATCTAAATCAACAATTTAGTGGCTTTACTTGTGCACTCCAAGCCTTAGATATCTCTGCAAAATGGGAATAATAAAATCTTCATCACAAGGTTTCAATTAAATGAGATAAACTATGTAAAAACATTCAGCCTAATGTCTGACATAGAGAAATTGGGTAACAGAGGTTGGTTGTATCTGGTAGGCAAGGAAAACATGAATCATAGACTCCTCTAATTTAAAAAAAAAAAAAGGCTTTAGAGATGTATTATCTCCAAAAACAAGGAATATGAGAATAAAAGGGTAGGGGGTAGTGGGCTGCTTTCACTATTGACATTGAGTCCCTCTACATGGACACAATTGCTATTTACCAGCCTACAGAAAAAACTACGTTTATGCAAACTTTGCCTTAGTTCTATGGCTATTCTGAACTTCAAGTAGTTCATATAGCTAGCCTGCTAACTGAAGCAGCTGAGTAGAAAGAGTTAAACAACACATACATTTCCTGATTTCAGTTGCTCCATAGAGGGGTTGTTAAAAAAAAAAAAAAAGCCAGAAAACAAACAAAAAAAAATTTGATATAATGAGGTTAGTGAAGAGAAAGCAATTTATATTTACATCTATAATTATTTGAGTTTATAATTACAGAAAGTAATGCTTTAATTATTTTAAGATTACTTTAGGAGAAATTGTAGAAATACAGTCAATACTATAATGAGTAGGCTGTAAAGGCTTCTTTTAAGGCTCCTAGTCTGTGAAAGTATTAAGTAGCTCCTTGCAATATTGTGTTTGATGTAATTTTCAGGCATTGATATATAAAATGTAAAATTTTACATTTCATTTTTCCTCTCTTTCCTTACCCAACCTCTGGTATAGGTGCTAATGATAAGTGAAATGAGGTTAAAGAGAAATAGGAATTCCTAATCTACAAACTGTATATGCTGTTTGCCAAATCTGAGTTGACCGTAACCTCAAAATATAACTACTTTCATTAGGGCTAATAATTTCGAAGCAAGCTTGATTATATTTTCTTTCAGAAAACATTTCTTCATACACAAGACTAGTTTTATTTTTCGGAATAAAATTTCTACCTCTATCTACATGTGAAAATAGTAGCCAGATCCATGCACAGACTTCTGACATTATTTTAAAAAGTGTGATGATTTTCTTAGGCAAAAATGTCTGGACAGCCTTTACACATATGCCCACCCCACTACAGTGTACGTGCCTGGAGAACAGTGGACCTTGCTCATTTTAACTGCTTAATATATAGTTGCTGAAATAATAGTTTTGTCAAGTCTTTTAAATTTCTAATATTTATTTTAATGGTTATTTAAAGAAATTTGTTTATAAATTGATCCCTGGAAGTTGGAAAGAGGAAAAAAGATGGAGTAGAAAACATTATTTGTTCCAAATATTTTATGCCTGAATATGGACTTTAGTCCATTGATGTCAAGCTTAGCCACATGACCTGCTTTTGTTAATGAAATGTGAGCCAAACCGAGGTATGTCAAAGCTGAGCTGAAGCTTTTAAGAGCTATTGTATGCTTCCTCCATTACCTTTTTCCCTCTGCCATTAAAACAGTGTTCTCTAAAAGGGAATGCCCCTGCAGATTGTGTCCTAAAATGAATGTCTTAATCTGTTTAGGCTGCCAAAACAAACTATCATAGACTAAGTGGCTTTATAAACAAGAGAATTTTTGTTGTTGTTCTTGTTTTGGAGACTGGAAAGTCCTAGGTCAAAGCACCAGTAGATATGGGGTCTGTCCAGGGCCAACTTCTGGTTCATAGGTAGAGGGCCATCTTCTCCATATGTCCTCACATGGTGGAAGGAGTAAGGAATTTCTTGGAGGTCTCTTTTACAAGGGCACTAATCCCATGTGTGAGGCCTCCACCCTAGTGACCTAATCCCCTACCAAAGGCCCCACCCCCTAAAACCGCCACTTTGGAGATTAGGGCTTCAATATACATATGTTCATTTGGGGAGAGGGGACAAACATTCACTATAGCAATGAAGAATACAAACGAGGCAGAGCTGCAGCCAACTTGCACACAGTACGTGGTGGGAACAAGATATACACCTTGTTGTTTTAACACTAAGATGTTGGGTTTGTTTTTTGTTGCAATATAACCTAGTGGAAGCTGGATCATGTAGAGTGACTGGTCACTAAAAACACTCTGCTCATCAATGTCTATGATTCGATTACCTAGAATAATCATGAAATCATAAAATGTAGGCCTTGAAAAAACGTGGTAATTAGATAATATAACCCCCTCATTTTACAAGTGAGAAATTGGAGACCTAGAAAGTTTAAATGATGCATTTATAGATACACAACTAATTGTGGGCCAGAGCCAGAATCTGTATTTACTGACACAACTCATATAAAAATTAATGCTGAATATAAATATTTATTCTTCAGCTATATTAAAAGAATAGATAATGAAAATTATAGACAGAAACACAATAATAATAATGCATCACCTATGTGAAAAAGTTATTGCTGCAAACCCGCAACTGATTATTTCAATGGTGTTGCTTAATTTGTTGAGTTAATTTCATTTTCTCTCCTTGTATTAAAAACTACAAATTTGAGACCATCTGACTAGACATAATTGCTTGTTGTACAGAGCTGGTCTCTGTGCAAAGCAAACTGAATTGTGTTGAGATTGAACCGTAAACTCAGCCTCATTAGCACTCTGCTCTCACTAATTTGCAGAAAGTAAAATAAGTATTTAAAGGTTCCAAGAATTCTGAATGTAGAGAAAAGAGTCATCCATCTGGGAATTATCAGGACAATTACGTGGAGAACCAAAAAGACTACACAATGCGGTTAATCTAGGTTACATATCAGCCATTCCTGCTTTGGCAGATTTTAGTCACAAGAATGGGATAGTGGTTGAAACTATAAACATTTTACCCTGAAAAAATTTTAAAGGTAGAATGAAAACTTTTATTATTTAGGACTAACTTTTTTTAAAAAAATAAATCTTCCCAAACACTGATTTGTAGTGTTTGCCAAATTCTGTGATGAAATTACTTCCACCGTGGCTGATTTTAAGCCACCAACGCTTTAATAACTGGCCTTTTAAATTCCTCAATGTTTATCTTTTGGAATAAATAAGCTGGTGTGAGCTTGTGGGAGGTTTAGAATCTGACAAACTTGTTTTAAATCTCAGTTGTATCCCCTTGTAGCTGTGTTTTTAGTATGTACCCTAGGCTGTCATTTGCTTAAGGTGTCCTAATGGTCTTAATAGCTACTATGTAGTATGATTGCAAGAATGAGAGATACTTATTGTAAAACCCCTGACACCTTTCCTAATTTGCCCTGTTTTACTCAATCCACTTCAGTTATGTTGGACAACTTACAGTATCTCAAACACTATAGGCACGCTCCTGCTTCAGGGTCTTTGCACTTGCTATTTTCTTTATCAAAATATTATTCACTGTGATATCCTCATGGTCCAGCTGCTCTCTGTTACTCATCTTTTGCTTTCTTCTATAGCACTTTTTGCCAGCTCACAATTACATAATTTACTTATTTATTTGGTTTTTGTCTCTCTTACCCCACTAAAGTGTAAATTTCACAATATCAAGGATTGTGGTCTCTTCTATTCACTACTGTACCCTTGGAGCCTAGAACAGTGTCAGATATATAGATTTACGGCCCTCAATAAATACTTATTGGATAAATAAGTAAATAAAAAAATTATGGAATAAATAGTAAATTTTAATATTTATTAATTATCCTATCTTAAGGCTAGGGACAACTAACTTTACATTGGTTGCCTCTAAAACCAGTAAAATTTTTGGTCCCGTCAAACCATTCAACTCCAAATAGTCATGCTAATTCCTACATGTACGGGATACAGCAGTATGGGATACAGCAGTATGGGATACAGCATGACTGAATCCCATAGTGTTATTATTAAAAGTACACTGCCTTTGGTTTTGCTTTTAATAAAACTTTTCTGAAGATAAAAACTAGGAAATATAGGACAATCTACTTAGCATGTTGCAACGAAACTTTGAAGGAATCACTACTTTTTATTAAACTAGGAAGGACACTAGATGACTGATAAAGGGTGCTAACCATAGCAACCAATAGGATCTAATACTAGATGACTGAGTACCTTCTTCCTTTCAGAAATTTTACTGTTTATTGTTAAGTCAAAAATATGTACATAAAATAAAAGATGACATTTTATTAATAAGCACAACAAATAACACATGCACAGTAAAATAACTTGCAATCACTGTTTTGAATCAATAATAAAGGAAAGTAATCTTTTGGTGCCCCAAGTAATGAATGCAGTTTGTGAAAAAAAGTAGGTTAAAAAATTGAACATTCACATATGGAAGACAGCTAAACTATTTGTCCCGAGGAAATATGGAGGCATGTTTACACCTAATTCTAGTGCTATTTTACATATTGATCAGACTCTAAGTTAATTTCATAGGGCAAATTTACATAGGAGGAAATTTCTGAACACTTAATTCAAAGTGAAAGGCTGAATATGTAAAAGGTAGGGACAGTGTAAAGAGGGGGAAAATAAGAGAACAATATGGGCACATTGTTTAGCATAATCTTTCTTCTACCACATGTTAATACAAGGATATCGATATAATGTCTCTTGAAACATAACAACTATTTACTCCACAAATATTTACCAAGCACTTACTATGTTTAAAAAATCAATTGTAAACCAATTTTACCCAATAAAAGTGGTATTAACCAAGTGTTTTTTAAATCATATATCAGAGTTTTATTCATAGTAGATGTTATAGGTTGAATTGTGTCCCCAAGGTATGTCAGAGTCCTAACCCTCAGTACCTGTGAATGTGCCCTTATTTGTAAATAGGGTTTTTGCAGATGTAATCAAGTTAACATGGGGTCATTAGGGTGAATCTACTCCAATATGACTGACGTCCTTATAAGAAGAATAGAAGAGAGGTAGACAGATAAAGTGAGAATATCATGTGATAGTAGCAGAGACTGGAGTGATGCAGTTGCAAGCTAAGAAACACCCGGGACTGAATGACACCACTAGAAGCCAGGAAAAGGCAGGTAAGGATTCCAAGTGGAGTCTCAGTGGAAGCAAGGGGCTTCTTACCTTTGATTTCAGACTTCTAGCCTCCAGAGCTATGAGAGAATACATTTATGTTGCTTTAAGCCACCCAGTTTGTAGTACTTTGTTACAGTAGCCCTAGGAACTAATAGCCCCAAACTGAAAGTAACAAAGTTGTCCTTCAGTAGGTGAGTGTTTAAGCAAACCGTGCTACATCTATATAATGGAATATTTTTCAGTAATAAAAAGAAATGAACTATCAAGTCACAAAAGCACATGGAGGAAGCTTAAATAAATATTGCTGTGTGAAAGAAGCTCGTCCAGAAAGGCTACATATTGTATGATTCCAATTTTATAGCATCCTATAAAAGACAAAACTATAGAGACATAGAATGATCAGTGGCTTCCAGAGAATCAAGGGTGTAGAGAAGAGGCACAGGGGACTTTTAGAATAGTAATTATTCTGCATAATACTTTAATGGTGCATTTGTCAAAATGTACAGAATTTTACAGTACAAAGAGTCAATCCAATTGCATGCAAATTTATAAAATCATTTAGGACATCAAAGAAATCCCATGAAGTAATTCAGACTTTGACACAACAATCTAACTGCATTACAAATGTATGAAATAATCTCACAGAAGGGGTTGGGGGAGAACTGTTCACCTAAGTAGTTTTGGAAACAAGTGGATTCTGAAAAACTAAAAACAAAATGAAACAGCTATAAGTACTGTACCTAAACAGTTAAAGTTGTTTCCCATAGGAGTATGGGTTAACAGTCCAATACCGCTATATATGTATACTGAATTTAAACAAGTGAATAAATGGCAGATAGTGGAAATCAGGTTTCTCACTGTTGAAATTTACAGATAAGCAAGGGGAGACAGCTAGAATGATCCATGTGGAAATGGAGTTAGAGGCATCAATATGAACTCATATTTAGCTTAATACAGACAGACACAGATTTACATATAGAGATATCTATAGAAACATGTATATACACGGACTAGTACACAGACATATTTCTGTGCTCTTTCAGCTGAGATTGCCTAAAAGACCTGACACCCCAGCAGCAACAAGCACACCTCACATCCAGATCTTGGTTTTGGTTACCATTCTCTAATAAAAGGAAACAGAGCTCCTTGGAGAAATGGTGATTTATGCTAGGATTGGGTCAGGAAATACACAAGATCAGTCTGAAAGGGATTGTAGAGCCATAAAGGAAGAAAATCCTTTTTTAAAAAGCACCCCACATTGATGGGGAGTACGTGAAAAGAAAATAGGAGCCAACTGAAAAGAACTCCCACAGGCCAAAGATGGAATAATTTGAGTAACAAAATAAAATAGTATTGACTTATAACCCAGAGTATAAAATAAATGTCAATAGATTCATACTGATATGAATAAACAATTGAATAAATAAATAAATGAAAGAGAAGAGCCAGATCTCCTATGCAGAAGAATTTCGAATAATTTATGTAAATTTTTCCCTCCAGGAGAGAGATCATAACTCCAAACTTCTTAAGTGTGGGTTACACACAGTGACTTCCTTTTCTAAGAGTACAGTATGGAGAAGAATAAAAGACATAACTTTATAGTTATCAGGGAAACCTGATAACACCACCTCCCAGGTGAGTAAGGTCAATATCAGCAGTCACATATCATGTTGATTGTATAAATCATTGATAATATTATAGATATGATGTAATGAGGATAACCCTTTGCCTTTGTGGTCTTCATTCCAATAGCCCATAACTCCAGTTTCACCATGAGGAAAACACAAAACTAACTCCAATATTGGGAGAATCTATAAAATACCTGGCCAGAACTCAAAACCTTCAAGGTCATCAAAAACAAGGAAAGCCTGAGGAACTGTCACAGCCAAGAGGAACCTCAAAATACAAGACAGCAAAATGTACTGTGATATCTTGGATGGGATACTAGAACAGGGAAAGCATGTCAGGTAATATCTAAGGAAATGTACATAAACTACTTAGGTGAACAGTTTTTCCCCAACCCCTTCTGTGAGATTATCTCATACATTTGTAATGCAGTTAGATTGTTGAGTCAGAGTCTGAATTACTTCCTGGGATTTCCTTGATTTCCTAAATGATTTTATAAATTTGCATGCAATTAGATTGACTCTTTGTACTGTAAAATTCTGTACATTTTGACAAATGCACCATTAAAGTATTATGCAGAATAATTACTATTCTAAAAGTCCCCTGTGCCTCTTCTCTACACCCTTGATTCTCTGGCAGCCACTGATCATTCCATGTCTCTATAATTTTGTCTTTTACAGGATGCTATAAAATTGGAATCATACAATATGTAGCCTTTCTGGACGAGCTTCTTTCACACAGCAATATTTATTTAAGCTCCCTCCATGTGCTTTTGTGACTTGATAGTTCATTTCTTTTTATTACTGAGTAATATTCCATTATATAGATGTAGCACGGTTTGCTTAAACACTCACTCTAACTTTTCTTGTCCACTTGAATTCCAGTATTTGTTATTGTGAGACCATGAATGATAATTTTTGAAAATCACCAATGATGAAAAAAAAGCATGCAATTCTCCAGAAAATTTTGCTAAGAGAAGTATCTAATAAAAGAAGCCACAGTTAACTCTGCTATGTAATGTAGGAAACCCTGGGTAACTTTCATGGAGTAGTGATGATTTTACTGTAAACTGATGAGATTATTTCATTTATGAGGAAGCAAAAAGATACCTTTTTCTCACACTAATAATTAGGTAGGCACTTTACAAAATGCCACTGCAAGGATATTAACTTGCACAGTAACGATCAAAGTTTTCAATGTTTCTACACATGTAGAATTTTAAGAGTATGTGATTACTCCCTAATGAATAACATCAGCCTTCTCTGACATATTAAGCAAATTCAATTATTTCTTATTTAATCTCTATTTGTTCTTCATTCTTTTAGTACTTTAGAAAGTACTTTTTAAAATAATGCCATTCAAATCAATTACTTAATAATTGCTAATGGTTTTTGGAAGACTGGATGCTACCCCAAACTCTTTAACATTGTTCTGGTAACTCTAAAGTAGTTTTGTCAAACCACATTTTTTTTACATGTTGTGATCATACTTTAAACGTAGATTAAAACAGTTACTTTTAAATTAATCTCGATGTGGCATTTACATTGAAAATATTGTTTACCCCCAAATTTATAAAGGACTAGAGAGATAGACATTACTTTTCTAATTCATGGTATGGTTGTTTCTTTAAAACCCTTCAGAACAGATTCATACATCAAGGTCCCAAAAAGAGTTTATTATAAAGTACTGTTATTATTTAAAACAGTCTCTGAATAATGGATCACAGGAGAGTCTCACTCTAATAAGTTTCTCTTTTAATACATCAGAAGCAAAAAATAATAGCTCTTCTTGAATTATTAAAATTTAATTGGTCCCACACATTAGAACCAGTTTTGCAAAATCAAGGAACAGGTATAAAAACAATCAGGACAAATTCATTGCAACTCCAAGTTAGGAGAATGTCTACCTGCTCAGGAACAGAAAGGGAATGTCACTTCCTGAACTCTGCTCTAATATTCCTCATGTCACATGTCCTCAACTGGAAGGACATAAAGGTTGATCAAAACATAAACAGCGTTCCCCTGGTAGCTGAGCAAGGTAGAACTTTAGATACAAAATACAGTATGGAGCTGGAGGTGATTATTTTCTCTTAAATTTAAGGGAACATATTTCAAAGTTCGAAGAAAGAATCATTGATTCCTTCAATTAATATGATATTAATAACTGAAATTTCTTTCTCCCTTTCTTTTTATTTCTTGAGACAGGGTGTAGCCCTTTTTACCAGGCTGGAGTGCAGTGGCAGGATCATGGCTCACAGCAGTCTCGACCTTCCAGTCTCAAGCGATCCTCCCACCTCAGCCTCCTGAGTAGCTGAGACTACAGGCACATACCACGATGCCCCATTAATTTTTTATATTTTTGTGTGTAGAAATGAGGTCTTGTTATGTTGCCCAGGCTGGTCTTGAACTAGGCTTAAGTGAACTCATTTCAGCCTCTCAAAGTGCTGGGACTACAGGCTTGAGCCACCATACCTGGATAATGGACATTTCTTTGTTTGCTATTATGTTCCAAGCAGAACATAATAAAGTCTGCTTAAGCATTATCACTTAAAGTCCTTATGCATTATCACTTCATGGGAATAACTACATGCAAGCTAAGAGCCCACACTCCAGAGCCAGATCTCCAGGTTCACATTCCAGATCTACCATTCACTAGTAGTATGGCCTTGGACAAATTAATAAACCTCTATGTGCCTCAGTTTCTTCAGCTGCAAAATGGAATTAATAATAAATTCTACTTGACAGGGTTATTATGTATATAAGAGTGACAACAGTTATAAAGCTCATAGTGTTTATCTTTTCTCCTAAATAATCTCATTGAAGAGAGAGATATGTTTATATTTAACTATTCTGATGATTCCTAGCATCATTATGTAGTAGGTTCTTAATAAAGATTTATTGTATAGCTCAGAGCTTCTGGTTACCTGTATTTGAAATGAAGAGCTAATTAAATTATAGTTTCCTAGGATCTACTAAGTACCTGGGGCTAGACTTGAGAGGCTGCACATTTTAACCAGGCATTCCAGCTCCCTGAGGTGCCTCAAAGTTTGAGGTACACTGGTATAGTGACTTGAATCTTTGTTTCATCTTCTATAAAATGTGAATTACTATGATAGTATCTATCTTATAGGGTTGTTGCAAGAAGTAAATGACATATATGATATAGAAAATGCTTAACACAATGTTAGCAATTTTTACTGCTAGATATTATGTTATTCACTTGTCTGGAACACAGAATTTGTGTCAAGAATACTAGGTAATAAGGGTAGAAAGGAAGGCTGATGCTAGATTGTTTTAAAGTCAGGTGGGAAAAAAACTCAGCTAACAAGGTCTAAACTACGTGTTTTGATTGGGAAAGCAATATGATTATATCTTGCCAATAAATATATCAACACAGACAAAAGTCTACCTGCTTAAAAATCGAAGAAAATGAGACTTCAAATGTACTTTTTTAAACGAATAAAAATACTATGCTGGAGAACAAATAAAATAATTACAAAGTATTTAGAATCTATCAATAAAATCACTTACTCAAAGAGAGCAAAAACAAATGATATATATTTATCAATTCATAGTTACTATACTTTTAATTAAAGATATCATACATTCATTTCCTTTAAAACAAACTGCAGCAAACTCCAGGAATTTCCATATATATTACATTGAATGACAAAGCTGTTTGCCATAAAATGCACCATAAACTCACTTCACATTCATTTTATGACTTATTTCTTTTTCTCCCTTTCTTCTCCTACCTGCACAACTAAACACAGCACTTCTCTTCCTCATTCCTCATTGCCTGGGGCCCACATTAAGTTTCAAGGAGGGTAAATAACTATTTAAATAACAACTCTTTAGTAAATATATATGAAAAAAAATCTTTTGTGAGTGTGCGTTGCAGTCAAGTATTATACTGATCATTTGTTTAAAGTTTGACTTGGTTTTTCTATATGTGCCATCAGCTACCTACCCACAGCATTTACTTATTTCTTCACTCAGTCTCTAATATATGTTCAACTGTAAACCGTACAAGTAACAATCTCACTGGTGCAGCCACAGAAGGTGACCCAGATTATCCAACACTGTGTGCTAATGCCAAGTTGTCTTGTTCAACGGCAGCTGCTCTACGCTTTGCCTTATTGATATTCAGATTCAACAGACACAAATCACATGGCCCCTTTGACAAGCACACACTCTCCCTGTCTTCGTTTTAAACGTGTTGAATAGCTACTGTGCTTCATAAACACACAGCTGGGGCAATTTGGTCTCCTCTGATTTTCCATCCTGCTATAGAACCGACAAGATTATCTCAGAAACATTGCTCTTGCTTCTATTTGGGGAAGTTTGTGGAAAATAATATCTTCATTTATAAAACAGAAACACATAACAGTAAAAGCCCATTTCTCTGGTGAAAGAAACACTTTGAACCATTATCCTCTGGGAAACATTGAGACTATCCCCTTAATTATGAGAGCAAATGTTGCAACACAGAGTTATTTAAAAGTGAAGATAAATATATAGTATGTGGGAATAAAATGAAATACAGGTTATGAATAACTTCCTTTTAAAGGATATCAATTAGTAAGGGCCAAATCTATTTTGTAAAAGCGTAAACACAACAAAATATCTTCTAGTCTATGTGACCATTTCATTCTCCAGCTCACTACTACAAAGGTTAAAAACAAAATTTCTGTACCTGAATACCTATTGGAAATCATAGAATCTTAAAACTGACTGTTCACATTGACTGGTATCACTGATTTCTTTAACACAGGACACTTAAAAAAAAAACAAATAAAAACTTCCTTTTTTAGCATTGTATTTTATAGAACATGCAACATTATCCATTATTTGTAAGAAATATAATAAGCCAGAAATAAACCAGGAAAAATGCCCAAAGTGGGAAAGGCTTACTTTTTATGTAGATAAGCAGTGAGAAACTGAGGTAGAAGATGAGAAGGTAGTTAATGTTCTTAAGTGCCATGGTCTTATTTAGAGAACATCCTCTGGTGTGTTGCTGGTGGTCTGGTCCCAGTCCGGCTCCTGATCCCTGTCTGTCTCAGAGAGGAGCGGGTGCCTCAGAACCCCCAGGTGCCATCTCTGTCCCACCCTACTTACAGCTCCTTCACAGAAAATACAGGGACTTAGATTCAAAATGCAGTTTGTGCTTCTTAGCATCACTTACACGGGAGGATGGGGTGATTTTTCAAACCTGGTGCAGATTTTTTCAGGCTGGATTGGATTCATTCCCCCCTCAAGCCTTTGCTGCGAGTTTTCTTCTGTTCATGCTGCCTCCTCAAAAGGGCCTACATTAGAATAGTGTCTTCAATTGCTCTCAATAGAGGGATTAATTTCTGATAACTGCCTTGCCACACAATTATGATCTGGCAACTTTTAAAGGAATACCGTATGTTCCTGTATATTTACTTTCATCTTCAGAAAATAATTCACAGACAAGTAATCTTTTCTGTTCATAAATTATATTCCCACAACTCAGATTTCTGCTGTTTGTAAGTTGGGCCAAGACAGAAGAAAACTTAAACTACTGCATAAAATGAACAGAGTTCTGAAGATCATTCAGGGGCAGATTTTGTCGTAAGTCCAGAGCTCATTTTATTCTCGGTTCATGAAATTATATGCTCTGGGATTTCTTGAGCTTTTGTTTTACTATAATTGATGAATGTAAACATGTTTGCTTATTTAAAAAATACACTTGCTTTAAATACACAATATTTTCTCAGATTAAATTGTTCAAGTCCTTAAAATTGTATTTTTATTAGACACCATGAAAACATCCATTAATTAAAACCAGAATGCTTTATTTTCTAATTGGTGTTAGTGCTAGTACAGAGCCTTTTTCCATTGTTAAAACTGTTCACTGTTACACTT
The DNA here is from genome assembly GCF_000001405.40 of Homo sapiens. Taxonomy (NCBI): domain Eukaryota; kingdom Metazoa; phylum Chordata; class Mammalia; order Primates; family Hominidae; genus Homo; species Homo sapiens. The sequence continues at coordinate 197,267,507 of NC_000001.11, read as the reverse complement.
TAAAATGCAATTTCTATAGCTGATTTTTACAAAGCTTTATAAATCTGCCAGATATTTAACTATATAACATATATTTTGAAGTCTTTATATTTTCTGCCCATGTCTCTAATATTTTGACAGTCAGCTTAATGTTTTTTATCAATATTATTCTCTCACATACTCACAGATTTACTTGCTGAAGTAGGATTTATCCATTTAAAATTATTTAATTTTTATAGAATTCATGACAATTATTATTTTTAAAGATTTTTTCCTCCCCTCATGCAAATAATTTAACTTGGGCAATTTAACAATTAGAGTAAAAGAATTTCAGATTACAGAAGCATTATTAACTCCCTATTCTAATCCCTGTGTTTTGTCAATTGGAGAATTGAGAAGCAGAGCAATTATTCTGTGTGCCCAGAGTCATCTGGTGGGTCAGTGTCAACATTAGGACCAGAGTCTTCCCATGATTTCTAGAACATTAGTTCTTCACTAAATCTTGTGAAGTCTCTTTTCATCTTTATTCTTATGTTTTCTGTCATGCCTTTTGCAACGATACCATTCTGGGACATCTACATACTGAACCAACTTGATCTCCATTCGTTCTAAAAAGGCCTCCACCATGAACCCCAAGACTAAGGAATTTACAACATGGAAGGCCGATTGATAGACTGGAAAAAAAAATGAATAGACTCAGGTAAAGAATCTTATGGTATTAGAAAGCCTTCTGTTAGGGTGTCTTTAATTATGAGTGTCACAATCAAAGAAACAAAGAAAATTAGTTTTTCAAAAGACAAAAGTGTCGAAGAAAATAAGTGGTTGAGAGAACATGTTATACAAAGGATGGTTATAGGAATTATATACATGGGGTTTGAATATAAAAAAGTAAGTGGATATAGCCATTATACAAATGAGTCAATGGCTACCATGTGTCAGATTTGGGCTAGTCAGGAATTCCTTTAGAAAAACATATAATATTTACGTTGAATTTTCAAGCATAAGTATGGGTATGCTGCGGTCTGAATGTTTTCCCCCCTTCCCAAATTCACATGTTGAAACCTAATCCCCAATGTGATAGTATTAAGAGGTGGGGAGTTTTGAAAGGTGGTTAGACCTAACCCTCATGAATGGGATTACTGCCCTTATAAAAGAGGCCTGAGGGAGTTTATTTGCCCCTTGCACCACATGAGGACACATAGAAGGAACCTTCTATGAGGAACAGGCCCTTGGCAGCTACCAAATTTGCTGGTACCTTGATGTTCCTCTTCCCAGTCTCCAAAATTATAAGAAGTCAATTTCTCTTGTTATAAATTACCCAGTCTAAATTTTGTTATAGCAGTATGAAAAAACTAAAGGTATAACAAATAAATAGGGCAAGAGTGAAGTTTAAGAGTTTTACAGAAAAAGGATATGTATATAGGAATAGAGGCCTAAAGCAGTTGGGCAAATCAAGAAACTAGAAATATTCTGATATTGCAGAAACATAGGTGTGAAGAGATGTCAGGAAATAAGACTCAGCAAATCCACAAAATCAAGGAAGTTTGATTTTCAGTATGAGGAAAAGACACCATTAATAGGTTTTAAGTAGTGAATTCACATACTCAGAGTTGTGCTTAGAAAGATAAATCTAGCAGCAATGTAGCAATGTTTGGAAAAGGGCAGATGGAAAGCACAGAAACCAGTGAGAAGGATATTGCCGTTGTCCACAAGAGAGATGATAAGGGACTGAACTAAAGCAGAGACAGTGGGGATGATAAAATGAAACAAAACAGCAATAAACTAGATACATCTAAAGACATATAGAGATTAAGGCAACATGAAAACGAATTTTATCAGGTTTTGAGCTTCGGCATTTGGGCTATTATTGTCATTCATAAAAATGAAGAATATAGACAAGGGCACCTATACAAGAAACAGCAAAAACCATCCTTCCCAAGTCAAACACATTTAAATATATGTCTATATTTGAGCAAAGTGTAACTTTTATAGAAATATGTAAGTGAGCTCAACAGCAATAAAGTAAAATAACCAATTGAGGTAGACAATTCTTGACTTTTGGAATGGAAAGACAGAGAGAGAAAGAGGAGGAGGGAGGGAGGGAAGGAACAAATGAAAGATAAGAAAAGAAGGAAGGAAAAATGAAGGAAGGGAGGACAAAAGGAAGGAAGAAAGGACAAAAGGAAGGAAGAAAGGACAAAAGGAAGGAAGAAAGAAAGGAAAGAAAGAAGCAGGAGAGAGGAAGGAAGGGAAGAAAGAAGGAAATAAAGAAAAGAGTAGTTCAGAAACAGGGAAATCAATGAGAACTGAGATGAAACTAAACTCTCATGTGGAAATGCTACAATTCACAGTTCACAAATGGTTCCCATGGAAGCCAACCTCTACCGAAGATGAGCTCACAGCTTAAAACTATAAATCAAACTAGAAACCCACTGCCATGACAGACATTGGACACAATGAGTGGGAAAATTCACACTCAAAAGATTCATGATAATGGAGCTAACTTAAGAGATTATAAAATAACACTTTGTTAAGAAACAGAAAAAAAGAATCAAAGAAAATAACTGGTTGAGAAAATATGTTAAACAAAGAATGCACTGTTCTGGCCGGGCGTGGTGGCTCACGTCTGTAATCCCAGCACTCTGGGAGGCTGAGGCGGGTGGATCACATGAGGTCAGGAGTTTGAGACCATCCTGGCCAACATGGTGAAACCCTGTCTCTACTAAAAAAAAAACAAAAGTTAGCCGGGCATGGTGGCAGCCACCTGTAATCCTAGCTACTTGGGAGGCTGAGACACAAGAATCCCTTGAACCCAGGAGGCGGAGGTTGCAGTGAGCCGAGATCATGCCACTGCACTCCAGCCTGGGCGACAGAGCGACAGAGTGAGACTTTGTCTCAAAAAAAAAAAAAAAAAAGAAGAATGCACTGTTCTTATTCACTGTGTATGGGTAAATTGGTACAACCTTTACGGAAAACAATAAGGAAATTACTCAAAGAACTTAAAATAGAACTATCATTTGATCCAGTAATCCCATTACTGTGTAGCTACCCAAAAGAAAAGGAATCATTGTATGAAAAAGATACCTGTACTTTATATGTTTAATGCAGTACTATTCACAACAGCAAAGATATAGAACTAACCTAAATGTCCATCAATGGATGATTGGATAAAGAAAATACGGTATATATAACACAATGGAATTCAATTCAGCCATAAAAAATGAAATCATGTCTTTACAGCAACATGGATGGAACTGGAGGCTATTATCTGAAGGGAAACAACTCAGACACAGAAAAACAAATACCGCATGTTCTCACTTATAAATGGGAGCTAAATAATGTGTACACATAGATGCAGAGTGTGAAATGATAGATGATGGAGACTTGGAAGGTTGAGGGAGTTGGAGGAGGGATAGATGATGACAAGTTACTTAATGGGTATAATGTACATTGGTGATGGATACACTAAAAGCCTAAACTTCACTACTCTGCAATATGTCCATGTAACAAATTGCACTTGTGCCTTTTAAATACATACAAATAAAAAATTTTAAGAGATAAAAGAATGTATTTATTTTATAAAACAAGAACAAGACATGATAAAAATGATTAGGCCTATTCGAAAATAAACTGAACATAAATTCTAAAAATAAAAAAAGTCATTAAAATTTTTTCAAAAATTTAACTAATAAATAGTAGATGACACTACAATATACTAAACAGAAGATAGATCTGAAGTTTTTTTTAGAATAGATCAATGTGAGATAAGGAGTTGGTGAAAAAGAATGAACAATAAAGAGACACGGAAAATAGAAAGTTCTATCTCAGAAGCAAGGAAAAAAGTGGGAGAAGGTAAGTATCAAGAACTAATGGACTACAGTTTTCAGATATGAAAAAATATGATTTCTCCAATTTAGAAAAGCTCACTGAATCCCTAGGAAATATTACATTTAAAGTGCAACAAAATTGCAACAAAAACAAAAATTGACAATTGGGACCTAATTAAACCAAAGAGCTTCTGCACAGCAAAAGAAACTATCATCAGAGTGAACAATATACAGAATGGGAGAAAATTTTTGCAAACTATGCATCCAACAAAGGTCCTACATCCAGAATCTATAAGGAACTTAATCAGTTCAACAAGCAGAAAACAACTCCATTAAAAAGTGGGCAAAAGACATGAACAGACACTTCTCAAAAGAAGACATACAAGCAGCCAACAAACATGTAACAAAATGCTCAACATCACTGATCATCAGAGAAATGCAAATCAAAACTACAATGAGATGCCATCTCACACCAGTCAGAAAGAATATTTTTTTTTAAGTCAAAAAACAACAGATGCTGGTGAGGCTACAGATAAAGGGAACACTTACACACTGTTGATGGGAATGTAAATTAGTTCAGCCACTGTGAAAAGCAGTTTGAAGATTTCTCAAAGAACTTAAAACAGAAATACCATTTGATCTAGCAATCCCATTTCTGGGTATATACCCAAAGGAAAATAAATCATTCTACAAGAAATACACATGCAATCATATGTTCATTACAGCGCTATTCATAATAGCAAAGACGTGGAATCAACCTAGGGTCCCATCAACGATGGATTGGATAAAGTAAATGTGATACTTATACAAGATGGAATACTTTGTAGCCATAAACACAACAAAATCGCGTCCTTTGCAAGAACATAGATGCAGCTGCAGGCCATTATCCTAAGCAAAATGATGCAGGAAGAGAAAAATCAAATACTGCATGTTCTTACTTATAAGTGGGAGCTAAATATTGGGTACACATAGACATAAAGATGGGAACAATAGACACTGAGGACTATTGTTAAGAAGAAGGGGGTGAAGGGCTGAAAACTACCTATTGGGTGCTATGCTCACTACCTGGGCAATGAGATCATTCATACCTCAAACCTCAGTGTCACACAATATACCCATGTAACATATCTGCACATCTACCCCCGGTATCTAAAAGTTAAATTTTTTAAAAAAGAAAAATAAATACATACAGTGCAGTAAAAGAAGCAAAATAAAATCTTACAAAGTCAGCAGCATTTGTCGTTAAAGTCTAAAATGTTTACAGTAGAACAATAATCAAAATGATGAAAGACTTTTCAAGAATAAATTAGGTGCCATAAAACAAAGAAAATAGAAGAAAAGGAAGATTTATAGACAAAAATAGAAGGTACAGTTTTAAAATATATTCAATTTGAGCTGTCTATTCAAAACCAAGTGAAGATCCAGAACATAGTAGGTTCTGGAGATACAATTTCAGAAAGTAGGACAGCTGTTCTTACTGGTGGACACTATTGATGTCATATTAATGTACAAGCATTTGTTTGTTTTACACGTACTATACAAAAGGTATATTATATGTACACCTGCAATACATCAGATACTAGAGTCATCATCAGTAATTTGCAAGTTTAAGACAGGGTCATCACCCTTGTTGAATTAAACTCTGGTGAGCAGATGCAGTCTTCTGAGGAAAAAAGTACTTTTTCTCCCAGTTCCCTGATATTCAAAATTGATTTAATAAGAGTACAAAGATTTATCTTCAGCTCAATACCAACTCTATATTATAGATTATTTTATGCACATTATCTCAGTTAATACAGCATCTCCACAAAGTAGATTAAATTAACCCTATTTGACAATGGCAAAAAAGAGATTGAGAGACCCAAGTTACCTGTATAATAAGTGCTGCTGTTCAGATTCACACCCAACTTGCTTATTCCAATGCTCTTAATTATTGTTATAATGGTATTTATTGTTAATTACATAATTATAAATGTATTATTGTGAAAAATCCCAAATATTAGGATAAATATAAAGAATCTTTGATGAACAACAATCCCACACTCCTCTCCAGAAGTAATCATTGTTATTTGTTAATGAATATCGTTTTATACCACTCTATGCTACAGTTTGATAAATACATAAATGATTGATAGATGATGGATAGATGAATAGAGACATAAATATTATTTTGCTTCTTTTTTTAAATAACAGTATGATACTCTATGTATTATTCTGCAACTTGCTTTTCTCACTCAACAGCGTGTCTTGAAGATTTTGGCATTTAACTCACATACTTTTTAATGCCACGCGGCATTTCATAGTATGCATGTACTATAGTTTAATGATTTCATTTTTCTGGGAATCAATGTTTCCAATTTACTTTATGCAAACAATGATTAATAAAAATCATTTTACACACCCGTTTGTTCAAATGCACAAGAGTTTCTCTAGGGTAAATGCTAAAATTTACCTTAGGCAAATACAGAAATTTTGAGGATAAATTTTGAAGCTGGCTATTGGGTATGTAAAGGTATATCATATCATTTATTCTGTGTTTGTATAGATTTTTAAAAATTAATTACAAAAAACTTGAAATTTTAAATTTGTGTATTTTTCATATTTAGAAAAATTGAGCCTCTTTTAGCATTTGCATTTACTCCTCAATGATTTGCCAACTCATATCATATTCACTTTTCAATTAACTCTTTAAAAATTTTTATTTAGAGGCCGGGCGCGGTGGCTCACGCCTGTAATCCCAGCACTTTGGGAGGCCAAGGCGGGTGGATCACGAGGTCAGGAGTTCGAGACCAGCCTGGCCAATATGGTGAAACCCTATCTCTACTAAAAATACAAAAATTAGTTGGGCGTGGTCATGCACACCTGTCGTCCCAGCTACTTGGGAGGCTGAGGCAGAAGCATCTCTTGAACCTGGGAGGCGGAGGTTGCAGTGAGCCAGGATCTCCCTACCGCACTCTAGCCTGGGTGACAGAGCGAGATTCCGTCTCAAAAAAAAAAAAAAATTAGTTAGTTGTAGCATTTCCTTATAAAGATTTGATCTTAATTCTTAGTCTGCTATAAATGTTGAAAATGTTCCTTCTCAATAGGTTCATTTTCTCTTAAAGTTTATAGTTTTTCTTTATCTATTTGATTTTGAAAAGTTTTTATGACTTTTGATTTTTGTGTTATTGAAGAATGCTTTTTTTTCTTATCAGGCTTACTAACACAGGGGTTCCCATTGGGTTTTATTCCAAATTTTATTTTAAAAAATTAAAATACATATATTAAAATTTCTTAAAATTTTGTGACTTTAACCCACATGGAATACATTTTTATGAATGATCTAACTTACAGTTTTAATTTTATTTCTAAATTATAGATTTAACTTTATTTCCAGATGGATAGCCAATGTCCAAACTACAAAATCATGTATGAAACCCGTATATAAAAAAAAATTTTGTTTAATTAAACCTTTGTGATTCTTTTGCCAATAAACTTAGTTGTTTTTCTCCTTCCTCTTCTTCCTCTTCCTCTTCTTCCTCTTCCTCTTCCTCTCTCTCTCTTTCTTTTTTTAGGGTCTCACTCTGTCACCCAGCCTGGAGTGCAGGCAGTAGCGCAATCTCAGTTTGTGGCCACAGCAGCCTGAACTCAAGTGATCCTCCCAACCTCAGCTTCTGGAGTACCTGGGATTACAGCCAGGCTCCATCGTGTGCCTGGTTAATTTTTTTTTTTTTTTTTTAGACATGGGGCCTCACTATGTGCCTAGGCTGGTCTTTAACTTCTGGGCTCAGGCGATCCTCCCACCTTGGCCTCCCAAAGTGCTGGGATTGCAGGCATGAGCCACCATGCCCGGCCTGAAACTTTGTTTTAAGTTTTTGCCTTCCCTTGTACAGTTTATCTTCCAGATAGTTTTCTAAGCAGTTGGTCTATTTCCTTTCAACAACAACTATTCCAAGTATAATGGGGATTGCATTTATTATATAAGTTAATGAGGGGATAATTTATATCTTTTCAATACTTCTTTCTTTTTTTAACTTTAAGTTCAGGTATACAAGTGCACAAAGTGCAGGTTTGTTACACAGGTACACGTATGTCATGGTGGTTTGCTGCACCAATCAACCCATCACCTAGGTTTCAAGCCCCACATGTATTAGCTATTTGTCCTGATGTTCTCCCTCCCCTTGCCCCCACCCCACTGACAGGACTGGTGTATGTTGTTTCCCTCCATGTGTCCATGTGTTCTCATTGTTCAACTCCCACTTGTGAGTGAGAACATGCAGTGTTTGGTTTTCTGTTCCTGTGTTAGTTTGCTGAGGATGATTGCTTAAAGCTTTATCCATGTCCCTGCAAAGGACATGATCTCATTCCTTTTTATGCCTGCATAGTATCCCATGGTGTATATGTGCCACATTTTCTTTATCCAGTCTATCATTGATGGGCATTTGGATTGATTCCATGCCTTTGCTATTGTGAATAGCACTGCAATAAACATACGTATGCATGTATCTTTAAAACAGAATGATTTATATTCCATTGGGTATATACCCAGTAATGGGATTGCTGGGTCAAATGGTATTTCTGGTTCTAGATCCTTGAGGAATCATCACACTGTCTTCCACAATGGTTGAACTAACTTGCATTCCCACCAACAGTGTAAAAGCATTCCTATTTCTCCACAACCTCGCCAGCATCTGTTGTTTCTTGAAAAACTACTATTTGAAGTATAATGGGGATTACATTTATTGTAAAAGTTAATGACGGGATAATTGATACCTTTTCAATATTGCATTTTTCAGTATCTGAATAACCTTACAATATTTAACACATATTGAGTCATTCTTATAAACCAGATGCTCTCTAAAACGTTTCTATGCATTATTTATTTAATATCTACCATAACACTATGAAGCAGGTTCTATTTTTTCCATTTTATAGATGATAAAAATACAAAGATCCAGTGATTTATCTCAGTTAGCACAGCCAATAAGTCACTCTGGAAGAGAAGAGAATGTAGAGTAAGAAAAGGAGAGGGTCAGCAGCCACACTAATACTTAATAATTGGAGGATAAGAAGCCAGAGATTTAAGAGAAATAACCAGGACATTGTGGTGTCATGGAAGAGACGAAAGAGGGTCAGGAAAGAGAGTGATGAACAGTGGTAATGCTGCAGGAAAGTGAAGTCTGATAAGGACCAATTTGATTTGTCAGGAAGGGGATTTTTAGTGACCTTGGTGACAGAAATATCAATGGAACATTGGGACAAAATCCAAATGTCAGTTATTTTTATGAGTGAATTGAACATTAGCAAGTAGAGACAGTAAGTGCAAAGTACACTTTCCAAAAGATGGGTTGTGCAGAAAACATGGGATGGGGAGGCAACGTTTAAGAGGGATTTATGGCCAAGTATTTTTTTAACATGAAATACACGCAAAAAAAAGGAAGGAACCAGAAAAACTGAAGGTATGAAAAAGATAAAAATATTTGATGGAGCAAGCTTCCTGAGGAGTAGGTGAGAAAAATGGGATCCATTTGTGTTACAAAAAATCCAATTATACTATTTTAGTTATTTTAAAATGTACAATTAAATTGTTAGCAACTATAGTCACCCTATTGTGTTATCAAATACTAGTTCTTATTTATTCTTTCTAACTATTTAGAATAAAAGATAATATCAAGTATTTAAATAGAGAGAAGAAGAATCAGAGAAATGGAAAGGCAGCAAGAGTCACCTACCAGCTTTGATAACAGAGCAAAGGGTCCAGCTGAATTGATCCAGCTAAATTCATTTGTAATGATGCTAAAAAGCACAGTGGCATGACCCTTCCAGCAGCAAAAATGAGTGCTAGTACAGCAGCAGAGCTGGGAGGCTACAGGACTACTTCAAGAGTGAGAGCTTTCAGAGTGGAAGGATAAGTAATAGGTGGAGGGCTTATAAGCAATGCTTAGAGACAATGGGAACTAAGGCAACTAATGAGGACAGTTATGAACAGACATGGAAAAAATGAGGTTTCATTGGATTAGCGGTATTTATGTGGTAGAGAAACAGATGAAATGAGACTGGGGTTGAATTCAGACAGTGGGATACTGAAGTCTGTAAATATAAAAGAAAGAACTGATTAGGCTTGATCTAGGCTAAATTGGAACCAAGGTGGAGATTGCAAGAAAATAGACTTTTGTGTAGCCTAAGAAAACTATATAACAAATAGCTATTTAATAAAGTTCACCTCCACAAGTAGCTATTCAAGTAGATGAGGACCAATTGAGTGAGAGACTTGTGATGGTTAATTGTATGTGTCAACTTGACCTGGCTAAGAGATGCCCAGATAGCTTGTAAAACATTATTTCTGGGTGTGTAATGGGGGTGTTTCCAAAAGAGATTACCATTTGAATCAGTAGGCTGAGTAAAGAAGATCTGCCCTCTCCAAAGCGGGCGGGCATCATCCAATCCTTTGGGAACCCAAACAGAACAAAAAGGTGGAAGAAGGGCAATTTTCCTCTCTCTTCTTGATCTGGGACATTTCTCTTCTCCTTCCCTCAGACATTAGTTCTTAGGCCTTTGGACTCTGGGACTTACTCCGGCGGCACCCCCCAGTTTTCAGGCCTATGGACTTGGACCGAGAGTTACATCATTAGCTCCCCTGGTTCTCAGATCTTTGGACTCAGACTGAATTACACCACTTTGGCTTTTCTGGTTCTCCAGTTTGCAGATGGCATATCATGGGAGTGAACGTGAGCCAATTTCCCTAATAAATTACACACACACACACACACACACACACACACACACACACGCAAATCCTATAGGTTCTGTTTCTTTGTAGAATTCTAATATAGGACTAAATATATCTTTTTCCCTAAAGACTTCTAAGACACCCTCCAAGTTTTTTTTGTTTTTTTTTCTGAAATTTTCTTTTTTTTTATTATACTTTAAGTTTTAGGGTACATGTGCACATTGTGCAGGTTAGTTACATATGTATACATGTGCCATGCTTATACTATATTCTGTGAGCTAGAGAGAAGTAGAATAAAGGAGAAAAATCAATTTTCTGCTGTTCAGAGAAAGTAAAAAATTATGTAAAACATTTCCTCAAAAGATTTAGAATTTCATGCCACGTAGCTTTACTCCACTTGGAGCCCTTCTGCTCAGTGGGCATTTAAAAAAAGAAGGAATACAGATTTACACATATTAAATTTTAAGAAGTGTCTTAAACATATAAGTACATATATCAAATAAAGAGTTGTATATTTGAATCTGGAACTCATGAGAGAACTCTGAGTTACATATATAAATTGACATAATGAGGCACATTAAGCCATTTGGAGAGATAATAACACTTAGTGGGTAAGAGGAGTTATTTATAAAAAATAATAATAATAAAGGAAGCAACAAGGACTACTCCCTGTGGCTCACCTACCTCAGTAAATCTAAAAGAACAAGACCAAGAAAAAGCAGCCAGTGAGTAGAAGGAGAATCCAGAAAAGATGGTTTCCTAGAAGGCAAAATAAGTATTTCTCTAAGAACAGAGTGATTAACGAGTCATCTACTACTAAGTCAAAGAAGATGATGACTGAGGGCTGGTTGTTAGTTTGGTGACATGGAGGTCATTGATGACCTTGACAAGAGAAATTTCAATGTGTTCAAGAGAAAATGAAAGGAGAAATAAGTGCAGATTGAAAATGCAAGGGATATGTGTATATACATACATATATAATTCATATTGTAGTGTATATATATATATATATATATATATATATATAAAATGTTCTATATTATTATAGAACATTTGAATTTGAATGCTGTTGGGAATGGCCCAGTAGATAGGAAAAGTTGTGACACCTTTCTACTCTCCTCCTATCCTATAGAAAGTTAAGAAAGGGAGTTTGTTTCATAATCTATGTTTTTAGTACTTAATCCACATCAGTGCTAGATACTCATGAAGTATTAGACTGAATCACTCATTAAATTTGCTTTATTACCCCTAGATCCAACACTTCAGGTGTTGGTAATGGTTTTGTTTTGAAAATGGAGTATGTGTTAAGTATAGGTCTGTCACTTTTCTTTGCACATTTGAGCAATTGATTGACAGGCAGAAGCGTCCTTTTTTCTCCAAAACAGGCATTATGTGCCAGTAATCAAGATGCATTCAACTGTGGGCTCCTTCTTATAATTACTAATGCTCATTTCCAACTAGGATGTGAACAGTTGAAAGGTGCTGACTTGATAAATATTTTCCATGGCTAGATTCACATCAAATAATTTAGAGTTCTTGGACTGCAAGTAACAAATTACCTTAAGAAAATAAAGAATTTATTGGCAGGATACCCAGTGCAGCATAGAACAGATGAGAATTCAAGAGAATAGATATGAATAGAATGGAACTATGGTGGTGTGGAGTCAAGACAATAAGCATCACACATAATTTCATAAGGAAAATACCATTCAAATGAGTGAATTTTAATTTTTTCCTATTTTTCCATCAAAGTGTGGGAAGAGAGAGTCAGAGTAGCCTAACTAGGGTAGGGCAGTGCACCTTGATTTGCAGTACAGTGTTTTAAAACTACACTCAATGGAAAAGTATAACTCCCCAAAAGGAATTTAGCACACTGCTATCAAATGAAAGAGAAACGGATGCAGGCAACCAAAAGGAGGAAATGACCATGAGAGACCTCAGCCAAAAAGTTTAATTAAGAATCCATGACAGGCTTGAGTGTCCTTACCATGCTTTTAAATTTAACAACAACAAAATCCAGTGAGTGAAGTCACTGTACATGGTGGCACATGAAAAAAATTAGACCCTGTTGAAGATAAGATCCATCACAAAATCACTGACTTCATTAAAAATGTGCATATATGTGTTACTGAGGTTTGCAAACATTGAATTGATGTATACTTCTAGAATTATAGGAGAAACACAAATATTATAAATTCTAGAAGTCACATAAGATAAAGCAATTATTTGATTAGCTTACTGGCATATATAAACTTACTTTATTCAAAGCCTATAATTGCCTTCAGAAATTATTATATTTCATTTAAAGACAGATAAAGGTGTTCTTTAAAAAACTGATTTGGAGTTCTGGAAGCAGCCCTAGTTCTAGTTAATTTATGTTCCTAATCAGAAATTAAGACAGCTGAAGCTTTTTTGCTTCTCCTCATTCAATTATCACCACTACAGAGAAGTAGAAATAGCAACAGAGCCTGACATTCAGGTAAGAGAGACGATATGAAAAAAACATATTCTGTTCATGTCATAAATCACGGTGACACTACTAAGAAAAGAATATGAACAATTCTGAGTGGTTGTCATCAGTGACATCAACATTAATTTCAAAAACACTTTGTGGACTGAAACCTTTAGCTCCCTATAGTATTTTTTCTTGTATCTTGCTATAAATAATGATTGCATAGATTCTGTGTATCACTCAGGACAAGGAATGGCCAAAAAAGTACAAAGGGATTCATGTGCTGACTCTTTACTTTGGCGAACTTGGGTTGCTTTCCCAGGCAAATAATCACAAGGCACACAAGTCTGAAGAATCTCCAGGAAGCTTTCTATCAAATACAAGTGCGGTGGCTTTCTTCCCATGAACTACACTTATATCTATAAATAAATGTATCTAGCCTCTCCGTAAAGAAGGAGAAGAGATGTATGAATTAGGAGGATGAGGAGGCAGAGAATGAAGGCCCAGAGTTTGGATCAATAGCTGCCTGAAGCATTTTCACCATTAGCATCCCTAGGACATTTGCTCTGGGAATATTTATTTGCTGATGTGTTTATTACAAAAACAAACAAACAAACACAAACCTCTCAAAATATCAGATCTAGATTTTTTTTTCTCAGTTGGCTTACTTATAGGTGGTAATCGAAGCTATCAGCACAAAAGCTGTTATTTCCTTAAAACCTTGATAGTTTTTGGCAAATGAAACTATAAGCTTAAAAATTCAAACCCATTAAGAAAAAAATTCAAAACAAAGAAATTTTAGAGAAATTTTTCTTTATCAAATGATTCTTTGCTTTGCAAAAAGGTAAACCCATATATTATATTATGTACTTTCCAAAAATAATCTGTATTTTTTAAATCTTCCCTAAAAAGCAGATTTTTGGTAAAGTATGGCTGATGTAAACATTCATGTGTAATTTCTTTGTTGTAGCATTAAAAATCATTTGTGAAGCACAAAATACATACCAGGTTTGGGGAAAACAAATGTGAATTAATTCAATCTCTTACATCAAGAGTTTATATTAAAATTGGTATAAACAACCATGAACAAAGTGGATTATAACATAATGATACACTGTGTTAAAAAATGTTCAAAGTGCTATGAAACCATGAATGAAAAAGTGATTAATTCTTCCTAAAAGTTCAGAGACAACTTCATAAAATACGTGCCATTTTAAATAGACTTTTAAAGAATAAGTAAGAATAAGTATGCCAAGTAGCAAAGTGTGATAAAGAAATTCAAGGCCCAGGGGAAAAAAGAATGTACTTATCTGCGGAATCAGCAAATAATTGGGATTGCCTTGACTAAGGAATGCTGAGAGAGAAGTAACGAATGGTATGTCTGAAAGAGTAGACTATGCAGATTTTGTGAATGGAAATGTCATGCCATAAAGTTTAGAGAGTCAACAAACGATTGTAAAGAGGGGAGTTATGATGGTTAATTTCATGTGTCAATTGTACTAGACTAACAGATGTCCAGATAGCTGGTAAAGCATACTTTCTGGATGTGTCTGTGAAGGTGTTTCCAGAGGGATTAGCATTTGAATTGATAATCTGAGTAAAGAAGATCTGCCTTCACCAATGTGAATGAGCATCATCCAATCCATTGAGAACCCAAACAGAACAAGACAGATGTAAGGGCGAATTTGTTCTGTCTGTTTGGGCTGGGACATCCATATTCTCCTGCCCTCAGACATCGGAGCTCCTGGTTCTCTGGCCTTCGGACTTGAGCTGAATTACTGCACTGGCTTTCCTGTTTCTCCAGCTTGTAGTATGCAGTTCATAGGACTTCTCATTCTTCATAATCACATGAGCCAATTCCCATAATAAGTTTTATTTTATATATATGTGTGTGTGTGTGTGTAATATAAACACACATATATATATCACACACACACACACACACACACACACACACATATATATATATATATATATATATATATATATATATATATATATAAAATCTATTGGCTTTTTTCTGTAGAGCCCTGACTGATATAGGAATGATATAATCAGGTTAGTGATTTAAGTTTAAGAATGATAATTCTAGCTTAGTATGAGGGATAAAATGGAATCACTAGAATAATAGGGATTATAGCCATATAGGGCATGAAGGGGGAATAGAGAATGCACTGTGGTTTGCAAGACGAACTCTAAATAGCCACCTATTTCGAGACCTGAAAGCTAAGAATGGAATAGGTTTTTATGTTTTTAAATGGTTAAAAAAATCAAATAATATTCTATGACATGCAAAAATTATATAAAATTCAAGTTTCTGTGTCCATAAAGTTTTATTGGAGCACAGCTATGTTCATTTGTATACATATTATCTATGATTGCATTCATACTACAATTGAGTAGAGACCATAGGGCCCACAAAGCCTAAAATATTTACTACCTAGAACTTTACCAAAAAAGATTGCTGACCCCTAATTTAAGGTATGAACAAAACTGTGGATAGCTAGGTCTAATATGAGTTATAGTCAGAAAGGTCCTACTGCCATAAGTAAAAATCATAACCTAAAAATATTAATGGCTACAGATATTAACCTAGTTCAATTTCTGGTAACTAACAAAGATCCCAAATAAGGAAAAATATAACTACAAGAGAATATTGGACAAACTGACAATAAGCAGATAATCTCTCCTTCTTCTACTTAACACCACATTACCAAGTGAAATTATTTAAAACACACACATACACCCTCCACATGCACATGCATGTGTGCACAAACACATAAAAAAATTTGGAAAGCCCATATTGCACTGAAAACTTGAGAAGGAAACAAGCTCTATAGAAAAAAATTTAAGGAATTTCTGACAGATACAGTGTCATAAATAAAAGATTAAAGGAAGCCAGGGAGGATCAATATGCAATTCCCATTCTGGAGAAAGTGGTTTCATTTGCCATGACAAAAGTAGAAGAGATATTTTGAGGAATAGGGATTAAAAGCTCAAGCTTTGATGTCAGCCAGTCCTGAGCTTTAATGCTATCATTGTAACTTCATTCATTAAATAAATATTTAATAATTACCAACTGTATTCCACGCAATTACATGATATACAAGCTTAAAATCTCTGAACCTGTTTCTCAAGCCCGTTTCTTAAATAGTACCTTACAGGTCTACTGTGAAAATCAAATAACTACCACCACCACTACCACCATTAAAACAAAGACAACAACAACAACCAAAACACTTCTATTGTGCTTATTATGTGCTCAGCATTGCTTTAAGTATTTTATATATTAATTTATTTGAATTATAACACCATTTTACAGGTAAGGAAACCAAAATACAGAGAAGTTAAGCAAATTGAACAATTTTCACAGCTTGTGGGGGAAGACCTGTGATTGGAAATCAGATACTCTGTATTCAGAGTTCATGCTCTTAGCCACTGTGTTTTATTATCTCTCCAAATAAGATAAAGTATGGAAAGTATCATGATGTCTGTGTTTCTGTTGTTCAATAAAAAATGGCTATAACTACATTTTATGGAAATCACTTAAAACTTCAATATAAAGTAAGGACTACCAAGTGGGCAGAATGGAAGACAAATGGAAATTATTTCATTTTTAAAACCTTTTTGCAGATTAATGACTTTCAGAAGCAGCTCTTCCAGGAGACACAAGGGAAAGAAAAACCATACCATACAAAAACCACACGGCAAGGAAACAGGGCTTCTTCTGACTGAGGTGCAGCTCCTCCCTGAGGCAGTAAGCTACTGTCCTAGGAAGGATGTCAGACAGAGCCACACGTGTCCATAATGAAGGTTAGATACAAAAGTAAATTAGACAGGAAAGCTAATGGCAGGTACTATAATACCAACAAACACCAGCTTGAACAGAGAAAATATTCCTTTGCTGTAACTACACAAGCCCCCTCTCTACGCCCCTAATGCTGCTGAATCACTGAGCTGGTATAACGTATATCAACCAACCCTCCAATGTAATGTAATATAATGTAATGTAATGTAATGTAAATCTCAGAAAGACGACATTAATAGAATGAAAGCAGACAGGAAGGGAGTCCTAAAAGAATCTAATCGTAAAGTTTGTTGGAAAATACTAGTCATCTATATTTAAAAATGAGTAAAGAAGGGAAAACAGGTCTTATGAAAAGATTTGCCACCTAAAAGGAGTTTTGCACTATCTTTGAAATTAAAGATGAAGAGATGAAACGAATTGATTGAATTAAAGGAAAAACATTAAGAAAATAATGCCACAGGATAATAGTAAAGGGTTTTGAAAAGATTTTCCCCTGCCTCACACTACACATCAATATAAATTTCCAATAGATTAATAATTTAAATGAAAAATATAGAGCAATAAACTGTAGAATAGAATACAGGTGTGACTACATGATTTGGAGTGGGAAAAACTTTCTCAACTAATAATAAAACATTAAAACACTATAAAGAAAAAATATTAATATATTTGCTCTTACTGAAAAGCAAACGAAAAACTGAGAAAATCTATATGGCAAAAGAGAAGCAGGAGTGCATGGTGCTTGTAGATATTGACCACAACTTGATATCTTAGCCATAAACCTTCCCAGGGTCACTCAAACTCAGAATAGTGTGTACATAGGGGAAAGACCACATAGCCTATTCCTTAGTTTCAAAATTCACGAAGTACTTTTCTAAATCCACTCTTGAATTTTTGCACTCTGGACTTTGCCTGCTACTTAAAATGTCAGAGTATTATCTTGCTTCTCTCATCTGAGTTAATCTTTCAGAATTTAGGTCCTAATTTTCTGCCTCTGCCTACAATTTTTGTCTGATTTAGTCATCTTGCCTGCTTGTATCTCTATCACACCAATAGTTTTATTTTAACAAGAAAATCTCATAAAGCTCTTTCTCAAAGCTCCAAACAATTCCAGGGTGCCAGGAAATAAAAACTCTGAACATTCATCTTCCTTAAATACTACTTTTCATGACCTCTCGTTACTTTTAATAGTTCAGTACTATTTCCTGTCATATTATGAATTATCATTCCACAGCATTCAAAGCATCCTATAGTTTATACACTTCTAGTCTCTAACCATATTTCCTGTTCTCCTTCACTCAGAAATGTCCAAGAGCCTGCATGCATATCTTTCAAAATGAACGGGTTTATATCAACTTTTCCTAATTTGAAAATTCCATGTTCTTTGTACAAGATTATTCATGACTTCACTGTAGTTATACAAGTTTAGGAAAAAAAAATGTATGTCCATCAAAAGGGGACTGGTTAAAATGTATGGTCTGTATATTTAATGGAGCACTAAACAGCTGTTAAAGCAAAAAAGATAAATTCTTTATTAGCTTGACTATAAAAATCTCCAAAGGATATTGTAAAAAAGCAATGTGAAAAATGATATGTATGGTGTGTATGCAACACTTGAATTACAAAAAGGTATATGATTAAATTTATCTATTTACATATGCATAAAATATCATTACAAGAAATGAAAAGAAAGACCAATAGCTATTTCTCTGTGGCAAGAACACTTGGGTGGCTGAGAGACAGGGGGTGAGTTAGATATGTTTTATAATATACATTTTTGTATTTATCTTTTTAATTTTGAGAAATCTAACCGTAGTATTTATTTTGAAGTTAAAGAAATAAAAGTTTCATGATCTACTTTAAGACATCTGTTCCTTCTGTGGCCTTTCATCACATTTTGTTTTAATAAAAGCTTTTTAATTCTGTATCAGAGTTTAATCTTTGCAAAGACATTTTAATCAATAATAAGGACCCAAATTAAAGTCAAAATTCACATTCTTGTGGGATCTCATAAGCTGGCCAGTATGTAGACAATGCTAACTGTACACAATTTAATCATGACCTGATTCATTGTCCATTTATTTTAACATCAACTTCAGAAACATTAAAATGTAAAATAATAATGTTTTTGTTATAATAAACAGAGAATCTTTAAGCCCTAGACAACTCTCAACTCAATTAGATTTTCACTTAACTCGCTGATCTTCTTTAGTTGTTTTTCTGTAAATGTATTTGAAGTATTTATTACACAATTTGGAGTTTGGTTATAATAATCACCATTTGCCTAACACTTATTTCAATCCTGCATGGATGTTGGGTAGTATTTTCCTATTTTACAGATAAGTAAACTGAGGTCCAGTAACTGGTAAGCAATTAAAAGGATTCAAAATCAGACCCGTCGGACTCCAGAGCCTTAGCGCTTCCACTAAATTATATTTCGTTTTATACAATAATTATTTAATTAGCTAACTTTACAACAAATTAGCAGTAAATTATTTGCAGATGAGAAAATTGTGCTCAGTTTTGTCCAATCACAAACCTCGGAACTCAGTAAAATGCTTTCAGACAATGAAGGCATTTTTCATATAAAATAATGACATTTAGGAAAACAGTCGCTTAATACACACTTATAATTGGAATATGAAAATGCACTTCCAGACTTAAAATATACAATTTTGATTTATTTAATGTATTAATCATTTTAGTTTCACAATATTTTTAAATGGAAACATTTACAAGAGTTTATAACATTTATAATTCCTAGTTAATATCAGAGTATACTATATCTATGTTTCTAGATTTAATATTGACCAAAGCACCTATTCATGGTCAATTAGATGATTTAAGGTGAAGAGTCATGTGAAATGATAGTTGTTGTTCCAAGGTTTCAAAGCTTAAACTTTCTTTAACATGCAAAGTTTCTTTGAACATTTTACATTTTACAGACTAAACAAACTGATTCAGATAAGATGCTAGCTATTCTCTGGGGGAACTCCTGGAAGCAATGGTGTGTGATACAGTTCTGCTTACTTTTGATGAATTCCTCCACGAAAAACATGTTTTCTCTGTCTTTCCTGTGGTTGATACCACCAGGGAGCAATTCCACTGTCACTGATGAATGCTAGCAAGGTCAGACCTTGTCAGTGCAAATGAAAGTCTTGTGATTAGTATTCTGTACCTTCTTACTAATGAAGCTTCTAATCATGAAATCTGTCTGTATTTATAATCTTTTTCTAGCTGCTAAGTGCCCTTGAAAGGTTAGATAAATGGGAAATAATACTATTGGTTTGGTGTTCTTTTCTTGCACAATGTCTTTCAAATTTAGTGTTCAACTTGCTGTTTATGACTCTTA
This sequence comes from Homo sapiens, assembly GCF_000001405.40. Classification (NCBI taxonomy): domain Eukaryota; kingdom Metazoa; phylum Chordata; class Mammalia; order Primates; family Hominidae; genus Homo; species Homo sapiens. Next base: position 197,247,380 of record NC_000001.11, on the reverse strand, counting down.
TGGTCAACATTACAACAATGACAACCTTGCAACCTTGGCTATAGAATTTCAACATGCAAAAGAAGTTACAAACATACAAAAACATTTATAATAAAAAATATTTGTGGAAACATTCAGGTTTCCTGGGGAACATTTTGACAGTAGAAAAAATACATAACAGTATTTGTAGCAGACTTTGCTAGAAGAAAAAATTATGAGTAAAAAATTTTGCACTAACCAAGAATGGTAAAAGAGTGATTTTGACATCAATGTTTAAGGAAAATTTATTCAACCTTAACTGAGTAGCATTTGGTGTAAACTGAAAACTGTATATATACCTTTTTAACAGTATGAGGATTTACTTATGATTGCTATAGATAATTATATTTCCCTAAAACTGAGTACAGTCTATCTGAATTTATACATTCATTTTTCTCTAAGTTTTGATAGAGGAAGTACTCTACTCACTGTTAATAAAATGTAAGTAATTCCATGATGTAAGCCAGGGATCAGCAAACTTTCTTTAAAGGCTCAGACAGTAAATATTTTAGGCTTTGTGAACCATAGACTCTCTGATACAGCTATTCAACCTCAGACATTGTAGCACAAAAGGAGCTGTAGACAATATGTATGTGAATGTAACTATGTGCATTAAAACGTTACTTATGTACACTGAATTTTGAATTTTATGTAATTCTCATGTGTCATGAAATTGTATTCTTCCTTTGATCTTTTTTTCAATCACTTAATTATCTAAAATAATTCTTGCGACTTCTTCCAGGAAACTGTAGTAGACATATTTTTCCCATTCTTTCTGCTAATGATAACTAGAAACCTTGGACATTTTATATGCAATAAATATAAGGAGACTCTAAAAGATAGTGAGAAGAAAGCAGACCATCTATGGGACACAGGGCACAAGAAATGACATGGTGGTAAGCTCCTTGGGTTTTCTTTTGGATTCATATATCTCAGACTTGGAGCTGAAGAAGCCAGCAACCCAGAAATGCCAGTGAGTAAAGACAAAAAATAGAAATAAATAAATAAATAAAGCCTCCTCTCCTTAGCAAAAAGACCAGGAAAGGGGCAACCTAGTAAGACAGAAAACTTGTATACTGTAACTGTTCTACTCCAGCTAAACACCACAGAAAGAACTGTGTCCCCACCTCTGCCTATGCCAGCATAGGCTGAGTGGGGTGCCACCCTCACCAGCCTCTAACAAGTTACCCTAACTTTCCTGCTGGGGTGTTACAGAGATTGAGTAGGTACCTGGGACTTTCATCTCTATCAGGTGGTAACAAGGCTCCTCCCATATTTCCAGTGTAGACTACCTGGGGAACCTGAATTTCCTGGCACGCCCAACAGTTATGAAGTACCCCTCCCCACTATGGTAGTGTCATAGGAGCCCTGCTGGAAAGTTAGAACTTTTGCCCCCAACCAACGTCAGTGAGGACATATACCCCAACTGTGGTGGCAGTGGAAGGCACATGGGAGCAATAATAAGGCATTCCTTTTTCTCTCATCAAGAAAAACATCAGCGGAGGCCACAGAGGACACCCACTCTTAGGTGTCAGCATAGATCATGTAAGGAACCTGCCCTTCTTCTCCCTGACCTGCCAGTAGCAAGGAACATCCATCCCTTTCCCATGCTGGAGCAGCGTCAAAGGAAATCAGCTAGTACAGAAAGCTTAAATAGACCTGGCGACCCTTAACACAAAATACAAAATTTCATGTTTCAATAAAAAATTATTCATAACAGCAAAAAGCAGAAATATCTCAAGGTGAATGGGAAAAAAAGAAAAGACAATCAGTAGATGTCAACACCAAGGTGATAAAGATGTTAGAATGAATTATATAACAAAGATGCTTTTAATATCTGTCTTTTTTGTTTTAAGAGATGGGGTCTACCTTTGCCTCCCAGGCTGGAATGCAGTGGCTATTCACAGGCACAAGCATAGTATACTGCCACCACAAACTCCTGGGCCTAAGTGATCCTCCGACCTCAGCCTCTTGAGTATCTGGGACTACAGATGCACACCATTGTGCCCAGCTAACAAAGATTTTAAAGCAGCCATCATAGAAATGCTTCTATGAGTAATTACAAACATTCTTGAAGTGAAAAAAATTTTTAAAGCCTCTTAAAGAAATAGAAAGTCTCCACACACCGGGGCCTGTTGTGGGGTGAGGGAAGTGGGGAGGGATAGCATTAGGAGATATACCTAATGTTCAATGACGAGTTAATGGGTGCAGCACACCAACATGGCACATGTATACATACGTAACAAGCCTGCACGTTGTGCACATGTACCCTAAAACTTAAAGTACAAAAAAAAAGAAATAGAAAGTATCAGAAAAGAAGTATACAAAAGAACCAAATAAAAAAATTTAGAACTAAAAATACGATAACCTAAACAAACAGACAAACAAACCTCAACAGATAAGCTTGACAGCAGAATGGAGGGAACAGAGGAAAAAAGCAGTGATATAAAAGATAGAACAATAGAAATTGTCCAATCTGAACAACATAAAGAAAATAGAAGGAAAAAAATACACTAAGCATAAGGAATCTGTGGGACTATAACAAAAAAATCTACTGTTTGTGTGATTAGAGTCTTTGAAAGAGAGGGGAAATAGATGAGACCAAAAAAGAAAAAAAAACTATTTGAAGAAATAATGGCTGGAAGCATCACAATTTGGAAAAAGACATAAAACTACAGATTCAAGAAGGTGAACAAATACCAAACAGAATATACTCAAATAAATACACTAAGAAAATTATTGACAAAGTTTTGAAAATTAAACACAAAGAAAAAATCTTGAAATCAATGAAAGGGAAATTACACCCTACCTGTAAGTAAAAATCTGTTTTCATGACAGAGAATTTCTCATCAGAAATTGTGGAGGTGAAAAGCAAATAAGAAAACACTTTTCAAGTTCAGAAAGAAAATTGTCAACACCAAATCTTATATTCAGAAAAAAAAATATTTTAAGGATGAAACAGATACCAAGACATTCTAAGGAAAAATGAAGATAATTTGCTGCCAGCAGATCTACATGAAATAAAAATTGCTTATGGAAAGAAAAAACCCATACCAGCCACTGCAAAAACATACCAAATTGTAAAGACCATCCATACTTTGAAGAAACTGCATCAACTAATGGGCAAAATAGCCAGCTAACGTCATAATGACAGGATCAAATTCAAACATAACAATATTAACCTTAAATGTAAATGGGCTAAATGTCCCAATTAAAAGACACAGACTGGCAAATTGGATAAAGAGTCAAGACCCATCGTTGTGCTGTATTCAGGAGACACATCTAATGTGCAAAGACACACACAGGCTCAAAATAAAGGGATGGAGGAATATCTACCAAGCAAATGGAAAGCAAAATAAAAGGCAAGGGCTGCAATCCTAGTCTCTGATAAAACAGACTTTAAACCACAAAGATCAAAAAAGACAAAGAAGGCCATTACATAATAGTGAAGAGATCAATGCAACAAGAAGAGCTAACTATCCTAAATATATATGCACCCAATACATGAGCAACAAGATTCATAAAACAAATTCTTAGATACCTACAAAGAGACTTAGACCCCCACACAATAATAGTGGGAGACTTTAACAACCCACTGTCAATATTAGACAGATCAACGAGACAGAAAATTAACAAGGATATTCAGGACTTGAACTCAGTTCCACACCAAGCAAACCTAATAGACATCTACAGAATTCTCCACCCCAAATCAATAAAATATACATTTTTCCCACCACCATATCACACTTATTCTAAAATTGACGAGATAATTGGAAGTAAAACACTCCTCAGCAAATGCAAAAGAACGGAAATCATAACAGCCTCTCAGACCACCATGCAATCAAATTAGAACTCAGGATTAAGAAACTCACTGAAAACCATACAACTACATGGAAACAGAAAACCTCCTCCTGAATGACTACTGGGTAAATAATGAAATTAAGGCAGAAATAAATAAGTTCTTGGAAACCAATGAGAACAAACACACAACATACCAGAATCTCTGGGACAATGCTAAAGTAGTGTTTAGAGGGAAATTTATAGCATTAAATGCCCATAGGAGAAAGCAGGAAAGATCTAAAATTGACAGTCTTTAACATCACAATTAAAAGAACTAGAGAAGCAAGAGCAAACAAATTCAAAAGTCAGCAAACGACAATAAATACTAAGATCAGAGCAGAACTGAAGGTGATAGAGACATGAAAAACCCTTCAAAAAAATCAATGAATCCAGGAGCTGGTTTTTTTTAAAAAGATTAACAAAATAGATAGACCACTAGCCAGACTAATGAAGGAGAAAAGAGAGAAGAATCAGATAGATGCAATAAAAAATGATAAAGGGGATATCACCACTGATACCACAGAAATACAAACTACCATCAGAGAATACTATAAACACCTCTACACAAATAAACTAGAAAATCTAGAAGAAATGGATAAATTCCTGGACACATACACCCTCCCAAGACTAAAAAAGGAAGAAGTTGAATCCCCGAATAGACCAATAACAATTTCTGAAATTGAGGCAGTAATAAATAACCTACCAACCAAAAAAAGCGCAGGAACAGACTGAATCACAGCTGAATTCTACCAGAGGTACAAAGAGGAGCTGGTACCATTTCTTCTGAAACTATTCCAAACAATATAAAAAGAGGGACTCCTCCCTAACTCATTTTATGAGGCCAGCATCATCCTGATACAAAACATGGCAGAGACACAACAAAAGAAAATTTCAGGCCAATATCTCTGATGAACATCAATGCAAAAATCCTCAATAAAATACTGACAAATGGAATCCAGCAGCACATCAAAAAGCTTATCCACCACAATCAAGTTGGCTTCATCCCTGGGATGCAAGACTCGTTCAACATGTGCAAATCAATAAACGTAATCCATCACATAAAAACAACCAATGACAAAAACCACATGATTATCTCAATAGATGCAGAAAAGGCCTTTGATAAAATTAAACACCCCTTCATGCTAAAAACTTTCAATAAACCAGGTATTCATGAAACGTATCTCAAAATCATAAGAGCTATATATGACAAAACCACAGCCAATATCATACTGAATGGGCAACAGCTGGAAGCATTCCCTTTGAAAACTGACAGAAGACAAGAATGTCCTCTTTCAACACTCCTAATCAACAGAGTTCTGGCCAGGGCAATCAGGCAAGATAAAGAAATAAAGGGTATTCAAATAGGAAGAGAGGAAGTCAAATTGTCTCTGCAGATGACATAATTGTATATTTAGAAAACCCCATCATCTCAGCCCAAAATCTCCTTAAGCTGATAAGCAACTTCAGCAAAGTCTCAGGATACAAAATCAAGGTACAAAAATCACAAGCATTCCTATACACCAATGAGACAAACAGAGAGCCAAATCATGAGTGAATTCCCATTCACAATTGCTACAAACAGAATAAAATACCTAGGAATACAACTTGCAAGGGATGTGAAGGACCTCTTCCAGGAGAATTACAAACCACTGCTCAAGGAAATAAGAAAGGACACAAAAAATGGAAAACATTCCATGCTCATGGATGGGAAGAATCAATACTGTGAAAATGGCCATACTGTCCAAAGCAATGCATAGATTCAATGCTATTCCCATCAAGCTACCGTTGACTTTGTTCAGAGAATTAGAAAAAAAAAAAAAACTACTTTAAAAGAAGAGCCCCTATAGCCAAGACAATCCTAAGCAAAAAGAACAAAGCTGGAGGCATCATGCTACCTGACTTCAAACTATACTACAAGCCTACAGTAACCAAAACAGCATGGTACTGGTACCAAAACAGATATATAGACCAATGGAACAGGATAGAGGCCTCAGAAATAATGCCACACATCTACAACCATCCGAACTTTGACAAACCTGACAAAAACAAGCAATGGGGAAAGAATTCCTTATTTAATAAATGGTGTTGGAAAAACTCACTAGGCATATGCAGAAAACTGCAACTGGTCCTCTTCCTTACACCTTGTACAAAAATTAACTCAAGATGGATTAAAGACTGAAATGCAAGACCTAAAACCATAAAAACCCTAGAGTAAAACCTACAGAATACCATTCAGGACGTAGGCATGGGCAAAGACTTCATGACTAAAACATCAAAAGCAATGCCAACAAAAGCCAAAATTGACAAATAAGATCCAATTAAACTAAAGAGCTTCTGCACAGCAAAAGAAACTATCATCAGAGTGAACAGGCAACCTACAGAATGGGAGAAAAGTTTTGCAATCTATCCATCTGACAAAGGGCTAATATCCAGAATCTACAAGGAGCTTAAACAAATTTACAAGAAAAAAACAAACAACCCCATCAAAAAGTGGGTGAAGGATATGAACAGGCACTTCTCAAAAGAACACATTTATGAGGCCAACAAACATATGAGAAAAGTTCATCATCAATGGTCATTAGAGAAATGCAAATCAAAACCACAATGAGATACCATCTTATGCCAGTTTCAATGGTGATCATTGAAAAGTCACTGGAGAGGATGTGGAGAAATAGGGACACTTTTACACAGTTGGTGGGAATATAAATTAGTTCAACCATTGTGGAAGACAATGTGGTGATTCCTCAAGGATCAAGAACCAGAAATACCATTTGACCCAGCAATCCCATTACTGCGTATATACTCAAAGGATTATAAATCATTCTACTATAAAGACACATGCACACATATGTTTACTGCAGCACTGTTCACAACAGCAAAGACTTGGAACCAAACCAAATGCGCATCAATGATAGACTGGATAAAGAAGTGGCACATATACACCATGGAATACCATGCAGCCATAAAAGTGGATGAGTTCATGTCCTTTGCAGGGACATGGATGAAGCTGGAAACCATCATTCTCAGCAAACTAACACAGGAACAGAAAACCAAACACTGCATGTTCTCACTCATAAATGGGAGTTGAAGAATAAGAACACATGGACACAGGGAGGGGAACATCGCACACCAGGGCCTGTCAAAGGGTGGGGGCATAGGAAGGGATAGCATTAGAAGAAATACCTAACGTAGATGACGGGTTGATGGGTGCAGCGAACCACCATGGCACGTGTATACTTACGTAGGAAACCTGCACGTTCTGCACATGTATCCCACAACTTAAAGTATAATTAAAAAAAAGTTCTCTAAACACAAAGGAAACTATAAAGAAAGGACCTTTGGAACATCAAATAAAGAAAGACATGGTAAGCAAAAATACAAGTGAAGACAACAGATTTTTCTTCTCCTCTTGAGTTTCCTAAATTATGTTTAATCACTGAAGCAAAAATTATAACACTGACATTGTTCTATGTGAATGTAGAGGAGATATTTGAGATAATTATATCATAAATGGGGGAGAGTAAGGGGGCATAAAGGAAGGTAAGGTTTATACACTTCATTCTAATTGGCAAAATTATGACACAAATAGACTATGATAGACATGTATATATAATAATTATAAATTATAATTATTTATTTTTATATAAATAATATACAATAAGTTATCTAGAGCAACCATCAAAAAGCTATACAAAGGGATACACTCAAAAATACTATAGAGATATTAAAATGGATATATCAAAACTAGAATTCAGAAAAAAATAGGGAAATTAAAATAGAGAAAACAAACAGAAAACAAAAAAAAAACTACAGATGTTTTCCCAAACGTATCAATAATTATATTATTTGTAAGTGGGTAAAATATGTCAATTAAAAGACAGATTTACAAAGTAGATTTTAAAACATGACCTAACTATATGCTGTCTATAAGAAACCCACACAAACTATGACAATATAGACAGATTGAAAGTAAAATGATATTAAGAGATATATCACTTAAACATTGACTAGTATTAATGGTAGGTATAGTCAACTTTACAGCAAAGAAAATTACCAGACTGAAAGAAACATTACACAAAGCAAGAATATATTGCATTCCTAAATAGGTATGTCCCCAAGATCAGAACTGCAAAATATATGAAGCAAAAATTGATAGAACTTGAAAGACAAATAGACAAGTGTGTAATTATAGTTGGGAATTTTAATTTTTGATATTTTAATATCAAAATTTGATACAAATATTAGACAAAATATTCAGAAATAATCTAGAATAAACTCAACAACATAAGGCAATATAATCTAATTGACTTCTATAGAACACTCCACCTAACAGCAGAATACACATTATTCTCAAGCTTGCATGGAAGATATACCCGGATAGACTATAACCTGAGCCATAAAAAAACTTAATAAATTTAAAATAATTAAAATTATATAGAGCTTGATATCCCTGGAGCTGATAGAATATGCAAATGGACAACTGAAGAGTAAGTAAGAGATGCATCTATCCAAGGCAATACTGTTCCATACATAAATACGCAGAAGACTAGGATGTGAAGACACCAAAAGAAAGACACTTTTCACAGGTCGATATATTTCTTATGATTTCTTTCTATGTTTTTGTTCTTTTGTGATATAATTTGTCTTGTTTTTATAATAGCTGGTGATTTTTTTTTTTGAGACAGAGTTTCGCTCTTGTTGCCCAGGCTGTAGTGCAGTGGTATGATCTCAGCTCACTGCAACCTCTGCCTCCTGGGTTCAAATGATTCTCCTGCCTCAGCCTCCCAAGTAGCTGGGATTATAGGCATGCTCCACCATGCTGGCTAATTTTGTATTTTTAGTAGAGATGGGGTTTCTCCATGTTGGTCAGGCTGGTCTCAAACTCCTGACGTCAAGTGAGCTGCCTGCTTTGGCCTCCCAAAGTGCTGGGGTAACAGGCATGAGCCACTGCAACTGGTCTAGTTGGTGATTTACTGACATGTAGGATAAACATATACAATCATGTACTTAATTGTGAAGAGATTTTACATTTAAGAAAAAAAGATCGTACTTTCAAAAATATTTAAGGTGAGAGAAATGTAAAGGGAAAAAAGCAGAATAATAAGATCAAAGCAATATTGTCTACAATATTGAGATAAGCATAATGATACCTATATAAATAAGCATATTATAGAAATATCAATTGATTAACATTAATATTAGTTGACATCTGTTGGGAAATTGGGGATCATTTTATTTGTCTTCATTTGTTTCTATGTTTCCACATTCTTATGGAACTGGAATGTAAACTTATTAAAAAAACTATACAGAGTTTGTTCTCTGACAACAATAAAATCAAACTATAAATCAATAATAGAAAGATAACAGAAAAATGTCCTAACCCTTGGACACTTCAAAAACATGCTTCTAAATAATCCTTGGATGAAAAAGGAAGTCTCAAAAATTTTTAAAAGCACATTAAACTCAGTGAAAAGTGAAAATACAACATATCAACATTTGTAGAACACAGTGAAAGTATTGCTGAGAGGAAAATTAATAGCACTAAATGCATTCATTAGAGAAGATAAGTCTCAAATCCATAATTGAAGCTACTGTCTCAAGAACCTAGAAAAAGAAGACCAAAAAGAAAATACAAAGCTATCAGAAAGAAGAAAATAATAAAGAGCAGAAATCAATAAAATTGAAAACAAAAGAGAAAATCAGTGAAAGAAGAGCTGATCCTTTCAAATAATCAATAAAATTGATGAACCTCTGCCAAAATGACATGTATTTAAAAAGAGAGAAAAGACGAATTGTGAATATCAGAAATGAAAGACAAGTCATCACTACTGATCCCATGGACAATAAAAAGGAATACTATGAACAACTGTGTCTACAAATATGATAACTTAAATGAAATGGACCAATTCCTTTAGCGACACCAACTACAAAATTTGTAAAAGAAATAATAAATAATTGGAATATGTCTATTGTCTGAATGTTTGTGTCCCTCCCCCAAAATTCATATATTCAAACCGAATACCTACAGTAATAATATTAAGAGGTGGGGCCCTTGTGAATGGGATTAGTGATCTTATAAAAAGAGGTTGAAGGGAGCCGCCTTGCCCCTTTCACCATGTGAGGATGCTGCAAGAAGATGCCATCTTTGAGAAAGAGGCTCTCACCAGATATCAGATTTGCTGGTGCCTTGATCTTCGACTTCTCAGCCTCAAGAACTGTAAGAAATAAATTTCTATTGTTTATACATTACCCAGGTTAAAGTATTTTGTTATGACAGCCAGAATGGTCTGAGAAAGGTAATATGTAATAAAGAAATTGAATCAATAATTAGTAATCAATATAATTAATAATCTTCTGAAATAAAAGCACCATGTTCTGTCTTTTTTTTTTCTGATAATTTCTACCAAACATTTGAGGCAGAAATGATCCAAACTCTCTACAATGTCTGCCAGAAATAGAAGCAAAGAGAATATTTGCAGACTCATTCCGAGGTTAGCATTACCCTAATGCCTAAAACAGGTAAAGAAATTATAAAAAAGAAAAACTATGGGCCAATATTTCTCCCTAACATAAATGCAAAAAATATCAATAAAATGCTAGCAAGTTTAATTCTTAAAAATTATTTTAAAAAAGCTTAAAGAGAATTATATACCACAACAAAATGAGATTTATTTCAGGTATGCAAGCCTGGTTCAACATTAGCAAATCAATGTAATCCACCACATCAACAGGCTTATAGAAGAAAAATCATATTGTTAAATGCAGAAAAACCCTTTGAAAAAAGTTAACTCCCATATATGACAGAAATTCTTAGAAAAACAGGGATAGAGGGGAACTTCTTTAACTTGATAAAGAGCATCACAAGCAAACCCCACAGCTAGCATTATTTTTAATGGTGAAAGACAGAATATTTTCATCCTAAGATTAGGGAAATGTCAAGAATGTGCACTCCTCACCTCTCTTATTCAACATGGTGCTGAAAGTTTCAGCCAGTGCAATAAGTCAATAAAAGGAAATAAAAGCTGGCCGAGCGCAGTGGCTCACATCCATAATCCCAGCACTTTGGGAGGCCGAGGCAGTTGGATCACGAGGTCAGGAGTTTGAGACCAGCCCGGCCAACATGGCGAAACCGCATCTGTACTAAAAATACAAAAAATTAGCTGAGCATGGTGGCACATGCCTGTAGTACCAAATATTTGGGAGGCTGAGGCGGGAGAATCGCTTGAACCTGGGAGGTGGAGGTTGCAGTGAGCTGAGATTGTGCCACTGCACTCCAGCCTGGGTGACAGAGCGAGACTCTTGTGTCTCAAAAAAAAAAAAAAAAAAAGGAAATAAAAGCCATACAGATCATAACTGCATGGTGGGTACAGGGCTACTTCTCAAGTTCACCCCACAATATGTATGATTAATAATCCTACAGTCTATTTTCTGTCTAAAATGTGTTTGTACTGGAGCCCATAAGAACACAACCATCAGATTAAGAATTCCAAGCTGGGTCCAAGTAGAACCAGAGGAAAGGATAACATGTAGCAGGCTACTAGGTCATTACTTCAGGTTACACCTAATGTAAAATAAAGAAATCCTCAAGATTCGCCTGTGGTTGCATTCAAGTCACCAGGATGGGATCATGGTAGATGATAAAATATTTAATTCAGAAGCACGAATACCCATTTTCTCAAAATGATCCTTGGATCATATAGGTTTTAAGAAAAAAGCCACAGTATTCTGGTTTCTAAAACCCTTCTCTTGGCAAGCTGTTTCTTATATCAGCTCACTCTTGCTCCTTAACAAACCACTCTAAAACTTAGGTACTTAACACAACCACCATTTATTTAACTTACGAGTCTGTGGTCTAAATCACCTCAGCTGATTTTTGTTGGATTGCTCAAGCCTCTGCTACACTCAGTGGGTGGTTTCGCTGATGGCTGATTAATTTAGGATAGTCTCACTCATATGACTGATATTTGGCAGCCTATCCACTGAGGCACATGGACAATGGTACCATGTGTCTGTCATCATCTAGCAGGTTAACACAGACTTTATCACATGGTAATCACAGGATTCCAAAAGCAGTACATGAGCAAGCTACAATGCACTAACATATTTCAAGCTTCTGTGGTCCTACCTTTGCTTGATGATCTGGCTCAATAACCTCTTTCAGAATGTTGAGTTCTCTCTCTGACTGCTATCTCTTAGCAGGAGCAACCTGAAGTGCACGGGTGACAGTTGTAGCTTAATTAATGGGACCCAAGTGGAAGCATTCCCCCTTTGAAAGGAGGTCTTCAAAACATGATGACCTCTATGCATCAAAATGGCATGGACAGTAAACATAAGTTCCCCTACCGAGTCTCTGACAGGAGGGCAAATAGGGCCACTCCTACTTTTACCCTTTGGTTCCCATATATTTGCCTACTTGGGACATAGTGCCATATACTTCACAGATTTAAAATGCATACTATCTCCTGAAAGATGATGCCCCACTCTTGTAAGGAATCATCTCTGAGCTGCTATCTTAGTTGTACTTTCAACAAATGCTTCCATCATTCTGTCAGGCCAGCAGCTGCTCAGTGGTATGGGATAGGATGTGACTGACATAACTGAATTCTAAGAGCATGTGCCCATTTCTGCACTATAGAAGAAAGGATCTAATGTAATTATCTGGCCTAATTGACTGCTTTCCTCAAAGGATGTTTCAGTGTTGTGCTCTATTTTTGTCAGATTGGACTTCTAGGAGCAGCAGTAGCTAGATAAGCTTGGTGAATGGGAGCCTATGTTATTGGAACCATGAATAGCTTCTGTCCTTGCCCACATGGCTTCTCTATCTTTGGAACCATTATACTATCACTGAAGTGGCTGATGCCAGAGGCTGACCGATGATAACTGAGCAAGTCATTTTCTCTGTTTCTTCAGTGCCTCTTCAACTGTGGATTATTTCTGGGGATCTATATTTGTTAACTATTGCTGTTTAACAAATTCCTCCAACTCTTGGCAACTAAAAATTGCTGTTTCTAGTTTACAATCTTTCAAGAGGTTGTAGTCAATTTGTTGCCTGAGGTTGCAGTCTGGGGACTGAAGGATCTCTCTCCAAGCTCACTCAGGCTGTTGGAAGAAGGCTTCTGTTCCTCACTACATGGGCTGTTCCAGTGATACCTGAGTGTCCTCATGACATGCTAGTTTGCTTCTCCCAGAGAAAGCTATACAAGAGAGAAGAGTCAGGAAACTACAGTGCCTTTTATAAACTAGTCTCCAGAGTTGCACATCACCACTTTCCCTTTATTCTATTCATTACAATGGAGTCACTAGGTTCAGCCTAAACTCAAGACGAGGGGAACCAGGAACCAGAGAAGATTATCAATGAATTTTTAAAACCACTACAACAAGTAATAAAAATATCTTCATACCATATGCTCATTCCCATAGATGCATCCACATGCCTCTACCCTACACTACCTCCTTGTGCTGGTCACTCAGGTTCTTTAGGAAGCAGACACAGAGATGGAGTTAGGAGTAAAAACAAGGTATTGGGGGAGGGGAGGTAACACCTGTGAAACACAAAAGGAGGAGACAGCATTTGGCAAGGGATTAAGCAAATCACAATGTAGGACTGATAAATGTCTCTCCAGCTCAACTGGGGGAATTCTGGAGCAGAGAGCTTATTAGAAGAACCCATTAGAGGGATCTTACTTTAGGCAGAAATGATTAGGCCCATGTACTGCCATTTTACTCAGTCATTGGCTGCCCTGAGAAGAGCATGGTCGTGGCTCAAAAGTAGAGGTGGACCTTGAATAAGTCAACAGCTATAGGTTGTCAGTTAACCATATTCTAGTAGTATGGCAGGAGGAACATGTTTGGCTCCCACCTACGTGGCTCTTGATACATCGTTGACCAATCTCGATGTAAATGGGCAAGTATAAAAGCTGTGCCCTAAGAAGGGCTTTGTGAGCCAAGGGCTCAGACCCCTCACAGATGGGAGCCTGGGTCATGCTATCAGTAAATCACCTTGAACAGCTGAAGGTGAGGGTCTTCTGGAGTTCACAGTAGAGGAGAGAGATAAGGACGATCATTTACATCCTTGAGATCAGGTGCAGTGTAGAGAACTGTGGTTAGTGCCACTTACATTCTACTTAAATACATTTCCCAGATACATGTACCTAATTTCTTTTTAATTGGCTCTAGAAAAGGTACCTTATTTGGTATGGCAATTGCAATTAGGGCAACTACTTGACGGAGTTTATAGTATCTATTTTCATTCCTCCAGGAACTATCTCAGTTTTGTAGAGATCAGACCAGTGGATCAAATGAAAATATAGTATCACCAATTCTGCAACTTTTAAAAATTGCATTAATTTCTACCATTCTTGACATGGAATATTGTTTTTTGATTTACTATCTTGGCCACATGGGGATGCAGTTTCAAAAACTTCCACTTAAACTTCCTTGCTATGATTACCCTTTCTTCCCAGGCCAAAGAACCAAAGTGGGAGTTGTGTCAACTATCAAGTATGCCCATTTAAACGATACCTTCAAAGACTAGGAAAATAAATCCGAAGTATATCTTTGGAACCAGTGGACCCTGTGAGCAGTATATGAGCCAGGATCCTATTACTTGACCCTCATATGTCTTCATTCTAATAGAGGGGCTGTGATGAGATTCTTGGTTCTCTGAGTAACAATATCAACTCAGATTCTGAGTTTAAGCAGTCCTTAAAATGTTTGTATATTTATCTTTCCTCAGAATATAGTTACCCAAATATAGGAGAGTCCTACTGTGATAGTATTAGATGAACTGTTACCACATACACTTTCTAAGAGCCCTTTTTGTTAGAGACCTGGCCTCTCCTTCAGTCAATGAATTTGGGGTTTGAAAACCAAAAATTTAGAAGAGGAATCATGAATTTTTAACTAAAGCAACTGGCCTCAGCCTTCTGGACATCTATTCTTGATTTCTTTTCATTGTATAGACTGAGTAGTATCTGTGTTGGCTGCCTGTCTATCTTGCCCCTAAGGACACCATGTTCTGGTCATCATCTCTTGTAACCCTCTGTGTCTCACATCTGCTGACTACCACTCAAACCTTGCTCTTCTTTATTGTAACTGCATCGACCTGACTCCTTACTGTTAAGCATTACCATTTTATCTCGGTTGTCTTAGAGTGTCATTTCCACCAGTTGGCCCAGTTCTTTAAGTGTATTGATTTCCCATTACTACTGTAACAAATTACCACACACAGTAGCCTAAAGCAACACAAAATTTCTTCTCTTGCAGATTTGAATGTCAAAATCCAAAATATGTCCACTAGGCTAAAATCAAAGTGTTACCTGAACTGCATTCCCTTGGATCCTCTAGAGAATAATCCATTTACTTGCATTTTCTGGCTTCTGCAGGCTGCCTGCATTCCTTAGTTCATTGCTGCATCATTCCAACCCCTACTTCCATTGTCACATTGCATTCTCTAACTCTGACCCTCCTACCTTTCTCTTATAAGGAGCCCCTGTAATTACTTTGGGCCTACCTATGTAATCCAGGATAATCTCCTCATCTCAGAATCCTTAATTTAATTAAATCTGCAAAGTCCCTTAAACTATGAAGGTTACACATTCACAGGTTCCGAGAATTAGGACATAGACATCTTTGGTCGAGGTGGGGTAGGCACTATTCAGCCTACTACAAATAGCGTCTGCTATCATCAGCCCTGGTCTACAGAAGAGAGCTACTGCTAAGACTCTGATATTGGTACTCCTCTCACCAAAATGTTCCTGATTGCAAACAGTGATGGTTCTAGGCCTTCCATGGAAACTAGGTATCTGGTGATCTTTCCATATACATGGTATATCCACTTTAGCATGCCCACTTTGCCTAGTCTTTTAATCCCTTATTTCACCCTCTGGGATGTCAATTCTAGCATTTTCTACATCGCTTATTGTGGCTCATCACTTTCTTCATACTACAAATTTCATTCTATCAGCATGCTTGCACTGTTTCCTAGGGTCCTTGCCAGGGTATCAAATCCTGTATCATGGGAGAGTGTTCCCCTGTTGTCCTTTTCTGACTTTAGCATACATCCCTCTTTGATTCCAGCTCTCCCAGAATCCAGTTTCATGTCTACTCACCTGGCAACAGGCATGTGGAATACCTTATAAGAGGAGTCTGGCAGTGGGCAAATGGTAGACATTCCTTTCAAATTTTAAATGTGATTTATGAAAAATATCAAAAATAAGATGATGAGGGGGGTAGTCCTGTTCTACTTGCACTGGGCAACCCTAAAAATAATTTTATGAGATTATAAACATATGACTTTAAAATGAAGCAGGAATTGTAGTCTAATTATTTAGTATTTAAGATAATGCCTGTAACTGTTTATAAAACATGTAATAAAGAAGCTATAATTTCTTCTGTTCTTGTCTTCATACAAGAACCAACTCCAAATTGTTGATGGTGTACACATTTTATAGCATTTCTCTCCAAATTGGGAAGCAAAGTCTATTAATTACAGCTAAACATTTGTATAACACTTAATAGTTTGCAAAACACTGTGCCTTATATTTGAGCATTTGATCATCATGACAATTTCATGAGAGATACTATCATCTTTAATATCTCTAATTTTACCAGTTAAAAACTTGATCCTCCAAGAGACTAAATAACATGTCTAAGATTTTTGATTAATCAATTGCAAAGCCAAGATTTAGCCTAGAACTCCTGATACTAGAGTGCATGCTCTATATTCACCTCTACCTTTTCTTTGGGTAAATTATGTTGGTCAAGACTATTTTATCAGTCTGGGACTTCTTTTTCTCTGAAAAATACAAGGAGTAATTGATTGATTTTAAAGGATCTTTCTAGTCCTACCTATTACTTCCTTTCACATACCACTGGTAGACATGGAAGTGGATAATTTTATTTACCTGCAAGAGCAACCAGAAGTGAAGAGAACTAGATACAATCAATAACTTATCAGATAGTAAATTTGCCACATAGTGATTATTTCCCAAGACTGAATCTAAACTTGAGTTGTCATATCCATCTTAAGACCTATACATGGTGAAATCCCATAAAATAGAAAAAAAATGAAGAATTTGAGGTAACTACTAAAATTTTTGTGGAACTTATCAAAGGTGGTTAAAAAAATAAAAATCTTATTAATGCAACGCATATTCTAACAGTGATTTACACAAATTTACACTTCGATCCAAGAAAGAGAATCTGATAGTACAGATCAAAAAATATTTAGTATAGATTTTATATTTCTCCAATTGTATTTTTCATTGAGCTAATTCAATGCAATAATTCTAACAATTATCTGAATGGATTAAGACTTTATAGTAATATTGTAAGGCCAAAAACATGAGTTGAAGTCTTGGTATTTCCACTTCAGCTGAGTGATCTTAAGCAAGTTAATATCACAGTGACTGAGTTCTCTCAGCTGCAAAACATTAGTACTTATTTTAGAGTGTTGTGAGGATGAAATGACTTAATACATATAATGCACTTAGTGTAGTGCTGAACATATTATAAATGCTATAGAAGATAGCATTATTAAAACCATAATATATTGCTACTGTTATTACATATGGCTGAATCTTAAAACCTGTATGATTTCCATAACTCCCATAGACTTTTGGTCATCTTCTAATCAAGAGCGAAGCTGTAGGTCTTTTTTTTATTTTTGCCCCAAACCCTGCTTAAATCGTGAGGAAAAGGCCTTAGAACAAGACTCATTATTCTTTTTCTTTGAAATGAGAGGCAGAGGGCAAGTTTAAAATCAGCAGGGAGACCATTATCCTAATCTAATTAATGCAGAAACAGAAAACCAAATACCCCATGTTCTCACTTACGAGTGAAAGCTAAATATTGAGTGCACGTAGACATGGGATGAGAACAACAGACACTGGGAACCACTAGAGAAGGGAGAGAAGGAGGGGAACAAGGGCTGAAAAACTACCTGTTGGGCACTATGCTCACTACCTGGGTGACGGGATCACTCATACCCCAAACCTCAGTGTCACGCAATATGCCCATGGAACAAATCTGCAAATGTACCCCCGAATCTAAAAGTTGAAATTGTATTAATAAATAATTAATTAAGATTGGGGGAAGGGAAAAGACAAATCAGAAGACTCTAGGCTTGTGTCTGAGCAAAGAGGAAATGCCAGGAAGCTAGGAAGTTTGCAAGTTCCTTTATAGAAAATGGCTGTGTCATACTTATTCTTTACTATCATATCATGTTGCTAATCTCATAAAATACTTTTAAATTTATTTGAACTCAAGAAGAGTACACCACAGTGCCTGTCTCTGTCAGTTTGAGCTACTACGACAGAATATCACAGACTGGGTGGCACACATAACACCTATTTATTTCTCATTTATTTCTGGAGGCTGGAAGTCCAAGATCAGGATGTCAGCATCGTCAGGTTCTCGGAGAGGGTCCTTGATACGGTTTGCCTCTGTGTCTCCACCCAAATCTCATCTTGAATTGTACTCCCATAATTACCACATTCTATGGGAGGAACACGGTGGGAGATAATTTGAATCAAGGGGGCAATTTCCCTCATACTGTTCTCATGGTAGTGAATAAGTCTCACAAGATCTGATGGTTTTATCAGGGGTTTCCGCTTTTGCACCTCCTCATTTTCTCTTGCTGCCACCACGTAAAAAGTGCCTTTCACTTCTCGCCATGATTCTGAGGCCTCCCCAGTCATGTGGAACTGTAAATCCAATTAAACCTCTTTTTCTTCCCAGTCTAGGGTATGTCTTTATAAGCAGCATGAAAACGAACTAATACAGTATATTGGTACCAGTAGAGCAGGGCGTTGCTGAAAAGATATCCAAAAACCTGGAAGCCACTTTGGAACTGGGTATCAGGCAGAGGTTGGAACAGTTTGGAGGGCTCAGAAGAAGCCGGGAAAATGTGGGAAAGTTTGGAACTTCCCAGAGACTTGTTGAATGGTTTTGCCCAAAATGCTGATAGTAATATTGGACAATAAGGTCCAGGCTGAGGTGGTCTCAGATGGAGATGAGGAACTTGTTGGGAAACTGGAGTAAAGGTGACTCTTGCTATGTTTTAGCAAAGAGACTGGTGGCATATTGCCCCGCCCTAGAGATTTGTGGAACTTTGAACTTGAGAGAGATGATTTAAGGTATCTGGTGGAAGAAATTTCTAAGCAGCACAGCATTCAAAAGGTGACTTGGGTGCTGTTAAAGCTTTTCATTTCAAAAGCGAAAAAGAGCATAAAAGTTCAGAAAATTTGCAGCCTGACGATGCAGTAGAAAAGAAAAACCCAGTTTTTGAGGAGAAATTCAAGCTGGCTGCAGAAATTTGCATAAGTAACAAGGAGCCAAATGTTAATCCCCAAAACAAGGGGGAAAATGTCTCCAGGGAATGTCATAGGTCTTCATGGCAGCACCTCCTATCACAGACCCAGAAGCCTAGGAGGAAAGAATGGTTTCATGGGCCCGGCCCCAGGACCTTGTGCTGTGTGAAGCCTAGGGACTTGGTGCCCTGTGTCCCAGCCATTGCTAAAAGGGGCCAAGGTACAGCTCAGCCCATGGTTTCAGAGGACGTAAGCCCCAAACCTTGGCAGCTTCCACATGGTATTGAGCTTGTGGGTGCACAGAAGTCAAGAATTGAAGTTTGGGAACCTCCGTCTAGATTTCAGAAGATGTACGGAAATGCCTGGATGCCCAGGCAAAAGTTTGCTGCAGGAGCGGGGCCCTCATGGAAACCTCTGGTAGGGCAGTGAAGGGAAATGTGGGGTTGGAGCCCCCACACAGAGTCCCTACTGGGGCACTGCCTCGTGGAGCTGTGTGGGGGCTCCACTAGGAGCAGGCCACTGTCCCCCAGACGCCAGAATTGTAGATCCACTGACAGCTTGTACCATGAGCCTGGAAAAGCCACAGACACTGAATGCCAGCCTGTGAAAGCAGCCAGGAGGGGGGCTATACCCTGCAAAACCACAGGGGCAGAGCTGCCCAAGACTATGAGAACCTACCTCTTGCATCAGCATGACCTGGATGTGAGACATGGAGTCAAAGGAGATCATTTTGGAGGTTTAGAATTTGACTGCCCTTCGTGCCACGCACTCCAGCCTGGGCGATGAGCGAGACTCCATCTCAAAAAAAAAAAAAAAAAGAAAAAGAAAAAAAGAATTTGACTACCCTTCTGGATTTCGAACTTGCATGGGCTCTGTAACCCCTTTGTTTTGGCCAATTTCTCTCATTTGGAATGGCTGTACTTACACAATACCTGTACCCCCATTGTATCTAGGAAGTAACTAGCTTGCTTTTGATTTTACAGGCTCATAGGCAGAAGGAACTTGCCTTGTCTCAGATGACACTCTGGGCTGTGGACTTTTGGCTTAATGCTGAAATGAGATAAGACTTTGGGGGACTGTTGGGAAGGCATGATTGGTTTTGAAATATGAGGACATGAGATTTGGAGGGGTCAAGGATGGAATGATATGGTTTGGCTCTGTGTCCCCACCCAAAGCTCATCTTGAATTGTACTCCTATAATTCCCACATGTTGTGGGAGGAACCTGGTGGGAGATAATTTGAATCATGGGGGCAGTTTCCCCCCATACTGTTCTTATGGTAGTGAACAAGCCTCACAAGATCCAATGGTTTTATCAGGGGTTTCTGCTCTTGCATCACCTCATTTTCTCTTGTCATCACCATGTAAGAAGTGCCTTTCACCTCCTGCCATGATTGAGGCCTCCCCAGCCATGTGGAACTGTAAGTCCAATTAAACTTCTTTTTCTTCCCAATCTTGAGTTTATCTTTACAGCAGCATGGAAACAGTCCTTTTCCTGAAAACAACCTCACATGGCCTTCCTTGGTGTGAGAACACACACGGAGAGAGAGAATCTTGTCTCTCTCTTCTTCTATGGATGCTAATCCCATCATGAGGGCTCTACCCTCATGACCTCATCTAAACCTAATTACTGCCCAGAGGCCTGACCTCCTCCTAATATTATCCCACTGGGGGTTAGGATTTCAACAGATGGGTGGCAGGGGACAGGGCACAAACACACAGTCTAAAACAAGTATCTTCCTGGTTACAAAAGGGGAAATATAATCTGCAAAAACTAAAGTATTTTAATAATTGACAATTTAAAAGTCAATCACTAATCACTACTACACAAGTTACTACTACTTGTAGAATTATTTAAGTAATTAATTTTGGACTTCAGGTAGAAATGATCTTTAAAAAATTATGAGGTAAAAAATAAGCATAAAATATATTAGTAGCTTAATAACATATTCAAAGTTCATGTAGCCTGTAAGGATATTTGATGACCTCATGGTAGAATCACATCAATTGGGTGCAGTGGCTCATGCCTGTAATCCCCACACTTTGGGAGGCTGAGGCAGGTGGATGGCTTGAGTTCAGGAGTCCAAAACCAGCCTGGGCAACATGGCGAAACCCCATCTCCACATCTCCACAAAAGATACAAAAGTTAGTTGGGCATAGTGGTGTGCTCCTGTGGTCCCAGCTCCTCAGGAGACTGAGGCACGAGAATAGCTTGGACCCAGGAGGCAGGGTTGCAGTAAGCAGGGATGGCACCACTGCACTCCAGCCTGAGTGACAGAGTGCGATTACCGTCTGAAAAAAAGAAAAAAAAAGAAAGAAAGGCTGTGGTCTGGGGTGGACCGAGGCTCAAAAGATAGACAAAATGAACTCTTAAAACCTATCAAACTTGTTAGTAGGATTAGATACAGCTGTGTATGCGAGAAAGCTTCAAAATATGGGCTTAAAGGAAACAGCAGTTCCTGCCTTGTCTGGCTGTCATTCTGTTATCCTGCCCCAAGATCCAAAATGGCTGTTAAGCTCCAGCTGTTTTCATGCCCACATTGCAGGTAGTGGAAAAGAGTAATTAAGAGTAAGTGTAGCAAGATCACAGACCTCCGCTTTTGAGGAGACTCCCTGGAAGTTCCACACAACACTTACACTTAACATTTCATTGCCCATTCATTTATGTGGCCATTAATATCTGAGAGGGAGGCTGGAAAATGCAGCCTTATACTGTGGCAATATGCCAGCAAAATATTGGTGTTCTGTTACTGAGAGGGATGGAAAGAGCTGCTGGGGTAGGCAATTAAGATGCTCTGCCACAAGTTCATTTATCTAAGTCATAATTAAAGAAGTTCTATTAATTTAGGCAGAATAGAAAACACAAATACATATTTGATGGATATCTTTGAAACATTAATTCATAATGGAAAGTGCCTGTCTTCAAGTGTCTAAAATAAAAATCAACACGTTGGTATTTGAGTAGCAGTGGATGGCATCAACAAGGTTAACATAGCTGTAGAATAGTGATTAAATCTGGGCCCTGGAGCCAGGCCATCTCGGTGGAGTTCTGGTATTAATTGTATGGACTTGGACAAGAAATCTTGGCACATTCAATTCATCTGTGAAATGGAGAAAATGATACCTATTTGTTGAGGTTGTTGTGATAAGGAAGTAAATTACAAATGCAAAGTTAATAAATATAGAACTGTGCCTAACACCTAGCCAGTGCTTAATAAATACTAGCTTTTATTATAATTTGTTTCATTAGTATTATATCTCAAGCACATATTATCTAATAGCCTTCATACTATATGATATATATAATAAAAGAAAGTTTGTTAAATGTATGTTAGTTTTATGCTTATTTAATTTACATTTCATCTTAGACTACTCATTATTACTGAGTATAAAGTCTAATAAAATAAATCCATATTTCATAAAGAATTGTAAATAAATGCATAGACTGCTAAAGAAAACAACTATAAAACTTAATAATATTATAAGTAGGACTGTATCTTCAGCATGAATTATTAGTATATATTTTTGCAGTATTAATAGCCAAGAAAGTCATATATGGTATCCAAAAAAGGTAACAGAAGAATAAAATTATGTTCAGCTTACTTGATCCTAATTGTAAGTATATTCCACATAAGGATATTGTGGAATAAAGCCCATATTCCTATTGGTGAAATTTCATTTATTTAAAGTTTCATGAAATCTGCTCAGCATTCTATGTTAGTGTCTTGGAAATAATCAGCTCTCTGATATTATTTATAAAGTATACTCATTAAAGGAACTGTGACTATTTTGATATACTGACAAATTGCACCCTCCAGTGGAAAAAATGTTTATCCATAAAACTTTAATGTGTTTCTGCATTGCAGCTGTAATATATTCAAAGTCGCTTCTGTCTAAAATTCTTTTAAATGTAATTGTGTTTTATGACCTGAATATACAGAATGAATATATATCTCACTCTATTTGATATACATTATACTTTTTGGGTCCCCAGGAAGTTCCTCTGAGTTTCAGACTCCATTATGTAAACAGGACATTAAATATTGGCTAAGTACAAGAGCTTTAAAGAAAAATTTTTTCGGTACAAGAGCTTTAAAGAAAAATTTTTTCGGAATTATTATTAACGTGTCAGTCTTTATAGACATGAGTCCATTCCAAAAAGTAGAACTCATCCACTTCCACTTAATATTCTACAGGATGAAGTTGGACCACAAACCATAGTACCTTACACAGGGGGAGAAGTTACTGAACTAAAAATATTTTATGTTCATGCCTCAATGATTTTTGTGTGTATAATTAAAAGCATCTATACTCCACAAGGCTAGTTTCTTCTTACATAAATGTAATATTTTTAGTATCCATACTAGAGTATGGGTCACCAAACTTGAAGAAGGTTAAAAAACAGCCATCCTCTGTCAATCAGAAAGAGTTCCAAAACTAAGTGACTGTATAAGCACATCCATATTTTAGGGCTATTCGAAGTTAAAAACCTTTCCTCTTGTTTCAGAGATACTTATATCAAATGAAGACATTTACAAATTGTTCATAGTATACAACAGTCCAAATATGATTTTCACCTATGCTGTGTAAAGAAGTTAAACATTCATAAGTTTCTCTAATAAATTCAGTGCATTTTTCCATAATAAATAACACAAGCTATTCTAAATGTTTTAATTTCTTTCAGTGCATATTTCCAAACTCATTAAAGGGAATGAAATCGTGTTATTAAATGGCTATGATATATTTCAGTATATTATGGAATCTACACTGTACAGTTTGATTCACATCAATACTGTAATTCACTCTAAAAAAAACCATAGGCACACACAAAATAGAGAAGAAATGTGAGGTTTTAATAAATTTAAAGTATGCTATCTACTTTAAACCACAATGTATGATATATTTTAACAAAACAGCCAATTTCCAAACCCCTTTTCTAATTCTGGCACAAGGAATATTCAATCTATTCGAATCTTCTGGTTTGTAATCCTATAAATGATGCTATCATATCCAGGATCCATGTTCCAAATATTGTAAGAAGTGATAATCACAGCCAGGGCCAAGGCAATCATTATCCAAAGTATCATGTTGAAAATCACTGAATATTCAAAATTATACGCAAGGTTATAGGGACTTGCTGGGTTCTTCACTTATTTTGCCTCAAAGATAGTCCTTGTCTTCCTCATAAGGGAGGTGTCAAATGACTTAATAGTGACTAACTCTACCACTGCATTCCCACTGTAAAGATTGTACATGTTATCTGCAAACTCTTGCAGAGCGTCAACAGGATTTTAGAAGCAACTATGAATTGTTCAGAGTCTTCCCTGTAATGCTTCCCAATTTCATCCAAACCTGCCAGCTCCAGTGAATATAAATCAGGAGAATGATCCTTGGCTAGATGCTTATGACAAGACACCAAGCTTGAAATATCATGTAGCACTTGGAGTTCAGAAAGAAAGAGCAAGTCAACTCCATTGTTCCTACTCAGAGAATTCAGGGGAAATGAACTGAGAATGGAGTTTTCCTGAAACAAGTAATTATGGAGCTGTCCTAAGGTGACTGAAAGGTCTTCAAACACTGAGTTTGCCTTCCCTACCAAATACACTCTTTCCTCACTAGGAGCCAACTGCAAAACAACAGGAGTTTCGTCAGAAAATAAAGAGCGAATGGAATTTGCAACACTGCCAAGACCAAACGGAACTGCATTCTCCAAAGGGTATGAAATGACACTGCCTGGTGGTAGAGCCAGTTTGTCCACTCCCTTCACCATCACCATGACGGTAGCCCGAGGACGATGAAATAGGTCACCTACTGCAAGTCCTGGCCAAGAAAGGTTTTCCTTCACAGAGAAGGCCATGGACAATGCAGCCACGTCTGGGATTCACTCTCCCGGTATAGGCCAATTTCCATTTCTGAAAATAACAGACCAAGAACTAAACTCGTTCCCTCAAACACCCGCCACCAACGACAGGAGCACGGCAAACACAATCATGGTGCCGCTGCGGCCGCGCAGTGCAGGGCAACAAGGAGCGGGCCGGCAGGACACAGGCAAGCACTGCGGTGTGACTGGGTGACGGCATTAGGACTCATCCTGACTCCTGGGGCTTGTCCTTTCATCGCCTAAAGGAATATATTTTTTAAAAAAAGTAAAAAATAAAATTATACCTGTATATATTGAATATTTTCTAAAAGAATATCCTCCACTATATATTTGATATAGAAATATTTTATAGATATTCCTGTGAGCAAAGATTTTGGTTGGAAAGATCTGTAGTTGCCCAATATTGGAAGAGGAATTTAAAAAAATGGTTAAATAAAAATTGAAGCATCACCTATTCTTGTCATAAATGGAAGAGAGGAGGAGCAGGGCAAGGAAAATAGTACTTTCAGTCACTGAGCATATGTCAGGATCAGGGCTAGGTGGTTAGATATACAAAGTCATTCCACCACCACCCAACCCCAATTTTATAGTGATTCAAAACAGGTTCATACAGCCTCTTTATTATTTTTTTTTAACTAAAGTCCTCTTAATGACAAAGGAAATTGAATATGGGCTGCAAGAAATATGAAGGCATATCCCACAGCTACTACTAATCAGTGAGAAATGTCTTTATTTTTTAAATTCGTCAGGCAAATGTTTCATCCTACTTCAAAATATATGTGCTTTTTGTCAGTGTAAAAAATGTTTATGACTGCTAGTAAAATTATTTTTCAGAAAGAACTGAAACACTGAGCACATCTCTCCATTTTTCACTCCAGTCTGAGGAGCATAAAAGCTAATACTAACAGAATGTGATGAGGTATGGTTTGAACACAGAGGGTCTTGACTCTAAAACTGAACTCATCCTACAATATTCTACACTAATTCTATAGTTATCAAATCTTTCCCACCAAAATCTTTGCTCACCCCTTGTTTTATCTTCCCGTTTCTTATGAATCAGTGGCATACTATCAGGCAGTTATCACCTAAAACTGAGGCCCTTTTCTTAACTGTCATTTCTGCTAGAAGTTGGCTTTATTCCTCATTGGCTTTCTTCTCTCTACCCAACATGGCCTCTAAAAATCTCTTCTATTTTCCTAATTATACTCTATCCTTCACTTTACACACCTTATGCACCCCAGGCAAAACACAAGTATCGTAGTCTGTGACTACCTTTTTATGTTTAGCCTGCCCGTTAGAAGACATGTAGATCTCTTCCTTATAGAGAATTGTATTAGTCTGTTCTCACACTGCTATACAGAACTACCTGAGACTGGGTAATTTATGAAGAAAAGAGGTTTAATTGACTCACAGTTCCACAGGCTGTACAGGAAGCATGAGTGGGAAGCCTCAGGAAACTTACAATCACATTGTAAGGCAAAGGTGAAGCAAGCACGTCTTACATGGCAGAGCAGGAAAAGAGGTGGGGGAAGGTGCCAAACACTTTTAAATGATCAGCTCACTATCACCAGAACAGCAAGGGGGAAATTCACCCCCATGATCTAATCACCTCTCACCAGGCCCCTCCTCCAATTCGACATGAGATTTGGGCAAGAACACAAATCCAAACCATATCAATAATTATGCTAAGAAATACATTTTTCTTCCTGTGTTACCACTTTGCCAAACATTAGCTGTCATTGACAAAACAACCTAAAACTTCTCAAAAGAAAGCAAACGCAATAGTTACCTTTGCTCCCTAAAGCTCTTGTAGCCCATGGTCTGACACCCTCCCTGCTCCCATCTCCTTGGATCTTGTCTCATCTCAGAAGTCCCTGTCTGAAACCAGGGCCTAGGTATTCAGCTGTCAGGGACGGTTTGTTCTCACCTGTCTTGAATGCCTAATCCAATGTTTTTATGTTGCTGGTCCACATTTTATTTTACTTCTTCTAAGTTCATTATTTACTTGTTTATACATCTTTTTACATTATTTTACTTAGTTCTTACTTTTTATTCATCTCTTTTAAAAATACTTCATTTCCTAAACTCTTTATCCAATTTGTTTTATTATTTAACACTTTACTGTGTTCCTTTTATTCCTTTTCTTTTTTGCAATCAATTTTAGTTAATTTTTTTTCTTTCAGCCTCTCCATGTTAAATAGTAGGTCAGACCCACAAAGGAGAATAAAGAAAGAGGATGACTTGTGTCTACTGGAGGAAATGTACTAATCAGAAAAACACACAAAAAAAATTATAGCTATGTTAAGTGTTACCAAGAAGAGGTATGCAGTTTCAGGAAAACATGTGACTGGGTCATTATCCTAGTCAGAGAAGTTAGCAAAAGCTTCCCTAAAGAAAAGATGAACTCTTCTCATGGAAGGATGAAAATATGTAAGACAGTGAGTGCCACTGACACAGAGATAGTACTACACAACCGTTTATGAGGAGAGAACAAGCAACCTGACTTACAGGAAGTAAAAGAAGATCATTGTGGCTGGAGCACAGAGAGAGGGAAACATAGTATAAAACTTAGAGGTAAGTGCAGTTTAGATCATACAAGTTTTGTTGAGAATTTTGGTGTGTATCTTAAAACCAAATGGAAGCCATTCAAATGCTTCAGCAAAGCTAAGAGGAGTAATGTGAGGATATTTGCATTTGAAATCTTACTCCTCTGCGTATTCGCTGTGCGACATGACTTTGGACAAGTTTCTCAATCTCTCTTAGCCTCATCTGTGAAATGGCAAGAACAATAGTCATTATATTAGCAGTCGTATAAGAAGTAGTAATGGTAATAATAGGTAAGCTTTATGGACCTGGCACTAGACAGTGTCTCATGGATTGTCTCTTTTAATCCTCTGTGATGTACATACTATTACTATCAGCCCTATTTTTCAAGTGAAGAAAATAAGGCACAAAAATCAAGTGAAAGAAACAAAACAGTAAGTGGTGGATTATCTATTTCATAGGATTTTGTGAAGATTAAAAGTGTTGCTAGACTAAACTAGTTACCACAGAATTCAGGACATAGTAAGCATTTGATAAACCTTTATGTATTTGAGGTTCCAGTTTCAAATAAAATTATGAGTCAGATTTTTAAAAACATTATCCAAGGTTGAATTCTCATCAATGACAATTTCTTTTTCTTGTGGCCAATTTTGTCATACTCATGTCTTATGCTTATTTTTAAACACATTATGAGCCTTTTCAGTGGCCATGACAAACCTACCAGCACTTTCAATTCACTTGGGCTCCCATAGTACTTGTTAGCTACATGAGCTTTAGTCCTCTTACTGTCTATGCCTCAACAACCCTGTCCTCCTCTCCCCATCAAGCCTTTCCACTGGGCTTGCTGCTATGATAAATCTGTTTTCCTAACTCTTAACTTCTTCACTAAATACTCCTTCCAACTTCTAGCCTTAACTTAAAACTTGTTATTCCCTGAGGATATTGTTTTTCCTGCAGCTGCTCAAATAGGTGTTTCCTACTACACATCCCTCCTCTCTTTGTTCTCCAGTACTACTTCCAGTCCATTATCCCTTCAAATTAATGTAAAAATAAATTAGCTCCTTTGAAGCCCATGTGTCTGCCTGTATCATGTCCTGCTCTCCTATTCCCTGCCATCCACAAACCTTGTATCATCCACAGTCAAGGGACTTTTACACGTACACAGCCCACACAACATCCTTTTCTCTTGGGGTTATGGATCCAACTTCATTGACCTCCACATTTATTCCACTCAAGTGAAACACCAGAATAGAGGTCATCAATAGGGCCTATGGGCCAAAATGAGGCTAAAAATCTTGTTTTATTTGGTCCAGGAAAATTTAAAAATATATACTTTACATGACTGGCACTGAGTCACCATAAATCCATACTCATATATGAGAATCTCTAAAAAGGCACTTTCTTCACTAATTATATAAATGAGTTCTAGCAATCACCCGGTACCCTTCAATCTCAAATTACTCTCTCAAGGTTGCTTTGTATAACCCAACTAGAATTTAAAAAGTTCTTGCCAGTAGCAGAGTACTTCCTGACACAACATCAATTTTGAGAGTCATTCTGTTTCATGATAAACTGACACACCTTTCTTGTTCCTTGCCCGGCATAGGTGGCAAGCTCTGACTTTGACTCTAAAGTCTAGAAGAGTCTGCAAGCACTATGACATCATCTGCTCTCTTTATGGTACTTTTAACAATTTTTAATTTTTTTCATTATGAAAATGCATGTTTATAATAGAAGAGCTGAAATTGTTTTTTAATTGAAGAAAATAAAATCTTACATCACCCCACTACACAGAGACAACCTCTGTTAATATTTGGGTGCAATGTCTTCCCATCTTTACTCAGTGCAATTCCTTCCTATATATGTGATCATGCCCTATGGGCAACAAGTACTATGTTTTTCACATAAAAATTATTACATAAGTATTTTTCTGTTGTTACAGTCTCTTATACTGTTTTGAGATATAGTTCATATATCATAAAGTTCACCATTTTAATACGTGCAATTTGATGGATTTTAGTATGTTTGTGAGGTTGTGCAAAATGACCACTATCTAATTTTAGAACAGTTTCATCACCTCCAAAAAACCCATACCCAATAGCAATAATTCCCCATTCCCCTCTCTCTCTATCCCCTACCAACTACTAATCTACTTTCCAACTCTATAAATTTGTATTCTGGACATTTTGTATAAACAGATTCATACTATATGTGGTCTTTTGTGTTTTACTTCTTTCTCTTAGCATGTTTCCAAGGTTCATCAATGTTGTAGCATGTATCAGTATTTTATTCCTTTTTATGGCTGAATAATATTCATTTGCATGGATATACCAAATTTTGTTTATCCGTTCATCAGTTGATGGACATTTGCATTGTTTCCAATTTGAGGCTGCTATGAATAATACAGCTATCCTTCATGTACAAGTTTTTGTGTGAACATGTGCTTTCAACTCTCTTAGGCATATACACTGGATTAAAATTTCTGGGTCACATGTTTGATGTTGAGGAACTGACAATCTGTTTTCCAAAATAGGTGCATCATTGTATATTCTCACCAACAACAATTTTAAAATTATGGCCATCTTAGTAGGTATGAAATGGTACTTTATTGTGATTTTGATTTGTATTTCCATCCATAAGTACTAACAATATTGAGCATCTTTTCATGCGTTTATTGGCATTCATATGTCTTTGGAAAAATATCTATTTCAATTCGATGTACACTTTAAAAATTGGGTTGTTTTTTATTATTGATTTGTAAGAGTTCTTTATATATTCTAGATACTAGATCCTTATCAGATTTATGAGTTTCAAATATTTTCTCCCATTCTATGGGTTGTCTTTTCACTTTCTTGAGAATGTCCTTTCTTTATGGGACTTTTATGAGAAGGGCTTGAATGTCACTTTATAACCATGCTTTCCTCAGTTGGTCTTTCTCTGAAGATCATAGAGTAAATGTTTCTCACAAATCACAAGGAACTGTCCTCATTCCTGACCTATGGCAGCTGACACTCATGTAGGTCTTTCAAAAGACCCTGTAGGCCCTCTTCAGTTTTGACCTCATTGCAGTACACTATTATTCTCTTAACTACTGTGATACCTGAGTACTAGTTTTATAAAATTTCCAGTGCCCTAGTTTAAATAAATAATCTAGCTCTATATCCTTTTGAATCATAATTAATTTTTAGTGAAGGTAAATATCATGCCAGGATTTATAATAATTTTGGATTCCTCCAATGAAAAACTTGTATCTTTACACTAACTTAAGGGTAACAGAGTAGCTCAATATCAGCAAGATACAGTATTGTAGTATACTTCTGGCTTCTTACTAATGTATAATTGACGATTTCCAGCTAGTTTATTTATTCAAAACTATTTACTGACTTATTATCAGGATCTATACATTTTACTGGTTATTAAGGATACAGCTGTAAATAGAATTAATATGTCTTCTGTCCTCATAGATATTTTGGTTCCATAGGTGAGTAGGCAAGCACCCATGTTAATATGGGAGCTATAGTGTTCTGAGAGCAAACAAAAGAGGGACATTACCTGTATATGAATGCACAGCAAACTTCTTCAAGGAGAAAATGACTAACCTGAAACTATTTGAATAGATTAATGGGACTATACCAAAATGGGGGTAAAGTGGTAACATACTGGAGGAAGAATATTCTAAGGAAAGGAAACTCTACATTCAGAAGGCCAGATGGGAGGCAAAAGAGCATGCTGTTAAGTTTAAGAAATTTAAGGATCTTCCAACTCCTGGTTGATATGATTAAGTAAAAACTGACAAGCAATTTAAGGACATTTAAATCTAAATAAATGTTCCTATTGCAAAGAAAAATGCAGATATATGTTCCAATAGATTAAATTGAGACCTAGTTACATTCTTTATTGACATATGTCATTGATATAAATGATGTATGACTGGATTAATGGGAAAAGTTCTGAGATGCAATAACTTCTGGGGTCCTTTATTCGGGAAGGAGGTTTAATTGACTCACAGTTCTGCATGGCTGGGAAGGCCTCAGGAAACATACAGTCATGGTGGAAGGGAAGCAAACACGTTCTTCTTCACATGGTGGCAGGAGAAAGAAGTGCTGGGTAAAAGGGGGAAAAGTCCCTTATAAAATCATCAGATATCATGAGAACTCATTCACTATCAGGAAAACAGCATGGAGGTAACTACTTTGCTGATTAAATTACCTCCCGCCGGGCACAGTGGCACATGCCTGTAATCCCAGCACTTTGGGAGGCTGAGGTAGGTGATCACCTGAGGTTGGGAGTTCGAGACCAGCCTGACCAACATGGAGAAACCCTGTCTCTACTAAAAATACAAAAGTAGCCGGGCATGGTGGTGCATGCCTATTATGCCAGCTACTCAGGAGGCTGAGGCAGGATAATTGCTTGAACACAGGAGGTGGAGGTTGTGGTGAGCCGAGATCGTGCCATTGGACTCCAGCCTGGGCAACAAGAGTGAAACTGCGTCTCAAAAAAAAAAAAAAAAAAATCTCCCACTGGCTCCCTCCCATGTCACTTGGGGATTATGGGAACTACAATTCAAGATGAGATTTTGGTGGGGACACAGCCAAACTATACCAATGGCCATTATTATGCTGATGTACATTCTTTCTGTACCTAATTTGTTGAGTTTTTATCATTGAAGAATGTTGAATTGTGTCAAATACTTCTTCTGCCTCTATTGAAATGATCATGTTTTTTCCTTCATTCTGTTAATGTGTCACTTTTATGTTGAGCCATTCTTGCATCCCAGGGATAAAATACCACTTGATCAAGGCTTGTGATCCTTTTAATATGTTTTTGAATTCAATTTGCCAGTCTTTTTGTTTTGTTTTTACGATTTTTGTATCTATGTTCATCAGGGATATTAGCCTGTAATTTTTTTTTTTTCTTCAGTATCCTGGTCTGGCTTTGGTATCAGGGTAATGCTGGGCTCATGAAAAGAGTTTGGAGGTATTTCTTTCTCTTCGAGTTTTTGGAACAGTTTGAGAAGGATTAGTATTAATTGTTCTTTAAATATTGGTAGTATTTACTAGTAAAAGCTCTGGTCCTGGACTTTCCTTTGTTGTGAAGTTTTTCATTACTAATTCAACTCCTTGTTTTTTTATTTTAGTTCAGATCAGACTTTGTTTTTTACATGATTCAGTTTTGATTGGTTGTATGCTTATAGAAGTTTATCCATTTCTTCTAAGTTACCCAACTTATCAGTGTATAGTTGTTCATAGTATAGTCATCCCTCAGGATCCACAGGGGTTTGGTTCCAGGACCACCCATGGGTACCAAAATCCACACATACTCAAGTCCCAGAGTAGGCCCTGTGGAACTTGTGAATATTAAAATTGGGCCCTTCATATAAGAAGGTTTTGCATCTCATGAATACTCTTATTTTTCATTCATGTTTGGTTTCAGATGCTGAACTCATGCATATGGAGGGCAGACTGTATATATTGAAAAAAAAATCCACATGTAAGTAGACTCACGCAGTTCAAAGCCATGTTGTTTAAGGGTCAACTGTAGTCTCTTGCAATCTTTTGATTTTCTGTAGTATCAAATGTAATGTTTCCCGTTTCATTTCTGGTTTTGAGTCTTCTCTATTGTTTTCTTAGTCTAGCTAAAGGTTTGCCAGCTTTTTTTTTCTCCTTCGCAAACAAACAAACAAAAAAACCACGCAACTTTTAGTTTCGTTGATTTTTTTTCTAGCATCTATTTCATTTATTTTGGCTCTTATCTTTATCATTTTCTTCCTTTTGCTAGCCCAAACTAACCTTAGGCTTAGCTTGTTCTTCCTTTTCTACTTCTTTGAGGTGGAAAGTTAGATTGTTTATTTGAGAGTTTTCTTTTTTCTTAATGTAGGTGTTTATAAGTTTCACTCTTAGAACTGCTTTTGCTGTATTCTGTAAGTTTCGGTGTTTTGTGTTTCCATTTTATTTTGTATCAATATGTTTTTAAATTTCCCTTTTGACTTTTCTTTTTTGAACCATTGGTTGTTCAGGAGTGTGTTGCTTAATCTTCATATGTTTGTAAATTTTTCAATATTCTCCCTGTTATTGATTTCTAGCTTCATACCATTTCAGTTGGAAAAAATACTTGGTATAACATCAATCTTTTCAAATTTTAAAAGATTTGTTTGTGGCCAAATGTATGATCTAGCCTAGAAAATGTTTCAAAGAAGAGCTTCAATCTTATGATTGGTGATTGATTTCTGGTATACTTTTACTCAAGGCTAGGGCTTTCTGAGTCACATGGGATTTTTATTAGGACCCTTCCTTTTTTGAGGTCCTTATAACTTTAATTTTTATGTTTCTGTCTCACAAGTCTAAGGATCTGCTCTGCTCGTCTTATCAGCATTTCAGCAGCTGCTTTCTAATCAGTAACTATTTTTAGGGAGAAGCTCCCCCAAATGCCAGGATATCTTTTTGTGACTCTTTCTTCTTGCAAATCATGGCAACACAATTCCTTACACACAGACTTTGTAGCTCTTCTGCGCATTCAGAACAGACGTTCTGTTTAAAAACATTTTGTTGTATCATTCTCAGTAGGAGAGTTGGTTTGAATCACTTAATACACTATTACTTATACTGGAACTTCTCCATGCAAATTTTAGAAATTTTTATATGGTTGATTTAACCTTTCTTTTGTCTTAATTACTTGTAAATTCTGATTCATGGGAAATGCTATTTCCCATTTTACTGTTATTTAGAAGTTTGTTTGCATTTTGGTATAGTACTTTCATAGTTTCAATTTTTATACTGAAACCTTTGATCCATTTGGAATTTATCTAGATCTGTTGAGAAGTTTATATGAAACTTTTATTTTTGATGTTCACCTCTTTATCCATTCCCGTTTGCTGGATGGTCTATCTTTTTGCCATGGACTAGAAATTTTATCTTTTTATATAGTAAATTTGCCTGTAAATTTGGATCCATTTCTGAATTTTCTATTGTTTTGTTTCATTGTGTGTCTCTGTTCACGTGTCTGGGTGACACTCTTTTTAATGGCTTTATTTAGGCTTGTCATACAGTACTCTGTGTACATTTAAAGTGTATAATTTGATCAGTTATGACATATGTACACCCTGATGAAACCATCAGTATAATCAAAGTAATGAACAAAAGTTTTCTTGTGCCCTTTTGTAATTTATCACACTTCCCCTACCCTTGTTCCCCAGCTGTCTCCACACAACAAACTGATTGGCTTTCTGTTATAATAACTTGCAGTTTTTAGAATTTTGATCAGATAGAATAGAGTCCTTTTGTATTTTACTCAACATGTTATTTTGTGACTCATTTATGTTGTTGCTTTTATCATCAATTTGCTCTATTATTTGTGTGGTAGTAGTAGTATTTTATTATACAAACACACAAATTATTTATCCATTTATCGGTTTTTGGAGGTTTGGGTTGTTTCCAGTGTTTGGCTATTACAAGTAAATCTGTCATGATCTTTTGTGTATATAAGACTATATAGATATACACTTTTATTTCTCTTGGATAAGGATGGAATGGTTAGTTTGTATGGTATGTGCAAATTCAATGTTTTTGGAAATTGCTCAACTATTTTCCAAAGTGCTATACCAGTTTACATTCCCACAAGAAGTGTATGAGATTTTCAGTTTATCTATGTCCTCATAAACACTTGATATTGTTTGTCTTTATACTTTCGGTTATTCTAATGGATGTATAGTGGTATCTCATTGTGGTTTTAATTTGCATCTTCCTTAAAATGCAAATTAAAGATAAAAAAGATCTTTCCCTGTGCTCATCTTCTTTCATGAAGTATCTACTTAAATATTTTTTTCATTTTATATTAGTATATATGTTTCGTCTCATTGATTAGTTAAGAGTTCTTTTTATATTCTAGATGTAAGTTCTTTGCCAGATATATGCTTGCCAAATGTCTTTCACCAATGTGTGGCCTGCTTTTTTATTTTCTTAACATTGTCTTTTGAAAAAAAAATTTTAATATTGATGCATTTCAATTTGTTGATTCTTTAATTCTATAGATTAATTTGATAAAAATTAACATATTCATAATATGGATTTTTCCACTTTATGAATATGGCATATTATTGTCTGAAATAACCCCCAAATTTTATAAGCTAAAACCTAATCCCCTTTGTGGTGGCATTAAGAGGCAAGGCATTTTGGGAAGTGATTTTCATGAGAGCTCCACCTTATAATAAAAGGACCAGAAGTAACTAGCTTAGGCCTTCTGCCTTCTGCCACATGAGCACACAGTATTCATGTGGTGTATTCACCTCTTCTGCCATGTGAGGACACAGCAAGAAAGCCCTTACCAGACACTGAATGCTGGCCCCTTGATCTTGGACTTCCCAGACTTCAGAACTGTGAGAAATAAATTTCTATTGTATATAAGTTACCCAATCTGTGATGTCTTATTACAGTGGCACAGACTAAGGAAGCACATTTCTTCAATTATTAAGTCTTCTTTAATTTCTCGGAAGTCTGTTTTAGAGGTGGTGGTTAGGAAACAATGGCTGTTGGTATGCCAAATCCAACCTGTGGTTTATTTGGTGTGGTTCACAAAATAATTTTTACGGTTTTAACGTGTTGTTAGAATGCAGAAGAAAGTGGGATAAACACTAAAATATTTCATATTTGCTTCTTATAAAAAAGTTTTCCAGCCCCTGTCATAGAGAATTGTGTATAAATGTTGAACATAATTCATTAGCTTCACTTCCAGGTATTTTACGTTTGTGATGCTACTGAAAAACATCCGTTTATGATTAAGCTTATTTAAAATGTTATATTTCTGGTACAAAGTATTTGTTCAATATATATTCTATTGAATAAATGAAGAAAAACATTTTCATCTTTAGAAATAAACTTGTGAAACAGCTTGTTAAAGATGTTAAGGCCATGAGAGATCAGCAAAAGGAAGACACTGGAAAGAGATTCTAGAGTGTGTAGCTCTCCTTTCTTTCTTGGCCTTCTGCAGACTATACTCTCTCTTATGGGCCCTTGTCCCACCTGTTACTTTCTCTGACAAAAACTTTTGGCATCTTAGAGACATGGATGTTGGTACTACATGAATGAAGAAATCATATGACATTGTTTTCAAGTTTTATTTTCTTAATTTTCATTGCTGGTGTATTAGTCATGGTTTTCCAGACAAGCAGAAGCAATAGGCTCTTAGATAGGTAGACTGATTGTTTGACTGACTGGAAGGAATTGGCTCACATGATTGTGGGGGCTGGCCAGTCTGAAATCTGTGGGACAGGTCCACAGATGGGAAATCCTGGTAAGAGATGATGTTTCAGTCTTGAGACTGAATTCCGCAGGACAGCAAGCTGAAAACTCAGTTAGGGTTTCTACCTTGAATTCCTGGAGATAATTTCTTTTTCTTCATGAAAACTGTCCTTGCTCTTAAGGCCTTCAACTGATTGAATGAGGCCTACCACATTATGGAGGGTAATTTTCTTTACTCAAAGTCTACTTATTTGCCTGTTAATCACATATAAAACACCCCTCCACAGCAACATCCTCAGGGTGTTTGACCACATAATTGGGCACCACAGCCTAGCCAAGTTGACAAATAAAATGAACCATCACAGTTGTTACTGGTAAATACTATTTTATTTTGTACTTCAATGTTACATCCTGCAACTTCATTAACTAATAATTTCTCCATAGGGAAAAAATGGTGAATAGGGGGCAGGACTAACTTGCAGCTCCCACTTGGATGGACAGAGCAGTGTGTGGAGGCTCACATTGTGAACTTTTACTCCAAGAACTACCATAGGAACATACCAGGAAAGCTGAGATAATTCACAGACCCTTTGAAAGAAGCAGATAGCTGCCCTGGGATACAGTGGAAAAACTGTGAATGCCCAAAGTGTGAATGTGTAAAAGGGGGATCATCTGCCTCCAAATACATACCCCCACTGGGGAACCTGAAGGTCCAGATCACAGGGGAAGGATTTGGACTTACCTGGAGCTGAGACAAATTTAGAGAGCTGAGCGAAATACAGGAGTAGAAGACGCAGCAAGAAGAGCCCTATGCGCATTCTTGGTCCCCAGGGAAGCCATTTCTGACTTTGTCTCACACGGGTTTTTGGAAAGGGCTGCCAGGGGAACTGGGAAAAGACCGCAGGAGAGGCCAGGTGTTGTGGCTCACACCTGTAATCCCAGCACTTTGGGAGGCTGAGGCAGGCATACAACCTGAGGTAAGAAGTTCAAGACTAGCCTGGCCAACATGGGGAAACCCTGTCCTTACTAAAAATACAAAAAAATTAGCCAGGCATGGTGGCACTCGCCTGTAGTCCCAGCTACTCAGGAGGCTAAGGCAGGAGAACTGCTTGAGCCTGGGAGGTGGAGGTTGCAGTGAGCCAAGATCGCCACCACTGAACTCCAGCCTGGGCAACAGAGCGAGACTCCATCTCAAAAAAACAAAACAAAACAAAACAAAACAAAAACAAAAACAAAACAAAAATGGCAAGAGAAGGAAACTTCCAGCTGAACAATTTTGATTGAATGCAAAGTTTCTGGACAGAACCTGGGAGAGGGAGCAAATCGGGAGTGCAGACACAGCACAGAAGCTGAGGCATGTGGGGAGGCATGAAACCTGAAAGCTGTGCTTGCTTTCTCAGTTGGGAGGCTAGTAGCCTAGGGTAAGTTCTCAGCCCTGCTCACATGCCATCTGGAAATAAACTTGATGCTGTTGGCAGGGCATGATGGAAGTGAGACTGGCCTTTTGGGCTGTGTGGGAGCGGGGTGAGGTCTGTAAGTGCCAGCTTTCTCTCACTTTCTTGGTGACCTACATGCAGCAGAGGCAGCCATAATTCCCCTGGGAACGTAACTCCATTGGCCTGAGAACCACACCCCCATCCCTACAGCAGCCACAGCAAACACTGACCAAGGAGAGTCTGAGCTCAGACGCACCTAACCCTACCCCCACCTGATGGTCTTTCTCTACCTGCCCTGGTAGCCAAAGACAATGCACATAGTTCTTTGGGAGCTCTATGGCTCATCTAATGCCTGAGCCTAGGGCAAGTTTGTATCCTTCCCACACAACCGGAGGTGATGTGGTCTTGAAAGCATCACCTCCTGGCTAGAGGCCAACCAACAGAAAACCAGAACATTTAATAAAAATACAACCAAGTACCCTCACAGAGTCCACTTCACTCCCCTGCTACCTACACCAGAGCAGGAGCTGGTATCCACAACTGAGAAACCTGAAGACAGTTCACATCACAGGACTCTGCGCAGACACTTCTGGAGCCTGGTAGCTCCACTGGGTGGCTACATCCAGAAGAAAAATAAAAATCATTGCAGTTTGGCTCTGAGGAAACCACATACCTAGGGGAAGGGGGAGAGCACCACAATAAGGGAGCACTCCATGGGATGGAGGAATCTGAATAGCAGCCCTTGAGCCCCAGATCTTCTCTCTAACATAGTCTACCCAAAAGAGAAGTAACCAGAAAAACAATTCTGGTAATATGGCAAAACAAGGTTCTTTAACAACACAAAAAGATCACACTAGCTCAACATCAATGGATCCAAACCAAGAAGAAAACTCTGAATTGCCAGAAAAAGAATTCAGAAAGTTGATTATTAAGTAATCAAGGAGGTACCAGAGAAAGGTGAAGTCCAACTTAGTGAATTATAAAAACAGATACAAGATATGAAGGGAACAATCTTCAGTGAAATAGATAGTATAAATTAAAAAAAAATCACAACTTCTGGAAATGAAGGACATACTTAGAGAAATGCAAAATACACTGGAAAATCTCAGCAATAGAATTGAACAGGTAGAAGAAAGAAATTCAGAGCTCAAAGACAAGGCTTTTGAATTAACTCAATCCAACCAAAACAAAGAAAAAATAATTTAAAAAAAGAGCATAGCCTCCAAGAAGTTTGGGATTATGTTAAATGACCAAACCTAGGAATAACTGGTGTTCCTAAGGAAGAAGAGAAATCTAAAAGTTTGGAAAACACATTTAAGGGACTAATCGAAAAAAAATTTCCCCAGTTTTGCTAGGGACATAAACATCCAAATACAAGAAGCTCAAAGAACACCT
The DNA here is from genome assembly GCF_000001405.40 of Homo sapiens. NCBI lineage: Eukaryota > Metazoa > Chordata > Mammalia > Primates > Hominidae > Homo > Homo sapiens. The sequence continues at coordinate 197,207,724 of NC_000001.11, read as the reverse complement.
GGGAAATTTATTGCAAAAAGATAATCACCTAGGCACATAGTCATAAAGTTATCTAAAGTCTAGATGAAGGAAAGAATCTTAAGAGCCATGAGGCAAAAGTATCAGGTAACCCATGAAGGAAAACCTATCAGAATAACAGCAGATTTCTCAGCAGAAACCCTATAAGCTAGAGGAGATTGGGGCCCTATCTTTGCCCTCCTTAAACAAAATAATTATCAGCCAAGAATTTTGTATCCAGCAAAACTAAGGTTCATAACTGAAGGAAAGATACAGTCTTTTTTCAGGCTAACAAATGCTGAGAGAATTCACCACTACCAAGCACTACAAGAACTGCTAAAAAGAGCTCTAAATCTTGGAACAAATCCTCAAAATACACCAAAATAAAACCTCCTTAAAACATAAATCTCACAGTACCTATAAAATAAAAACCCAATGAAAAAAAAAAGGCAAGGTATTCAGGCAACAAATAGCACAATGAATAGAATAGTACCTCACATCTCAATAGTAATGTTGAATGTAAACGGCCAAAATGCTCCACTTAAAAGATACAGAATGGCAGAATGGATAAGAATTCACCAACCAAGTGTTTGCTGTCTTCAAGAGACTCAACATATAAGGAAGGGCTGGAAAAAGATATTCCATGCAAATGGACACCAAAAGCAAGGAGGAATAGCTATTCATATATCAGACAAAACAAACTTTAAAGCAACAGCAGTTAAAAAAGACAAAGAGGGAAATTATATAATGATAAAAGGCCTTGTCCAACAGGAAAATATCACAGTCCTAAATATACATACACCTAATACTGGAGCTTCTACATTTACAAAACAATTACTACTAGACCTAAGAAATGAGATAGATGGCAACACAGTAATATTGGGGGACTTCAATACTCCACTGACAGCACTAGACAGGTTATCAAGACAGAAATTAAACAAAGAAAAAATGGATTTAAACTATACTTTAGAACAAATGGACTTAAAAGATATTTACAGAACATTCTACCCAACAACTACAGAATATATCATCAGCACATGGTACATTCTCCAAGACAGACCATATGATAGGCCACAAAATGAGTCTCAATAAATTTAAGAAAACTGAAATTATAAAAGTACTCTTTCAGATCACAGTGAAATAAAATTAGAAATCAACTCCAAAAGAAACCCTCAAAACCATGGAAATTAAATAACTTGCTCCTGAATGATCATTGGGTCAACAATGAAATCAAGATAGAAATTTAAAAATTCTCTGAACTGAACAATAACAGTGACACAACCTATCAAAACCTCTGGGATACAGCAAAAGCAGTGCTAAAAGGAAAGTTCATAGCCTTAAATGCCTACATCAAAAAGTCTGAAAGAGCACAAATAGACAATCTATGGTCACATCTCAAGGAACTAAAGAAACAAGAACAAACCAAACCTAAACCCAGCAGAAGAAAAGAAGTAACAAAGATCAGAGCAGAACTAAATGATATTGAAACAAAAAAATACAAAAGATAAATAAAACAAAAAGCTGGTTCTTTGAAAAGATGAATAAAATTGATAGACCACTAGTGAGGAGGTTAAACAAGAAAAAGGAGAAGATCAAATTAAGCACAATTAGAAATGAAATGGGAGATATTACAGCTGATACCACAGAAATACAAAAGATCATTGAAGGCTACTGTGTACATCTTTATGTGCATAAACTAGAAAACCTAGAGGAGATGGATAAATACCTGGAAATGTACAACCCTCCCAGTTAAAACCAGGAAGAATTAGAAACTCTGAAGGGACCAATAACAAGTAGTGAAATTGAAACGGTAATTTAAAAACTGCCTACAAAAAAAAAAAAAAAGTCCAGGACCAGATGGATTCGCAGCTGAATTCTATCAGACATTGAATGAGAAATTGGTACCAATCCTATTGACATTATTCCACAAGACAGAGAAAGAGGGAATCCTCCCTAAATAATTCTATGAAGCCAGTATCACCCTAATACCAAAACCAGGAAAGGATATAACAGAAAAAGAACACTACAGATCAATATCCCTGATGAAAACAGATGCAAAAATCCTCAACAAAATACTAGTTAACCAAATCCAACAGCATATGGAAAAGATAATCCACCATGATCCAATGGGTTTCATACCAGAGATGCAGGGATGGTTTAACATACGCAAGTCAATAAATGTGATACACCACATAAACAGAATTCAAAACAAAAGTCACATGATCATCTTAATAGACACAGAAAATGCATTTTACAAAATCCAGCATCCCTTTATGATTGAAACCTTCAGCAAAATCGGCATAGAAGGGACATACCTTAACATAATAAAAGCTGTCTATGACAAATTCACAGCCAACATTATATTGAATGGGGAAAAGTTGAAAGCATTCCCCCTGAGAACTGGAACAAAATAACGATGCCCACTCTCACCACTTCTATTCAACACAGTACTGGAAGTCTGAGCCAGAACAATCAGACGAGAAATAAAGGACATCCAAATCAGTGAAGAAGTCAAACTGTTGCTGCTTGCTGATGATATGATACCTAGAAAACCCTACACATTACTCCAAAAAGCTCCTAGAATTGATAAATGAATTAAGCAAAGTTTTAGGATATAAAATTAATGTACACAAATCAGTAGCTTTGCTATACACCAACAGCGTCCAAGCTGAGAATCAAATCAGTAACTCAAACCCTTTTACAATAGCTGCAAAAAAATAAAATAAAATTCTTAGGAATACACCTAACCAAGGAGGTGATCCTCATCTCTCACCTTATAAAAAAATTAACTCAAGATGGATCAAAGACTTAAATCTAAGACGTGAAACCATAAAAATTCTAGAAGATAACATTGGAAAAACTCTTATAGACATTGGCTTAGGCAAAGACTTCATGACCAAGAACCCAAAAGCAAATGCAACAAAAACAAAGATAAATAGATGGGGTTTAATTAAACTACAATTTTCTGCACAGCAAAAGAAACAATCAGCAGAGTATACAGACAACCCGCAGAGTGGGAGAAAATCTTCGAAATCTCTACATCTGATGAAGGACTAATATCCAGAATCTACAAGGAACTCAAACAAATTGGTAAGAAAAAAAATTCCATCAAAAAGTGGGCTACAGACATGAATAGATAATCCTCAAAAGAAGATATACAAATGGCCAACAAACATATGAAAAAATGCTCAACATCACTAATGATCAGGGAAATAAAAATCAAAAGCACAATGTGATACCACCTTAATCCTGCAAGAATGGCCATAATAAAAAAATCAAAAAATAATAGATGTTGGCTGGGACATGGTGAAAAGGGAACACTTTTACACTACTGGTGGGAATGTGAACTAGTACAACCGCTATGGAAAAGCGGAGGAGATTCCTTAAAGAACTACCAGTTAATCCAGCAATCCCACTCCTGGGGATCTACCCAGAGGAAAAGAAGTCATTATACGAAAAATATATTTGCACACGCAGGCTTGTAGCAGCACAATTTGCAATTGCAAAAATATGGAACCAGCCCAAGTGCCCATCAATCAATGAGCAGATAAAGAAATTGTAGTATACATATATATTATGGATTACTACTCAGCTATAAAAAGGAACAAAATAATGGCATTCACAGCAACATGGATTGGAGACTATTATTCTAAGTGAAGTAACTCAGGAATGGAAAACCAAATATCATATGTTCTCACTCATAAGTGGGAGCTAAACTATGAGGATGCAAAGGCATAAGAATAATACAATGGACTCTGGGGATTCAGGGAAAGGGTGGGAGGGGGGTGAGGGATAAAAGGCTACACATTAGGTATAGTGTGTACTACTTGGATGATGGGTGCACCAAAATCTCAGAAATCACCACTAAAGAACTTATTCACGTAACCAAATACCACCTGTTCCCCTAAACATATTGAAATTAAAAAGTCAAAAGTAATTAATCCATAGGATTTAAAACCATTTTTTCTAAATATCTAAATATGGCACCAACATACTTAAAACATATAATGATTAATTTTAGTCTTCCTTTCCAAAACTTATACATTCTATTTCTTACTTATGCTTATTTCTCCTAGGTAAGGCCTCTATTAAAATGTCAAGTAGGCCAGTCGCCATGGCTCACACCTATAATCCCAGCTCTTTGGGAGGCCAAGGCGGGTGGATCACCTGAGGTCAGGAGTTCAAGACCAGCCTGGCCAACATAATGAAAGCCCCTCTCTACTAAAAATACAAAAATTAGCCCGGTGTGGTAGCATGCGCCTGTAGTCACACTACTCGGGAGGCTGAGGCTGAGGCAGGAGAATTGCTTAAACCCGGGAAGCGGAGGTTGCAGTGAGCCAAGATAGCACCACTGCACTCCAGCCTGGGTGACAGAGCGAGACTGTCTCAAAAAAAGAAAAAAAAAGTCAAGTAATGATAGAAAGCATACTTGGTTTATTCTCAAATTCCGTGGAAGTTTTCAATCTTTCATTAAGTGTGATATTTGCTCCATTTAAAAATTTTTCAGTAGCTTCTATTTATATTAAGCCATTTTCTAATCCTTGCTTGAGATTTTTAAAAAATCATGTGTTAAATTTATCAAATATTTTTCTGCATCTATTGAGATGATCAATGGTTTTCATCTTTCATTCTGTTAATACGAAGAATTACACGTTTATTTTTAAATGCTAACTAAATCTTTCATTCCTTTATTAAATCCAATTCAGTTGTATCTCTCTCTCTCTCCGTCACACACACACACACAGACACACACACACACACACACCACAAAGACATCACTTGTAGGTCTACGATTTTTGCACCTAATTTTATGAGTTTGACCTATAATGTTCATTTCCTGCAACGTATTTTCAAGTTTGGGTATAATCATTATGCTTGTCTCATGAGATGTGACCTGCCCCTGCCACCCATTTTAAATTTTTTGAAGAGTTGGGTAAAACTGGCAATATCAAATCTTTCCAAAAGTTTCTAAACCTTTTACATATCCCAACACCCAAATTTTTGGTCTATTGGTTCTCTTTATTGTATATTTCACTATTTCATTATTTGCTCTTATCAGAATTTTTTCTATTTCTTTGGATTTATATTTTTCTATCTTGGATCAGCCCTTCTGTTTTAATAAAAACACATTTCCATCAACGTTCTAAGTACTAAGATAATGATAGCTTTCACTTCTAAATTATTCTTTTAATCTGCTTAGTTATTTTTGATAATTTTTTCATTTCCCTTCATTTCTTTAAATATACTTGTTTCTGATAATTGCAATATCTGCAGACTACCATCCTTTTTCTATCTTGGTTTTACATTTTTCTCTCTTTTCAGTGTGGCTAGTTTTTGTGGGATGAGTCTCACAGGTGATATGAATCTTTGTGCAAATCCATGTGAATGTGAGTTTTTGCTAGGAATTTTCATGAAAGGCTTAAAAATTTTATTTTTTCAATTCCCAAGAAAATCGGAGACAGGCAAGTTTCTTCATAGCCTCCTCCTGTTTGCCGGTGGGGAGTCCAACTCTGCAGGAGTTCTTCCATGGAGTGCGGCCCTTTTAGTTGTCAGGTTGTATGTGTATGGGAGGGACGAGAGGGTGGGGGAAGAAAATTAGGCCACCCATCCTATTTTGTCTCAGCCTTCATCTTATATTCCTTATGCCTGTAAAATCACACGCTCTAGGACCTTGCGCTTCATAATACGAGTCCGCAGATAAATGATATCAGCACCTCCTGGGACTCAGAAATCCAAAATCTCAGGCACTAGCTCCAAAAGTTGTCCTTGTGGATTTTTCTTTACTTTTTGTTTCGGCTTCCTTTCCTGTCCTACCAGCTTTACGCTTATATAAACATTTTTCTATTTTTTTTCTGTGTACAATGATAGGTATAAAATTTTTTTTCTTAGTAATCGCGTTTAGATTTAACCGTTTAAGTCAGAAAAATAACGAAACGAGATCAGCATCGCTGGGTTCTTTCGTGCACGCCAGTAGGTTAGCTGGGACTGGCTTCTGGCAGTTGCTGTTTGGTAGATTACAAACTATTAAATACACCAGTGAGGATGAAATCCATTCGTGCGACTGCACCTCGGCAAACTACTTCTAAACTCTGCGTCCATCCTCCCCTCTCCCATTGCCCTCCCTCAGCAAAAGCCTCACGGTTTCGATCGGGGTAGGCCACCGAGCCACTGCGAAAACCCGGAGTAACGGATTCGGCGTGTAGCTAGGGTCTCCGAGGGAGTACGGGGAACTTAAGGAGCATGCGTAAAGCGGCGTGCGCGCACATGCGCACTCGTTCGCGCAGGGTCGCGCGCCGGTCTCTCTCAGGAGGGCTTGGAGGCTGCGCGAGCGGTTGACGTGTTCGTTGGCTGCGGAGGCGGCGGAGCTCTGGGAGGGGAAGGAGCGGAGGGAGGGGAGGGGGTGGTGAGGTGGGGGGCTGAACCCGGAAGTGGGTAGGCGCAGGAGCGAGCGCGCCCAGAGTGGAGCTCAGCTGCTGGGAGCCAGCGGGGGAGCCTTGGGTTCCCGGTAATGGATCTGTGGGGCGTTTTCCCAGGGAAACTGGGTGGGAAGGGTAGCGGGATCGCCGACTACAAGCGCATTCTCCGCCTTGCCCGGGCCTGGGAAAGCTCTTCTGCTTCCTTTAGTCGTCCCTCTGGTTGACCCCACTTCTGCTCTGCGCCCCTCCTGGGGCCGTCTCTCACCGGGTGGCTTTGGCTGAGGGACGCTCTCTATTCCTGAAGAGCTGTGCCTTGCCCGCCCGAGGAAAGCATGTTAATGGAGAGACTCGGATCTCGCGGCCGCCACGGCCTTATTGTCACCATCCCAGCACCCCTAAACCACGACTTCAGCCTCCTCAACCCGCACCGTCAACGATCTTGGAAGATCTCTCCCCTTTCTGCCCGGGTATTTTCACCCTGTTCGTGAATCAGGCCTGGAAGGTGTGCCTGGGTTCCTTTAAAATTATTCTTTTGTTGGCTGCCTTTTCTAAACCCGGCCCTCCTTGTTCTCCGCCCCAAAATCTTTGCCACGAATGAGTGTAAGCTGTGATTTTATCATCATTCAGTTATAATTAGAAAGAATTCGTTGATGATTGCCGTTGGCTGATTTAGCATTGCTTTGCCATGGAGTTATTTTACGTGGTTCTCACTCTTTTGCAGACCATGAAACCCTTGGGCACGCCCCTTCAGAAGCTGTTATCCAAGACAATCTAGTTTTCCTTTATAAATCACTTAAGACACTTATGAAGTTTCTTGTTCTGAAATTGCTGTACTGCAATGAAGAAGAGGAGAAAGGTTACTTCAAATCTTGAGAAGATCCATCTAGGCTATCATAAAGATTCTTCAGAAGGAAATGTTGCAGTGGAGTGTGACCAAGTGACCTATACTCATTCTGCAGGAAGACCAACTCCTGAAGCTCTTCACTGTTACCAGGAACTTCCTCCCTCTCCAGATCAGAGAAAGCTTTTAAGTTCTTTGCAGTATAATAAGAATTTGCTAAAATATTTAAATGATGATAGGCAGAAGCAACCATCTTTTTGTGATTTACTTATCATAGTGGAAGGAAAAGAATTTAGTGCACATAAAGTAGTCGTTGCTGTCGGCAGTAGTTATTTTCATGCGTGTTTGAGCAAAAATCCAAGCACTGATGTTGTCACCCTGGATCACGTAACACATTCAGTTTTTCAGCATTTGCTTGAATTTCTTTACACATCAGAATTTTTTGTGTACAAATATGAAATACCTCTTGTTTTAGAGGCTGCAAAATTTTTGGACATTATAGATGCAGTGAAGTTGTTAAATAACGAAAATGTTGCCCCTTTTCATTCAGAGCTAACTGAAAAGTCATCACCAGAAGAAACACTAAATGAATTAACTGGAAGACTATCAAATAATCATCAGTGCAAATTCTGTAGTAGACATTTTTGTTATAAAAAGTCTTTAGAGAATCATTTGGCTAAAACCCATAGGTCCCTTTTATTAGGGAAAAAACATGGGTTAAAAATGCTGGAGAGAAGTTTCTCCGCAAGAAGATCAAAAAGGAATCGGAAGTGCCCTGTTAAGTTTGATGACACCAGCGATGATGAACAGGAAAGTGGTGATGGGTCAGACAATTTGAATCAAGAAAATTTTGATAAGGAAAAGTCAGATAGAAATGATTCTGAGGACCCTGGAAGTGAATATAATGCTGAAGAAGATGAGCTAGAGGAGGAGATGTCAGATGAGTACTCTGACATTGAAGAACAAAGTGAAAAGGATCATAATGATGCAGAAGAAGAACCTGAGGCTGGTGATTCTGTAGGAAATGTTCATGAGGGGTTAACTCCAGTGGTCATTCAGAACAGCAACAAAAAAATATTGCAGTGTCCTAAATGTGATAAAACATTTGACCGAATAGGTAAGAAAAGAAAACTGGTTTTCTATCTCTAATCACTTACTTTTCTTGGATATTTTAAAGGTGATAAATAAAAACTAAACTTGGAAAGTAACTTCTAAAAAGACTGTTTAAGTAGGGAGAATACCTTGGTTTTCAATAGTGTTTATCCTGTTACTTTAAAGTTGTTGTGATTCAGGAATTAATTTAAGTATTTATATTAGCCTTTACTTTTCTTCATCTCCCAGTGACACATCATTAGATCATGTATTTGCTATGAAAGACTCCAGAGTGTCAATAATTATCATGTAGAGCTTTGATTTATATGCCGGTTTAATTCCAGTGATAAATACTATTTTTAACTCATTAAAAAAGTGGATTATATTAGATTTAATAATGTGTATACTGTTTTCCCCGTGCATGGTAATATATGAGTTATAAATGTTGTCACTTTTCCAGTATCTAGCACTATTTAATAGAAAGGGGATGTTTTATATTAAACTATGGTGAAGGATAAAATTGAAATGAATGTAATTTAATACTGTAGATAGAGACTTTAGGTAGTATCCTAGTTAGTAGCACTCTGGTTATATTATACATGTGACTTTAGCCAAAAGGCCAAGAAGCTTTGGTTGTTATAATAATGAATACATCAACTTTTTTTCTTTTAGAAAAGAATTTGAGGAAATGTAGTCTATCACTTTAAGTTTTATGTCAGTACATGTTTAATTTCAAGTTGTCTAATATTTGCTAGGTAAGATAATTCTTGGAAGTGTCTGAGATGAACTGTTCTAATGTAAACTTTTCAGTTGCAACAATTAAGCTTCCAGGTAAATTGAAGTTATGAAATTGTGAAATATATTCTACCACATATAATGATAAAAAAAAATTACTGCAATCTGACCTGGTAGAAATTACTTACCCAGTTTAATATATCCCCATATGTCTTACAGTGTTAACTTACTTATGTTATTGATATAGGCGGAAATTGGTTTTTTAAGGAATTGGTGATCATTTGCTGTAAAAAGATGTTGCATTATACGCTGACATAACAGTGGTATCTGCTTTTTGCTTTTTATAATGTTTTTTGGAATAATTTTCTCTCTGAATCAGAATACTTTGGACAATCTAATTTAATAATTATTAATATTTTAACTGAGGCTGTGTGTAAACATGAATAAAATAACTTCTTCAGTAACAATTCCAAGAGCATATGTATACAAGTAAGTTGTTAAAGTTAGACTGGATAAAATGCTGTTGTAGAACTGTAAACAAATACTGTGAAGATATGTATAGAGGTGAGAACAGCTTTTGGGTTGAAGTACCTGAGAACATTGCATCTTTCCAATAGACTTCTTAGACTTTGTACTCTTAGTGCATGCTTCCTGTATTCTGCCTTAATTGTCTTAATTTGACTTGGAGATGAGTGAATAGGGATGAGTTCACAAATGGTATTGTAGGTGCAACACAAATATCTCAAACTGTCCCACTGAACATTAGTCCCGTGACATGCTATGTAAGAGAAGGCTTCTGTGTTCAAGTAAGATTGGGAACTACGTAATTCACAATCGGTTTTAACTGCCCAATTCTTTAGTAAAGAAACCTGTTGATTTTGCTTAACCCAGTATTTCCTTAAATCATTTTACCGCAAGATACTTTGGAGGTACTTCTTTGAGCATCCTAGGAAACTAGAGTTTTCTGCACAATTTGGGAAAATACTGCTCAAGATTGAGGTGCTGATTTACTAAGAGGAGGACATTTTGCTCCTTCCTTCCTTCCTTCCTCCCTCCCTCGCTCCCTCCCTCCCTCCCTCCTTCCCTCCCTCTCTCCCTCCTGTCCCCTTCCCCTTCCTTTTTTTCCAAGTTCAGCCCAGATAATTGTGGGAATCAGTAGGTCACATTGTAGGTTTATTTCTGACTGACCTTTCTGAATGTATTTTACATTATGTCACTCTTCTACCCATTCCTCTTTTTTGTTTAGCCCTGCTGCTTGCTTTTCACCAGTAGTTTCTCATCTCTATTACCTTAGTGTATCTATATCTATATCTATCTATATCTTATTCATATATCGCTAGTTAAAAAGCCTGAGTTATAGTAATATAAGACTGCTTGGTTTTTTTGGAATCCTGTTCTTGGGTGAGTTACTTAACCTGTCTGTGTTTTTGTTTCCTCATAAGTAAAGTGAGATGATGCTAATGTGATGCTAATAGTACCTTCTCATGGGGTAGGGAAAGGTTATTATGAGGATTAAATGGGGTAATTCTAGGGAATCACTTAAAATATTGCACAAAATGTAGGTGTTCTAGCATATTTATTGTCTCTAAGCTGCCAAACATTATTAAACAAATATGAAATGATATATTCTCTGTCATCAAGAACCTTAGAGTTTAATGGGTACATGAAAAAACACAATCATGTTACAATAAAGATAATTTTATCAGGATAAGTATAGAAGACTAAGGAAATCAGGAGAAGTGTCTCAGAGCAGATAGTATTTGAGCTGAGACTCAAAGAATAGGGAACAGTTTACAAGACAGAAGGACCAGCATGTGCAAAGGCATTGAGGTATGTTGTATTCTGGAAATTGCTCAAGTGTGAGTGGTTTCAAGGTGGTCAGGGAGGCATAGTGAAAATAACAGGAGATGAAGGTGGGCAAGAAAGTGGTGGTCAGATTTTGTATGTCTTGTATGTTCTACAGAGGTGTATACTTTGGACAATCTAATTTAACTAGACTAGACTTTATTCAGTAGGTGATAGGGACTGTTGAAAAGAATTTTACAAAGGAAACCATGGCCTGTAAGAATTTTAGAAAGATCATGGTGGCTTCAGTGTGGAGAAGGAAATTGGAAAAAGGGATGAAAAAAGAGCCAGGGAGACAAGAAGGAGCATATAACAAAGGACCAGAATGATAATGTAGCTTAGACTTGGAAGATGAGTGGCGTTGGGAGTGGGATGTAGAATGAGAGTAAAGCAGAGAGTTATGATACATTGAATGTAGACTAAGTAGACTGGTGATGAGTAGAATGAAAAGAATATGTAGCAGAAGATCCATGTGTCTTAAGTGTCCTCTCTTACCATCTTTATTATTAGAAGTACAGTTTATTTAAAAAAATAACAACACAGGAGTTCGAGCGCCACCTTCCCATTATTCTCATATCATCCACATTCCTTTCGTAGAATTTTAAAATGCCACCCAGATTTTGGGGTATTTATCTGTCTTAGATTGTGAGCCTGGAGGTTACGTATCTTACTCTTGGCTAGTATTCTTTGTAACATCTCAGGTCATTTCAAATAAATTTTTAGTAAGCACTTGTTTATTTGAGCTAAGTTGAAAAGTTGGTATCTGGCTTGACTTTGGGCTTGTAAGAAGCCAATTAGCCTTCTTTAAGCTTCTAACTTGGCTTCTTTGGGGTGGGTTTATGAGAGATGCATAAGCTTTGAGACCTTCTGCTGGAACCATTAGTTCCACAATAAGTAATCTACTAATTTGATTCCATTACTTTGCATCTTTTATCCTTTCTTCCAGTTATATTTTTCCTTAGGCTACCGGCTGTCTTCCTCTCAGCAAATTATCATGCAAATAAGAGTCCTTTGACCTTTCCCCTTATACCAAAAACCTAGTGGATAAACAGGCAAAAATAGGGAGATGACAGATGGGGTGAGAGAGAAAATTTGGATAATTCATCTTTTTTATTGTTTCCACAGAGAACTAAAATCTTTCATTAGATTAAATTCACAATCTCTTCTAGAGGTAGAACATGTTTTATACCTTTAAAAAAAAATGTGACTAGTCCATCGTGCAGATATTCCACTTAGTTCTTAATAGAAAAGGGTTATAACAATGGCACAACTCTCTAAGGCTAAGTATTTTAATTACATATTCTTTAGACTAACTCATATGAATATTTCAAGGTACATTTTAAGATGTAGCAATATCAGATATATAATGAACTCATCTGGTGATATTTCTCTTTGTAAAAACTGCATACAAAATCTAACATTGGTAATTTTATATGACCCATGTGGGAGTAAACTCTGTATAAGGTCAAATTTGTTCATGTGAAAATATCTTTAATTTATGACTTCTGATTTGAGACATGATTCATATTGGGATTCAGTTCAGAAAAATGCTGTGGATAAAATTTCTTATGTTATAAAATGTTATGTATTTTCTGTTCAGGATCAGGAATGCTTGGGTGTAGTTTAATATTCTGTGAAGGAATACTGTTTTTGAAATTGAAACTTTGATAAGTTTTAAGTGAACATTTTGATTTATACATTATTATTGAATGCCCCACTCCATGAAAGTAGAGAAACAGTTGTAGATGTTTACTGTTTGTGCTGAGGAGTGCCCTCCCCCTGGCAAAAAACAAAACGAAACAAAACAAAAACAAAGAAAAAACCCTACCAAATGATTTAAACATGAAAATCGAAGATTAACATATATTTTCCCACTAGTCTGTAGAGATCTACCTAGCTCTTCTGGGTCCAGCATTCCGTCAAAAGTTGTCTCTCCTGTTCTTGTTCAGAAATTCAAATCCATGGTGATAACAGGCCATGCAAAGCCTAAGTGCATAAAATTTGAATTAATAACTAAAAAATTATTTTACTTACTCAAATTTCTGTATTATCATTGGTCTGCTTGATTTGGCTGAATTTATTTAAAATGGTTTTTAAAAAAATCATGAGATTTTTCTAAATTTGGCTATTTCAGTTTAAATTCCCAAACTTCCTTCTTCTTCTTCTTTTTTTTTTTTTTTCTTGCTTAAATCTTTATCTCTCCTGGTCTGTAGGGAAATGGAAGCTTACTAGTCAAAGTGATTTTAATTTTTAATATAACTGCCATTTCAATGACTTCAGTATTTAGCTATAAGTAACTTAATTTTTATTTGCATGCATAGAAGAAATTCTCAATTTTAAATAGAGGGAGAATGCTGCTAATTATTAATTTAACATCTTTTCAGCAAAGACATTTTCATAGCAAGTAAATGATTTGTTGAAAAATTTTTCATACTTTAAGATTTTTATTATGCTGCTACTTTTGTTAGAAATAAAAATGAGGTCCAGGCGCAGTGGCTCCTGCCTGTAATCCCAGCACTTTGGGAGGCCGAGGTGGACGGATCACCTGAGGTCAGGAGTTCGAGACCAGCCTGACCAATATGATGAAACCCGTGTCTACTAAAAATACAAAAAATTAGCTGGGCGTATAGCATGTGCCTGCAATCCCTGCTACTCAGGAGGCTGAGTCAGGAGAATCGCTTGAACCCGGGAGGCAGAGGTTGCAGTGAGCCGAGATCGCGCCAGTGCACTCCAGCCTGGACAAGAGCAAAACTCCGTCTCAAAAAAAAAAGAAAGAAAGATGAGAAGATTTAAGCATTAGGAGGTTGATAAGTTGTCTCTCAATCTTGAGAATCTGTGCTAAACATGCACAGTCAATCCCCAGTTAAAAATGGACCTGTTCCAAAAATCACAAGTTTAGTTATTAAAAAATCAGACTGTATACTTTTGATTTTACAGTTTTTTAAATATCAGTATGATTATTTACATAATTTAAAAGGTGAGTTAAAAATGAAATGTGAAAACTTTCACAATAAGGGAATACTTAAAAACCCATATAGTGACCTCTGTCTTTTCCCAGTATTTGGTCTGATTCCTTGAACACAGCGGGGGAGGTGGTGGTGGTAGGATGTGTACATGTATGTGTAAATGGTTGAGTATACTCTAGCAGTAGCAGAGAGGGAACTGAGATACTAAGCAATTTTAGCAGTGGCAAGGGGAAAGAGCCAAGTGTATCCAATGTTATCAGAGAGCTGAAACCCTAGTTTGATTTGTTATAACAGATATTCATAAATCAGATGTATCCATGTTTATATTTGAGGTATACCTACATGTCCATATTATGACTAGTAACCCGTATGATAATAATGATGACAGTTAATATTTATTAGTGCTTACTATGTGCTGGGTTTTTTTGTTTTTTTGGTTTTTTTTTTGTTTGTTTTTTTGTAGAGTTGGGGTTTTGCCATGCTGGCCAGGCTGGTCTCAAACTCATGACCTCAAGTGTTCACCCACCTTGGCCTCCCAAAGTGCTGAGATTACAGGCATGAGCCACCGTGCCTGGCTGTGCCAGGATGTTTTAAGTGTTGTTGTGTGTATTTGTTAACGTATTTACTTGTCACAACCCCATGAAGTGTTACTAACGCAAGTAAAGAGAGGTTAAATTATTAGCTTGATTAAAATCGCGCAACTAATTTAGGAGATGCCTAAATATTGACTGAGTTTTCTGACTATATGCATATCAGATATGCATATACCATTACTATGTTCTACACCTAAATACCTAATTTTTCATTGTACTTCTGTTTTCTTTGCTTGTGATTAACATTCTTCCCTTACCTTAAGGAAATACATTGGTTTCCTTTCCTCAGTTTTTTTATTATTTTTAGAAAATATGATATTACTTGCTTAATAAAATCAGTTGTATATATATTTACTAAATTATTGAATTTATTTTATTTTATTGGGTAGACACATAATTATGATTATATCTTTCCTCAGTGGCCTTGGAATATTTTGGATTTTTCATAATTTTCATGTTATACATAGGATGTATCCTTTTTAAAGTATATGACTGAAATGCTATACTTTCACATTAGTTTTCACCTGAAGAAAAATTTATTTATACATTTATTTTTCAGGAGAGAGCAAAGCTAAGTTTTTAATTAAGAGTTACCTTTCATGTTGATTTATTTTCCTATTTTTATTGCCTTTTGCTTGGAAATATATTTCAAAATTTCTAATTCAAATTACTAGATGTGCATATTCACAGTACACAGATTACCCAGTAATAATAATAGACAACAGTAATTGATAACTTATGTGTTCGACACTGTTGTAAGTGCATTATGTGTATGAATTTGTTTATTATTACAACAGTTCTATTAGGTAAATTCTGTTATTACCGCAGTTTTTCAGATGAGGAAGATTTGAGGCATATAGAGGTTACTTGTCCAAGGTCACGTAACCCTCTATTTAGAGAGCCAGTATCCATATCCAGGTGTATGGACCCACAGAGATACCAAAAATATGAACATAATAAATCTTAAATGATGAATTGATCTTTTGCTAAAAGTTAATTTTAAGTTTAAAAATACATTTAAAAATTTAAGTTTCAGAGAATTTTCCAACAGTTTTCAGAAAATGTATCAAACCTCTTAATTTTTAAAATGTGTGATCATGAATATTTTTTTTTAATGACTCAAGTTTTTGAGGAAAAGTACACTTTGAACAGGAAGCACAAAATAGTAAGTCATTAGGTTTATCAGAGGTAGAAATTTACGTAAACTTTTTTCTAGTTTTGTGTGTGGATTTGGATGTGTATATAAGTTTGCTAAATCATGAGGTTTTATTCCACTCTCAAATTCCAATCACAGTATAGCAAATGTACTAAATTTAATTTTAATTTTTCTTTTTTTATAGGAAAATATGAGAGCCACACCCGTGTTCACACAGGTGAGAAGCCCTTTGAGTGTGATATTTGTCACCAGCGCTATTCAACAAAGTCTAACCTAACTGTTCACAGAAAGAAGCACAGTAATGAAACAGAATTTCATAAGAAGGAGCACAAGTGCCCTTATTGTAATAAACTTCATGCAAGCAAGAAGACTTTAGCCAAGCATGTTAAGAGGCAAGTATTATCTTGCTTCCATAATATACTTTATTGTGCCTTTTAATTTAAATATGTGGAAAGCTAAAAACATCTATAAAGTGCTTATCTCCAATTCTTTCATTGGAGATTCATTGAGATACAGTATTTTGATTATCCTGTTTTCTTTCTTGGGTTTTGGCAAGTCTGTCTTCAGAAATATGTGGTTTTTATACTCTGATAAGTTTCTTTCTCTTTTTTTTTTTTTTTTTTTTTTGAAGTAGGGCTTCACTGTGTCGCCCAGGCTGGAGGGCAGTGGTACAATCTCAGCTCACTGCAACCTCTAACTCCTGGGTTCAATCAATCCTCCCATTTCAGCCTCCTGAGTAGCTGGAACTACAGGCGTGCACCATGCCCAGCTAATTTTTGTATTTTTTGTAGAGACTGGGTTTCACTATATTGCCCAGGCTGGTCTCAAACTCCTAGGCTCAAGTGATCTGCCCGCCTTGACCTCCCAAAGTGCTGGGATTACAGGTGTGAGCCACCACGCCCGGTCAAGAAATTTATTCTTATACTCAACATTGTCTTTAATGTGTAACAGTTTGTGAGATAAATAATATTTAATAGAGTATTATATATTTAACTCTAAAAATTAAATTTACTGAAATCTGGACTAAAAAAAATCAGGTATATTACCTTTCAGTTTATCTATAAAGAGCTAGGTTCCTGAATGTGTTTAAAATGATAATGATACCTTCTTAAAGAGCTCATCTATGCCTACTTGTCTCATTATGAAAGGAATCAGTACTTGATCCTGGTAATTACTGTCAACATATTCACATGGAATATTGATTTAACTAATATAACCTTTTCCTAATAATCTTTTTCTTTTCCTCTGATAGATTTCATCCTGAAAATGCACAAGAATTTATTTCCATTAAGAAGACTAAGAGTGAAAGTTGGAAATGTGATGTAAGAGTTTTTAATTAAAACAAATTAGAAAACCAAAGTAAATGCAACGTCTTTTGGGGAAGTAAAGTAATTAGGTTTTAAAGTAATGTGACTTAGCTTATCTCACTTTTAGAATTTTCCTTTTATATAAAATTATTCTAATATATTTTGTAAATTAAGCCTGGTATAGGTTAGTTTTTAGATGATGGACCTAAACAGTGGAAATCCTAGTTTTTATTTTCATTGTAATCACCATACCATGTATTTATGGTTATGTATATAAACTGTGACATTACTGTTGCACAGAGTATAAAATGTTAGACTTTCTCCCCCATTTCTGGGTATGTGGTGTTAACATAATAAACTATATCAAAACTTAGTGGCCTTAAATAACTATTTTGATATGTCTCACCCTTTTGTGTGTTAGGAATCCAAATTTGGGGCAGGGATTTGCTAGGTTAATTCTTCTGTTCTGCTTGTTGTCAGCTGAAGTCACTCAGCTGTTTTCAACTAGTGCATGGTCTGGTCTGGTCTGGGAACACTTCCAGAGTGGCTCACTCAAGGCCGAGTATGGTGGTTCATGCCTGTAATCTTAGCACTTTGGGAGGCCTAGGCGAGTGGATCACCTGAGGTCAGGAGTTCGAGACCAATCTGGCCAACATGGCAAAACCCCATCTCTACTAAAAATAAAAAAAAATTAGCTGGGCATGGTGGCACATGCCTGTAATCCCAGTTGCTCTGGAGACTGAGGCAAGAGAATCACTTGAACTCGGGAGGCAGAGGTTGCAGTGAGCCAAGATGACACCACTGCACTCCAGCCTGGGCGACAGAGCCAGACTCCATCTCAAAAAAAACAAAGTGGCCCACCCACGTGACAGGTCACTTGGTGTTTGTTCTTGGCGAGAATCTCAGCAAGGACTGTTTACCAGGAACCTTAGTTCTTCTCTACTTCGGTCTTTTTTTGAGGCTTCTTGAGCTTCTTTCTAGCATAGCAACTAAGTTCCAAGAGTGAGTATGTGTTCCAAGAAACCTAGATAAAAACTATTAGACTTTATGGCATAGTCTCAGAAGTCTCTGAAAATCACTTCTACTACATTTTGTTGGCCAAACAAATCACTCCAACCTGGGTAGATTTAAAGAGAAGGGAATTAGATTCCATTTTTTAACAGGAGGAGTACCATCGTATTTATGGACATCTTTATTCTACAGTACCTCTAATTATTTTTTCAGTATTTACATTAATTTTTTTTTTTTTTTGAGACGGAGTCTCGCTTTGTCACCCAGGCTGGAGTGCAGTGGTGTGATCTTGGCTCGCTGCAACCTCCTCCTCCTGGGTTCAAGTGATTCTTGTGCCTCAGCCTCCCGAGTAGCTGGGACTACAGGTGCACACTACCACGCCCAACTAATTTTTGTATTTTTAGTAGTGATGGGGTTTCACTATGTTGGCCAGGCCGATCTTGAAGTTCTGACCCCAGGTGATCTACCCGTCTCGGCCTCCCAAAGTGCTTCCCGGGATTACAGGGGTGAGCTGCTGTGCCCAGCCTAGGTTAATCTTTTTTAAGGCATCCCTAGCTGTTATTTTTGCCTTCTTTAATCCAAGATTCAATTTATATATACAGCAAATTTCTCACAATTTCTCTGATTTCAGCTTCTAGAAATTGAAGTTAATTATTTATTACAGTATTTTAGTCTGCATAAGATAGTGTCTTCCCCTTACCAAGTTTCATCATCCTTGGCTATAAAATGTTAATAATGCCAGTTGCATCTATCTCACAGAATTATTGTGAGAATCAAGAAAAATAATCCATGAATTACTTAGCGTTGTGCCTGGTATATATAATATGTGCTATGTCATTATTGTTGGTGCTGTTACTATAGCAGCCTACCTCTTTTTAAAAACCTGATGAATGTCAAATTTTTAGACTGACCACTTCAAGAGATACACTTTAAAATAATTTTTCTGTGACTTCTTATTCAGATTCTTATTCAAATATATGGCAACACTGAAAAAACCTTTTATTCCTGACATAAGTGACTAAAAAACAATATATTTCATGGATTTAGAAATTCTGACTAGAATTAAGATAGTATGATTATTCTGTATCCCTACTAGAAATGTAAAGAGTTGAAATTCAGCTACCTTTAGTACTAATTTAAAATCATTCCTTACTTCCTCTAGAGCATTTTTTTCTGCACAATTAGAATTGAATTTTACTTTTTGTAAGTTTTCTGTTGGGAGAAAAGTCTCTTTATTGAATTTATATGGTTTTCTTCTCATTACAAGCTTAATATTACAATTTTTAATTCAGGTTCTCTTAACATTTTGTTTGCATTTTAATTTAGATTTGTAAGAAATCTTTTACTCGAAGACCACACTTGGAGGAACATATGATTCTACATTCTCAAGATAAACCTTTTAAGTGTACCTATTGTGAAGAACATTTTAAATCACGGTTTGCTCGGTTAAAGCATCAAGAAAAGTTCCATCTGGGTAAGCAAGTTACTTTTTCTTAAGGCAGTCATGACAATTTTAATTATCACATCATGCTGGAGGAGCCTTCTATAGCTGAATTACTCTTTTTCTTCTAAAAGACTTTTTAAGAGTGGTTTTAGGTTCACAGCAAAATTGAGAGGAAGGAATAGATATTTCCCATATGCCCTATGCCTCCACATATGCACAGCCTCCCCCATTATCAGCAGTTCTTCACCAGAGTGGTACGTTTGTTACAATCGAAGAACCTACGTTGGTACATCATAATCGCCCAAAGACTCTAGTTTAGACTAGGGTTCACTCTTAGTATTGTATTTTGTGTTGTTTTAGACAAACCTGTAATGACGGGTATCATTATAGTATCATACAGAATAGTTTCACTGCCCCGAAATTTCCCTGTGCTTCTCCATCTGTCTCCCACACCAACCCCTGGCAACCACTGACCTTTGTATTTTGTTTGTTGGTTCATTTTTTTTAGATACCTCATCTACTATTTGATGATCTTTTTACTGTCTCCATAGTTTTACCTTTTCCAGAATGTCATATGGTTGGAATCATACACTGTGTTGCCTTTTCAGGTTGCCTTCTTCCACTTAGTATAGTGCTAAATGATACAATTGGCCCTCCATATCTATAAGTGCCATGTCTGTGGATTCAGCCAACTGTGGATTGGAGATATTAAAAAAAAATAACAAAACATAACAATACAACAATAAAAAATAATACACATTTTAAAATATAGTATAACAGTGATTTACATCACATTTCCATTGTATTAGTATTAAGTAATCAAGAGATGATTTAAAGTATATGGGATGATGTGCATAGTTTCCATGTAAATACTACACCACTTTAGATAACGGACTGGAGCATCCATGGATTTTGGTATCCTGGGCCATCCTGGAACCAGTCCCTCATGGATACCTAGGGAGGACTTTATTCCATTGTCTGGATATACCACAGTTTATCCATTCGCTCACTGAAGGATATCTTGGTTGCTTCCAAGTTTTGGCAATTATAAATAAAATTGCTATAAACATCTTTGTGTAGGCTTTTATGTAGACTTAGATTTTCAATTCCTTTGGTTAAATACCTTGGAAAACAGGGGCTGGATCAGATGGTAAGAGTATAATTAGTTTGTAAGAAACTGTCAAATTGTCTTCCAAAGTAGTTGTATCATTTTACATTCCCATGAGAATGTCTGTCACTTCATGTTCTTGCCAGCATTTGGTGTTTTCTGTGTTCCAAATTTTGGCCATTGTAATAGGTTTGTAGTGGTATCTCATTGCATTGATTTGCATTTTCCTGATGCATATAATGTGGAGCATCTTTTCATGTTTATTTACCATCTGTATATCTTTGGTGTGGTGTCTGTTCAGTCTTTGGCCCAATTTTTTTTGGTTTTTTTGTTTTTTTGTTTGTTTTTTTGTGACAGAGTCTTGCTCTGTTGCCCAGGCTGGAGTGTAATGGCGCAATCTTGGCTTACTGCAACCTCCACCTCCCAGGTTCAAGTGATTCTCCTGCCTCAGCCTCCAGAGTAGCTGGGATTACAGGCGCCTGCCACCATGTCCAGCTAAGTTTTTTGTATTTTTAATAGAGATGGGGTTTCACCAGGTTACTCAGGCTGGTCTTGAACTCCTGACCTCAGGTGACCCACCCACCTCGGCCTCCCAAAGTGCTGGGATTACAGGCGTGAGCCACCACGCCTGGCTGGCCCATTTTTTAATCAAGTTGCTTACTTATTGTTGAGTTTTGAGAGTTCTTTGTATATTTTGGATAACACTTATCAGATATTTCTTTTCAAGTATTTCCTTTCATCTGTGACTTTTCATCATCTTGACAGTTTCTGTGACAGAGGAAAATTTTAATTAAGTCCAATTTATCCATTGTTTCTTTCATGGATTGTGCGAAGTCATTGCCAAACCTAAGGTCATCTACATTTTTGTGATTCATTTTGAGTTCACTTTTGCAAAGGATGTAAGGTCTGTGTCTAGATGTATTTTTTTTTTTTTTGTCTGTGGATATCCATTTGTACTAGGACCATTTCTTAAAAAGACTATCTTTACTATATTGTATTGGCTCTGCTTCTTTGTGAAAGATTAGTTGACCATATTTATGTAGGTCTGTTTCTGGGCTCTGTATTCTGTTCTGTTGATCTTTTTTTTTTATTTTTTATTTTTGCCAATACTACACTGTCTTGATTACTGTAACTTTATAGTAAGATTTAAAGCCAAGTAATGTCAGCCCTCCAACCTTATTTTTCTCCTTCAGTGTTGTGTTGGCTCTTCTGGATCTTTTGCCTTTCCATATTAACTTTAGAATCAGTTTGTTGATATCCACAAAATGACTTTCTGGGATTTTGATTGGGATTGCATTGAATGTATAGATCATGTTGTGAAGTTGAGTCTTTCTTTCCATGAACATGGGATATCTCTTCATTTATTTCGTTTTTCTTTGATTTCTTTCATCCGAGTTTTGTAGTTTTCTCATATAGATCTTGTACCTATGTTGTTAGATTTATACCTAAATATTTCATTTTGGGGGATTGTTGAACTACTCTTGGTGAACCTTGAGTATTGGCTTAGGCAAAGAAAGTCATATAAATTGAAAGGAGTACTGTATATGTCACAGTTCTTGGAGATGTGTAAATGTGTTTTTTTGTGTGTGTTGGGGGGTTTTTTTGGTTTGTTTTTTTTTTTGGTGACAAATGTGCCAGTGGGCATAAACTGTGCATTTATTCATAGTTGATGTTGCATAGGTTTGTGAGTGCTTAGAATGAGACATTCTTGTTTTGGAAAAAGATAATTTTTCAAGGAGTAGAATAAACTTAGTATATTTGGAATGCGCTATAGTATTTAATGAATTACCTCCCTAATGCTTATGGCCAAGGTGGAGAGTTGTGGTCTAGATGGTGGTATACTTTGGTAAATTTCTGATTGTTAATCCCACTAATGAATTTTGTCATTCCAGGTAGAGGTCCTCTCCATGTTCAGTTCATTACTTTTGTTAACAACTTAGATAAAAATATACACTTCATTGCTTATGAAATTTATAGATGTCATAAAGCTATCAAGGGTATTTAGTATACCAGAAAATAAACATATTTAAAAAATCTGTATGCTGTACAATAGGTCAAAACAAATTAAGTTAAAATTAATTAAGAATAAATACAAAGTTAGGCTGTGTGCGGTGACTCACGCCTGTAATGCCAGCACTTTGGGAGGCCAAAGCTGGCAGATCACCTGAGGTCAGGAGTTCGAGACTAGCCTGACCAACATGGAGAAACCTTGACTCTACTAAAAATACAAAATTAGCTGGGCGTGGTGGCGGACGCCTGTAATCCCAGCTACTCAGGAGGCTGAGGCAGGAGAATAGCTTGAACCCAAGAGGCGGAGGTTGTGGTGAGTCAAGATCGCGCTATTGCACACCAGCCTGGGCAACAAGAGCGAAATTCTGTCTCAAAAATATAAATAAATAAATAAATAAATAAATAAATAGTTGTAAACTTAAGGAAGTGATCTGACTTTTAGTCATTAAGTCTTTAAGAACTATAAAATAGTTTATCATCCAAACTACTCACTTTACAGATGATCTTAAAGGCAGAGGCTTTTTGGACACAGTGTGAACCAATAATGTGATATGATTTACAAAACAAATGTAGTTTTAAACTATATTAATAAAAGTGTATTTTTCAGAATTAGGGAAATAATAGTCTGATTTTGAATTGATCTGGAAAATTGCATTCATTTCTGTATACCACATTTAAGATGGATATTGACAAATATATATTTTAGAGATGGGTAATTTTGGTGATGTAGAGTCTTGAAATCTTATCATGTGAAAAACATGGTCCTTGAAATTTTTTGTCTGGGAAAGGAAGATAGAGCAGCTGTCTTCAAATACTTTCAAGGCACTATTGCGCAACAAGGGATTCTTAATCTTTGTGAGTCTAGTATATAAGACTAGTATATGTTGGAAGATTATTTACCTGAAGCTTAATCTCTCCAAATTGCCTTTACTAAGTTGTTCTTTCATAGTATTCAGTTTCAGCACTTCTAAGAAGCCATCATGTAGAAACAGTTTTTATAGTTACCAAACTGTAGTTGACATGTTCATGATTCTGTTTCATGGGAGAAATTTCTTTAGAGTTTAGTTCCAGAAAAAGTAGTTTTTATTGGAGAATTGGTGCACTTCCTTCTTTTTGATTTGAAAATTTTAGGTAATCTTTTTGGTTCTACCTTGTAGAAACATCAGAGGGAACTATAATAACTTTTTAAGTGTTGGAACTTACAAACTAAAGTAACTTGTCTTACACAATAGTTACTTTCCCATCAGTGAAATTATACAAGTATACAAGCATATGCTGAACTTACCTTACTAACTGTTAGAGCTGGTGAAGAGGGCATTCTTCAGAAGTGGTTGAACTGGAAGATTTTTATGACTTGTTAAGAGATTCTTCTATCATGCTGCAGCATACCAATAATGAGAGGTGTTCCAGAAATGTTAGGCAGTAAGGCTTAGCTCCCCTGCTATCTAATGTTCATGGCGGAAAATATACAAGGAAAGTACATTCGACATTCAAAATAGTAAATATTTATGGAGCAACTGCTAAATGTATGATCAGCTCTGTGTTAGGATCTGGGGATACTATTTCTGCCAAATTAAATTACGGCGCAATAGGTAATCTAACTAGTAAATAAATCATTACATTTTACTACTGTACACCCACAAATATTTTACAACTGATTAGGTAATTTGTATGATTTTTAATAAGAGTTGACATTTACTGGGTTAGGTTGACATTTACTAGAAGAAAAAGTTTAATAGGTGTGGCATGATGTAGAAGTGGAAGTAGAAGACTTTCTAGCCAGCCTTGTTTTCTGAGTCTGACTTAGCCACTTACTAGGTGATCTGGAACAGCCTCTCAGACTTCCAGTTTCCTCATTTGTTAAAATGAAGTTAATACGTACTTCTTAGATACTGTTGTGAGGATTATATGAGGTACTGTATAAGTGCCAAATGTAGAGCCAGGCATAGTTTTCATTCTCTTTCTCTGAATGTATTGTCATTTCTAGTATTATAGTTTTCAGTCTTTCCAAGACCTTTGAGAAATATGGTTTGTGACATAGTAGCTTTGCATTTTGGGCCACTATTATTAATAAACCAAATAGAGTATTGTTATAAGTATTTTCTGTATTTGTGTGTGTGTACATATGTATACATATATGTATACATGCATATATAAAATACTCAAAGCAATATTATATATATATAGAGAGAGCTTCTTTTGCATTCCGTCTCTATGTTTCTGTTCCCTTGAATCACTGTACACTTCAGATAAGTGCTTCATGCAGTTTGGTATATATCACAAGCACCTGGAGACCTTATTAAAACGGATTTCCCAGAGTGTCTGACTCAGATAGGTCTGGCGTATGGCCCCAAATTTGTATTTGCATTTGGAACTTGTACAGTTTGCAATTTGCACAAGTTCCCAGGTAGTGCTGGTGCAAATGGTCTAGATATCACATTTTGATAATGACTGCTTTAGATTATTCAAAGCAATACTCATACTGTCTACATTAGGAATATATATTCTGTTAAATCAGAGGGAAAGATATGTATTTAATGCAATCTGAACAGTTAAAGGAGAAGAATTTTTAATATATATGAATATATATGTGCAAAAGTTGTAGTTTGGCTTTTAAAAGTCAGAACTTGGCCAGGCATGGTGACTCACGTCTGTAATCTCAGCACTTTGGGAGACAGGTGGGAGGATCACTTGAGCCCAGGAGTTTGAGACCAGCCTGGGCAACCTAGTGAGATACTGTCTATATAGAAAAAATAAATAAATAAAAGAGGGGAGGCTGAAGTGGAAGGATTGCTTGAGCCCAGGAGGTTGTTTAAAATAGGTTTAGCTGCATGCAAAACTGGATATCCAGTATAGGAAAAAAATGCAGTTGTTATTTTCTTTGAAGAATCCTGATAAGTAACTGAACATTAAAGAGAATGCTTCATTTCTTCCTTTGCCCAGCTGAAGCCGCCAGCTATACAGATAGTCATATTTTATAAAAAGTTTTACTAGTAGATATTTCATTCTTTGACTAACCACACATTTTGCATAATAACCTTATTTTGGCACGTGTATTTACTTCACCTTTTTTTTTCAGCTATGTAAGTACTGACTTTCGTTTTCTCAATTTCTTAGAGCCTTTTTTTGGTTCAGAGGAGGTGGAGAGATTTTTCATAATACTTAACACAGTGCTTGATGTGAATTAAGAATAAATAAATACTTGTTGAATGAGTTAATAAATGAGTAAAATATTTAGATCCCATGAAAAATGAAATATTAGAGGTTTTAAATGAGAATCCATTAAAGATACTTAATACAATGTACATTTTGAGGTCATCTCTCATTTCTAATGTGTAAAACACATTGAAATTTACCCAGAGCTACTGTGGCTACCAAGCAATTTTGCTTATAGTTACGTTTCTGAATTTCAGCATCTTAATTCTATTTTCTTTCCATTGTGCTATTATGATTAATTCATTAGAATTCTTTCTTCAGTTTGTCCTTCCATATACTGAGACATCTTCTTGCTAATATATAGCTTCTTTGAGCTGTATTTACTAAACTTCTTTTTTACGCATTCTTTGTCTTTCTTATATTTTGTCAGTCAGTAGAACACTGTCTTGTCTCCAGTTTTTTATTTGGTAAAATCATAGTGAAATTCAGTATCCAACTAATGTCAGTGTTACTATGAGAGGCCTGGGCTTAATTTTGTATCACCAAATAGAAATATTTCCAAACTATAAACTCTCTTAAGTCCTCCATTCATTCTTCCAAAGTTTTTTATTACCCGCTTTCCCAAAAACTTTAGTATGCAGCCATTTCTACTTTGTTCCAGTCTGATTTCAAACCAGGAATTGGCCATTTCAATTTGTTAACTCATTAGTTTGTTCAGCATTCATTCTGTTTGTTAGATGCTGAGCCCTATACTTGGTTATAGGGATATGGAAATGTTATTCTAGGAATAAATAACCTAGAAGAGAAATTGCAGTGTATTATGACATATGCACCAATAGGATAGGCATGAACTTACAGCATACCTATTAAATTTAACTTAGTATCTCCTCTTTAAACTTTAAATGCACACTTTTTTTTTTTCCTTTTTAGGTCCTTTTCCATGTGATATATGTGGTCGCCAGTTTAACGACACTGGAAATTTGAAACGTCATATAGAATGTACTCATGGTGGAAAGAGAAAATGGACTTGCTTTATCTGTGGAAAATCAGTACGAGAAAGGTGAAGAATTATCTGCACACCCACAAAAATCCTAGTACTATTATGTAGAAATAATCAATCAATATGATTTATAGGAATTAGGGTAACATAAGACACAAAATGCATGAATTGTGCTTTAGTTTGAAATATAAGGAAAAAAGGAATTACACAAATGTTATGGAAGATGACATGGATTCAAGATTTGCAGGTTTTAGATGGATGATTTAATGTACATATTTTATGTCTTTCTGAAACCCCACTAAAACTAGATTAAGGGTTTTTGTTTGTTTTTTAAAAAGAATAAGCTACAAAGATAGGGAGAACAGAAATGTAACATGAATGACACAGGTTTGGAAGCTATAAAACAGATGGATCAAGGCAAAACAAGAATCCCAAAGATAACCTTTCCATCTTTTACTATAACTATTTAACAGGTAGGGATCTGGGAATATCTTTAGAGATATTTTCCACAAAGCTGGGTGTTATCTACAGACTGTCATATTGGTGGGCCTTGTAGAAGAGCACCATCTACTGGCAAAACTCTACTTTTATTTCAGATTCATCCTTTAAACTTACTAGGTATGGGATTGAAATACAAACCAAGTACAGTCATGCGCCGCTTAATGATAGTGCTATGTTCGGAGAAATGCATTGTTAAGCAGTTTTGTCATCACACAAATATAGAGTGTACTTATGCAAACCTAGATGGTATAGCCTACTACACATGTAGGCTATGTGGTTTAGCCAGCCCATTGCTCCCAGGCTACAAACCTGTATAGCATGTTACTGTAGTGAATACTGTAGATAATTGTAACACAGTGGTAAGTGTTGATATATTTAAACATACTTAAGCATGGAAAAAGAACTGTAAAAATGGTATAAAATATAAAAAAGAATATATGTGTTTGTGTAGGTTACCGATCATGAGTAGAGCTTGCAGGACTAGAAGTTTCTCTAGGGGAGTCAGTGAGTGAGTGGTGAGTGAATGTGAAGGCCGCGGACATTAGTGTACACTAATGTAGACTTTATAAACACTGTACATTTAGGTTTCACTAAATGTATTAAAATTTTTTCCCTCAAATGAACAGCAGCTTACTGTAACATTTTTATTTTATAAACTTTTGATTTTTTCAACCTTCTTACTCATTTAAAGTAACACTTAGCTTAAAACACACATTGTACAGCTGCATAAAGATATTTTATTTTCTATAAGCTTTTTTATATTTTTAAATTTTTTATGTTTTACTTTTTAAACTTTTTTTTGGTTAAAAACAAAAGACACAAACACAAACATTAGCCTAGGCCTACACAGGGTCAGGATCATCAATATCACTGTCTTCCACCTGCACATCTTGTCCCACTGGAAGGTCTTCAGGGACAGTACATGCATAGAGCTGTCATGTCCTATGGTAACCATGCCTTCTTAGAGAATACCTCTAGAAGGACTTGGCTGAGGCTGTTTTACAGTTAGTTTTCTTTTTTTTTTAATAAGTAGAAGAAGTACACTCTAAATCATGATAAAAAGTATAGTAAATACATACCAGTAACATAGTCGCTTATCATTATCAATAATTATGTACTGGACACAATTGTATGTGCTATGCCTATATACAGTTGGCAATGTAGTATGTTTGTCTACAACAGCATCACCACAAACATGTGAGTAATGTATTGTGCTATGATGCCACTAGGTTATAGGAATTGTGTAGCTCCGTTGTAATCTTATGGGACAGCATTGTTTATGTGGTCTGTCATTGATTGAAATGTCATTATGCAGTACATGACTGTAGTAGTGATAGCTAAAAGCCTGCAGAGGTCAGTCATATTTCCCTTTCACTTTATTTCCCCTTAAAATAACTTTGTTCATTATTACTCAGCACTTTAGATATGTGGGGAAGCTCTGAAGGTTAGAACTGTAGGAATTGCTAGTGATGTACTTTGAGGAGTAATGGTTTCATAGTAGCCCATCCAGGGCCAGTGGGGCTGGAAGACTTAGGAATAGCAATAATTACATTCTGTATATAGGTTCCTTTTTCACATCAGCACCTGGAAGTTAGAAATACTACAACATTTTCTTTGCTTTAAAACATTTTTTCAATAAATACTAAGCACATATTTGGAAGAAATAGTACTGATAAACTGGATTACTTAAATATTATTAAACCCTCTCTATCAAAATTCACATCAACTTAATTCAGTGTCATAATGAGCATTTTAAAATTATACTTCTTGAAAGTCTGCTTAAGTTGTGTAATTAAATCTCTGAGCAAACCAATGGCAAATGAGGCCGAAGTATTTTTTGTTTTTAAGGAGAGAGAGCTATAACAAGCATGTTTGTATACTAGTGAGAATAGAAAAGAACAAAATTATTGTAAGAAAGAGGAGAGAATTGCCATAATATCAGTTAGCTTGAATACCTTTCTAGTAAGTTTTCCAGAAATCTATTTACTATATATAGGCATTTAAAAAATCTCGAATCTATATATTTTAATGCAGAACTACTTTGAAAGAACATTTGAGAATCCACAGTGGAGAAAAGCCTCACCTTTGTAGTATTTGTGGGCAAAGTTTTCGTCATGGAAGTTCGTATAGGTAAGTAAAACCATTTTTTCCCTTTATTAAGTAAGATAGAATTATATCTCTATTTTAGTTCTATTTTCTTATTACTTTGTTGAATTGAAACATTTCTTAGTCCTTATGATATGCAAAGTTGTGCAAAAACTTTACTGCATAGATTTTTTTTTTACTAAACATTTTATTATCTTTATTCTGTGGTATAAAATATTATTAAATATTTTCTCACACCAAGTTTGCAGAAGGCTTTACTAAGGCATTATTTAAATATTTATTTCATTACTTTTCTCTGAATGAAAAGTCAGTTAAACTTAGTGTATTTCTCCACTCTTTACTATCAAAGAACATTTTAATATGAAAGTAAGACAAAGTAAAAAACTCCCCATTCTCAATTTTCAAAAGTCTTCTGTGCATTAATAGTGATTATAACTTATTTAGTTATTTCTGTGGTTGAATCCTTGACCATATTTGCAGTTTATGAAAAGTTTTTTTCTAAATAAATAATATGTAACTACTTCTGAAATGTGTGTACAATTTTAATTTTTATTAAAATGTTACAAGGCTTTAATATATACACTTTCATTTATTATTTATCTTGCTTTAAGTTTAAATTGAATACTTCCCCTTTAGAGGTAGTCTAGTCAGTTGGTCTTGGTAAAATCAACACTTATTTTGGCAATTTGCAAGGGAAAGCTATTCCTTTCATTAGAATATATATAGAGAGAGAGGCTCTGGAGATAAAAGTAATTCAAGTTAAATTAATCTTAATAATCTGAGCCTTTTATACTGTCTTTGGGTGACTATAAAATGAGCCCCATTTTGTTCTATTGGTGTGAAGAAAAGCAGTAAGATGTAATTTTCATAAAGTTGAGTTCTTAGAAAAGAAAATTCTTAAATATCAGTTTGTAGTTGATAACAATTATCCAGAATAGGACAGATTCTCCATTATTTGCTCTATTAGTCTGTTTTCACACTGCTATAAAGACATACTTGAGACTGGGTAACTTACAAAGAAAAAGGATTTAATTGACTCACAGTTCCGCATGGCTGGGAAGGCCTCAGGAAACTTAGAATCATGGCGGTATGTGAAGGTGCAAGCAAGGCACGTCTTACCTAGGCGAAGCAGGAGAAAGAGAGAGTAGGGGCAACTGCTGGAACACTTTTAAAGCATCAGATCTTGTGAGAACTCACTGACTGTTACAAGAACAGCATGGGGAAACTGCCCCCATGATCCAGTTACCTGCCACCAGGTCCCTCCTTCAATATGTGGGGATTACAATTTGAGATGAGATTTGGGTGGGAACACAGAGCCAAACCATACCATTTACTGTATCATTTGCTATCATCATGATATGCCTAGTCACTTGTACACTTACTTCATTTGTCTGATTCTAATTCCTTTCTGATTACTCCTACTTTTTATATTTTTGAGTCTTGGCCAGTCAGCTAGATAATAACCTTAGACATTTGATAGATTCAGTGAACTAGATTTAGGATCTAATATGATGGGAAGGAATAATGTTGAGAAGTGGTTTGAGCATATACAAATGTTGAAATGCTTTCTTGAAAGAGATGAGTAGGGACCTGGGGTCAGGTGGTAAAAGACTGAAAAGGACTCTGAAAGTCATAGAAATAAAGCCAATAATGTATGAGTGGTTGAGTAGACAGCCCAGTTTTCATTGTTTATTCATCATTTATTCATTATTGAGCTTTTTCCTTCTATGTCACCAGTTTTAATGGTGTTCAATTCTTTTTTCTTTATAGACTTCACTTACGAGTACATCATGATGATAAAAGATATGAGTGCGATGAATGTGGAAAAACATTTATCCGTCATGATCACCTTACAAAGCACAAAAAAATACATTCAGGTATACCATATTTTGTAATGCTAGTTCGAAAATCCTTTTTAAATACCTGAAAGGAACATAATATGATGTTATGTTTATGTTGGCTATAAGTTTAATAATTTGGTTTATGCTCATCACTTCTTTGTAATTCTGGTTCTGAAAACATTTTTTAAAAAGCATCCAAAAGGGACATAAGTTTATGACATATTCACTGTAATTTTAATTATTTGGTAACCCTTTGTGACTATAAA
This sequence comes from Homo sapiens, assembly GCF_000001405.40. Classification (NCBI taxonomy): domain Eukaryota; kingdom Metazoa; phylum Chordata; class Mammalia; order Primates; family Hominidae; genus Homo; species Homo sapiens. The sequence continues at coordinate 197,176,333 of NC_000001.11, read as the reverse complement.
GTGTAAAGTTTAATTTTAAATAAATTCTCAAAATTTGCATTTTGCATATTACATGGATATATCTAATAATTGCTATTGACAGTTCCTTAAAGGGAGAAGCCATGATAATTTTTCTCATTTTGATTGGATTTGAGAAGAAGTTGGTGAAACTTACATATTAAAAGGGAAATGATTAAAATTAGGTGCTAAAAGTGTATATTATAGTGAATTTTGAAACCCTGTCTTTGGAGAAGAGTACCTTAATAATCCTGACCAATTTCAGATCTTTATACTGTATAATTTTTATATTCTGGGGATTTCTTTCATATTTTCCTCTCAGATTGATGTTCAGGAAGTGCTAAGAGAGCCAACTCTGTGAGCACAATAATGGGAAAGAGCCATCTCTATGAGCACGGTAGAACAGGTGATTATTATTATTATTTTAAACATAATTTTTGAATATAAAGTATGCAACAGATAGTAATTTTCTGAGATGATCTCAATGAGATAGGTTGCAGTTGTTTTCACCACTTCTAACAGATACTAAAAATCTGATGACTTTTTCCATTGGAATTATGCCTTTTTATTTTTATGAGGAGAATTCTTAATTTCTAAGTCTAGAGGCCACATGCTTTAATTGCACACTGGTATTGAGACAGTAATTGTTTTTTAAAACCAAGCCTTTGTAAGTAAATGTAAGAATAGAGATGAGAAATTGGACTTACGTAGAATTTTTCATTATATTTGTATTTTGGCTCATTGCAAACGTAAGAAATCCTCACAGATGAAAAATCTTCTAAAAGTAAAGTACAAAGATCTGAAAATGTTTGGGTCCTTTTTATAAACAGTAAGACACCCTCATCTTAATTTAATGTATATCAATTTGAGGTGTTTGATATACAGACATATATATATATATATATTTAAAATTCCTAAGTTTTGAAGTAGTTTCGTTTATCTTGCTCTGTTACATTGAAATGTATGATTTGAAGTGTTCAACAAAAGGCTATTGATTCCTTTTCCAAGCGGGGAAAAGATTCACATCCATGAAATTAAGCATACATTTTTTGAAGAAAGTTATTTGAGTAAGGAATATAAAGCAAATAGTGCAGAATAAAATGTGGCTTTACTTTCCTGTTATATTTGACATCATGTGATCTTACTGTTTGATAGTTTGTTTCTGGGGATAAAAACCTGAGATGTATATTATAATGAAAATATTTGGGTCTTTATTTTAAGGTGAAAAAGCTCATCAGTGTGAAGAATGTGGAAAATGTTTTGGTCGTAGGGATCATCTCACTGTTCATTACAAAAGCGTACACCTTGGAGAGAAAGTGTGGCAAAAGTAAGTGAAAAAGCAAAATGTCTCATAGTTTACATTGGCTAAGTCTCTGAGGAAAGTTGTAACTTTTTTTGTTTACTTTGTTTAATTGAAGTTAGGTTAACCAGTTCTCTTTCTCTACATTCTGTAGCATCTCTATAGACCTAAAAGAATTCAGCAAGCATATATTTTCCTCCTTGTTTTCAGTTAATTCAAAGGCCAGGGAGGTGACATGCAAGTTAACAATAATTAATAAAAAATCTTGGCATTTGGTTGCTGAGGCTCTTTGAGAGCTAAATATACTGCCTATATATTATACTTAATAAGACAGCAGTTGTTAGGAAATGTTTGCAGTCAGAATTTAAACTTGTTTCTAATCATACTAAGCATTTAAAATATTATTTTATTTGAAGGCGCTGTGTGCTATCTTGAACATCAGCTTTTTAGTATAATTTAGATATCCAAGTTTAACTGAGGTTAGTTGCTAAGTGTAAAACATTCAAGTAATTCATGTTTTGGGGTTAGGCATTTGGGCAAATGATAAACAACAGACATGTTCTAAAGTGCCAAGAGACTTCACTTAATAGTCCTGAGCATAATTAGCAAAATGTACATAGGATTAACACGCCTCCAACCACCAATTATTTTTCTAATCTTTGCTTCTAAACTTTTTTATGGTGACTACCTCAGTAACCACTTCACATTCCAGCCACTGTTGCAATCTGACCTCTGATCTTATTCTGCTCAGTTATCAGTATGACTTCCTTGTTGCCAAATCAATAGGCATTTTTAAGTTCTTTTTTTACTGACATCTCTGCTTCAGTTCAAATTGTTTATCCTCTCCTTCCTTGAAAATCTGTATGGCTTAGCATCCATGTGGTAATTGCAAGGTATATTTTCATAGGGTCTTAGCCATGCAAGGCCCTACAGAATTTATCTTAAGTCCACTGTGAGGAAGTTAAAGTGTTTTGTACATATTTATGTTGAAAATATCACTTTGTTCATAGTATAGAGCAAGGTTTCTCAGCCCAAACACTGTTGACATTTTGGACCAAGTAATTCTTTTCTTGTGTATTGTAGGACGTTTCTCAATATTCATGGCTTCTACCCATTATATGCCAGTAGCACTTATTATCGTATCCCCAGATGTGAAAAACAAAAACGTTTTCAGGCATTGCCACATGTTTTATGGGGGGCAAAATTGCCCCCAGTCGAGTACTACTTCCTCTTTCTCTATGTGCCCATGGTGACCCTGTTTGTATCTCTGTTTATATTTACCATGGATATGAATGGAATAAGGTAAACCAAGCATACTGGTTAGGAGTCTTTTGCCAGGGTTATTATTCACAACCTCAATTCACAAAATCCAAATTATCTGTGTAAATGTTTGTTTCAGGAGTTTGACACCAGCCTGGGCAACAAAGTGAGACCCTGTCTCTACAAAACAATAAAAGAAAATAAATTATCTGGGTGTGGTGGCATGTACCTGTAGTCTCAGCTACTCAGGAGGCTGAGGCAGAAGGATAGCTTGAGCCCAGGAGTTCAAGGCTGCAGTGAGCTATTATGATGCTGCTGCAACCTAGTCTGGGTGACAGAACAAGACCCTGTCTCTAACAAAAATTAAAACAACCATCTGTTTCATCAAGTAGAATTAAGTTCATCTAGGACAGTGCTTTTTATGTTGTCTTATAAATGTTGGGTTGGATGAATTGAAAAATGAGGGACATTTAAAATCCTAGGCATAGTATGTTGGTATTTCGTATTGGTAACAATGTTCTAAACATTTCCAGTAAAACTCAATGGATATGTTAAGAGCAAACTGTTTTACAGAAGATTAAGTAGCCCAGGTTTGATTTAATTATTTTGCCATGTATTCATTCCATATGAATTGCTTCTGAGGTGAGATGGTATGGCTTTCTCAATAACTGCCACTTAAATGATAATTATTTTGTAAATATCTCAATTCTCACAATAAAATTTTCAGTTGAGAACTGTTTAACTCAAAGACACTTCTTAGGCACTATGCTGTGGTGCTTACTAAGTTAACTTTTCGGTAACTTATTGCTTTATTTCTGTCTATTATTTTGTAGTAAAAATAAAGGACTAATATTTCATTTTTAAATTTAGGTATAAAATTTTATTTATTAGTTCAAATTTATAATTTTTTTGTTAGGACATGAACTGATGAGAGCAATTTCACCTTTTTGATAAATGCGGGTTTTAAAATTGCCGCAGATTCTTTTTAATCAGCCTGAGCATCTATTTTTTAAATTTAGTTAAGGTGTAATTTACAGAAAGTGAAATTCATTCTTTTTAGTGTATAATTCTGCAAGTCATGTAATCATCACCACAATTAAGATATGGAATAGTTTCATCACCACAAAATTTCTGCCATGTCCCTTTCTAGACAACTCTTCATTTCCCCTTTAGGCCACTCTTGATCTGTTTCTACCTTATAATTTTTCTTTTTGTATATTTGGATAGCTAGTAATAATAAAAGTTCAGTGACTTAAAGCAGTTGAAAATCTACAGACCTCTTTTTATAGATTCGTTTGTTGGATGTAACTGGAAGAGGAAAAACCAGAGGCAAGCTCAACATATTAAAAGTATTTCCATGTTTCTTTGGAGTTCTATACTTTGTTAATGTGAGAATTATATACACAGTTGTAAATGAAGTTGCAACTTATTTTCATTATGTTAGTTATTAATATAATTATTAATATTGTCATATTTATTATAGTTATTAAAATTATATTGAAAAACTCAAATCTTTTTATTTTCTTAGATATAAAGCAACATTTCATCAATGTGATGTTTGTAAGAAAATTTTTAAAGGCAAATCAAGTCTGGAAATGCATTTTCGAACGCATTCAGGTAAAATTTAATGAGTGGTTCATAGATATATATATATAGAGAGAGATATATATAGTGTAATCAGAAGTAAAATATAGGCATTTAAACTTTGTTGTTCTTGGTTAAATTTCTTTGGTTTTCCCCATTAAGATTTTTACTTATTATATTGAAGTTCATGCCATGACTGAACAATATTCTCATCTTCTATTCTCTATTATGTAAGCTTCAATACTTTTAAATATTTTACAAAACTTGAGAAAACTTTTTCCATAAGATATTTACTCAACTTTTAGTTGTAATTTTCCCTTTTCTGATTGTTTTATGATTCTTCTTTATTTTGCTTTCTGAAGGCTTTTCTTAAGCCTTCAGATTAAATTCCTTTTTATCTTTTATTTTCTTCTCTTTTAAAAGAGTAATGCAAATATGACCTCATTGTCTTGTTTGCCAAGTTACCATCGTTTCATTTTCCTTTTTACATAGCCAGTCATGATTTATAGGTAGTTATAGTAAAAGGCTTTGCCTCAGCTGCTTTCCAGAAGTTGTCATTTGCAAAATCTTTCTTTTTTCTCCGTTGGGAATGTTACTACATTTTGAAATACAGAATATGTTAGATTCTTTCTTATATATTGTCTGAATCCTTGTTTGCCTTTACATATAAATTAACATTTTTAAAACCTTGTTTTCCTTAAGAAACAAGCCCATTTATGTATTTATGGCTGCTTTGTTTTATATTCAATTCGGATTTTGTCAAGCTGCTATTCTGGAAGAGAAAAATAAGTGATTTCATAAATATTAGAATGGGAAATAACTGAATTTGGGCAATATTATTAGCAAATAGTTGCAGTAAAGGATTTACTACTGATACAGTGCTGCTGTTAAAAGCAAAGTTACAGCCCTCTCCAAATAAAAAAAGGCATAATTTGGGAGAGCATAAATAAAAGTGTAAAATGAGGAAACGAACTTGATGGTATCTTCCATATCTTTTGTAAATAATTAACCTAATAGAACTCATGACTTGAAAGAGATGGTGAACTTACAGAAAGTTAATTTCAAACCATTGATGATTTAAGAACTGTACAACTTGAGTAGAAATTTAGTGCTGACTACATTGCATCAAAATTTTTAAAAACACTGATTTATAGTGATTGGCTGGTGGCCAGTGACAATGTGGAACATCAATATCTGGATATTTCACAGTTAATTGGAATTAGAAGACAAGTCTCTCTGCCCTTTGAAAATTGAGGACATTAGCTCTATGATGGAATAAGACAAAGACTATGGCTATTATGAAATGAGAGGGAAAAATAATAGAAGGCAAAAGTCAGCAAATACTTGTTGAGGGCTAGATAGTAAATGTTTTAGGCTTTGCAACTAAGAGTCTGTCACAATCATTCAGCTCTGCTGTTGTGATGTGAAAGCAGCCATAGACAATGTGTAAACAGATGAAGCATGCCTGTATTCCAATAAAACTCTATTTACCAACTCTCAATCTAAAGTGACCAACAGTCTACCCAGACAGGACTTCACAGAGTGGCTTTTGCAAGAAATGGTCACCATGTTCCCAAGTCCATTTTTGAGATTTATAGGTTCAGAGACTCAATTTTATCTGTGCATTGAGAGTTATAAGTATTGTGAGTAATTCTTCACAGTAAACACTGGGAATAGATTAGCCAGAATGTCATTAATTTACATTCTAGAAAATGAGATATTAATGTTTACTAGCTAGGGTATCTTTATCAAGGAAGCAGAATTGCTGAGTTTATTAATCAGAAGGAAAATTGCCAAATGTAGAGATAGAGTAAAATTAGATAGTAATTTTATGGGATAGTTTATCCAGGAAATGGTGAAGGATTTTGAACCATCCTTACCCTCATAGCAGGTGACCAGAAAAATTTTGTTCTTCAGATTTTTTTTTTCCTTGTTGGGATACCCTTAGTTCATTATATATATATTGCTAAATTTTTGTTTTTTAGAATTTCCTTAACTAGATTTCCTCTATAACCTTTTTTCTTCTGTTAGTATGTCTTTTCTCCATATCCTCATCTGGAGAAACAATAAAATGTGTTTGTTTCAGTTTTGGCCAGTTCAGTACACCTAATTGCTTCAAATAAGTATGTACAATCAATGCATATCGTAGGGCTTTTGAAGAGTTTGGCACTCAATAAATATTTGCTGAGTAAATAAATTTATTATGTTCTCCTATGACTCTTCTCTATTTTATTTTTTTTAAACCACACAGTTAGATAAATTAGTTGGAAAATGTATATAAGATTTTCTTGTACAGATGGCTTTTTCTAATCATGAGTTTTGTTTGTTCAATCCTCAGAATGTAGTGATTACATCTATTCTTTAACAGTTGTCTTGTTGAAACATATTCATTAAATTGGCATAAAGATGACCACAAATTTAGGACTTGATTTTAATGTTGACTGATTTTTTTATTCAAGGTGAATTTTCTTTGTAAGCTTTTTTTTATTGAAGTATAGCACACAAAGTGCACAAATCTCAAACAGTTCAATTAATTTTTATGAATGAATCCATCAATGTAGTCATGACTCAGATCAAGATATTAAAACACTACCAAGATTTCAGAAGGATTCTCTATGGCTCCTCCCAGTCAGTAACCTCCTTGCAAAGATGATGACTATTTTGACTTATATTAATAGCACCAAAAATTAATTTTGTCTATTTGAACTTCATATAAGTGAAATCATGTAGTATGTAATCTTTTTTTTCTGGATTCTTTTACCTAATAAATATTAAGTGTGGATTCCCTTATGACAGTAATTTGTTTCTTTTCATTTTCATCTTCATATGACTGTTACAATTTATTCATTCTACTTTTATGGATACTTGGTTTATATTTGCTTGGTTCTCTTAGGAATAAAGCTGCTGTGAACATCCTTGTCCATGTCTTTTCATACACATATGCATTCTTTTCTCTTATATATATTCATGGCCCTAGGATTCCTGGCTCATAGGATATGCATATGTTCTACTTTAGGAGATACTACTAAGTAGTTTTTTCAAAGTAATTGTGTCAGTTTACACCACCAGCAGCCACATATGAGAATCTCAATTGCTTCACATTTTCACCAACATTTGATACTTTTTTTTTAAATCCATTTGATAGATACGTAGCACTATCTGAGAATGGCTTCGATTTGCACCTCTGTGATGAGTATTGATGTTGAATACCTGTTCTTGTGCTCACTGGCCATTTGGATATCTACTTTTGTGTAATACTAGATTAATTCTTGTACTCATTTTTAAAAATTGGAGTGTCTGTCTTTTTCTAATGGATTTGTAGGTATTCTTTCTACATTCCGGATATATATATTACAGATACCTTCTCCTCTATGACTTACCTTTTCACTCTTAATGATGTCTTTTGATGAACAAAGGTTTTGAAGTTTAAAGACGTCATGTACCATTTTTTTCTTTATAGTTCTTTTGTGTCCTCTTTAAGAAACTTTTGCTCAACCCAAGGTCATTAATATTTTTTGCGGTTACCTTCTAGAAGATTTATTTTAACTTTCTTATCTAGATCCATGAACTTTCTATAATTTGTTTTTGTTTGTTATTAGGTAAAGGTGAAAGTTCTTTTTTTAACATATGGTTATCCAATTGCTTTAGCGCTATTTTTTGGAAAGATGATCCTTTCTCACTACATTTCATTGGCATATTGTTGTAAATTAAGTGATCATATATGTGTGCTTTGTTTGTCAACTTTTTAGTTTCAAATGTGTTTATTATTTTTGTCCCTTTGTATTTTTATATAAATTTAGAAATAGTCTGTTAATTTCCACACACAAAAATACTGGCTAGGAATTATTGGAATTTCATTGAACCTGTGGTCAACGTTTCCTTAACTGATTTTTTTTATAACATCGTATTATCCAGTCTGTGAACACCTCCATTAATTTGTTTAGATTTTTTTCAAAGATGATTTGTAGTTTTTAGTGTAGCTATCTTACACATTTTGCATTAGATTTATGCCTAGGTATTTGATATTTTTGTATCAAATTTTGACCTTTTTTTAATTTTATTTTTTATTTGTTTCTGGTATACAGGAATAGAATTGAGTTTGTTTATTGACTTTTTATCCAGTGACCTTGCTAAATTTCTATTAAATTTTATAGTTTACCCCTAGCTTTTTTTGAACTTTCAAAGCATGCAAACAAGTTATCTGTGAATAATGACAGGTTCATTTTCCCCTTTTTAGTCTTTATAACACACACTCTCTCTCTCTCTGTCTTTCAGGGTTGGGAAGTAAACCTTGTTGCTTCGGTCACATTATTGCTTTGGTCACATCTCCAGTAGAAACATTGAGAGTAGACATTATTTTCTTATTCTCATCTTCAAGGGAAAAGCTTTCAATAATTCACAATTAAGTATGATATTTTTTATAGGTTTTTTGTAGATAGTCAGATAAGGAAATTACTATCCCTAGTTTATTTAGAGTTTTTGTCATGAATAGTTGTTGAATTTTATGTTTTTTCTATATTGATTGAGGTGATCATATTTTTTTATTTATGTGGTAAATTGTACTGATTGATTTTTGAATATTAAACCTCATTTCTGGAATAAACCCAGACTGGTTTGATATAGTATCTTGCTAATGATATATTATCTTGTTTATCCTGTTCATGGTGTATTGAAGATATAATATATCCTGTTCATGCTTGGTGCGATGGCTCACAAACCCCTGTAATCCCAGCGCTTTGGGAAGTCGAGGTGGATGATTTGCTTGAGCCCAGGAGTTCAAGACCAGCCTGGGAAACATGGCAAAACCCCTTCTCTACAAAAATTCCAAAAATTAGCCAAGCGTGGTGGCGCATGCCTGTAGTCTGAGCTACTCTAAAGGCAGAGGCGGGAGGATCACCTAGCCGGGGAAATTGAGGCTGCAGTGAGCTGGGATGGCACCACTGCACTCCAGCCTGGGTGATGGAGTGAGAACTTGTCTCAAAAATAAACAAACATTCAAACACATAAATATACAGACATACACATACATATATCCTGTTCATGATATATTATCCTGTATAATTGAATTCAATTTGCTTATATTTTGTACATTTTTTTGGTTCACGAGACATATTGCCTATATCTTTTCCCTTGTAATGTCCCTGACAGGCTGTGTTATCATAACTATGCTGGTCTCAAAAGATGATTTGGGAAATAATTTATCTTTTTCAGTTATCTGGAGGAGTTTGTGTAAAATTGGCATCATTTCCTCATTAGTGTTTGCAAGAATTGACAGAATAAATTCCTGAGTTTGTTTTCTGTAGGGAAAGGTTTTAATTAAATTTTTTTGTTGTTGTTGTTGTTTTTGAGACCGAGTCTCACTCTGTCGCCCACACTGGAGTGCAATAGCACGATCTTGGCTCACCGCAACCTCCACCTCCTGGGTTCAAGCGATTCTCCTGCTTCAGCCTCCTGAGTAGCTGGGATTACAGGCACCAGCCTCCACACCCGGCTAATTTTTTTTTTTTTTTAAGTAGAGATGAGGTTTCACCATCTTGGCCAGGCTGATCTCTAACTCCTGACCTTGTGATCTACCCACCTCGGCCTCCCAAAGTGCTGGGATTACAGGTGTGAGCCACCATGCTGGGCCTAATTAAAGATTTTTTAAGTGTGTTTTTTAATTTGTGTTTTAGTATGACCGTTAAAGAGCTGTCATATTTTCAATTTATTTATTCACTTTAAAGGTATTCTGTTAATCTAAAATGTGAAATCTATTGGCAGAATTTGGGGTATTTTGTTATTGATCTTTTTAGTGATGATAGTGTCTTTAGTGATAACCTTTTTGTCATTCCTGTTACTAGTAATATGCCTTTTCTTGCTAAGGATTTATTGATTTCATTAAGCTTTTGAAAGAACCACTAGGTTTTGCTGATTTTTCTCTTTGTTGATTTATTTTATTTTTCATATCTGCTTTCTCTTTTGTATTTCTCCCATTTTGCTTGTATTTCTTCTTTTTTTTTATTATTATACTTTAAGTTCTGGGATACATGTGCAGAATGTGCAGGTTTGTTACATAGGTATACACGTGCTATGGTGGTTTCCTGCACCCATCAACCCGTCACCTACATCAGGTATTTGTACTTATGCTATCCCTCCCCAGGCCCCCCCATCCCCCAACAGGCCTTAGTGTGTGCTGTTCCCCTCCCTGTGTCCATGTGTTCTCTTTGTTCAGCCTCAGTGAGGCAACGCCCCACCCTGGTTCTGCTCGCCCCCCATGGGCTGCACCCACTGTCTAGCCAGTCCCAGTGAGATGAGCTGGGTACCTCAGTTGGAAATGCAGAAATCACCTGCCTTCTGCGTTGATCTTGCTGGGAGCTGCAGACTGGAGCTGTTCCTGTTTGGCCATCTTGTCAGCCACTGGCTTATATATATATTTTTTTTAATTTGCCTTTCCCTGCCTTTTTTATGGGGATGCCTAAGTTGTTAAATTGTAGTATTTCTTATTGTTTATTGTATGTATTTTAAAGCCATGTTATCCTCTAAATACTGCTTTAGTTACCTTCCATACCTCACTTTTTTTTGTTGTTTTTTTTGTTTTTTTTTTGAGATAGAGTCTCGCTCTGTCACCCAGGCTGGAGTGCCGTGGTGCAATCTCGGCTCACTGCAAGCTCCGCCTCCCGGGTTGACGCCATTCTCCCGCCTCAGCCTCCTGAGTAGCTGGGACTACAGGCGCCTGCCACCATGCCCGGCTAATTTTTTTGCATTTTTAGTAGAGACGGGGTTTCACCGTGTTAGCCAGGATGGTCTCGATCTCCTGACCTCGTGATCCGCCCGCCTCGGCCTCCCAAAGTGCTGGCATTACAGGCATGAGCCACCATGCCTGGCTCCGTACCTCATTTTTAATTTCATATTTCCATTATAATTCAGTTAAAAATATTTTCTAATGTCTGTTCTAAATTGTTCTCTCGTTAATGGTTTACTTCAAATTGTATTACCCAATTCCTAAATATGTGGGGATTTTCTAAGCAAGTTTATGTTACTGATACCTAGTGTAATTCTACTCTTGTCAGAGAAGATATTCCATTCAAATATTCTACATTCTTCATTTTTTACCACTTATTTTGTAAGTTACTGAGATATTTATGTGAAAATCTCTACTGTAACCATGATTGTAAATTGTTTATTTCTTTTGATTTTTTCATTTTTTGCTTTATTTTGAGGTTATATTATTATATATAATATATATAATATATTAGATATGTATTATATATAATATATATAATATATTAGATATGTATTATATATAATATATTAGATATGTATTATATATAATATATATAATATATTAGATATGTATTATATATAATATATATAATATATTAGATATGTATTATATATAATATATATAATATATTATATATGTATTATATATAATATATTAGATATGTATTATATATAATATATATAATATATTAGATACGTATTATATATAATATATATAATATATTAGATACGTATTATATATCTAATATAATATATGTATTAGATATATATTAGTCATATCTTTCTGTTGAATGGTCTTTTATATCATTATAAAATGTTGCTCTTTATTATGGGATAAAGATTACCAGCACTCTTTTGGATACTTTTATATTAAATATTTTTTCTTTTTTTACTTCCAAGCCTTCTTTGGACTTATATTTATGATATGCATCTTTTGGTATTGTTTAATTATCTATTTTGATCATCTTTGTCCTTTAATTTGTATGTTTAGTTCATTTAAATTATGTGATTTCTCACTTATTTGGGCTTGAATGTATCATCATGCTGTTCACACAATTGATTCCTTGATGCTTTTTTCTCTTGTCTTCACTTTGTTTATAATCATTAAGGATTGTTGTTGTCATTTTTCCCTCAGTTAGCTTCTTAATTATGTGTTCTTTCATTATGTTTTTAGTGGTTACCCAGGATAACAATGTGCATTCTGAAATTGTTACAGTCTACCTTACCTTCTAGAAAAGATAAATAAAATAATTGAAATTATTCGTCACTTTCCAGAAACTGCAAATACCTTATAACACCCTTATCTTTCTTATCTGTTATATATTGTATGTATTTAAATTCTTCATGTCTCTTAAAACCCAAAGACATCGCTTTTTTGTTTTAAATATTTAATATTATTGCTATTTAACCATGTATTTATTCTTTACTGTTTACTGTTCTTCCACCTGGAGTCATTTTCCTTATACATGAAAAGTTCTCTTTCATGCAGTCTGCTGGCACCATATTATTTGTCTGAAAATGTTTTTATTTTACCTCATAGGTAATTTTTTTTCTGACTGTAGAATTTACGTTAGCAGCTTTTTTCATTTGGCACTTTAGATAGGTTATTTTTGGTTTTGGAGCTTGTTTTGCTTTTGTTGAAAAAATATACTATCAGTCTTATTGTTGCTCATTTGAAGGAAATGTCTCTTTTTAATTGGCTACTTTTTTAGATTTTTCTGTTTTTGGTTTTCAGAAGTTTTACTATAGTGTGCCTTGATTTGAGTGTTTCTGTGTGTGTGTGTGTGTGTGTGTTTTGTATTTTGTGAGGTTTATAGTGTTTATTGAATCTGTGACTTGATGTCTTTCTTTTATTTAGGAAGATTCTTGGCCATTTTCTTTTTAAATATTGCTATTGCCTATTCTCTCTCCTCCTCCTGAGACTTTGATTACATGTACATTAGGCATCTTCACTTATCTTTTTTAGAGTTTCCTTTTTTTCCCATAGATTCCAATCTCTGGTAAAATTTACTTTTCCTGTATTGTCCTGTACATATTAATCATATTGATTTTGATGTCCCAGTCTTATATATATAATATTTGCTTTGAGTGTGTGTATTGTATTTTTTCCCCTCTTGGCATTTGATCATTTGGGTCACTTTGTATTGAACTTTAGATTTTGTGAGTTAAAAATTACAGAAGCCCTTGAAGATGTGTTTCTTCCAGTTAGATTTAAATTTTTTCTCACAAGCAAATAGAATATGAGAGGACTTTGTTTTGTTTCTGGCTACTTCTGATCTGCCTTTCTCCTAGTTCATCATTGCATTGGGGTCTCTACTGACTGCATGGTGTTTTTACCAGAGTTTCTCACTTTGGTGAGTCCTGAACTCTAATCTCTGTCTCCCAGTATTCTTGGGATTGCTGAAATATTGGTCAACCCTGTAGCCTTCTGACTCTTGGTTTCCAGCTGTCTCACCCAGCAAATGTTTCTTTTAATAGTTGGCAAATACAGATATTTTTGTTCATTTCTCTGTTGTTCCTTCTTTTTCAGGCTCCTGACCCTTCAATTCTTTGGTAGTCCCAAACTCCAACTTTTATCTTCCCATTCCAATGAGATTTCCTCAAGTGCTGGGTTGCAGCTTGGCGTCTATTTCCTCATAGACTGACTCTGAAAGTGCACTGAGGAGAAAAGAAAGCACCTCTATACTTCCTATGTCACCAGACCTTGCCCCTTAGGTTCTGGCTGACTTGGCTGTGCTTTGATGCCTGCAAAGAGTAATTTGGGTGTGGGGGTTATTTTTTAAAAATCTTTTATCTTTCCCTTCTCATCAGTAAGAGCCATGATATGATGTAAGTCTGAAATAAGTCTGAAATAAGTCTCCCAATGCACATTTTTCACATACCAATTTTTAATATCTAAAGAAAGATGATTCTGTGGATGACATTTTTAAATTCTAAAGGCTCATAGATTCTACGATTTTAACTATTAGTTTACATCTCTTTGAGTATTGTTTATTTCCTTCTGCTCTTAATGCTCCTTTCTGTCATTAAAGGGACCTTTTGGTTGCCTTATGTCTCTGATTTATGATCTTGAGATGCACTCTACTTGCATTATTGTTAAATACATAATTTTACCATAGAAACTCTCACTGTAGAAGGTTTATTTCTTTAATCTATATTTTTTCAAGTTGATAGTTTTCACCTTTTCTGCTATCTATCTTTAAGCACTATAAGTTTGCTTTTTACATTTAATAATGTTAACATTTTCTTTATGAATTTTCATCTTTTTAGAAACCTAAATTGATTTTTCTATTGAAAATGAAAGTTGTTTAAAATGATAATGGAAACTACTCAAAGGAATATGCCCATCTGGATTACAGTTTTCTAAAAGTATTTGTTACACACCAGAACTGATTGAAGATTATTCTAAGTTTAAAAACATCGTTGCACTTATAAAACTTTTTTAATGAAAATGCTTAAGGACCATCATGCTGGTCCTGTGCCAGAGAACACTCAAAACTTAAACTTTTGTCTATAAAAGTAGACTCTGTGCTTCTTGGTGGTGTTAGTATTGCTGTGGTCGTGTTCTTATTTTTTTTAAAAAAATTATAGAATGCTCATTGCATGACAAGTATTGATGCCAGGGATTTATAGAACGCACTTAAGAGTTCTTGCATTTTGGAAGTGTACATTTTGTTTTCAAAGCACTCTCCTCTGAGCTTTTCCTTATTATCTCTGATTATAGGCATTCACTTGTAAAATCAAATGTTAGATGCTGTGTGTTCTATACACAGTTAAAAATACTTTTTCTGAAAAGTTAATTATCTATATAATGTATTCATGTCTCACTGCCTCTCTAATGACATCAGTAATAATGTTAGTCCAGAAACAAGTAGAAATTCAGTAGTACTAGGTAATCAGCCTCCCAATCTGTCTAAATTTTCTGGTAGTGGGATTTGAAGGTTCCAATGGGCTACAAAATATTTAACAATAATATTTAACAAATAATAGTTTGATATTAGTGATTCAACTTGAAGATGTAATTATCTTTTAATTTACTAGGAGAATGGATGATGCTTCAAATGGAGAGATGAGAGGAAAATATCAACAAACTCATGTGACAATTAATATGTAATTTTCTAATTTGGCTTTAAAATAATGCCTTTGTGTCTACTGCAGTATTAGTGTTTCTGGATATATGAGTTTTCTATTGCTGCTGTTAACAAACCACCACAAATTTGGTGGTTTAAACAATACAAATTTATTACCGTATAGTTCTTTAGGTCAGAAGTCTGACACCAAGCTGAAATCTAAGTGTTTGGTAGAGCTGTATTTCTTTCCAGGGGCTATAGGGAATAATGAGTTTCCTGCTCATTCAGGTTACTGACAGGAATCAATTATTGGAGTTGTAGGACCAGGACTGAGATTCCCGTTTTCTTGCCTATTGTAAACTGAGAGCCTTTCACATCTTATAGTGGCCGCAGCATTCCTTATGTTCTAGCTTCCTCCTTCCATTTTCAAAGCTAACAATTTGTGATTGAGTTCTCATGTTGCATCTGTCTGACCCATTCTTCCTCAGTTATTGGCCATCTTCTACGACGCCTATGATTAGATTTGACTCACCTGTGTACGCCTGTTGGTCTGCCTATTTCAAGGTCTTACCTTAATCTGATCTGCAAAGTCTCTTTTACCACATAAGTATCTACAGCTTCCTGGGACTAGAGTGTGTACATCTTTGATAGGCCATCATTCTGCCTACCACATTGGCTAACCTAGGAATTTATAATGTTTTATATAAAACAAAACAAAACAAAACTACAGTGTGAGAACCTGACTCAGGGGGATCTAAAAACAGGTCCAGCTTCTTTGTTCTTTCCGCTGAACAACTCTTCTTATTTTGACCTCAGGCTAGAGATAACTACTTGTTATCTAATCCAAGGAACCATGTTAATTAGAATTGCTGTTTTAGTTTTTATCCTCCTTGCGTGGGGGAGAAAATCAGATGTTTTGGTTTAACCTTTTTGAGGGCTATGGGAATAAAAGTAAGCAATAACAATAGTTTACAAGCACTTATTATGTACTAGGTGCAGTGCTAAGCCCTATTACTCTACTTTCTCTTTTGGTCCATTTACCAACTCTGTGAGGTTGGTTATTATTCCATATTACAGATGAGAAAATTAGGCATAGAAGTTGGGTAGCTTGCTCAATGTTTGGCTAGTAAGTGTTATAGTCAGAATTCAAACCCAGATCTTTTTAATGTTTAAGCTTCTTATTTTTACCAGTTTATTGTACTGTCTGCATTTTGTGATAGTATACAGTATTATTGCTATTATCAAGTTCTGGCAAGTATTCACATTGGAAGTTTGCTACTTGAAGTCATTGTCTTATCAAGTTGAGTACATTTTACATCTAATTATATTCTTGTTCATTCATATAGGTGAAAAACCATACAAGTGTCAAATTTGCAATCAGTCTTTTAGAATTAAGAAAACATTAACAAAACACCTGGTTATTCATTCTGATGCCCGACCTTTCAACTGTCAGCACTGTAATGCAACATTTAAGCGGAAAGACAAGCTGAAATACCACATTGACCATGTTCATGAAATAAAATCTCCTGATGATCCTCTCAGTACTTCTGAGGAAAAACTTGTATCCTTGCCAGTTGAGTACTCATCTGATGACAAAATCTTTCAAACAGAAACAAAACAATATATGGACCAGCCCAAAGTTTATCAGTCGGAAGCCAAGACGATGTTACAGAATGTATCTGCTGAAGTATGTGTTCCAGTAACTCTGGTTCCAGTTCAGATGCCTGACACTCCGAGTGACCTAGTGCGTCATACTACCACACTCCCACCATCTTCTCATGAGATTCTGTCACCACAGCCACAGTCAACTGATTATCCACGAGCAGCGGATTTAGCTTTTCTGGAAAAATATACTCTTACTCCTCAACCTGCAAATATAGTTCACCCAGTTCGACCTGAACAAATGCTAGATCCTAGAGAACAATCTTATCTTGGAACATTACTGGGCCTTGATAGCACTACTGGTGTTCAAAATATTTCTACGAATGAGCATCATTCATGAGTAAATCTAAACATTCCACAGATTTTTGGATGGTTATATGCTAATGGTAGAGATGATAGCTTTTAAATTTGTGGGGCTGCTATTTTCTTGTTTTCTCTAGTTTCTCAAGTCCTCAGAACAGTTTCAAATCAAGAAAACTATGTGTCTCTGTTTACTGAACATGAATATTTGGACAAAATTTCTGGCATAATATTTGAAGTGCACATTTTTGTGATTTTTAAAGATTATTTAGTGCTAACTTTTAATGGTTTCTTAAATTTTTTGCAATTATTAGCTGCTGATATTATGGAAGTATTTTTTTTAATCATCAGTGGAAATTTTTATTCTTCTTTAGTCTCATTCCTCTCCTTCTTCTTCCTAGCCCTTCTTACAAACAAGTTTGAGGACCATGTAGCCTTTAAGAAGGAATTAAGAGTACACTGATAATTGCAACTGTTTCTTATCCTAAGATTCAATATTACGTTATACAAATTTTTAAAATTGAAATTAGGAATTTGAATTTACAAGAATGCCTTGGATATTTCTGTGTTGTCTTTCCATTCATACATAATTTTAGGTTATCATTATCCTTTGGACTTTTGATATACTCAAAGCCAGAAAGCTTAACTAATGTAAGATTAGCTATTATTTGTAGGACTGAAATAATAATCCAGATAATTGGTTTTTGCCTATACTTCAATTGTTATGAATAAGAAAGGCAAACATAGGTCTGGGCATTAAATTATACAAACTGAAAATGTGTTACAAGAAAAATATGAGAGTTTTAACTAGATGTTTTTCAAGGTAAGTTCACCTTTTGTACTTTACTATTTATTTCAGAAATGTTGACAATACAACATAGCATATGTCTTCATCTCACTAAGAAAAGAGCAGTTGTAACTCAATGAAATTTAATTAAACATGCTACTTTTGATTTCATTTACTTGGCTGATAGAAACTCTGGGAAACAGAACCTAGATATTTTGTGTTCAATTGTTAGAAAAGGTGCCAAACAGATTATGAAATTTGTGCCTAATTTAACTTAACATTGTTTAATTAAATGGAACCACTACTTATATACAGATTTACATGCAATCCAGATCTTTAATTTTGCCTTCACAAAAGCCTAATGTCTGTAATTAACCTTTAATTTTTATTTCTGTATGAGACAAAAGTTGAGGACTTGGTGAAAGGAAATAGCAGTTACAGCAAAACCTCAGTGATTACAATTGAGGAAAAAGTCAAAATTATAAAATACCTTTAAAGACATGCACTTTCCATATTTTCAAGTCAATTTTAACTAAAAACTAAGATAATGTTTCCTAGTAGAGTTGCTTGAAGATTAGACTAGACAGGGTTGATTTATTATTAGCATGTCATTTGTACATAAACTAGTAGAAAATAGCAGTTTTAAAAGTTTTCTATTTCAGTTTTGTTTACACTCCTAATTGCTTTAAGCACTTTTTTTGTGTGTGTAAACTGTAAAGTCTAGCCCAGCCCTTGTGAAAAAAAAAATCACAAATAAAACAGTGAAGTTTTAATGAATAAAGTTTAATCAATTAGTAATGGCGGAAACTGTCGCTGAAGCACTTAAGAAATAAAGGTACTTTACAGCAACATTCGCCATACTAGCGGAGGTAAAACAAAAGAAATATTGAAAACTGAGGCAGTTAACCAAAGTAGCTCATATAAATAATAAAACCAATCTGAGTTTAGCCTCATTTGTCAAGGTTTGGTTGTAATTGTCTTAAGACTAGTGGACATACTTACTATGTTCTCCTTTTTAAAGTATTCTTATTTCTTTGTGTGGAAATGTTATATCTGGGGTACTTACATGATTGAGGTTGACTATATGAGGTACTGTTAGTCTGTTAGTCTTTCAAATTGACTTTTAAAAATACATATCTTTATGATTTTCATCATAAAGACTGGCAATATTATAACTAAAAATCTTACTATAATGAAAGAAATCATACATAAAAATGTAGCCTGCCTTACATATAAGCTAATGTAGAAAAGTTTAGACTTATAAAAAGGCAGATAGTATATATATATTTATATACATGTATGTATATGGTATATTATACATTTGGTGGCAGAAAAAGAAGATACTGCATTTTCACATTGAAAAGAATACTTTGATTTTTGAAGGTATTTACTTTAGGGTTCTTTTAATAATAATGTCCGTCCTAATGCTTTAAATATATGATTTAATTGTAGGAATTGGTTTACACAGAACTTTTTTGGAATACATCTCTTAGTAAAGTGAAATATAATAATATAATTGTATTTAGTTACTATTGTAGATAACTTAAACTTGAGTAGTGATTTACTGTTTTATAAAATGCTTTCATATATGTTATCTCATTTGAACCTCATAACCAGCCCTGAAATAGTAAAAACAAGCTATATTCCCACTTTATAAAGAATTTGAGGTTAAGATAAAAGGACTCATTTAAGCTCACATGGTCAGTAGGTGGCAGAGCTACTAGTAGGGAAAGAAGAAAGCTAGCATTAATGAATGCTTACTATGTGCCAGGTACTACATCCTGTCATTTAATCTTAACCTAGTCTGGGAGATGCGTAATATAATTCTGGTGAAGTAATAGTTTCAGTGGATGATTGAAAACAACAACAACAAAAACAAAATGAAACTAATCTGCTGCCTCTAATTTCCAAAAATGTAAGAAATTTTACAATTGTGAAAACCTCATGGATTTGGGCAAACTGAATGTATATAGGCTTTTGACAAAAGTTGGCACAAAAAGTATAAAAGGAGGCCTATTCTTTTCAGTTGACCTTTTGTAATATTTGATTTAGAGTATTTTGGACAAATGCTCTATAACTCTAATCCATTTATTTTGTAACTGTACTTAAAATTTTGAATCTTGCAACTAAGTTTAGCCTCATTCAGAATTTTTTTATTTTGTGAGCATAATTTATTGTTTTAAATTAATTTTTTAGCAGATAGCAGTTAGCACTTAATCTGTAAATTGAATAATTTATCAAGTGCAGGAATGTGTTAATCTAATGGGTTTTGACTTAAATGCACCAAAGATTTTTAGTAGGTATTAAATAGTTTAAAAGACTTTAAATTCTTTCTTGCTTGAATAACTATTTGTCCAAAGAAGCACAGTTGAAGTCCTAGAATAATGGATTTTTTTAAAAAAAAAAAGTTGTTAGTTTGAATACTGAGATTGATTATTGTGTTTATATGTATAAAAATAGGAGCAAAAGAAAATACTCTGGGAATAGTCATACTGACAAACCAATTATAAGTGAGAATACTGTTTTCCTTAGTTTAATTAATACAATGTTATGTTTTTTAGAGAACACTACTAAATGCTAAATAAGCCTATTTTTTACACTACACTATCAAAATAATTTTTGCCTTCGAATTTTTTTAAGTCAAGTTGAGGTTATTTTTGTAAGAAACCCAACCTATTTTTTTTGCAGCCTAAAATCCCATTTAAGGTTAGGGGTTGGTCCTTATGCCAGCAAGATTTAACCAACTGTAAAGATAGTAGTCTTTGCATACATTTAAGTAATTAAGGCATTTATTGCTGGGAGAATAGGAGTAGCAAAAATATGGTTTTAAATTGGTGCTTTATTAGGTGACTTCCTTTTAGGCGATGGCAGGTCATGAAATAGGTACACTAATAATTTTCTATCAACCTTAAAAAGTGTCAAAGCATCTTTGTAGGGTGACTCTAAACTGCTAATTAAGGGTTAATAAGTAATTATCATTGGTTGCTTTTCAATATAATTGCAAACAAATTAAAAACACAGTTAAACTAATATGTTTATAAGCTTGAGTTTTCTTCCTACCATATCACTCTCATATATCAGTGATGAAATGTCAGATTTTGAGCAGTAGCTCTTTGACAGTGTCCTTTTATACCCAGTCTTTTCTGCATTGAATGCTTTGTGCCTTTTCGATGTGTTGTAGTTGCTTAGAGTTGATTCTGCTGGCTAGATTGTACTGATTAATAGATTTTTATTTTTATTTTTTTTTGGTTATGGGTGTTATGATTGTGTTGCCTGCTGGTTGGGCAACTTTTTTTTTTTAGGTTGCTTTATGTTTATATAGGCAAATTGGCACTAAGTGTTAGTGTGAATATTTGTTTTTATGATTTATATATCATTTTAAAAATCTCTGTTGTGGCCTTTATAGTTACTGTGAAGCCACTCTTGGGCCTGTCTCTATATGCTTATTAGAGGAATCTGACAAGTAAAATAAAATGAGTAGTGTGTCTGCATCTGTGTCTCTGTTTCTCTGTCTTTTAAATAACCAGTAACCATAACTACACAGCCCTGCACTGAATGACCTTATTTCAGTTTGCCTAAAACTGAACAAGAGGTGATGGTTTGAGATGAGTTTCTCATTAGGAGCAGCAACATCCCAACCAATATATAATGAGTTGATCAACTCAGGAAAAATTAGGACTTTAAAGAAGGTTGTATTTGGATATTCTAAGATTCAGTGCCAAATTTAAAATGCCTAGAAATGTATTCTACAAGTAGCATTTCTAAAACTTTAAGTAGTGTTATAGTAAATGCTACTTGCTGTTAGAGTGAATAATGGATAATGTGAGAATAATTTTCTAAACGACTTCTAGAAACTAGACAGTTCTTCCTTATATCCTACCCTTTTCCACATTTCTCTAATGTGGGGTTTTTTGTTTGTTTGTTTGTTTTGAGGGTAGAGGGAATCCCCTCCTTATTTCCTCTAAAATTGTTTTTACTTAAGATACCTTTTCCCTATAATCTTAGCATGCTTTCTGCTCTTTCTCTTTGGAAGTAGCATTAATAAGATAGATGTAATAGGATTAAGATGTGTGGAAGATGAGAAAAAGAAGGTTTTTGTAGAGAGAGTGCTTATGTTTTGTTTACTCATGTTTCAACTTGCTGTGTATGATCATAAATCTATGATCTTGAGAAAAATCCTAAAACAATTTAAATTTAGCCTATGCAGCCAATTACATAAAGAGAAATTAAGGATTATATTCAGAGGAGAAATTAAGGATTATATTTAGAGCACAGAGGTTATACAAAGAATATAACCTTGTTTGGTCAAATTCTTAGGTAAAGAAAAGTAATCAATGCTTGCATTGCTGTTGGAGATTCTAAAAGATGTATTGAATGAAGAGGATGTACACATCTCATTGTTACTGCGTATTTTTTTGCTTGGTATTCCTGCTTGCATTAAAGCTGGACAATGTACTGTGATGTAATTACAAAATTTTTATTCCTTCTAACGATTGAACTCTTCTTATCCCTATTGATAAAACTGTATTACAATTGATGAGTGTGGCTGCCAGAAAATAATACAAAACTGGGCATTTAGCTGTTCCACATTGTGTAGTAAATGTTTTGATTATGGGGATTTACAGTGTATATTAAAGTAGAAATGCTTTTGCACTTGTTTTCAGTCTCAAATAATAATTTTTGTTTTTAATTAAGGATACTTTAAAAGCAATGACAGAAAAATCTAAAATATCAGAATTAATTATTGTGAACTGTGTGTAAAATATCTTGTGAGTTTTATACATACTTTGGTTGTCTGATGTTTCCTAAGTATAAATGTCTTTATAGAAAATTTCAGTTCTCTGTGAAGAGTAGGAAGTGTACTGTATATTGAACTAGTTCTTTGTGTTACTTTGATATTTAAAATAAATATAAAGTTCTTTGGTCCTAATACAGCATATCTAGGTTTTATTGAACCACATTTTCACAGGATGGGAATGCAGTACTCTGAAACCAAGTAACTTGCAGCACATTTTAAAACATTTTCTCATAAGCTATATGTTTTGAAATATTTTATATATTAAATGTATAAACCATTAAACTAATTTTAAGTGTAATATAAATTCAAATATTAGTGATGACTTTTATGCTTGAAGTAGTCATATTATGCTGTTTTTTAGAGAGAAGTCTGAAGTGTAGTAAAATTCATTAGTGAAATGAGTTATTCTGTATAATATTGAGAGGGGCCACTCTTACCTCTAATCCCCCTCACTCCCAGAAACATACATTCTGGCTATGGGAGAAATGGTTGTTGGTTGAAAGCATAAACTGTAGGCTATAGGATGGTACCCCCAAACTTGCAAGTTGTTATCCCTATCTGGCACCATAAGTGAGCCTCCAATAGACTTTCTCTATTTTATCTCAGCAGCTGCTTCTGAGTGTTAGAAGACCAGTAAATTCTATAGGCATGAGCACATTTCTGCAAAATGAGTTTTCTGATTATAGCCAATGTCGTGTGTGATACTTAGTTTACTATTGCTGTCTAATACATTATACCGAACTTAGTGGCTTAAAACAACAAACTTTTATTACCTCCAAGTTTCTGTGGGTAAGGAATCTAGGCCGGATTTAGCTGGGTGGTTTTAGCTCAGGGTCTTTCATGAGATTGAAATCAAGCTGTTAAGTCAGTTGCCATCTCTAGAGGCTTCACTGGGGATGGCTTTACTTCCAAGCTCACTCGTGGTCTTTGGCCTTAGTTCATCACATGGCCTCTCCACAGGGCTGCCTAGTGATATGGCAACTGCCTGCCCCGCCTTCCCCCCACCCCTCCACACACACACCACTTTCCTGAAAGCAATCCAAAAAAGAGAGCGTACCCAGGATTTCAGTTGTTGTCTTTTTATAACCTAATCTTGGAAGTGATATAGTATCACTTCTGTATTCTATTGTCACTAATTCTAGTCCACATGCAAGGGACACAAATTAAACTCCCTCTCTTGAAGAGAGGATAGCAACAAATTTTTGGACATATGTGAAAACCATTACATATTCATTGGTTTATAGATAAAGCTTTCTGTAAATATATATATAATGGGGGCAGGTACAGTAATCTATACTCAGAAAAATATATTTATCCCAGAGAGGAAGAATATTGCATCTTCCATAATAGAAAGCGTTCAATGTAACCACATGCCACAGGTAGTTAGCTGGTCCCACTGGAGAATGGAATTAGACTGGATGTTCAGCATCAGCCTCTTTCAGTAGGTTAAGCACTCCACAGGGGCTTATCACATCAGCTTTGGCAAGGGAAACCACCTTGAGCCCATTCTTATCCTCCACCACTGCTGCCATAGCCACTTTCTAAATGGGTTCAACGCGCAAGCAAATGGATCTCTGGGGGAAGAAGCTGACCTCCACAGGATAGATTGTCCTTTTTACCTGATTTTTGAGCTCCTTCTCAGCCATGGATATTCTCTGATGGGCATTTACATGGAACACAAATTTAACTTCCTATACCTATTTTGAGAAGCCCTTTTATATACCGCTCCTCCCCAGACCAAGCTGTCACCAATTTTCCATTTTGTTTTCTCCAAAGGTTTGACCAGCTGGCCAACCTGTCAGCCATTATCCATGAATCAGCACAGAGCTTTACCTTAGGCCATGTTCTCTTCCTTATGAAGTGGACTACCAAACATACCATCCAGAATTCTCACTGAGAGTATTCCCATCCACCCCTAAGGAGAAGCTGTAATGTAAGTCTGTTTATGTCTGACCTACTATACAGCTTCATTCATAAATCAGGCCTTTTTTCTTGTGAAATTATCATTAAGAGATACCCAGTTTTTCCTGTGTAGTTTGAGAGAGAGGGAAGTGGCAAAGTAGTAGAAGTAGTAAAAGATACTTACTAAAATCTGAATCACCTGTTTGTATCACTTACTTGTGTATTTGGGGCCTGCTTAGCCCTGGTCTTGTAGATTCTGCTTTTGTTTGATAGTGCAATGTTGCTCTTCACATCAAATTTTATGGTCCTTGAGATTAGATCCCAGGTCAGCAAATATTTCGTAAAGGGCCAGACACTAAATATTTTAGGCTATACAAGCTATATGTTTTCTATCACAGCTATTCTGCCATTGCAGTGTGAAGGCATAGACAATATGTAAATAAATGCTTATGGCCTTGCTCCAGTAAAACTTTATTTGCCAAAAAAAAAAAAAAAAAAAAAAGCCAATGGGTCAGATTCAGCCCTTAGGCCATAGTTTGCTGATCCCTGGATTAGGTAATAGTTGATAATAAACAGTTTGTATCACAGTCACTTATAGTCCTTTGATGAGGCATTCAGTCTCTACCATACCTAATAGCATAATTAGGATCTGTTTTTCAAATGATAGATGATTTTCTGCAGAGGAAGGCATAGTCTTATTCTCCAAACCTGGAATTTTGTACTGTGATACTTCTCTGGAAACTTGCCAGAGCTTCTATTCCACATCTTGGATTGTCATGGAATGAGTGTTTTGGGCCATTGCAGCCCAGACCTACTGCAGAGATCTTACTTGTTCCAGGCCTAACTCAAAAATGTCAGTCTTAGAGTTTACTAGGTAAATGGTTTGGTGAGATGTGTCTTAATAATGCATGCATTGCCTCCAAAATCTAAAGAGGCTTTACAAATGATACAAAGTACAAGTTGCCTCTTATTTTAGAAGAGATAGCCTGACATGTCTCAGACCATTGGATCCCTAAAAACTTTACAGATGTGATAGGACCCTGAACTTTGTCCCATCTGGTTTACATTTGTTTTATTATTGGCATCCACAGTGCTTGCTCCTGTTGAGAGATGCAACTTACCATGGGCTCTGAGCAGGCCTACACATTCTTGCTGGCTATGCTAAGAATGTGAAGCCCTTATTAATTTCTACATAGGCCATTTCTCAGGATTGTGTTTGCAGAAATCTTGAGGGACGATAGGATGTCTCCCTGCCCAGGCATAGTACTATAAAAACAGTCAAATCTCCAATTCGCTCTTCCTTTCCTGTAATACAACCCACTGTGTGTGCAGGCATCCATCAAGGGCCCTTTGTATGGTCCCATGAGACTTAGGAAGCAGGAGGAATCAATGTGAATGAACATGCTGACACTCTAGCTACTGTTTTTTCTGTGAATAATAAAGTCTTGTCTCTAACCCAAAACTGTCATATTTTCTGCTGGCCTTTATGAAACTGGCACGCTAACTCTTTAGCTTGCAAGAGGGATAAAATCTCAGACTCACACAATTCTTGACAAGTACTTCTTGCTCACCAGGTTTAATTAGCAAATGTCATCAATATAATGGACCAGTGTGATACTAAGATCCAGGTCTCTCTGAACAATATTACAGTATAGGTAGGAAATTTGACGAGCCCTGAGGCAGGACAGTAATGCTACAGCATTGTACCACTACTTAAGTACAAAGTGCTTCGGTTTTTCAATACTGGATGAATGGGGAAAAACAAGAAAAATGCATTTTGCTTGATTCATAGCTGCAAACCAGCTGACAAAGGTATGTTGATTTGTGTATAAAAATAACACATCTGAAACTGTAGTGTAATAATTGGCATCATCACCTAATTGCTATAATCTACTATCATTTTCCAGAATCTATCTGGCTTTTGCACTGGCCAAATAAGTGGAGAAAGTGGGTATATGGACAAAATCACTATCCCAACATCTCTCAGGTATTCAGAATAATCTCTGAATTGCCGTGGTGGGAAAATGGTGATTTTCAGGGGCTTCCACTTGGCCCTTTCTCCAATAATTGCCCTTGTTCCTTGGATCTAGGAACCAGTGTGAGAATGTGGTCAGTAAGTGTTCCTATTTTATATTCTGGAAATGGGTGGATCCAAAGGACACTTGGTAAGACAGATTCTGACTTAGATGCCATCTGTCACCGGTTCTTGAGAAGCTCTCACTATGTCTGGTGGTCCACAGTGACATTTTAGGATTCTGGAGTATAGCAGAAAGGCAGAGCTATTATCTCATTATCTAATAACCCTTAGGAAGTCAAGTTCCTGCCCCCAATCCATATTCATGTGGGTAAATGACTGCAGTTCCCTCTGGGGAATTGTTGAGAGAAGATTTATGGTATTCGTGTTGCAGGGTTCTTTCTAGTCAAGGAGCTTTGGGTGTATGAACTGTCTTAAGTTTGGAAAGTGGGTAAAAGGCATAACTGCCACAACATTGGCTTCAGTTAGGTTTTTTGCTTTGCATATGTGGTATTTCTCTGCCTATATATGTTAGGCAGCACCATAGTATATAGCTCATCTTATTTATAGGGCCCTTGAGAAACTGGCCATTGCCACAGATCCCTGCCTCTAATTACAATTCTGCCATTAGCATATTGTGGTAAGAACTATACCACCTTGTCTATTAAGTGCCAATCGACTTTGACCACTTGTGGATCATATAATTCACATGGAGATCAGAGAACCTATTTTCATTATTGATCCTCTATCATCATTTCTGGCCTATAAAAAATAGTCACCCAGGTCTTTTCATGGATGCTGGAGTCCTTTTTATTAGTTAATGCATTTATCAACACCTTGGTAAAAGGAGAATGGGTGGAGGGTGTGCATGTTTAGATGTGACTTGGCCAAGCAGGTTGCACATGTAGATTTTCTCCAACATTCCTATCTTCCTGAGCTTTTGGACTCCTTCGTGTACAGAATGCCAGGTAGTTTGAGCATTTTGACCTAACTGCCTGTTTTGTTTTTGTTTTTATAAAGACCATGTCTCACTTTGTTGCTGGTTTTTAACTCCTGGGCTCAAGCGATCTTCCTGTCTCAGCCTCCCAAAGTGCTGGAATTACAGGCATGAGCTACCGTGCCTGGCCTTGACCTACCTGACTGTAAACCACTACTGAGTTCAGTTTTCAATTAGTGAACCTATTAAACTATTAAAGCCATTCCCAGGTACTTCGGACATTGTATTAATTAAATGGGTAAAGTGCACCCATGACAATAAATTTGGCCTTATTGTTCCTTATGATTTGTCCTCTTGGTCTAACACCATTACATTCCACCTTAGACTGTCAAAATCTTTTAACTCTTTGCTGTATAGGCTGTTTCCTCCCTCCCACAGCATATCTTGCACTCTCCTCCGTCCAAGTTTTATTTTTTGGAGCCTAACTAAGCTAATGGAGAGGTCGTGGGGGGTAGATGCTGAGGAGAACTGGAAATGACTTGTGAGGCTCTGCTCCAGGGTTTTGTTTTGTTGTTTTTTTTTTTAAGCCTCTATGAAAGAATTTTTTTTTTTTTTTTTTTTTTTTTTGACAGCGTCTTGCTCTCTTGCCCAAGCTGGAGTTCAGTGCCATGATCTCGGCTCACTGCAACCTTGCCCCCACCCCCCACCCCAGGTTCAAGCGATTCTTCTGTCTCAGCCTCCGGGGTAGGTGGGATTACAGGCATGCTCCACCACGCCTGGCTAATTTTTTTATTTTTAGTGGAGACGGCATTTCGCCATGTTGGCCAGGCTGGTCTCAAACCCCTGACCTCAAGAATCCGCCTGCCTCAGCCTCCCAAAGTGCTGGGTTACAGGCTTGAGCCACCGTGCCCAGTGGAAAAATTTCGTTTAAATATTGTTAAGGTCCAACTTCAGGTGAAATTGGACACCATTGAATATAATTTCATGTCTCATCTTCCTTATTTTGATTTCCCATTGACTTCTCTTTTTACATGTTTTGTGTAACCATACATACATCCAGACATTATTTTTATTTTTTAAGTTTTCTACTGCCTTTAGAGGCAATATAGTGTAGTGGGTAAGAGCAAGACTAGGGCCAAACTGCTGGGATTACAGGCATGTGTACCTATCTGGGTTATGCCACTTCCTACTTAGCTGTATGACCTGTATTCCTCATCTGTAAGATACAAATAATGGTACCTACGCCCTAAGAGATACCTCGTAGGTTTAAGGCAAAGGTTGAGATAAATAGGTAAAGGATTTTTAAAAAATCCCTAGCCTAGGGTCGGGCGCCGCTCAGGCCTGTAATCCCAGCACTTTGGGAGGCCGAGGCGGAGGCAGGCGGATCACTTGAGGCCAGGAGTTCCAGACCAGCCTGGCCAACATGGCGAACTCCCCTCTCTACCAAAAATACAAAAATTAGCCAGTCGTGGTGAGGCGCGCCTCTAATTCCAGCTACTTGGGAGGCTGAGGCAGGAGAATCGCTTGAACCCGGGAGGCGGAGGTTGCAGTGAACCAAGATCACGTCACTGCACTCCAGCCTGGGAGACAGAGCGAGACTCCATCTCAAAATAAATAAATAATTTAAAAAATCCCTAATATGTAAGCTATAATTATTATTAGATCCCTACAATTGAAATAAAAACTAATAAGATATTTGTGAAGGGCATTGCCAGTCAAAACAATCATTTATGAATTACTGGTAATCTCAGGTTTCATTTGTTTACCTGGTTTTGCTCCCAGCGTCCCGAGGTAATTAACAGCATGTAAATGTACTGAGTCCCTGCTATGTTGTCACTAAAATAAGCATGTTCATACAAACTAATTATCTTTACATCTCTACCATTCAGCCCTGGAAACCGCGACAGTAAAGTTAATATAATTCTGGGCGGGGTATGCATATGAGAGGAGTGGCATAAACCAATTTTTGCCTACGTAACAGTTTTATCTATGATTGTTCCTGGAAACCGCAATGATTACTACATGTATTGTGGAAATGCTGTGACTCCCTTCCCTTCAGCACAACCAAAAATATAAAGACGAATTTCAATTCTAAGCCCCGGGTTTTAGACGGTGGCCAGGATTCCGCTACCGTTCTCACCTCCTCCGCAGATAGCGATTGGCGGCCGGATGCAATCATTCAAATGAAGCGCCGCCGTCTCATTGGCCAGGGGATGCTGCTCACCGATTGGTCCCGTGACGAGGAGGGCGGTGCCCGGAGGTCCTCATTGGTGGAGGCGGCAAGTTTAAACAGAGTCAAAACGCCATACTTGTTTGGCTCCTCTTTTTAATTTGCGAGTTTATTGGGCTTGTTTTCTGTTTTCTAGGGAGTAGGTTAGTGGAAAAGAAAAAGGGCCGAATTCACTCCCACGACCTCTACAGCCGCCCCTGAGGGGAAGCGGTCAGCGTAAGTCCCGGATCCCCGCTCCGGAGCCGCCTCGTGGGAGCGGGGCAAGGAGATCCAGGAGGGGTCTCGAATCTGCCATGGCGAACCGGCGAGTGGGGCGAGGCTGCTGGGAAGTGAGCCCGACCGAGCGGAGGCCGCCCGCGGGGCTGCGGGGCCCCGCGGCCGAGGAGGAGGCGTCTTCCCCGCCGGTCCTGTCTCTCAGCCACTTCTGCAGGTCTCCTTTCCTTTGCTTCGGGGACGTTCTCCTGGGAGCCTCACGGACGCTGTCTCTGGCCCTAGACAACCCTAACGAGGAGGTGGCAGAAGTGAAGATCTCCCACTTCCCGGCCGCGGACCTGGGCTTCAGTGTGTCGCAGCGCTGTTTCGTGTTGCAGGTAGGTCTCAGGAGGAGCGTGCTCCAGGCCGGTGTTCTGCTTCTCCGCTATCTTTCCTGCCACCCTCCTCAGGAAGGTTGACGATTGGAGAAGAAATCAGAAAAGACCCTTAGAGAATAAAGTCAGTTCCCTTTCACTCAATAACTGTGGGTGGCTCTTGGAAAAGAAATCAGAAAAGACCCTTAGAGAGTGAAGTCAGTTCCTTTTCAATAACTGTGGGTGGGCCCTTGACGCATACACATGTGTGTGAGTATATATATATGTGTCAATATTATATATATATATATATATATATTCTCTAATTGAAGGCTAGGATAGACGCTAACTTGGGCGGGGACAACACATAAACGCGCGCGCACTTAGCATCTTTAGGAGCAAGTTATATAGACTTCTCTGTTAAATTGACAAGCACTTTTACTAGACTTAAGGCGTTGTGAAATAGCCTTGCCGTTCTAAATTAATAGACAATGCACTTTTTTAACACTTTTTTAAGATTGACAGGAGTACCTTGGTTGGTTAAAGCAGCTTTTTTTAAAATTTCTATCAGCCATCTTAATATGCATTTTAGTTTCCATATGTACCCTTAGAGTCGAGGTAACTGGTTTTTTTTTCCGGTGAAATAGTGAGCTTTGTTCTGGCTAAATGCCTACAATAAAAACCAAAAAAACCTATTCAGAGTTGTTTTCAATATATACGTGTAGTATGTATGCACACTTTAGTATTTTAGTCCTTTTTTTCTTTGCTGTTAAGTGTAATTTTAATGCTGCATCAAATTTAATTTTATAAATGTTGTTTCAAGAACTCCTGTAGCTTTCTTTTACTGCATTGCATTTGCAAGAGTAATGCTCCAATCCCCTTCACCAAAGACTGGAGAATTTATGTTTTTATTTTGACTGCTGTGACCTTTCCATTGAGTAGAATCACCAAAAGTATGAAAACCGTTAGCCGAGGAGGTCTGAACTAGTAGGCTAATAACCACTTCATTAGGCAGAAAAAAGAGATTCTAATCTGAGGTCCCTTAACTTGTGTGTCACCAATGGTTCATCTATCTACACTTCAGAACCTACCCACCCCGCCCCTCTGTTTCATGAATCACTGCCTGCTTTCCTTTCTTTGGAAAGACAGATTTCTTTTCTATCCACATAATACTTCAACTTACTCTTTTTTGTTATAATGTGGAACTAAATTTTGTGGTATTTTTAGAATAAACTATTTTATAGAGTAAAAATGCACCATTCTTATTTTTTAAAATTAGTTGTTTATGATGTTATATTATTTCTCCTTTAAAACAGAAACTTGTCTGTTTCTCCTGAAAAACAAAATTTGTTTTGTCATGTCAGCGTTTAAATTTGGCAGATTCTGTCTACCTGCCAGGGTGTGGGGTGTAGATGTTAAAGTCCAAACTCTGGCATTAGACTGCCTGGGTTCTAATAGGTACCTGCGTGACTTTGGCAGACTTTTCTGGATGTTAGTTACTTCATCTGTAAAATGTGCATAATCATAATACCTGCTTCCTAGGGATGTTAGCATTAAATGAGTTTTACAGGATACCTGCACTTATGCCTGGAACAATAATACCTGTTTAAGAAATCTCAGTATGATGATGTGGACCTTAGAGGAATTTGTAAGGAAGAAGGAATTTAGCTGATCATCTTTACATTTCTTTTTAAATAAAGTCTTCATAATGCAGGGTCCTTGTGTTTGAAGTAGAAGTACTCTACACATCTAAAAATTAGAAATGTACAATTAAATCTTTTGAAACCACTCAAACAAAATGATTTAGAGACTATCTGTTCTATTGCTTTAATACAGTTAAGATTTTATTATTTATTTTGTTGTGAACCCTGTTATTTTTAGTGACTTTTTTTCTTATAATTAAGCAGATAGGGTAGGAGAAATATATTTGATTTATTAAATGTTTAGTATATAGAGTGTTGGTTAACAATTATTAAGCCCTACTATATTGTAAGTTGTATATAAGGTGTTTTGGTTATTATGTAATTACTATTGTAATTATATAATGTATTGTTTTGATTATAGCCTAAAGAGAAAATTGTTATTTCTGTTAACTGGACACCACTCAAAGAAGGCCGAGTAAGAGAGATTATGACATTTCTTGTAAATGATGTTCTGAAACACCAAGCTATATTACTAGGAAATGCAGAAGAGCAGAAAAAGAAAAAGGTAATGTTTTAACCATTCTGTGATTTACTCTAAGAAATTGTTTAATAATAAATAAAACTTATTTTGATAACAGGCTTGAAGTAATATTGCTTATTTAATATTCAATAGCTACAAACTTAATTGGTATATTTTCCTTATTTTTGCAGAGGAGTCTTTGGGATACCATTAAAAAGAAGAAAATTTCAGCCTCTACAAGTCACAACAGAAGGGTTTCAAATATTCAGAATGTTAATAAAACATTTAGTGTTTCCCAAAAAGTTGACAGAGTTAGGAGCCCACTACAAGCTTGTGAAAACTTGGCTATGAATGAAGGCGGTCCCCCAACAGAAAACAATTCTTTAATACTTGAAGAAAATAAAATACCCATATCACCTATTAGCCCTGCTTTCAATGAATGCCATGGTGCAACTTGCTTGCCACTCTCTGTACGTCGATCTACTACCTACTCATCTCTTCATGCATCAGAAAATAGGGAACTATTAAATGTACACAGTGCCAACGTTTCAAAAGTTTCTTTTAATGAGAAAGCTGTAACTGAAACTTCCTTTAATTCCGTAAATGTTAATGGCCAAAGAGGAGAGAATAGTAAACTTAGTCTTACCCCCAACTGTTCTTCAACTTTGAACATTACACAAAGCCAAATACATTTTCTAAGTCCAGATTCTTTTGTAAATAATAGTCATGGAGCTAATAATGAACTAGAATTAGTAACATGTCTTTCATCAGATATGTTTATGAAAGATAATTCACAGCCTGTGCATTTGGAATCAACAATTGCACATGAAATTTATCAGAAAATTTTAAGTCCAGATTCTTTCATAAAAGATAATTATGGACTAAATCAGGATCTAGAATCAGAGTCAGTTAATCCTATTTTATCCCCTAATCAATTTTTAAAAGATAACATGGCATATATGTGTACATCTCAGCAAACATGTAAAGTACCATTATCAAATGAAAATTCTCAAGTCCCACAGTCTCCTGAAGATTGGAGAAAAAGTGAAGTTTCGCCACGTATTCCTGAATGTCAGGGTTCAAAATCTCCCAAAGCTATTTTTGAAGAACTAGTAGAAATGAAGTCAAATTACTACAGTTTTATAAAACAAAATAATCCTAAATTTTCTGCAGTTCAGGATATTTCTAGTCATAGCCACAATAAACAACCTAAGAGACGTCCAATACTTTCTGCCACTGTTACTAAAAGGAAGGCCACCTGTACCAGAGAAAACCAAACTGAGATTAATAAACCAAAAGCAAAAAGATGTCTCAACAGTGCAGTGGGTGAACATGAAAAAGTAATAAATAATCAAAAGGAAAAAGAAGATTTTCATTCTTATCTTCCAATTATAGATCCAATATTAAGTAAATCTAAGAGTTATAAAAACGAGGTAACACCCTCTTCGACAACAGCTTCAGTTGCTCGGAAAAGAAAGAGCGATGGAAGCATGGAAGATGCAAATGTGAGAGTTGCAATTACAGAACATACAGAAGTGCGAGAAATCAAAAGAATCCATTTTTCTCCCTCAGAGCCTAAAACATCAGCTGTTAAGAAAACAAAAAATGTGACAACACCCATCTCAAAACGTATTAGCAACAGAGAGAAATTAAACCTGAAGAAGAAAACTGGTGAGTCTTGTTTATAAAATCTACTGAAGTATACCTGTAAAGGGGATACTTCCTTTTGGTTTAGTAAATCTGCTATTGATAAGCTTGTATTATAGTTTTTACTTATTTGCTGGGTACATTTCCTTAGCAAATGTGAATACAGCTTATGTGACATCTTGTATCTGTCTGATTTTTCTTTGCTTTTGCTGTTTCTTGTAGATATGTTCTGATCAGATAACAAATTCTTTGATAGTAAGGAACATACCTATTTTAATCTCCTACAAGATGTACAATAAAAGATGAATTGAATGAATGGATAAGTGAATAAATGAACAAATAAACCACTGAAAGGTCGACACTCACACCTACTGTTTGTTTGAGGCAGCCAGCTGGTTGAGCCTCTAGTCTAGAATCAGAATTGTACATATTGGGTATCTGATTTATGAGCCTATGTGAGAGGCAAGTAAGTCACCAAGAGTGGCTCTTTCTACCTCTTGACAAATCTAAGGGAACAGAGAAGGCAATTTTTCTAGATATATTTATTTGACTGATAAGGTACCTACTATGTGATGTGCATTTTTCTAGGCACTGTGTACACAGGGAGGAAAGGGATAATTCCTGTCCTCAAGTTGCGTTCAGTCCTGTGATTATGCTATGCTTAGGAAATTAAGGAAGCACAGAAGCAGAGGGTTTGTGTGTAAATTGCAAGGAAGTATGAGATGGTTCCAAGAAAGACTTCCTAAAGAAGAAAATGGTTGCAGGGAGAGGGACTAATTTCTGTAAGGTTTAAGAATGAGGAATTTCTCCTTAGAAATTTACTTTTTAAATGTTCAATTCATAGAACCTTACAATCTAATAAGTATTATGTTGCAATTTAGTCATGTTCCTTATTTTCACAATTGATATAGGTTTGAGATTACTTTAAAACAAGGGTAAGCAAACTGTTCCTCTACTGGTCCAGATAGTAAACATTTTAGGCTTTGCAGGCCATATAGATTTGCACTGCAATTACTCAACTCTGCTGCACTTGTGGGAAAACAGCCATAGACAATGTGCAAATCAAGGAGTATGGCTGTGTTTCAGTAAAATTTTATTCATAAACACCGAAATTTGAATTTTATGTAAGTTTTGTGTTTTATGAAATATTATTATTTTCATTTTTTTTTTAACTCTTTACAAATGTAAAAGCTATATTTAGCTCTTGGAACATACAAAAACAGTAGGGAGGGTTTTGCATGGGGAATGGATGTAGTTTGCTGACCCCTGCTCTTATTGTCTCTTTGCTTATATTTAGTAGCAGTATATTTTGTTGTGAAACCTGTTTTTGAAAGAGTGAACTGCTATTCCAATAGGTTATTTGCTACTGCAATTTGTATTGCATTTTCTTTGATAGCCACCTGGCATTATATCAACCATCTTGGTTACATATTTGGGAATCAGCCTGTTATTCTCTATCACTTTTCTAATAAGTTGGTATTAAGGGTTGTTTCTTCCACTATTAAAATAACTCTCCTCTGATTTGTCTCCATTGACTCTGTTTTAATTTGTCTCACCATATCCACCTTGGGTCATTGTAATAACTGCTTTGTAATTTTCTGTTTCTAATCTTGACCCTGTTCATTCCATTGTCCATACTGTTTTCTTAAATATAAATGAGGGTTTTTACTTCCTTGATTAAAATTCTTCACTAGCATAGAAGGTGCTTCAAAGTGATTAATAGTGGAGGTTCTGTAACTATACTGCCTTTGTTCAAATCTTTGCTACTTACTAGCTTATGTGACCTTAGACCATGTGGCTTAATTGCTCAAAGCCTCAGTATCCTAATTATATACATTGTGGTAATAATAGTACACTTCTCATAAATTTGTTCTCATAACTGTGTGAGAAAAAGATTATGATAGTGCCTGGCACAAAGTATTTAAGTATTAGCTGCCACTATTATTTTGAATATTATTGAACTCCTCCCTACCTCTTCTAGCCTCTTGTATGTCATTTCCTACGTGTATTCTTTGCTTCATCCTTATTGCAGTTCTGGCAACAGGCCACATTCCTCATGCCTAATTTTAATTTCATAAGTTAACTCAAGTAGATTCCCATCTGGGAAGGCTCTTCTACCATTTTTAAACTTCTTTTTTTACCAGACTGAGAACTACTTCAGGGCTGAGACCATATTTTTCAATTCTGCATATTCTCAGCACCTCGTAGAGAGTCTGGAATATACAGACACAATAAGTTTTGGTTGAATCTAGACTTTAGCCTCTGTAAACACAAAATAAATTGTGGTTTATGGTCTGTGACTTCTGGATGTTGGTTTGATAAACCACTGAATTCATAGCATTAGTGCGTGGAGTACAGTGGTTATTAAGTGTTTGCTAAATGAATATGATTGTGAAGAACCCAAACTTTAACTTTCAAATCACTGACCTATTTAGGGAATTTGTATTTTAATGCTCTTAGTTTTGTTTTCTAATTTATTTTAGATTTATCAATATTCAGAACTCCAATTTCTAAAACAAACAAAAGGACAAAACCCATTATCGCTGTGGCACAGTCCAGTTTGACCTTCATAAAACCATTAAAAACAGGCAAGTATTTATTATACTTAAACTCTCTGAAAACATGACATCGAATGAAGCATTAATTGCATTTCACATGGAAATGAATTGATTTTTGTTGTTGAATAACAGCCTGGAAGAATTGTTAAAGTGTGTATTAAAATGACAGGATATTGTGTCAACTTTCTGTTTGATAAAAGAAATAAAGACCAAATGTTCAATAGATCAGTAGGGTCACTATAGTAATTATTGTATATTTCAAAATAGCTAGAAGAGAATAACTGATGTTTCTAGCATAAAGAAAAGACAGATATTTGGACTGCGGGCACCCACGACCATGCCCGGCTAATTTTTTTGTATTTTTAGTGGAGACGGGGTTTCACCGTGTTGGCCGGGGTGGTCGGGCAATCTCCTGACCTCGTGATCCCTCCCCTCGCCTCCCAGGGTGCTGGGATTTCAGGCGTGAGCCACCGCGCCCGGCCAAAAACATGGGCTGTTATCCTTTGCTGTGGTAGGGAGTATGGATGAAGTGAAAGTTGGTAAAAGGATGGTCAGAGGCCGTCACTAGCCTTGGGGAGTTTTCCAAGTGGAAAATGAAAATCACTGTGACTTCGTTAAGCTCCAAGATATGCTTCTTTGTACCAATGTGGAAAATCTAAAAGAAAAACCTACACTCAGCACTATGAATGCTGTAGGTACCAAAAACTGCAGAAAATGGGCTTTACAGATCTGGGCCCAGACAACCAGCCAGTTAGTTTTCAAGAAATCTTTGAAGCCAAAAGACAAGAGTGCTATGATCAATGTCAGAGAGAAGAAGAGTTGAAACAGATTTATGCAGCGAGTCAAGGAGAAAGAAGCTGAAAAAGAGCTGCAGGACAAGTTCAAGCATCTTAAAATGATTCAACAGGAGGAGATAAGGAAGCTCGAAGAAGAGAAAAAACAACTGGAAGGAGAAATAATAGATTTTTTATAAAATGAAGGCTGCTTCTGAGGCACTGCAGACTCAGCTGAGCACCAATACAAAGAAAGACAAACATCGTAAGAAATAATCGTTTCTCTTAATTTTCTGTTTGAGAGCCCTATCATTCACATCCCAGCTTCCTGTGATTGTATTTGTAGCATTTAAATCTGATTGAAGTTCTTATTTTAAAAATTGGCTTGCTTATTGTATATTTTCCCTAACTAAAGTGTGAACTCCTAGTGGGGCGTGGTGGCTCATGCCTGTGATCCCAGCACTTTGGGAGGCTGAGGCAGGTGGACCATCTGAGGTCAGGAGTTCAAGACCAGCCTGACCAGGATGATGAGGCCCTGTCTCTGCTGGGAATACAAGAGTTGGCTGGGCTTGGTGGCCGGTACCTGTGGTCCCAGCTGCTTGGGAGGCTGGGAGAGTCACTTGGGCCCCAGAGGTGGAGGTTGCAGCGAGCCAGGTTCTTGCCATTGCACTCCAGCCTGGGCGACAAGGGCGGGACTCCATCTCAAGAAATAAAAAGGTGTGAACTCCCTGAAGACAGGTCCTGTGTCCATCTTTTCAGATTCTGTATCCTGGCACTTAGGATGTAGACTAACACGAAGATGACATTCAATCAATATTTGCCAAAATGAAAAAATAAACATGTAACATCATGTTAAAGGAGCAGTTTAGGTGGAGAAATTTCTTTACCATAGTCCTGCTTGTGGATCCAGTAGTGACTTTTACATTTTATATCTAAATAGAAGCTTGAGGCTTTGTTGGGGACTCATAGGCATAAAATATTATGTTATACAAATCTAATTAATAGGCCTATTTTCCTTTTTAAATTCTAATAATTTCTTGATAGTTTTTATTATGATAAAAGATTGGATTTTGATTAGAACTCTCATGCTTTTATGTCAGACTTAAAACTGATATTAGAATAAAGAATTCAAAAGCTAGAGAAAATCAGAGTACAATGAGAAGCCATGAGTTGCATTTGAATGATAATATTATGTCTTACAGATTTGGGGTATACGCTAAAGTTATCAAAGTTGTAAAAATAAGGCTGGGTGCAGTGGCTTACACCTGTGGTCCCAGCACTTTGGGAGGCCAAAGTGGGCGGATCACTTGAGGTCAGGAGTTTGTGACCTGCCCGGCTGGCATGGTGAAACCCCATCCCTACTGATAATGCAGAAGTTGGCTGGGCATGATGGTGTGCACCTGTAGTCCCTGCTACTCGAAAGGCTGAGGCGGGAGAGTCGCTTATACCCAGGAGGCAGAGGTGCAGTGAACAGAGATTGTGCCACTGCACTCCAGCATGAGTGACAGAGCGCTATGAGTCACTACACCTGGTATGAGCCACCATGCCCGGCCTACGATGACTTTTATACATGTTGTTAAATCATCTTACAGATTTTATAATTTGGGGGAAGAAAAATTTTACTAAATGGTCTTTTAATGGAAACTACAAGAACCAGAATCTTTGCTTTGTTCACTTAAGTGTCCATTCCTAGGCCTAGAACAATGTCTGACACATAGCGGCAATTATTCCTTGAATAAATGGACCCAGCAATAGTACATTAGCTATGCTATATGCATAAATTAAAAATGTAGATTATTGACTTTCAAAAAATAATTAATGTGACTTCTTACTGCTTCTGAACATGTTTGTGAGTTATATTGCTGAGGGACCTTTATCTTCTCATTCTTTCATCTTAATCCAATGTTATTAAAATTGAAATCACCAATATTATTCCATATCTAAAAATAATATCTACCTTATAAAAATTATCACTCTGCTGCATTTGAGAATAGACTTTTTAGGTAATAATAGTATGATCCATAGGGTTTTTTTAGGGCACAGAAGGATTCATGCTAACAGAACATTTTATTTTCTATTTTCCCAGAGCTATAAAACATGATATTATATGATAACTATAAGGCATATTTTTACTCTGTTCATATTTTTTCTAAAAAAAATTAGTGTTTGTTTCCCATATAACTTTTAATTTTATAAGTAAATATTTGTCTCTTTCAGCTCCAGTTTTATGTGAAATAGAGTTTCCAGATTTATGTAGCATGGAGAGTTTTAATAAGTCAGAGTTACTGATTTTTGCCAGTCATTTTCTCAGTTGTTAACTTCTTTTATCTTTAGTTGATTTTTTTTGTAGTGACAAGTTTTGTTTCTATTCTCATTTCCTTTTGTGTATATTCTATGTATATTTTGTTTTTGTTTACTATGAAAATTACATATAACATCCTAGAGTTATAACATTCTAATTTGAATTTATTTCAACTTAACTTCAATCACATACCAAAATTCTACTGCTATATAGCTCTACTCTTTTTAGGTTATTGATGTCACAGATTATATCTTTATTCATTGTACACCACCTAACATATTTATAATTACATTTTATGCATTTGCCTTTTAAATCATGTAGAAAATAAAAAGCGGAGTTACAAACCAAAATTACAATAATACTGTTTTTATGCTTGTTTATATATTTACCTTTACCAGAGAGCTTTATATATTCATATAGCTTGGTTATTTACTTATATAGTTACTGCCTAGAGTTCATTTATTTCAACCTGAAGGACTTTAATGCTTCTTGTATGGCAAATTTAGAGATAAATGGATTTTTTCAGCTTTAAAAAAAATCTAGAAATGTCTTAATTTCTCCCTTATTTTTGAAGGACAGGTTTTCCAGCTATCAGTTTCTCAATTGACAGGTTTCTTCATTATTTTAAATACATAATCCACTGCCTACTGGCCTTCAAGTTTTCTGCTGAGAAATCAGCTGCTAATGTTATCCAGATCCCTTGTCTGTGAGAGTTGCTCTTCTCTCTGAGCTTTCAAGATTCTCACATTGTCTTTTTGTTTTGTTTTTTGGGACAGAGTCCTGTTCTGTTGCCCAGGCTGGAGTGCAGTGGTGTGATCTCAGCTCACTGAGACCTCCATCTCTTGGGTTTGGGTGATTCTCCCGTCTCGGCCTCCCAGGTAGCTGGGGCTACAGGCATGTGCCACCATGCCCAGCTAGTTTATTTGTGTTTTTGGTAGAGACGGGGTTTTGCCATGTTGCCCAGGCTGGTTACAAACCCCTGGCCTCAAGCAATCTGCCCAGGACTACCATTTACCCAGCAATCTCATTACTTGGTAAAGACCCAAAAGAAAATAAATCATTCTACCAAAAAGGCAAAAAAAAAAAAAAAAAAAAAAAGACAGATATTTAAGGTGATGGATATCCCAAGTACCCTGACCTGATTTGTATAAATTCTATGAATATATTATCACATGTACCACAAAATTGTGTACATCTATTATGCATCAATTATAAAAAAGATATTCTATCAGACTTTAATGTAGTTGATTCATGGTGGTTTAGTGTTAAATAACCAGGAAATATCGCTTTACTTTTCCCCATTTTGCTCTGATTACATTTCTTACCCAAAATGCTTTCAGCTCTTTCCTGCAAGTAGTAGAAAAGCAAATATTGTTCAGTGTTTTAAAGATGGTATTGCTAGTAAAAATGACTTTTGCTGTATATTGTACAATAAGTTAAAGGAAATTTTGTTATGCAGTAACCTAATTGTATTCTTAGATATTCCCAGACACCCGATGCCATTTGCTGCAAAAAACATGTTTTATGATGAACGCTGGAAGGAAAAGCAGGAACAGGGCTTCACTTGGTGGTTAAATTTTATATTAACCCCTGATGACTTCACTGTAAAAACAAATATTTCTGAAGGTAAACGTTAAATTAATGTTTAAATTTAATAATACTTTTAACAGATAAAGATTTTTAACATCGTTTGTCATTCTTTAATTATACATAGTTATTATAATTAATGGCATAATTCCCTGTTCATTAGCCTAAATGCTTGTATAGGTAAGAATTTTTATTTACATAAATTTATATATGTACATTTTCTTTACCGAAAGTACTGAAATATACTTTTTGTTCTCTATTCTCTCTCATCAGTCAATGCAATCAGTCCCGTGTGGCCTGCCCACTTTGGGCATATTGTCCCCACTGTTCAATACCTTAGTTTAAGAAGTATGTTGGAAAGCTATAGGATTATGAGGAAACTAAACACCAATTCATATGAGGAATTTTTAAACATTTCAGTGTTTGTTCTGGAAAAGAGAAAACTTGGGAAAGGGACCAGGTAGAGATGTGCCTTTCAAACATTTGAAGTGTTTTCTTGTGAAAGAGAAGGAAACTTAACTTTTGTGCAGCTCTTGCTTAGAAATTATAGGGATCAATTTCAGCTGAAGATAAGGAAAAATTCTTATGAATGTTTAAATTGTCAAATCATCATATAGGCTAACTTTTAAAGTGATGATTTTCCTATTCTGGTGTTCAGACAGACACTGATTTATTTTTGTCAGAGAAGCGCGTGTATAGGATTTTTTTTCTTTTTTGCTGTTGGAGACAAGGTCTCACTCCCTCACCCAGTCTGGAGTGCATTGGTGTGATCACAGGTCACTGCAGCCTCCACTTCCCAGGCTCAAGCAATCTTGCTCCCTCAAACTCCTGAGTAGTTGTGACTACCAGTGCACGCCACCATGCCTGGCTAGTTTTTTTTTTTTATTATTTTTTATTTTTGAATAGAAGAGTTCTTGCTATGTTGCCAGAGTTGGTCTTGAACTCCTAGGCTCGAGGAATTCACTTGCCTTGGCCTCCCAAAAGGCTGGGATTACAGGTGTGAGCAATTGTACCTGGCTGGATTTTTGTATTAAAAGGGTCTTTGAATTAGATGCTCTCTAAGCAGTGATCTTAGAGATCACTTAAAAAAAAAGAAAAAAGTTGTTTCTTTTCCAAAAGGGAGCAAAGCCCCATTTTTCGTTCTTTTCTTAAAAGAAAATGTGTTTTATAAAAGATTAAATTACATTTCAAAATTCAATTGGTTTTTAAAAATTATATTCCTTAGAAACTTGACTTTTATTAATTTATAAAAAGGATGGGAACAGATAAACCAGTGAGGAAGTTAATTCATTAGTCCGGATTAGAGATAATCATGTTTGAATTTGTGATAGTAGAGGCGGTGAAAAGTGGCTAGACTTGGAATACATTTTGCAGGTAGAGCTAACAGGTTGCGATGATAGATTGGCCTAAGGAGTAAGCTTGGAGTGGGTGAGGAATAGATTATGTTTTTACCGTCTGAAATTGCATTTTATTGCTGGATTTAAGAATATGTAGAGATATTGTTTAACCAGAAACATTCTTTCTTTTGTTTTTACCCAGTAAATGCTGCTACTCTTCTTTTGGGAATAGAGAATCAACATAAAATAAGTGTTCCTAGAGCACCTACAAAAGAGGAAATGTCTCTCAGAGCTTATACTGCTCGGTGTAGGTTAAACAGACTACGTCGTGCAGCATGCCGTTTGTTTACTTCTGAAAAAATGGTTAAAGCTATTAAAAAGCTTGAAATTGAAATTGAAGCTAGGCGGTTAATTGTTCGAAAAGATAGACACCTATGGAAAGATGTGGGTAAGAAGACTGCAGAAATCTTGACATTAATTCTTTAAAAACATTCAAGAGATTTTGTGTTTTTTTCCCCCGGCTTTATTGACATATAATTGACAGGTAAAACTGGCATATATTTAAGGTATACAACATGATGTTGATATATGTATATATTATTAAATGATTATAACAATCAAGCTAATTAATGTATCTACTCACATAGTTACCTTCTTGTGTGTATGTGTGGTGAAAACATTTAAGAAGTACTCTCAGCAAATTTCAAGTATACAAGTCACTGTTATTAACTATAGTCGTCATGGTGTACATTCGATCTCCAGAATTTATTCATCCTGCGTAACTGAGACTTTATACTCCTTTGACAACATCGCCCCAGTCCCTCTACCCCATTCTCTGGCAACCACCATTCTCTGTGCTTCTATAAATTCAACTTGTTTAGATTTCACATATAAATGAGATCATACAGTATTTGTTTTTCTATGCTTAGGCTATTTCAGTTTGCATAATATCCTCCAGATTGATCCATGTTATCACAAGTGACAGGATT
Source organism: Homo sapiens (assembly GCF_000001405.40). NCBI lineage: Eukaryota > Metazoa > Chordata > Mammalia > Primates > Hominidae > Homo > Homo sapiens. The sequence goes on along the minus strand of NC_000001.11, from coordinate 197,132,808 downwards.
TTCATTTTTAAGACTGAATAGTACTTCATTATATATAAATATATATATATTTATCATATATATTTATTTGTATATATACGTACACACACATACACATACCCCACATTTTCTTTATCCACTTATTCACTAATGGACACTTAGATTGATTCCATATCTTGGATATTGTGGATAATGCTGCAATGAACATAAGAATGCAGGTATCTCTTCCAGATACTGATGTCCCCAAGAGATTTTGTATTTCAAAACTAGGTATACATGCTTTAGCTTTGCTGCCAAAAATCCCACATACTTGAATATGATCATGTATATTTAAGACTATAAGTGTATTTTATTTAAATTAACTTATTTCATATAAGCAAGTATTTTTTTCCCACTGATATACTCTCCTTGAAGTTTTATTTCTTGTCTCTATTTGATTATCAATTTGAACTTATTTGCCTTTGACATGCATTTCAGGAGAACGTCAGAAAGTCCTGAATTGGCTGTTGTCCTACAATCCTTTGTGGCTTCGAATTGGTCTAGAGGTAAGCATATATTTCAGGTTTCTAAAATAATATTTTTTTATTATATACTTTTTGTAGAATAGACTCATTTTATTACAATGTAGTTTTACTTATAAAAGTTGAAAGTCATTAGGTTAGCTTGATTCATCTTTTAGTATAAAATGTAATACCCGTTAATAAATGCTTATTAGGTAAATAGACTATGCCATTATATATTATTACACCATATTGTAATACAACATTTTACTGTACAGTCTCTTTAAACATAATTTGGTGTTGCACGTAATGACAACTATAGTAAACTCATTTTTGCAAATTTACAAATGCCAAAACGAGGCTGCTGTGAATACATTTTCTAATTTAAATTTCTTAAAACCCAGTGAAGTATGTATTATTATTTCCACTTCACTAACGAAACAGAAGCTTAGATGTTAAAGTGACTTGCCCTGGCCAGGTGTGGTGGCTCATGCTGTAATCCGAGCACTTTGGGAGACTGAGGTGAGCTGATCGTGAGGTCAGGAGATGGAGACCATCCTGGCTAACATGGTGAAACCCTATCTCTACTAAAAATACAAAAAAATCAGCCAGGCGTGATGGTGGGCGCGTGTAGTCCCAGCTACTTGGGAGGCTGAGGCAGGAGAATGAGGGGAACCCGGGAGGTGGAGCTTGCAGTTAGCCGAGATCGCACGACTGCACTCCAGCCTGGGCCTGGGTGACAGAGCGAGACTCCTTCTCAAAAAAAAAAAAAGTGACTTGCCCTATGCCAATTATTTGGTCAGGAGTTGAACCTATACCAATCTGATTAAATAGTACTCATAAAAATGTCATCAGGATTTGCATTCTTTACATAGTTCTTGGCTCTGTAATACCTAGAATGTTGAAACTGACTGAATTAGAAAGATACTATTAGTAATTGGCTGTTTAAAGACATTTTTATTAAAAGTATCTTTTGTGCGTCTGTATTCTTTAGTTTTTTGCTAGTATGCTTTCACATTTTTTCTAGGTTTCTTACCTTCTTAATGTAGGGTCTCCCATTACTATTTCAGTTTATTCCAGGTTTTGGAATAGAAGAGTCTTTGGGACCGAACAGGATCTTTGTAATAATCTGGCTTTTATATACCAATAAATTGAGGCCCAGAGAGAATAAATAATAAGCTTACTGTGGTTACACAGCATTGTGGTGTCATTGCTGGGATTTCTTATTTCAATTCCAGTGTCCTTTCCCTTTAAATAGTTGGCAAGTTACAGATCAACTAGCTCTGCTTCACATATGAAAGAATTCTGGAACCTCAATTGAAATAGAGCCCCCCATATTTGGGACATAGCTTTTTTGTGGCAAAAATAAAATCAAGAACTTTGTGTGGAACCTTGCAATGCTTTTTAAAACCTCTTGGATGTAATTTGTATCATCTCCACCCACATTCCATTGGCCAAAGCACATTATGTAGCTAAGCACAAACTAGTTAGGAATGTATTAACCTCCCACAAGTCACAGCAAATTTATGGCAGGTGGTGGGGATGTATAATCTTTTTACAGGTACCTTATTACTACACCCTAGGATTCTTTAAATAAATGTACGTGAGGATTTTAAGAAAATTTCAAAGGCCAAAAAAAGTAAATAAAGTTAAATTCCTCTATTTTGGTAGGTAATAATTAATACTTTTCCATGCTTTAATCTTTATATTTTGTCAATGTAGGGTTGCAGAATTTGATATTTTTTAAGTTTTTCCTAATTGCTTTAAAAATTATTAATAAGCATGCTAATGTTAAACTAATTTTATATTTAAATCATTGATTATAAACAGACCTGTGCTTTCCAAATTATCTTGGATGATTTGCAGATGTTTTCTACATTGATAACTATCATAAAAATTTGAATATTTAGGTTTCTGTTATAACTTCACGATGTACTTAATGGGACAGTTATAAATAAATTTGAACAACATGCCTATATTTGATAGTTCTTTAACTTAAATGAAAAAATTAAAATGGGAATGTTGCTCGTCAGATGATTAAGACTTATCTTAGTCCTGAGCTTTGTCTTTTTGCATTGCAACGTATACTATATACAATAAGATATACATAAATCATATATGCATAGTTTAAAGAAGTTATTTAGCAAATAACCATGTCATTTAGAAAGTAGAACATTGCCAGTTCCTTAGGTTATGGTCTGCCATTCCTCAGTCACTTCCCTTTGTTTCTTAGAGATAGCATAATTCTGACTTTGGCTTTAATTTATTTTCAGACAACTTATGGAGAACTCATATCTTTGGAAGATAACAGTGATGTCACAGGGTTGGCTATGTTTATTCTGAATCGCCTACTTTGGAATCCTGATATAGCAGCTGAGTATAGACACCCCACTGTTCCTCACCTGTATAGAGATGGTAAGTATCTCTGCCTCTCCTACATTCTCTCCACATTATACATGAATGGCTTATTGTCATTCTTCCTGTTTCTGTTTACATTTTCCTTTCTCAAAGAAACCAATCTAAATAAGTCTCTGCTTCTAGTACTCTCCCTTCCTCCACCCTCATTCCCCGTTAATTCCTCCATCACTATTTATAATTCTATCTGTTGTCTCTACCCATCCTCTCCCCCCAGTAGGTTGTAAGTCCTATGGGGGTCATGTTTGTTGTAATTTGGTACTGTATATCTAACACCTACGATGGTGCCTGCATGTAGTAGGTGTTCATTAAATATTTGTTGAGTAAGACCAACTAAATCTCTTGATGCCTCTGTGCCTGTTTCCTCATCTATGAATTGAAAATATTAAGTGGTGCATACTTGTCCCATAGAGATATTGGGAGGATTAAATGGATTTATACACATAAAGCACTAAAAAAGGCACATAGTGTTTTATTTGTGCTTGCTACCCTACACTTTTTGTTTTACTAACACCTTATTATTATTATTATCATATTTTAAGATGAAACCTACCTTTCATAGATTAACTTGCTGTGCTTTTTTGTACTTTATTTAAGGTCATGAAGAAGCTTTGTCCAAGTTTACATTGAAAAAGTTATTGTTGTTGGTCTGTTTTCTTGATTATGCTAAAATTTCCAGACTCATTGATCATGATCCTTGTCTCTTCTGTAAAGATGCCGAATTCAAGGTATGCTTTTCATTGTATGCTTTATATTTTATATTTCCCATTTACGACTTTTGCTTGCTTTCATGGTATGTTTTCTCTTTAGAAAAAAAATTAGTTTTCCAAAGAATAATACTCAGAGGAGTAAAATAGGAATGCCTGTCTGGTGAGTCCCATCAGTAATTCTAACCATCCCTCGTTTTTATTGGTTTACCTTTCATCAGCACATTATCATTACTCTTAATTTTGACTTGAAAATGGATTAAACTATGCTTCTGAAGATTTAATTTTTGAGAAAATTTCTTCCCTAATTTTGATGTAGTATATAATCAAGTTAATGCTAGTTTTTATAGTGTATTATTATGAGCAACTTTTAGAAAGATCTTAAGTTGGAAATATGTATGAAGTTTGCATTATTAATGTATAATATGAAACTTTTTATATTATTTTATTTTTATATGTACAGAATGATTTGGAGGATTTGTTTTTATTATAAGCAAAATTATAATATTGGAATATAATATCTGGAACTTATTTCTTTATAGGCTAGTAAAGAAATCCTTTTGGCTTTTTCACGAGATTTCCTAAGTGGTGAAGGTGACCTTTCCCGTCACCTTGGCTTATTGGGATTACCTGTTAACCATGTTCAGACACCATTTGATGAATTTGATTTTGCCGTTACAAATCTTGCCGTAGACTTGCAATGTGGAGTGCGCCTTGTGTACGTATAAGAAATAGAATTATTTTGCTTAATGGAATAGACTAACATTTTCTGGAAAACACTTTTTTTGTAATTATTCAATCTTGCTCTTTCAAGTAGTACAATAAATTTAGTACTGAAAAAAATTGAGGTTTTTTTTTTTTTTTCAGGGAAGTGGTACATCAATGTTATGTCCAGAAACCTTGTCTCCTATCCACACCTTTTTTCCTGATGGCATGTGACTGGGACTCATGGATAATAATTACTGATGTCTCAGAATAGGAGTTGGGAAGACCATTAAACTAATTAAAATATCAAACATTGAAATAACACTTTTTTTTTTTTTTGAGACGGAGTCTTGCTCTGTTGCCCAGTCTGGAGGGCACTGGCAAGGTCTCGGCTCACTGCAAGCCTACCTCCTGGGTTCACGCCATTCTCCTGCCTCAGCCTCCGGAGTAGCTGGGACTGCAGGTGCCCACCACCACGCCCAGCTAATTTTTTGTATTTTTAGTAGAGACGGGGTTTCACCGTGTTAGCCAGGATGGTCTCGATCTTCTGACCTCGTGATCCGCCTGCCTCGGCCTCCCAAAGTTCTGGGATTACAGGCATGAGCCACCGTGCCTGGCCAAAATGACACTTTTTATTGACAGTGGTTTCATGAATTTTATATCATTTGAGACCATTTTTAGTAGTATTAACCTTGTTTTACATATGAGGAAAATAAGATGAAGTGGTAGAATAGATTGCCCAAGTTTTCCACAGTGGAATTGAGACATAAACTCATGAAATCTGACTTCAAATTACACAATATTTCCTCAATAACAAACTGGAATGCTCAAAATTGGCTTTGGTATGTATGATGGATAGCCAGTTTTGCTTAGAAGGAATGGCCTTTAGCATTTTGCCATGATTGGCCTCTTCAGGGTATCTGGGTTGGAGATACTCATTTTATTTCTAGGGAACTCTCCAAAATATATATTATATCCTTATCAAGGAAGCACTTTTGGGGTCAAGGCAAGAGATTTCTTTAAAGCAATGAAAGTTTTTTTCTCTGTGTATTTAGGAAGTTGCTATGCCTCAAAACAGCTAGTTAAATGTTGACGTATGGGGAGCACAGATTTAATGGTCTTTATAAAATATCTCTGCTACAGTAAAACTTAACAAACTCTTTAGCTGACCCTGGTACATTTTTGTCAGATTTTAAATTGCTTGTATTGTAGCTAAAATTAATTGCAGGCAGTCTTCATGTTAAAATTCATGTTGTCTAAAACTCAACTGAATAGGAAAGAAGCTATTTGGATATACTTTTTAATTTCTTTGTTTCGACTAGAGATAACTTTAGAGTATAAACTAGAAAACCTTATATCCATGTTTCATGGAGACCAATTGAAAGAACTGTGAATATTTAGAGAAATAGAACAGAAGAGAAAACTCTGGGGCATAAATGTTTTAAGATATTTGAAGAACTGTCTTATAATAAAAGGTGATTAAATTGTTTATTGCCAAGCAAAATAAGTATGCATGAACAATGAAAATTTCAGGAAGATGAATGTGGGTTTGGTTTAAAAACTTGCCAATATTCAGACGTGTCTTTATCAAACAACCAGTTCACAGTGTTGGAAGGTTCAAGCAGAGGTCAGAGGACCGCTTGGCCAGAATGGAGGAATTCTTTGACATTTATGAGGACAAGATCCTAGATTTTTATGAATCTCCGGTTTTTGAAAAACAGTTTACATGTCCCTTGCCTTCTTTTAGGCTAAATTTCCATGAACATTCTTTTCTTTCTGATCAGTATTCTCACAAGTTAATAGTCTTTTTACTGCAGCTTTGTCTCACTTTAGCAGTTCCATATGAGCTAAGATCATTTTGCTTAAAATATTTCACATTTTTTTAGTTGGTTAATTTGTTTATTTAATAAATTCAAGCTACCACATCAATATTCTGGCCAATAGGAATTGTTTTTATACTTTTTCCACTTTCTAGGAGGAACAAGGATTGGTTTAATGTTCAGTGCTATTTTTCCACAAAGAAAGTCCCCCTCCCTTTTTTTTTTTTTTTTTTTTTTTTTTTTGAGACAGAGTCTCACTCTGTCACCCAGGCTGGCGTGCAGTGGCACGATCTCGGCTCACTGCAGCCTCTGCCTCTGTGTTCTAGCGATTCTCCTGCCTCAGCTCCATGAGTAGCTGGGACTATAGGTGTGCACCACCATGCCTATTTAATTTTTGTATTTTCAGTGGAGACGGGGTTTCACCATGTTGGTCAGGCTGGTCTTGAACTCCTGACCTCAGGTGATCCACCCACCTCAGCCTCCCAAAATGTTGGGATTACAGGCGTGAGCCACCGCGGCTGGCCAGAAAGCCCATTTTTATGCTTTTACAGGAGTTACTGAGGATTTAGCACTGTTGGATGTTGATGTTATTTAGTCGGTTAGGAATTCTAAGTAGTTAAGAGATCAATCTTGTATAACCAAATTTCTGTTTTGATAAGTGTCAGCAAAATGACTGTTTTATAAATCTTTGAAGTCACTTGAGAATGCTTTGGGATGGTTACTCTATTAATGCCATGGGTGATGGGTTGGTCTACAATTGACTGGATGGTTGGCCTAGAATTATCTTAAGTCTCTTTCTAGCCTTTAGAGACTATGGTTGTATAAGTAATTCTACCAGCTTTTTGTTGAAGACAGAAATCAGTTGGGGTTTGCTTTTTCTGTCTTTGTTAGGTAGATACTCAAATATTCGTGCGTGTATATATACATATATTTTTATATATATATAGGAATTACTGTGGAAACAAGTAAAACTGGATTTTAGTTCTCATCTTAGTTTTGCCATTACCAGCTCTATGACCATAGGCAATTCATTTAAGCTCTATGGGCCTTAGTTTCTTTATCTAACAATAATTAATTGTGCGCTTTACCATGATAACTAAAATAAGAAAATAAAGCACTTGCTTGATGTGTACAATATAGTACATCCCAATAAATGTGCTTCCTCTCTGCTCTACATCCCTCTCCTCTCTTTTCTGTCCTTTCCTTTCTTTCTCTTTTCTGTAGAGCCCTATTATTTTGTTGATGTGTGCATTTATATATGTATATCTTATTTTCTTATCATCTGTTCACACACTTCAATCCCAAACTTAAAATAAGAACTCTACTTGCCGACTATGGAGCAACAGAGTTTTGAGATAGTTTTTTGAAGTCTTTCTGATCATAAAGCCCTGTAACTGTTGGGATTTATGTGGGAAATAACTATATTTCAGTGAAGGGTTTTTTCATATACGTTTTTATGATAATTTCATCTGAACATTTTATTACTGCCAGGCGAACCATGGAACTTCTCACACAGAACTGGGACCTCTCAAAGAAACTCAGGATTCCGGCAATAAGTCGTCTTCAAAAGATGCACAATGTTGACATTGTTCTTCAAGTTCTTAAATCACGAGGAATTGAATTAAGTGATGAGCATGGTAAAAACTGAGTAGAGGTAAAACTTATTCTCCTCACTGAATATTGATATGTGCGTACATTATGCTAATGGACAACCTTTTCTTTTATAGGAAATACAATTCTATCTAAGGATATTGTGGATAGGCACAGAGAAAAAACTCTCAGGTTGCTTTGGAAAATAGCGTTTGCTTTTCAGGTATTATACATTTGGTACATCTTGTATTTTTTATCAATTTTGATTACTGATTTATAAAAACAATTTGAATCTAATAAAGAATAACAACAACAACCATCATTTAATAAGGTTTATTTTGCCCCAGTAACTGTGATAAATGCTATATATATATATGTATATATATGTGTATATATATATATATTTCAATCTAATCTTCACCACACCTGCAAAGTAGGTGTTATGTCTACCTCTCAGATGAGGAAACTGAAACTACAGTTTACATCATTGATAAATCCCATGGGCCCCAAATCCCATGTTCTTAACCACTAAACATTTTATCACTTCAGTGTAGATGGTGTTTGCCTTTGGGGAAAAAAAAAGCGACTGTTTTGTACTAAAATATCCATTTCAGGCACTTTATTTTCTTTGATTTTTTTAACTTCCTGGTTTAAAACATCTACAGTTTCTCTAAATAGAAGACAGTTACTTTGATTTCTGTGGGTTAAAAATAATCTATGGAAAATATGAAGGTATTTATCTTTTTTTGTGTTTGTTTTAGGTGGATATTTCCCTTAACTTAGATCAATTAAAGGAAGAAATTGCCTTTCTAAAACACACAAAGAGTATAAAGAAAACAATATCTCTACTATCATGCCATTCTGATGATCTTATTAATAAGAAAAAAGGCAAAAGGGATAGTGGTTCCTTTGAACAATATAGTGAAAACATAAAGTTATTGATGGATTGGGTAAATGCTGTTTGTGCCTTCTATAATAAAAAGGTAAGTTTCTTTGTTTTTTGTTTTAACCCAATATATTTTAATAAATTTTGATGAAAGTCACTTAAACTTAATGCCTGAAGTCTTTTCTTGAATTTCTTAGTTCATCTGTGTAAGCAAACTTTCCCTCAAATGAGTGAATGTTTTATCATACACTGTATTTCATCTAATCTATCACCAATTGTGTGATACATGATAATTTTATCAAGAAAAGAAAAATATGCCCTAGATGGAAGTCTTAGTAGAAGATGCTTGCATAGAACTGGGACATAAAAGAATCATATCATTATTATAAAGTTCAATTCAAATAAGCCCACATTCAGAAAGGGACAACTAAGAACTTACCACTAGTTAGAGGAAGAAGAACAAAATTTGAGTCTCTCTATAATCATTTGTTAGGTTAACACTGTATTTCTGTATGAAGTATACTTCTTAGTGTAAATATATGAAAAAAATTTCCCCTAAACACGTGGATAAACTATCTGGTAATAAATATAAGACAGAAACAGTGATACACAGTATGTATAGCTAAATATGGTAAGCCTTGCAATATGATTATACCAAGAAGTTATTAGTACAAAAATTGTTAAACATATGGATAATCTTCTATGTTTTAACTAAATACTAGAGAGCCAAAGTTGATCATCGGTATTAATTAATTCCATATTTGGAATTTGCATACTAGCTAAAATTTCTTTTTAATGCCAAAATTAGTAGTTGCAGTATTTTGTGGTCATTTATTGACGTGTGTGAATGCCTGGGCCCTCATAGCCAGCTGATGTCAAACAAGGTGGTGCTCTTTTTGTTTCAGCTCTTATACTGTAAACAAGCGTCCTTTTCAGGACCTATTTAGCATTGTACTTTTTTGCATTTTTGTGCTTTTTGTTGGTGAGTTCCCTGTTTAAAATGGCTTTCAAGTGTAGTAATGAAGCCCTGTCTAGTGTTCTTAGGAGAAGACTGTGATGTGCCGTATACAGAAAATATATGCGTTAACTAATTTTAATGCAGGCGTGAATTATAATGCTGTTGGCCATGAGTTAGTGTTATTGAATCAGAAACACCTGTGAACAAGGTTATGTGCGGATTGGTTGATAAACATATTATAACCAGAGGCTCACAGGACACTAACCTTATATTTCTCCTCTATGCAATGGTTCAATATTCACAAATAACGAGAATCCACTCTCATTGCTTGTTGTTGTAGTTTCCTAAGACTACCATAGCAAATTACAGCAAACTAGGTGGCTTAAAGTAGAAATTTATTCTCTCACAGTTCCAGAGGTTAGAAGTCTGAAATCAAGGTGTTGGATGTGCCATGCTCTCACATAAAGTTCTAGGGGATACTCTTTTATTTTTTTCTTTTAAATTTTAGAGTTTACCAGTCAAACTTGCCATTACTTGCCTTGTAGATTTGTCACTCCAGTCTCTGCCTTTATTATTCACAGGTATTCTGCAAACCATTATGTCTATACTACTTTCTAAATGCGGTTAATTGTTTTTCTGGCATTTTCAATCAGGTGGAGAATTTTACAGTGTCTTTCTCAGACGGCCGTGTGTTATGTTACCTGATCCACCATTACCATCCTTGCTATGTGCCATTTGACGCTATATGTCAGCGTACTACTCAAACTGTGGAATGTACGCAAACTGGTTCAGTGGTATTAAATTCATCATCTGAATCTGATGACAGTTCTCTGGATATGTCTCTTAAAGCATTTGATCATGGTTAGTCCCTTTTGGTTACTTTTCCAATTTTTTGCCATGTCTGATTTGAAGCTACGGCTAATTTCTCCTTTCCTCCTGCATAATAGAAAATACTTCAGAGCTATACAAAGAGCTCCTAGAAAATGAAAAGAAAAATTTTCACTTGGTTAGGTCTGCAGTTAGAGACCTTGGTGGAATACCTGCTATGATTAATCATTCAGATATGTCAAATACAATTCCAGATGAAAAGGTAAGTAAAAGAAGAGTTTCTAATTATTAATTCAATAATAAAGTCTCAGAAGATGATAGTAAGTACTGTATTCTCTGTTGATATTCTGTTTTTATCTTTTGTGGGTTTTTTTTAGGTGGTTATTACCTATTTGTCATTTCTTTGTGCAAGGCTTTTGGATCTTCGTAAAGAAATAAGAGCTGCTCGACTCATACAAACAACATGGAGAAAATATAAACTAAAAACAGATCTCAAACGCCATCAGGTACTCCTAGAATATGAAACTACTATAGTGTGAATTATACTTTAGAAGGTATTTGTTGATTGATTTTTGATATGATTTTACATTTTATGGATGTATGGCATTATTAAGATAAATTTAGTAATTGTGTATATGTATTTTGGGTTGGGGAGGTATGAGTATTTCTCCCTAATTGCTAATATTCCCTTCATTTGATGTATCTTCCAGTCTGTCCACCCCTTCACCTAGTCTGTTCCAGGGGAAGAGGAATAACTTAATCTGCTTTTTAAATTTGTGAGGAATACATAGCTCACATTGACTCAGCTCTTCCTTTCCTCCTGTTGGAATCTAACCTGCCTCTGGAGAGCAGGAGCTTTCCATTAATTTTTTATTCTGTGCTGTATGAGGCTTGACCTCAACTAGTGCTGCCTGGGCCTGAGCATCAAGTGTCTGATTTTGTGATTTAACTAGTAAGCTTAGTTTGTTTGCCATGAAGCTGTCTTCTACTTTATCCTTTATTAGTTTTAAAAGTGGTATTTTGGTTTCTGCTATTAATTTTTCAAAATGTTAGGATCTGGGCATGAGAATAGAGATGTTATTTATTGTTTCCCTTTGTGACCCCAATAGTACAAAAATTTCATTAATGTAAAAAATTTTTTTCTTAAGTTCTGAGAAAATTGTTATTTTTAATAATCTAAGAAACGGCCTCCTTGATCAAGTTGAACAAACTATTTCACTCTTTTTGTCACCCTATTCCATCTACTAACTAATATTGTGTTTATTTATTTGGAAAACCAAAAAAAATAAAATAAAACAAGCATCCATGCCTGGTAAAATTTATCATAAATATTTCAGAAATACATTCCACCCAATATTCCTTCTCAACTTTGAAATATAATGCATCTGTGATAAAGTTCTTGGTAGCTGTGTAAAACAGATAAATTTTGACAACTTTCAAACACAATATGTGTTTTTTCATTTCACACCAGACTTGGAAATAAGACTAATTGAAATAATTTTCTTTTCCCCTACTCAAACTCTTCATAGTAAAGTTTGGGAAATAGGCAGGGTCTTAACACTCACAAATGGTCTTTTCTGCTACTGTATATGCTGTGTGCCCTATAGTGCCCCTAAACTCAGGATCTGCCTCCCTGCCTACATATCACTTGGAGAATAACTTCCTGAAAACTTTCCTAAAGCAATTCCCCTAGAAGCTTCCAATACTTCTAGGGGAATTGGAAGAGTTCAGAAAAGTGTCTCCCCTGGCCAGTCCTCAAGCTATTTGATTCACCCATTGTATATTGCATTAAATGAGAGTTTTAGAATTACAAGAGATAGATATATATGTATTCTGCTTTTATTTTCTGCTCAAGATAGCCTTGTATTAATCAGATTTTTTTTTTCTTTTGGAGACAAGGTCTCACTCTGTCACCCAGGCAGGAGTGCAATAGCACGATCTTGGCTCACTTCAGATTTTGTCTCTTGGGTTCAAGCCATTCTTGTGCCTCAGCCTCCTGAGTAGTTGGGATTATAGGTGCATGCCACCACACCCAGCTAATTTTTGTATTTTTTGTAGAGACAGGATTTCACCCCATTGCCTAGGCTGGTCTTAAACTCCTGCCTCAAGTGATCTGCCTGACTCTGTCTCCCACAGTGCTGGGATTATATGCATGAGCCACTGCACCCAGCCTTAGTCTGATATTAACTGTAGAATTTTCTCAGCTTTTTGCTAGTGAGATCCCTTTTCTTGATTTATTTCCTTAATGCAAATAGAAGTTTCCATTTTTTTGAAGGATTAAGAGAAGTTTTTTTGAAGAATTAAGAGAAGTTTCTATACTTATGGTTAAACTTCTTGGACCCAGTCAGACCACTGTTTCTCTCCTTTTTCTTGGTGACCATACTCCCTCTTTTATACAATTACCTCACATCCAATTATATCTTTCCGTTTTCTATTTAGAACATTAAGCAGCAGGCTCCCTATGTTATTGCAAGCTACTAAACATATTAACTTGAGATAGCTATTTTTCAGGTTTTATATTTTGCTTTTATGTTATAATTCATATAAATCTATTAATGGAGTGGCTCAAACTTTTATTATGACAAAGAAACTTTGTCAAGTAGCTAAAATTACCTGATGAACTATTGAAGCATCCCCTGGTACATTACAGCTCTCAGTTCTTCCTGTCAACAAATAGCCATAAACTCCAAAGCAAAAGAAGTCCTAGAATTTGGCCCTATATATATGAGGCAAGATAAAAGAAATAAGCTGGTACCTGGCTGACTCAACAACAGTCTGATTAAAAAGGGTCAATGACCATACATGGAAACTTTTATCATCAGTATATGTAATTTTCAAATACTTGCTAAATTTGGTAATATATTTGCCTCTTCTAATTTATTTACTTTCCATCTTTAAATTCTCTAATGGCATGTAAAGTTGTATTTTAGTTCTATAGAGATGATCTAAAAACTGAGATAAGTTACAATTTACTTTAGCCTATTTTGTCCATGAATGCCCTGACCCTTACAACTTTTGTCTCAAATGCAATATACTTCTGAACTGCAACATTTGAAAATTTTATTTGTGTATTTATTTATTTACTGTAACAGGGTTGTGCTTTTAACTTGAGCCTCTACAGTCCTAAAGCCCATAGGTTTCACAAGGGCATTGATAATGGTGTTAGATGACTTAATCAACTTGTTATATACATAATTCCCCTAGCCCGATTTTGGAATTGTCTACTCTTTCTCCCCAGAGGAATGATCCAATATATAGCACTTACCATTCCTTAGTATTTATGTTTCAATCTATTGGTCACCTTTTTTATATGTAAAAATAACAGTTTGATTATTTCCATAGTTGTTTCCCCTATTGCACAATTTTCATGCACAGATACCAACCACTGATTGTTATTAATTAATAATTGGAATTATAGCTAATCTCTGTGTAGAGCCTACCCTTGCATGGTGGACGGTCCCAGACAGCAACACAAAAAGCTGCCAGACATCCCTGCCATAAGTTATTCCTTCCCACCAGAGGAAATAGTTCATTTTCTAGTCTCCAATTCCAGTGAAGTAAATTGAGAAATCTAGTATTGGACAGTATAGCAAAGTTACTTTAAAGCCAAACTGCCTGATTCGTATCCTGGCTATATTACCAATAAACTAACAAGCTAATTGACCTCATTGCCTCAGTTTTCTAGTGATCGTAAGAGTAGTATTTGCTCATTTGTTCTTATGGTGGTGGTTGTGAGATTTAAATGGATTGTTCATGAAGTGTTCAGAATGGTGCTGGACATAGAATATGTTATTATTTACAGCAATTTATTATCAGAAGTAACAAGTAGAGATATGGGGGGTATTGCCTTCTAACATAACTAGGGAGCTGGGTCCTCTTTGACCACAAATGTTGGGCATCTCAGATACCACTTCTCATAGCCCAAACTATACTTTTTCCTCTTCAGCTTGTATGACCTAAGGCCACAATGTATTCTGTGCTAAAGGAGGAGGTATTTTGTTTCTCCCCTTTAGTGTTTTGCTTTGTTCAAATTGTTACAATTCTCTAACACATTCTTTTTTTCATACAATCCTCCCCTTTCCTAAAAGTTAATCATGAATTCAGTGGACCTGAATCTGAGAAACATACCACATTACACTTCAAATGGCCTTTATCTTGATTACTGAGGATCTGTGATAGATCAAACATGTCTAATCTTTATCTTAGACTATTTCTTAGGAATCTTTGTTTCATCATACAAAATATCTGCAAGCCCACCTATCAGCGCTTTCGACATGCCTGGAATTATCAGTATTCCAAAGATGAACACAAGAAGTGTAGGGGTGTTTTATTTCCAGTATCAATTTGATTGGTGTTTAACATATGGTTATCTTACAAAGAATAATTTAAGGTCTTAAGTGAGTGTTTAATTTACATTTGCTGACTTTTTTATTTTAGGAGAGAGAGAAAGCTGCAAGAATTATTCAATTGGCTGTAATCAATTTTCTAGCAAAACAAAGATTGAGAAAAAGAGTTAATGCAGCACTCGTCATTCAGAAATATTGGCGAAGAGTCTTAGCACAGAGAAAATTATTAATGTTAAAAAAGGAAAAGCTGGAAAAAGTTCAAAATAAAGCAGCATCACTTATTCAGGTATAGTATCCTGGACTAATTTTTGAATTTAAAAAATTTTAATGACTTTTTTAAGTAAGAAGGCAAAATGTGATGAAGTTTTCAATGATTATATTTTAGGATTCTTTATCTAATACTTAATTTAACAAATATTTACTACCTGAAAAGCTCGTTATGGTGTTCAGCAGAAGGCTGAAACATAATTGAAATGCATTTGCTCTGAAAAAGCAAACATTCTAATTCTGTACCTGTTGCTCTCTTCTTTGTTGCGTCTTCTACGCTGTGGGACATGCTGGCCTACTGAACCATTCTACTTTGTAGATCCACATAACCAACCAGGTTCTTTTTTATCTTTGCTTTGAGTCCTGGAAACTTCTCTTTGGGACAACTGTACACATTTTTCTCTCTACTCCACTTAGTTGGCATGTAAAGGAAATAGTACTTATAATTAGTCTATAGAATACCTATATTATTTTTCTTTTTAGGAAAAAATATATAATACTGACTTAATATAGTCTTTACATCTATGTAAATTAGTTTTTTTATATTAAATTATATTTTAATGACATGAGAGATGTGCATTATTTAAATTTACTATTTATAAATGCCATTGAAGCTTCACCCCATCAATATATCTGATTTATGAATTTGAAAGTTTTTGTGTCTGGCTACCATTATTGATAAATGAGGGTTCTCTGACTTAAATAATTGTCTTTTTTAACCTTTTTTTAACATGTAAAATATTACACATAGAAAATTACCCAAAATAAAAATATAGAGCCTAATGATTTTTCACAAAATAAATGCCAATGTAAAACCACCTAGGCCAAGAAATAGAATATTGCCAGTGTAGCAAAAGGCATTTTTCAATTAACTCTCCCATCCCAGCTCAAGCTAACCATTATGCTAATCATGCCATTTTCCTAAGTGTTTTCTTTAAACACAATAATTTAGTTTCGCTTACTTTTTGAATTGTTACAGGTGAGTTCAAACCATATGAATTCTTTGATTTGATATTATTACATTTTTTGAGATTTATCAGCGTTGAGTATAGCCGTGGTTTAATTTTTTTATTTCGTATTCTGCACTATACTTAATCTGTTCTATTTTTGATGAACATTTGGCTTTCCAGTTTTGAGCTATTATGATTAAAGGTATTATGAACATGTCTTTTGGTGTGAAATGTATTCAGTCTCTTCAATTGTACTAGGAGTACAATTGTTCTTAAGGCATATAGGCATACCTCGTTTTATTGCTCTTTGCATTATTGTGCTTTGCAGCTATTGAGTGTTTTACGAACTGAAGGTTTGTGGCAACCCTGTGTTAAGCAAGTCTGCAACACTTTTTCCAACAGGATATGCTCACTTTGTGTTTGTGTCATAGTTTGGTAATTCTCAAAATATTTCAAACTTTTTCATTAGTACTACATCTATTATGGTAATGTGAGATTAATGATCTTTGATAGGAAGTGTGAGTGGTCTAGATAGAAGATGAAACCAGCCACAACATTCCCATAAGCCAAAGCCTAATCCAGAGAAGGCCCAAACTCTATTCAGTTCTACGAAGGTTGACAGAAGTAAGGAAGCTGCAAAAATTTTGAAGCTAGCAGAGAATGATTCATGAGATTTAAGGAAATAAGCTGTTCCCATAACATAAAAGTGCAAGATAAAGCAGCAAGTGCTGATGTAGAAGCTGCAGTAAGTTATCCAGAAGATCTAGCTAAGATCATTAATAAAAGTGGCTACACTAAACAAAAGTTTTCAATCTAGACAAAACAGACTTCTATTAAAAGAAGATGCCATCTAGGACTTTTGCATCTAGAAAGGGGAAATCAATTTCTAGCTTCAAAGATTCAAAGGAGAGTTTTACTCTCTTATTAGGGGCTAATGCAACTGGTGACTTTAAGTTGAAGCCAGTGCTTATTTATCCTTCTGAAAATCCTAGGACCCTTAAGAATTATGCTAAATATACTCTGACTGTACACTATAAATGGAACAACAAAGTCTGGATAACAGCACATTTGTTTATAGCAGGGTTTACTGAATATTCTAAGTCCGTTGTTGAGACCTACTACACAGAAAAGAAGATTCCTTTTAAAATATTACTGTTAATTGACAGTACTCCTGGTCATGGACATGGACAAGGAGAGGAATGTTGTTTTCATGCCTGCTAACACAACATCCATTCTGTAGTCCATGGATAAAAATTAATTTGAGTTTTAAGTTGTATTATTTAAGAAACACATTTTTGTAAGGCTATGGATGCAATATATAGTGATTCCTTTGATGGGTCTGGGTAAAGTAAATTGAAAACCTTCTGGAAAGGATTCATCATTTTAGGTGCCATCAAAAACATTCATGATTCGTAGGAGGAGGTCAAAATATCAACATTAACAGGAGTTTGGAACAAGTTGATTCCAACCAACTTTTATGGATGACTTCGATGGGTTAAAGATTTCGTTGGAGGAAGTAACTGCAGATGTGGTAGAAATATCAAGAGAACTAGAATTAGAAGTGGTGCCTGAAGGTGTGCCGAATTGCAGCAATCTCATGATATAAGCTGAACAGATGAGGAGGTGCTTCTTACAGATAAGCAAACAAAGTAGTTTCTTGAAATGGGATCTACTCCTGGTAGCCAAGTGTGGTAGCTCATTCCTATAATCTCAACAACTTGGGAGGCTGAGGTGGGAGGATGGCTTGAGGCTAGGAGTTCGAGATCAGCCTGGGCAACAAAGTGAGACCCCATTTAAAAATAAAAATAAGCTGGGCATGATGGCTCATGCCTGTAATCCCAAGCGCTTTGGGAGGCTGAGGCAGGCAGATCACATGAGGTCAGGAGTTTGAGACCAGTCTGGCCAACGTGGAGAAACACTGTCTCCACTAAAAATACAGAAATTAGCTAGGCATGGGGGTGCATGCCTGTAATCCCAGCTACTTGGGAGGCTGAGGCAGGCAAATCCCTTGAACCTGGGAGGTGGAGGTTGCAGTGAGCCGAGATCACGTCATTGCACTTCAGCCTTGGTGACAGAGCGAGACTCCGTCTCAAAAATAAAAAAAATAAATAAAATAACTAGCCAAGTGTGGTGGCACACATCCATAGTCCCAGCTACTCAGGAAGCTGAGGTGGGAGGATCCCTTGAGCCTGGAAATTCAAGGCAGCAGTGAGCCATTATTGCACCACTGCACTCCAGCCTGGATGACACAGTGAGACCCTAACTGTTTAAAAAAAAATGTACTTTTTGTAAAATTTAAAACAGTATATAAATTTAGTTGACAAAGCAGCAGCGGGCTTTGAGAGGATTGACCCCAATTTTAAAAGAATCTCTACTTTGGGTAAAACGCTAATAAGTGGCATTGTATGCTATGGAGCAATCTTTTCTGAATAAGGAGTCAATCAATGCAGTAAAACTTCATTGTTGTCTTATT
Organism: Homo sapiens; assembly: GCF_000001405.40. Taxonomy (NCBI): domain Eukaryota; kingdom Metazoa; phylum Chordata; class Mammalia; order Primates; family Hominidae; genus Homo; species Homo sapiens. The sequence continues at coordinate 197,114,384 of NC_000001.11, read as the reverse complement.
TTTAAAAAATTGCCAAAGCCACCTACAATAACTACCATTCTGATCAGTCAGCAGCCACCAACATTAAGGTAAGACCCTCCACTAGCAAAAAGATTACAATTTGCTGAAGGCTCACATGGTTCTTAGCATTTTTTAGCAATTTAGTATTTTTAAATTTAGGTATGTACCTTGTAGTGTTTTAGACACAATGGTTTTGCACACTTAATAGACTGCAGTATAGTGTAAAGATAACTTCGGTATGTATTGGGAAACCAAAAAAATTGTGTGACTCACTTTATTGTAATATTTGCTTTATTGTGGTGGTCTGGAACTGAACCTACAATATCTTCGAGATATGCCTGTATATATTTCAACTATCCAAGAGTTTTTTAAAGTACTTGTAAAGATTTAAAACCCACCAGGTGTTTATGACCATTCACATGACTCCATGTCTACATTAACATTTGGAAATTGTCTTTTTAATTTTAGCCATTCTGGTGATTGTGTAGTAGTATTCAGAGTAGTTTTAATTTGATTTTTCTTCATTAATGATGTTGAACAACTTTTCCATTTTGGAAATCTTTTGTGAAGTATTATTTTGAGCATCTTTTAAAACTGTTGCCTTCTTGTGGATTTATAAAAGAGCGTTATACTATGATTGTTATTAGGCCTCTATTTGGTATGTGTGTTGTGTCTTCTCCCAGGCTATAACTTACTGTTTTATATCTTACTAATGAAATTTCTTGTTTTTCTTTTATTGTTAGTATTTTTTGTGTATTATATAAGGAGTGTTTCTTTATCTTCTTTATCTTAAGGCCTTGTAGATGTATGCCTATGTTATACTCTACAAGCATTAATGTTTTGTCTTCCTCATTTTGATCTCACCTAAAACTAATTTTTAGATGATTTGTTTTAGAGGACATTTAAAAAATATATGGCTATCCAGTTGTTTCAGCATGTTTTACTGAAATGACCATCCTTGCCCTTTTGCCATGCTACCTTCAGTATACATTATATATTCTTTTTTTGTTTCTTCTACTTCTATTTTAGATTCTGGGTATATGTGAGCAGATATGTTACATGGGTAAATTGCATGTCATTAAGCCTTAGTGTACAAATGATCCTGTCACCCAGGTATTGAGCATAGTACCTGATAATCTTCCAACCCACACTTCCCTCTGACTTGCGCTCATCAAGCAGTCCCGGTGTCTATTGTTCCCATCTTTGTGTCCATATGTATTCAGTGTTTAGCTCCCACTTATAAGTGAGAATATGTAATATTTGGTTTTCTGTTCCTGTGTTACATCACTTAGGATAATGGCCTCCAGCTAAATGCACATTACTGCAAAGGACATAATTTTTTTTATGGCTGCATGGTATTCCATGGTGCTTATGTGCTACATTTCCTTTTTTTGAAAATTACCTTTTATTTTAGGTTTAGGGGTACATTTGCAGGTTTGTTATATGAACCCCCAAAATTTGAGTCAGGTCTCAGTTAATTTAGAAAGTTTATTTTGCCAGAGTTGAGGATGTGCACCCATTACACTGCATCAGGAAGTCTTGACATGTGCCCAAGGCAGTCGGGGCACAGCTTGGTTTTATACATTTTAGGGAGACATGAGACATCAATCAATATATGTAAGAAGTACATTGGTTTAGTCTGGAAAGTCAGGATAACTTGAGACAAAGGCAGGAAGACCCAAAGCAGGGAGGGGGCTTCCAGGTCAGATAGGTGAGAGACAAACAGTTGCATTCTTTCAAATTTCTGATTAGCCTTTCCAAAGGAGGCATCAGATATGCATTTACCTCAGTGAGCACAGGGGTAGCTGAATAGAATGGGAGACAGGTTTGCCCTAAACAGTTTCCAGCTTGAGTTTTTCTTTAAGCTTAGTGATTTGGGGGGCCCAATATATTTTTCTGTCACAGTTATATAGGTAGACTTGTGTCATGGGGGTTTGTTGTACAGATTATTTTGTCACCCAAGTATTAAGCCTAGTACCCATTAGTTATTTTTCCTGATCCTTTCCCTCCTCCCACCCTTCACTCTCCAATAGGCCCCACTGTGTGTTGTTTCCCTCTGTGTGTCCATGTTTTCTCATCATTTAGCTCCCACTTATAAGTAAGAACATGCAGTGTTTGGTTTTCTGTTCCCGTGTTAGTTTGCTAAGGATAATGGCCTCCAGCTCCATCCATGTCCCTGCAAAGGACGTGATTTCATTCTTTCTTGTGGCTGCATTGTATTCCATGGTATATATGTACCGCATTTTCTTCATCCAGTCTGTCATTGATGGACATTTAGGTTGATTCCATGTCTTTGCTATTGTGAATATTGCTGCAGTGAACATCACGCATGCTTCTTTATGATTGAACAATTTATATTCCTTTGGGTAAATACCCATTAATGGGATTGCTGGGTTGAATGGTATTTCTGCTTTTAGGCCTTTGAGAAATCACCACACTGTCTTCCACAATGGTTGAGCTAATTTATACTCCCACCAACAGTGTATAAGCATTCCTTTTTCTCTACAACCTCACCAGCATCTGACTTTTTGACTTTTTAGTAATAGCCATTATGATTGATGTGAGATAGTATCTTATTGTGGCTTTGATTTGCATTTCTATAATGATCAGTGATGTTGACCTTTTTCCATATGATTGTTGGCTGCATGTATGTCTCCAGTGTGTGTGTACCACATTTTCTTTATCCAGTCCACTGTTGATGGACGTCTTGGTTGATTCCATGTCTTTGCTATTGTGAATTAGTTCTGCGATGAACATATGAATCCATGTGTCTTTTTGGTAGAATGATTTATTTTCTTTGGGTATATACCCCGTAGTGGGTTTTCTGGATCAAATGGAAGTTCTGTTTTAAGTTCTTTGAAAAATCTCCAAATTGATTTTCAAAGTAGCCGAACTAATTTACATTTCCACCAGGAGTATATAAGTGTTCTCTTTTCTCTGTAATCTTGCCAGCATCTGTTTTTTGACTTTTTAAAAACAGCCATCTTGACGGGTGAGATGGTATCTCACTGTGGTTCTGATTTGTATTTTTCTGATGTTTAGTGGTGATGGGCATTTTTTCATAGATTTCTTGGCCGCATGTGTGTCTTCCTTTGAGAGGTGTGTATGTCCTTTGCCCATTTTTTAGTGGGGTTATTTGTTTTTTGTTTTTTGAATTAAGTTCCTTATAGATACTGAATATTAGACCTTTGTTAGATACATTGTTTGCAAATATTTTCTCCCATTCTGTAGGTTGTCTGTTTATTCTGTTGATAGTTTATTTTGCTGTGCAGAATCTCTTTAGTTTAATTAGGTCCCATTTGTCAATTATGTTTTTTGTTGCAATTGCTTTTGGGGACTTTGTTATAAATTCTTTCCCAAGGCTGATATCCGGAGTAGTATTTCCTAGGTTTTCTTCTAGGGTTTTTATTGGTTTGGGTCTTACATTTAAGTCTTTAATCCATCTTGCATTAATTTTTTGTATGTGGTGAAAGGAAAGCGTCCAATTTTAATCTTCTGCACTGACCGTTTATTGAATAGCATATCCTTTCCCCATTGTTTGTTATTGTCAACTATGTCAAAGATCAGGTGGTTTTAGGTATGTGGTTTTATTTTTGGGTTCTCTACCCTTTTCTATTTGTGTAGTAGACATCAGCTATTCTTATATGTGTGATTCTGTTTCTAGTATTTCTTTCTATTCAATTGGTCCATTTGTCTATCTTTGAGCCTCGCACTGTAGCAGTAGGTGAAATCTGGATATCTAGTAGGTAATCCTCCTTCTTTGTTAGTGATTTCACACAATTTCTCCCAATCTGCAGCTTGTCTTTTTATTCTTGTAACAGGGCTTTTTGTTCAGCAGAAGTAGTTCATTTTATTGGAATCCAGTTATCACTTTTCTTCTTTTATGGATTATGCTTTTAGCGTCATATCAAAGTACTCTAAAAGTTTTATAATTTTTCATTCTAAATTTTGACCTATGATGTATTTTGTGTTAGTTCTCCTCTAAGGTAAGGGTTAGGTCAATGTTCACTTTTTTTATATATACATGTCCAATTATTCCAACACTATTTGCTGTAAAAAACTATTCTTTCCACATTGAAATGTCTTTGCACCTTTGTCATAAATCAGTTGGTCATATGTGTGTTGATCTTCTGGACTGTATTCTGTTTCATTAATACATGTGTCTATACCTTCATCAATACCACAGTTTCTTGATTACTGCAGCTTTATAGTAAGCCTTAATGGATATTGTGATTCGTCCAATTTTATTCTTTTTTCAAAATGAGTTGGAATTTTCTAGTTGCTTTGTCTTTCCATTTAAGTTTTAGGTTAGTTTTTCTATGTCCTCAAAAAATACTGTCAAATTTTGATTGAAATTGCATCACATTTACAGATATTTTGAGGTACACTGACAACTTTACTATGTTGATTATTCTGATTCATAAAGGTGATACATATCTCCATTTATTTAGATCTTTGAGTTGTTCATCATCAGCTTTTTGTTAGATTCATACCTCAGTATCTTATTTTATTTTGGAGCTATTATAAATAGTATTGCTTTTTAATTTCAGTTCCCATTTGTTTCTTTTTTATAAACATTCATCCTTATATGTTAACCCTTTAACATATAAAAGGGTTAACTATTAATCCTGTTAAAAAAACTCACTTATTTCTATGAAGTTTTTATGTTTGTTTTTGTTTTAGATTCTTTGAGATTTTCTACATAGTCGTGTTGTCTGCCTTTCTTTCCAATCTAAATATTCTTTCTATTTTTTATTTCCCCCACTTATTTTATTGGCTAAGAATTCCAGTATGATGCTAAATAGGAGTGGTAAGATTCAATATCTTTGCCTTGTTCACGCATTAAGTATTATATAAACTGTAGTTTTCTTGTAGATGCCCTTTATCAGGTTGAAGGAGTCTCTGTTTCTTAGCTTACTGAGAGTTTTATCACATAGATTTGGGTTTCATTAAATACTTTTTCTGCTTCAATGGATATATTAACATTTATTGGGTTTCTAATCTTACTGTAAACTTACATTCCAAGGATAAAATTCAAATATTAGTTATGTATTTTTTATATGCATTGATATTTCATTAATTCCACTTGCTAGTATTTTATTGAAGAGTTTTGCATCTGTGTAATGAGTTGGGAAGTTTCAGCGTTCTTTTATGTTTTCTGGAAGAGATTGTTGACATGTTATTATTTTGTCTTTAATTATTTTATACAACTCACCAGTGATACTATCTTAGAGTGGAAATTTCTATTTTATTTTATTTTTTTCCTCTTTTTTTACTTGACATAATTGTGCATATTCATAAAGCACATAGTGATGTTTTGATACATATACTGTATAGCGATCACATTAGGACAATTAGCATATTCATCATCTCAAACATTCTTCTCTGGACTTTTTTTTTTTTTTTTTTTTTTGGAGACAGGGTCTTGCTCTGTCGCCCAGGCTAGAGTACAGTGGTGCAAACACAGCTCACTGCAGCCTCAATCTCCTAGGCTCAAGCCATCATCCCACCTCAGCCTCCCAAGTAGCTGAGACTACAGGCATGTACCACCACACTCAACTAATTTTTGTATTTTTTGTGGAGATAGGGTCTCACTAAATTCCCCAGGCTGGTCTCGAACTCCTGGGCTCTAGTCATCCTCCTGCCTTGGCCTCCTAAAGTGCTAGGAATACAGGTGTGAGCTACTACACCTTGCCAGATTCTGTTTTTTAAATTTGTATAGGACTATTTATCTTTGATGAGTTTTGGCAGTTTCTAATTTTCGAAGAATTGGTCCATTTCATCCAAGTTGTTGAATTTACCATATGTATATACAAAGTATATCTTTAATATCCTTTTGATGCCTGGGTAGTCTGTAGTGATATTCCCTTTTTCATTCCTGATATTGATAATTTGTATCTTCTCTTTTCTTCTTTGTCAGTCTTGCTAGAGTTTTAACTCTCTTGATCTTTTCAGTGGACAACCCTTTGGCTTCATTGGTCTCTGCTCAGTCTTTATTATTTCTTGTTTTGATTAATTTTGCTTTTCTGTCTATAGTTTCTTTAAGTATAATCTTGAGTAACTGATTTGAGTCCTTCCACTTTTAATGTAACACATTAATGGTATAAATTTTCTTCTAAATACAGGTTTAGCCACATACTACAAATTTTGATATGGTATTTTTTTTTCATTCAGTTCAAATAGTTTTTAATTTCTCTTGAGGCTTTTTCTATGATTTAAAGTTTCAGAATATGTTATTTACTTTCTAAATGTTTGGAGATTTTCCTATTATTTTTCTGTTAGTGACTTTTTCTTCAATTCCATTATGACCAGAGCACATACTGTGATTTCAATTCTTTCCTATTTGATAACCTTTAGTTTATGATCCACAATATGGTCTATCATGGTCAGAGGTTGGTATATCTGCAGGCCAAATTTGGCCTACCATGTGTTTTTATAAATAGAGTTTTTTAGAATATGGTCACAACTATTTGTTTATGTATTATTTGGGAGCTGCTTTTGTACTACAATAGCATAATTGACTTGTTGCAACAGAATTGGCCCACAAAGCTGAGATATTTGCCATCTTGGCTGTCATCTCCATTCTGCTATTGTGCCATACCAGTGAATTTTTATTTTGGTTAGTGTGTTTTTCGGTTCTACTATTCTCACTTGGTTCTTACTCATATCTTTGATGTCTTTACTGAGACTTTTTATCTTTCCATTAGTTTCAACTTGTTGTAGCATTTTTACTTTATCTGCTCTAAAGTCGTTGTCAGTTAATTCCAATTCCAGTATCTTTGTCATCTCATCATTGGTGTCTATTGATTATCTTTTCTTGTGAGAGTTGAAATTTTTCTGTTATGTTGTATGTCAAATAATTTTTAATTGCATTCTGGAAATTTAATGTTATGTTATCAGACTCTATGTTTTGTTTAAATCCTATGGAGAATGTTGATATTTTAGTTTTAGCAGCTAATTCACTTGATTGGGTTCAGGCCACCTGTTCTCATCAGCCTTCCATGAGCGTAGCTTCAGTGACAGTTCCTTTTTGAAAGCCTTTACAGTGAGTGATATTTGTATCATATCAGTTTCATTATGTAACACCCAGTAGCCAGTCTGGGATCTAGATTGTGATCTGTATCTTATTCAATTCTTAAAGTCTATAGCCTACTGTGGTCTAGATTCACATTGTGCACAACTTGGTGGTGAACCTAGAAATTCATAAACAACATTATCAGATTGCTTCCCTGAGCTCCCCAGTCTCTACCATCTCCCTGGTACCCTCTAGTTCCTCAGGGCTGCCTTGTTTCATCATCTGACCAGAAAACTGAAGATTGAGTTACACTGCTCTACTGCATTCTTTCCATGACTGCGCCCATATCTCAAGCAGAGAAACTCTTTTGTATGAGGAAAAACAAAGTATGGCACAGGTTATAGTTACTGGGAGAGATGAAGAATTGGGCTGTTAATGCACTCAACCTGCTGCAGATATCTGTGGTAGAGTAGAAAGAACATTTGATTTTGGTGTAATAATGTAGATCCTAAGATCAATTATTTTTATTTGCTGTGGGACTTTGCAAAAAGTTTTGTAACATTAGTGTTCCTTTCTTTAAGTGAAGAAACAATGCCAACTTAATGTATTTTTGTGAGAATTAAGTGAGAAAATTGTATGTAATGTGTTCCTTAGTAAAAGCTATTTATTTTTAAGAATTGTATGACAATGGTGAAAAAATTGCTATTGTAATAAGCAAAACTGTTAGGAGAGGAGATGATCATATCTTCCATGTTATATATCAACATTGATTAACATTTCAGTAATGGAGTAGTAATAGTAATGTAGAAAAAGTGATTATTAAAGTATAAAACAATCTGTACACACTGATTCTTCAATTTCTTAGTTTGAGGATTTTACATAGAAATATCTGTTGGGGGTGGGTGCTCAAAAGAAAAATAATATCTGAATTTCTGAGTACTATTACTGCTTTACTTTGCCCTAATTTAAAGCAAGTTAATACTTTATGTAGAGTTTATTGTTTTCAAAATACTTTTGTACAAATAAGTTTGACTGTTGTTGGATAAATATTTTGACAACTTGTGCATCTCTTCTTGGTAAGATAAAATGTATACAATCATTTCCTGTCAGGTTGAAGAGTATGAACAAAACCTCAGGTAACATTTAGTAGAGGAAGAAGACAATAAAACTTACAGGAAAAGGGTCAGGAAAAGGGATGTGCATGTTCTCCTTAAGCTTCCTCACCCATGGATAGGTATGCTTAGGCCAGTGATAGCTGCAAGCAAACTCGATACTGCTATAGGAGAGCGAGGTACCCAGTCCCTATATTACTCTACTTATATGCGAGAAAAAGTAAGATGTAGTAGAGAACAACCTCTCCATGCCACCCCCAATCTCAGCAATGTTTGGAGTGTTTGTACAAAGGAATGGTCTTATTGCTAAAACATCTAGAACTTGACTACCATTAGCCTGGGACCATTTTAGATACCAGCAACTGGAATTAGCTTGAGAGTTTGTAGCTCTTTTTGTTGAGCCAACATACAGTTGGATTAGCCATTGTAACCATGGCTTTTCAAAAGACAAAAGTTTTGTCATTTCTCAAGTCTTTCTAGAATTCTACTTTTAAGCCATGTATTTATAGTTCCTAAATTTGGGAAAAGGAAGTAATTTTATTCTTAATGAAAATAATGACTCTGAGAGTGATCTGGTTTATTTATTCCTAAATTCCTATATTTATATTATCAGGCCTGTAATGTGATAATGCAGGATCCTTCACATAAACAGTTTCTAGTCATTATAAGGTAGCTTAGAAACATTGAAGTAAGGGGACCATATAAGGCCCAGAAATAAACTCATAGGAAATTACTTAGAATCAATAGATAGCAAAGAATATTACTATAGTTTTATTTTGACTCTTTTGCTTGTAATATAACATAAACTTGCTTATGTTTCTTATGATTCTGGCATACAAATGCAGTATTTAAATATAATGAAGATTTGGATGGATTTCTGAATTGGCTACAGGTATATCAATGTAAAACCTAAACTAAAAACAAAAGAGACAAATATCTCACAAAAATAATTAGTTTTCTAATTCAATGTGTTTATTTTTAAGCAGAATGTTAGAAAAATTAGTATTTTGAAAAGTGTTAAATATAGAAAGCTATGCCTATTTTACTTTGTGTCCTTTCTTACCTTTTCCAGGGATATTGGAGAAGATATTCCACTAGACAAAGATTTCTGAAATTGAAATATTATTCAATCATCCTGCAATCTAGGATAAGAATGATAATTGCTGTTACATCTTATAAACGATATCTTTGGGCTACAGTTACAATTCAGAGGCATTGGCGTGCTTATTTAAGAAGAAAACAAGATCAACAAAGATATGAAATGCTAAAATCATCAACTCTTATAATCCAATCTATGTTCAGAAAATGGAAGCAACGTAAAATGCAATCACAAGTAAAAGCTACAGTAATATTGCAAAGAGCTTTTAGAGAATGGCATTTAAGAAAACAAGCTAAAGAAGAAAATTCTGCTATTATCATACAATCATGGTATAGAATGCATAAAGAATTACGGAAATATATTTATATTAGATCTTGTGTTGTTATCATTCAGAAAAGATTTCGGTGCTTTCAAGCCCAAAAGTTATATAAAAGAAGAAAAGAGTCCATACTAACCATCCAGAAGTACTACAAAGCATATCTGAAAGGAAAGATTGAGCGCACCAACTATTTGCAGAAACGAGCTGCAGCCATTCAATTACAAGCTGCTTTTAGGAGACTGAAAGCTCATAATTTATGTAGACAAATTAGAGCTGCTTGTGTTATTCAGTCATACTGGAGAATGAGACAAGACAGAGTTCGATTTTTAAACCTTAAGAAGACTATTATCAAATTTCAGGCACATGTAAGAAAACATCAACAACGACAGAAATATAAGAAGATGAAGAAAGCAGCTGTTATAATTCAGACTCATTTCCGAGCTTATATTTTTGCCATGAAAGTTCTAGCATCTTACCAGAAAACACGCTCTGCTGTCATTGTGCTGCAGTCTGCATATAGAGGGATGCAAGCCAGGAAAATGTATATTCACATCCTCACATCTGTTATAAAGATTCAATCATATTATCGTGCTTATGTTTCTAAAAAGGAATTTTTGAGCCTAAAAAATGCTACAATAAAATTGCAGTCAACTGTTAAGATGAAACAAACACGTAAACAATATTTGCATTTAAGAGCAGCTGCACTATTTATCCAGCAATGTTACCGTTCCAAAAAAATAGCTGCACAAAAGAGAGAAGAGTATATGCAGATGCGGGAATCTTGTATCAAACTGCAAGCATTTGTTAGAGGATACCTTGTCCGAAAGCAGATGAGGTTACAAAGAAAAGCTGTTATTTCACTACAGTCTTATTTCAGAATGAGAAAGGCTCGGCAGTATTATCTGAAAATGTATAAAGCAATTATTGTCATTCAGAATTACTATCATGCATACAAAGCACAGGTCAATCAGAGGAAGAACTTCTTGCAAGTCAAAAAAGCAGCTACTTGCTTGCAAGCAGCTTACAGAGGTTATAAAGTACGCCAGCTAATCAAACAACAATCTATAGCTGCTCTTAAAATTCAGTCTGCTTTTAGAGGCTATAATAAAAGGGTAAAATATCAATCTGTGCTTCAATCTATAATAAAGATTCAGAGATGGTACAGGGCGTACAAGACTCTTCATGATACAAGAACACATTTTTTGAAGACAAAGGCAGCTGTGATTTCCCTCCAGTCTGCTTATCGTGGCTGGAAGGTTCGGAAACAGATTAGAAGGGAACATCAAGCTGCCTTGAAGATTCAGTCTGCTTTTAGAATGGCCAAGGCCCAGAAACAGTTTAGATTGTTTAAAACAGCAGCATTAGTCATCCAGCAAAATTTCAGAGCATGGACTGCAGGAAGGAAGCAATGTATGGAGTATATTGAACTCCGTCATGCGGTACTGGTGCTTCAATCTATGTGGAAGGGAAAAACACTGAGAAGACAGCTTCAAAGGCAACATAAATGTGCTATCATCATACAGTCATACTATAGAATGCATGTGCAACAAAAGAAGTGGAAAATCATGAAAAAAGCTGCTCTTCTGATTCAAAAGTATTATAGGGCTTACAGTATTGGAAGAGAACAGAATCATTTATATTTGAAAACAAAAGCAGCTGTAGTAACTTTACAGTCAGCTTATCGTGGTATGAAAGTGAGAAAAAGAATAAAGGATTGCAACAAAGCAGCAGTCACTATACAGTCTAAATACAGAGCTTACAAAACCAAAAAGAAATATGCAACCTATAGAGCTTCAGCTATTATAATTCAGAGATGGTATCGAGGTATTAAAATTACAAACCATCAGCATAAGGAGTATCTTAATTTGAAGAAGACAGCAATTAAAATCCAATCTGTTTATAGAGGTATTAGAGTTAGAAGACATATTCAACACATGCACAGGGCAGCCACTTTTATTAAAGCCATGTTTAAAATGCATCAGTCAAGAATAAGTTACCATACAATGAGAAAAGCAGCTATTGTTATTCAAGTAAGATGTAGAGCATATTATCAAGGTAAAATGCAGCGTGAAAAGTACCTGACAATTTTGAAAGCTGTTAAAGTCCTTCAGGCAAGTTTTAGAGGAGTAAGAGTTAGACGGACTCTTAGAAAGATGCAGACTGCAGCAACACTCATTCAGTCAAACTACAGAAGATACAGACAGCAAACATACTTTAATAAGTTAAAGAAAATAACAAAAACAGTACAGCAAAGATACTGGGCAATGAAAGAAAGAAACATACAATTTCAAAGGTATAACAAACTGAGGCATTCTGTAATATACATTCAGGCTATTTTTAGGGGAAAGAAAGCTAGAAGACATTTAAAAATGATGCATATAGCCGCAACTCTCATTCAGAGGAGATTTAGAACTCTAATGATGAGAAGAAGATTCCTCTCTCTCAAGAAAACTGCTATTTTGATTCAGAGAAAATATCGGGCACATCTTTGTACAAAGCATCACTTACAGTTCCTTCAGGTACAAAATGCAGTTATTAAAATCCAGTCATCATACAGAAGATGGATGATAAGGAAAAGGATGCGAGAGATGCACAGGGCTGCTACTTTCATCCAGTCTACTTTCAGAATGCACAGATTACATATGAGATATCAGGCTTTGAAACAGGCCTCCGTTGTGATCCAACAGCAATACCAAGCAAATAGAGCTGCAAAACTGCAGAGGCAGCATTATCTCAGACAAAGACACTCTGCTGTGATCCTTCAGGCTGCATTCAGGGGTATGAAAACTAGAAGACATTTGAAGAGTATGCATTCCTCTGCAACCCTTATTCAGAGTAGGTTTAGATCATTACTGGTGAGGAGAAGATTCATTTCCCTCAAAAAAGCTACTATTTTTGTTCAGAGGAAATATCGAGCCACCATTTGTGCCAAACATAAATTGTACCAATTCTTGCACTTAAGAAAGGCAGCCATTACAATACAGTCATCTTACAGAAGACTGATGGTAAAGAAGAAGTTACAAGAAATGCAAAGGGCTGCAGTTCTCATTCAGGCTACTTTCAGGATGTACAGAACATATATTACATTTCAGACTTGGAAACATGCTTCAATTCTAATTCAGCAACATTATCGAACATATAGAGCTGCAAAATTACAAAGAGAAAATTATATCAGACAATGGCATTCTGCTGTGGTTATTCAGGCTGCATATAAAGGAATGAAAGCAAGACAACTTTTAAGGGAAAAACACAAAGCTTCTATCGTAATACAAAGCACCTACAGAATGTATAGGCAGTATTGTTTCTACCAAAAGCTTCAGTGGGCTACAAAAATCATACAAGAAAAATATAGAGCAAATAAAAAGAAACAGAAAGTATTTCAACACAATGAACTTAAGAAAGAGACTTGTGTTCAGGCAGGTTTTCAGGACATGAACATAAAAAAACAGATTCAGGAACAGCACCAGGCTGCCATTATTATTCAGAAGCATTGTAAAGCCTTTAAAATAAGGAAGCATTATCTCCACCTTAGAGCAACAGTAGTTTCTATTCAAAGAAGATACAGAAAACTAACTGCAGTGCGTACCCAAGCAGTTATTTGTATACAGTCTTATTACAGAGGCTTTAAAGTACGAAAGGATATTCAAAATATGCACCGGGCTGCCACACTAATTCAGTCATTCTATCGAATGCACAGGGCCAAAGTTGATTATGAAACAAAGAAAACTGCAATTGTGGTTATACAGAATTATTATAGGTTGTATGTTAGAGTAAAAACAGAAAGAAAAAACTTTTTAGCAGTTCAGAAATCTGTACGAACTATTCAGGCTGCTTTTAGAGGCATGAAAGTTAGACAAAAATTGAAAAATGTATCAGAGGAAAAGATGGCAGCCATTGTTAACCAATCTGCACTCTGCTGTTACAGAAGTAAAACTCAGTATGAAGCTGTTCAAAGTGAAGGTGTTATGATTCAAGAGTGGTATAAAGCTTCTGGCCTTGCTTGTTCACAGGAAGCAGAGTATCATTCTCAAAGTAGGGCTGCAGTAACAATTCAAAAAGCTTTTTGTAGAATGGTCACAAGAAAACTGGAAACACAGAAATGTGCTGCCCTACGGATTCAGTTCTTCCTTCAGATGGCTGTGTATCGGAGAAGATTTGTTCAGCAGAAAAGAGCTGCTATCACTTTACAGCATTATTTTAGGACGTGGCAAACCAGAAAACAGTTTTTACTATATAGAAAAGCAGCAGTGGTTTTACAAAATCACTACAGAGCATTTCTGTCTGCAAAACATCAAAGACAAGTCTATTTACAGATCAGAAGCAGTGTTATCATTATTCAAGCTAGAAGTAAAGGATTTATACAGAAACGGAAGTTTCAGGAAATTAAAAATAGCACCATAAAAATTCAGGTATTTCTATATTTAATTTAAATATAAAACTGTGAGTCTTTCTTTTGACCAATATTTGTTAGAATGTATAAAATGAGCTTAAGCAGGTCATAAAGAATAGTACTTAGTTGAGGTGACCATTTATCTTCCAAAGTGGAACATTTTTGAAAGAGGGAAAGGGCACTAGTAAGTCAGCCAAGACAGCACAGAACGGGGATTGTTCTGGCCATGGTCACCCTATGTGTGGTGCATTTCAGTATGGGTTAATTGTAGCACTCTTAGAAGAATTTTGAGAAAATAGGAGTCCTGTATTTGGCAAAGTTATTTCTTTAAGTGGAAAATATAAGCTAAGATAAAGTATTATTTGGCATAATATAGGCAAAATAGAGTAACTTTGTTCCTCTAATAATCTATTAACCAGAGCTGTTTGCTGCTTAGGCTAGTAGACATACTTTATTCTGAGTGTTTAGTACTTTGGCTTCCAAATCAATTTTGTATTATTTTGTTTTGTCTATTTGCCAAATGTGTGAGGAATGTACAGTATTATCTCTTTTAAAATATGAAGGAAGTGATAAAGTTTAAGTAATTTGGCCAATGTTGCATAGAGAGAGGCAGATCCAGGAACTGAATCTAAGTACTTCAGCTATTTCTTTTTACCTGCAATAACCCAGGCTTTAACCCAGATGTGATATGTTCATATCTTACTGGATTACTGTTAAATTTAGAAATAATGTTTTAATTCAAGAAATGTCAAGTGCTAGAAATGTGCCAAATGCTGTAGTGGGTGTTATAAATAGACAATGAGTAAGATATACTTAGTTGCTGTCCTCAAGGAACTTAATTGAACAAGGAAGTATAATTATAATACAACATGAGAAGTGTATGTTTCAGGAAACACAGAATGGGAAATCAAGCTAGTCTCCATGGTCAGAGACTTCCCAGAGTGAGTAACATTTAAGTTGAAATGTTACACTGAAGTATGAATTAGAAATAGCCCAGTAAAAGGTATAGAAGAATATTCCAATTGCAAGAGATAACGTGGAAAAATCAAAAAACTAGAAACAATAAAAAGTGATATGGGACCAGGTTGGCAATAGAGGGAGTAAGATTGTGGATAGATTTTTAAGACAGAAAAAATTTAGTCTTTATGCTCCAGACAAAACAAATTCTAGAGGAGTTTAAGCAGGAGAAGACCACAGTCATTTTTATTAAAAAAAAAAAAAAAATTACTCTGGCAGGAATGTGGAAGATGGACTGGAAAAGGAGCAAGACTAGAATCAGGTAGACCAAATGAAAATAGGCAGTAAGCCAGGTGAGAAAGAGTTATAGTTCAGTGTAGGTTTGTGACAATGGGATTGTAAGTTGGCATTATATAGAGCATGAACAAGGAGGCAAGCCATGTTGATGGCTTAAGTAACTCAGCAGAGTTACTCCCTCACACCCTGACATAGGGAATAAAGAGGGAAGAGCAGGTTTTGAGATTGATGATGAATTCAGTTTGGAGTATATAAGATCTGAAGTACCTAGCAGGTAACCCCCTTGAAATATCTAGTAAGGCAGTTGACTATGTTTGTCTGGAGTTCAGGAGAGTAGTGTGAGTATTAGAATTTGATTTGTACATTATGGGCATATGCTAATAATTAAAGTTCTGGGAATAATGAGATCACCAAGGAACAATACATAAAATGAGTGAACAAAGAGGGCCTGGGACTTGAGCCCTGAAGAACATCAAAATTCACAGACATTGACAAGAGAAGCCAACAAGGTGTTAAGAGGGAAAGAAGAAAGGTAAGAGATTAATGGTATCAAGAAACCAAGGTGTTAAGAGGGAAAGAAGAAAGGTAAGAGATTATGGTATCAAATTCCTAACACTACTGAGAAGTTCACAATTGAAAGGTGTTCATTGGATGTATTAGTTATGGTTTTATTCACTTAAAATGATTAAATAGCCAAAATAACAATCTTATAAAAATTTTTTTCTCTTACATAATTACATAATAAAATTGTATTTTACACATATAATTTTTAGCCTATGCCAGTGGTCTAAAACTTTACTGCATATTGGAGTCACCTGGAATTTTAAAACATACTCCTACCTTTAGATATTCTAATTGGTATGGGAAGCAACACAAGCGTGGGATTTGTTTCAAAGCTCCCAGGTGACTCTAATGAGCAGCGAAGTTTGGGAGCCACTGGGATATAGTATACATTACTAAATACTTACATATATATGTAAATATGTATGTTTTATATATATATATATATCAACTTCTCTGTAGCATTTGGGATTTAAGCACACTTTGTTTCTTCTCTCAACCCTTGGTTTCTTGATACCATAATCTCTTAGCTGTCTTCTTTCCCTCTTAACGCTATGTTGGCTTCTCTTGTCAATGTCTGTAAATTTTGATGTTCTTCAGGTGTGATGTGTGTGTGTGTATATATATATATATTTGTAAATATATATATACACACACGTATATCTATACATATATATAATTTTCTCATTAAAACTTTGTTTTAATGGGTCTCAAAATTCTGTGACAGATTTTCGGTCAATTTGTTTTCATTAAAAAGTACTGATTTTAAAAACTAGTAACTTATAACTGCCACAAGCAAAACAAAAACAAAAACACCAAAATGGTCCACAAAACATTCTCCTTTCCTCCTGAAGGTTTTATGATGCAGTGTTACCATTAACCAGTCTTTTACTGTTACAGTTAAATGGCCAATTGAAACAAACAGTTCTGAGACCATTCTTCTACCACTGATTAAGACTGAGGTGGCAGGTATTGGGGATATACATAAATAATGTATGCAGATTTACATAAAAACCGTATACAATATAGTCTGAATGAGTTAAGGTCATCTCAGAGTAATTTTGGCCATATATAATTATTGCATTATCAACTGAATTTAGAACCTAATCTAAATATACGTTGTGCCTATAGTATTTGTTGTGCTGCGGGATAATTAAGGAATCAGAGAGACCGAGGGATTTGAGGAGGAATTATTTAATTATTTATGTGCACCGACCCAGTCGGATTAACATCCAAAGAGGACTGAGCCCTGAACAAAGAGTCAAGCTACCTTTTAAGCATTTCGTGGGGCATGGGGAGATCTGTGCAGGGGGAAGCGTATTACAGAAGAGAGAAACAAAGACAGTTATTCAAGTAAGAGATGCATTACATTATTTCTTACTTTTTAAGGAACAACATGTTTTACAACTTGAGATTATCTGTCTAGTGTCCTTGCAGCTGCACAGCTAGAGAAACAGTCTTCACAATGCCTGGGAAAGGGAGAGATAAGGCTCACTAGCCACAGAGAGAAAAACACAGTTAATTTTAAAGGACTCCAGCCCTTTCTCTTCCCAAGGGGAATTGGGTTTTCTTACATACAACTGAGTTTTTGCTTACACAGTCTTTAATTTCTTTTAATTCCTCTTCCTGTAGGGATGTTGGAGTCAAATAGACTTGGGTTCAAATCTTGACTCTGTCACTTAACAGCTATATGCTAACAAGTCCTTCTTAATTTCAATTTTGGATTTTTTTCCTTTTTTATAAAACAGAGATCTTAACCATTTTATAAGATATTTATAAATATTAAGTAAGACAACTCTGCCACTTATTAACCTGTGTGACATCAACAAGTTACTCAATTTCTCTAGGCCTTGATTTCCTCATCTCTAAATTAGAGATAATAGTATTATCTACCCATGTGATTATTAAGGACTAATCTTCTTAGTGCTTAGTTCAATAAGTTGTAGCTGTCATGTAAACCTTTAGTCTTCCAGAAGGTTGTCAAAATCAGAAAGTCTGACAGTCCTATCACAGGAGCTCTCAGGATTCTCCTGCAGGCTGAACACAGAACCCAAAGTGAATATGGATTGGGAAGAATTCCTCTTTCTCCCCAGAACCTGCAGTAGGTCAATGTGTTCATTTTCTTTTCTTCCAAATGGATTGAGGTGATGAGGATAATTTACATAATGTGGGGCTTTTCAGACATGTGTGTCTTACAATTTATAAATACTGGTTAGGGTTTTGTTAGGCTGGGCTGGCAGCCAGCCATAAGGTATGTGTGATAAAGCACATAATACGTGTTCACTATAGTAAGCACCACTGTTCTCAGAAGACTCATTACATGTCAAAGTCTAAAAGAGTCATGATATGACTATGCAATTTATTTTTGTCTGCACTAACCTTATTTTAACTGTCTTTATACTGATTTGTCTTATTTACAAAAAAAAAGAGACAACTCATTGCATACTTGTTATATTTATGTATTTAATAGGCTATGTGGAGGAGATATAGAGCCAAGAAATATTTATGTAAAGTGAAAGCTGCCTGCAAGATTCAAGCCTGGTATAGATGTTGGAGAGCACACAAAGAATATCTAGCTATATTAAAAGCTGTTAAAATTATTCAAGGTTGCTTCTATACCAAACTAGAGAGAACACGGTAATGTATCATAGTTCTGTGGAGAGTGTAAAAGTATTTGTGTGTGATAGCTAAGTCTTTACATAAAATAACACTGCTTATTGATTTTTATTTTAAATATTTGTTATGCTTAATTTATATGGTTGGTTTTGTTGATATTTTCTTTATTAAGGAAACAAAATACATCTCTCGTACTGTCTTGCTTTTTTGAGATAGAGCATAGCCTTTAATTAATATAATCTAAAAATATTATATACTTGATTAATTCAGGTTCATAAGGATTAGAGTAAGGACAGAGACGTAGGAAGTGAATAAAATCATTTAGTTAAGACTTGGTTTTCTTATTAGTGCTTTGGGCCATTTTGCTGGGTGACTTAACTACTGGCAAAATTTGTTTTCTTACTCATTCTTTTTTTCTTTGAACTTTGTATTATTCCTCATACTCTTTGTCATTAATGATGAAGACCCTAATTACCAACCTGTCTATGCTAATTGTATTTCACTATTCCTAGCTTATTTCTCACACACACATTTTCAGAAGCTGTTACCAGATCATCTTTTTTTAAGTTCATAGTATAAGAATTTTTCTTCAGCTCCCAGAGTTGATGAATTATTGAATCAATGATGGTTTTAAAGATGGTTTAGGAAGGCACACTAGTGTGAGAGGAATTTTTGGATGAAGCCCATGGGTAGAAGCAGGGCTTAACATATACAGTTGATCGCATGAAGATAGAAGTAGAATGTTGGTTACCAGAGGCTAGGATAGGGAGAGGGGAGGGGTGGATAACGACAGGCTGGTTAATGGGTACAAAAATACAGTGAGAAGGAATAAGATTTACTGTTTAGTAGCACAATAGGGCAACTATAGTTAACAATAATTTATTGTATATTTCAAAATAACTAGAGGAATAGAATTAGAAGTTTCCTAATAGAAGGAAATGATAAATGTTCGAGGTGATGGATATCCCATTTACCCTGATTTGATCATTACTCATTGTGTGCTTGAATCAAAATATCACATGTACTCTGTAAATATTTACAACTATTATATATCCATAAAAATAAAAATTAAAAAGCATATAAAGATACAGTTGCTACTATCAGCTATTAAGGACCAGTATCTAATTTTCCTGTAACAGATGCTGAATTTTTCTCAATGGTGTTTGGTCCTATTTTCTAAGAAACATGGCAACAAAACAAGCTACTCATTGTACTTTTTCCACATTATCAAGAACAGAGTAGAAAACCTGTCCATTCTCACATTTTATCTCTTAGTATTATGTTGATCCCTAAAATTTAATCTCTAGTGCTCAGATTTTTTAAAATTTTTCTCCAGTTCTGTTTACGAAATATCTCTACTTAGATATTTTGATGATATCTATTTTTCCTTTCAAATGAAAGGAAGTACCTGATGCTGCTTGTAATCACATTCTCTTCTTAACCACCTCCCGTCTGCTCAAAGACTCACTTGCCATGCAGACTCAAATCTTATATTTTACCATTATTTCTACCATTCCCCCTTTATCTAGTTTTTGTCTAGATCTGGGTAACCATACTTTATTTTGATCCTGTTCAAAATTCTGTGCCATATTAGAATCGTAGAACTTCATATTTCTTACCCACTGGAATATTGCCAATTGTAAAACTTCTTTCGTGTGCGTGTGTAAATTCTGATTGTTAGAACTTAACTATGAATTATACTTGCCCACTTTTTAAAATTCTGTCATTGCCTTTCTTATATTTTATTCTCTTCTAATATTTTAAAGGGGGGGAGGCAATAAATACTCATTGAATAAGTTAAAGTAATTTGACATTGCTTTCCAATAACTACTTTTTAGGTTTTTGAATGTGAGAGCATCAGCAATTATCATTCAGAGAAAATGGAGAGCTATACTTCCTGCAAAGATAGCTCATGAACACTTCTTAATGATAAAAGTAGGTATTAAAAATTAATTCACTTGCAAATAACTACTTTAGGAAATAGAAAACAAAGAATGTTTTGTATTTTTTAATTTTTAAAAATAAATCCTTCGCTGGAAAAAAAGTGTTTTTAAGACCTAAGTATGCATTTATTTCACACACATCTATTTCAGTCAATTAAAAATTATATTCTCCCATAAAAATACTATTTGCTAGTTTTTAAAAATATATAACTGTACAGGCATACCTTGTTTTATTGTACTTCGCTTTATGGTGCTTTGCAGATATTGCATTTTTTATAAATTAAAGGTTTCTGTCAACCCTGTGTTGAGCAAGTCTGTTGGTGCCATATTTCCAGCATCATGTGCTCACTTTGTGGCTCTGTCTCATTTTGGTAATTCTCACAGGTTGTTACGTAATTGAGGAATCTAAGGTGTGCTAGTGGTATGCTATGTTTTTTCAAGCTACAGACAGCTTCTGTCATAGCTATTTATGATCACCGTGCTCTTTCTATTGTAGCTAGCATTTTTATTAAATGTATTTGTCCTGTAATGTTAGTCCTTTTCCCTCTCACAATGAAAAGTATCAAGAGGATGAGAGGGAAAGAGCACCAGGTATCTATTGACCCTTGACCCTTGGCTTACACCTTCATCTTGGCTATAGACCTATGTGAGTTTAGAAATAATGCTTCATCATCATTTCATATCTATGAAACATGGCATTCTTAGACTATAAATCATAATTATGCCATCTCATTGAGAAATTCAAGAACTTCTAGTGGGTTGGAAATCTTTTTCTTTCTACCCATTAATGTTACTTGTAAATTTTTCCTTATAGAGACATCGAGCTGCTTGTTTGATCCAAGCACATTATAGAGGATATAAAGGAAGGCAGGTCTTTCTTCGGCAGAAATCTGCTGCTTTGATCATACAAAAATATATACGAGCCAGGGAGGCTGGAAAGCATGAAAGGATAAAATATATTGAATTTAAAAAATCTACAGTTATCCTACAAGCACTGGTGCGTGGTTGGCTAGTACGAAAAAGAGTAAGTATTTTCAAGTAGCATATCTCATTCTTATAAAATGAAAGCACTTGATGTTAAATAGTGTTAAGAAACTTTGGATTTTAGAGAATAATTTCAGAACTAATATGACCATTAACTTGAATTAATTCAGCTGCTAGAAAGGTAAGTGACAAGAGCACTGACTGTCAAATTTTTTTTCTCTGAACCTAGTCCTACTATTTCTCACAGGGGTTCACCACCAAAGACGCAAAATAAAATTTCTCTTTTGTAATGAATCTTAACAAAGGAACTGAAAATATGAGAGAGAGGCTCCATATGTGAAAGAGGTTAAATGTTATTCTAGTAGCTTTTTGCCACCACCAAGCAACTTTTGAGGTGTTGCAACCAGCATTCCTGTGACAGCTTCCACATCTTCAGCAAGAGAGAATTATTTTTAGGGAGGTCATGATATTCAAGCTTACAATATGTGAAGTACTGGCATAGACAAAACAATTTGATTTGAAGTTAAATAGGAGGAATGTTTGTATTTTGTTTATTAAACATCAAGTGAAAGTCTGAAGCCCAACAGCAACTGTAGAAAGCTCCTTCTGCAGGGTCTTATGCTGGAGTTGCACTGTACTATTTAATAGTAGAGAAGTTAATTCATATACTTTTTCTGATTTAATATCACCATTTCCAAGAGTTCTGCTTGGAATTCTGTAACATTTTTTGAGTTTAATATTTATACCCTTCTCTAATAGGGCAGTCTAGTTGAATTAGAAGCTATGGTTATTTAGTAAAGTACCCAAAATATAATTTTGCTTTCTACACTCTGAGTTATGAGTTACACTACTGGAAATATTGTATAGTACAATATTGTAATTACTTTGAATTACAATATAAGTAATTGTAATGATTAAAAATTAGTTTATTCTTGCTAGTTTATATAATTTGATGTTGAGGTTATACAAAAAAAAACACTCATTGATTAACTTAGGAGGCAGATACTTGAATATGCTTTGTTTTTTCACCTTTAGTTTTTAGAACAGAGAGCCAAAATTCGACTTCTTCACTTCACTGCAGCTGCATATTATCACCTGAATGCTGTTAGAATTCAAAGAGCCTATAAACTTTACCTGGCTGTGAAGAATGCTAACAAGCAGGTTAATTCAGTCATCTGTATTCAGGTTTGCTTCTTCTTTGCAGTAAAACTATATGATATAATTTTTCTGTTAGAAATTTTTGATATGTAATAAACAATTTCCAAATGCTTTATGCTAAGGTCGTACAACATTTAGCCTTTCACCTTATAGCTGTTACAATGATTTGAGGGTTAGAAATAGATTGATGTTTTATGGCACAGTACTAAAGTTGTGAATTATTGTCTGATGTAATTGTACTCATTTACATTCCTGCCAGCAAAGTCTTGAGGGTACCCTGTTTCTCTACATGCTTGCCAACATAAAGTATCAGAAGACTTTCTGATTTTTGCCATTCTAATGAATGGGAAATAGCATCTCATTTTTGTTTTGGATTTACTTGATGGCTAATGATTCTGAAATTATATTCTATATGTTGGTTATTCAAGTTCTTATCTGTGTACTTTTTTTTAACATCTTTTTCTCATACACTTTGCCCGTTTTTCCATTGGCTGTTCTTTTTTGTTATGATTTATAGGAGTTCTTTATGTATTTTGAAGAAGAATTCTATTTGTTTATATACATTAACATACATTTACATATAAAGTATTTAGTAAAAAAAATGCAGAATGATACATGCAGTTTGGTAGAATTGTAAAATGAAGACATTGTTGTCCAGGATTAAATATACTCCTGTGCATGTGTGTGCACACACACACACACACAGGCACCCAACATGGACTGGAAAGGTTTTTGCACCAAGTGGAGTGGGGAAGTAATGCCTCTGTGGAAAGCTGAAAGATTTCTTGATATACTGTTCTATTTCTTTCATTTATGTATAAATGTATATTTGTATATTTTTTTAAAAAAACCTGAAGTAGAAATGAAAAACAAAATTCTATGTTTTAAACAGAGATGGTTTCGAGCAAGATTACAAGAAAAGAGATTTATTCAGAAATATCATAGCATCAAAAAGATTGAGCATGAAGGTCAAGAATGTCTGAGCCAGCGAAATAGGGCTGCATCAGTAATACAGAAAGCAGTGCGCCATTTTCTCCTCCGTAAAAAGCAGGAAAAATTCACTAGTGGAATCATTAAAATTCAGGTAATTGAAACTTGTATAGTTTTAGTTCAAAACTTTAGTTTGCAATTCATCTACATGATATCTAACACTATAAAAACATAGTTACCATTTTAAAAAGCTAACGCATTAGCCGGTAGAATAACTCATAAGCACTATACTACCATAATTTCATTGCTAAGCTCTTTATTTTCAAATGCTCTAGAGGAGGTTTATAATCAAGAAGTAAAAATATTTTAACATTTTGAATAAATTTAGACATCTTTGGTCGATAAATGCTGTCCAGTTTACATATAGGAATATTATCTGTATTTCTTTTTTTGAAAGTTGATTTTGCTATTTATTTGAACTTGAGATTTTAATTGAAATGTATGTGATCATGTCAAATAAATTTACTGAAAATGTTTACATTGTGAAAACAGATGTAGATATAAATAGAAAACATTGGCTATAATCTTAAAATTACTCTGTTTTATCTCTTTAAGGCATTATGGAGAGGCTATTCTTGGAGGAAGAAAAATGATTGTACAAAAATTAAAGCTATACGACTAAGTCTTCAAGTTGTTAATAGGGAGATTCGAGAAGAAAACAAACTCTACAAAAGAACTGCACTTGCACTTCATTACCTTTTGACATATAAGCACCTTTCTGCCATTCTTGAGGCCTTAAAACACCTAGGTTAGTTTGTGTTAACATGTTTAAAGAATGATGTAATACTACATTATTAGCTAAAACTTCATTTTGTTGCTGTAAATTTACCTGTGTGTGTGTGTTTTTTTTTTCTTTCAGAGGTAGTTACTAGATTGTCTCCACTTTGTTGTGAGAACATGGCCCAGAGTGGAGCAATTTCTAAAATATTTGTTTTGATCCGAAGTTGTAATCGCAGTATTCCTTGTATGGAAGTCATCAGATATGCTGTGCAAGTCTTGCTTAATGTATCTAAGGTAGTTTTTCATTTTATTAATGAGATATTCACTGGTCAACAAATATGCCCCTGCAAATTAAGTTTGGGTTTACTCATCACTAGGGCTTAAATCTCTAAGTTAAATTCATTTATGTGCAAGAGTCTTAGGATGAAAAAATGTTTATTAACATAAATGTAGATTTAAGTACCAATTTTTATATTATTTCCTCAGTCTTTATAATATTAAAAACAATGATGATTAATAATATTAAAAACAATGATGATTAAAAGTTATTAAGTACTTACTACATGCTAGTATTTTTCATGCATTGTTTAATCCTCATAATAATCCTCTAAAGTAGTTCATATTATTATTCCCATTTTATAGAGAAAAAATAATAATAATTATAGAAATTAGGTTCCTCCTGTAAGAACCTGAGTGTGATAAGTGGTAGAGTTGAATTTGGATTCATTTCTGTCTGCCTTTAGAGGTGGTGATGTTATCTACTGCATTATATCAAAATAGTATTACCACATTATAATCATGTCTAGCAAAGTGTGTGAAAGAAAAATATTGCTATAACTTAGTTACTCTGTAATTGTTAATCTGTGTATCAGAATTTGTCTTTTGGCCTTGGACTATTCCAAACTATATTGTATGCAACCAAAGGTTGAAAGATTTCTCTTTCCTACTCAACCTTTCAGTGACAACTTAAAGCGCTTTACCCAATATTTTTATTTTGAGAGGTAGTGGTTAAGAACACAGATCTGAGGCCAAACTGCTTGAGTTTGAATCCCAGCTCAGTAGCTTATTATAGGTTACTTAGCTTCTCTGTACTTTACTTTCTGCAACTATAAAATGAGTATAGTAACAGTACTCAAAACTGTTACTATACACATTGAGTTAATACACATTAATACATAAACATGCCATACAAAGGGTCAGCTATGTTGTTTTGTTATTTTTATCTTAGTATCATTATTTGTTACCATGCAAATTTCACTATGAATCTAATAATACAATTAGAAAAATGAGGCGTGGAAAATATATCCTAGACTTACTAGCATCATATGTATTTTGTTTTATTTTCGAGCAAGCTCTTCTTCCTCTCAAGGAGCATGTAATAGAGTAACTAATTAGATCCTGCCTTTATCATTATCTTACCTATGATTAATAATACCACAGATAAGTTATCTTTTTCCTTAGAGATTCTTACTAAAGTGGTCTTATCTTTAAAAGTTTGCTTTTATTGACTTCAAGATGTTTGTTTTCAGAGGTTTTAAATTTGATTTATTTTATGTGAAACTTTAGAATTAGGGGGAAAAGATTAAGATTAAAATGTGAATACACATATATGATAGATCCGTAAATAATGATAATATCAAAGCTATTTCACAAAGTCCTTTGCACTTGCTGCAGGTGGTCCAAAAATTTGGCTATACTAAGTATGGACTTTTGTATTTTGTTTTTTTGGTTGGGTTGTTTGTAAATGTATGTGTTTATTACAACTTTTAATTTCATTCTGTTCTCTTCAAGTATGAGAAAACTACTTCAGCAGTTTATGATGTAGAAAATTGTATAGATATACTATTGGAGCTTTTGCAGATATACCGAGAAAAGCCTGGTAATAAAGTTGCAGACAAAGGCGGAAGCATTTTTACAAAAACTTGTTGTTTGTTGGCTATTTTACTGAAGACAACAAATAGAGCCTCTGTAAGTATTAGTCAGTTGCCTTTCTTTAAGATTATTTTTCTGTGGTCTTAAGTCTATGACTTTTATAGTTTTCCTTTAGTAATTATCACTCTAAAATAGGGTTTTATGTGTGTTCAAACCTGCTTTTTGCACGGATAAAATGAATTCAGGATGTATCTATGAGTTGTTTCTTTCTGACTATTAAAGAAACTGAATTCTGAAAATAAATTTATTACAGCCATATAAGTAACCATTTCCCATTTACTAGAGAGAAAAGTATCCTAGCAAGATAGAAAACCAGATAGGTATAACTTCTTATCCTCCTGTTGTAACCATAATTGTATTTCAAGCTTTTCTACGATGAGACCTCTGAGTCATTCTTTTTAAGTGTCATAATTAACATGGGGAAACCATAGGCCATAATTGGACTGTGGCCTTTATCCTGGTAAGTGGGAACCGCTGCAGGGTAAAGCAAGGGAATAATATTTTCCAATTTAAATTTTAACAACACTCTGGCTTCTGATTGAAGAATGAATTTGGGAGAGCATGTGTGGATATAGTGAGACCATCAAAGAAGGTGGCAAGTGTTGATATGTAGTGATCTAGGCAAGAGATTGTGCTTGTCTTAGGATTGTGTCGCTGAGAGGTAAGTAGAAGACTTTGGAAACTGCAGAGGTAAACTTTTCAAGACTTGGTAACTGGATATGATAGGTGTGTTGACTATAATTGCTATGTTGACTATAATAATTCCTTCTTATATTCAGTGTGGAGTTAAGTATGCAACTTTTGAATATTTATCTTCCTTATAATTGCCTTGCAAATTAGCTCGTAATTTAAATCAATCTACCTGCCAAACTTGGTGAGGTTTCTTTGATTATTCAAAGCTTAAAAGTTTACTGCAGGCTGGGCACGGTGGCTCACGCCTGTAATCCCAGCACTTTGGGAGGCTGAGGTAGGCAGATCACGAGGTCAGGAGATTGAGACCATCCTGGCTCACACGGTGAAACTCCATCTCTACTAAAAATACAAAAAAAATTAGCCGGGTGTGGTGGCGGGTGCCTGTAATCCCAGCTACTTGGGAGACTGAGGCAGGAGAATGGCGTGAACCCGGGAGGCAGAGATTGCATTGAGCTAAGATCGCACCACTGCACTTCAGCCTGGGCGACAGAGCAAGAGAGACCATCTCAAAAAAGAAAAAAAAAAGGTTTACTGCATAGTTTTTATTATATTTGATTTTGCTAGTCTAAAAGAGATAAAATTTTAATTCTTATTACTTTTTAGTAACTGTGCATTTTATTTTGTAGGATGTACGAAGTAGGTCCAAAGTTGTTGACCGTATTTACAGTCTCTACAAACTTACAGCTCATAAACATAAAATGAATACTGAAAGAATACTTTACAAGCAAAAGAAGAATTCTTCTATAAGCATTCCTTTTATCCCAGAAACACCTGTAAGGACCAGAATAGTTTCAAGGTAAGCAATTAAATATAGTCCATAAATTTGTGTCACTGTTCATTCATTCATTTAACAAATATTTATTGAGCACTTACCATAAACAAGATGTGCTTTTCAGTGGAGAAACAACATATGAATAAGAATGGAATGTTTGGTAAATTTAAAAGAAGCAGTCTTGGTAAATAAAGAAATAACATTATACTGTAGCTTTGGACATTTAATAGTTATTCAACAAACTTCTTATATTAAATAGTTAAGAGCTAAGGCTAAGAAGCTTGTTATAAGTTTTGTCATTTTATTTTATTTATTTTATTTTGCATGAAAGACAAACTACACTGTTTAAGAAGTGCCAAAAGTCCTTCTTAGCCAAAATATCAACCTCCAGTCCTCCCATAATCACCCTGATTCTTGAAATTTCTCCTTCTGGAAATTTAGATTGACATTTTCTGATTTTATTGGCAAAAAGATTTAATTTATTTTGGTGAACCGTCATGGCATTTAATTAGTGTTTTTACTCCCTTCCTTCTTTCTCCCTCCTCCTTTTTTTCTTCCCCCTTCTCCCTCTCTCCCTCCCTTCCTTCCTTCTTTCCTTCTTGAGACTTAGCAATTCTCTATACTAGGTACAAATCCTACATTATTGACAACACACTATTTCTTGACCTGAGTGGTTACACAGCCATTAGCTTTATAATTATACTCATAATTATAAACTGTATAATGTAGTTATAAATTGGTTTTATGCATGCATATTTCACAGCATAATGTAAAGTTCATTTGCTTGAAATATATTAATGGGACCATTTCTACATGTTTTTTAAGGACTTGGTAGAATTTAATATTCATTATGTTTTAAAAGCTCATACTAACATATGAATGGATTCTCTTAAAATTTTGATGTAGGTCAGGCTTTTGAGGTAAAATTTACTGACAGTATAAATGCATCCTTTAAATGTATGCAATTCAATTCGTTTTGACAAATGTATACAGTTAGGAAACTACCACCACTGAGATACAAAATATTTCTGTAACACAAAGTTTCCTTATGCCCCTTTGTTGTCAGTTCTCTTTCTTTATTCCCTGGATTTTGGGAACTACTGATCTGATTTTTGTACCTTTAGTTTTGCCATTTCTATACTGTCACATATATGGAATCATATAGTAGATAGCTTTTTGTGACTGGATTCTTTTCCTTAGCATAATGCTTTTGAAATTCGTTCATGTTTATGCATGGATTTGAATTTCATTCCTTTCTATCACTTAGTACTATTCCATTGTATGGTCGTACCACACTTTGTTCACTCACCAATTGATATATCTTTGGATTTTTAGCAGGACAAAATAAGATGATGGAAATGCATATAGTAGGGAATTATGTGAGAAGATGCATGAACTCCCTCGGTTTGATACTATTTTCTCAATAAGTTTGAGATTATAAACTCAACAACTCAGAAGCAGCTCAGAGGGTATGGAGGGGAAGTTTGAAAAGAGGAAAGGACCAAGATAGTCATCTTGGAGAGAAAGGGAGCATGCTGGCAATTTCAAATGCTCATTTTAGATTTGTAATTATTGGCAAAAAATAAAATCAGCTTGGTTGTGTAAACATTTTTAGTAATATGCAGCTGTATAGGAATGGAGAAGGCAGATATTTTGACTCAATTTGAAATCCAAGTAGAATTCTTCAGACTAGTTTGGTAGGAGAGAGAGACAACAGTTAATGGCATTTGCAAAGGTTTTGATAATACTGATGCACCTGAGCTAGATACACAGGAAAGTAAGGACAGCATTCTGGTGGATGTTGGGTATGTGTTGAGGCCAAATGAAGTGGAGATCTCAGTGGGGTAGAAGAACTGGTTCAATGACTGTGTTAGAGCATATGACATGGATGAATCAGAAATGGTGGATGGAGAATGGAAGTCTCAAGATTTCAGTGGTCGCACACTTTCTGATGATGACAAAGTCTAGTATGTGATCATATTAAAAAGGATTGGTTGAGGTAGAATTGAAGGAAAGTGGGGCAAAAACGGACTAGGTTGTTGGCTTTTTGGCCACATAGATGTTGCTGTTGCTGAGAACGGTGACAGTAGGTAAGAGGAGAACAAGAACCAGGTTTACAAGGAATAAGACACTGAGAGTTTGGCTGATGACCAAAAGGCAGTGGTCAAGCTAAATAGCATAAGCTTCAAAGAAGCCAGCATTATTTTTTAGAAAGGATGGAGAGAAATAGTCTGGAACTAGTGATGGGCAATAATATGAAGTTCTCCCACCTCTTTGAGCAGTTTGTAAGGGAAATGATGTGTTCAGGAGTAGCTACAATTTAGTTAAGAGAAAAAAGGTGAAGGTAACTCTAAAGAGAAGAACTTTATTAATGCCAGACTTTTTTTTTTTTTTTAACAGACTTAAGCCAGATTGGGTTTTGAGAAGAGATAACATGGAAGAAATCACAAATCCCCTGCAAGCTATTCAAATGGTGATGGATACGCTTGGCATTCCTTATTAGTAAATGTAAACATTTTCAGTATGTATAGTGTAAAGAAATATTAAAGCCAATCATGAGTACGTAAAGTGATTTTTGCTCTCCGTGTACAACTTTTAAAATCTGACTTTGTTTTAAAAAAACATAAACTGTTCATTACATTCTTCATTTTTATCATTTATAGTTTTATGCATGTAATAAACTAATATGTCATAAGATGATTATATTATTCCTGTCTATTATCTTAAAGTATTATAGTAGTTTCAATGTAATCTTATTACTAAAAGGAAATAATAGCTGATTACACCTTTTTTATAGGTAAGTTGAGGAATTTTCATAAAACAAATGTTAGAAATTGAAGTTCTGTCTACTCACTAAGAAGTGAGACTAGGATAAAATAATCTCACAAATTCATATCAATGGCATCCTTATCTATATCCTTGACTGGCTAAAGCATCCAGATAAGCAAGTGAGCCCTTCTAGGCTCACAAAAAGAATACACCCACCACTGTATTTACTAAAAATTCTTACCATTGAACTGATGGGGGTTATAATTTGAAGTGGAAGGAACATGCTATTGCTTATAATAGAATCTTGTTGTGTAGTTATACACCACAGACCTGAAAATGATTCAGTATTGAAATGTGATTTTTTTTCTACTCTTTGAGTCACTATTACTAGTATCTGTGGTTTCAGGGCCACAGATGTCTAATTCTTATGGCTGAAATCTGAATAGAGTCTCAAAGTCTGCCCATGGGAGTTAGAATCCCTGGGCTCATCCTTTTCTTTCATCACTTTGTTCAGTGAACTTAGGAGTATCAACTAACTTCATTATATTCCTTGGTTCTCCACATATGGTCAAAGGTATTATTTATAGAGACACTAAACTCCTTGCTTCTCAGGAGCAGTTAATAAGGAGTATCAAATGCATTTATTTTGCATAACTCTCTAAACAATTCACATAAAAAACTATCAGTGTTCTCCATACTATTAGAAATAGAGTCCTTAGCATTTTTGGATCTAATCAGATTAAACAGCCAACTCCAGAAACCCCAAAACCAGCTAAAGAAATCCATCCTTAAAACTCTGTTCCTCTAGAACAACTACTGGTACCAAAATCTGTATTAGTCAGGGCTCTCCAGAGGGAAAGAACTAATAGTATATATGTATACATGAAAGGAAATTCATTAGGGAGAATTGGCTCACGTGATCAAATGGAGAAGTCTTAGGATAAGCCGTCTGCAAGCCGGAGAAGAAAGAAGCCAGTAGTGGCTCAATTTGAATCCAACAGTCTCAAAAGCAAGGAAGCCAGCAGTTCAGCCTTGAGCCTGTGTCTAAAGGCCTGAGAGCCCCCAGCAAACCACTGGTGTGATTCCAAGAGTCCAAAGGCCAGAGAACCTGCAGTCTGATGTCCAAAGGCAGTAGGAACAGAAGAAAGCATTCAGCGTGGGAGAAAGATGGAAGCCAGAAGACTCAGCAAGCCAGTTTTTCCCACCCTCTTTCACCTGCTTTGTTCCAGTTGTGCTGGCAGCTGGTTGGATGGTGCCCACCCACATTGAGGGTGGGTCTCCCTCTCCCAGTCCACTGACTCAAATGTCAATCTCGGGTCTCTATCTCTCAGTCCACTGACTCAAATTTCAATCTCCTCTGGCAACACCCTCACAGACACATCAAGAAACAATACTTTACCAGCTATCCAGGCATCCTTAAATGCAATCAAGTTGATATCTAATGTATTAGTCTGTTTTCACACTGCTGATAAAGACATACCCGAGTCTAGTTAATTTATACAGGAAAAAGGGTATAAGGGACTTACAGTTACATGTGGCTGGGGACACCTTGCAATCCTGGCAAAAGGCAAGGAGGAGCAAGTCAAGTCTTACGTGGATGGCAGCAGGCAAAAAGAACCTGTGCAGGGAAGCTCCACCTTATAAAGCCATCAAATCTTGTGAGACTTATTTAATATCAGAAGAACAGCACAGGGAAAAGTACCCATGATTCAGTTACCTCTTACTGGGTCCCTCCCACAACACGTGGGAATTCAAGGTGACATTTGGGTGGAGAAACAGCCAAAACATATCATTCTGTCCCTGGACCATACCAAATCTCATATCCTCATATTTCTAAACCAATCATACCTTCCCAACCATCCCAAGTCTTAACCCATTTCAGCATTAACTCAAAAGTTCACAGTCAAAAGTCTCATCCAAGACAAGGCAAGTTTCTTTTATGTATGAGCCTGGAAAATCAAAAGCAGGCTAGTTACTTCCTAGATGCAGTGAGGGTATAAGCATTAGGTAAATACAGCCATTCCAAATGGGAGAAATTGACCAAAACAAAGAACTGCAGGCCCCATGCAAGTCTGAAATCCAGCAAGGCAGTCAAATCTTAAAGCTCTAAAATGATCTCCTTTGAATCCATGTCTCACATCCAGGTCACGCTGATGCAAGAGGTAGGTTCCCATGGTCTTGGGCAGCTCTCCCCCTGTGGCTTTTCAGGGAACAGCCTCTCTTCCAGCTGCTTTCATGGGCTGGGGTTGAATGTCTACAGCTTTTCCAAGTGCAGGTGCAAGCTGCTGGTGGATCTACCATTCTGGGTTGCGGAAGATGGTGGCCTTCCTCTCACAGCTCCAATAGGAACATGGTGGCCTTCCTCTCACAGCTCCAATAGGTGGTACCCCAGTAAGGACTCTGTGTGGGGACTCTGACCCCACATTTCCCTTCTCACTGCCCTAGCAGGGATTCTCCATGAGGGCCCCGCCCCTCCAGCAAACTTCTGCCTGGGCATCCAGGCATTCCCATACATCCTCTGAAATCTAGGTGGAGGTTCCCAAACCCCAATTATTGACTTCTGTGCACTGGCAGGCTCAATACCACATGGAAGCTGCCAAGGCTTGAGGTTTGCACCCTCTAAAGCCATGTTCCGAGATCTACATTGACTCCTTTCCACCTTGGCTCAAGCGGCTGGGATGCAGGTCAGCAAGTTCCTAGGTTGCACACAGCATGAGGATCCTGGGCTCAGCCCACGAAACCACTTTTTCCTCCTAATCCTCCAGGCCTGTAATGGGAGTGGCTGCTATGAAGACCTCTTAACATGCCCTGGAGACATTTTCCCCATTGTTTTGGAGATTAACATTTGGGTCCTCATTACTTATGCAAATTTCTGCAGCTGGCTTACATTTCTCCTCAGGAAATGGGACTTTCTTTTCTATCACATTGTTAGGCTACAAATTTTCCTGACTTTTGTGCTCTGCTTCCCCTACAAAACTGAATGCCTTTAACAGCACTCAAGTCACCTCTTGAATGCTTTGCTGCTTAGAAATTTCTTCCACCAGATACCCTAAATCATCTCTCTCAAGTTCAAAGATCCACAAATATCTGGGGCAGAGGCAAAATGCCACCAGGGGGTCACCTTTACCCCAGTTCCCAACAAGTTCCTCATCTCCATCTGAGACCACCTCATCCTGGATTTCATTGTCCATATCACTGTCAGCATTTTGGACAAAGCCATTCAACAAGTCTGTAGGAAGTTCCATACTTTCTCACATTTTTCTGTCTTTGAGCCCTCCAAACTGTTCCAAACTCTGCCTGTTACCCAGTTCCAAAGTCGCTTCAACATTTTCAGGTATTTTTTCAGCAGTACCCCATTCCTGGTATCAATTTACTCTATTATTCCATTTTCAGGCTGCTGATAAAGGCATATTCAAGACTGGGTAATTTATACAGGAAAAGGGGTTTAATGTACTTACAGTTCCACGTGGCTGGGGAAGCCTTACAATCATGGCAGAAGGCAAGGAGGAGCAAGTCACGTCTTACAAGGATGTCAGGGAAAAAGAGCTTGTGCAGGGAAACTCTGCCTTTTAAAGCCATCAGATCTCATGAGTCTTATTCACTATCAGGAGAACAGCACAGGAAATATCTGCCCCCTTGATTCAATCACCTCCCACTGGGTCCCTCCCATGATATGTGGGAATTCAAGATGAGATTTGAGTGGAGACACAGCCAAATCATATCATCTAATATTAACCATCATGGGGGCCAAATGCTTCCTTTTATTAGGAACTAACACCCACAATAACTAACCTACCCCCCTTGAAAATAGCATTAATCCTTCCATGAGGATCGAGATCTCACGACCTAATTATATCTTAAATGTCCCACCTCCCAACACCTTTACATTGGAGATTACGTTTCCAACATACGAACTTTGGGGAACACTTGCAAATCATAGCAGACATTAGTATCCAAAATATATGAGTAACTCCTATAACTTAATAGGAAAATAAATTACCTGATTTTAAAACTGGCAAAGAAGACATATAAATTGCTAACAGGTATATGAAAATGTGTTCAACATCACTAATCATTAGGTAAATGCAAATCAAAACTACAATGAGATGTCAGCTCAGACCTGTTATTGGTCAGAAAGTGGAGAAAAGGAAACCTTTATACATGGTTAGTGGAAATGTAAAAAAGGTGCAGCTATAGAAAACAATATGGAGGTTTCTTTAAAAAATTAAAAGTAGAATTACCATTTGATCGAGAAATCTCACTTCTGAATATATGTCCAAAGGAATTAAACTCAGTACCTCAAAGAGGTGTCTGTACTCCAATGTTCATTGCAGGATTATTTACAGTAGTCAAGATATGGAAACAAGTGTTCACTGATGAAAGAATTTTCAAAAGCAGTACAGTTGTCTCTTTAATAACATGGGTTTAAACCATGTAAGTGCACTCCTATGCAGATTTTTTTTTCAATATATATGTTGGAAAACTTTTTGGAGATTTGTGATAATTTGAAAAAACATGCAGGTAAACTGTGTAACCTAGAAACGTTAAAAACATTAAGAAAAAGTTAGATATACCATGCATGCATAAATATATGTGGATAATAGTCTTTTATTATATACTACCATAAAATATACACAAATCTATTGAAAGAAGTCAAAATGTATTAAAATTTACACACACAAACACCTGCAGACCATACATGAGACCATTCACAGTGGAGATAAATGTAAATAAGCATAAATATGCAGTATTAAATCATAACCACATAAAATTAATTGTATATACTGTACTACTGTGATAATTTCATAGCCACCTCCTGTTATTATGTAATGAGCTCCAGTGTTGTATCTGCTTAAAATGCCATGTGATGCTAATCATTTCCATGTGAGCAGTTCATCACTCTAGTAAATTGTGTATTGCAGTAAAAAGAGATCTCTCACGGTTTTTGTGTATTCTTCATTGTATTTAGTGCGATACTGTAAACCTTGAATAACAATAGGAAGCACACACCAAGTGCTACTAGTGAACTGCAAGGGCTCACAAGAAGCAAAGAAAAGTCATGATACTAAAAGAAAAGTTTGAATTGCTTGATATGTACTGCAGATTGAGGTCTGCAGATGAAGTTGCCCACAATTTCAAGGTAAATGAATATAGGATAAGGAACATTGTAAAGAAAGAAAAGGAAATTTGGATAGCCATCACTGCATCTATGCCAACAGGGACAAAAACCTTGCACTTTTTGAAAAATATCTTTCTGTATTGAGAATGTAGCTTTTATGTAGGTGCAAGATTGTTATAGGAAAGGCACCCTTATAGACTATAACATAATTCATAAAAAAACAAAGTCATTATATGACAACTTACAGCCAAAGGGAAGTAAAGGAGTTAAAGCTGGAAAATTTAATGGCAGCAAAAGACAGTTTGATAATTTTAGAAAAAGTTTTGGTTTTAAAAATGTCAGGAAACAGAAGTAGCTTCTGCCAACCTAGAAGCAGCAGATGAATTCCCAGGTGCCATTAAGAAAATCATTGAGAAGAAAGGATATCTGTCTGAATGCACTTTAAATGCAGACAAAAATGTCCTAAATAAAAGAAACTGACACAAAGGACATTTATTAGTAAGGAAGACAAGCAAGTACCATGATTTAAGTCAGGAAGGGGTATGCTAACTCTACCATTTAGTGTAAATGCAGTCGGGTTTATGATCAGGACTGCCCTTATCTATAAAGTTGGTAACTCCTGGGCCTTGAAAGGAAAAGAGAAACACCTGTTGCCAGTCTCTTGGTTGTATGACAAGAGAACCTCAGTTGAACAATGAGAACTCTATTTCTGGATTGGTTCCATGGATGCTTTGTCCCTGAAGCTAGGAAGTACCTTGCCAGTAAGGAACTTCCTATTACTGTACTTTTGATATTGGACAATGCCCCAGCCATGCAAAACCGCATGAGTTCAACAGTGAAGAGGTAGAAGTCATCTTCTTTCCCCCAAATACAACTCAATTTGGCCTCTAGATCAGGGGTTATAAGGATCTTTAAGGCTCATTACACACATTACCATATGGAAAAGATTGTCAATGCTCTGGAAGAGAATCCAGATAGAGAACCCCTGAAAGAAAGAGCATCATAAAAGTCTGGAAGAATTACACTACTGAAGATGTCATTTGTTGTTGTATAAATAGCTGTGAATGCCATCGATCATAAAACAATAAATTCCTGCTGCAGAGAACTGTCCAGATGTGCATGCCTTCACAGGATTTACAATGGAGCCAATCAAGGAAGAGTGTGGATATGGCAAAAGAAAAAAAAAAGGTAAGGAGTGAAAGGTTTAAAGATATGAATTTTGCAGAAATTCAAGAGGTAATAGACACCACAGCAGAGAAATTAATAGAAGACTTGATGGAGAAGAGGGCTTCTGAACCAGTGCCAAATTATGAGGAAGAAGATAGAGAAGAAGCAGTGCCAGAAAACAAATTTACATTAGACAATCTGGCAGAAGGGTTCTGATTATTCAAGACTGCTTTTGACTTCTTTTATGACATGGACCCTTCTATGATATGGGCAGAGAAACTAAAGCAAATGGGGAAAGAAAGATTGGTACTGTGTAGAAACATTTTTAGAGAAATGAAAAAAGAAAACATCAGAGATTACAATGCATTTCCATAAAGTTACACAAAGTTTGCCTGCCTTTCCTGCTTCCACTTCCACTTCTTCCACCTCTTTTGCCTCTGCCACTCCTGAGACAACAAGAATAACTCCTCCTTTTTTCAAAATGAAGATGACAAGGATAAAGCCTTTATGATGATCCACTTTCACTTAGTAAATATATTTCCTCCTTTTATGATTTTATTAGTTACATTTTCTTTCTTCTAGCTTACTCTATTGTAAGAATATGGTCTATAACATATAATAAAAAAAGTGTGTTAATCATCTATTTGTGTTATTGGTAAGGCTTTCAGTTCACAACATGGTATTAGTAGTTAAGTCTTGGGAGAGTCAAGTTATATGTAGAATTTTGACTGTGCAGAGAGTCAGCAGCCCTAACCCCCACTTTTTTAAGGCTCAACTTTATATGCATACAATGACATATTATACAGTCTAAAAAAGGAAGAAAATCCTGCCACTGACAGCAACAAGGATGGACCTGGAGGACATTATGTGGAGTGAAATAACTAGACACAGAAAGACAAATACTCCATCCTCTCATTTATGTGTGGAATTTAAAACAGTCAAACAAGTGGAAACAGAGAGTAAAATGGTGGTGGTTGCTAGGGGATTGCAGGGAAGAGAAAATAAAGAGGTTTTGGTCAAAGGCAACAAAGTTTCAGTTATGCAAAATGAATACATTCTGGAGACCTATTGTTGAAAAATTAGGTTAATTGAAGCATTTAAAAATTAGTAAGAAAACGATAGTAAAATGTTAATGATAGCATCTAGGTAGAGGTTTTGTGTGAAAAAAATATTTGAAAATAAGCAGATGTCAATGATTTTTATAAATTGTAAGTAACCCAAATTTACATAAATAGTTGAATGGATAAATTATGGCATATTTACAGAATGCAATACTATTTAGAAAAGGTGCTATCTACTGTATCCTCAAATGGATAAATCTCAGAACCAAAATGTTAAACAAAAGGAACCAGACATAAAAATATACATGTATTTCCCATATGATTCCATTTATATAGTATAAAACTACTGATTGATCTATGTTATTAGAAGTCAAGATAATGTTTAACACTAGGGTAGATGTAGGCAGTAACTTGGTAGGGGGATTTTGGGGTGCTGGTATATTCCTTCTTTGTTCTGGGTTGTGGATTCATGGATGTCTTAGACTTGTGAGAATTCTTAACATATGTACACTTTTCTGTTAATACATTTAATAAAAAATACAAAATTGAAATAATAATAGCTTCTGCCTTGCAGAATTATTTTGTACTCTATTTTATTTTATTTTTATTTCCATAGGCTATTGGGGGAACAGGCTGTATTTGGTTACATGAGTAAGTTCTTTAGCAGTGATCTGTGAGATTTTGGTGCACCCATCACCCAACCAGTATACGCTGAACCAAATTTGTAGTGTTTTATCCCTCAGCCCCCTTCCACCTTTCTCCAGAATCCCCAAAATCCATTGTATCATTCTTATGCCTTTGCATCCTCATAGCTTAGCTCCCAATTATGAGTGAGAACATATGATATTTGGCTTTCCATTTCTGAGTTACTTCACTTAGAATAATTGTCTCCAGTTCCATTCATGTTGCTGTGAATGCCATTAACTCATTCCTTTTTATGGCTGAGTAGTATTCCATCCTGTATATATATCACAATTTTTTATCCACTCATTGATTGATGTTGATGGACATTTGGGCTGGTTCCATATTTTTGCAATTGTGAATTGTGATGTTATTAACATCACCTGCTTGTGCAAGTATCTTTTTTGTATAATGACTTATTTTCCTCTGGGTAGATAACCAGTAATGGGATTGCTGGATCAAATGGTAGTTCTACTTTTAGTTCTTTAAGGAATCTCCACACTGTTTTCCACAGTAGTTGTACTAGTTTACATTCCCACCAACAGTATAGAAGTGTTCCCTTTTCACTGAATCCACACCAACATCTATTATTATTATTTTTTTATTATGGCCATTGCAGGAGTAAGGTGGTATTGCATTGTGGTTTAGATTTGGATTTCCTGATCATGAGTGATGTTGAACATTTTTTCACACATTTGTTGGCCATTTGTATATCTTCTTTTGAGAATTGTCTGTTTATGTCCTTAGACTACTTTTGGATGGGATTGTTTTTTTTTTTTATTGCTTATTTGTTTAAGTTCTTTGTAGATTCTAGACATTAGTCCTTTGACAAATGCATAGATTGTGAAGACTTTCTCCCTGTTTATTCTGCTGACTGTTCCTTTTGCCATGCAGAAGCTCTTTAGTTTAATTAAGTCCCATCTATTAATCTTTGTTTTTGTTGCATTTGCTTTTGGGTTCTTGGTCATGAAGTCTTTGCCTAAGCCAATGTCTAAAAGGGTTTTTCCAATGTTATCTTCTAGAATTTTTATAGTTTCATGTCTTAGATTTAAGTCCTTGATCCATCTTGAGTTGATTTTTTTTGTGTAAGGTGAGAGATGAGTATCCAATTTCATTCTCCTACATATGGCTTGACAATTATCCCAGCACCATTTGTTGAATAGGGTGTCCTTTCCCACTTTATGTTTTTGTTTGACTTGTTGAAGATCAGTTGGCTGTAACTATTTGGGTTTATTTCTGGGTTCTCCATTCTGTTCCATTGGTCTATGTGCCTATTTTTATACCAGTACCATGATGTTTTGGTGCCTATGGCCTTATAGTATAGTGTGAAGTCAGGTAACATGATGCCTCCAAATGATTTGTTCTTTTTGCTTAGTCTTGCTTTGGGTGTGTGGGCTCTCTTTTTGGTTTCATATACACTTTAGTATTGTTTTTTCTAGTTCTGTGAAGAATGATGATGGTATTTTGATAGGAATTGCATTGAATTTGTAAACTGCTTTTGGCAGTATGGTCATTTTCACAATATTGATTCCACTCATCGATGAGCATGGGATGTGTTTCCATTTGTGTCATCTATGATTTCTTTCAGCTGTGTTTTGTAGTTCTCTTTGTAGAGGCCTTTCACCTTTTTGGTTAGGTATATTCCTAAGTATTTTTTGTATTTTTTTTTTCTTGCAGCTATTGTAAAAGGAGTTGAGTTCTTGATTTGATCCTCAGCTTGGTTGCTGTTGGTGTATAGGAGAGCTACTGACTTGTGTACATTAATTTTGTGTACAGAAACTTTGCTGAATTCTTTCATCAGTTCCAGGAGCTTTGTGGAGGAGTCCTTAGGGTTTTCTAGATATACAATCATATCATCAGTAAACAGTGAAAGTTTGACTTCCTCTTTACCAATTTGGTTTCCCTTTATTTCTTTCTCTTGTCTGATTTTTCTAGCTAGGAATTCCAGCACTATGTTGAAGAGAACTGGTGAGAGTGGGCATCCTTATCTTGTTCCAGTTTTCAGAGGGAATGCTTTCGACTTTTCCCCATTCAGTATTATGTTTGTTGTGGATTCGTCATAGATGGCTTTTACTACATTGAGGTATGTCCCTCGTATGCCAATTTCACTAAGCGTTTTAATCATAAAGGGATGCTGGATTTTGTCAAATGATTTTACTGTGTTTACTGAGATGATCATGTGATTTTGTTTTTAATTCTGTTTATGTGGTGTATCGCATTTACTGACTTGGGTATGTATGTTAAACAATCCCTGCAGTATGAAACCCACTTGATCATTGTGGATTATCTTTTTGATATGTTATTGGATTCAGTTAGCTAGTATTTTGTTAAGGATTTTTATTTCTGTGTTCACCAGGGATATTGGCCTGTAGTTTTCTTTTTTTTTGTCATGTCCTTTCCTGGTTTTGGTGTTAGGGTGATACTGGCTTCATAGAATGAATTAGGGAGGATTCCCTCTTTCTCTGTCTTGTGAAATGGTGTCAATAGGAGTGGCACCAATTTTTCTTTGAGTGTCTGGTATAATTCTGTTGTGAATCCCTGGCCCTGGAATTGTTGTTGGTAATTTTTTTGTTACCACTTCAATCTCACTGCTTGTTATTGGTCTGTTCAGGGTATCTAATTCTTCCTGATTTAAGCTAGGAGGGTTGTATTTTCCAGGAATTTATTCATCTCTTCTAGGTTTTCTTTTTCTTTTACTTTTTCTTTTTTTTTTTTTGAGATGGAGTCTTGCTCTGTTGCCCAGGCTGGAGTGCAGTGGCGGGATCTTGGCTCACTGCAAGCTCTGCCTCCCAGGTTCACGCCATTCTCCTTCCTCAGCCTCCCTAGTAGCTGGGAGCTGTTACAGGTGCCCACCACCATGCCCGGCTAATTTTTTTTTTTGTATTTTTAGTAGAGACGGGGTTTCACTGTGTTAGCCAGGATGGTCTCAATCTCCTGACCTCGTGATCCTCCCGCCTCGGCCTCCCAAAGTGCTGGGATTACAGGTGTAAGCCACCGCTCCCGGCCCATCTCTTCTAGGTTTTCTAGTTTATGCATGTAATGGTGTTCATAGTAGATTTGACTGATCTTTTTCTGTGGTGTCAGTTGTATTATCTCCCGTTTCATTTCTAATTGAACTTATTTGGATTTTATTCCTTCTTTTCTTGGTTATTCTTGGTTAATATAATGGTCTATCAATTTTATTTATCTTTTCAAAGAACCAGCTTCTTGTTTCATTCATATTTAAAACAATTTTTTTTGTTTCAATTTCATTTAGTTCTGCTCTGATCTTGGTTATTTCCTTTCTTCTGCTGGGCTTAGGTTTGGTTTGTTCTTATTTCTCTAGTTCCTTGAGGTGTGACCTTAAATTATCTGTTGGTGCTCTTTCAGACTTTTTGATGTAGGCCTTTAGGACAATGAACTTTCCTCTTAGCACCACCTTTTGCTGTATCCCAGAGGTTTTGATAGGTTATGTCACTATTGTCATTCAGTTCAAATAATTTTTTAATTTCCATCTTTCATTGTTGGCCCAATGATCATTCAGGAGCAGGTTATTTAATTTCCATGTATTTGCATGGTTTTGAAGATTCCTTTTGGAGTTAATTTTCACCTTATTCCACTGTGGTCTGAGAGAGTGTTTGACATAATTTTTTTTTTTAATTTATTGAGGCTCATTTTGTGGCCTATCATATGGTCTATCTTGTAGAAAGTTCCATGTGCTGATGAATAGAATGTATATTCTGTGGTTGTTGGGTAGAATCTTCTGTATATATCTGCTAAGTCCATTTGTCCCAGGGTATAGTTTAAATCCATTTTGTTGTTGTTGTTGTTGTTGACTTTCTGTCTTGGTGACATATCTAGTGCAGTGGTATATTGAAGTCCCCCACTAGTATTGTGTTGCTGTCTGTCTCATTTCTTAGGTCTAGTAGTAATTGTTTTATAAATTTGGGAGTTCCAGTGTTAGGTACATGTATAATTAAGATTGTGATATTTTCCTGTTGGACAAGGCCTTTTATCATTATATAATGTCCTTCTTTGTCTTTCTTAACTGCTGTTGCTTTGAAGTTTGTTTTGTCTGATATAAGAATAGCTACTCCTGCTCACTTTTGGTGTCCATTTGCATGGGGTGTCTTTTTTCACCCCTTTACCTTAAGTTTATGTGAGTCCATATGTGTTAGGTGAGTCTCTTAAAGGCAGCAGATAGTTGGTTGGTGAATTCTTACCCATTCTGCAATTCTGTATCTTTTAAGTGGAACATTTAGGCCATTTACATTCAACATTAGTATTGAAATGTGAGGTACCATTCCATTCATCATGCTATTTGTTGCCTGAATACCTTGATTTTATTTATTTAAGTATTTATTTATTTACTGTATTTTTGTTTTATGGGTCCTGTGAGGTTCATGCTTTAATGAAGCTCTGTTTTGTTGTGTTTCCAGGA
The DNA here is from genome assembly GCF_000001405.40 of Homo sapiens. Classification (NCBI taxonomy): domain Eukaryota; kingdom Metazoa; phylum Chordata; class Mammalia; order Primates; family Hominidae; genus Homo; species Homo sapiens. The sequence continues at coordinate 197,071,609 of NC_000001.11, read as the reverse complement.
TTTGTTTCAAGATTTAGAGCTCTTTTCAGCAGTTCTTGTAGTGCTGGCTTGGTAGTGGCAAATTCTCTCAGCATTTGTTTGTCTAAAAAAGACTGTATCTTTCCTTCATTTATGAAGCCTAGCTTTTCTGGATACAAAATTCTTAGCTGATAATTATTTTTTTTAAGGAGGCTGAAGATAGGTCCCCAATCCCTTCTAGCTTATAGGATTTCTGCTTAGAAATCTGCTGTGAATCTGATAGGTTTTCTTTTGTATGTTACCTGGTGCTTTTGCCTCACAGCTCTTAAGATTCTTTCGTCTTGACTTCAGATAAACTGATGACTATGTGCCTAGGTGAAGATTTATTTATTTATTTATTTTGAGATGGTGTCTCGCTCTGCTGCCAGGCTGGAGTGCAGTGGCGCGATCTCAGCTCACTGCAACCTCTGCCTCCTGGCTTCAAGTGATTCTCTTGCCTCAGCCTCCTGAGTAGCTAGGACTACAGGCATGGCACCACGCCCAGCTAATTTTTGTATTTTTAGTAAAGATGGGGTTTCACCATGTTGGCCAAGACGGTCTTGATCTCTTGACCTCGTGATCTGCCCACCTCATCCTCCCAAAGTGTTGAGATTACAGGCATAAGCCACCACACTTAGCTGCAATAATCTTTTTTTTTTTTTTTTGAGATGGAGTCTTGCTCTGTCGCCAGGCTGGAGTGCAGTGGCACGATCTCAACTCACTGCAACCTCCACCTCTTGGGTTCAAGCAATTGCCGTGCATCAGCCTCCCACGTAGTTGGGGTTACAGGCATATGCCACCATGCCCAGCTAAATTTTTTTTTTTTTTTTGTATTTTAGTAGAGACAGGGTTTCACCATTTTGGCCAAGATGGTCTTGATTTCCTGACCTCATGATCCACCTCCCTCGGCCTCCCAAAGTGCTGGGATTACAGGCATGAGCCACTGTGCCCGGCCGTAATGATATTTTTATGATGATTTCCCAAGTGTTCTTTGAGCTTCTTGTGTATGGATGGCTAGATTTCTAGCAAGGCCAGGGAAGTTTTTTTTTTTCAATTATTTCCCTAAATATGTTTTCCAAATTTTCAGATTTTTCTTCTTCCTCAGGAACACCAATTATTCTTAGGTTTAGTCATTTAACATAATCCCAAACTTCTTGGAGGCTTTATTCACTTAAATTTTTTTCTTTGTCTTTTTTGGATTGGATTACTTCGAAAACCTTGTCTTCAAGCTCTGAAGTTCTTTCTTCTGCTTGTTTTATTATATTGCTGAGACTTTCCAGTACATTTTGCTTTTCTCTAAGTGTGTTCTTTATTTCTTGAAGTTGTGACTGTTTTTTATTTATGCTATCTATTTCACTGAAGATTTCTCCGCTCATATCTTGTGTCATTTTTTTGATATCCTTAAGTTGGATTTCACCTCTCTCTGGTGCCTCCTTGATTAGCTTAATAATCAAACTTCTGAATTCTTTTTCTGGCAGTTCAGGAATTTCTTCTTGGTTTGGATCCATTGCTGATGAGCTAGTGTGATTTTTGGGTGGTGTTAAAGAACCTTGTTTTGTCATAATACCAAAATTGTTTTTCTAGTTCCTTCTCTTTTGGGTAGGCTATGTCAGAGGGGAGATCTGGGGCTCAAGGCTGCTGTTCAGATTCTTTTGTCCCACGGGGTGCTCCCTTGATGTAGTATTCTCCCCCTTTTCCTAGGGATGTGACTTCCTGAGAGCCAAACTGTAGTGATTATTATTACTTTTCTGGATCTAGCCACCAGAAGGGCTACCAGGCTCTGGGCTGGTACTGGGGGTTGTCTGCATAGAGTCCTGTGATGTAAACTGTCTTCAGTTCTCTCAGTCATGGATACCAGCACCTGTTCCAGTAGAGGTGGCAGGGGAGTGAAAGGAACTCTGTGAGGGTCCTTAGTTGTAGTTGTTTGATGCACTAGTTTGGTGCTGGTTGGCCTCCTGCTGAGAGGTGAAGCCAGCTGGACTTCCTGGGTCGAATGGGGACTTGGAGAACTTTTCTGTCTAGCTAAAGGATTGTAAACACACCAATCAGCGCTCTGTGTCTAGCTAAAGGTTTGTAAATGCACCAATCAGCACTTTGTAAAAACAGACCAACCAGCACTCTGTAAAATGTGCCAATCAGCGGGATGTGGGCGGAGCCAAATAAGGGAATAAAAGCTGGCCACCCGAGCCAGCCGCAGCAACCTGGTCTGGTCCCCTTCCAGGCTGTGGAAACTTTGTTCTTTCGCTCTTTGCAATAAATCTTGCTGCTGCTCTCTTTTTGGGTCTGCACTACCTTTATGAGCTGTAACACTCACCGCGAAGGTCTGTGGCTTCACTCCTGAAGTCAGCAAGACCTCGAACCCACCAGGAGGAAGAAACAACTCCGGACGCACCATCTTTTAGAGCTGTAACACTCACTGTGAAGGTCTGCGGCTTCACTCCTGAAGTCAGCAAGACCAGGAACCCACCAGAAGGAAGAAACTCTGGACACATCTGAACATCAGAGGAACAAACTCCGGACACACCATCTTTAAAAACTGTAATGCTCACCGCAAGCGTCCGCAGCTTCATTCTTGAAGTCAGCAAGACCAAGAACCCATTGGAAGGAACCAATTCCAGACACACTGCCATGAGGTAGTGCTTTCATGAGAGCATCAGCTGTGGTATATAGGGGAGGATCAGGTGGTGGGTGGGACACTAGAACTTCCAAGAGAATATGACCTTTGTCTTCAGCTACCAGGGTGGGTAGGGAAGGACCATCAGGTGGGGGCAGGGTTAGGCATGTCTGAGCTCAGAGTCTTCTTGGGTGGGGCTTGTTGTGGCTCTGTGGGGAATGGGGGTGTGATTCCCAGGTTAATGGAGTTACCTTCCCAGGAGGATTATGGCTGCCTCTTCTGTGTCATGCAGGTTGTCAGGGAAGTGGGGGAAAGCTGGCAGTTACAGACCTCACCCAGCTCTCACACAACCCAACAAGCAAATCTCACTTCTACTGTGTTCCCCCAAAAAGCACCGAATTTGTTTCCAGGCAGTAGGGGAGCAGGATTGAGAACTTGCCCCAGGCTACTAGCCTCCCAGCTGAGAATGCAAGCCAGACTTTTGTGCCTCCCTACCTGTTAAGTCTGCACACCAGATTCACGCCCTTTCCTGAGTTCTGGACAGGAAAGTTTGTGTTCGGTTGGAATTGTTACTAAGTTCAGCTGGAGGTTTCCTTCTCCCTGTGGTCTTTTCCCAGTTCCTCCGGCAGCCCCTGTGAGACAAGTCAGAAATGGCTTCTCTGGGGACCCACAGAGACGATGGGGCTTTACCCTTTGCTTCCTCTACCCCTGTATTTCGCTCAGCTCTCTAAATTGTCTGAGCTCCAGGTAAGGTCAAATCCTTCTCCTGTGATCTAGACCTTCAGGTTCCCCAAGGGTGTGTGTTCAGGGGTGGACAATACCCCTTTCACACTTTTCACAGTTTGGGCATTCACAGTATGTGGGCTATTTTCTGGGTCATGCAGGAGCAATATACTTTCTTCAGAGGGTCTGTGGATTATCTTGGCTTTCCTGTTATATCCTTGCAGCAGTTCTTGGAGCAAAAGTTCACAATGCGAGTCTCCACATCCTGCTCTGTCCATCCAAGTGGGAGCTGCAAGTTAGTCCTGCCTCCTATCCACCATTTTTTCCTATTTTGTATTTTAAATTAAAACTCATTAGAATGTAAACTCCATGAGGGCAATAATTTTAATCCAGTTTTTTCACTGCTAAATACCTCAAAACTGTTACATGTGCTGCCATTATCATGGACGTTCTAAACATTTCTCATGAATGAATGTTGATATAGCACAGTGCTGATCTCACCACCTGCCACAAAGTAAAAACTCTCTAAATGTCAAACACTACTATTATAAGTAATACTATTCTATCATTGAGACAACTATGGTTCTGTATCTCTTTAAGGAGTGCAGTCTAGGCAACAACATATTTCAACATCAGGTATCTGTTATCTCATGTTCCTAAGTTCATCTTTTTACCTGATCAATATTAGTAAAGATCTATGGCCTCAAGTGAACTTTACTCTATGAATTTACAATTGGGAACTTAGGTTGAAAATTTACCTAGTATTATTTATTCTGCTGCTATAATTTATTATTTATTCTGCTGCTATTGTTGCCCTAATCAGTTATCATGCTCTTACTGGACTCTGACATGGTAAGTAATGTCAATTAATATAGTTGTGTTATTTTAACATTATTTCAAAATATTTTAAGTGAAATATAAGACTCGTTACAAAAGGACTTAGACAGAGGTTATAAATTATTAACTTTTTCCTCAAGAGAAGTATTGTGTACTTAATGACAAGTTCCTAGTGCTTAGAATTGTTAAAATCTTTGTGAAGCACACCACTGAAGATGAGGTTGAAAAACCTGACTTTTATCATCATATTGATAATCTCAGGAGAACTCTATGCAGAAGGTAAAATTAATTCTTAATATTCTTTATTCTCTAAAACATACAAATGGAGATTCTAATATTTATACAACTCAAGTTTTAATATACTCTTCTATTTTCATTATCAATTTTATAACATATTTTATAAATATAACTTTTTATAATATTTAGACCTTTTCCTTTGAGCAAAATTAGTAAAGTGTTCTTACAGTAGCATAAGTCAGAAAAGCAAAACAAAACAAAAACCCTTGTATCTCTAGGGGGCATAGGAGACCAGGATCTAAATACTTCGAAAAGGTTTTCAGGTTAACAATATGTCCATTTCGAAGTCACATGTTAACTTTAATTCTAAATTTATGCTAGAATCCATTCCTAATACTGACAAAACTTGTACAATTTTAATTCTGTTCATAAGGTGAGAGTTTAATGTGGGAAATTTGAAAAGGAAATAGCCATAAATATTTTTTACTTTTGAGACTTTGATTTTTATCACAATGAATTATTCATTTGTTGGAGACATTAAGTAGTGATTAGTAGGTGAACCATATAATTGCTTGTACAAACAGGGACACTTAGAGAGTAAAAGAGGGGCTCTATTAATAACTGTTTGGACAACACATGTAAATCAGGACTTTCCAAACAAACCAATACCTATGGACTCCCTATTAGAAAGCTTTATAGTCAGATTGCCCAATGTGTAAGATTAGTGTGCGAGTGGAAGCTAGGCAGTGTACATGGGTATGTTGTTCAGGAACATTATCAATATTATCAGGCCATAGGATGAAGAATCCAGGGAGGACACTTAGCATTAGCAAGAGTGAACATACAAAGAAGGAAGCTACAGCAATACAGCTTTTCTAAAATAAACATTTTTGGGAATTTGTTGAAATTAAATACATAAGTTTTAACTGTGTTTTAGTTGAATAGTTAACTATAAATTTTCTACCAAAACATCTATAATTAAAATTATAAAAGTGAAAGACACAGAATTAATCTTATTTTATACTTTTAATTCTATAATAGGATGATTTTTGCATGAATTTCTTTTGATTTTATTTTTCTGTCTAAATAGGGAAATACCAGCAGATATAATTGTCTGTTATCTATACCATAAAGACATTGCAATATTCTAGTTAATTTTCTAATTATTATAAGGTTATAATGCTATTTTACACAACAAAAAAAAAAGTAAGCTGCTTGAAGACCAAGACAATGATTTTATTTTTGCATGCTTCTCTCAACTCCCATTGTGCACTTCAGGGACAAGAATTGAATTAATTGTGTTTCTCATTTCATGGTATGCAAGTATTATTGGCCTATGAAAGGTCTCACTCTTGCTTTACTTACACATTTTATCCCCTTATTCCTAATCTTGAAGTCCATTTCCCCTGGGACCTACTACAATGTTTTAACATGTTACTCTAGCTCTCTCAACCACAAATAGCTCTGGAATGAATATTGTAATATAACCAACTTATCTTTCTGTAAGAATGTCATCAGTCTGTATTCACTCACAGATAGCATTATTGAGTCTATTCTTGTACTTGATTTCTGTAATGAGAGATTACTTTTGCAGAATGGCAGTTTTGAAGTATATCATCTCTGAGAGAGGATGTAAATTGTTGCTCCTCATCATTCTCACCAACACCTCATATTGTCCATTTTTGTACTGGTTGCTATATGGTTATTCATAAAGTGATATCCCATTTTTATTTATTTACCATTCTCTGATCAGTAGTAAGTGTGTCCATCGCTTCATGTACTTTTTTTAATATGTTCAGACATCTGTGATTTCCTGGTTTATATGTGATTAGTATATTCCTCACATTTCTCATTAATTTTTTGTCAGGAATTCATATTCTCCAAGGCATTCCAGCTACCTTAACAAATAATGTGCCTATCCTGGTGGTGGAGGGAGATGTCCCAGGACAGAGAGTCTTTAAAGCCACAACCTAGGATTGTTGTGCAGAGAATACTTTGCTGCCCCTCCCTGACAAGCAACTGTGCCCCTCAGGGAAATTTCTTGTGTATTCACCATTGCACTGCTATTTTGGAAGACTCTTTTTATTGTAAATTCCTTTGGTGCTTGGGTGTGAAAAAATGGTGAGAATAATTCTCAAGGAATGGGGACTATCCAGCCCATGTTTTTCTGTCTGCTCCATCAGATAGTGGAAGTTTTGTTGCTCATCATTCCACATCCATTTCCTTCAAACCTAGGCTAGCACTACTAGTATTTTATGTCTCATAGTAGCATTAAGGTATACAGTGATCAACCAAGGCATTGAAGCCGTAGTAATCACACTGGATCTAGGCCTTCTTCCATCCATGACTGCCCATGTTTCTTCCCACCACAGCTCCTAGGATTGTTCGAGCATTTCTTTCTTTTAAGTGTTTTTATGACTTTAAGATCTTCAACATAAAGATATATTTTTAAAATATATGTTTTATTTGGAGTATAACATATCCAGAAAAATGCAAAAATCACAGGATACACTTATATAGTTTTTACAAAATTTTACACCATCCAGATCAAGATATAGAACAGTGATAGTACCCCAGAAATATGATCCTTCTAAGGCACTAAACCCCAAAGGTAACCATTCTGACTTCTATTATCATGGATTAGTTTGTTTTCTTTTAAAAAGTTATGCAAATGTATACATTAATTCATATGTGATTGGCTTCTTTCACTCAATATTATGTTTATGAGATTCACCATTTGTTCATTTCTGTTGTTGGATAATATTCCATTGTATGCATAGTCTAAAATGTGTTTATCTTTTCTATTATTTATGGGCATTTAGATTGTTCCCAGTTTGGGACTATATGAATACTGCCACTATAAGCATTTTTTTCCATGTCTTTTGGTATACAAATATGTGCTTTTTTTATTGGGTAATATGGTTTGTACATGTTTTACCCCAATATATATTGCAAAGGTGTTCTCTCATAGAGTTTGGACTGATTTATACTTTCAGTTGTAGAAATATGCGAGTTCCAGTTTCTTCACTTCTTCACAATCATTGAGATAGCTTGTCTTTTTCATTTCAGCAGTTCTATTGGATATGCAGTAGTATCTCATGGTGGTTTAAATTTTCATTTCCCTGATGACTAGTAATGCTAAGTACCAGGTCTCTAACCATTTAAATATCCTATTTTGCCAAGTTCTTGCCAAGTATTGCTTTGTTTTACTTGGTTGTCTGTTTTTTCTTTTAATGCTATTTATTTCAAAATTTTTTATGAGTTAGCATATGTTAAGGAGAAACTTTACCTATTCCTGAACTGTACTGTCCAATACAGTGGCCATCAGCCACATATAGCTATTGGAGACAGTACTTAAAATGTCACTAGTTCAAGATCAGATATTCTGTAAGTATAAATATGTAGTGGATTTTAAAGAGTTAGAAAAAAAAAGAATGTAAAATATTTTCAATATATTGGGTTAAATAAAAACCTATTATTAAAACTAACTTCAATTGTTCCTTAGTATTTTTATGAATGTGACTATTAGAAATTTTTAAATTACATAAGTGACTTACAATACATATCTATTAGGAAGTGCAGGCAGGGTGGAGTGGTTCAAGTCTTGTAATCCTAGTGCTTTGGGAGGCCAAAGCAGAAGGATCCTTTGAGTCCAGGAGTTTGAGACCAGCGTGAGCAACAGAGTGAGACCCCTCATCTCTACAAAAAATAAAACAAAAATTAGCCAGATGTGGTGGCATGTGCCTGCAGTCCTAGCTACAGGAGAGGAGGCTTGCTTAAGCCCAGGAGCTCCTGGTGGCAGTGAGCTATATTTCAGCACTGCACTGAAGCTTGGATAACTGAGGAAGACTCTGTGTCTAGGAAGAAAAAAAAAAGTACTGTTCTACGAAGTTATGCAAAGCTTCCCTGAAAAAGTGGTCTGCTAAATTTTATCATGACTGTTGGATGTTTAAAGTCATTTGCAGATCAATTATGATAAAAGGACTGCTTGAGTTGTCACAAAAGTACCTTAAAAATTTAAGTAAGAAAAATAAGTACTAGTTGAAGTGTCTCTAAAAACTTTTAGTTTGTATTGTCACCTGATTACAAATTTATGTTTTTAGATTTGTTTTTCCATTTTCAGCTTGACATTTACTCATTTCAGAGAAACCCTGTGGTTTTCCTCATGTGGAAAATGGAAGAATTGCCCAATATTACTATACTTTTAAAAGCTTTTACTTTCCAATGAGCATAGACAAAAAATTGTCATTTTTCTGCTTGGCTGGTTATACCACTGAAAGTGGAAGACAAGAAGAGCAAACCACGTGTACAACAGAAGGCTGGTCTCCAGAGCCAAGGTGCTTCAGTAAGTCAGCTGGATATGTCACTCAATGTTTCAATACTCAAAGAAATTTGTATATAAAAATAGGGGTCCAATAAAAATGGAAAGCGGTTAAACCTTTTAGTAGATAAGAACAAAATCACTAGCAATCTGTCTTTCTACAAAATGAAGGCATAATTTGAAATCCAGTAAATAATGCTTTTACATTAAAATGTTATTTTCTGTATCTGTTTTTAATAATACTCTGTTGAAGGGAATAGGGTAATAACTGAAATTATCATATTGCAAGGCAAAGAGAGGTAATTTACTTTAAGTAACAAGAAACTTATTTTGATAATTAAGCATAAGATGCCAGAAAAATGCTTGAAACTCTGGCCTCTGGAAGGGCAAGATTGCTACTCTAATGCTTTATCATTTGTAAGACTCATCTCTCTTCATGTGCCAACTTCTCTCATGATACCCATTGAAAAATGTGTTTTTCAATTTTGAATTGAAAGTTTGAGTTCAAAGTTGTGAGAAGGTAATCTAATTGACTCATTTCATTATTTTATATCAGGCTACACTATCATCAAACTATCAATGATCTTCCACTAGGGCAGGTGACCCAGAGTAAGGGGCTTTGGTTGAGCCAGTTTCGTTTAAAAGAGGATGTTGAATATGGCTATTGTGGTTGATATATCTAGTAAACCTATCTAGAAGTAGATGTGGTAGGGGTAGAAATTACTATAAGAACTAAAATTAGTAAATACAAAGAGAGTCAGTGTTAAATTGAATCCATTTTCAAAAAAATTATGCAGATATTTCCAAAATGAAATCGCCAATAATAACATTATACTTTTGGCTTAATTTTACAATTTAGTAAAAGACAAGCTTAGTTTCATCATTAAGTTAAATAATTTTTTTTCCCATAGAAAAATGCACTAAGCCTGACCTGAGTAATGGTTACATCTCTGATGTAAAGTTATTGTATAAAATTCAAGAGAACATGCGTTATGGTTGCGCTTCAGGGTACAAAACCACTGGAGGGAAGGATGAAGAAGTGGTTCAATGTCTCTCTGATGGATGGTCTTCTCAACCAACCTGTAGGAAAGAACATGGTATAAGAATCATTTCCTAAAACTGAAGATAAGTGCTTATCAAGCTTATATTGAATATATTGAAGCTTATATTGATATCTATTATTTAATAGAATTTATTTTTCATTATGTCTACAATGCAGGAAGTTGATATTACATTGCTTTTCTCAAGTACTAGGTGATTCCTTAATCCAAATGTTCTCAATCCCTACAACCCACCTACGCCAATAGTTCCTACTTTGCATCAATAAAAGGAATTGGAATGGAATAAAATGAAAGAAGCTTTTTCTTTATATGTCACTATTTCCTTTATTACAGAAGAATTTAAGATCATGTACATTATTTTATATTGTGAACCAATGTCAGATATACTTAAAAATAGTTCAATAATTTAAATATATGTATACTTTGTTAGTAAGTTGTTTAAATTGTAAAAATGCATAGACAGCACATACTTTCACAATTGCTACTGCACAAGCCTTTAGTTGAATTTTGGCCTTTGGTCAAGCACTTGTAGACTAGAATTTTAAAAACAGAAAACTGGTAGAGTTAGGTCACAAGGTGTATGAAGAAGAGAATAGAGGCAAAGAAAAATTGGGGCTATTTTTCAATTTTGCTAAGAGTTGATTTTACCATGTATTCTTAAGATTTGTAAAACCATATTTTGAGATTTTTTATAATCTAGGTTATTAAAAAAGTTTATAAAATAAATAATTTTTATAATTTTAGAAACATGTTTGGCTCCTGAATTATATAATGGAAATTATTCCACAACACAGAAAACATTCAAAGTGAAGGACAAAGTACAATACGAATGTGCTACTGGCTACTACACAGCTGGAGGAAAGAAGACAGAGGAGGTAGAATGTCTCACATACGGATGGTCTCTCACACCAAAATGTACCAGTAGGTTCTCATTTGGAATAAAATCTACTCTCACTCTGAAAGCTTTTTCTCATAGAGAAGTGTATATAAGTTGTCATGCTCATTATGTTTCACCTTTTCATGCATTTTTGCCTTTATTTTTAATTATGTTGATAGCAGTCTTTGATAATTAAAGCTCTCAAGTAGAATAAATTCATTTTAGCTCACAGAATTAAATTAGAATAAGCCTAATGATATTTAACAAATATATAAAATGAATTCATAAGCTTTTTGGCAAATTTAATTTCTATTCTAGTTATGTCATGTAAATAGTGCATTTTGTTGTAGCAGAAAAAATAAACATTTGTTTGTAATTTTATTCATTCTTTTATTTGCAGAATTAAAGTGCTCTTCTTTAAGATTAATTGAAAATGGTTATTTTCATCCTGTAAAGCAAACCTATGAAGAAGGAGATGTCGTTCAGTTTTTCTGTCATGAAAATTATTATCTAAGTGGATCTGATTTAATTCAATGCTATAACTTTGGTTGGTACCCAGAATCTCCTGTATGCGAAGGTAAATTTTTAAATTTAATACTCGCAAAATGCCATGTCTTTATCAGCTTTAATCTCTATTAGCTCTGACAAAATTCCTGTGGTCATATCTATTTTTTTTCCTGAGTCCTATTTTTAAAATAAATATTATCTTTTAAATCAGTGCTATTTTCAGCAATCTTTAATATATCCCACCTGAATAAATCTTGTTTTGTCTTAGTTTGTAAATGACTATATCTTTTAAATTTATTATTTTAAAATATCTATTATACATTTTAAATCCCTTATTATAACGAATAACTTTTCTTATTGGGAATTATTAGGACTAATTACCCCAATCTGGCAGCTTTGCAAGGATATTTTCTCTTAATTTGCCACATATTTCCAGATGTAAAAATTAATCTCCAAAATAGTGAGGTAGAAAGCAGAGAAAGCAGGAAAAGCAGAAGAATAATGCCCAGAAGTGAAAATGGGAAAAGAGGTCATCTTGTAAAAGCTGCCCAAAAATGTAATATCTATGGTCACATTTCTATTACTGGAAGTGTCCAAACAGGTAATGCAATTACCTGTCAGAAGACATCCATAGTTATTTAAACAAACCTACAATTTAATATGAGGAGGGTCCTATACTAGCAGAAGATATGAAAACAGTAATTGCAGATATGAAAAAAATAATTGCTATAATGTGACAAATGGTACAATCAACTCAGGTACAAAGTGCAGGAATAAACATTAGAGATTCTGATTGGTATGCTGTGGAATAGCATTCACAGAAGTGATGGACAATATTTAAGTTGGGTCTTAAGAGATAAGTAGCAGTTTGAGAATTGGGAGGATAGGGTGAGGCAAAGGGTTTGATAGTCATTTTTTATTTTCTGTAATATGGGATATAAGGTCTATTGACAGGCAGGTGAAAGACATGAAGGTAGAACTTGGAGGAAAGTGGTGAAGATTTGAAACAGGTGCTAGGGGAAACAAATGAGGGCTCTGACCATGGGTATGCAGTGGGATTGCCAGAACTATCATAATTCCCTAAATGCACTGTACAGTAACTTTAAAGATTTTATGATTTTTCATTTGTGCTCGACATCCTTGGTATAGTAGTAGAGAAGTAGATTTTTTAAGCAAATTTTTTTAAAGTCTATTATTCCTTATTTATTTTTTATTTTTTTGAGATGGAGTCCTGCTGTGTCGCCTAAGCTAGAGTGCAGTGGCACGATCTCAGCTCACTGCAACCTCCACCTCCCAGGTTCAAGTGATTCTCCTGCCTCAGCCTCCTGAGTAGCTGGGACTACAGGTGTCGGCCACCATGCCCAGCTAATTTTTTTGTGTTTTTAGTAGAGACAGGGTTTTGCCACGTTGGTCAGGCTGGTCTTGAACTCCTGACCTCAGGTGATCAGCCTGCCTCAGCCTCTCAAAGTGCTACTTCAAAAATAAATGGCAGACCTACTTAAGGCCTTTTATACCCTTCTCCTCTTCCAAATTAGCCAGCATGACAACATGCCTGTTTTTTCCGGTAAACAGTCATTAGGCATACAATGGCTAATATAATTCAGCCCACAACAATATAATTCAGTTGTGGGCTGAATTATATCTCTCTTACTCCTCCCAAAATATAGCCACATTCTAATACTGAGAACCATTAAACGTTACCTTACACGGTACAAGACACTTTGAGGTTAACAATCTTAAGGTAGGAATATTATCTGGAACTATCTATCCAGACTCTAAATATAATCACAAATGCTTTTATAAAAGGGAGGCAGAGGGAGATTGACTGCAGAAGAGGAAGCAGGAGATGTGACAATGGAAGCCACAGGTTGAAATGTTTTGAGGAAGGGGTTGTGAGCCAAGGAATACAGGTGATTTCAAGAAGCTAGAAAAGGCAAAGTAGCTGATTCTCCTCCAAAGTCTCCAGCAGGAATGTGGCTCTCCTGATATCTCGATTTTAGTCCAGTGAAACTGACTCTGGACTTCTGGCCTCTAGGACTGTAGGAGGATAAATCTGTGCTGTTTTAAGCCACTAAATTGTAATTCATCAAAGCAGCAATAGGAAAGTAGTGTGGTCAGTATTTTAGAGCAGGAGACTTTAATTTAGACAGACGTGGGTTCAAGAACAGATCTGCTACATGCTATTAATTTATTTACTTCATAAGTTTTAGTTTGTCTATAACATGGGAGAAATAATAGTTCCTACTTAATAAAGTTATTTTAGGACTAAAAGAGGTAATGAATGTAAAATGCCTGCTGTGTTAGTATTCTATTGGTGCGTAACAATGTCACCACAAACTCAGCAGGTTAAAACAACACAAAGAAATTATTTCCCATTGGGTGTAGGTTGGGGGTCTGGGTGCGGCTTAACCGACTCCTTGCATCGATGGCTATCAAAGCTGCAATCAAGATGTTAGCTGGACTGCAGTCTCATCTGAGGCTTGACTGGGCAAGACTTCTTCCAAACTCACTGTAGTTATTGGCAGCATTCAGTGCTTTGCAGACTGCTGAACTGAGAGCCTCTGTTTCTTGTGGCTGTTAACTGAAGGCAGCCCTCTGCCCCTTGCCTTGCAGCCGTTCTGCTTTGGAAGCTCATGATGTAGCCTCTTGTTTCTTCAAAACCAGCAAGGATAGAGAGTCTCTTGGCAAGAATGGCGTTAAAAACTGATGTTACATAATTATGTGTGCATAATCACGTACTAATCCATCACCTTTGCTGTATTTTGTGGGCTAGAAGCAAGTCACAGGTCCTACTCATGGAAAGGGGTATCACACAAGGAAGTTAACATCAGGAGGTGAGGATCAAAGGAATGCTCCTAGAATCAGTCTGCCATTCTCTCTATGATGCTTGACATGATGAATATTTTAATTTAATCTTTATTATTTTTTGTAATTATATGACTAAAGGTGCTGATTAATTTTTTCCATAAGGAAGAAGAAACAGATGTCCTCCTCCACCTCTGCCCATAAACTCCAAAATTCAAACACATTCAACAACTTATCGTCATGGAGAAATAGTTCATATAGAATGTGAACTTAATTTTGAGATCCATGGGTCAGCAGAAATACGTTGTGAAGATGGAAAATGGACAGAACCTCCAAAATGCATTGGTTAGTAACACCTTGAAGAAGCTTTGCTAAAATGAAATCTGCATGTGTAGCTAAATGGTCAGTTCTCTTTCAACTGTACCTTTTCAGAAGGACAGGAGAAGGTAGCCTGTGAGGAACCACCCTTCATTGAAAATGGTGCAGCAAATTTACACTCTAAGATTTATTACAATGGGGATAAAGTGACATATGCATGTAAAAGCGGCTACCTTCTCCATGGATCGAATGAGATAACTTGTAATCGTGGAAAATGGACACTTCCTCCTGAGTGTGTTGGTATGTATGCTACATTTACCATCAGTAGCTAAACTTATGGTGTAAAATTTTCCATTCTGTTACTTTAATCTGAATATTCCTAGGAAAAGACCACTGCTTAGGCAAATTAGAAACACATTGCTACAGCACCTACTCTTCTGCTTTGCATGTGTGCATGTGTGTGTGCCTGTATGTGTAGCTATCTGTAGAATTTAAGTCAATGTAAAGAATTCTTAAACAAAAGTTTTTTTTGAACGCTAGTGCTAAGCACGGTTATCTGATCTGTGTCATGCCATTACCTGTAAGTTCTAAATGACAACACATAAATGACGATGTGCTTCATTAGATAAGTAAATAAGGGCATGGTGGATTGAGTGACGGGCCATGAGCATTATCTACTTCTTCTCCCCATATGTCCTGCAAAGTTAGGGTAGTGCATTCTGTTCTTGACCTTGGGTAAGTCCTGCTGATATTTTGCATCTGGCCATTCTGAACCTTATGCCCTTCTGAGACATGTCCCTGGTCTTTCATTTTACTGAAAGGCACCACCAGGCTACACTATCATTCCTGGAGACTACTCTTCCTGTCATCTATCTCATTTCTTAATCAGATCAGAGCAACATCTCCACACACATGTTTATCTAGGATATTTATTAAATAAGACAAAAGCAATGAAGGATGCTAAAGAAATAGATAAAGTGAGAGAAAGATACCAAAAAGAGGAAAAAAATTGATATTTCCTTCATGGGTCTATTGAGACCTGAGATGAAGAGGAATGAAAAAGAAGAAAATAAAAGTGGGGTAATGCCAAAGAGCAATTTTAGAATTGACCATAATCTTTAGGTTGAAGAACAGTTTCTCATTCTATAGGTTTAAGAAATGTGTATATCATAATTCCTTCACAATTGAGAAAAGAGAAAAATACGTATAGTTGTTTTTAGGTAACATATTTGCTGTCAACTCTTGCTTAGCAAATTTTAAAAATATTTGAGCTGAAAAAATTTTTCATATTTGTAATGAATTTATAAAACAATTGTCCTAAATTATATAATACAAATATCGAGACACTATAGTATGAGTTACTATAGTATATTGTTATGAGCTCATATTAATTTTAAAACAACCTCTTTTCTTAGAAAATAATGAGAATTGTAAGCATCCTCCTGTTGTAATGAATGGGGCTGTTGCAGACGGGATATTGGCAAGCTATGCAACAGGATCCTCAGTGGAATATAGATGCAATGAATATTACTTACTGAGGGGATCAAAAATATCTCGTTGCGAACAAGGAAAATGGTCATCCCCACCTGTTTGCTTGGGTAAGAAAGAGAACACATGGAATGTCTACGTTTGTACTTTTATGTGATTTTCTTACAGTGTTTTATATCATGAAAATGATGATTTTGTACAAATCTTTTTTCACAAGTGTTTTCTCTCTCATTTCTTTAAGTAGAAAGTCCCTAAAATATTAGTGTATTTTTTCTATTGTGGTAAAATATACATAACATAAAATTTACCACCGTAGCTATTTTTAAGTGTACAATTCAGTGGCATTAAGTATATTAACATTTTTGTGACCAATTAGCTTTTGGGTTGTCTTTCTCCTAGCTGAAATTCCCTCCCTGGTATACAGCCCTCAATATCTCTGCTTGTATTGCCCTCAGAATGTCATTTCAAGAAGAATAATTAGTCCTATTCTTTCCTTGGTAGAGTATATTGCTAATATATTATAGAGTATATTATATAGAGTATATTGCTAAATTTTACCACCGCATCCTCATCTGAATGGACACGTTTGTTACATCTTGTTGATTATATAAAAGTGTTTGCTAATGACTTAGATAATAAATGGTCTTCTAAATGTTTTACACACACAAGCACACACTCCACAAAATGCTATGATATGATGCAGAGGTATATATCTTAGATTTTTTCACTCAAAATATATTGTAAACATGGTTTGTCATACTTCTACAATATATACTTTAATGGCTGCATAGTATTCCATAATGCAGATATACATATGTAATTTAACCAGTTTATTGATGGATGTTTAGTGTTCAACATTTTTATATTCCAAACAGTACACTTTCAAGTAAATCTTTGTACATGTTAAACATATTTATTTTTGTTAAAAATAATTATCATGAGATCAGGAATTTTAATTCTTTTTCTATTAATTGGCAAATTGTCTATCAGAAAGTTTGTTCTGCTTTGTTAACCCTACCATAAGTGAATTAAAGTAGTAATCATCCTAATCTTTGTTAACTTTGAATATTTTAATCTTGACATTTTTTGTTAAGCAGGCAAGCACAATTATTTTAATTTGATTTATTTAAGAATTAATTAATTTGGAATTTTTTAACTTTCTAGTAGCCACAGGTTTTTTTACATGAATTAATTATTCATAGTTTAGCCATTTTTTCATACTTATAAATCTATATATAAATTATTTTATCCAATTGAGAATCATGTTTATTGCAATTATTTTTAATTTATTTTTATTTATAGTGTTTTTAAGTATATATAAGTGTATGTTTTAAGTCTTGAGCTCTTTCAACCTTTTGTTAGTAGTTTCCACCTTTCAAGTAATTCTTAGGAGTCGATTCCCATTCAAATTCAGATACAGATACATATTCACATAGAATTTTGCTATTGGTCTCATATTTTTATAAATGTTTTTGATATTAAGTTTTTGATGCTTTGGTTGATATTGCATTGAGTGGAGATATAGTAATCTCTAAGGACAAAGACTAGATTAAAATATTTATGGCAAAGCTGGTAATGAAACAAGCTCATAAGGAAATAACAACATTTAAGGAAATACATCATTCTATATCTGGAACAACTGCCTCAAGAGAGTTAGGTTTGGTCCTAATGAATCAAAGCAAATACCAAATGAAGATTAATCATTGTTATCAGGGCAAGAGAAAGGGGCTTTGTATATCTTGGTAACTATTGAAACTGGAAAGGCTATCAGTACAAATTCACAACAGTATGATAAAGCATAGAATTTTCTCTGTAGGAATTATTATTCCAGACATTAAGAGTCTCTCTAACCTCTCCATACTCTCTTCCCTGCTCTAATCACTCCAGTCTTTCTGGTCTCCTTACTCTTCCACAAACAAGCCAAGAATGCTCTCACTTCAGGGCCTTTGCACTGGTTGTTCCCTTTGCTTGGGACACTCTTTCATAAGAAAATGACATGGTTCACTCAGTCTCCTTCAAGCTTTTGTGCAAAGTCCCCTTCAAGCTTTTTTACTTCTTATTTAGGCCTACCCTAATCACCTTACTGAAAAGTGCAACTTCTCTTCACCTAGCTCTTTTGTTACCCCCTCCTGCTCCAGTACTCTTTTTTTCATCTAATTTATCTTATGCTGTAGTTTAAAGATGGCCACTGTGTTAGTCTGTTCTCATGCTGCTAATAAAGACATACCTGAGACTGGGTAATTTATAAAGGAAAGAGATTTAATGCACTCACAGTTCCACATGGCTGGGGAGGCCTCACAATCATGGTAGAAGACAAAGGAGAAGCATGGAACGTCTTACAAGGTGGCAAGCAAGAGAGCATGTGCAGGGAAACTCCCCTTTATAAAACCATCAGATCTCATGAGACTTATTCACTGTAATGAGAACAGCATGGGAAAGACCCACCCCAGGATTCAATTACCTCCAACCAGGTTCCTCCCATGACATATGGGAATTATGGGAGCTACAATTCAAGATGAGATTTGGGTAGGCACACAGCCAAACCATATCAGCCACAAATTATACAATTCATGTCTTTATTATATTTATTATGTATTGTAGGTGTTTCTCCCAGTTAGAAGGTAAGCTCCATGGGAGCAGGAGTCTTGGTTTTATTCATTAGCAGGTTTTCTATTATTTTCTACATGGTAGTTAAAGGTTTTTATTTTATAGAAAGAAAATTATTATTAATCTAACTGATTGATGCCCTTAAATAGTATTTTTGATGTTTTAAATTAAGTGGTTTTAGTTTATGACAATAATGTATAGATTCATTTGATAGTAATAAAGTATATATTTTCTTATATATATATGTGTGTGAGAGAAGCCTTAATTATGATTTCAATTATAAAATATTGCTTTTGAAACTTGTCATAATTTTTGTTTTAAAAAATATCACTTTTATATTTGTCAGACAAGTAAAGAATTTAAAAGAGCATTTTGTTTTACAGAACCATGTACTGTTAATGTGGATTACATGAACAGAAATAACATAGAAATGAAGTGGAAATATGAAGGGAAAGTCTTACATGGAGATTTAATAGATTTTGTATGTAAACAGGGATATGACTTATCTCCATTAACCCCATTGTCTGAATTATCTGTGCAGTGCAACAGAGGAGAAGTGAAATATCCTTTATGTACTAGAAAAGGTAAAATAATAATGTTCTCTGCAAGTATCTTTACTTGACCAATATCTGCTACCTCGGTTGAAAATTTATTTATAGTTTGTTGCTATTTTTCTTATTATTATTCTTTTTAATTTTGTTTTATTTTATTTTATTTTACTTTGAGTTCTGAGACACAAGTGCAGAATGTGCAGGTTTGTTACATGGGTATACGTGTGCCATGGTGGTTTGCAATTCCAGTAATGGAATTGCTGCGTCGAATTTCATTTCTGGTTCTAGGTCCTTGAGGAATCACCACACTGTCTTCCACAATGGTTGAACTAATTTACATTCCCATCAGCAGTGTAAAAGCATTCCTATTTCTCCCCAGCCTTACCAGCATCTATTGTTTCTTGGCTTTTTAGTAATTGCCATTCTGACTGGTGTGAAATGGTGTCTCATTGTGATTACACCTTATACAAAAATTAACTCAAGATGGATTAAAGATTTAAATGTAAAAACCCCAAACCATAAAAACTCTAGAAGAAAACCTAGGCAATACCATTCAGGACATAGGCATGGGCAAATACTTAATGACGAAAATGCCAAAAGCAATTGCGATGAGAGCCAAAACTGACAAATGAGATCTAATTAACCTAAAGAGCTTCTGCACAGCAAAAGAAACTATCATCAGAGTGAACAGGAAACTTACAGAATGGGAGAAAATTTTTGCAATCTGCCCATGTGACAAAGGTCTAATATCCAGAATCTACATGGAACTTAACACAAATTTACAAGAAAAAAACGAACAACACCATCAAAAAGTAGGCAAAGGATATAAACAGTCACTTCTCAAAAGAAGACATTTATGTGGCCAACAAACATATGAGGAAAAAGCTCAACATCGCTGATCTTTAGAGAAAATTTATACCTATGACCCCAATTCACCACCATCATATTCTAATCTATAAAGTTGAGAGGAGTGATCCAACTTCCAAACTTCAATCAGCATATATACCTATATAGGATGGCCATGCTGACATCTTTTAATTCCAATAAGTCAATTTTATGAAGGGAAAAAATCAAGAGGTTTTATAAATGTTGCCAGACTATCAGAGAATTGATCACCTTCTTGTGAGCACTCAACAACAAACACTGTAAAGCATTGCTCTACTTAGGGCTTTCTGGGGACCCATTGTCTCAGTACTCACTGGCTATAGGGACTATTACTTTTAATAAGGAAGAAAAGGAAAATAATATATACAGAAATCATGGCTTCTAGAAAAATCCCATATACACTTAGGGAGAAATAAAATCATGATTGTTAATACTCTCATAGTTTTAAATATGCATGTAAACACTATAACGTGGGATTCTAATTATAAAAATACATTGTATGGTATAATATTATTGCAAAAACATCTTCAATATTTTAAAAATATTTGAGAACTGCCTAAAAAATGGCTTTATGGCTAGGTGCAGTGGCTCACGCCTGTAATCCCAGCACTTTGGGAGGCCAAGGTGGGCAGATTTCTTGAGCCCAGGAATTCAAGACCAACCTGAGCAACATAGTGAGACCCTGTCTCTACAAAAGAAAAATGCACCTGTAGTCCCAACTAGTTGGGAGGCTAAGACAGGAGGATCACTTGAGCCTGGGAGGCAGAGGTTGCAGTGAGTCATGATCATGCCACCATACTCCAGCCTGGGTGACAGAGGGAGACTCTGTCTCTGTAGCACTTATAAAGTACTGGATGTTCATTATAGCAATTCATTGTATACTTTAAAACTTATTTTTGCAGAATCTAAAGGAATGTGCACATCTCCTCCTCTTATTAAACATGGAGTCATTATTAGTTCAACAGTAGACACCTATGAAAATGGCTCTTCAGTAGAATACAGATGTTTTGATCACCATTTCCTAGAAGGATCTAGGGAGGCCTATTGTTTAGATGGAATGTGGACTACACCACCATTGTGTTTAGGTATGTACTACTAAATATGCCTCTAACAAAGTAAAACTATATATTTTTAATTTGCTGTCATTTTTGAGTTAACATAACACTAATATAATGCTATATTTGCTACATTTGTGTTATTTTATTCATGTGCTTATTTTATCACTGCTTTCTATTCTTTCCTCTAGATCATAAATACCTATAGTTCAGTTTGTTGTAATACATATTTTTTTAAAGACAAACCACACATCAGGTTGGTATGGGCTATAAGTTGAATAAGCCATAGTGGTGTGAGTAAACTTTAACAATTATCATTCATTGTGATTGGTACTATAATAGAAAACATTAGGGAAACATGTATAATAGAAAACAATGCGGAAATAAAGAAATGGACAACTCAATATGGAAAGATGAAGCAAGTTAATGTTTTATTAGCAAGGCATCCTAGTAAGAGTAACAACATTTACTAAGGCCCTCAGAGGCATGAAATAGCACATCTGTAAATAATAAGAAAATATTTTTTATTTCCAATTCTGACTTTTATTTACTTCTCTTATCTTCTTTCACTGGCTAGGACTTCAGTACAATGTTGAATGGAAGAGGTAGTGGATATCTTTATTTGCTTCCCATTCTCATAAGTAAAACCTTTGATAATTCACCTCTATGTGTTGTTATAAATATTTTTTTAAAAATCAAGTTAAAGGTATAAAAACCTTTCTTTCTATTTTGCCGAAAGTATTTTTAAAGAATCTTCAATCTGTGTTTAATTTTTAGCAATATCTGTTGAAATAATTACATAATTATTACTTTTGTTTTTTCCCCTGCAAATTTAATGAATTATATTGCTTCTTTTGAATGTTAAAGCATGATTCTATTCCCATAAGAAATTCCACAAGGTTGTGATAAATTATGCATATTATATGTTATATTTTTATTTATCAATATTTTACTCATCTATTTTCATGAGAAAGACTGGTTGGTTATTTTCCTTTCTGGTTTGATATCAAGTCTGTGCTGACCTCATCCCATGAATGGGAAGTGTTCCGTCTTTTCTGGTTCTCTGGATTGATGCTATTTCTTCCTTTATAATTTTAAGAGTTAACCAGAGAAGCCATCTGGGACTTGAGTTTTTCCGTGAAAAGACAAATTGACAGCTTCGATTTGTTTAACAAATAATGGTAATTATTTCTTCTTCTGTCAGTTTTGGTAGGGAGTGGTTTCTTGATGGTTCATTACAACTACATTGTCAAATCTACTAACATAAAGTAGTTATGACATCTTCCTATCCTCTTTTTGATGTTTTTATTGATGTATCTTTTGTTATTACTTCTATTAATATGTATCTGTCTTGACATGCCTTGCTAAGGGTCTATACATTTTATTAGTGTTTTCAAAAAACCAACATTTGCATTTGTTGATTCATCAAATTTTGCTTTCTATTTTATTAATTATGCTATTATCTTTATTATTTCCTTTCTTCTATGTTCTTGGATTTCTTTTGTTACTCTTTTTCTGGCTTGTTTAGATGAATACATAGATTACTAATTTTCAGCATTTATATTTTTTCTAATACATGAATTTAAAAATAGAAATTTCTCTCTGAGCACAACTTTAACTTCATCCAAACCATTTTTATATCTTGGATTTTTACTGTCATTCAGCTCAAAAATTTTATAGTATTCATTTTGATATATTCTCTGTGCTCTGAATCATTTAGAAGTTTCTTTTTAAAGTTCTGAATATTTAGGGGATTTTCTAGTTTTCTTTTGGTTACTGATTTCTAGTTTAATTCAATTAAGACATACTTTGAATTATATCTGCACTTTAAAATTTGTTGATATTTGCTTTATAACAAGCATGTATTTGCTTTAGGTAAACGTTCTTTTCATACTTGAAAAAAGTTAACTTTGTCATTGTTGGGTTCACTGTTTTATATATGTGAATTGGATTGAGTTTTGTTTTTGATGTTTAAGTTAATCCAAAGCTGTACTGATTTGTGTGTGTTTGTTTTCTATCAATCACGGAGAGAAGCATGTTAAAGTCTCACTTGGCATTTTAAAACATTACTAATTTTAGTTCTGTCCATTTTTGCTTTTGTATTTTGATACTATTTCATTAGGTACACACACAAATTGAGACACTAAATCTTCGTATCTTGGTGTATTGGCATTGTCTAATTTTAAAAGACCTCCTTCATATATAGTAATGCTTTGCCTTTTTTTTTGCCTTGAGGTCTCCTTTAGCTGCACCAAGGGGCTTTTGACAAGCATTCATGTAGTACACATTTTTCCATCCCTTAACTTTCAACCTTCTGGGTTTTTACTTTTAGTGTGCCTCTCTTATAAGCAATATATACCTTATTTTAAAATATACTTATGCAGTTTATAATTTTTTCCCTTGTAATGGAATAGTCTATTTACATATTCATGTAATTACTAATATATTTCTGTTTATACCTACCAACCCTACCAACTTTCTATACTAGGTGTATGTTACTATACTCCATGTATATCCCATTGGTCATCTCCCTCTTTCTCTCTCTCTCTCCATATAGGTGTGTGTGTATATATATATACACATATATATATATAATATTTTAAGTTCTAGGGTACATATGCACAATGTGCAGGTTTGTTACATAGGTATACATGTGCCATGTTGGTTTGCTGCACCCATCAACTCTTCATTTACATTAGGTATTTCTCCTAAAGCTATCCCTCCCCCAGACCCCCACAGACAGGCCCTGGTGTTTGATATTCCCTGCCCTGTGTCCATGTGTTCTCATTCTTCAACACTCACCTATGAGTGAGAACATGCAGTGTTTGGTTTTCTGTCCTTGTAATAGTTTGCTTACAATGATGGCTTCCAGCTTCATCCATGTCCCTGCAAAGGGCATGAACTCATCCTTTTTAATGGCTGCATAGTATTCCATGGTGTGTATGTGCCACATTTTCTTAATCCAGTCTATCATTGATAGACATTTGGGTTGGTTCCAAGTTTTGCTATTGTGAATAGTTCTGCAAAAAACATATCTGTGCATTTGTCTTTATAGCAGAATGACTTATAATCCTTTGGGTATATACCCAGTAATGAGATCACTAGGTCAAATGGTATTTCTAGTTCTAGATCCTTGAGGAGTCGCCACACTGTCTTCCACAATGATTGAACTAGTTCATACTCCCACCAACAGTGTAAAAGCGCTCCTATTTCTCCACATCCTTTCCAGCATCTGCTGTTTCCTGACATTTTAATGATCGCCATTGTAACTGGAGTGAGATGGTCTCTCATTGTGGTTCTGATGACCAGTGATGATGAGCATTTTTTCATATGTCTGTTGGCTGCATAAATGTCTTCTTTTGAGAAGTGTCTGTTCGTATCCTTTGCCCACTTTTTGATGGGGTTGTTTTTTTCTCGTAAACTTTTTAAGCTCTTTGTAGATTCTGGATGGTAGCTCTTTGTCAGATGGATAGATTGCAAAAATTTTCTCCCATTCTGTAGGTTGCCTGTTCACTCTGATGATCGTTTCTTTTGCTGTGCAGAAGCTCTTTAGTTCAATTAAATTCCATTTGTCTATTTTGGCTTTTGTTGCCATTACTTTTGGTGTTTTAGTCATGAAGTACTTGCCAATGCCTATGTCCTGAATGATATTGCCTAGGTTTTCTTCTAGGGTTTGTATGGTGTTAGGTCTTACATTTAAATTTTTAATGCATCTTGAGTTAATTTTTGTATAAGGTATAAGGAAGTGATCCAGTTTCAGCTTTCTACATATGGCTAGCCAGTTTTCCCAACACCATTTATGAAATAGGAAATCATTTCCCATTTCTTGTTTTTGTCAGGTTTGTCAAACATCAGATGGTTGTATGTGTGTGCATTATTTCTGAGGCCTCTGTTCTGTTCCATTGGTCTATATATCTGTTTTGGTACCAGTATCATGCTGTTTTGGTTACTGTAGCCTTGTATTATAGTTTGAAGTCAGGTAGCCTGATGCCTCCAGCTTTGTTCTTTTTGCTTAGGATTGTCTTGGCAATGCGGGCTCTTTTTTGGTTCCATATGAATTTTAAAGTAGTTTTGTCCAATTCTGTGAAGAAAGTCAATGGTAGTTTGATGGGGATGGCATTGAATCTATAAATTACCTTAGGCAGCATGGCCATTTTCACGATATTGATTCTTCCTATCCATGAGCATGGAATGTTCTTCCATTTGTTTGTGTCATCTTTTATTTCGTTGGGCAGTGGTTAGTAGTTCTTGAAGAGGTCCTTCACATCCCTTGTAAGTTGGATTCCTAGGTATTTTATTCTCTTTGAAGTAATTGTGAATGGGGGTTCACTCATAATTTGGCTCTCTGTTTGTCTATTATTGATGTATAGGAATGCTTGTGATTTTTGCCATTGATTTTGTATCCTGAGACTTTCCTGAAATTGTTTATCAGCTTAAGGAGATTTTGGGCTGAGACGATGGGGTTTTCTAAATATATAATCATGTTATCTGCAAACAGGGACAATTTGAATTCCTCTTTTCCTAATTTAATACCATTTATTTCTTTCTCTTGACAGATTGCCCTGGCCAGAACTTCCAACACTATGTTGAATAGGAGTGGTGAGAGAGGGCATCCCTGTCTTGTGCCAGTTTTCAAAGCAAATGCTTCCACTTTTTGCCCATTCAGTAAGATATTGGTGGTGGGTTTGTCATGAACAGCTCATATTATTTTGAGGTACATTCCCTCAATACCTTGTTTATTGAGAGTTTTTAGCATGAAGGGCTGTTGAATTTTGTCGAAGGCTTTTTCTGAATCTATTGAGATAATCATGTGGTTTTTGTCATTGGTCCTGTTTATGTCATGGATTATGTTTATTGATTTGTGTATGTTGAACCAGCATTGCATCCCAGGGATGAAGCCATCTTGATCGTGGTGGATAAGCTTTTTGA
The DNA here is from genome assembly GCF_000001405.40 of Homo sapiens. Taxonomy (NCBI): domain Eukaryota; kingdom Metazoa; phylum Chordata; class Mammalia; order Primates; family Hominidae; genus Homo; species Homo sapiens. The sequence continues at coordinate 197,045,797 of NC_000001.11, read as the reverse complement.
TGTGCTGCTGGATTTGGTTTGCCAGTATTTTATTGAGGATTTTCACATCGATGTTCATCAGGAATATTGGTCTAAATTCTGTTTTTTGTTGTTGTTGTGTCTCTGCCAGGCTTTGATATCAGGATGATGCTGACTTCATTAAATGAATTAGGGAGGATTCCCTCTTTTTCTATTGATTGGAATAGTTTCAGAAGGAATGGTACCAGCTCCTCTTTGTACCTTTGGTAGAATTCGGCTGTGAATCCATCTGGTCCTGGGCTTTTTTTGATTTGTAGGCTATTAATTATTGCCTCAATTTCAGACCCTGTTATTGGTCTATTCAGACATTCAACTTCTTTCTGGTTTAGTCTTGGAAGGGTGTATGTGTCCAGGAATTTGTCCATTTCTTCTAGATTTTCTAGTTTATTTGCATAGAGTGTTTATAGTATTCTCTGATGGTAGTTTGTATTTCTGTGGGATTGGTGGTGATATTCCCTTTATTATATTTTATTGCATCTATTTGATTCTTCTCTCTTTTCTTCTTTATTAGTCTTGCTCTCAGTCTATGTAGTTTGTTTATCTTTTTTAAAAAAACAGTTCCTGGATTCATTGATTTTTTTGAAGGGATTTTTTGTGTCTCTATTTCCTTCAGTTCTGCTCTGATCTTAGTTATTTCTTGCCTTCTGCTAGCGTTTGAATGTGTTTGCTCTTGCTTCTCTAGTTCTTTCATTGTGATGTTAGGGTGTCGATTTTAGATCTTTCCTGCATTCTCTTGTGGGCATTTAGTGCTATAAATTTCCCACTACACACTGCTTTAAATGTGTCCCAGAGATTCTGGTACGTAGTGTCTTTGTCCTTACTGGGTTCAAAGAACATCTTTATTTCTGCCTTCATTTCGTTATTTATCTAGTAGTCATTCAGGAGTAGGCTGTTCAGTTTCCATGTAGTTGTGCAGTTTTGAGTGAGTTTCTTAATCCTGAGTTCTAATTTGATTGCACTGTGGTCTGAGAGACAGTTTGTTGTGATTTCTGTTCTTTTTCATTTGCCAAAGAGTGTTTTACTTGCAGTTATGTGGTCAATTTTGGAATAAGTGCAGTGTGGTGCTGAGAAGAATGTATATTCTTTTGATTTGGAGTGGAGAGTTATGCAGATGTCCATTAGGTCTGCTTGGTCCAGAGCTGAGTTCAAGTCCTGGATATTCTTATTTACCTTCTGTCTCGTTGATCTGTCTAGTATTGACAGTGGGGTGTTAAAGTCTCCCATTATTATTGTGTGGGAGTCTAAATCTCTTTGCAGGTCTCTAAGGACTTGCTTTATTAACCTGGGTGCTCCTGAATTGGGTGCATATATATTTAGAATAGTTAGTTCTTCTTGTTGAATTGATCCCTTTACCATTATGTAATGGCCTTCTTTGTCTCTTTTGATCTTTGTTGGTTTAAAGTCTGTTTTATCAGAGACTAGGATTGTAACCCCTGCTCAGCAATAGTAGACGACCCTCCCCCCATAACGCTGTCGTGTCACAGGTTGATCTCAGACTGCTGAGCTAGCAGTGAGCAAGGCTCCATGGGCGTGGAAACTGCTGAGCCAGGCAAGGGAGGGTATCTCCTGGTCTGTCGGTGGCTAAGACCTTGGGAAAAGCACAGTATTTGGTCAGGAGTGTACCATTTCTCACTGTGCTGCCCAGGCTGGAGTTCCTTAGAAACAAATCAGAAACAAATCTCTCCCTCTCTCTCTTTCTCTCTCTCTCTCTATATATATATAAATATATATATATATGAGTTAGTTCCAAGATGGCCGAATAGGAACAGCTCCGGTCTGCAGCTCCCAGGGAGATCAGTGCAACACAATGAGACTCTCTTTGTACATTTTGTTCTTCAAGTTAGTAGCATTCCTTGAACCTTGATGTACTTGATATCCTTCATGGGTTTTAGAAATGTTTGGCTAATATCTTTTAAAATGTACATTTCTCACCTCTTCTGTGATGCCATATTACATATATTACATCTTTTTGCTATGCCATTGTCTCTTTAAATCTATATTTTCTCTCATTTTCTTCTTGTTTCACTGTAGTAATTTTTTGGTAATTTTCTCATTGTATCATTTCTTTGTTTCTATTTGGTAATTTTCTTCTAGTTTAACAATCCTCTCTTTAGATGTATCCAATCTGCTTTAAACTCATCTTTTGAGTTCTCAATTTCAGTTATCATCTTTGCATTTCTATTTTATATTTTCTTTTTGTAGATTTGAGTTATCTGATGAAAGATCCTAGCTTAACATCAACTTCTTGAACATATAATTCATACTTTTTATTAAGGCTTGTCTGCAAACTCCAATATCTGGATCTATTTTTTAGCCCCAAATTCTTGATATTTTTGTTAACAGTTGATTGAATTCCAAATATTATACGTGGAAAATTTCAGGATGTTTGGATGATGTCAGCTTACTCCAAAGAAGACTCATCTCATCCTCTGGCTGATGATTAGTGTAGAGGCAGTTGGTTTTAATACAATTAGAAATAAAGCTTTCTCTATGTTTGTTTTCAGACCTCTGTTTGCCTTTTCTCACAGACTGTAACTCTCCAGGGCTCTTTACAGAGGGTTTGTTGTGTGTATTAAAGCTTTTTCTCCTTGACTGTCTCTGATATTACTGGGAGACTGCCAAATGCCCACTGTAACTTTTTATTTACTTTCTGCTTGGCTTCTCATCCTATGCCTCTATACAAGTCAAGGATAAGCAGTACCTTAGGGAAAAGCTAGTGCAGAGCCTCAAACTCATATCTCTACACTTCCTATCCTTCTAAATTCTTTATTCTTCAAGTCCTGGCTGCTTTGGTTTACCGAAATTCTCATTTTTCTATCTTCAACTCCATGAGATTTTCAGAAGTTCTGCTGGCTGTATGCCTAAGCTTACCATTCTCTATCATCTAACCTCTCAGGTCAGACTTAGAGTCAACAAACACCTCAAGAGAAAAAAATGGCACATAGAATTTTTTTTTTTTTTTAGACAGTCTCCTTTTGTTGCCCAGGCTGGAGTGCAGTGGTGCGATCCCTGCTCACTGCAACCTCCACCTTCTAGGTTCAAGAGATTCTTCTGCCTCAGCTTTCCCGAGTAGCTGGGATTACAGGTGCATGCCACCATGCCCGGCTATTTTTTTTTTTTTTTTGTAGAGATGGGGTTTCACCATGTTGGCCAGGCTGGTCTCAAACTCCTGACCTCAGATGATCCGCCCGCCTTGGCCTCCCAAAGTGCTGGGATTACAGGTGTGAGTCACCACGCCCAGCCTCACATAGATGTTGAACTCACCTGAATACATTTTTTCCAGAACCTTACTTCCTTGACTAAGTTCCTTGGAGGTTTTCTGATACCTCGAAATGCTTCCTGTTTTTCAGATTTTCTGGTTCTTAATAGAAGTGCTGGTTTGATATAATCTCCTCTGTCATAGCTGAAAGTTAAAGGTCCATGAATCAACTTTTAAATTTATTTTAATTTAAATCTCATGTTCTGTAGAACAGTGACATCGTAAATTATAGTGCTATTCGACTTCATTTTCACAACTATTTTGTAATGAGTGTAATAATTCTTGTTCATTTTCATCACCTGTAGCACTTCCAGCATAATGTTTGACACATAGGCATTTAATAAGTAGTTGTTGAAGAAAGTAACTGAACACAGTGCTCTCAGCTGCGGTTTCACTTTCTGTGGTTTCAGTTACCTGCTATAAACTGCAGTCTGAAAACGTTAAATTGAAAATTTCAGAAATAAACAACTTATAAATTTTAAATTATGCACTTAGTAGTATAATAAAATTTCATGCCATTCCATCCTTCCTGCCCCAGATATGCTAAAAAGAAGCTGTAAAGTGCTTCCTTTAAGTGAAAGGGCGGAAATTCTTAACTTAAAAAGAAAGGAAAAATAAATGTATGCTGAGGTTGCTAAGATCCATGGTAACAATGAGTCTTCTGTCTATGAAAGTGTGAAGAAGGAAAAAGAAATCCATGCTAGTTTCGTTGTTGCACCTCAAACTGCAAAAGTTACAAGCCACAGTGTATAATAAATGTTTAGTTGAGGTGGAAGAGGCATTAAATTTGTGGGCAGAAGACATGAACAGAAACATGTTCCAAAAGAATGACAACAGGGTTTAGCATTATCTGCGGTTTCAGGCATGCACTGGGGCTCTTGAAATGTATCCCCTGTAGGCAATCAGGGAGGGGCATACTGTAAGTAAGTTTGTTAATGTACTACAGGTATATGATTGATATGCCATATTAGCAACTCTGGACCTTTTTACCTGTCTCAGAAGTTATTCCTTAATGCTAGGTCATCCAGGAGACAAATAAGGACATAAGAAATCCCATTTTCTGAAATAATTTGATATTTGATATTTTAGAAATATTAATGTTTTTATTCTGTAAAAAAAATCGAAGAGGTTTTTTTGTGTATTTTAATACATACTTTACCATTCTCTTTGGTTTACGATACATGGGAAAGGACACAACTATACTTTGTATGCTTAGAATTTAAAACGTCTTAATCCAGTCTTGATATTTCTTAACTAGAAATTTGAAAGAGAAGTAACTGTCAACCATTTTGGATGGCATGAGGTTATAAAGCTTGGGTCAGTGTTGAGAATCTACATTTCCATAAAATGTTATTTATACAGCAATTAATAATTTGTCTCATGAGAATTTTATTTGAACTTTCTGAAGAAGGAAAAGGGAAAAGAGCATGATATCAATGACCATTAGTAACTGTCAATGCTTCCCCCCAAATACCTTTTTGTTTGTTTGCTATCTTTGAAAAAGCTAATGACATAAAACTAAAATACCTTTTAGTTTTTAAAACTGGAAGAAAATACCTTTTCTCCAAATCCAGGACCACAGAGAGAAATGGCTCACTGTTTTCTGTGAGATTTGAACATATTTTCTGACTCAAATATTAATTCTGATTAACTGACTTGCTGCTCTTAGGCCTGAGAATTTTAAGGTCCTCATGAGTAGGCAACACAACGATTCCTGTTCTTACCAAGATGTAACAAGATAGTTTTCTTCTTTTTCTTTCTTTTTTTTTAAATTGTTGTTCCCAGAGCCATGCACATTATCTTTTACTGAAATGGAAAAGAATAATTTACTTCTGAAATGGGATTTTGACAATAGACCACACATTTTGCATGGTGAATATATTGAGTTTATTTGTAGAGGAGATACTTATCCAGCTGAATTATATATTACTGGATCTATACTTAGAATGCAATGTGACAGAGGGCAGTTAAAATATCCAAGATGTATTCCAAGACAAAGGTAAGAAGTTTTTTTTTTTTGGTCAGATTATTTTTTTTGGTCAGATTGTTATTCAACATTTCAGAAATGTTATGTTCTATACCACTCATACTTTATGGCAATTGCAAAGAAAAAATAATAATATTTTCTTCATTTTTTTTACACCAAACAAACAACTGGAAGTGGTAATCAATTCAACAGGCCTTCTGAATTGTCTGAAGTGAAAGCAACGTTTGCCATTTGATATTTGTGACACTTTGGCAAATGGAAAAATAAACCAATTTATACGTGCAATATTTCAATGTGCAAAAATTAACCTATATGTTCTGTGATAAGGACAAAAATCACACTTTCTCCTACTTCTCAATATAAGTTCAAGCACTACTAATAAAGGTTGGAAAATGTGGTATTTATTTTCAGGACCACATTTTTGTGTAACTTTTGGAAATTACATACTAAAGTGTTTCCTCATATGACAGTTTAAAAAATATATCCTCTGCTACTTACAGGAAATAATTTAACAATTTTCTTAGAGAAATGTTAAAAAAGTATAATAAAATGATGTAAACCATTTTGTAGGATCACAATTTTAACCCTTTTTGAAGACACTATATATAAAAAATGGAAATTATATTTTTTGTTCAACTAAGAATATTAAAAATATAAGTAGTGGCAAAGTGCATGTGGTCCTGTTTTAAAAAATGCAAACAATGAACTGTATGAACTACATAAAGTCAGTTTTTTAGATGCTTTGACCACTCTAGTAAAAAAATATTTAAAAGACACACAATAGTGGGAAAAATTTTTATTTTTATTTCTAATTGTGGTAGCATCAGGGTGGAAAAAATTTTATATGCTATTTAAATGTTTTGGTACAGTATGAATTTCTCACTTTTAAGAGAAAAAGGTAAACACGTAGAAAATATTTAAAAAATCATGAGTAGTGTAGTAAATAATATTGCATTTTTAAAAGGGAACTGGTGGTATTATTTACTAAGTAAGATCATTTATTCTTATTAGTACTTAATAAAAACAATGACTCATTATATGAAAAATTGAAAGGCTGAGATTGTAATTAACACCTGACTGCAATTGATGCTTATTTCAAAAATCTCTCTTTTTCCCCTCAAGCACTCTGTCTTATCAAGAACCCTTAAGAACATAGAAATGAATGGCAGAAAGAGGAGTCATATTTCAATACATCATGAAATTCCTTATAAAATATAATTTTGAGGAAATAAGTTAAAAACTTCGGAGTTTTTCCTTGCTTAAATATTTGAATCTAAATTATTTGTGCTGAACATTTCGTTATTTATAAATGAAAACCAATAAATGTCTAATTTTTAGTTTGTATGATTTGATGTAGAACTTAATCTCTTTTGTATGTCTTCCATCTGTTACAAATTAATCTACACATCATATTTTCATTTCCTAATGCCCATTGACTAGACTATATAGTTGTTTTCAATATACTGTATGTGCAAAAATTTCACATTCACATTCGTCATCATCTTTATTAATATTAAGGCTTTTGTTACCCTTAATTCAAAGTTTATGTCACTATTAAAGGGCCAAACACACTAGAGATAAGAAACTATATGCTGTATTAGAGGATCTGCCTTATTAAAGGCAGAAGAGACTGCCCTTCAGACTTTCTAAATGTAAAAAACTTTTAAAATTAACTGTAATATTTGCTACAACGTTAATAACCAAATTGTTTATGAGGTGGTGTACTACCATATTTGAACATGTGCTCAAATATTGTTAAAGAGACACAATTAAAGAAAGAATGACCCTTGGAATTTTATTTAATTTTATTTATTTATTTATTTATTTATTTAGAGACAGAGTCTTGCTCTGTCGCCCAGGCTAGAGTGCAATGGCATGATCTTGGCTCACTGCAATTTTTGCCTCCCGTGTTCAAGCAATTCTCCTTCCTCAGCCTTCCAAGTAGCTGGGATTACAGGCGTGTACCACCACGCCCGCTACGGTTTTTTTTTTTTTTTTGTATTTTTAGTAGAGACAAGGTTTCACCATGTTGACCAGGCTGGCCTCGAACTCCTGACCTCATGTGATCCACCCGCCTTGGCCTCCCAGGACTCTTGGCATTTTTACATTTTACACTTTCAAGTCTTTTTTTATATCAAATAATTTTTGGAATTATGCAGACTACAAAATCTGAAATAAGAGAGTTCTACAAGCATCAAAAAATGAGTGTCAGTATTATCAAGGTCTGTTAGAGACATGAAACAGCAACACTGTCACTTTTTCATTTGAAGTGAGAGTTATACTTCTAATTATTTCAGCTCATTCATAAGCATATGTAATAGCACTAGTACCCAGATACTAGGACCCCGATTAGGATTGGTTGTTGGTATTAGAACGAGTTTTCCTTTCTAGAAACTACTCAGTTTTTCTAACTCAAGATCTTAGTTTCTCATTACGATGATATTCTCAAATGCCCAATGTACAATTCTCTACTGCTGGGTATGAAATAGCTTCTTTTGGAAATGATGCCACAGCTGACCTAACTCTGTGGATTAAATAAGTATTAATTCATTCAATGTTAAACATGTATATTTCAGAACTGTCCTTGAGTTCATATTCATTATTTTAATTAATCTCCTGTAGTAGGTTCCCACAGTGGATCTCATAAAAATGGAAATTTAATTAAAATTAAATATCAACAGAAAAGCATTAATCTTTTTAAATAAATTTCCCAATCTATCAATTAAATAACATTATTGAGCACCTGCTATATCCCAGGGAACATGCTGGGTAGTACAGGATTCAAAATGATTAAAATTCACCTCGTTATTTCAAAGAACTCACAAAGTAAAAAACTACTTACTTAGTAAAAGAGATAAACTTGTACTAGTGATTGCAGACTCAAAATGGGTGATGATTGTGGCTTATCTAGTGATATTTCTAGTGAACTGGAGATGGCATGCACTGTTTAACCTGGACAACTACTTCGCTCAAGGTGAATAATTGTCATGGGGGAATATTGTATCCAGTATTGCCATATGTTCTGATTTGTTAATTGTGAAATGCACTGATTTTTATATGTTGCGAGGAGATAAAAAATTATTTAGGCAGTGCAGCTCAAAGTAAACTCCACATGCTAAAGAAATAAAAATTTTGAAAAGTGCAACAGTGGAAGCATGTACGAAGTAAAGTGGTGGCACAAAGTAGGTAGTATTTAACCTTTTTTTTTTTTTGTATGAATGTGGTATAGGAAGCTTCTTGGAAAAAAGTTAAAGTAAATCTGAGGTTTACAAAACTAGAAAACACACTTCAAGTAGAAGGAATGGCATTTGCAAAGTCAAAGCTCATACTCTATGCTAGGCATTACACCGAGCACTGAAAATAAAACAATGAATAAGACACAGACTGTTTCTGCTCTTGTGGAGCTTGTCTCTCGGAGCGGAAGAAAGATATAAGCAAATCCTTACAAAATAAGGCATGGCAGCAAAGACACCATCTTTGTCAGTAAACACCAGATGATACTGCCTAGTACTGGGTGTTTAAAAAGTCTTCAGTGAGGAAGTGATATATAAGTGACATATAGGCTGAGATTGGATGGGAGAAATGATAAGAATTCATGTAGAGAAAGAACATGAAATACAGCAAAGAACATGACATTTCCAAGAAGCTAATAAAAACCCAGTATGGATTGAGTGGAAAGGAGTGAAGGACAGAGAGGAGTATGCGAAACTTGGAGAGGTTGGAGCCCTGATTGTGAAGGCCTTTGTAGGTCAAATTAAAGATTTTGGAAGTCACTAAATAGAATGCGATGCTTACTGGGAATTTTTAAAAGACATCACTGACTGTAATATGGAGAGACTGATCTGAAGGGCAAAAAGTGTGGGCAAAGAGAAATCACTGAGGAAAACGAGGCAGTCATCTGGCAAAGATAAGGTAGTCACTTACACCGGTGGCAGCAGCAGGATGGTACAAAATAGGCTGAAATAAGATATTTAGGATGTGACATCATTATAATGATAATTGATTAGATGTGGGGGACAGTGAGGCAGAGAAAAGAGTTCAGGAGGACTCCTAGGTTTTGGCTTGACTAAGTGGCTATCTAAATATGATAGGAAGAATGGCAAGGAGAAGCAATGGGAGGGAGTGGGGATTAGCATGAAGAGTTTTATTAATAATTTTGGAAATGTGCTTTTGAGGTATCTGTGAGATAGGAAAGTGAAAAGACTAAGTAAGCACTTGATTTTTTTTTTTTTTTTTTTTTTTTTGTAGTCAGAGTCTCGCTCTGTCACCCAGACAGAGCTGGAGTGCAGTGGCACCGTCTCAGCTCACTGTAACCTTCTCTTCCCAGGTTCAAGTGATTCTTGAGGAAGCACTTGATTCTTATGGTTGATGCTTTGATGAACCACCTAGATTTCCTTCAGAAACACAAAGACTTACTTTTCCAGCTACTGGGAGCTCTCACTTATCAGTTCCCTAAAAGGGGTTGCCTCAGCTTAAGGGAGCCTCTTTCCCTAAGGTCATAGCTTCTTCCCAGGTTGGCCTACACTAATGATTGATCAACAGGACTTATAAAGAAAAGGCTCCTCACCCAAACTCAGGACAGTTCTAAAGAGTAATTTCAGCTTCTGAGTTCCTCATAGTATTGACTGGGGCCTCTGGTTGAAATGACATTGCAACTCAACTTCTCCCTTTTGACTTCCTTCGTTTCCCTTCCCCAGGTGTGAAGCCCAAGAATACTCCCTGAAAGTCCTCTTGTCTGCTAATTTCCATCTCAAGGCTGACTTCCCTGGGTAGCTCAATCTGTAACAGTTACATAAGCCTGGGTATCAGAACAGAGCACTAGGCATAATTTGGAGTCATAAGTCAGTAGGTGTTTAATAAAACTAAGGTAATAGACGAGTTTTTCAGGGTGAAGATAGATGTAGGCCTACTTCAGGGCTTTGAGGCACCAAAGTTTAGTGTTTGGGAATAGGACAAGATACAACAAAGGAAACTGATAAGAAATGGCCAAACTATTTGAATGAAAAGCAGAAGAGATGGGGACTAAAAATGCTGTTTGGTTATTATTGATTACCTTGAAAGAAAGAGCATCCAGTAGGAAATTGAGACGAGAGTAGGATGAGGAATAAATGTAAGGTACAAAAAATCAGAAATATGAATGTAGTGAGCTTGCCAATATGTGTGACAGTGAATGGAGGGATAGAAATAAAGGAGGTCTGCCGGGCGCTGTGGCTCAAGCCTATAATCCCAGCACTTTGGGAGGCTGAGGCAGGTGGGTCATCTGAGGTCAGGAGTTCAAGACCAGCCTGACCAATATGGTGAAACCCTGTCTCTACTAAAAATACAAAAATTGGGCGTGGTAGTATGAGCCTGTAATCCCAGTTACTCAGGAAGCTGAGACAGAAGAATTGCTTGAGCTTAGGAGGCAGAGGTTGCAGTGAGCCGAGATTGAGTCACTGCATTCCAGCCTGGGCGACAGAGCAAGATTCCATCTCAAAAAAAAAAAAAAAAAAAAAAAGAAAGAAAAAAGAAATACATAAAGAAGATTTTTGTTTTAATAAAATGGGAGAAATTTGAACAGTTTGAGCATGTTTACATTACATTAGAATGAAGAACCAGGTGGAAGATGTTGAGAAAATATTGCATAACAGATTGTAGAAGATTCTTGAAAAAATAAGAAGAGATGGGACCAGTGCCATAAGTAAAGGGATGGCCCTTGGCTAGGAAAAGTGAATTTGTGGCAGGAATAAGCACATTCATGTCATGTGTTTTTTATTTCCCCTGTGGAGGGCTATCGTGGGAGACAAGTTGAAGGACTGAGGAGAGGGGAGAAAGTTTGAAAAAGTCATGTAGAAAGTGAGATGATGGCAGAAGTAAAAGATAGCTTGATGAAAAGGCACAATCTAGCCAGGTGATTTGGCAAATTGTAATAGCTTCATTGAATTATCACTTCAATTAGATTTGTGAGATGTTGAAAATAATGTTACAATAATTACCATTTTGCTTTTTAAATAGTTTTATTTTGTGAGATAAATTTTATTCTGATGAATATGAAAGCAAACTTTGCTTAGAAGATGTGCCATCCTTGTAGCATAGGACACTAAGTCAAAGATCAAAGAATCACTAACATGGTGATTGCCCCAGGGTATTCCAAAGCTTAGAAGGATGCTACCTGGTTCTGCCCAGAGAAACTTTAATTTCTCAAAGAGAAGTTAAGAATTTATTGATATCTGTCTTTTTCTTCAAGAAAAAGAAAGATCAAAATGCTAGAGAACATTACACATTAAACCCAAATTCAGGGAAACCGAGCCTGATTCCTTTGAGAAAAAATGGAGGCAATGGGAAGCGTAAAAAGTCTAACCAAAACTGAGAAGCAGTTTGCCTAATACACTTCTCAAATTTAAATGAAAGACTAGTTTTTAGACAATATGCAAGGTTTCAATTTGACAGGCATTTTGTCATTATGTACTTTAGAAACAATTTATGAGAAAATACAAATTCAGTTAATGTGTATACTTAGCATCAAGTAAATTACTCTATGACAAGATATTTTTAAAATTACAATTTTAAAGTAATTTATTATTTTCCTAAAATAAAGGAGCAGCTCTTTGACATTGTAAGACAATCCAAACAATACAAATGTAAATAACATTAGTGATATAATTTCCCTTATTCTCTCAAATACCTCAGATCTACTTCCTTGGTCCTGAGATTAGCACTGTAAAGAGTTTGCTCTGTTTCTTCCCAGATGTAAATATACACACTTAAATATGTATTTATATACACATTGGTTTTTATATATAAGTGGGCTATATATTATGTATCATAGTGTATATATTGTTGTAGGACTTATATTTTCACCCAAAATAAAATAAGCAATTGTAATGTTAACATATACAGGTTGACTTTATAATAACTGAATAGCATTTTATAAGCTGGGGGTAACATAATTTATTTAATTATTCTTTCACTGATGGACTTTTCAATGGTTTTATCTTCCTTATATTCTTTCTTTTACTTTTCTTTTTTCTGTCCTTCCTTCCCTTCATTTCTTCCTTCATAGGTTATAGGTGGGAGTCAAATAATAAAATTTAAAGCTGAAATAGAATAGTAGAATTCTAAACATATTTAAAAGAACCAATATAAACACCAAGAAAGATCTTAACATTGAATAAACTTAGATGATGGAGGAGTTGGAAAGAAGGAGACGAAAGAAAGAAGTTGTAAGCCAATTTTATTTTATTTTTTATGATAACAAATAGACATTGCCCAAAACCTGTGGAAGTAGGATATTATTTTAAAATAATAGCATAAATAAACTACCTAAAAATACCCTTCTTCCTAAATAGCAAAATAAATGTAAAAACTACTGCAACAGCAGCAATAGCAGCAATATAATGAGCAACGAAAGCAGACCATATAGTGAAAAGTTTTAAAAAGCTGTATCTGCACACACTATAGATATTTAAAAAACCTATAAAATTCTTATAAAGAACTTAAATCTTCTATTAGAAGAGAAAAACATTTTCTTATTTGGTTCCAAAGCAAAACCCAGCTCAATGTTGTGTGCAAAAGGCACAACTAAAACTAACTTCTTCAAAATAGTTAAAAAGAAAAGAAGGGGTAGAAAAAAGTACATGGAGTAAAGATCAAAGGACAGAATCAGCAAAGTGAGAAAGCCACCCACAAAAGCGGAGAAAATATTTAAAAATCATATATTTCATAAGTGATTTTTATCCAGAATATATAAAAAACTCTCATAACTCAAAATAAGAAGGCAAATAACAGAATATAAAAATTAGTGAGGGGCCAGGCACGGTGGCTCACGCCTGCAGTCCCAGCACTTTGGGAGGCCAAGGCACTTGGATCACCTGAGGTCAGGAGTTTGAGACCAGCCTGACCAACGTGGCAAAACCTCGTCACTACTAAAAATACAAAAATTAGCTGGGCATGGTGGCACATGCCTGTAATACCAGCTACTTGGGAGGCTGAGGCAGTGGAATGGCTTGAACCTGGGAGGTGGAGGTTGCAGTGACCTGAGATCGTGTCATTGCACTCCAGCTTGGGAAACAAGAGCGAAACTCCATCTCAAAAACAAACAAACAAACAAACAGTGAAGAATATAAATAGGTATTTCTTCAGTCAAGATAAATAAATGGCCAACAAACACATGAAAAGATGCCCAACACTAATCATTAGGGAAATGTATATCAAAACCACAGTAAGACATCAACTTGAGGTCATCATGTTAAATTATATAAGCCAGTTACAATAAGAAAATATTACTATATTATATAGTATTGCATTAAAAGTATTATTTTACTCATATGAGATAGCTAGCATTGACAAATTTATAGGGACAGAAAGTAGAATGGTGGTTGCCAAGAATTGGAAGGAGAGGGAAATGCTAAGTTGTTTAATGGGTTCGGAGCTTTAGTCTTACAAGAGGAAAAGAATTTTGGAGATGGATGCTGGTTACAGTTGTACAACAGCGCGAATGTAGTTAATGCCACTAAACTATACACTTAAAAATGGTTAGGATGGTAAATTTTAATTAAGTGTACTGTACCATAAGTGTACTTTTTAAAAAAAGTACATTATTTAAAAGTACAACCAATTTAAACAACAGAAAATATCAAGGATACTGGGCTTGACAAAGTGAAAATCCTGCCATAAACAATAAATTAATCAAAGAAGGACCTTTTATAAAACCTTAATTGCAAAAGGAGACACAATTCAGTTATAAGTATCCATAATAAATTAATGTAATGGTAAATTTCATAAAGCAGAAACTTTATAAGACAGGAAATAGGAAGAAAATTTAATAAAATTTATTATCTAAAAGATTTCAAGTGAACAAAATATTAGTCAAAGATATAGAAGATTCTAACAATCAATACTTTATACCTTATGGATCTATATCAACACTGTTCCCTAATAATAAAGAATACACTTATTTTTAGGCACACATAAAACAGTCATAAATACTTGCCATATATGTTAGGTCATAAAGAAAATCTAATTAAATTCCAAATAAATTAATATAGGTCACATTCTCTGATCATAGTGCAACACATTTAAAACTTAAGCAAAATAGAAAGGCTATTTTCCCTGGAAATGTACAAACTTTCTATTAAGCAACTCTGGGGTCAAAAAATAAATATAAACTAAAATGACAGAATTTCTAGAAAACAATAAAGAAAACATCACATATCAGAATTTATAGGATATTAACTAAAGCAGTAATCAGAGTAAAATATTAGCTTCAAATATATCAATCAATATAAAAATGAGAATAAATAATTCTAAACAAATAAATCTGTAAACTAGAGAAAGAACAACAAAGAAAGCCAAAGAGAAAAAGGAAGAAATTAATACAACTAAATATAAACCTTAATGAACTAGGAAATACAAAAGTAGTATATAAAAGTCTGAATTTTTAAAAACGATACAATAGAAAGATACAGATGAAACAAATATAAATAACAAGAAATAATACGGAGTAAATAACTTCTCAACTAACTGAAAATTGTCTTCTATACTTATTATTCATTTTTTTTAATCTGAAATGCATATATGTTTGGGAACATGTATTGGGAACACATGTATGTTTCAGCCTTTATTTTACTAGGTGCCTCTGTGGCAGTGAATATTCACTATTCCCTCCTTCTTGGAAAACTGCTTTTTCTTGGCTTCTATCATTCCACTTTCTCCTGGTTATGCTTCTACGTTTCTGATTACTATTCTTGACCTTGTACGTAGTCTTTTTACTCCTACTTCTGCCCATTAAATAAAGTTTGCACTACTTAGGGTTTCATCATCTGCTTTTTGCCCTTCTCAATCCACATCTTTTCCCAAAACTCTTCTCACAGGTTCAGACTCATATGTAACTTCATGAAAGTGAAGTAATAAAAATTGAATTTATGTTACCACTCCCCCGCATCCCCCGCCTCTCTCCCTCTCTGTCTTGGTTTCTTTCTCTCTCTGTCTCTCTCTCTCTCTTCCTCCTCTTGCTATGGATATAATCATTCATCTAATCATGAAGGTTATAAACCTGGCTTTTGTCCTGATTCCTTTATCCACTTGGTTCCTATACCACTTTTATTCAATCACTAAATCCAGCTAATTTTACCTCTGAAATAATTCTTGAATTTACAGTTTCTTTCATTTTTGCTATCATGACTGTGGTTCAGGTTCTCATAGTCTTACTCTTGGACTAATGAAATTAGCCTACTCCAAATTTATCTATCTGCCTCTAGTCTTGCTTCTTCTCTGAATCATATTTCACATGACTTTCAGAATTATCTACTAAATGCAAACTTTCTTCATCTCTATTCTATCTAAAACCCTACAAAATCTCTGCATTCTCTTTAGGACAAGCCTACTTTTTATTCTAGCATGCAGGTCCTCTGTAAATTGTCTCTTTTCTATCACATTGCTCTTATTACAGTGTGCTCTTTATCCTCAACAATATAAGCTTACTTAATATTTCTCTTCATACAAAATGTGCTTTTTCATCTCTGCATATTGGTAGTTTGATTTCTTCTGCCAAGAATGTTATACTCATCCCCAACAACTCTCACTCAGCTACTGAGAGTCAGATCACAGTCATCTCTTTCAGGAAACCATTCCTGACTCTCCTTCCTCCAGATTGGATGATATGCTCATCAACCCTCCTTGAACACATTTACATTGTGTCATTTCTCATTATATATATTATATATGCAGTTGTGTATAACATGCATGCATATATATTATATATGCATATATTAATTACTATTCAATTAATAATGCCTTTTAATTGTGTATTTAATAATGCATATTAATTAATAATGCATATATTAATATATATTTGTACTATGTATATATAAAACACACACATATATATATAGTTGTTTGAACAAAATCTTTTTTTTTGTTTTTAACTTGGGTTTTTCAAAAACGTTATTGTGGTAAGAAAACTTATATGAGATCCACCCTATAAAAAATTTTAAGTGCACAATATAGTATTTTTGACTATAGGTACAATGTTGTACAGCAGATCTCTAGAGCTTATTAATCCAGTTTATCTCAAACTTTATGCCTATTGACTAGTAACTCCTCATTTTCCCCTCTTCCTCCCCCAGTAACCACCATTCTACTTTTTGATTCTGTGATTTTGACTATATTAGTTACCTCATGTAAGTGTAATCATGCAGTATTTGTCTTTCTGTGTCTCACAGTGTATTGAAAAGTTCTGCTTATGACTATCTCCACAAGCACCTTAGTGCCTTGAAAGAGGAAAGCGTGTTTTACATTTTCATCCTCTAATGCTGATGCAGTCCGTTGCATATGCTAGCTACATTGTTTCCTGAGTAAAACTGAAAATCATCACAATCGCTTAAAATTTCTATTTAAAAGTATTTCTATTTAAAACTTTTAATGTAATTATAACACTAATTATATAGTCACTAAACATTTTCTCTATTAACTAGATACCTAACATTTTCCTTTCTCTGTTGCCTCCTTACTCTGCCTTTTGCATTTCTTTTTTTTTGACAAAGTCTTGCTCTGTCACTCAGACTGGAGTGCAGTGGTGCCATCGCAACTCACAGCAGCCTCAATCTCCTGAGCTTAACTAATACTCCCACTTCAGCCTCCCTAGTAGCTGGAACCACACGTGTGTGCCACCACACCTGGTTAATTTTTGTGTTTTTTGTAAAGATGGGGTTTTGCCCTGTTGCCCAAGCTGGTCTTGAATTCCTGAGCTCAAGCAATCTGTCTGCCTTAGCCTCCCAAAGTGCTGGGATTACAAGCATAAGCTACCATGTGGGCCAGTTTTTCTTTTTTATTTACCCATATTTAAGGAAAGAAAACAAGGAATATATACATAATAATTCTTTACAATACTGATATTAAGCATTACTCCCAATAGCCAAGATATAGAAACAACCTAAGTGTCTGTCCATAAATGAAGAAAGAAAATGTGGCCAGTCTGGTGGCCCACACCTGTAATCCCAGCACTTTGGGAGTCCGAGGGAGGAGGGTTGCGTGAAGCCAGGAGTTCGAGGCTAGCTTGGGCAACATCGTGAGACCTCATCTCTACAAAAAATAAAAAAATTAGCTGGGCATGGTGGTGCTCATCTGTAGTCCCAGCTACTCAGGAGGCTGAGGAGGGAGGATTGATTGAGCCTGGGAGTTCAAGGCTGCAGTGAGCTAAGATCATACGACTACACTGCAACAGAGTGAAACCGAGTCTCCAAAAAAAAAAAAATAAATAAAATAAAAGAGAAAGAAAAATGTAACATATACATACAATTAAATATTATTCAGCCTTAAAAAAGAAGGAAATCCCGTTGGTTGCAACATGATGATTTGAAGATTCTAGAGGATATTAATATTATGTTAAGTGAAATAAACAGAAAAAAAGTGAAAAAAAAACAGAAAGAAAAATACTGTATGATGTCACTTATATGTGGAATTTTGAAAACATGAACTCATAGAAACCAAGAGTTGAAGAGTAGTTACCAGGAGTCAGAAGTGGGAGAAAAGGGAAGCTGTTGGTCAAACTGTATAAACTTACAGTTATAAGATGACTAAATTCAGAGACCTTTTGTACAGCATGATGACTACAGTTAATAATAATATATTGCATACCTGATATTTACCAAGAGAGTAGATCCTAAATATTCTCACCACAAACGAAAGGTAAGTATGTGAGGTAACAGGTATATTAGTTAGCTTGATTGTGGTAGTCATTTCACCATGTGCACATAGATCAAAACATCACGTTGTACATCTTGAATATATTTAATTTTATTTGTCAGTTATGTATCAATAAAGCTGAAGAAAAGAGTAGTACTTGATTGCATGTACTGAACAATCAGGCCTGTTAATAATTTAATATTGTTTGTGCTAGTAGTTGTGGTTACCTCAATATATATTGTGCACAGTAAACTTGTAGCACCAGAGTTGTCAGAGTAAACATCAGCACCTCGAGAGGATAAAAAAAATTGATTTCTGTCTGGACACAGTGACTCATGCCTGTAATCCCAACACTTTGGGAGGCCGAGATGGGCGGATCACTTGAGGAGTTTCAGACCAGCCCGGCCAACATGGTAAAACCCTACCTCTAATAAAAATACAAAAAATTAGCCAGGCGCGGTGGTGTGTGCCTATAATTCCAGCTACTCAGGAGACTGAGGCACAAGAATCACTTGAACCCAGGAGGTGGAAGTTGCAGTGAGCAGAGATGGTGTCACTGTACTTTAGCCTGGGTGACAGAGGGAGACTCCTTCTCAAAAAAAAAAAAAAAGAAAAGAAAAGAAAGAAAGAAAAAGAAAAAGAAAAAAGAAAAAAGAAAAAAAAATGTATTTCCTTTTTGGAAAATGAACACTGCCACCTTATGTGAGGGTATATACTAAATCACTCTTTGCTTCAATAAAAATAAGCAAATATTGCTGAGATAAGAGCTTTATTTAACATTTGATCAAAACCTTTTATTAGAAGTGTTTCTGTACTCCAGACTTACTTCTTTATAAATTCTCCCTTTTGTGATTGAATGTATATACTCTTAATTTTCCTAAAAATTCATGATATTTCAAAGAATGAAATCTAAATATTTTCCCACTTTTCCATATATTATTAGAAGTAATTTTGTTCAAAGTGCTGTTGAAATCCACATGTGACCCATGACATGCTGAGATACAACCATCTGCAAACTTTATAAAAAGAAAAGGAGTTCAAAATAATTTGTCAAACATCTATTTAGACAATTTTCCCTCCACTACTTTATACTTCTGTTTAACCTATATTTATTATTAATCTATCATTAGCTTTTGTCTGCATAAAAATGTACATTTGAAAGATGAGCCTTTAAGTTTTATTAATATAATTTTAGTGTTACTATGAGTAGTACTTGTTTTATTACATATTCGGAGCTCTATTTTAGTAAGAAAAATTAACAGATTTCTAAATCACAATTTAAACTTTTAACTACATTCATTTTTAAACATACATTTGCTTATATTTCTGGTTATATTATTTTAGTTATAGAAACAAAAAAAAAAGCCCAAATAGCCAAAGCAATGCTGAGAAAAAAAAAAACAAAACAGAAAACAAACAAACAAAAAACAAAACAAAAGGCATCACATTACCTGACTCCAAACCACACTATAAGGCTACATTAATCAAAACTGCATGTCACTGGTACAAAGACAGACATATACACCAATGGAACAGAAGGATCCCAGAAATGAAGCTGAAGCTGTACACCTACAAACCATTTGATCTTTGAAAAAGTTCACAAAAATAAACAATGGGGGAAAGGATGCCCTATTTAATAAATGGTGCTGAGATACCTGGCTAGCTATGCAGAAGAATGAAACTAGACCCCTAATCTTACCCTATATACAAAAATTAACTCAAGATGGAGTAAAGATTTAAATGTAAGACCTCAAACTATAAAAACCTTAGAAGAAAACCTAGGAAATACTATTTTGGACATCAACCTTGGCAAATAATTTATGACTAAGTCCTCAAAAGCAATTGCAACAATACCAAAAATGGACAAGTGGGGCCTAGTTAAACTGAAAAGCTTCCTTCACAGCAAAACAGCAACAACAGCAAACACATCAACAGGGTAAACAGACAACCTACAGAATGGAAGAAACTATTCACAAGCTATGCATGTGCCAAAGTTTTAACATCAGAATCTGTAAGAAACTTAATTCAACAAACAAAGTAACCCCATTATAAAATGGGCAAAGGACATGAACAGATACTTCTCAAAAGAATATACACAATCAGTCATAAACATGAAAAAACTCCCAACATTACTAATCATCAGAGAAATGCAAATCAAAATCACAATGAGATGCCATCTCACATGAGTAAGAATGCTTATTATTAAAAAGTAAAAAAATAACAGATGCTGGTGAGTCTGTGGAGAAAAGGGAACACTTATATCCTGTTGGTGGGAGTGTAAATTACTTTAGCCACTGTGGAAAGCAGTTTGGCAATTTCTCAAAGAACTTAAAATAGGACTACCATTCGACCCAGCAATCTCATTACTGGATATATACTTGAAGAGCTATAAATCATCCTACCATAAAGACAAATGCATGCATATGTTCATCAAAGCATTATTCACAATAGCAAAGATATGGAATCAATGTAGGTGCCCATCCATGGTGGATTGGATAAAGAAAATGTGGTACATACACACCATGGAATATTATGCAGCCACAAAAAGAAAAAAAACTGTGTCCTTTGCAGCAACATGGATGCAGCTAGAGGCCATTATCCTAAGTGAATTAACACAGGAACAGAAAACCAAATACTATATATTCTTACTTATAAGTGGGAGCTAAATATCGAGTACTTACGGACACACAGAGAGCAACAATAAATACTGCAGATTACTAGGGAGGGGAGAAAGGGAAGAGGGAAAGGGCTGAAAAACTACCTATTGGGTTCTATGTTCACTACCTGGGTGACGGAATCATTCATATGGCAAACTTCAGCATCACACAATACGCCCATGTAACAAATCTGCACATGTACCCCCTAAACCTAAAATAAAAGTTGAAATTAAAAAAAAAGAAATCATGAAAGTCCCTACTCTGTCAGATTCTTAGTTTTCAATGTACACAAACACACCAAATGAAAGTAGAGTCTGGGGTATTAAGATACAGTAATGGGCGTGCTCAGTTAATATCCCCAGGACAGTTACGTGACATGTTCAGTACTTTTGCCAAGGGGGTAGAGCCTTAATCACAACAAAGTGGTGGGGTACTAAGCAGACAAAAACAAGATAGAGTAGGATTGTTTAGCAGTGCTGAGTCATGAATTTTTAGAGATACTAATCTTTTTTTTTTTTTTGCCTTTCTTTACAACACTTGGCTGCTTATGTACATAAATGGAGAAGATGGATGTGTAAGTTTATTCAGCCATGAGTATTTGCTAGACTGTGCAATCAAAAGGAAAGTGGGGCAAGAGATTTAAGGTTGCTTGCAAAAGAATTATTTGGAATGTGAGCTATTTAATTTGAAGAGAGACATGAAGAAAGAGTAAATACTGGAGACTACTAAAGGATGTGAGAAAGTAGTAGGGGCATTAAGTTAAAAGTATCAATGTGTTAAAACAGTATTTCCATGGAAGTGTGAGTAAGCTAGTCAGAAGAAATAAATATGGTAATTAATGAGCAGAATATATGAATTTGTGACTTTGGAAATTGAGGAGTTTCAGATGATGGGAAAGACTGTACTTTGGCAATAGGAACATAAAGTCGAGAAAAGTGGCAACAGAGATGAGGCAATAAAGGATTGAGAAGCAAATTTGTTGAGTGGTACAACAAAGCAGATATTAATGCTAACAGAGATGAAAGGATTTGGAGTGAGGAAGAAAACTGAGCCAGGAGGTACTAGTAATTAGTGATTGAGGGGGAAAGTTCAGAACATTTACCGATGACACCAGTATTAGCCTTTTTTCACACTGCTATAAAGAGCTACTGGAGACTGAGTAATTTATAAAGGAAAAAGATTTAATTGATTCACAATTCTGCATGGGTGGGGAGGCCTCAGAACTTACAATCATGGCAGAAGGTAAAGGGGAAGCAAGGGCCTTTTCATATAGCAGCAGGGGAGAGAGAGAGAGAGAGAGAGAGAGACAGCAAGGAAGTACCACACTATAAAACCATTAGCTCTCATGAGAACTCACTCACTATCATGAGAACAGCATGTGGGAAACCACCCCCATGGTCCAATCACCTCTCACCAGGTCCCTCTCTTGACATGTAGGGATTACAATTTCAGATGAGATTTGGGTGGGGACACAGAATCAAACGATATCATTCCACCCCTGGTCTCTTCCAAATCTCATGTCCTTTTCACATTTCAGAACCAATCATGCCTTCCCAACAGTCGCCCAAAGTCTTAACACATTCCAGCATTAACTCAAAAGTCCAATTCCAAAGTCTCATCTGACAAAGCAAGTCCCTTCTGACCATGAGCTGTTAAAATCAAACAAGTTAGTTACTTCCAAGATACAATGGGGGTACAGGCACTGGGTAAATGTTCTCATTCCAAATGGAAGAACTTGGCCAAACCAAAGGGGCTGCAGGCCCCATGCAAATCTGAAAACTGGCAGGGCACTTATTAAATCTTAAAGCACCAAAATAAACTCCTTTGATTCCGTGTCTCACATCCAAAACACAATGATGCAAGAGGTGGGCTCCCAAGGCCTTGGGCTGCTCTGCCCCTGTGGCTTTGCAGGGTACAGCCCCCGCAGCTTATTTCACAGGCTGGTGTTGAGTGCCTGCGACTTTTCTGGTGCACAATGCAAGCTGTTGGTGGATATACCATTCTGGGATCTAGAGGGTGGTAACCGTATTCTCACAGCTCCACTAGGCAGTCTCCCAGTGGGGACTCTGTGTGGAAGCTCCAACCCCATGTTTCCCTTCTGCATTGCCCTAGTAGAGATTCTCCATGAGGGCTCTGCTCCTGCAGCAGACTTCTGGCTGGTCATCAAGGCATTTCCATACATCCTCTGAAATTTAGGCAGAGGCTCTCAAAGCTCAACTCTTATCTTCTGCACACCTGCAGCCCCAACACTTGGAAGCCACCAAGGCTTGGGGCTTGCATCCTCTGAAGAAACAGCCCAAGATGTACCTCGATCCGTTTTAGCCACTGCTGGAGCTGGAGTGACTGGGACACAAGGGGCCATGTCCCAAGGCTGCACAGAGTAGCAGGGCCCTGGGCCCAGCCCACAAAACCATTTTTCCCTCCTGGGCTTCCAGGCTTGTGATGGGAGGGGCTGCCGTGAAGATCTCCGAAATGCTCAGGAGACATTTTCTCCCTTGTCTTGATTATTAACATTTGGCTGTTTGTTATGCAAATTTCTGCAGCAGGCTTGAATTTCTCCCCAGAAAATGGATTTTTCTTTCCTATTGCATGGTCAGGCTGCAAATTTTCCAAATTTTATGGTCTGCTTCCCTTTTAAACATAAGTCCCAATTTCAAATAATCTCTTTGTGAACACATACGACTGTGTGCTTTCAGAAAAAGCCAGGTTATATCTTGAATACTTTGCTGCTTAGAAATTTCTTCCACCAGATACCCTAAGTCATCTCTCTCAAGTTTGAAGTTCCACAGATCTCTAGGGCAGGGGCAAAATGCTGCCAGTTTCTTTGCTAAAGCATAGCAAGAGTGACCTTTTTTCCAATTCCCAGTAAGTTCCTCATCTACATCTGAGACCACCTTCATTGTCCATATCACTATCAGCATTTTGGTCAAAACCATTCAACCAGTCCCCAGGAAGTTCCAAATTTTCCACACCTTTCTTTCTTCTTCTGAGCCCTCCCAACTATTCCAGCCTCTGCCCTTTACCCAGTTCCAGTCTTTTCCACATTTTTAGGTATCTCTATCGCAGTGCCCCACTCCCAGCACCAATTTTCTGTATTAGTTTGTTTTTACACAGCTATAAAGAACTACTGGAGACTGGGTAATTTATAAAGGAGAGAAGTTTAATTGACTCACAGTTCTGCATGGCTAAGGAGGCCTCAGGAAATGTACAATCATCGCAGAAGGTGAAGAGGAAGCAAGGACTTTTTTCACATGGTGGCAGGAGGGAGAGAGAGAGAGAGGGAGAGAGAGAGAGGAAATGCAACACTTTAAAACCATCAGCTCTCAAGAGAACTCACTCAGTATCACAAGAACAGCATGGGTTAAACTGCCCCCATGATGCAATCAACTCCCACCAGGTCCCTCCTTTGACATGCGGGGTTTACAATTCAAGATGAGATTTGGATGGGGACACGGAGGCAAACCATAACAGCAGCAAACATTCTGGCAAGTGGTAACGTTGAAAAGAATGAGTTTTCAAGAAGGGGATTTTAAAGGAAGGAAAGAAACAGAATAATAATTTGAGAGAAAATACGAAGATCAGTAAGGACATTGATTCCATGTCCCAAGAAGAGTGGGTGCATGTTAACAGACAATCTCAGTTTGAGAGGAATATAGAGAAAGCAGTGTCCACAAAGGAGAGAGCAAAGTTTGCCTTATGTGAAGGAGCTTGTAATTTCTTGAGAAGAGGATGAAGACATAAGAAAGTTTGTTGCTCAATGACCATGGGTTCCAGAGATTTTGAGACAGAAGGAAGAATCTCATAGAGAAATAAGATTAAGCATTATTGCTGGGCGCAGTAGCTCATGCCTGTAATCCCAGCACTTTGGGAGGCTGAGGTGGGCAGGTCACTTGATCCCAGGAGTTTGAGACCAGCCTGGGCAACACAGTGAGACCCCATCTCTACAAAAAGTGCAAAAATTAGCTGGGTATGGTGGCTTGTGGCTGTAGTCCTAGCTACTTGGGAGGAGGAGGTGAGAGGATCACCTGAACGTGGGAGGTTGAGGCTGAAGTGAGCCATGATCACACCACTGCTCTCCAGTCTGGGTAACAGATTGAGACCTTGCCACAAAGTAATAATAATAGTAATAGTAAATAAAATAAAGCATTATTGGATGAGAGCTTGGAAATGTATGATCTAGTAGATCTTGGACTTCCTTTAGTGACTGAAATCACCAGGGAAATGTTACACAAATGATGTTGGTCCAATAATGTCAAGTGTTAGAGTGGAATCTTGGGTCTGGCAATGTAGCCCTCTAGGCTCAGGGGTGGTGGCAGGAGTATAGGTGACTGAATGCAATGTTCTGCTATCTATTGGATAATAGTTGTAGCAGGAGCTCCAAACAACTCTTCTGCCAGGCTTCAGATTTAAGGCAAAGAAATAGTAGACTACGTAGGAGTATAGTAGAACTCTACTTATCAGAAACCCCATGGCTTGAAGGGGGAAGGGTGAGGGCTGACTTGATGAGGCGATTGGCTAGATTGGGTGTTGGATTCCACTAGTTTGGCAAGGGTGGCGTGAGAATCAGATAGCAAAGTTTGTTCATAAAGAAGAAAAATGTTATACATTGTGTTAAAAGAATTTTCACTTAGGTAATTAGTAATTAAATCATTTTTCAGACTTGATTCAGTCATCATGTATGACTTTTTCGTATTATATGTCTAGTAGATAATGGATCTACGAATATTGTTTCAAGGCCTCATGTAGGATGTCTACAATATAAACCTAGTGTGCTTTCTTTGATGTATTTGCAATTCAGCTGAAATGATAAATCTAGACATAAATCAATAAATGTTAATTCCCATAAGATCCAATTAGGAATAAATGTGACCAGAATCCAACCATTTTTGACTTTCTAATGACAAAAGTACATTAGTAAATGCTGAATGCCCAATTTTATAATTATGCCATTAGTGCTAGAACTGCTAATTTAACAGTTATAACCTGAAAGTCCTTTTGGTACTCAAGTACTCTGTGGTCATATTCTTCTTATTTTCTGAAGAAATAAGTCTGCTAGATAACATAACACCTAAAATTTACATTTAGAATGATGACACACTCTATTATTCTTAAATTGCTTTAAAGTCCAGTTCAATTCTAGCTTAGCTAGGACATAGAGAAGATAGTAAATCAAATAAATAATATTCTTATGATAATTTTCAAAGCTTTCCAGTTCTAGTTCGAAATTAGTAGAGGCACTGCTTTGAAGAAATCAGCATGGCAGAAACTCTTTTTTTTGAGAACAAAGAATAATTATTTGGCCTGAACTCATAATTCCTAACTTTTACACTGTAGTTTTAGAAAGACCTGATTGCAAAGCAATGACATACAATTGCATATCATGCCTCCCCTTGGATGACACTGCAGGAAGAAAGTCAGTAGGCCCTGTCTTCCCTCTTCCTTGCTTTTTTCCTTTCAACCACCTCCCCACCAGCTTCAGCAAGTACATCTTAATTTATTTTACGTATTGCCTTCATCTTTGTTTATAGTAAAGGTTCAAATGTTAAAAGAGGTTAAGTCACTGCCAATAAAATAATTGAGAGAAAAAATATGTATTTTACTAATTAATAAAATTCAATAATATTTCCCCACATAAAATACTTTATAACTTATCATATGTCATCTTGTTCTTTCTAGTCTAAAATATCTTGTCTCCTCTTTTGTATTATATATGTAAAAATCTAAAAAAATTAAATCAAGGGATATTTAAGGTAGATTATTATCTCTGTCTAATACCAACTTAAGTTTTGTATTTTATCTCATTTTATTTCTATGTCTTTTAAAAAGAAATATTTCTTAGGGAATAAAGAATGACAACAACTGGGCCAGGCACTGTGGCTCACACCTGTAGTCCTAGCATTTTGGGAGGCAGACATGGGCAGATCACCTGAGGTCAGGAGTTCAAGACTAGCCTGGCCAACATGGTGAAACCCCCTTCTCTACTAAAAATACAAAAACTTAGCCAGGTGTGGTGGTGCATGCCTGTGGTTCCAGCTGCTCAGGAGGCTGAGACAGAAGAATTGCTTGAACGTGGGAGGTGGAGGTTGCAGTGAGCCAAGATCGTGCCATTGCACTCAAGCCTGGGCGACAGAGTGAGACTCTTGTCTTGCAGAAAAAAAAAAAAAAAAAAAAAGAATGACAAAAATCAAGTGCCTTTTATAAAACACCAACAAAAATCCAAACTGATGGATATGAACAATATCCTGAAATTACAGGTTACCATTTGCTCTGCAAAGAAGCATACTTGCAACAGTTTTATTTGATAAATTTTTTTGATACATAATTTTTGCTCTAAGACTTTTAAACTATACATTAGTCTCGAAAGCAAAAGAAAATATTAATAAATGGGTATAAAACAAAAACCAAGGCTAAAGCAATCATTTGATTTTTCTCAGATCATCATTACCAAATAAATAATCACCACGTCTTCTGCTTGGTATGCAACTAAACAGATATTTTTTTCTGATTGCGAGGGGAGATAACATCAATTCCTGGGATTTAATCAGGTTTGGATTTAGTTATACTGTCAGTGTAACATATGTCAACAGGAATTATTCAGTCTGCATGTGGGAATTTAGGAGGAGCCTTGAGAGAGAATAACATGATCAAAGTGAAAAAGCATAGAGAACTGGCAGAACAATATTAATTATTTTATGGCATATTTTTGGAGACTAATGGAAGGTAGAGTTGGATAAGTAATTTGAAGTCAAACAAGAAGGGCCTTGTATGTCATAAATGGAGTTTGCAATTATTCGTAAGTAACTGACGTTACTAAACCTTATTTTTCTTAATTCTCATCATTCTAAGGGTAAGCTGTCCTTTGATTAAAAAGTAGCTACCGATGCTCTTTGTCAAGTATGTATTCATTATTCTTAACATTTACAGGGAATTATTCAATGCATTTTTCATTTAATAATGTATTTAATGGCATTCTAGCTATCTATTACTGCATAACAAACCGCTGCAAACTTATAAGATTGGCTTAAAACAAAAAGCAAATTTACTCACAAACCTGAAATTTGGGCAGGGATTGACAGGATGGTGCTTCTCTAATCCACAAGCTTTCAGTTGAGGTGACGTGACTAGGACCGGAATATCTATTTTTAAGATGGCTGACTCACATGGCTAGCAAGATGGTGCTGGCTGTTGGCTGGAAGATCAGCTGAGGCTGTACAGTAGGAGCTGCAGTTCCACTGCACATGAGCCTCTCAACAGGGCTGTTTGGACTTTCTCTGATAGGAAGTATTCCAAGAGACAGGAAGTGGAAGCGGCCACAGTCTTTAAGATTTGGGTCCAGAAACTGACATGGCATAGTTTGGATCATACAAGCTTGGATCATACCAGCTAGGGATTCAAGTATCTTCTGTCTTATTGCTTTACTATTCTTCAGCGGGCTGCTTTATCAACATGATCCGAGATGGCTCACCGCCAGTACATCTGTGTTCTACCCCTTCGGAAAAAGGAAAGAGGAAGTGACAAGCAACGAGATTCCTTTTAATGCTGTGACAAACAAGGGAACAAATTATTTCCACTCATATGGCATTGGCCAGAACTCAAACCAGTGTGGACCTAGAAAAAAGGAGGAAACTGCAGTGTTCCACTATTGTGTCATATACCTAGGCAGAGAAACTTGGAGGGTTTTATTTATAAAAGGAAGAAATAGAGAGCAAATATTGGGGAATTATTTTTAGCAGCTTCTGAAATAGTAGTTAATCCCAACTTGATTGAGATTTAGTTTCTCTCTCAAAAGAATAAGGATTTAGGATGTAAATAAAATTCTATAAGAGAAACTGCATTACTTATACATTGAAATTGAGGGATGAGATTCATTATTGACTAATTTTTGACAATACATCTTGAGGAAATACTGTGATTCTGTGAAAAAAAATTATTGTGCAGAAATGACACAGCCCCTAGTAAATTACTGTGATTTTGTTGATAACAGTGGACTAGGTAATGGCGCGGAGTTTGAAGGAATACCTCGGAAAAACCTTTGTTGGTAGAGAGAAGACAATCACTAGGAGGAAAGAAGAGAGAAAATAAATCCATGTTAGAAATTTTAAATTAAACTAAAATATCTGAGTTCCAAAAGAATACCTAAACTATGAGGATGTTGAAAGGCTACATTTTAAAAGTTTCTGTCTTTGACCAAAGGAAGGAAGGAAGCTCTTCCTGGAAAAGGAAAGGCAATCCCAATGGCATCGGTTTAGGCCACAAAGGCAGAGGGAGCCATAATCCTGCTAAACTGGCATTCCACTCCATCTTCTGTAAATACCATGGCTTAAGATTCATGCAGAAGATCTCTATTTTGGAAAAATAGATGTTAATCTTCTTAGTCTTTATACTGCTACTTTCAAATCAGCAATTGCTATGAGAGAAAAAGTGCCCCCTAAATGCTGAGGTAATTTCTCTATTATGTCTTGGCCCTGTAATGCTTAAATGTCTCAGTAGTGCACTGCTGACTTCCAACAAATTTTACAAATATTTTTCAAATATTTGTAGTGCGGCCAACAAGAGGGTTAAGCCAAAATAATGCAGTGCACCACTGATGGAGGAACTCCTATTCTTATGATTTTAAATAATGCATTTTTGAAAATGTGGAATATGATACGATGAATTGTCAGAATGTCAGCAACTTAGTTTGATTTGGTTCAATGAAAGTATAGACAGATTTCTATTACTGGATAGATAACTGAAGCCATTGAAAAAGCAAATAGGGTAAAACATTAATGATTGATGAATTTAGATGATTCAACAATTGTTAAGTGGGGATGTTTGTTCAAATATTCTATATGAATACTTATCATAACAGAATGTTGGTGGGAAAATGTATAATAGACAGAAAAGTAGGCTTTACCATGTTGCTGTTCTTTAGAACTCAATGTGGGTTAATACATAAATATATCACAGGAACTGGACATTTGCTCTGTTCACTTGCAACAGCACACAGTTTATTTTTTTATAGACAGAAGAAAAAACATGACTGTACAACTCAGTCCTTCCTCAACCTTATTCAGGCTCAATCTTTGCATCAGAAATTTGTGGTGTGATACCATAGGAAATCTGCAACATTGTCTATTAGACCTTTATGACAAAAAATATTTGTAAGTCCAATTCAATATAATAATCAGACATCTGAGTTTGGTTCAAGGTAAAGTTTCTCTTTCCCTCCAACACTGATCTCCTGAAATGGAAGATGTAGTGGGAATAGGGGATATGGTGGACTCTTCTTTTATCCCTGGAAGTTTTTCCCACTCACTGTCCCCTCCAACTTATTATGGCCTTCAACTCCTTCGGGGCCATAGTAGAAGAAGAAAAGTTAGGGTGATACATTTGTGGATAGTTATTAAAACAACTCAGCCCTTTGGAACCTGGTGCTTTCACTGCATTCCAATGCCTTGCTGACTCTTCTTTTTCTAATTAGAATATGCTGCCTTTTGGACAATGTACTTTTAAGTTGGCTTCAAGACAATTTATCTCTCCTTTGTCTCTGACTATTTTCTCTGCCTGTTTCTCTTTATGTTTTTCTTTAATTTCTCTCAGTCATAAGCCAGACAGGTCTGGTGAAATAAATATCAAGGCTTCCATGTAATCTCTTTTTTTTTTCTTAGAAAGAAACATTTAATACAGATTTAATGAACAGAGCCATGTCTGTGTCAGAAGTGGCAGAGAGACAAGATGGTGGATCTCTGAGCCATTATCCCTCAGTCTCAGGGCTTACATACCCCACAGGAGGGGTGGTTCAGAAGGGATGTGTAGGACAATTGAAGTACAATAACTTCAAGGTTGTTTTACCTAAGGACAGGATTGATGGTAAGTACCTGCTCTTACACAAGGAGCAACAGAAGTTGCTTCTGAAGTTAATCAGAAGCCAACAAGGCAGTTTAGCTTCTAAGACGGAGTTACTTTGGCCTCCACATTCCACTCATCTAGTCCAGCTCTTACAATCTCAAGCGCCCTCCTCTTCTAAGATGATCCCTGAAACTTTAGGGAAGGTGCTTGATACTATATAGCTTTAGCAGCAGTGTATTGGCAGTGAAAAACGAGTCGGGGCCCAGTAAGATTTCAAATGGGTGAGATTCACAGGCTCTGTTGAATCATCTCTAGGATACCATGACTTCCATTTTCTTGAAAGAAGTAAAACAATGAGAGATACATAACAATAATAATTTGAATGGTAGAAATACTATGCACAGAGGATTACAATAAAGAGAGAATTTGTATGCCAGAATAACAACAAAAAAGAACCCATTCCATAAAGGAGTCAACTTAAAGCATCACAAGGAAAATTAAAACCTGGTTCTTCTTGAGACTTGTTGCAGCCAGGAAATAATTCAGGATTTAGCCCAGATTGTAGACAGATAATAAAAATTCAGAAACAGTTGCCAGGGCTAGAATCTAAATTTTTCTCTCTCCAGTTTTCCCATTTCTACCAATAATAAATGAAAGCAGGCCAATTTATTTGCAAAATAAATTTTGGTCTCATTATATTTGCCCTGGTCATTTGCATGAAGTACAGCAAGAATAGCGATCAGCCATTTAGAAGTCTTTTAAGTTGGTTTGGCTGGAACTTTTGTAAGGAGTTTTAGATTTGACTTCTTTTGTGTGTGTGTGAGATGGAGTCTCGCTCTGTTGCCCAGGCTGGAGTGCAGTGGCACAATCTCAGCTCACTGCATGCTCTGCCTCCTGGGTTCATACCATTCTCCTGCCTCAGCCTCCCGAGTAGCTGGGACTACAGGTGCCCGCCACCATGCCCAGCTAATTTTTTTGTATATTTAGTAGAGACAGGGTTTCACTGTGTTAGCCAGGTTGGTCTCGATCTCCTGACCTTGTCATCTGCTCGCCTCGGCCTCCCAAAGTGCTGGGATTACAGGCATGAGCCACCGCGCCTGGCCTAGATTTGACTTTTTAAAAGCCTCAAGGCCAGAAGCTAAGCCAAGGACTCACCATTAGACTGTGCTTCTTATACATGTACAAATTCCATGCCTCTTGGGGTCCCCAAATATCCTGAGGCTCCTGGGCCTTTTTGAAAGTGACATTGTTTTTACTTACTACAAGTCAGAAACCTTGCATGGGAATCACTTAGACAAGGTACTAGGCCAGCCTTTCCAAGGGGCTTTTTATTGGCTCTATAAAGTTGGCCTCAATTCCTCAGTCTGGTCATATCTGAAAATATGCCATTTAAGTCAAAGTCTTGATAAAATAACTAGTGTCTCCAGTTATATCCTGTTACAAAATAAAACAGATTCTTACTGAACTTATGGAAATAATTATATTTCTCTAAAAGAAGAATACTTATGAATAGTTTCCAAGTTTTGGAGATCTTGGATAGAGAGAAGGTAAATTTTGCTCGCAAAAAATACTGTACTCAAGCTTGGTAAGCTATAAATAGCTCAAAAGAGAAAGGTTTTCTTGACGCTTTTTCAAACAGAGTAGCAGCTTCTAAACAGGATGTCGTTTGTTCACCTTTAAATTGTCATCCATAAGTCAAGTGGGAATTGAATCACAGGGGAAAAAGTCAGTCCTAGAGGAAAAAATAGCTCCCTGATTCTTAGAATCTCCTCCTTGTGCTCCCCAAGTAGCAAGATCCTATAAGAATCATTTCCATTTTATCATGGAAGTCTTCTGTGCACTGCTGTTTTCACTTGCAGAGGGGTATTTTCCCATAGCAATGCCGTAAATGCCCCTAAAGTGGAAATTCTCTCCTCCAAAGCGCTAGTAGTCGCTGTTGGGAGGCACTCACAGGCTTTTGCCATCAGTCCTAGTGAACATTCCACAAAGGGCTATCAAGTGGAGGATTCATCCCTACCAGCACTCTCAGCTTTCACCCTAAACTCTAGCCTTGGACAATCTTACTAGCTCCCACTTAGCATGTTCAGTTAATATTGCTCATAGGGTGGATTTATATGTCCTGTTTTACAGTACTAGGTAGGGGAAACATTCCTCAGTCAGGCATAATATCCATTTCCACGAAACATTTAGTTAAAGGATACACAACTACTTTACATAAAACCTGCTTAAACATTTCAACTTTCATTTTATAGTCCTATCAACCTTTGCATTTTATGTTTTGGTTCCAGGAATTCATTTTTTTCACCTGCATACCATTTTACTCTCTTGTAAAAAAAGGATTTAGATTTCCAGTAGGGGGGTGAGCCAAGTAGGGGTACTTTGTCAATCTTTTCTTGATTAATCCACCCAAGTAATCTCTTTGAAGCCCTTCTTATTAGACTGGAGGGAATGGGGAATGAAGCTCTACCCATCTTCCCCAAGAAAAGTGGTTGTGGTACTCACAATGCCTGACAAATATCTGCAAGAAAATATTTTCTGTAACTTCTAATTTTAGTCCTTTTGCTTGTTTGGCTTCCTTTATCCTTTATACAGGGAAGTAGTAAGGTAAAGGTAGCAAACATTATCAACAAGCCCTATATTGTTGTTCAAACACCTTGATTTGGAATGTGTCACAGAATAGCTTGAAAAACTTAGAAAAATTCTCAGGAACTGAGAGGGAATGTTCAAGTTTAAAATACTGTTACAGGAACAGTGTGGTGCACTTGCCTGTAATCCCAACACTTTGGGAGACTGAGGTGGGAGGATGGCTTGAGGCCAGGACTTTGAGACCACCCTGGGTAACATAGTAAGGCCTCATCACTACAAAAATAAAAAATAAAATAAAGTAAAATAAAATAAAATAAAATAAGGTTAAGATTGTACTTGGAATAAAACACTTTTATGCTTTTTTTAAGTTTTTGGTAATATTTGTATTCAAGATTTCCCCCTCAGAATTGAAAACTGTTACCTGCCTTCTTCCTAGACATGAAGCCAGCTGTTTCAGATAGATAGAAAGTGTAAGTAACAAATTCTTATTTTTTTATTCAACCCCAGATAATTTTTTCTACATTCTGCTACTAAGCCTAAATTTTAAAATCATTTTTAGTTTTTAAATTTCCAATGTATCCTCATGAATTTTAAACATTGACTACTATTTTTTGTAATGTCTTTGAGATATAATTTACATAACATACAATTCACCCACTTAATGGGTATAATTTAATGTTTTTTTTAGTGTAATCACAGAGTATTACAACAATTACCACAATCAACTTTAGAATATCGCCTCAAAAAAGAAACTCTGTACACTTTGGCTATCAGCTTCTAACCTCTCTTCCTCAGCTCCAACCCTAACCAACCACAGGTCTACCTTCTATCTCTATAGGTTTGCCTAGTCTGGACATGCCATAAAAATGGAATCATAATATGTGGTCATTTGTGACTGGCTTCCTACACTTAGCAGAATATTTTCAAGGTTCATCCATGTTATAGCATCTATTATTACTTCATTCCCTTTTCATGCCCAAATAATATTCCATTGTTTAGATATACCACATTTTGTTTACCCATTCATCAATTGATGAGCATTTAGATTGTTTCCTCCTTTTGGCTAACACAAATAATGCTGCCATAAACATATGTGTACAAGTGTTTTCGTGGACACATTTTTAAAAATTTATCTTGGGTATGTATCTAGGAGTAGACTGCTGAGTTAATGGCAATCCTATTGTTTAACTTTTTTAAAAACTGCAGGTTGTTTTCCAAATTGACCAAACCATTTAATATCCCCACCAGAAGTGTATGTTGCTTCCAACTTCCTTGACATCATTTGTTATTATCTGACTTCTTGATGACACCCATCTTTGAGGGTGTGAAGTGTTATCTCACTGTGGTTTTGATTCATATTTACTTAATAATTAATGATGTTATACATCTTTTCATGTGCCTAATGGCAATTTATATATCTTCTTTAGAGAAATATCTATTTGAATCCTTTGCTTATTTTGAAATTGTCTTATTTCTCTTTTTTTCTGTGTTGTAAAAGTTCCTTACATATATTCTAGATACAAGTCCTTTATGACATATGCAATTTTGCAAATATTTTTTCCCATTGTGTGAGTTCTATTTTCCTTTTTTAATAGTATCCTTTGAAGCATGACATTTTAAATTTTGAGAAAATCCAATTTCTGTACTTTGTATTTTCTTATTTGTGGTTTTGGTGTGATATCTAAGAATCCATTGTCAAATCTGTGGTGATGAATATTTTAAGTCTTAATTTTTACCTGTATTAGTAGTCATATTTTTAATAGATACTTTAAAAAAACCTTTTTTGTTTTTTGAGACAGAGTCTCACTGTGTTGCCCAGGCTGGAGTGCAGTGGCACCATCTTGGCTCACTGCAACCTCCGTCCCAGGCTACTTAAAAAAACCTTCTGACCAAAAATATTTTAACTAAGAAATGCTGTGTGAAATACAGGAATATCTAAAGTATATTTCTAATACTTCCTGTGTAGTATTTTCCCAAACTATGGTACATAAAAAAATAATAAAGTTGTTGCATGAAATCAGCATCATGACCAACATGGTCTTTATACCCATCTTCTATTGCCTTGTTCGTTAGTGACAGTTTTGATCACTCTCTTCTGAATATGAAAGTAATATATGTTCAAAATGAAAAATATGAAATTTGGGACAACGTGAAGAATTTGAAAATATTCCTCCCTCCCTCCCTTCCTCCTTCCCTCCCATCCTTCTTTCCCTGCTTCCTTCCTTCCCTCCTTCCTTCCTTCCTCTCTCTTTCTTTTTCTTCTTCTCTCTCTCTCTTTCCCTTCCTTTCTTTGTTTCTCTGGGACAGAGTCTTGCTCTGTCACCCAGGATAGAGTGCAGTGGCATGATCTCGGCACGCTGCAACCTTTGCTTCCCAGGTTCAAGTGGTTCTCATGCCTCAGCCTCCCAAGTAGGTGGAATCGCGGGTGTGCACTACCCTGTCTGGCTATTTTTTTGTATTATATTAGAGACAAGGTTTTGCCATGTTGGACAGGCTGGTCTTGAACTCCTGGCCTCAAGCAATCCACCTGCCTTGGCCTTCTAAAGTTCTAGGATTACAGGTTTGAGCCACTGTGCCCAGACTATTTTAATTTTTTAAACCTAAACCACATAGAATTATTAAAGCCATCATTTTTTTTCTCTCACTCTTTCTTCTATAACCATTTATACACATCCAGATAATTCTATATATGCAATTTTGTAACCTAATAATTTTCACCTTTTTGTATATGTACATCACCTCTTGACTAGATTAGAAACTCCACAGAAAGACTGGTTAAAACTTCAAAGTCTATTCTTTTGGCTGGGCGCGGTGGCTCACGCCTGTAATCCCAGCACTTTGGGAGGCCGAGGTGGGCGGATCACAAGGTCAGGAGATCGAGACCATCCTGGCTAACATGATGAAACCCCGTCTCTACTAAAAATACAAAAAAATTAGCCGGGCATGGTAGCGGGTGCCTGTAGTCCCAGCTACTCGGGAGGCCGAGGCAGGAGAATGGCGTGAACTTGGGAGGCGGAGCTTGCAGTGAGCCGAGATCGCGCCACTGCACTCCAGCCTGGGCGAGAGGGAGACTCCGTCTCAAAAAAAAAAAAACAAAAAAAACCCATTTCAAAGTCTATTCTTTTACAGCAGATAGTGCATTTAATACTTTAAGGGGTATTTAGTATTGGATAGGTAGCTAGACTTACATTAGAGGATTTATAAATATTTATTAATACTTGCTACAACCACAAAAGTTGACAGCTTTCGCAGGTTTTTAAGTGATAATAACATGAAGATAGAGACTAAAATAACATCTACATTTCCTTTTAAATAACGTTAATTCAGAAAGTTTCAAAGTTATCCTATAATTTGAGACAAACAGGAGGGATTAGATGAATTAAGTACTGAAGCGAGAACATTTACTGTTTCTGTGGACATTTATGAATAAAATTCCCCATGTTGTGATTTGCCCAGGAACAATTTGAGTTTCTCCTGTGGTTTGAATGTGTCCCCGAAAGTTTACGTGGAAACTTAACTGCCAATGCAACAGTGTTGTCAGGTGAGATCTTTAGAAGGTGATTAAGTCACGAGAGCTCTATCTTCTTGAATGGATTAATGTCATTATCATGGGATTGGATTGTTATCTCAGGAGTGGTGTCTTTATAAAGGATGAGTTTGCGCTCCTCCCCGCCCCCGCCACTCTGTCTCTCTCTCTCTTTTTCTCTCACTCCCATGTACATGCTCTTTTGCCACGTGATCCCTTCCACCATGTTGTGATGCCTTCCAGCATATTATGATGCTTCGAGAAGACCCTCACCAGAGGCAGCCCCACCATCTTGGACTTCTCAGCTTTTAGATTTATGAAACAAATAAACTATTGGTTAGAAGTTATCCAGTCTGTGATACTCTGTTATAACAATGTAATATGGACTAAGACACCCTCCTATTAAGTGAAACATTGTTCTCTCAGCTTACAAATTTCTAAAGCTCTAAAAATCCAGAGTTCTAAATAAAACTGAGTTAAACAACACCTGAAAGAATAAAAGAAGTAACTACAGAATTGGCTACATAATGGCTACTTTTAGCATAGATGGATGTTTGAAGAATATATTCAGGAAAATTATGCTTGCTTCATTCACATATAGGATATTCAAATTTCCCTTCCTGACAGATTGCTCGAAATGGTGGTGATGATATCATCGCTTTATGTGGGAATTTACACTGGAATTCAACAGCATCCCCTGTTTTTGCATAGAGTTTTCCATCGTTTCTCCATTTTAACTGTATGTTATTTTTGTTCATGTTTTCTTCAGATACCACACATGGATCTGAAAGAAGAAATGGTAAAATAAAATAAATAAATAATAATACATCTTTACCTTTCATAGAATAGTGAAATTGCATTTAAGAATATTTTGGAATTAAAATGATGAAAAATATTAATATTTATTTAAAAAATAATATTTATTGAGTTATTCTTGGTACTGTTCTTAGCACTGTGTATGGGCTACATATGAGGAAATAAATGCTAAGAGATTTTCTCAAGGCTACACAGTTTAGTGAGTGTTTTGAGCCAGAATATGCATCCTGCCAGTATGAGTTCAGAACCTGAGCTCTTAATTGCTATACTTTACTAAAAATTCTACCAGCATGAATGTTGTTTGTTTAGATATCCCTTTTTATAATGTAATTATTTGTGAATCTTAACTTTGTGAAACCTTGATTTCTGTAGAAAAAACAATGTTATCTTCTTCCCTGACCCCAGATATCACTCACTCTTTCTTAAAATCAGCACTTTATATATATATTTATATATATCTTATATATAATATATAATACATAATACATAATATAATGTGTATATATAACATACATTTATATGTATGTTAATTGTAATATATGTACGTTAATTGTATACATGTTACATACAATTTATATCTAATGTAATGTAATCAATTTATATCTAATGTATAAATATATATCGGTATATTATGTATAATATATGGATTATATATAATGTATAATATAATATATTATACATAACATATTATATGTATATTATATGTATACATATATTGTATGTATATGTATCATGTGTATATAAGTATACATATATTATACATACATACTTATGTATATTTAGATATGTTACATATGTATATGTGTATACATATATGTTAAAAATATATGTAATATGTAATATATTTATATTACATATACACACATGTATATGTAATTATACACTTGTATGTATATTAGAGTGCTTAACTCTCCACATCCTTGCCAAGTCTTTATGTTATATACTTTTTTCTTTTTGCCGATCTCCTAGTTGAACATTGACACTTCACTGAAATTTTATGTTCGTGTAGACAAGCATTCTTTCATGTTTGCCATATGTTTTTCATTTTCTGTTTATGTACCTTACATAATTTTTATACTGAATTTTGATTGATTTGTAAAAATTCTTATGTGTTAAGCACCTGAGAATATTCTCCATAAATCGAGAAATTTTGAAGTTATCTTTAACCCCTCTTTCATTTGGTTCCTGTTTTTTACCTACTAGTCAAGACTCTAATCTATCTCTGCCAGGGCCTTAAACAATTTCCCCATATTGCATGTTTTCTCGGTGTAAAATAACCACATGTTCTTAGTCAACTGATAATTTAAAAATACTACATTGGGCCGGGCGTGGTGGCTCACGCCTGTAATCACAGCACTTTGGGAGGCCGAGGCGGGTGGATCATGAGGTCAAGAGTTCAAGACCAGCCTGGCCAACAGGGTGAAACCCTGTCTCTACTAAGAATACAAAAATTAGCCGGGCATGGTGGCATGTGCCTGTAATCCCAACTACTCGGGAGGCTGAGGCAGGAGAATCGCTTGAACCCAGGAGGCGGAGGTTGCAATGAGCCGAGATCACGCCACTGCGCTCCAGCCTGGGTGACAGAGCAAGACTTTGTCTTGAAAAAATAAAAATAAAAAAAGATGCTATGTCAAAAAACTGCTATTAAAAATATGTAATGGCTCCCTACTTCATTCAATACCCATGAACCATCCAAATAAATTTATGTCTGGTTTTGGAAAAAATTATATCTTTTTTTTTTTTTGACGGAGTTTCACTCTTGTTGCCCAGGCTGGAGTGCAATGGTGCAATCTCGGCTCACTGCAACCTCCACCTCCCAGGTTCAAATGATTCTCCTGCCTCAGCCTCCCGAGTAGCTGAGATTACAGGCACGTGCCACCCATGCCTGTCTAATTTTGTATTTTTAGTAGAGATGGGGTTTCTCCATATTGGTCAGGCTAGTCTCGAACTCCCGACCTCAGGTGATTCTTCCTGCCTTGGCCTCCCAAAGTGCTGGGAATACAGGCGTGAGCCACCATGCCTGGCTGGAAAAAATTATTTCTTCAGAGCTGTCTAATCTTAATCTCCTATCTCATGGGAAATAAAATTATTTTACATTTCATAGTTAGATCATGTTTCCTTGAATTTTCCAGATATCTATGATGGGTTTTTTTGCTTGTTTGTTTTCGTGATTGTGTGTTTGTGTTTGTTATTGTTCAAAATACTGTTTCTTTTTGCTAGAATGCCCTTCCCACAAACTCTGATTGTCAACATGGTACACACTTTTTAGGTTACAAATTTTGTTCTTACTTTTCTTTTGGAAATTTATTTTATGATCACTGGCCATGATAATTTCTGCGAATTTTAAATTATTGGACCATCTAAAACTTGGCTGTACTTAAAATATTAGATAATGGCATTTTTGTCTATCCATCAATCACTCCAAGTTAAATCCTAGAAGTTATCTTTGAAACCTAGTTTTTCTTCATTCTAGCAAAATTGTTCAGATGATACTTCTGCCTTATACTAACTCAACACTTTCTGAGTTCAGTTCCCACACAATTTTAATGATATCCTGGGAGAGGGGCTCACACAGAGTAGTGGTTTGAAGCACTGTATAGGCCATAGTGGCATTGGGGTAATTTGTTACTACAGAAGGTGGAAGAAAGAGACATCGTCAGAAGGATGAATTTTCAAGACTATAACAAACTTCTGGTCTAGCCCTGTGAGGTATTGGGCAACAGTGAGAACTGTTGCAGGAACAGATCCTTATTACCATGGTGTCTCTTTTGGACACCAGAAAACAGAGGGGTTTATGGAAATTCCAGTTTTCTTCCACTTATTATAGAGTAAACTGACGTTCATGCTTTTCCCATAATTGGTGTTATTAATTCGCCCCATATCTTTGTATTTTGTCCCTTTTAGTTTGTCATGACCGATAAAAGAATCTCCTTTTAAGCCCTAAAAGTGAATCTCCAAATTTTCATAAGGAGTCTACGATGTTAATTTTTTTAATGCCACAAAGTGCACATGAATTTGTGGAAACTTAATATGTATATTGGCATTATTTTGTAGTAGAAAAAAATAGGGTGAAAAGAAGGGATAGTGAAGATTTAGAAAGTGGCTCAGTAACTCTTCCAGATTTTCTATCTCTCCTGCTAGAAATTCTGCCAACATGCAAGTAAAAAGCCATGTCAGTATTAGTCAACTAGGTGTTCTACTAGGGAAAGCTTTCAGGTTTACAAGTAGAACCTTATATAGTATTAAATGACAGTTTTCCTAGACCAGTGTTTTTCAAAGGGTCTCTGTGAGAAGTTCTCAGGTAGATGCTTATAACATGAAACAATTTAATGGAGTGCGAATAGGCCCCATAAATAGCTCTGGACTCTACAGAATTTCATAATGCACCTTATCACATGTAGGTCTTTAAAATTTTATTTATAGTTTTTAAATAAATTTTTCTCACTTTGCATAAAGCAAATTTTTCAAATGTTTCCTTGTATGTATTTACATTTGACAGGAAAGATTTTGACTGAATGAAACTTAAGTAAGGGTTATTCTATGAAATTAGTCCAAAAAAATTACACTATAAATATTAAATCTCAGATTCCAAGAGAATATTAAGAACTCACCTAGGCATCTTGGTGGTTCTGACCACTGTTTATTTCTGCATGTTACAGTTACAGAGCCCTGGAGTTTATAGAAGGACTGGCAACGGTACGTCACTGTTGACCCTGGAGGATATACTGATAATGGGAATGAGGTGGTATCTCCATTGTTAATAGATGGAGGGGGCCCACAATATGCAGTAGACTCTGGAAAACAGCATTTATTTGTTGAGACATTATGTTAGTTTAAACAAAATAATATAATGAAGCATCATGTATCATATCTTTAATATAAGGTGTCTGGAAATTCAAATAATTAATTACAGTATTTCTGTCATAAAGTCTGATTCAAAACATATTGTAGCTCCTTTCATGTTAAAGTGAAATTCATATAAAATACCGGGAATACTTTTTATTGAAGGCAGGAGAGACAGGTGAGTAAACTTCTGGTCTAGGTTCCTCCTCCACCCCTTAATATTCAATTGTCACTTAAAGAGGAAAGGTAAAAGTAAATAACTTTCTTACTGTTTCTAGTCTCAGGGTAATTATTACTTTATGCAAATAGCATATACCAACTAGTATATGATCATAAACTTGTAGTTTTACTGAAAATGAATTGCAGACACACTCTTCTGCATTTACTTTTTTGATACCAAATAATATTGTAGGCATCTTTCCCTATCAATAAATGTTTCAACTTCATGCTAATGAAGAGATTTTGGGGAAAACTAAAAAAAGTAACAACTTCATGCTAAGATTGGCTGGAATACGTTCAATTGTACTGACTGATCTCCCTTTATATATCACCAAGAACATAAATATGAAATCACTAAGTAATCCTATCCCAAATTGCTTGTACATCCTCTAGTTTCATTGAGTTACTGTCCTTGCTTTCTCAGATTGACTTCTTCATGATGACACTAGATTCTTTCACCTTTAAACTTGTAAAAGATCCTTCTTCATGAATTATCTCCTTTCTTCTGTAACATCAATGTCTCCCTTTCCACTTAATCATTCACCAACCTACAAACATGCTGAAAATGTCACAATTCAATAAGGTAAAATTTCACTTTCTCCATATCTTCTATCCGGTAACTGCCTCATTTCTCTATTCCCTTTTGAACACATTTACTTGTTTCTCATCCTCCATGATCTTACTTTATCACCCCACATTCTTTCTTGAACACACTGCAATTACTTACCCCCTATGGAAATATCTCTAGGCAAAATTACCAATGGTTTTTATTTAGATAAATAGATTGTTCAATTATCAGGCATCTTGTCCAGCTCTAAGCACTCTTTGCCATATCTGATGTTTTGTCAAGTAATATTTTGAAATATGTGCTTTTGAAATGCAGCCATGTAGCACTTAATGACAAGAAGATATTCTGAGAAATGTGTCATTAGGCTCTTTTTTCCTTGTGTGAGCATCATGGAGTGAGCCTACACAAACCTAGATAATGTTGCCTACTACACACCTAGGCTATATGGTGCAGCCTATTGCTCCTATTGTCCCCAAACCCCTGGCTGCAGACCAGTACCCTCTGTGGCCTCTTAGGAACCGGGCTGCATGACAGGAAGTGAGAGGCAGGCGAATGAGCATTACTGCCAGCATTACTACCTCCTGTCAGATCAACCAGGGCACTAGATTCTCATAGGATCTTGAACCCTATTGTGAACTGCACATGCAAGGGACCTAGGTTGCATGCTCCTTATGAGAATCTAATGCCTGATGATCTGAGGCACAGGAGTTTCATCCTGAAACCATCCCCCAACCTCCTCAGTCCATGGAAAAATTGTCTTCCACAAAACATGTCCCTGATGCTAAAAAGGTTGGGTATTGCTGTCCTAGGCCACAAACCTGTACAGCATGCTACCATACTGAATACTATAGGCCATTGTGACATGATGGTAAGTATTTGCATATCTAAACATATTTAAACATAGAAAAGGTACAGTAAAAATATGATAGAAAAGATTTTTAAGAAGATGTAGAAATTTCAAACTTGTTTCTTCTATGAACACTGTTGGAGATAACTCTTAGAGAAACTTTTTTAAATGACAGAATTGGTTACTTAGCAATTTAAGGCTTTGGGGTACAGTGCAACAGATTAGTCATAAGTTCTTGTTTCTTTCTTTAGATAAAGCAAAGGGGATTAATAACCTCTTTTTAAGTGAAATTACTTAGAAATAAACTACTAACCAACACAGCGTGGTAATGATTGCCATCGTCCATCTTTACATACAATTTCTTTTGCTTCTGGAAGTAGATAGTTTTCTTTACAGAGAACAGCTACTTTTTCTCCATCCTGATAATTCACTGTGGTTGTCATATTCTGAGCATTAGGTATCTGAGGTGGCGGTGGGCAGAATTGTTCCCTTTTTTCTACAAAATATTGGAATTAAATTATATGATTAATAAAAGTTAAGTAAAAACAGCTCAATAGGGTAGTGTTTCAGGAAAATGGAAGATTCAATGACACACACACACTATGTCTCTCTATCACTTTCTCTTTCTCTCTCCCTATATATAAATGTTATAATAACAAATATTTTTTGTGTCACTATAGTTTACAGTTTAAAAAGCGATTCTTTTTGTTATAACCATTAGTTTAAAATTTTTCAGATGCTCTCTTGTATCTCCTATTCATTATTCCTGTCAATTCTCTTGTATAATTTACAAATAAATTTCTTTAATTTTTTTCTAACTAACCCATATGATTCAAAAAGTTATGTACATTGAATTTAAACAATTTAAAAATAAAAATGACAACAATCAGAAATAACTATGACTTCCCCTAATAACTGAACCCTAGATCTCAATAAAGGATTTCCATGACTTGCATTTTCTTGTAAACATGAGAATGGCTGGTAATGAACATAACTGGAATGCCTCCGTTGGACTAGGAATTAAATTCTTTTTTGGTTGCTTGGCTTATTCTTAGGGAAAAGTTTTAAATGGTCAACTTGGATGCCAAAGCGTTTTCTAAACCTCCTGACCTGGGCTCATGCCCTTACAGTGATCTCCTTCATCTCATGTTTTTCCAGAGTGGTGGCTACTGTCTACTAACACTTCCCTTCAAAATGGTGGGAATTGAACAATGAGAACACATGGACACAGGAAGGGGAACATCACACACCGGGGGCTGTTGTGGGGTGGGGGGAGGGGGGAGGGATAGCATTAGGAGATATATCTAATGCTAAATGACGAGTTAATGGGTGCAGCACACCAACATGACACATGTATACATTTGTAACAAACCTGCACGTTGTGCACATGTACCCTAAAACTTAAAGTATAACAATAATTAAAAAAAACATATTCAGTGAAAAAAAAAATTATTGCATTGAAAGTGCTATTTTTTTTCCTCGCTATACTATTTTCATTTAAAAATCAAGACAGAAGAGTGCATATCTACTCTTTCCTGGTTTAGCTAGATTAAAAAATATAATAATTATATACAACAGATCTTTAATAAATTATTTGAACAGAACCTGAGGTCAGTATAAAATAAGCCAAAACATACATATTGTCTAAAATAGGAATTTTATACTGGATTTTTCCTTATTTTTTCAAGGTCAGAAAGGCAAAATAGTGCAAATCTAAACAGAAACTGTTCCTGTGGAAATCTAGATAGATATCTGGGACTGGGGCCCACTGATGCGTATTTTATGTTTTATATGACTCGTCCTACTTATTTACTGGTTTAAGAAAAGCGTGAACTTAAAGTACTTAGTTCCAGATGCATCTT
The DNA here is from genome assembly GCF_000001405.40 of Homo sapiens. Lineage (NCBI taxonomy): Eukaryota > Metazoa > Chordata > Mammalia > Primates > Hominidae > Homo > Homo sapiens. The sequence continues at coordinate 197,001,115 of NC_000001.11, read as the reverse complement.
ATTCTAGTCAACCATTAACAAGACCAGTCTTTTGTGATCAGTGTTGTTTCAGTAATTAACTGCAAAAGAAAATAAAATTAGCCTGATATTATTATTGTTAGTATACATTTTTGATTAGCAAAGTTTGGTCATGAGTTTGAAGAAAGTCTATGAGAAGCACATGAAAAGAGGATATCAGGCACATTTGATAGATAGATGGGTCAGTTTTCAATATTATTTATTATTTAGAAGCTCTTCTACTTAATGTCTTATTACCTCTTTGTTTAGGTATTTTGTAAACATTTTGGAAACTAAACATTTTTGTTGTTTATGAATTTCTGTTTGGTGGTTTAAGTATTTTTATTTAAATACATAGTCACAAAGATGAATACTTATTGAGTATCATCAAGACTCTTTTGAATGAGCCTCAAGGCCTGTGCTGCCAATCTAGGGACTCAGCAGTTACCTGCTATGAGCCTCCTAGATGTCCCAGTGCCAGGAAATAGGGAAGCTGAAGGTGTCTGTAATCTCAAATGTACAAATAATAATGAGAATTTCATCAACAAAGTCCCAACTAAGTGAGTTAGATATTCAAATATCACACATATACTATTGTTTTTATATTTTAGGTAAAAAGAACATTACACATAATGATCTCAGTTGCCCACCTTACTTTCCTTTTAGAATTGGACATCTGTTTAGAAATTTCTGTCTAGTAAAGACAGAGTCTAGTTGAAACAGCACTGATATAAAAATCTGGAAACAAGTTCCAGTCTTGATTTTGACCAAATAACTTCTTGAAGCCATGTATTTCTGATGCATAAAATGAGAAATTTTATTATTTTTCTCAAGAACAAGCAAGGTGTGTAACAAATATTTGCCACCTAATAACGTTCTTACCTAATTTCCAGACTACTAGCTACCAGCTCTTCTCAAAACTTTAAATAAGGCTTCTTCCTTATTTTGATACCTATGACTCATAGTATTTTCCTTCTCTTTATGCTTGTAATTTATTTATTTAAAAAATTGAACTCATATTATTATTCCCTGTATTTCAGTTTTCATCTACTCTTTGGTTGTAGAAATGTTTATTTGTGTATGCACACCATTCTTGATTAGAGTCAACTCATTTAGACAGCTCTGCTTATTAATCTTTTCAAAACATTAGTTTCATATCTTGGATTAGTTGGAAATACAAGGTTCTATTTCATTTTCTTCTGCTTTTACTTTTATTATTTCCTTTTCCTCCTAATATCTGAATTCATTTTCCCCCTAGCTTTTTAGGATATACATATATATTATATATATACACACACACACACACACACACATATATATACACACATATATACATATATACATATATGTGTGTGTGTATATACATATGTGTGTGTATATATATGTGTGTGTGTGTATATATATATATATATATATATATATATATATATATATACTTTTTCCCAAAATAGATAAGTTTAAGACTATGAATGCCACATCATTCTAAATTTTGCTTAGGTTGCATCTCATAGGTTTTACTACGTATCCTTGTAATTATAACATAGTTCTTAATATTTTAAACATTACATCACTAGGTTATTTGGAAGTAAATTATTTGCTTACCCAAAATGAAAGGTAAGGAAGTGGATAACTTTTTATACACTTTTAATGTTATTTGTTTGTGGTTACAAAAAGTCATCTATAGGGCTTTAATATTTGAAGTTGTGAGAATTATTTTGGGCAGAATGACTGGCCAATTTAAGTAAACATTTCATGGACACATAAAAGGCTTCAAACTTCTTTCAACTATCAGAATATTTCTCTTCCTCAAATAGAAAAAATATATAATGAAATCAAATATTTTATAAACATAAAAATGTTCCAGTTGCTTTAAACAAATTGTAGTTATCTTATCTTTTTGAAATCCTTATGTATTTAAGTTTAAGAATATATTCCAGTATTTTTCCTCACAATTTCTAATGACATCACACTTTTTGCTATAAATTAGTATTTTATATCATTAATGTGTATTTTATATGATTTCTTTCAAACTATGACCTTGTGTGTAAACTCCTATCCTTCCTGTGGTTGCAAATTTCTTTATTTTGGAATCATTAGTGAATTATATTGGTACATAGAATGACTGGTTGCCAGTTACTTTCACTAAGCACTTTGAAGAGATTACCTTATTTTCTTCGGCTTTTGACGTTGCTGATGAGAAGTCTGCAGTCTATCTTCTCTCTTTTATTGTCATTCCTTTATAAGCACTTTGTTTTCTCTAGTTCTGGTTTATTTTAATCTAATATGGTGCCCCATTTTATAATTACTTGTAATTTATAATCCTATTACTCAAAGTAAATGATTTGAATATAAGCCTTCGAGGAATGTGAGACTTTTTCTTAGGGAAATAATTGATTACTCAAATATATTTTCTTTCTCAGCCTACTTTTTACTCAGCCTACTGTCTGGTCCAGAATTGGCAATATCTGTTAGTTTTGTTTCACAGTGCATAATTGGGGTTTTAATTGTTTCTTAATGTCATTGAAGATTAAGTTTTGTTCTTTTTTTACAGTTCTTTATTTCTTTTTTTCTTTCAAGGTTTTGTGAGACTGTAATAGAGTAAAAACAGCTTTACTCTCTCATCTTTACCAGAAAGCCAAGGCTTTTAAAGAATAACATTTGTCTGGAAAGAGTATTATAACTAGTTTCTACTTTACTATTAGCATAGAAATTATATGCCACAATAAATATTTAATTTAAAAACATTCTAATTTCAAAATAATTTTTCTTGTAAAGAAGCAACAAGATCAACAAAATGTTTTAAACAAATCTTACCTGTGCAGTCTACTTCAGGATTCCATTTCCCGTTTATACAGACTGAGTGCCTGTATCTGAAGATGTCTGAACATCTGTAACGTATTCTAGAATTATGATTAAATTCTTTCCCAGATAGCTTGAGTAATGTTTTTATATTAACTCCTGCTATTTTGCACCTCTTAAGTTGGTGTGTTGCTATAAAAAATAATATTAAATAGAAACTAAACAATTATGTCAATAAAATATCTGCAATATTAATAGCATAATTATGTTTGATGCTTTTAAGCAACATCACAAAACTTATTCTTAATCTCATTGCACAAAATAGACAATGCTGTTGGAAAAAGAAAAAATAAAACAAAAAACTGTATCCCATCTTTGAATGACAGGAAAGTAGGTCAGAAAGTTTTCTGGGAAATGAAAGTGCAAGATAGGTTTTCCTAGTGGGAGTTTTGACTGAAAGATAGTTCTTAGGAAGCTACAAATGAATTGTTAGAGGCTCTGAAAATGTACACATGTATGATTGTTTTGCACTAAACTATCTTAAATATCTTCAAAACATTTAAATAATAAAAAGAGGCAATACATGGGTAAGTCTGCAGGAAGCAAAGCATCAGTAAGAGATAGATCTGGGTCCCCCTTGAGGTTCAATGACTCACATTTCAAAAGCTCAGCAAAAACTCTGACTCAGTAAGTCAGAGTATTCTCAGGGGAAGAACTCACTGATAATAACACAACTGAGCTTCAGAACATAAATTCCTACTAAGCCTCTTGCTTGTCTAAGTAGTTCTCATTGTTACATTTTTTTCCCGTTTCCCATAAACATGTAGATAGTTATGGAGCCTTTTCCTTAGTGTGTAAAAGGATGGGATAATGAGACATGGAGTGTGCTCTGCTACTTCTATGCTTACAGGTGTTTTCTGCAATAGTTTCTATTTTTAATTCACCCCATATGGGGCTAGAGGTTGATATTTATGTACTCCTTGCATAAAAGTTGATGACCATGAAGATATATGATCTACATCTTCCCATAACAGCGTTCTGGCTCCTGGTAGTGGAAAACATTCCCTCACAATAGGTCATCACGGATGGCCACTGACCAGGTATTTGCTGGGACAACGGCTGGCAACACCTACAGTAATTTTTCCCAGCAATGAGTGGGCCAGTTGATTATCCAAAAGTCCAGGAGATGGAGAGAGAGGCGGTTCTGTTTCAGTTTCTGTAAGGAGGAGAACAGCGGCGGAAAGTCTGCTTGTCTTTAAAGTTCAAAATTAGAGGCTTTAATGTATTGAGGTTGCTAGAGATAGGACAAAAGAGGCCAGGATCTGAGGGTGTCGGGAAAAAAAATACCTGCAAGTACTTAAGTGTCAAGGCTGGAAGTCCTGAGGCTGCAAGGTAAGAGTAGAGCACACAGGCTGATAGACTACTACTACTTACTACTTACTACTTACTTACTACTTACTACTTACTACTTCTGTGGAGGAAACCGACAAACTAAGTAGATAATTAGGAATAGAAATAAGAGAATTATGGGACCAGAAAGAGCAAGGATCATGCCTAGTTCCTGGGTCCTAGTCCCCTACTCTTCTTCTATGAAGGGATTCCAAACACTCTGGAATTTAATAGAACTCAAGCTACATTGCTATTTTTTAGGTTGTTCTATCTGGAACATGCTGAGGTAAAGACTAAGTTAAAGCAATGAAATAAAAGAAATTAAATCGCCATCATTTGTAGAAATACAATATCCCAATTAAATATTAGAACTAATACAGAAATTCAACAAGGTTACTGGAAACAAAAATAATGTATGCAATTAAATCACATTCTTGCATATAGAAAGTATAACTATTCAAGCATATACATTAATAAAAGTTTCCATTCATCATGCCAGAAAAATCCCAAATAAATTGGTGAAGAAATCTGTGCAGTAATAACAAGAAATTCATAAAACCATATGGTAAAGTTTAATGTAAGACCTGAATAAATGGATTGACATATTTTACTTGTGGAAGGAAGAGTCAGTATCAATAAAATTGTAATTCTAGCCAGATTTATACACTTTATACAATCCCAATCAAAATGATAAATAATCAAATATAAAGTTTAGGAATGTTTTCTCACCAACACACATAGGAAGCTCTGTCCATATTCCATTAATACAGGTAATCATGTTATTTCCAATCATTGCATATTCATTTCTGCAATTCACCTCGACTGAAACTCCATGTTGATAGGGAGGGACAGACGGCTGAACATAACCGTACTCGAGTTCAGGTATGTATCCACATGTTTTCACTTGTTCTAAGAAAATGTAATAAAATGAGTGCTTACTCTGAAAATATTTTAAATCTGTTTACATGTGTATTTATATATAAGTGCAAAGTAATAGTAACTGTCCTGTTTAAATGTTAATATTTATTTACCAACACAAGTGGGTAAAGTTGTCCATTCTCCATCCACACATTGTATTTTCTTAGGCCCGTTTATTATAAAATTAGGATTGCAATCATATTCCACTACTTCATTGTGTCCATATTCCTCTTTTCTTATCTCCTTAACTTCACCATTGGAGAGTTGAGGAGGTGGACCACATGATCGTACTTGTCCTATTATAAAGAAACCATAAATAATGCTTAAATGGTCTTATAAGTATAGAAAAATGTGGAGTTACTAAATTTTTGACTTAGAAATTAATTGCCTTTATATTGCACTTCTATTTTTGGGGACATGTGTTTTTTGCAGTGTACATAGTGTATTGACTGCATTCGTTTCCTCAAATATTGACACTTTTCATGATGAACAATTTTGAGCAAATGAAAGGAGAAAGAATGCATAATGAACACTTATAAACTGATTACCTAGATATAAAAATGTTACACTTTGCCCTATTTACTTATTTTTTGTGAAGTAATTGAAAGTAAATGACAGTGAAATTTTAGTCCTAAATTCTTCAGAATGCTATCTCATAAAGACATTTGCCTACATATACAAAATATCTTTTACATTTCACCAAATTAATAATATTTTCTTAGTACAATCTTATATCCTCTCTATATTTAAACATCCTGATTGTCCATCTTTCCCAATATTTTGTAGGCTGTTTATTATAATCAGGATATTAAGTTGTACCCTTGAAGATTTTTAAGTAGGTCAATAATCTGAAAGTTATATAAAAGTAAATAGTTATCAAATATGTGATATAATATACATATGCAATGTATAGTTATAACTTTTATTAATATCTATAAATACTTTGATATGGATTGGCTGTGTCCTCACCCAAATCTCATCTTGAATTGTAGCTCCCACAATTCCTATGTGTTGTGGGAAGAACCTGGTGGGAGGTAATTGAATTATGGGGCGGATCTTTCCTGTGCTATTCTCATGATAGTGAATAAGTCTCACGAGCTCTGATGGTTTTATAAAGGGAGGTTTCCCTGCACAAACTCTCTTCTCTTGTCTGCCATCATTCGAGATGTGCCTTTCACCTTCTGCCATGATTGTGAGGTCTCCCCAGCCACGTGAAACTGTGAGTCCATTAAAACTCTTTCTTTTGTAAATTGCCCAGTCTTGGGTATGTGTTTATCAGCATTGTGAAAAGGGACTAATACATACTTCAAATAATGTGATAAGCCATTTTTGATAAAAATAGTGCCATCTGAAGCAGGTATAAATCATCACTGTTTTCTAATGAATAATTCGTATATGCAATGACTTATTTTCTTAATTACTTAATAAAATATAACATTGTTCGTACAATATTTCTAAAAAGTATAAATTTTTTATTGAGCTAGATGGAAAAATCCTAAGACGTCTCAATTCCAGCTACTATATTTTGACCTATAAAATCCTATTATGTATTGTAAAACACAGAAGTAGAATTACTCCTTGATTACGGACACCTAAATAATCTATGCAGCTCAATTACTATAGAACTGCATCCTTTCTCCTTTGCCATTTTACCACTTTGTCAGATTATAGATGTAATATAAGCTCCAATAAAAATATATGGGCATTATTATAAAAATCAAATTCTTGTTTCATCACTTCTAAAATAAATACTGACCTTTGCATGTTGGAAAGTTAGGTGACCACCCAAATTGGTAACATTGAACTGAGTCTGATCCAACTCTTATAAGATTTTTTCTGCAGGAGAATTTCAACACGTCTCCAACTTTGTAGCTTTCTTTTTTTGGCTGAGCATCTACATTGGCTTCTAAAATTGGAACATGACATTCTCCTTCTAAAAATAAAATTAAATGAACATATGTGAATTTTCATTGCAGAAACAAATTTAATGTGTGCTATATAAAAATAAGATGCAAGGGGCTTCATATACAGAGTATAAAATATATTCTTGCCTTCGAGAAAACATATAGACTAATTATTTATACCCAATAAATATATCTAAGACCCCTCAGGCAAATTGGGAAACTGTATATAGCAAGGTAACATTTTCTATGAGAATCTTTTCAGGATTGTAGTAAGAATGTCCTGTGAAGTTACTCATACAGTAAATTATTTAATTTGTTTAATTAGCAATATTAGTTCTAATTTTATTGTTTAATAAATAAGTTTAATAACATTATTTGTTTATAATACAGAATAGGAATATTTTTTTCTCACTAAATCACAAAAAATTCCTTCAAGTAACAAAATAAAATTGCAACATATTTAATTACTTTTTGTCAAATAAAAAAAATGATGTATAAAAAGTAGATATGTGGGCCTGACATGGTGGGTCATGTCTGTAATCCCAGCACTTTGGGAGGCCAAGGTGGGCAGATCACCTGAGGTCAGGAGTTCAAGACTAGCCTGGCCAACATGGTGAAACCCTGCCTCTACTGAAAATACAAAAATTAGCCAGGCATGGGGTGGTGGGCGCCTATAGTCCCAACTACTAGGGAGGCTGAGGCAGGTGAATCACTTGAACCCAGGAGGCGGAGGTTGCAGTGAGCCGAGATCGCACCACTACACTCCAGCCTGGGTGACAGAGTGAGACACTGTCTCAAAAAACAGTAGATATGTGAAACACCCAAACAGGATACAACTAATAAATGTTAAGTTGAAGGGAATATTTAAAAGCAGATTATTCCCAGTTTTACAAAAGGGTAACTAAATATCAAAGACTTTTAAAAAACCCATCTAGGTTTTTTGAATCTTTCCCTTATACTCAACTCTATCACTAATATGTTTGTAAAAACTAACTCATTATGAATATATTCTGATTCAATTAGAAATAGATATGTATATGAATATGTGTGTTTTTCTCATTTAATAATCTTTCATTAATGGTTAGTTTATAAAATTATATATTAATTCTTGTGTAAAATAAATAATTGACATTCAAGACAAAAATAATCTGAATAAATCAAGCATACACAAAAATAAAATTGAAATATGTTCTAACTAATAATCTCATAAATATTTTCAAACTAGCTAGTTTTATATACTGTTATTGGCACTTTAATGTATTGATCACAGTTTACTTGAGCAAATCCCAAGAGAATGTGTCTTAATTCACTAAAATAAAATGTGTATCTCTAAATCTCTGTTTGTTATTCCAGTATTTTGCATGACAGTTCTTTATTGGTTGTTTATAGTCTTTTTTTAACTAATTGTTAAAAACAAAATGCCATTGAAAATAATTGATCTTGATTCTGTTCCAAGATGGCCGAATAGGAACAGCTCTGGTCTGCAGCTCCCAGCGTGATCGATGCAGAAGATGGGTGATTTCTACATTTCCAACTGAGGTATCTGGTTCATCTCACTGGGACTGGTTGGACAGCGGGTGCAGTCCATGGAGGGGGAGCCAAAGCAAAGCAGGGCATTGCCTCCCTGGGAAGTGCAAGGGGTTGGGGGATTTTCCTTTCCTAGCCAAGGGAGGCCCTGACAGACTGTACCTGGAAAATCGGGACACTCACACACAAATACTGCACTTTTCCAGTGGTCTTAGAAAAAATAGAAGTGCAAGGGGTTGGGGGATTTCCCTTTCCTAGCCAAGGAAACCCGTGACAGACTGTACCTGGAAAATCGGGACACTCACACACAAATACTGCACTTTTCCAGTGGTCTTAGTGGTGTGTCCAGTCTCCAGGACACACCAGGAGACTGTATCCTGTGCCTGGCTTGGCAGTTACCACGCCCACAGAGCCTTGCTCACTGCTAGTGTGGCAGTCTGAGATCGACCTGTGAGGCAGCAGCCTGGCAGGGGGAGGGGCGTCCGCCAATGCTGAGGCTTGAGTAGGTAAACAAAGCAGCTGGAAAAGCTTGAACTGGGCAGAGACCACTGCAGCTCAGCAAGGCCTGCTGCTTCTGTAAACTCCACCTCTGGGGGCAGGGCATAGCTGAACAAAAGGCAGCAGAAACTTCTGTAGACATAAATGTCCCTGTCTGACAGCTCTGAAGAGAGCAGTGGTTCTCCCAGCATGGTGTTTGAGCTCTGAGAACGGACAGATTGCCTCCTCAAGTGGGTCCCCGTCCCACGTGTAGCCTAACTGGGAGACACCTCCCAGTAGGGGGAAAACTGACACCTCATACAGGTGGGTGCCCCGCTGGGATGAAGCTTCCAGAGGAAGGAGCAGGCAGCAATATTTGCTGTTCTGCAATATTTGCTGTTCTGCAGCCTCTGCTGGTGATACCCAGGCAAACAGGGTCTGGACTGGACCTCCAGCAAAATCCAACAGACCTGCAGCTGAGGGACCTGATTGTTAGAAGGAAAACTAAAAAACGAAAGAAATAGCATCAACATCCACAAAAAGGACATCCACAACAAAACCCCATCTGTAGGTCACCAACATCAAAGACCAAAGGTAGATAAAACCACAAAGATGGGGAGAAACCAGAGCAGAAAAACTGAAAATTCTAAAAACCAGAGTGTCTCTTCTCCTCCAAAGGATCATAGCTCCTCACCAGCAATAGAAGAAAGCTGGACAGAGAATGACTTTGATAAGCTGACGGAAGTAGGCTTCAGAAGATTGGTAATAACAAACTTCTCCAAGCTAAAGGAGGATGTTTGAACCCATCGCAAGGAAGCTAAAAACCTTGAAAAAAGATTAGATGGATGGCTAACTAGAATAAACAGTGTAGAGAAGACCTTAAATGACCTGATGGAGCTGAAAACCATGGCACGAGAACTACGTGATGCATGTACAAGCTTCAATAGCCGATTTGATCATGTGGAAGAAATGGTATCAGTGATTGAAGATCAAATTAATGAAATAAAGAGAGAAGAAAGTTTAGAGAAAAAAGAGTAAAAAGAAATGAACAAAGCCTCCGAGAAATATGGGACTATGTGAAAAACCAAATCTACGTTTGATTGCTGTACCTGAAAGTGAGGGCGATAATGGAATCAAGTTGGAAAACACTCTTCAGGATATTATCCAGGGGAACTTCCTTAACCTAGCAAGGCAGGTCAACATTCAATTTCAAGAAATGCAGAGAACACCAAAAAAATACTCCTCGAGAAGAGCAGGACACATAATTGTCAGATTCACCAAGGTTGAAATGAAGGAAAATATGTTAATGGCAGCCAGAGAGAAAGGTTGGGTTACCCACAAAGGGAAGCCCATCAGACTAATAGTGGATCTCTCGGCAGAAACTCTACAAGCCAGAAGAGAGTGGGGGCCAATATTCGACATTCCTAAAGACAAGAATTTTCAACCCAGAATCTCATATCCAGCCAAACTAAGCTTCATAAGTGAAGAAGAATTAAAATCCTTTACAGACAAGCAAATGCTGAGAGATTTTGTCACCACCAGGTCTGCCTTACAAGAGCTCCTGAAGGAAGCACTAAACATGAAAAAGAACAACCGGTACCAGCCCCTGCAAAAACATGCCAAATTGTAAAGACCATCTATGCTAGGTAGAAACTGCATCAACTAACGGGCAAAATAACTAGCTAACATCACAATAACAGGATCAAATTCACACATAACAATATTAACCTTAAATGTAAATGGGCTAAGTGCTCCAATTAAAAGACACAGACTGGCAAATTGTATAAAGAGTCAAGACCCATCAGTGTGCTGTATTCCGGAGACCTATCTCACGTGCAGAGACACACATAGGCTCAAAATAAAGGGATGGAGGAATATCTACCAAGCAAATGGAAAGGAAAAAAAAAAGCAGGGGTTGTAATCCTAGCCTCTGATAAAACAGAATTTAAACCAACAAGGATGAAAAGAGACAAAGAAGGCCATTACATAATGGTAAAGGGATCAATTCAACAAGAAGAGCTAACTATCCGAAATATATATGCACCCAACAGGAGAACCCAGATTAATAAAGCCAGTCCTTAGAGACCTACGAAGAGACTTAGACTCCTGCACAATAATAATGGGAGACTTTAACACCCCACTGTCATTATTAGACAGATTAATGAGACAAAAGGTTAACAAGGTTATCCAGGACTTGAAATCAGCTCTGCACCAAGCGGACCTAATAGACATCTACAGAACTCTCCACTTCAAATCAACAGAATATACATTCTTCTCAGCATCACATAGCACTTATCCCAAAATTGACCACATAGTTGGAAGTAAAGCACTCCTCAGCAAATGTAAAAGAACAGAAATCACAACAAACTGTCTCTCATACCACAGTGCAAGCAAGTTAGAACCCAGGATTAAGAAACTCACTCAAAACCGCACCACTACATGGAAACTGAACACCCTGCTCCTGAATGACTACCAGGTAAATAACAAAATGAAGGCAGAAATAACGATGTTCTTTGAAACCAAGGAGAACAAAGCCACAACTTACCAGAATCTCTGGGACACATTTAAAGCAGTGTGTAGAGGGAAATTTATAGTACTAAATGACCACAAGAGAAAGAAGGAAAGATCTAAAGTCAACACTCTAAGATCACAATTGAAAGAACTAGAGAAGCAAGAGCAAACACATTCAAAAGCTAGCAGAAGGCAAGAAATAACTAAGATCAGAACAGAACTGAAGGAGATAGAGACAACAAAAGCCCTTCAGAAAATCAATGAATCCAGGAGCTGGTTTTTTGAAAAGATTAACAAAATAGACAGACTGCTAGCAAGACTAATAAAGAAGAAAAGAGAGATGAATCAAGCAGATGCAATAAAAAATGATAAAGGGGATATCACCACCGATCCCACAGAAATACAAACTACCATCAGAGAATACTATAAACACCTCTACGCAAATAAACTAGAAAATCTAGAAGAAATGGATAAATTCCTCGACACATACATCCTCCCAAGACTAAACCAAGAAGAAGTTGAATCTCTGAATAGACCAATAACAGGCTCTGAAATTGAGGCAATAATTAATTGCCTACCACCCAAAAAAGTTCAGGACCAGACAGATTCACAGCAGAATTCTACCAGAGGTTCAAAGAGGAGCTGGTCACATTCCTTCTGAAACTATTCCAATCAATAGAAAAAGAGTGAATACTCCCTAACTCATTTTATGAGGCCAGCATCATCCTGGTACCAAAGACTGGCAGAGACACAACAAAAAAAAGAGAATTTTAGACCCATATCCCTGATGAACATCGATGTGAAAATCCTCAATAAAATACTGGCAAACCAAATCCAGCAGCACATCAAAAAGCTTATCCACCACAATCAAGTTGGCTTCATCCTTGGGATGCAAGGCTGGTTCAACATATACAAACTAATAAATGTAATCCATCACATAAACAGAACCAATGACAAAAACACGTGATTATCTCAATAGATGCAGAAAAGGCCTTTGACAAAATTCAACAGCGCTTCATGCTAAAAACTCTCAGTAAACTAGGTATTGATGGAACATATGGCAAAATAATAAGAGCTACTCATGACAAACCCACAGCCAATATCATACTGAATGGGCAAAAACTGGAAGCATTCCCTTTGAAAATCAGCACAAGACAGGGATGCCCTCTCTTACCACTCCTATTCAACATAGTGTTGGAAGTTCTGGCCAGGGCAATCAGGCAGGAGAAAGAAATCAAGGGTATTCAATTAGGAAAAGAGGAAGTCAAATTGTTGCTGTTTGCAGATGACATGATTGTATATTTAGAAAACCCCATCGTCTCAGCCCAAAATCTCCTTAAGCTGATAAGCAACTTCAGCAAAGTCTCAGGATACAAAATCAATGTGCAAAAATCACAAGCATTCCTATACACCAATAACAGACAGACAGAGAGCCAAATCATGAGTGAACTCCCCTTCTCAATTACTTCAAAGAGAATAAAATACCTAGGAATCCTATTTACAAGGGATGTGAAGAATCTCTTCAAGGAGAACTACAAACCACTGCTCAGCGAAATAAAAGAGGACACAAACAAATGGAAGAACTTTCCATGCTCATGGAGAGGAAGAATCAATATCGTGAAAATGGCCATACTGCCCAAGGTAATTTATAGAGTCAATGCCATCCGCATCAAGTTACCACTAACTTTCTTCACAGAATAGGACAAAACTACTTTAAAGTTCATATGGAATCAAAAAAGGGGCTGCATTGCCAAGACAATCCTAAGCAAAAAGAACAAAGCTGGAGGCATCAGGCTACCTAACTTCAAACTATACTACAAGGCTATACTACAAGTAACCAAAACAGCATGGTACTGGTACCAAAACAGAGATATAGACCAATGGAACAGAACAGAGGCCTCAGAAATAACACCACACATCTACAACCATTTGATCTTTGACAAACCTGAGAAAAACAAGAAATGGGGAAAGGATTCCCTATTTAATAAATGGTGCTGGGAAAACTGCCTGGCCATATGTAGAAAGCTGAAACTGGATCCCTTACTTACACCTTATACAAAAATTAATTCAAGATGGATTAAAGACTTAAATGTTAGACCTAAAAACCATAAAAACCCTAGAAGAAAACCTAGGCCTTAGCATTCAGGACAAAGGCATGGGCAAGTACTTCATGACTAAAACACAAAAAGCAATGGCAACAAAAGCCAAAATAGACAAATGGAATCTAATTAAACTAAAGAGCTTCTGCACAGCAAAAGAAACTACCATCAGAGTGAACAGGCAACGTACAGAATGGGAGAAAATCTTTGCAATCTACCCATCTGATAAAGGGCTGATAGCCAGAATCTACAAAGAACTTAAACAAATCTACAAGAAAAAACCCCATCAAAAAGTGGGCAAAGGATATGAACAGACACTTCTTAAAAGAAGACATTTATTCAGCCAACAGACACATGAAAAAATGCTGATCATCACTGGTCATCAGAGAAATGCAAATCAAAACCACAATGAGATACCATCTCACACCAGTTAGAATGGCGATCATTAAAAAGTCAGGGAACAACAGATTCTAGAGAGGATGTGGAGAAATAGGAACTCTTTTACACTGTTGTTGGGAGTGTAAACTAGTTCAACCATTGTGGTAGACAGTGTGGCAATTCCTCAAGGATCTAGAACCAGAAATACCATTTGACCCAGTGATCTCATTACTGGGTATATACCCATAAGATTATAAATCATGCTGCTATAAAGATACATGCACACATAGGTTTATTGTGGCAGTATTCACAATAGCAAAGACCTGGAACTAGCCCAAATGTCCGTAAGTGATAGACTGGATTAAGAAAATGCGGCACACATACACCATGGAATACTATGCAGCCATAAAAAAGGATGAGTTCTTGTCCTTTGCAGGGTCATGGATGAACCTGGAAACCATCATTCTGAGAAAACTATCACAAGGACAGAAAACCAAACACTGCATGTTCTCACTCACAGGTGGGAATTGAACAATGGGAACACTTGGACACAGGGTGGGGAACATCACACACTGGGGCCTGTTGTAGGGTGGGAGGTAGGGGAGGGGTAGCATTAGGCAAAATACATAATGTAAATCACGAGTTAATGGGTGCAGCAAACCAATATGACACATGTATACCTATGTAACAAACCTGCATGTTGTGCGCATGTACCCTAGAACTTAAAGTATATATATATATATAAAAAGAAAATAATCGATCTTGGCCAATGTAGGGTTTTCCAGCTGCTTTATTCATATATGGTTATTGCATGGTGTTGTAAATGGAATAACGGCCCCCAGAGATGACGCCATACTAATCCCTGCAACATGGATTACCATAACTTGCAAGATGTTACCTTACATGAATAAACAGACTGTGCCGCTATCATTAGGAGTCTAGTTGCCCTGAAACTTTATTAACTTTCCACAGTGTTCGTGAGCTACCATTCAACCTTAGGCACAGAGTGTTCTGCTGAATTCTTTCACTTTGGAGACTCTGACTTGGTCCATCTGTCCATCTACTCTGATAACCTCAATATGTTGTCTTGTGCTTTTGGAATAAGCAACGGGCAGAAAGGGAAAGGCAGCAATATTCTGAGAACTTGAACAATAAGATATGTGCTTTTTCTGATTAAATAAAATGTGCTAAATTTTGAAACAAGTTTATTTTGACAACTTAGTTTCTAAATGTCATTGCCCACTAAATGGAACCAGGACTTATTGGAGGTATGGCTGATTCTAGTTCTGGGGCAGTGGAAACATGAGTTAAGCCTGGGATATTTTTTGTGTCACAAAGCAACCGAATTGTTCAAAGACTAACAAAATCTTACAGACTGTACACAGAGCCAGCTTGTATGGGTTACGCTGGCCAAACTTAATTTGTCAAGCTTCTAAAATATAATTGTTGGTCTGACAATAGCCATCATCTCTCAAAATGAAGAGAGCTTGTTCATGACATGAACAGGTATGGATAAGAGAAAGCATGGAAATATTTATACCATAACTGAAGCCTATACATTTTGAACCCTTTTCAATCACTGGAATTTTCTAGTGTTAGTAACATTTGTTATTTTTTTTTTTTGCAAATGTTAATAATGTTTTAACCCCTTGTAATTGAAAGAGACCATGACGTAACTGTTTACTGAAAAACTATCGCAGTTCCAGCTGTTTTAAAAAGACTCCATTTCTAGAGGTTTAAATTTCATTTTGCTTTACTTTGTTTTGTTTTTCTAGTGGGGAAGGGTCTCACTTTGTTGCCTGGGTTGGAGTGCACTGGTGCAGTCATAACTCACTGAAGCTTTGAACTCCTATTTCAGCCTTGCCAGTGGCGGGGACTACAGGTGCACATCACTGTGCCTGGCTCTAGAGGTTTAAATTAAGAGTTGAAGATGTGGAATAATATTTGATAACATAACATCTTTTGAAAAACCTACCACAGATTCTATTTCTTGATAGGATGGAGTAGCTGCTATCAACATAGCATCCCACTGAAAAAAAATTTAGAAAATTTTACAAAATTTATTTTCAGAATGCTGGAAATCACCCAGTACAGAACTGTGATGACTGAAAAAAGGAAAAAACCCTCAATACTTCAAAATAATAAAGCAAAGTCAATGAAAGCCCAGCTGTTTATTGGGAAGCCTTTTCTAGACTGTGCAAGGAGGGAGAACCCAGGAAGAACTCAGTGGTCTTCTTTAGTTGAGACTAGTAAGGTCAGTCTTGGTGACTATGGTGGCCAGAAGTTACTGGACATAGTAGCAGAGAGAAAGTGGTATGAAGAGAAAGACTATGGAAGTTTCCTTGAGTGTTTGGTTGAATACTGAGGTGTGTAAGCATAGGATGGAATCGCATTGGGCTGGGCAAAGAACAATTACTGAAGAGCTATAAAGATGAAGAATTACAAGAGTTCACACAGGACTGTGAGGTGCCATCATTTATACCACAGGCTTCCAAAAGAATCGTTTTCCAAATTCTAAGCCGCTCACAAATACACATACCTCTCAGAAGTATGGACTTTTTACAACTTAGAAAATGATTTATTGACTCAAGCATATTAATTTAAATAAAGATAAATATTAAAAACTTCCTTATAAGACATTTTAACTGTAATTGGACTAATTTGCACTTTAATACCTCAGTTTTGTAACCATTTATTGTCAACTAACCTGACAATATAAACAACAAACAGTTGTTACATTAATGGATTATCTTCAAAGTGTATTCTTCTCTAATATTTCTTCTTATTACGTACATTTGATTTATATAGGTAGGCAAACTATGTTATTGCACATCTACTTAGACACAATTGGAACCGAAAATCAAATAAATAATGATAGAAGTAGTGGTGAAACCTATATTTAACCTATATTTAATCTATAAACTATAGATTTATTTCTTTAAATAATTAGCAAAACTGAGAGAGTGGTATTTTGCTTACTAGTGAAGCTGCATATGGGAGGAGTGGACCAGCCCCGTTCTACACACGAAATGTTTTTCTCATTGTTTTGAAGGCTGTATCCTGTGTTGCAAATAATTTGTACAGTATCACCTTCCAGATGTATTAGTCCTGAAGATTCAGAATGACCATTTTTCACAAAAGGAAAGGAACACATTCCTAAGGAACAAAAATTGATTAATGTACAAGATGGAAGTAGCAAAAAAAGTGCATTTAAAAATATTTCATTAAGAAAGGAAAACTTTGAAAACTGACATCATGTGTAAATATTTTCAAAAGAATTTGGGTCATGCTACCGTATAAATGATGAAATATATTTTTTGTTCCTATATATATATATACGAAAGTTAATATTTCATGTTGTTGCTGTATGGTTTTTATAATAAAAATCTTGTGTTTATAAACTCTTCTAGCACCAAAACAATATCTTCATATAAATATTTCTCGCAATTCTCATAAATGTTTCTTACAAAAGGAGAAAGACCATTACTATCTCCTTTGTTGCCTCATCTATTCTCTCTCCCATTGTTTTTCTTTTTTAATGCACCTGTTATCATTGGAGTCTGGTCTCTACATTTATTGGAGGATTAATATAGCTACACTTTGAAGGACCAAATAAATGATTTATTGAAAATATAAAAGTTAAAATACCAAACCTTACCTCGCAATATGCAAGAGAACGGTAAATTCAAAACAGAATATCTATATAAAATGACTTATTTTAAAGGAAAACTATGATCAGGCTGCTACCGAATGAATATTAGTAAAGAACTATTAGCAGTCAAATATATTAATCATCAGTTTAAAAAAATTAATGTATTTCAACATGTAGGGCATTTCCAGGTAATGCAAGACAGTTGATATATTTATTCTTCATTGATTCTCATAGGAGGGGTCTCAAAATAGGAGGACTACATCTCCCATTTTTCCAGCTCCTCTGGTCATTGCCCTTGTGATTATCAAGACCTTATGATCTTGTCCGGCACATCCTTCTCTATTCACTGAATGACATCCATTTAATGAACAGGGCATTTACTCACTGAGACACTTCGGTGTTGGTGACCATCCTTCTTCTGTGCATGTTATGCGAGTCCAAAAGGATTTTGAAGGAGACACAAAATTATATTCACAGGAGTAATAGAAAACTTCCCCTGTAGGAACTTGGGAAAAAGGGTTATAATCTTCTTCATCATACAGAAATCCATGGTGTATTTTTGGAAAATCACAAAGTGTTCCTGGGAAAAATAACACAAAACTGAAGAATTAAATAAAGAGCTACATCGATGAATCACTAGATTATATTTTAGTCATCTCATTTATAGTTTTGTTTTTCATTCAGCTTAAATGCCTTTAGCTTAAATGCTTTCCAGTGTACTAATTTGGAATGAAGAAAGATCCCTAAATAAGAATAGAAGAGTATTTGAGGAGATCTTTTTTTTTTTGAGAGGGAGTTTCAGGTTTTACTCTTGTTGCCCAGGCTGAAGTACAATCACGCAAATCTTGGCTCACTGCAGCCTCCACTGGGTTCAAGTGATTCTCCTGCCTCAGCCTCCTGAGTACCTGAGATTACAGGTGCCTGCCACCACACCTGACTAATTTTTTGTATTTTTGGTAGAGACAAGGTTTCACCATATTGGCCAGACTGGTGTCAAACTCCTGACCTCAGGTGATCCATGCGCCTCGGCCTCCCAAACTGCCGGGATTACAGGCATGAACCACCATGCCGGACCGACGAGGTCATTGTTAATGAATATAAAATTTATATTTTGGAATGATATGAAATATGAACTCTTCTGCAATGTCTTCAAGAACAATATCCTCACACAACAATTTAAGAATGAAGGCAGACTGTAAGAGTAGCAAATCTCCCTGGTCTATGTAGTGTACAGTAGAGGAGTGATAGGATTGTTCTCAGCTCTCAGATTTATTTCTTTTTCTATTCTCATCAACTGTCATAGGTATTTCCACCAGAAAAATCTGTCCTATTTTTTTTTCTGGTGCAGTAAAAATGTTGGGTAGGTAATTTGATTTTTTGTTTATTAATATTCTGATTACTTTCTGGTTACAAAGTTTATGTGGTTTCAGTGGAAATAATTTAAAGAGTATAAGAAAATCACTAAGAACAACTCAACCGAGATAAAATTAGAGCTAAATTCTGGTAAATGCTGTATACATAAATGTTTATTATACTGCAAGTCCAAAATATCTGAAAAAGAAAAAACAATAAAAAGATAATAAAACAATAAAAACAATGCAATTAAAAATACAATATAACAATTATTTATATAGTATTTACATTATGTTAGATATTATAAATAATCTAGAGATGATTTAAATTATATGAGAGGATGTGCATATGTTATATGCAAATACTACGCCATTCTCTCTTAGAGACTTGAGCATCTGTGGATTTTGGTATCTGCTGGGGGTGAAAAGAGTCCTGGAACAATTCCTTAAGGATACTAATGATACTGAGGATACTACTGGATATATTTATATAGACACTCACACATACATCCATATGCACTATGGTGCAAGATATGGTAAAACAATGTAGAAAATGGGTGAAATATTCATGTTTTGACTCTATTTTTTCTTGTGTATATATATATTTATATATACACATATTTTTTATTAGACTTAATTTTTTATTTACAGTTTTTTTACTGTAAAATTGAGTGGAAGGTACAGAGATTTCCTATATACCACTTCCTCTTCCCTGCCACATGAATAGCCCCCTTCACTATCAGTATTATTGTCATTAAAGCCCATAGTTTACATTAGGGTTTACTCTTGATATTGTACATTCTATGGATTTGATGTACTTTATCTTTGAATGCTGTTTTAGCTCGAGATATTTCCTCAATATAGTGTGCTCATTTTTTAGCTCAAGATATTTCCTGAATATAGCATTGCTGCATAAGAAATTGTTTTGTTTTTCACCTTATTTAGAAAAAGCATGCAGAAATTCAGCTGACAAATCAAGGGAAATTTCTCTTTTTTAACTACCTAGAAGTAATATTTAATGTTGCACAATATTTGAAATAATTCTTGTGGTATTTAACCTTGTGAAACCTTAAATTTATTACCTAACTGTTTAAAAATTGACATTAGATAGTTTTGGAGAAGATACTGAGGGAAAGACTCCCTCGTGTCTTGATAGTATTAACCTATCATAACTCCTTTTAAATATCATTTACTTTTTGAAAATTGCAAAATTATAGTACTTGATTTTCATGCATATGTACTTACATATTCTTCGCTATCCAGAATAACTTAGTTCTCACCATCCAGTTGTATTCTACCTATCCTTTAGAACTTGCTCTACAACATTCATCGTATAACCATTGTGCACATCCGCAATGGTGCTAGGAGTGTTATCGTCCTTTGGCAAGCCTGCCGTTACACAACAACCCACTCCAAAAGCAGAAAATAATTTTCCTTGTCTCGACATTCTGATAGAATACTGTGAATATATTTCTTCTGGGATACACACACACACACACACACACACACACACACACACACGTATATATACAGACATACAGTCATTTACCACATAATGACGTTTTGGTCAATGACTGATCACTTATATCACAGTGGTCCCATAAGATTATAATGTAGCTGAAAAATTCCTATCAACTGATGACCACCACAACATCATAATCCAATGTATTACTCACATGTTTGTGGCAGTGCTGGTATAAACAAACTTACAGCATTGCCAGTCATATAAACAATAGCACACACAATTATGTATAGTACACAATACTTGATAATGATAATAAATGACCATGGTACTGGTTAATGTATTTAATGTACTATAGTTGTTATCATTATTTTATAGTTCACTTCTTCTACTTATTAAAAAAAAATAACTGTAAAACATCCTCAGGCGGGTCCTTCAGGAACTATTCCAGAAGAAGGCTTTGTTATCATAGGAGAGGACAGCTCCATGCATGTTACTGCCCTAAAGACCTTCTAGTGGAACAAGAGTGAGGAGGAAGACAGTGATACTGATGATCCTGACCCTCCGTAGGCCGAGGTTAATGTGTGTGTTTGTGTCTGCTTTTAACAAAAAGGTGTAGAAGGTAAATAAATAAATAATTTAAAAGATAAAAATCTTACAGAATAAGGATAGAAAGAAAAAATATTTTGTACATCTATACAAGGTGTGTTTTAAGCTAAAACAAAAGAGTTACAAGTTAAAAGATTTTCAGTTGATAAAGTAGAAAGCTTATCATAAATTAATTTATTATTGAAGAAAAGTTTTAAAAATAAATTTAGTCTATCCTGGGTGCACCAGAAGCTCAGTAATTAGCACTAAAGAACTTATCCATGTAACCAAAAACCACCTGCTCCCCCCAAAATATTGAAATAAATATATAAATAAAATAAATTTACCTAGCTCAAGTATTCAGTGTTCATGAAGTTTACAGTAGTGTATGGTAATGTGCTAAGCCTTCATATTTGCACACCACTCACTCAGTGACTTACCCAGAACAACTTTCAGTCCTGCAAACCCTATTGACGGTAAGAGCCCTATACAAGTCTGCCATTCTTAATATTTTATATTGTATTTTTATTGTACCTTTTATATGTTTAGGTAAACACATTCTTACATTTGTGCTACAGTTGCCCACAGTATTCAGTACAGTAACATGCTGTACAGGTTTGCAGTCTAGGAGTGACAGGCCGTATAGCTTAGTTAGGTAGTAGGCTATACAATCTAGGTTTGTGTAAGTACACTCTATGATGTTTGCAGGAGGACGAAATTGCCTATAGACACACTTCTCAGAACGTTTTCCTATCATTAAGTGATGTATGAGTGTACACACACACACACACACACACACACACACAGACAATTACCTATATATAAAACCTTGCAATTTATTTGCCTATTTACATTTTGCTTTTCTTTTAGGACACTCTAAGTAGTAGTGAGGGGTGGGTGGCGTTGTCATATTCTTTCCAGCTTCTTTGCTACAGCATGAAGCACAATATATTGCTTGATTCATGTTTTGCTACTGGAAGCATGCAGTTTTCTATTTGTACAAAAGTGTTGCTTTCGTCTGTTATTTCTGCTGTTTGGCCAGTTTCTAAATAGACACCAAAACAAAAGTGTAATGCACACTTACAGGTCATTTAACACCTAGACAACTTTTAATAGAATTTCACTAAAGTTTATCCTGGGACTGGACTGAAGCTTGAAAGTTTTGTGGGGTTAGGAATTGTCAAAATTCTACATATTATCCTCATAATTTTCACTTATCTTCCTCTGCTTCCACCCCCCTTTAGAAATCCTTGTGTAATGCCATTTGTAACAGATGTTTAAGCCACTTAATAAATATCATAAACACAGACTTAAGAAAAATCAAATACACTCATGCAATCGCACTCTTGTGATTATAGCTCAGTACTAAAAGTGAAAACAAAATAAAATGAATTTTAGGCCCATAGAAATAATGTTTTGCAACATTTGTAAGGGCATATCTTAAAAAGAAAGCATTTTATGGTTCATATTTTTCTCTTATGTCAGGACTGAGAAGAAAGTGTTCAAAAAATTTAAAGATCTGTAAACATTAGAAAGCAGTAAAGCAGTAAAATAAAAACTTTCTGGAAATCAAAGAGTATATAGCACAATGATTGAAACTTCACGTACACACATAGTTTAATCAGTATCCTAGACCTTGTTAGAGATTTTGTTTGCAATCCTTTTGATATAGTGGCTTTAATTTCCACATGAAATAAAATGGGATAGTTTATAATGTTATAAGAATCAGTTTATAGTATTAATAAAGAAGTGATATATTATTTCACTTTTGAAATTTGTGGAAGAGCTCAGAAGAAACAATTTTTTGGCAGTTCACTGGTTTATATATAAAAATAATATTTTCTATTGTTTCATTAAAATATATTTCCCTGTTGAATGATAATTAGGCTGAAATGAGAATTCCTTCATTTTAATAACATTTAAAATGTAAATTATCAAATCTATGAAAATAAAATTCTCAAAACATAATGAAGGTGGCCAAATCTTTTGGGGTTGATTTTTCTAGTCAGTGGCATTGCAGAGTTTATGCAGAATTACACTAATATTTCACCTTGTCATCTTTATTATAGCAGATTTTCTCTCCTTTGATTTCTCTTTACATTATCTATTTGGTGACCATTTACCCTTAGCAAACTAGAGAACGGAGAGAATTAATTTCATTCAATTTTCCTGCTAATTGCATGTTGGAAAATATTTCCAGAAAATAGATGAATATTGTGATACCCCTTCAAATTATCCTCAGCTATTTATTCATTTAAAAATATTTGTATGCATACACACACACAATCAATAAATACATTTGAAAAGGAACTAAAATATTCGGATCTGTTTTCAACTTACCTTCTCCCCCAACAGTGGATACCCATGAGATTAGGATTACACTGAATAAGAGCAACATGCTTGGTAGTCTCAATCGTATATAACTAAAAATACTCCAGTGATGGTGGTGTTGCTTTAAATCTGCTTTCATTAACAGTTACAAGCATGACTTTGAATTTCAATGTACTAAGGGGAAGCTAGTTTAGTAAAGCCCTTTGTGGAAAACATCAAAGTTCATGGAGGGTTGTGTGAAATAAGCAAATAGTATCTAATCAGTGTCTTCACAATAATATTCTCAGCTCGTTATGTAATATTTATTTAAGCAAAATAACTGCTGTTCAATTTCCTTGTTGTAGTCACCGAGTCTCTGAGTTTGGAACAATCAGAAATGGACTGTTTAGAGGAGAGAGGAAGCTCCCCACCGCCGGCCCCCTGGGTTTTTTTTTTTTTTCTAGCCAAGGGTTCAGCTGTTTCAAAAGGCAAGCAAGTGCAAGTCATCAGTCCTCATCTTAATACAACAATATCACTTTTGTAGTTGTAAATTCCCTTTTAAAACTGGCACTAAGAATTAGGTACCTTCTTAACAGTTTTAATATTTCATAAACTATAAAAGGTCTAATCAAGAATTATTTTTGCTGGCCGGGCGCAATGGCTCAAGCCTGTAATCCCAGCACTTTGGGAGGCCGAGGCGGGTGGATCACAAGGTCAGGAGATCGAGACCATCCTGGCTAACACGGTGAAACCCGTCTCTACTGAAAAATACAAAAAAAATTTAGCCAGGCGTGGTGGCGGGCGCCTGTAGTCCCAGCTACTCGGGAGGCTGAGGCAGGAGAATGGCGTAAAACCGGGAGGCAGAGCTTGCCGTGAGTGGAGATCGCGCCACTGCACTCCAGCCTGGGCGACAGAGCGAGACTCTGTCTCAAAAAAAAAAAAAAAAAAAAAAAGAATAATTTTTGCCAAGTAACGTTTCCTGAAATGTTTGAAGAACAGAATTATAATTCAAAATCATTTTGTTCAGGTGGGACTTCGAGAATGGCTATGTGAGGGTCTTGGTATATTCACTCCCAACCAAAAGGCAGCAATAAAACTGGATAAAAATTTAAAAGTAACCATTGGTTGTCTCTGGAAATTGGCCAAACAGCATAATGTTGGGAAATATTTTTTCCAGAAAGTCTCCATAAAATTCAGTAAAAGAGAGCGGATGCTTTCATCCACCTCTGTCTCGCAGCCCAATTCCGTGGCTCAGAAGTTGAACCCTGGATGGGCAGGCAGGCTATGTGGACTGGAAGCTCTGCTCCCCTGCTGGAGAAGAGTGACTTTATAGCTTGGAAAGGTCCATGCCCGAGGATCCTATTGAATACAAAGAGATTACAGTGGGAAACAATCAGAGAAGACTAGAGGATACTAGCTGAAGCAAGCAACAAAGTGCCCAGCCTGAGAGAAATTTAACATTTAATGGGGAAATTTACAGAAACAGCCTAATGATCTCACTAAGAGGAAACTTACTTATGGTGGTTCAGAAGTCAATGGGAATGCACATAGCTATGTCCAATCAAGAAACCAGAGAAGTCCCTGTGAGCTATTAGTAGTCTCCACTATTGATTCTAGTCTATCTAAACCTTGTCATTTCCAATTACTACACTACCTAAAGTATCTAAATATTAAGCATCACACTCTAGACCATTTCAACAATCTTTTTAGCTCACTTACTCTACTAAATTTGTTCCAAACATTCAATGACCCTGACACTTTTTCACTATTCTCTTCCCTTCATTTTCTCTCTTCCCACCACATCTAAATTAGATTCCATGGCTCATCACTGTCAGTCAGTCCCTTGCACACACTCTCCTGCCCATTCGTTCCTTTCTATCTGTAATCCAAGTCTTAGAAAACCTCAATCCTTTGCAAATAAATTCTCTACCTGCCCTGTGCCTGAATTGAAGCAGCAGAGTGTGTCTACAAGAAAAACAAAGGCAACTGTGCTGACTTGCCTTGCTTTAAATTAATGAACACGGTCCTAAATAATTTCCACACTGCTTTTCCCCTCTCCTGTTTTCATTATCTCCCTCCTTAACCACCAATCCTCACTTTGTGCTTTGCTAATGACTTCATTTATTTTTTCATCTAGATATAGAATCAATCAGAAGAAAACTACCTGCTGTTCACACGCATCCTTTTCTGCATTGTCTCTTGCTTCACTGGATGTTGATCTTTACTCCTATCTTGTTATGGTCTCTACCAGATTTGATCCCATCTTTTCTGTGCAAGGATTTTGCTCTTTCAATTATTCCTTCTCACCTGTATCATTAATTTCTCCATTTTCCAAATTATTTCCACCAATATGCAAACATACCAAACATCTTTCATCATGAAGAGCAACAACAAAAGCTCAAAAATTGTTCATAGAACCCAAATCTCTTTCTAGTAATCTAATTCACTTCTCATTTTATAATACGATGACTCCAATGTTATCTACAATCTCTACTTTAATTCATTTTTTCATTCCCAACACTACGCTTAAACCCCTCTTGTAACAGTCACCAATGCCTTCTTCAATCTAATCAAATCCATTGGTCAAAACTGAATACTCAGAAAAATTTCATGACTTTCCCCTTCCATTTGGAAATACCTGCTTCACATGGTCTATGGAACACCACATTCTCCTGGTTTCTCTTCTGTCTCAAAGGCTTCACCATCTCAGTCTTTTGTTGGCTTCTTCTAATCTCTGTGACCTTTAAACATTGGTTTGTCTGAATCCAGGGGATGTTATTTATTTGTAAGCACAGAGTTAATTTTCACAGAGCTAGTGCCGATTTTTAGTTGAATTAACACTATCTTCTCTTGTCTATTTTTTTTGAAGCCCAGTACTCAACAATTATTCTCCTTTTTATTTGCTGAATATTTCTCCTAATTCAGAAACTTAGATTGCCCTTTTTTGTTTGTTTCTTGTTCTGAGTAATTTCAGGAGATTATGCCCTCCTGCAAACATTAGCAACAAATAAAAGGAGAAGGAAACTATACTTGATAAGAAATAAAAGGGCAGTTTAGAAAATAACTTTGTCTTCAATTTTGTGGCCAATTTTATTTTGAAAGATGCTCACTCCACTGTGTCTCATCTCACTTGTTCTTCTGCCATGTGATTTTGCCATGATCCTATCAAGATTTGGAATCACATTTCCCTCATTTTGAAAATCTGTACTTTTTAGTGGCATGCTTTTGTTGATACAATACAGTGGTAGTGACTCTGCTAGATATTAGAGAGTTATGGGTTTATATTTTGGAAGACTATCTCTCTGACACTATCTTGGAAGCCTTTTGCCATTTGGCAAGAAGTTCAATCTGTATGCAGAAGCCATATGTAAATCTTCTGGTTGATAGTCCCAGTTGGCCCAGGCAATAGCCCAGGTGTCATACAGGTGAGTGACATTTGCAGATTCCAAATCTCAGTTATTTGAGTCCTAACCCATTTAAATCTTTTCACCTGAGGCTCAAATATTGTGGAACAGTTATAAGTCATCACCTCAGTGCCCTGCGTCAATTCCTAACAGTATCTTTAAGTATAATAAAATGATTGCTGTTTTATGCCAATAAGTTTCTTACACAGCATTATAAATCTAGGAAACTGGGACCTCTTTTTTTTGTGGATTCCAGGTTTAGTGCAGGGAAAGTAAATTAAGTCTGAAACTGTTTGTTGTTACAAAAAATATGAAAGGGTTAAAAGGCAAATTATAGCATTCAAATACATATGAAACTGGCTTGTAGAAGTTATTACTGATAAAATTTGAGATAGATTTAAGTATCTCAAAGAAAAATTGCTGAAATTGGTTATAACTCTTGAATATTGAAAATTCTCTTCCCCAAAAGTGCTATAAAAGTAAAACATCCCAGCCTATATAATCCAAATAATTTTTGTTTTGAAATAATCTTAGATTCATATAATAAGTCATAAAAATAGTACAGAGAATGCCCATGTACCCTTTACCCAGTTTCCTCCAATAACTATAACTTCCTGCATCTCTTATATCTATAGTACAATAATTGAGACCAGGAAATTGACATTAGTGCTCTACTACTAACTCAGCTACCAACCTTACTGAATTTCATGGTCTCTCCCATGAACTTGCGTTTGTGTTTGTGTGGTATATTAATTTTGCAACATGTATGCACTCATGTAACCATCACCACAATCAGTCATATGTAGAACTACTCAGTCGTATACAGAACTATTCTATCACCTCCAGAAAACTCCCGTGTGCTGTCCTTTTATGGTCCCCACATTCCCCCACCCCTCATTGCTAGTCATCACTAGTATGTTCTACATAACTGTAATTTAGTCATTTTGAGTGTTATATAAATTGGATTATACAGTAAGTCAACTTTTTGATTTGGATATTTTTCACACAGGGTAATGTCCTTGAAATGTAGCCAAGCTGTTGTATTATAAGTAATTCATTTCTTTTAATTGCTGTGAAGTACTCCATTGTATGGATGTAACATGTTTGTTTATTCTTTCGCTCATCTGAGGACATTTGAGTTGCTTCTACTTTTTGGCTATTACACATAAAGCTATGATGGACAATTTTGTGCAATGTTTTACTTGAACAGCAAACTTGTTCTCGAAGGGTCATATGTTTAGTATTTTAAGGTTGTGAACCATATGGCCTCTGCCACAACTACCTAACTTTGTAGTTATAGAGCCAAAATAATGATAGACAATACATAAATAAAAAGGTGTGGCTCACATCCAATACATCTTTATTAAGAAAATAGATAGCTAGTTCCTAAGATATAGTTTGCCATCTCCTGCCCTATGGTAAACAGTCAGGGGTGAGATTACTGGGTTTTATGAAAAGTGCTATTGAACTCTATAAGAAATTGTCTGTTTTCCATAGTGGCTATGACATTTTACATTTCCACAAGCAATGTATGAGAGATCCATTGTATTGCATTTTCACTTGCACTTACTATTACCAATGTGTTTCATTTAATTTTTTTAAAGCATTTTATTAGATACATAGTAAATCTCATTGTGGTTTTAATGTGTATTCCCTAATGGTTAATGACATTGAATAACTTTTCACATGTTTATTTTCCATCTGAATATCTTTTTTGTTAGATCTGTTCAAGGCTTTGGCACCTTTATTGATTGGATTGTTTTACCTGTGTTTAGAGCATTCTTTATATATTCCATGTATAAGTCCTCTGTCAGATACGTTATTTGCAAATATTTTTTGCTAATAAGTAGCTTATCTTTTCACTCTCATAGAATGTCTTTCATGGATAAAAAGTGTTTAATGTTGATAAAGTATTATTATTATTTCACTCTTTTATGGGTCATCCTTTAGGTGTCCTGTTTAAGAACAATTCCATCAAACCCCAGATCACAAAGATTTTCTCTTCCTCTACAAGTTTGATTGTTTTACATTATGCATTTAGATATAGGAACCATTTGGAGTTAGGTTTTGTAAAATATGTGAGATTAAATCAAAATTAATTTTTTGGCTAAGAAAGTGCTAGTCCCCAACACAATTTGTTGAAAAGAAACTTTTCTCAACCACATGCCACACATTCTCACTTCTAAGTATGAGCTCAATCATGAGAAAACATGAACACATAGAGGGGAACAACACACACTGGGGCCTAATGGACGGTGAAGGGTGGGAAGAGGGAAAGGAATAGGAAAAATAACTAATGGCTACCAGGCTGAATACCTGGGTGACAGAATACTCTGTAAAACTAACTCCCATGAAACAAGTTTACCTATGTAACAAACCTGCACAGGTAGCCCTGAACTAAAAAAAAAAAAAGGATCTTTTCTGTATTGAATTATTTGTGCATCTTTGTTAAAAGTTACTTGAGCATATTTGTGTGGGTCTATTTCTGGATTCTGTATCTGTTCTATTGATTTATGTCTATCCCTCCATCAATACTATATTGTTTCTAATATGGTAGCTATATTTTGAGGCCTCAAATTTGATTTTTGTGATCCTTTCAACTTTATTATTTTAAAAAAATGTTTCAGCCATTCTAACTCCTGTGCATTTTAATATAAATTTAGTATGGAATGATCTATATTTACAAAGAATTCTGTTGAAATTTTAATAAGTAATTATGTTAAGCCTATAGTACAATTTGAGAAAAATTTATTTATTTATCCTGTTGAGTATTCTAGCCCAAGAACATGGTATTGCTCTCTATTTAATTCTTCCTTGATTTTCCTAGGGAATACTTCTTTTCATATTGACAAAAATACATATTAGAAAATAGGTATCAACTATCAAGGCTTTTGTCCATTTTAGAAATAATACAAATATTTCTATGAATAGAAATATTATATTTATTTGTTTTTTCTCCCAAGAGAAATTTGTGGATATGCAGAAATAAAACAAGGACAATTATATGACCTTTTCTGGATTCTGTATCTGTTCTATTGATTTATGTCTATCCCTCCATCAATACTATACTGTTTTTAATATGGTAGCTATATTTTGAGGCCTCAAATTTGATTTGTGTGATCCTTTCAACTTTATTATTTTAAAAAAATGTTTCAGCCATTCTAACTCCTGTGCATTTTAATATAAATTTAGTATGAAATGATCTATATTTACAAAGAATTCTCTTGAAATTTTAATAAGTAATTATGTTAAGCCTATAGTACAATTTGAGAAAAATTTATTTATTTATCCTGTTGAGTATTCTAGCCCAAGAACATGGTATTGCTCTCTACTTAATTCTTCCTTGATTTTCCTAGGAAATACTTATTTTCATATTGACAAAAATACATATTAGAAAATAGGTATCAAGTATCAAGGCTTTTGTCCATTTTAGAAATAATTCAAATATTTCTATGAATAGAAATATTATATTTGGGGAATAGATAGTCCCCAAAGCTTTACGTCTTTCCTTCTCACTTGATTTTCATAAAATGCTCCCAAATAATATAAGGGCTACATCTGTCATCTCTTCAGGCTCTTTTAGACCTTGCCCCTGTCAAGACACAGATCCCTTTTGAGGCATCCCTCTCTACTCACCGAATGATTTATGCAGATAATGATCAGGGCATTTACTTACTAAGACACTTCACTGTTGATACCCATTCTTTCTCTGTGCATGTTACGTGAGTCTATAGGGGATTTGAAGGAGATACAAAGCTATATTCACAGGAGTAATAGAACAGTTTTTTTTTCTTGTGAACTGGTAAAGTTGGTTTATATTTATCTTGGTCATATAATTGTCCTTGTTTTATTTCTGCATATCTACAAATTTCTCTTGGGAGAAAAAAACAAATAAATATCCTGAATTAAAGAATATACAGCTTATATTTCAATGATGTCATTGATGCATTTTATTCATTTAACTCATTACCACTTGTCGTTAGTGATTAAGAAACAGAGAACTATATGTAACCCAGAATGCAAAAGTATTTAATAACATCATTGTTAAAGAAGACACTATAACATTTTTGGAGTCAAATCAAGTGTAAACTCTTTTGAAGTGTCTCCAAGAAGATAACAATACAGAACAACACAAAAATCAAGGTAGAGGATCTGAGTAGCTTTATACTGCAGTCCTCTCATGCCTAAGATTTACGTAGGTTGGGATAAGAGTACAGATTTTAAATCTCTATTCAATTCCGTTCTCCTTTCTTTTCTTTGCCTGTCATGAAATCTTTTAGCAGAAAGCCGAGCCGTGTCTGCCCCTGCTAGTTCAGCTAAGATACTGCCTGGGTAAGTTTTTTATACTATCATTTTTCTGACTGTAAACATAATGTACTTTCAGTGAAGAAAATTTAGAATGAACAAAGAATCATAAAACAAGGAAGCAAAAGCTCACCCCAAATAAAAAATCCGAGATATAATTACAACTGGATTATGATGAATAGAAAATAGGTATGTACATGTGTATACATTTGTATATATTGTGATGGCAAAATATGAAAATAATTTAGAATTGGCATTGTCTCTAGAAAAATAGATCTGTGTGGATATAACACATCATATAAGCAACATATAAATAAATATTAATATATAAATAAAAATGTAATATATGGTAAAGAACTATAAATAATTTGTATGTCAACACATAGTTTATGTACATTACTCCACAATTAATGTTTATCACAGTTTTAAGATATCATTTGATAGGATGAAAATTTTTTTCAACAAGTTTCCTAATAAAAAGACCAAATCTGAAATATTTACTTAAGTAAAGAGAAAAACCAATCTTCAAAGACCTGAAGCTAAATCCTATTAAACTTTTAATTAGGCCAGTTGCAGTGGCTCACACCTGTAATCTCAATACTTTGGGAGGCCGAAGTGGGCAGAATACTTGAGGCCAGGAGTCTGAGACCAGCTTGGTTAACATGGCGAGTCCCTGTCTCTACTAAAAATATAAAAAAATTAGCCGGGACTGGTAGCGCACTCCTGTAATCCCATCTACTTAGGATGCTGAGGCACGAGAATCTCTTGGACCCGGGAGGTGGAGGCTGCAGTGAACCAAGACCGTGCCGCTGCACTCCAGCCTGGGCAACAGAATGAGGCCCTGTCTAAAAGAAAAAACCTTCAGAAACTTTTAATTAATTAATTTATGCACATATTAAGTACAAACATTAAATTATTTCTAAAATTCTATATAATGTTACTAACTACAACACATTTTATTTTCATCTTTTTTGTTTGTTTTGTGTTCTCTGTTTTTGGTGCCCATTGTGTTTCATCAGTTAATAAGGTTTTTTTTGTTTTGTTTTTTGTTTTTTGTTTTTTTTGAGGCAGAGTCTTGTTCTGTTGCCCAAGCTGAAGTGCAGTAGTGGTGTGATTTTGGCTCACTGCAGCCTCTGCCTCCAAGGTTCAAGTGATTCTCCTGCCTCAGCCTCCTGAGTAGCTGGGACTACAGGCACGCACCACCATGCCCAGCTAATTTTTGTATTTTTAGTAGAGACACGGCTTCACCATGTTGGCCAGGATGGTCTTGATCTCCTGACCTCATGATCTGCCTGCCTCAGCCTCCCCAAGTGCTGGGTTTGACTTGAGCCACCGCAGTACAGACTTGTACTTGTACTTGAGCCACCTCAAGTACAGACTTGAGCCATCGCAGGTGATAAGTTTTAATGGATAATTATTTGACTTTTAATCTCCTAACTGAGCAAAGAAATGAGAACAGGTTGTGATGTCCTACTCCCACTATTTTCCTCCAGGGATCACGTAAGATGATCATGCAAGAGTTTACTTAATACATAGCCTTCTCCCTTGCTGAGAGCTCCAGGGTTCTCCAGCTGTACTCCATAAAGTCCCTGCCATACATCCCATCTTTACTTACAGAACATATTCTTCCTACCGACACTCAGGACCAAACCATTTTAGAAATATGTCTTATAGCAGAACTGTGCAAGTTAACTAAAAATGCTCTCAGATGTTTTATATCACGTTTTGTGCCCTGAAACTAATTTACAAATGGTTGCTAATGGAAAACACCTTCATTACCTTCTTCAGCCTTTTTTCAACTCAATCAGGATAACTTTTTGTTTCCAAAACAGTCCAGCTTTACGCTTTCTCCTTTCTTTGTCTCTCAATCACTTTCAATAGTTTTCTATTTTCTTGAATATTTGTGGATAGTTTTAAAAATCATTTAAGAACTGTATAGAAGATTTTACATTTCATATTATATTTGAAATCATTAATATTATTTTGATTATTTTAATGTATGCTTACTTATAACTTCTATAATATAATTTATTATCTTTTTGGATAGTGAAACTTCTCTCAGTTTTTCTTGTTGTAATGGAGTTGCAGGAAAATTAATTGTACATGATATTTTAAAAATTTATTACATAAATTTTAAGTAGTAAAAAGGAAATGACAAAATATTAGTGCATTTTTAGGGTTCTGGCTAAACCTCAGCATTTTGTTTATAAATCCATACGTATCTGTTTATGCTGACTCAAACTATGTATATGTAAACTGATTTTACCATAACTGTATAGGCTTAAATATTTAATCTTACTAATTTTATAATTAAACATTCTACTGTTCTTTTCAAAATTACTTAAATTAATTTGAACACTTTCCATTTACTTGTTGACTATTGTGCTTTAACTGTGTGAATTATTTATGCTTGTACTTTTCTACTGGAACATCATTGCTTTTCTCAATAATTGAATCAGTTTTTAACGTTATAATTTTTCTATCATACATGATTTGCATGAAATTTTCAGATAATTTTTTCTTGAATTTGATGTTTATTTGGGCTACAAAGCCCATTTTTGTATTCTCAAATATTTTAGTATTTCACCTTTGTGAAGTAACAAACCTGATACTTTAAGTATTTCTTATGTGTTGATAAATGTGAAATTCATTTCATATGGCTATTGTACTAGATATTACAAAAATTAAACACAGTAGAAACTGATGTCTGAAATAGCTCTTCTACCTGAACATTATATATTGTTAACTCCCGACTGTAATCCAGGATCCACACTCATGAAACCATGGTCCGTCTGTCTATGCATCTCACTTGCTTAAAATCCATCAGTGGCTCGCTGATCACTCTCTGAGTAAAGTTCAGTCTCCTTGTCAGGTCTATAAAATCTTTTCTGATTCCTCCCTACCTCACATCACCCATCACAATGAATTTTCTGAGTTCTAGTCATGCTGATTTTTTGAAGCTTCGCAGTTATGCTTTTTCTTTTTCTTGTTGGTCTTTCACATTCTGTTTCTCCTAAGTGTTGATTTTGTCCATGTCTACCTACCAAAGTTATATTCAAGTTTGAATCTCACATGAAATGTCATTTCCTTTCAGATCTATTTCCTGGCCTCCAAGAAAGTGTTTATTTCTTCTCTACATTAGTATAGTGTCTTCCATCCTTTACTATTAATGTGCTTATTATATTGCTATAATTTTTATATGTCTACCCTGTGGGGTTTTGTATCTGCTGTATCTATAAGCTCCTTCATCTCACTGCTGCTTACCTGTGTGATCAATGTGCTGGAGAAAAGATTTTTGTTACACAGACTGATACAAAATGAAGAAGCAGGTTTCTACTAATCATGCTTTATTTTTCCTTTGAGTAATATTAATGATAATAACAGCTTCATTGATTTACTGCATACTTACTATATGGTTATAGATATTGTTGAATACCCACTACACTGAAAACTATTTACATACATTTATGAATTAAAATCTGATTTCAAAGATGTTATCTCCATTTTGCAGATGAAACTCAGAGATAGGGACATGCTTCCTATACCTATACATTATTTAATCAGTGAAGCAGTATTTAATGAAAGACATAGACATTTATTGAGATAGTTTTCACGTAGAAGTATTTTATTTGCTTTTATATATATTAAGTTGTTTAGTCTTACCAGGTGGTAAGAATGTTGGTGTTGGATTGCTGAAGAAATTCACAGGACTCAAGCAGCTTATACTCAAAAAAGGGCTGTATCACAGGCAAAGGGCACAGCAACAGTAGGAGAGGGTTGTTTGTTGAGGGATCCATCCATGGAACTCACACACAGACTTCTTTGTCCTACCACCACTGGGTCATACAGGATGCATTTTATCTCCAGATACAAACCACATCAGCATGTGTGTGTGTGAAACCTGAATTTCCTTTGTTTCACTGAAGCATATGCTGTACATCACTCCAGTAACGATGTTGCTCAAGCCTGCTGCCTCCCAGATCCGTGGCATTTTGCTCTAGAAATGGTAGGGTCTTAGAGAGACAATTTATTTCACTCTTACAGGTGTCTGAATAAAAGGTAAGAGAGAAAATTATTTTCTTGCTCTAAGGCTGTCGTAAACAAAGCTATGTTTGATTTTCCCTTTTAATAGTTACATAACTATTCCCTTTTAATAGTTAATACATAACTATTCCCTTTTAATAACTATTCCCTTTTAATAGTATATTTGTGAGATATCTTATTTAGGTAATTATGCCACTTTCTTTTTATCTATCACTTATTTTAACCCAAACTTTCCTCTCCAAAAAGAAACATCAGGCTTGACCATCGAGCTAATCCATTCACTGGAAATAAGAATCGTGCCAGTGCCTCTCTCATGATTTATTTTCATTCATATGGGGTAGGATTAGAAATGTACACACTTACTGGCCTGCTACTTCTACTTGGTAACAAAGCATTTGTACCTGAAGGCCCAGTTAGGCCAGGTGAGAGGACGGGACATTCTAGCTTCTGTGGTTTCTGTTGCAACTACTCTGTTGTACCCTGATAGTGTGAAAACAGCCATGGGGAATATGTAAACTAGTGAACATGGTTGTGTTCCAATAAAACTTTATGGACACAAATGTGAATTTCATATAAATTTTATGAATATAATTTTAATTATAAAAATGTTATTCTTATTTTAAATTTAAAAAGATGTCAAAATATAAAATCTATTGTAGTCAGAGCCCTACAAAAATAGGCAGCAGGCCACAGTTCCCCATGACTGTCATTTGCCAGTCCTCCATCTGGTCCAGCAACCCCTTCTGAATTCAGTTAAATTAAAAACTATAGACAGTAACTCCTGTTTAAATATGAGTGATGCTTCAAGATCTGTTCATTTTAAACTGGACTCAGAAATTATAGCGTAAGGCAGAAAAGAAGAAAATTGTGATGTGTTTGGAAAGACTTGTAGATACGTGCTGGTTTCATCCCCAAATCGTTGTTTCCTCTACCTCTGTATCTAGGAAATTTATCTAATAGTAAGCCATCTTTGATTTATCTCATGTTTACCTTTTTATTTTTATGTTTTACTTTTGTTTTAGATTCAGGAGTATATGTGCGGGTTTGCTACGTAGGTAAATTGCATGTCATGGGGGGGTTTGATGTACAAATTATTTTGTCACCCAGGTAATAAGCATAGCACCTGAAAGATGGTTTTTCTGTCTTCACCCTCCCATCCTCCACCCTCAAGAAGGCCCCAATATTTGTTGTTCTCTTCTTTGTGTCCATATGTATTTGATGTTTAGCTTCCACTTATAAGTGAGAACATGGGGTTTTGGGTTTTCTGTTCCTGTGTTAGTTTGCTTAGATAATGGCCTCCAGCTCCATCCATGTTCCTTCAAAGGACAAAATCTCATTCTTTTTTGTGGCTACATAGTATTCCATGGTGTATGTGTACCACATTTTTAAAATCCAGTCTACCATTGATGGGCATTTAGATTGAATCTCTGTACAGACCAATGGTGAATTCCAAAAATGAATCAGTAATAAAATCCTACCAACCAGAAAAAGCCCAGCACCAGCCAGGTTCTCAGCTGAATTCTACTAGATATGTAAGGAAGAGCAGGTACCATTCCTACTGAAACCATTCCAAAAAATTGAGGAGGAGGGACTCCTTGCTAATTCATTTTATGAGACCAGCATTATCCTGATACCAAAACCTAGCAGAGATACAACAAAAAAGAAAACTGCAGGCCAGTATCCTGATGAATATAGACACAAAAATCCTAAAAAACAAAACAAAACAAAACAAAACAATCACGATGTATCCAGCAGCACATCAAAAAGCTAATACACTGCAATCAAGTAGGCTTTATCCATGGGATGCAATGTTGGTTCAACATACGTAAATCAATAAATGTTATTCACCACATAAACAGAACAAATGACAAAAACCACATGATCGTCTCATGCTTAATTTTAATGCACAACTTAGTAAATGAGCCTTTTCGTCCTTTATCACTGCACTACCCTGACTTTAGTTTTTTTAAGCAGATATTTCAATTAATGATTCCAAATATTTCCACTACTCTGCAGATGATAAAGGATACTATATGTTCATTTGATGTGGTGTTTCTTTGACCACTGTTGTATACCATGTGCTGTAATATAGTATCCTTCATCAGAAGAATGTAACTTGCTAGGCAAAAATAGTTTCAATTCTTTTTTTTTTTTTTTTTTTGAGACGGATTCTTGCTCTTTCGCCCAGGCTGCAGTGCAGTGGCGTAATCTCGGCTCACTACAAGCTCTGCCTCCGGGGTTCTCGCCATTCTCCTGCCTCAGCCTCCCGAGTAGCGGAGACTACAGGCACCAGCCAGCATGCCCAACTAATTTTTTGTTTTTGTATTTTTAGTAGAGACGGGGTTTTTACCGTGTTAGCCAGGATGGTGACGATCTCCTGACCTCATGATCCGTCTGCCTCCGCCTTCCAAAGTGCTGGGATTACAGGCGTGAGCCATCGCGCCCGGCTAATAATTTCAATTCTTTAATTGTCATGTATTAGATTTAACTTCCATGAAAAAACCAAGTGTCAATGGCCTTCAAATCTTGCTTAATCTTCCTGTTGTTAAAAACAAACAATATGGTGAAAACCCGTCTCCACTAAAAATACAAAAATTGGCCGGATTTGGTGGCGCGAGCTTGTAGTCCCAGCTACTTGGGAGGCTGAGGCAGAATAATCGCTTGAACCCGGGAGGCAGAGATTGCAGTGAGCTGAGATCATGCCACTGCACTCCAGCCAAGGCGACAGAGCAAGACTCCGTCTCAAAAAACAAACAAACAAACAAACAAAAACAAAAAACAACCACGTAATAAAATCTATTTATTAGCTCTATGCTGGTCCATCATTCCTGTGGATATGTCCCAATGCATTTTTTAATCTTACATCTCTTACTAAGAAACTGGGCAATTATGATTAACAATTTGTGCCTTTTCTGGTGCTGGTGTTGGTTTGGGTCCTTCTGTGACCATTCATTTCATGTACCTAAGTAGCCACTTCTAGGTAAAGACCCAAAATATCTATTTGTTGACTCCAATTCCTTTCCAGTCCTGGTGGAGTTTTTATTTTGGTAGGTATCTACATGTCCCAATTTGAATTCCCATAAAGGTAGTGTATCAGGCAAGAAGTATTTGAATCAACTGCTTTCCTATGAATTAATCCCTGACAGTGGATTGGTATCAACCCATGTGATTGCGTTTTTTATGTACTCAAAATCTAAAATCTTCCATAATAGCTAGGAATAGAGATTAAAGTTTAGCCCACTGGGCTGGTTTAGTCTTATATTTTCCCATGAGGATCTGCCACAACTTTCCGGGTAGAGAAGTGACCATTCTTTTATGAATGGCCATCAGAGAGATAGGCTGATCATTTAGCCTCCTGCAGCAGATGGTCTAGTGAAAGATCCCTTGTTTAAATTCTTACTTCTATAGCCTAAGACAGAGCCTCAACAGTCTCTGCAGTGAGTCCCAGAAGAAGAGAAGCTATTTACTTATGAATATGACCAGGGCTGCTACTGTACCCTCTTGTAGAATTTTCTTTCGTATACAATGCTTATTTAATGATGGAACTACTTTGTGCATTCTCTCCTCTTTTGGTATGTTTTTCAGATAAAACCATTTGGACACTTCAAAAATTAAAATAATTTTATACCCTTAAGTTATTAGAGGAATTTTAATTAATGCCCTATACCATCTCAAATGGCAGGTAATTTGTGTCTGCTTTTTTTCCCTTCGTTATTCTTGCTAAAAATAAATTTATTATTCTTCTGAAAGAATTAGCATTGGTTCATTTCATTTGTTCTTTGAGAAGATTACTAAAATAGATTTTTTTCTAAATTGAATTTGCTTCATTGATTTCTGCACTAATATTAATTGTTTCCTGCTTTCTTATATTGTAAGCTTAGTTTAGTGTTTTGAGATGTTAATTCTTTTCTAATACACCATTTAATGACATCTCACAATTCTATGGGACAGTAATTTTGGTGGGATTCAGACGGATAATTCTTTTGTTTTTTGGGGCATTAATAAAGACATTCAATGTTATTTATCTGGCACATATTCTGGAATTGAGGGTTTAATATGTCTTCAGTCATATATTTGGTGCTTTGCCAACAATGGGTGAAATTTGGGGTTCGGGTGACTCCTGTCACTCTCAGGGCCTCTCTACAGGGTAGTAAGAATTCTCGCATACTGGTTAGAAGCTACGAGAGACCAAGCTGCTATTTTTTTAAAAGCTTTTATCCATAATTGACGTAGAGATACTTATACTGTATCCTATTAGTCAAAGCAGTCATGGGTTAGCACAAGTTCAAGATGATGGGGAAATAGGTCACTAAATCAGAGGATTTTCAAATTATTTGTGGACATCTTTGATCTGTATAATGTAACTATGCTGCATTACATGCTAATATTTTAATTATCTCCACTCTGAGGTACATACGTGTCATAAAAATGATTGTAATTAAGAATATACTCCATTATGATTACTTATCTAGTTCGTCTTTGTTGGTGACGTCAAATATAACCAAGTCTTAACTATTTTAGAAATCATATTTAAATTTAAGTTTTCAAAGTCAAATTGTATTTCTGATGAAATAGTAATGTTTTATTTCTTTACCTACGTAGTGCTCACCCATGTTTTTGGGTTTTCTGCATGTTTCTTTAAGAAAAGGTTTAAAAACAAGTCTGATGTTTTCTCTAATTTCATAGAAGACTGATAATGTGACCCTTGTTAAAATTCTTGCAAGAGAAACTTGTACACCAGATCCAAGATAAATAAGAATCTGGGTTAAGGTGCTCAAATCATGCTTTTTAGGTTGTTCATCTAAAATAAGTATAATAAAAACTGGATTTCATAAGATGCAGCTGAGGGAGCTCATCGACTCATAAAGTACAAGAGATGGAGGAACTTAAGAGATGACAGACACTCATCAACTATTGTCTCTCTTAGCCACGTGCATTCTGAGGACAGATTTGGACAGTCAGAAGCCACACGTGGGAGTTACAATTCTCACTATGCTCTTGACATTATTGCTGTTTAAAATAACTTTTAAAAGTGGATGTAATGATAGGTAAAAGTGTGAATTGTTAGTTCTGAAAGCAAGATCACTGCTGTTAGCTGTGATCACTGCAGTGTAGGAGTTGCAGAGTGGTATCAGAAATGGACACTCAGCTTCCCACCCTCTTCATGAAATGGTAAAGGCACCATGAAATTAAAAAAAGGGTAGGATGGAGGGTCTGACAAACTTCTATTGCCAGGGTGTTACCAATCCACTTTTTCTTTGAAGGGAAAATCCTCTGAGGAAGATTATCTGGGATGAATAGTAGGAGTGGAGTTTGGATTATATGACTTTGACTCCAGAATTTGTGAAAAAATGTATTTAGAATAAGATACAATATGATGGAGAAATTAGTAGACATACAATTTCTTGGTTGCTGCTAACAAGTTTGGTGAAATTAAAACATCTCATGGTGGAAAGTAAAGAAAATGAACAATTTAACCCAGCAATATTGAGAGAAATATTTGAACGAAAAATGTGTGTCAAAGGTTCTGATGGAGATTTGGGAAGATACAGTTTAAATCATGGCACTCCTTCGCTCTGACCCTTCATCAACAGATCCTACCTTCCAAGCGCCAGGTTTTAGAGATCAGATGACCATAAATATTAGAGAAATAACATTAAATATGTGGTCTGTTTTGCAAAACAGAAAAATATTGGTGCCTGCCAGGTTAATTTTAACCCCAGATTCTTTAAAATAAATGATTTGTAATTTGATGGTGAATTCAATTACCAGCTTATAGTCAGACTTTGGAAAAGTTCTCTCTTCACCAGGTCTTAGTTGTTCTTGTTAAATGAGAATTTTATAATTGATTAAACTAACCTCTCTAGTGAATATTAAGTGATACAAATCCTAGGAAGATAGTGACAGATTTTAATTGGTTAAAAAAATTAAGTGGTAAGATGATGTATTAGTGTTTCCCAGAGAAACAGAATGTACAGTGTGAGATGTATGTAGATAGATGAGATAGAGAGAGATATTTTTATGCTATTGGTTTACTTAATTTGTGGGTATATGCAAGTCCAAAATTCATAGGCTAATGGAGTAGAAGCTCAGACAAGGGTTGATGTTACAGTCTTGAGGTAGAACTTCTTCTTTGGGAAGCCTAAGTTTTGACTCTAACTGCTTCAATTGACTGAATGTGACCCACCCACATTATCAAGGGTAATCTTTACTTAAAGTCAACTTATTGTAGATGTTATTAACTCCATCTATAAAATACCTTCTTCACAGCAACACTTAGATTAACATTTGATTAAATAACTAGGCTTGATAGCTTAGCCAAGTTGACACATAAAACTAGCCATTGCAGTTGCTAATTCTCACCAAAACACAAATTATTTTGATTATTTATGTGGATATACATAGTTACAAGCTCTGAAAGAAGGCAAACATGAGCTCCCAGGCTGTGACTGTTAGGAATTGACATTTCAAGATACCTGGGGTAACGTCTAGATATAATTCCTTCAGTTACCAGTAATATACTATGAAGTACCAAATAGCTGGAAGGAGAATATTTAATGCTCCTAACCCAAAGAAATGAAAAATGTTTGAGATAATGGATATACTAATTACCCTAACTGACCATTATACATTATATATATGGAAACATTACTATGTACTCCATGAATATATACAGTTATTGTCAATTTTTTTAAAAAGAAAAAAAAAGACAATTCCTAGGTTGTTACTTAGATTTGGTGAAGATAGTCCTCACCATTGTGACACATCTCAGATTGTAATTGCATTTTCACAAATCAACACAAAACTTTATTTATGAATAAAAATGAGTAAAACAGTACTTGAAAAATGAAATTGAAAACAAATATAATAGTAAATTCAGAAAAAGGTGTGCATTTTACTAATAGTAATGCCATTGATTCTATTTTTCTTCACAACTGGGATATACCAGTTTCCCATTCTGACACATTGCTCGAAATGAATGAGATTTTGTTGGATGATATCCAGATTTACAAACAAATTCAACTATGTCACCTGTTCTTGAATAAAGCTTTTGTTGGTTTGTCCACTTTAATTTTATGTTATATTTTTCCATAATTTCTTGTGATATTACACATGGATCTGAAAGTAGAAAAAAATGAACATAAAACATTAAGTAGTATGCAAATCTTCATAGACTCAGGTTTTCAAGTAGAATGTTATATGATGGTTGAGGAATTACTTCTCAAAATCCTTTCCAAACTAATGCTGTAAAAACAAAATATAGATTTAAGTAAATTTAAAATGGTAAATGATGTAAAAATGAGGTACTATGTTTAATGGATGATAATTAGATGTTATCACTGAAGATTCATAACATCAATTGTCATATTAAGATAGTTGCATTTTAGAACCTATCATTGCTGTTTTTGTTTGATTATGATATTGGTGAAAGAATCCAAACTTTCAGTAATAAGATGAACAAGAACTGGGAATCAAATAGAGAAATGTAATGACATTAATAGCTAATAATATGGTATTATTTACTTGAAATTTGAAAAGAGAGCAGATTTTAAGAGTCCTCATCTCTCTCTCTCTCTCTCTCTCACACACACACACACACACACACTTACACACAATGGTAACCATAGGTGGTGATGAATGTGTTAATTAATTTATAGTAATCATTGCTTTATAAATATATCAAATCAACATGTTGTAGAAAATAAATATGTATTCTTTTTATTTATCAACTAAATGTTTTTAAATAAAATATAAATATAAAGAGAAAAATTTCTAAACTTTACATTCTATCATATAGACATTTGGTAGGCAAGCATTCAGCAGAATGCTTGTTTGTTAATCTGTGAAAATTCTATTACAAACAGTGAAATATCAGACTCATCACACTGATTTTTCCAGAATCCATGAGAATATTAAAGTACTTACCTAAGCATTTTGGTGGTTCTGACCATTGTCCGTTTCTACATGTTATTTGATTGTTACCCTCAAGTTGATACAAGTTCTGGCACTGGTACTCAACTGATGAACCTGGAGCATATACTGACAACAGGAATGAAGTAATGTCTCCATTGTCAATAGGTGGAGGGGGCCCACATTTTTCTGCAGAAACTAAAAAAACATCATTTGATTTACTGGGAGAGTAAATAAAAATACAAGTTCAAATAAGGCAAATGCAAACAAGGCACTTTATAGTCTATCAGGGCTTTTGTGATTTGTGCTGAATGAAATGATTCCCGGAGTAAAATTTATCCTACAAACTGAAAGTTAAATTTTCAGTTCTTTTCTCCTCACTGAATGAACACATACAGCATTAACAAAGATGACACTTTGTAGTATTCCAGGATTAAGAAATGTTTTTCTAAATGAATACATGCTAAACAGATAGAAAGCTATGACAAAACACAGAAAGTTTCTTATTTTAAATTCAACATTCTTTGGAGTTTATTGGGTCTGTAGTCATTTCATTCTTTATTTTCATTTGCCTTACAAAAGAAACATTAACTCCTGGAAAAATTTAAAGAATACAAATTAATAGAAACTAAAAGGGAATTGCTGGATTCTTGGTATTGGCAAAATGAGGAACAAACTTTTCTACCTTTTCCTTATGCTAAGTACAACTCAAATTTTGAACACAAAGTAAAAAAAAAAAAAAAGGAAAAGAACATAAAAAGACTCTGAAAGATGTAGAGAATTTGAAGTTGCTGGAGACTTCAGGACTCAAGGAATGACACAGCAGGGTGTCATGTGGGTTTTCTTTTGGACTCCTTTGTATCCTGGATAGGACACTGGAGAAGACTGCAACCCAGTATTGATATGAGGTTCAGACAGAAAAAGAAAATCCCCAGAAGAGCCTACTTTCTATACCCAAAAGCCCAGGAAAAGAGCAGCCTTACAAGACAAAAATCATTTTTAACAATAACTTACATACTGTAGGAAAGATCCTAAGAAGCCAATGACCACCCTCCACACTTCTAGATAAACAGAGGTCAACTGAGGAACCTAGACTTCTACCCACATGGTCAAGTAACAAGACACCGCTCCCTTTTCCCATGATTGATGTCAGCAGAAGCCAAATGGGAAACCTGGGCTTATACCCACCATGGCAGCAATGGAACCTGCCAAATAAGATTTTTGCAATCGAGTACTCAAAATATAACACCTAAAATATCTAGAATAAATTTAAAAATT
The DNA here is from genome assembly GCF_000001405.40 of Homo sapiens. Taxonomy (NCBI): domain Eukaryota; kingdom Metazoa; phylum Chordata; class Mammalia; order Primates; family Hominidae; genus Homo; species Homo sapiens. The sequence goes on along the minus strand of NC_000001.11, from coordinate 196,956,810 downwards.
ACTCTTCATATTAAGGACCAGGAAACTCTCAAAAGGGAAAAGACAATTATTAATAACAAAAGACAACACTAAGAAGACACAGATGTTGAAATTGATGATGCTTTAAAAAATCCAATAGGAATTATAAACCCAAATAGTAAAACAATAATTAAAAAAATCCTCTGGATAGGCTTAATAACACACTGGGAGATGACAGATGAATAAATTCATGAACTTCAATACAGAGCAATATTAATTACCCAGTCTGAAAATAGACTGAAAACAGAAAGCTGAACTGAGCTTAGAGAACTTTAGAATAAGACAAACAACAACAAATAAGGAGAGGCAATCCAGAAAGAGAAGAGAAAAAGTATTGAGCTGAAAACAAAAAAATGACTGAACACTTCCCAGACTGACCATAAGGCATAAACTAATAGTGACATGTAGAACTAACGAATACTATACAATATTTTTCTCATAACTTGAAAAAATATACATCTATTTTGACTTAATTACATTAAACTATTCCAAATCTATCAAAAATACAAGAAGGGAATGATATCAGAAGACTGAGGAGATATTGGTAGCTGGAGCACTTGAGATTGCTCTGTTTTGCATTCACATCATTTATTGCACATACTTGCCACCTGATATAGTTAGGCTTTGTGTCTCCACTCACACCATTCACATCTTATCTTGAATTGTAATCCCCAGATATTGAGGCAGAGACCTGGTGGGGGGTGGTTGGATCATGGGGATGGCTTCCCCCATGCTGTTCTCATGATAGTGAGTGAGTTCACATGAGATCTGATGGTTTTATAAGTGTTTGGAAGTTCCTCCTTCATCCACTTGTCTCTCTCCTGCTGCCTTGTGAAGAAGTGCCTGCCCCCGCTTCTGCCATTATTGTAAGTTTTCTGAAGCCACAGCCATGTGGAACTGTGAGTCAATTAAACCTATTTTATTTATTTATTATTATTATTTTTTTGAGACAGAGTCTCGCTCTGTCACCCAGACTGCAGTACAGTGGCACTATCTCGGCTCACTGCAGCCTCTGCTTCCCCAGCTCAAGTGATTCTCCTGCCTCAGCCTCCCAAATAGCCGAGATTACAGGAGTCACCACCATGCCCAGCTAATTTTTATATTTTATCAAAGACAGAGTTTCACGATGTGGGTCAGGCTAGTCCCAAATTCCTGACCTCAAGTGATTCACCTGCCCCTGTCTCCCAAAGTGCTAGGATTACAGGTGTGAGCCACCATGTCTGGCCAAACCTATTTTACTGATATATTACCCAGGTTGGAGAAGTTCTTTATAGCAGTGTGACAGTGGACTAATACAGTAGATTGGTACAGGGGGCACTGCTATAAAGATACCTGAAAATGTGGAAGTGACTTTGGAACTGGGTAACAGGCAGAGGTTGGAACAGCTTAGGGGGCTCAGAAGAAGATAGGAAGATGAGGGAAAGTTTGGAACCCCCTTGAGACTTGTTCAATGGTTTTGACCAAAATGCTTATAGAGATATGGACAATGAAGTCCAGGCTGAAGCGGTCTTAGATGGAGATGAGAAACTTATTAGGAACTGGAGCAAAGGTCACTCTTGCTATGCTGTAGCAAAGAGACTAGTGTCAATTTGCCCCTGCCCTGAAGATGTGTGGAACTTTGAAGTTGAGAGAGATGATTTAGGGTAACTGGAGTAGGAAATTTCTAAGCAGCAAAATGTTCAAGAGTGACAGAGTATAAAAGTTTGCAAAATTTGCTGCCTGACCATGTGGTAGAAGAGAAAACTCATATTCTGGGGAGTAATTCAATCCTGCTGCAGAAATTTGCATAAGTTACAAGAAGCCAAATGTTAATAGCCTAAGACAATGGGGAAAATGACTCCAGGACATGTCAGAGATCTTTGAGGCTTTCCCAATCACAGGCCCAAAGGCCTAGCAGGGAAAAATATTTTCATGGGCCTGGGCCCTGCTGCTGTGTGCAGCCTCACGACCTGGTACCCTGCTGAGTCCTAGCTGCTCCAGCTCCAGCCGTGGCTAAATGGGGCCAACATATAGCTCAGGTCATTTTTTCAGAAGGTGCAAACCTCGAACTTTGGCAGCTTCCACATGGTGTTGTGCCTGTGGGTGCACAGAAGACAAGATTTGAGGTTTTTTTTTGGTTCCAGGTGGGAACCTCTTCCTGGATTTCTGAGGTTGTATGGAAACTTCTGCATGTTCAGGCAGAAGTCTGCAGGGGTGGAGTCTGCAGGTTCATGGAGAACCTCTGCTAGGGCAGAGTGGAAGGGAAATGTAGGGTTGGAACCCCCACACAGAGTCACCACTGAGGCACTGCCTAGTGGAGCTATGAGTAGGGGGCTACTCTCCTCCAGACCACAGAATGGTAGATACACCAACAGCTTGTACTATGCACCTGGAAAGGCTGCAGGCACTCAATGCTAGCCCATGAGAGCAGCCCTGGGGGCTGAACCCTGCAAAGCCACAGAAGTGGAGCTACCCAAGGCCTTGGAAGCCTACCCCTTGCATCAGTGTGTCCTGGATGTGAGACGAGGAGTCAAATGAGACCTTTTATGGAGATTTAAGATTTAAGGAGTGCCCTGCTGGGTTTTGAACTTGTGTGGGGACTGTAGCCCCTTTCTTTTGGCCAATTTCGCCCATATGGGCAGAAAGTTGGAGGGAAATTATAAAGCAAATTATTCCCAATTTTACCAAATGGGTAACTAAATATCAAAGACTTTTTAAAAAACCCATCTTCTAGGTTTTTTGAACCTTTCCATTATTCTCAACTCCATCACTAGTATGTTTATAAAAACTAACTCATTATGAATATCTTCTGATTCAATTAGAAATAGTTATGTATATGAATATGTGTTTATTTTTCTTATTTAATCATCTTTCATTAATGGTTAGTTCATAAAAGTATATATTAATTCTTATGTAAACTACATAATTGACATTCAAGACAAAGTAAATAATCCAAATAAATCAAGTATACACAAAAAATTGAAATATTTTCTAATAATCTCATAAATATTTAAAGTAACTAGTTTTATGTACTGTTATAGGCACTTTAATGGTTTGATTGCAGTTTACTCAAGCAAATCCCACTAGAATATGACTCATTTCACTTATATAAAACTTGTATCCCTAAATCTCTGTATTTTATTCCAATATTTGGATGGCAATTCTTTATTGATTATCATCTTTTAAAAAATCTAATTGTAAAAACAAAATGCCATTGAAAACAATTGATCTGTCTGGGTACAGTGGCTCATGACTGTTACGTCAGCACTTTGGGATACCAAGGTTGGTGGATCGCCTGAGGTTGGGAGTTGGAGACCAGCCTGGCCAATTTGGTGAAACCCTGGCTCTACTAAGAATACAAAAATTAGCTGGGTGTGGTGACACATGCCTGTAATCCCAACTACTCAGGAGGCTGAGGCACAAGAATTGCTTGAACTTTGAAGGTAGAATTTGCAGGGAGCCAAGATCCCACCATTGTACTCCAGCCTGGGCAACACAGTGAGACTCTGTCTCAAAAAATAAATAAGTAAATAAGTAAGTAAATAAATAAATAAATAAATAAATAAATAATCTTGGCTGATGTAGGGTTTCCCAGCTGCTTTATTCATATAAGGTTATTGCATGGTGTTGTAAACGGAATAACAGCCCCCAGAGATTGCACTGTACTAATCCCTGCAACATGGATTACCATAACTTGCAAAATGTTACCTTACATGAAAAAACAGACTGTGCAGCTATCATTAGGAGTCTAGTTGCCCTGAAACTTTATTAACTCTCCACAGCGTTCTTGAGCTACCATTCAACCTTGGACATAGAGTGTTCCGCTAAATTCTTCCACTTTGGAGATTCTGACTTCCTCCATCTACTCTGATAACCTCAATATGTTGCCTTATGCTTTTGGAATAAGGGACAGGCAAAGAGGGAAAGGTAGCAATATTGTGAGAACTTGAACAAAAAGATGTGTTCTTTGTCAGCTTAAATAAAATGTGCTAAGTTTTGAAGCAAGTTTATTTTGGCAACTTAGTTTCTAAATGTCATTACCCACTGAATGGAACCAGAACTTATTGGAGGTATGGTTGATTCTAGTTCTCAGACAGGGAAAACATGAATTAAACCCGGGATATTTTTTGTGTCACAAAGCAACAGACTTAATCAAAGCCTAACAAAGTCTTACAGACTGTACACAAGAGCCAGCTTGTATGGGATACAGCTGGTCAAACTTAATTTGTCAAGCTTCTAAATTATAATTGTTGGGCTGACAATAGCCATCATCCCACGAAATGAAGAGAGCTTGTTCATGACATAGAGCATGGAAATATTTATGCCATCACTGAAGGCTATAAATCCTAAACCCTATTCAATCACTGCAATTTTCTGGTATTCATAACATTTGTTCTTTTTTTTTGTTTTTTGCAAATATTAATAATGTTTAATCCCCTAGTAATAGAAAGAGGCTATGACTTAACTGTTTACTGAAAAACTGTCACAGTTTCAGCTGTTTTAAGAAGACTCAATTTTCTAGAAGTGTAAATTTAGTGAAGACAGGGTCTCACTCTGTTGCCCAGGTTGAAGTGCACTGGTGCAGTCATAGCTCACTGCAGCCTTGAACACCTGGGCTCAAGTGATCCTCCTACTTCAGACTTACCAGTGGCTGAGACTAGAGGCACACACCACTGTGCCCTGCTCTAGAGGTTTAAAATTAAGAATTAAAGGTGTGGAATAATATTTGATAACATAACATCTTTTGAAAGGCATACCACGGATTCTATTTCCTATTGGATGGAATAGCTGGTATCAACATAACCTCCCACTGGAAAAAAATTAGAAAACTGTACAAAATATATTTCAAGAACACTGGAAATCACCCAGCACATGACCGTGATGACTAAGAAAATGAAAAAAACTTGAAACCCCAAACTACCACAGCACACAGCCCCATCTGTTTGCTGACAGGCCTTTTCTAGACTCTGTGCTGTGAGGGAGAACCCAGCAAGAACTCAATGGTCTTCTTTAGTTGAGACTAATAATGTCAGTCTTGGAGACTATGGTGGCCAGAAGTTACTGGGCATAGTAGCAGAGAGAAAGTGGTATGAAGAGAAAGAGCTATAGAAGTTTCCATCGGGCTCCTTTTGTTTTTAGTTGAATACAGAGCTGTGCAAGCATAGGACGGAATCTTATTGGGCTGGGCAAAAAACAATTACTGAGGAGCTATAAAGACGAAGAATTGCAAGAGTTCACACAGGACTGGGAGGTGCCATCATTTATACCACAGGTTTCCAAAAGAATCGTTTTCCAAATGCTAAGCTACTCACAAATAAACATACCTCTCAGAAGTATGGACTTTCTAAAACTTAAGAATTGATGATTTATTGAATAGAGCATATGAATTTAAATAAAGATAAATATTAAATGCTGTCTTACTTATAAGACATTTTAACTAGAATTGGACTTATTTTCACTTCAATACATCAGTTTTGTAACCATTTCTTGTCAACTAACCCGATACTATAAACCACACACAGGTATTACTTAAACTTCAAGGGATTATCTTCAAGGTGTATTCTTGTCTAATATTTTTACTTATCACATATATTTGATTTATATAGGTAGGCAAACTATATTATTGCACATCCACTTAGACACAATTGGAACTGAGAATCAAATGAATAATGATAGAAGTATGTGGCAAAACCTATATTTAACCTATATTTAATCTGTAAAAAAAGATTTATTTCTTTTACACTTTATAATATAACAGCATCTGAGAGAACAACATTGCACTTACTAGTGGACCTGCATTTGGGAGGAGTGGACCAGCCCCGTTCTACACATGAAATGTTGTTCTCATTGTTTTGAAGTCTGTATCCTGTGTTGCAAATAATTTGTACAGTATCACCTTCCAGATGTGTTTGTCCTGAAGATTCAGAATGACCATTTTCCACAAAAGGAAAGAAACACAGTCCTAAAGACCAAAAACAGATTAATAGACAAGATGGAAGTAGCAAAGAAAAAGTACAACTGCATTTTAAAATATTTTAATAAATAGGGTGAAGTGGCTCAAGCTGGTAATCCCTGCACTTTGGGAGGCTGAGGTGAGTGGATCATTTGAGGCCATGAGTTCGAGGCCAGCCTGGTCAACATGGTGAAACCCTGTTTCTACTAAAAATACAAAAATTAGCGGGCATAGTGGTGTGCACTTGTAATTCCAGCTACTCTGGAGGCTGAGACAGGAGAATCACTTGAACCCAGAAGGCAGAGGTAGCAGTGAGTCGAGATGGCACCACTGCACTTCAGCCTGGGTGACAGAATGAGACTCTGTCTCAAAAACAAAACAAAACAAAACAAAACAAACAAACAAAAAACCAAAAAGGAAAGCTTTCAAAGCTGAAATCAAATATAAACATTTTCAAAAGAAGTTAAGTCTTGCTACTATATATATGATGAAATATATTTTTGGTTCCTTTATATGTACATATAGAAGAAAATATTTCATGTTGTTACTCTATGTTTTTTATAATAAAATATTTTATGTTTATCAACTCTTTTAGGGACAAAAGAACATCTACATATATCTATTTCTCTCTTAACTCTCATAAATGTTTCTTAGGAGAAAGATCATTGCTATCTCCTTTGTTGCCTCATCTATCTGTCTCCCAGTTGTTTTCTCTTTTAATATACCTGTTATCATTGGAGTCTGCTCTCTACATTTATTGGAGGGTTAATATAGCTACACTTTGAAGGACCAAAGAAATTATTTATTGAAATATAAAAGTGAAAATGCTAAACCTCCTTGTAATATGCAAAAGAATGTTAAATTCAAAACAGAATATGTATAAAATGACATTTAAAAGGAAAACTATGATCAGGCTGCTGCCAAATGAATATTAGTAAAGAAATATTAGCAGTCAAATATATTAATCATCAGTTTAAAAAAATTGATATATTTCAACATGTAGAGAATTTCCGGGTAATGCAAGACAGTTGACATATTTATTCTTCATTGATTCTCATAGGAGCCATCTCAAAATAGAAGGACTACATCTCCCATCTTTCCAGCTCCTCTGGTCACTGCTCCTGTGATTATCAAGTGTTTATGATCTTGTCTGGCATATCCTTCTCTGTTCATTGAATGACATCCATTTAATGAACAGGGCATTTACTCACTGAGACACTTTGGTGTTGGTGACCATCCTTCTTCTGCGCACGTTATGCGAGTCCAAAAGGATTTTGAAGGAGACACAAAATTATATTCACAGGAGTAATAGAAAACTTCCCCTGTAGGAACTTGGGAAAATGGCTTATATTTTTCTTCATCATATAGAATTCCATGGTTTATTTTTGGAAAATCACAGAACATTGCTGGGAAAATAACACAAAACTGAAGAATTACATAATAAGCTACATAAATAAATCACTAGACTATATTTTAATCATCTCATTTAGTTTTTTTCTTTCATTTAGCTTAAATGCCTTTAGCTTAAATGCTCTCCAGTGTCCAAATTAGGAATGAAAAGACATCACTAACTAAGAGTACACGAGTATTTGAGGAGGTAATTGTTAATGAATATAAAATCTATATTTTGGAGTGATATGAAATATGAACTCTCCTGCAATGTCTTCAAGAAGAAAACCCTCACACAACAATTTAAGAATGAAGGCAGAGTGTAAGACTAGCAAATCTTCCTGATCTACTTAGTATACAGTAGAGGAGTGACAGGGTTGTTCTTAGCTCTCAATTTACTTATTTTCTCTATTCTCATTGACTGTCATAGGTATCTCCACCAGAAACTCTGTCCTATTTTTTTTCTGGTGCAGAAAAGATGTTGGGTAGTTAGTTTTGTTGTTTGTTTATTAATATCATTTTGAATACTTTCTGGTTACAAAGTTAATATAGTTTCAGTGGAAATAATTGAGAGAATATAAGAAAATCACTAAGAACAACTCAAGATAAAGTTAGAGCTAAATTCTGGTTAATGTTGTATATACAAATATGTATTGTATATTTGTATTTATATATTTATACTTGTATACACACATATATATACGGTCAGCCCCACTGGTTTCACATCCTCTGATTCAACCAACTGCAGATCAAAAATATTCGGAAAAAAACAATAAAAAGACAATAAAACAATAAAAATAATGCAATTAAAAATACAATATAACAACTATTTGTATAGCATTTACATTGTATTAGGTATTATAAATAATCTAGAGATTCTTTAAATTGTATGAGAGGGTTGGGTGTGGTAGCTCATACCTGTAATCCCAGCACTTTGGGAGGCTGAGGTAGGTGGATCACTTGAGGTCAGGAGTTTGAGACCAGCCTGGCCAACATGGCGAAAGCCCATCTCTACTAAAAATACAAAAATTAGCCAGGTGTGGTGGTGCACACCTGTAATCCCAGCTACTTGGGAGGCTGAGGCAGAAGAATCACTTGAACCCAGGAGGGGTATGTTGCAGTGAGCCGAGATCATGCCACTAAACACCATCCTGGGGGCGACAGAGCAAGACTCTACCTCAAAAAAAATTAAAATAAAATAAAATAAATTGTTTGGGAGGATATACACAGGTTATATACAAATACTACATCATTCTGTCTTAGAGACTTGCATATCCTTGGATTTTGGTATCTACTGGGGGTGGGTAGAGTCCTGGAACCAATTCCTTGAGGATACTAAAGGACTAGTGTATATATGTATATATACATCCATATACACGATGGTGCAGGAAAAATTAAAACAATGTAGAAAATGGGTGAAATCTTCATACTTTTTGACTCTTTCTTTGTGTACACATTCATATATATACACACATATTTTTATAAGACTTTATATTTTATTAACAAGTTTTTCACAGCAAAATTGAGTGGAAGGTAGAGATTTCTATATACCACTTCCTCTTCCCTACCACATGCATAACCTCCCTCACCGTCAATATAATTATCACCCAAAGTTCATAGTTTATGTTGGGGTTCACTCTTGATGTTGTACATTCCATGGGTTTGATATACTTTATCTTTGAGTATGTATTTAGCTCAAGATAGTTCCTCATATATTACTGCTCTTTGTTTTTATGTCAAGATATTGTTGCAATATAGTACTGTTGCATAAGAAATAATTTTATTTTTCACCTTATTTGGAAGATGTGTGCAGAAATTAAGCTGACAAATCAACAGAAATTTCTCTTTTTCATCTGTCTAGAAGTAATGTTTAATGTTGCACAATATTTGAAATATTTTCACTTTGTGAAACGTGAAACTGATTATCTAACTGTTTAAAATTTGACATTAGATAGTTTTGGTAAAGGTATTGAGGGAAAGACTCCCATCTTGATAGTATTAACCTACCATAACTCTTTTAGTTATCCTTCACTCCTCCAAAATTATAGTAGTTTATTTTCATACATTTGTACTTACATATTCTTTGCTATCCAGAATAACTTGGTTTTCATCACCCAGTTATATTGTACCTATGCTTCAGAATTAACTCTATGACATTCATCAAGTATTCATTGTGCATATCTGCAATGGTGCTAGCTAGGAGTGTTAATGTCTTCTTGCAAGCCTCCTTTACACAACCACCCACTTCAAAAGTAGAAAATAATTTTTCTTGTCTCAACATTCTGATAGAATATTATGAATATATTTCTTCTGGGATACACACACACACACACACACACACATACATATATACAGTTGTACAGATATTCACCACATAATGACATTTTGGTCAATGACTGATCGCTCATGTGACAGTGGACCCATAAGATTATAGTGTAGCTGAAAAATTCCTATCACCTAATAGCCATCATAACATAGCAGTGTAATATATTACTCACATGTTTGTGGCAATGCCGGTGTAAATAAACCTACAGCATTGCCAGTCACATAAAAATATGCCACACACAATTTTGTACAGTACATAATACTTGATGATGACAATATAGAAGTGTTACTGGTTAATGTATTTCATATAGTATAATTGTTATCAGTATTTTATAGTTAACTTCTTCTACTGGTTAAAAAAATTAACTGTAAAACGGTTAATGTTTCCTGAGGCAGATCCTTCAGGAACTATTCCAGAAGAAACCTTTGTTATCATAGGAGAGGACAGCTCCATGCCTGTTACTGCCCTGAAGATCTTCTAGTGGGACAAGAGCGGAGGAAGAAGACAGTGATACTGATGATCCTAACCCTTTGTAGGCTGAGGTTAATATGTGTGTTTGTGTCTGTTTTTAACAAAAAGGTTTAAAAAGTAAATAAATAAGTAAAATATTTAAAAGATAAAAGCTTATAGCACAAGAACAGAAAGAAAAAATCTTTTGTACATCTCTACAATGTTTTTTAAGCTAAATATTATCTCGAAAGACATAAAAATTAAAGTTGATGAAGTAAAAAGGTCAACATAAACTAAGGTTAATTTATTATCGAAGAAAAGTTTAAAATAAATTTAGTCTATCCTGGGTGCATCAAAAGCTCAGTAATTAGCACTGAAGAACTTATCCATGTAACCAAAAACCACCTGCTCCCCCAAAACTATTGAAGTAAATAAATAAATAAAATAAATTAGTTTAGCCTAAGTATACAGTGTTTATACCACCTCTAGTCGTGTATGGTGATGTTCTAAGCCATCACATTCACTCACCACTCATGTAATGACTTACTGAGAGCAACTTTCAGTCCTACACACCCTATTCATGGTAAAAGCCCTATACAAGTCTGCCGTTTTTAATATTTTATACTGTATTTTTATTGTACTTTGCTATATTGAGATAAACATATACTTACAATTGTGCTACAGTTGCCCACAGTATTCAGTACAGTAACATGCTGTACAGGTTTGCAGCCTAGGAGCGACAGGCTATACCATATGGCCTAGTTACCTAGTAGGCTATAAAACCTAGGTTTGTGTAAGTCCACTCTATAATGTTTGAATAAGAAGGAAATCGCCTAAGGACGCACTTCTCAGAACGTGTCCCTATCATTAAGTGATGCATGACTGTTTATACACACACACACACACACACACACACACTCACTCACAGTCACCTATATATAGCCTTGCAATTTATTTGCCTATTTACATTTTGCTTTTCTTTAGGACACTGTAAGTTGCAGTGAGGTGTGGTTAGGGTTGTCATTTTCTTCCAGCTTCTTTGCTACATGAAGCACAACATAGTGCTTGATAAATATTTTGCTACTGGAAGCATGCAGCTTTCTATGTATACAAATGTGTTGCTTCAGTGTGTTGTTTTTGCTGTTTGGCAGGTCTCTCAGTAGACACCTAAATGACAGTGTAACACACACTTACAGATCATTTAACATCTAGGCAACCTTTAGATAGAATTTCACTGAAGTTTCTCCCAGAGACTGGATTGAAGCTTGAACTTTTTTTTGGTGGGAGGAGGGTTAGGAATTGTCAAAATTCTACATATTTCTCTCATATTTTTCACTTATTTTCCTCTGCTACCCCCCTATTTAGAAATCCTCATGTAATGCCATGTGTAATAGGTGTATAAGCCACTTAATAAATACCATAAACACAGACTTAAGAAAAATCAAATACACTCATACAATCGCACTCCTGTGATTACAACTCAGCACTAAAAGTGAAAACAAAATAAAACGAATTTCAAGGGCTAGGCGTGGTGGCTTATGCCTGCAATCCCAACACTGTGGGAGGCCGAGGCAGGCAGATCACCTGAGGTCGGGAGTTCGAGACCAGCCTGACCAACATGGAGAAACCCCATCTCTACTAAAAATACAAAATTAGCCAGGCGTGGTGGTGCATGCCTGTAATCCTAGCCACTTGGGAGGCTGACGCAGGAGAATTGCTTGAACCCAGGAGATGGAAGTTGTGGTGAGCCGAAATCACACCATTGCACTCCAGCCTGGGAAACAAGAGTGAAAGTCCATCTCAAAAAAAAAATGAATTTCAAGCAATAGAAATAATATTTTGCAACATTTCTAAGGGCAAATATTTAAAGGAAAGCATGTTATTGTTCATGTTGTTCTGTTATGTCAGGACTGATGAGAAACTGTTCAAATAAAAGTTCAAAGGTCTGGAAACATTAGGAAACAGCAAAACAGTAAAGTAAAAACTTTTTGGAAATCAAAGGGTAAAGCATAATGATCGAAACTCCAAGTACAGACATAGTTTAATTAGTATCCTAGACCTTGGTAGAGATTTTGTTTGCAATTCCTTTGATATGGTGGCCTTAATTTCAACATGAAATAAAATGGGACCATTTATAAAATATCATAAGAAGCCGTTTGTAGTATTAATAAAGAGGTGATACATTACTTCATTCTCAACATTTAAGAGCTCAGAAGAAGCAATTTCTTGACAGTTCACTGGTTTATATATAAATGATATTTTCTATTGTTTCAGTAAAATATATTTCCCTCTGTTGAAGGATAATTCGATTGAAATGGGAATTCCTCCATTTTAATGACCTTTAAAATTTAAATGATCAAATCTAGGAAACTAAAATCCAAAAAGCATTTTGAAGGTGGCCAAATCTTTTTGAGATTGATTGTTCTAGTTAGTGGCATTGCAGAGTGTATGCAGAATTACACTAATACTTCACCTTGCCACCGTTAGTATAGCAGGTTTTCCCTCATTTAATTCCTCTTTACATTCTCTATTTGGTGGCCATTTACCTTTGCAACTTAGAGGATGGAGATAACTAATTTTATTCTATTTTCCTGCTAATTGCATGTTAGAAAGTATTTCCATAAAATAGATTAATATTATAACTCATTTAAAATATTTTCATCCATTTATTCATTTAAAAATATGTAAGCATACACACAAAAACCGATAAATGTATCTGAAAAAGGAACTAAATATTCAGGTCTGTTTTGAACTTACCTTCTCCCCCAACAGAGGATATCCGTGAGATTAGAATTACACTGACCAGGAGCCACATGCTTGGTAGTTCCAATCTTATATAACTAAAAATACTTCAGTGGTGGTGGTGTTGCTTTGAATCTGCTTTCATTAACAGTTATGAGCATGACTTTGAATTTCAGTGTACTAACTGGAAGCTAGTTTAGTAAAGTCCTTTGTGGTAAACATCAAAGTTCATGGAGGGTTGTGCAAAATAAGCAAATAGTGTCTAATCAGTGTTTTCACAATAATACTCTGAGTTTATCATGTAATATTAACTTGAGCAAAATAAAAGCTGTTCAATTTCCTTGTTGTGGTCCCTGAGTCTCTGAGTTTGGAATATTCAGAAATGGGCCATTGAAGAGGAAAGAGGAAGCCCCTTCTTTTTTCTAGCCAAGAGTTCAGCTACATCAGTAGGCAAGCAAGTGAAGGTGATCAGTCCTCATCTTAACATAACAGCATCACTGTTCTAGTTATAAATTCCACTTAAAACTGGTATTAAGAATGAGGTAACTTCAGACCATCCTGGCTAACCTGGTGAAACCCCATCTCTACTGAAAATACAAAAATTAGCTGGGCGTGGTGGTAGGTGCCTGTAGTCCCAGCTACTTGGGAGGCTGAGGCAGGAGAATGGCGTGAACTCGGGAGGCGGAGTTCACAGTGAGCTGAGATCGCACCACTCCCCTCCAGCCAGGGTGACAGAGCGAGACTCCATCTCAAAAAAAAAAAAAAAAAAAGAATGAGGTAACTTCTTAATAGTTTTCATATTTTGTAGACTATAAAAAGTCAAATCAAGAATAATTTTTGGTATGTAATGGTTCCCAAAATTGTTGAACCAATTTTACTTCAGAATAATTTTGTTCCGATGGGACTTTGAGAATGGGTATTTCTGGGTCTTGGTATATTCACTCACCACCAAAAGGCAGCAATAAAACTGGATAAAATTATAAAAATAATCTCTAGAAATTGGCCAAAGAGCATACTGTTGGGAAATATTTATTCCAGAAAGTCCACATAAATCTCAGTAAAAAAGAGTGGCTGCTTTTATCCACCTTTGTCTCACAGCCCAGTTCTGTGGCTCAGAAGTTGAACCCTGGGTAGGCAAGCAGGCTGTGAGGACTGGAAGCTCTGCTGCCCCACTGGAGGGGAGTGACTTTATAGCGTGGAAAATTCCCTGCCCAAGGATCCTGTTGAATATAAAGAGGTTACAGTGGGAAGCAAGTAGAGAAGATTAATATGTGTAGAAGATATTAGCTGGGGCAAGCAACAAAGTGGCCAGTCAGCCAAAAATTTAATGGCAAAATTTGGAGAAAGGGACAGCCTAAGGACTTCCACTAAGATGAAACTTACTGATGGTGGTTCAGAAATCAATGGGAATGCATATAGCTATGTTCAGTCAAGAAACCAGAGAAGTCTCTGTGAGCTATTAGTAGTCTCCACTATTGAATCTAGTCTATCTAAACCTTATCATTTCCAATTAAACTACCTAAATTATCTAAATATTAGGTGTCACACTCTAGACCATTTCCACAATCTTTTTAGCTCACTTACTCTACTAAATTTGTTCCAATCATTCAATGACACTGATGCTTTTTCACTATTCTTTTCCCTTCACTTTCTCTCTTCCCACCATACCCAAATTAGATTCAATGGTTCATCCCTGTAAGTCAATCCCTTGCACACACTCTCCTGCCCATTCCTTTCTTTCTTTCTGTAATCCAAGTCTTAGAAAACCTCAATCCTTTGCAAATAAATTCTCTGCCTGCCCTGTCTCTGAACTGAAGCAGCAGAGTGTGTCTACAAGAAAAACAAATGCGGTCACCGCTCCAAGATGGCTGAATAGGAACAGCTCTGGTCTGCAGCTCCCAGCTGCAGAAGATGGGAGATTTCTGCATTTCCAACTGAGGTACCTGGTTCATCTCACTGGGACTGGTTGGACAGTGGGTGCAGCACATGGAGGGGGAGCCGAAACTGGGCGGGGCATCACCTCACCCTGGAAGTGCAAGGGGTCAGGGGATTTCCCTTTCCTAGCCAAGGGAAGCCATGGCAGACTGCACCTGGGAAAAATGGGACATTCCTGCCCAAATACTGCACTTTTCCGAGGGTCTTAGTAAACGACAGACCAGGAGACACTCTCCTGCTCCTGGCTCGGCGGGTCCCACACCCACGGAGCCTTGCTGACTGCTAGTGCAGCAGTCTGAGATCAACCTGTGAGGCAACAGCCTGGTGGGGGGAGGGGCATTCGCTATTGCTGAGGCTTGAGTAGGTAAACAAAGTGGCCTGGAAGCTTGAACTGGGTGGAGCCCACTGCAGCACAGCTAGGCCTGCTGCCTCTGTAGACCCCACCTCTGGGGGCAGGGCATAGCTAAACAAAAGGGAGCAGAAACTTCTGCAGACTTTAAATGTCCCTGTCTGACAGCTCTGAAGAGAGAGGTGATTCTCCCAGCATGGCATTTGAGCTCTGAGAACAGACAGACTGCCTTCTCAAGTGGGTCCCTGACCCCCATGTAGCCTAACTGGGAGACAACCTTCCAGTAGGGGACAACTTACACTTCATACAGGTGAGTGCCCCTCTGGGACAAAGCTTCCAGAGGAAGGATCAGGCAGCAATATTTGCTGTTCTGCAATATTTGCTATTCTGCAGCCTCTGCTGGTGATACCCAGGCAAACAGGGTCTGGAGTGGACCTCCAGCAAAATCCAACAGACCTGCAGCTGAGGGACCTGACTGTTAGAAGGAAAACTAACAAACAGAAAGGAATAGCATCAACAACAACAAAAAGGACATCCACACCAAAACCCCATCTGTAGGTCACCAACATCAAAGACCAAAGGTAGATAAAAACCACAAAGATGGGGAGAAACTAGAGCAGAAAAGCTGAAAATTTGAAAAACCAGAGCACCTCTTCTCCTCCAAAGATCGTGGGACAAAGCTGGACAGAAAATGACTTTGACGAGTTGACAGAAGTAGGCTTCAGAAGGTCAATAATAACAAACTTCTCCGAGCTAAAGGAGGATGTTTGAGCCCATTGCAAGGAAGCTAAAAATCTTCAGAAAAGATTAGATGAATGGCTAACTAGAATAAACAGCATAGAGAAGACCTTAAATGACCTGATGGAGCTAAACACCATGGCACGAGAACTTCGTGACACATGCACAAGCTTCAATAGCTGATGCAATCAAGTGGAAGAAAGGATATCAGTGATTGAAGATCAAATTAATGAAATAAAGTGAGAAGAGAAGTTTAGAGAAAAAAGAGTAAAAATGAATGAACAAAGCCTCCAAGAAATATGGGACTATGTGAAAAGACAAAATCTACGTTTGATTGGTGTACCTGAAAGTGACGGGGAGAATGGAACCAAGTTGGAAAATACTCTTCAGGATATCATCCAGGAGAACTTCTCCAACCTAGCATGGCAGGCCAACATTCAAATTCAGGAAATACAGAGAACATCACAAAGATACTCCTTGAGAAGAGCAACCCTAAGACACATAACTGTCAGATTCACTAAGGGTGAAATGAAGGAAAAAATGTTAAGGGCAGCCAGAGAGAAAGGCCAGGTTACCCACAAGGGGAAGCCCATCAGACTAACAGCGGATCTCTCAGCAGAAAATCTATAAGCCAGAAGACAGTGGGGGCCAATACGCAACAATCTTAAAAGAATTTTCAACCCAGAATTTCATATCCAGCCAAACTAAGCTTCATAAGTGAAGGAGAAATAAAATCCTTTACAGACAAGCAAATGCTGAGAGATTTTGTCACCACCAGGCCTGCCTTACAAGTGCTCCTGAAGGAAGCACTAAACATGGAAAGGAACAACTGACACCAGCCACTGCAAAAACATGCCAAATTGTAAAGACCATTGATGCTATGAAGAAACTGCATCAATTAATGGGCAAAATAACCAGCTAACATCATAATGACAGGATCAAATTCATACATAACAATATTAACCTAAAAGGTAAATGGGCTAAATGCCCCAATTAAAAGACACAGACTGGCAAATTGGATAAAGAGTCAAGACCCATCAGCGTGCTGTATTCAGGAGACCCATCTCACGTGCAGAGACACACATGGCTCAGAATAAAAGGATGGAGGAATATCTACCAAGCAAATGGAGAGCAAAAAAAAAGCAGGGGTTGCAATCCTAGTCTCTGATAAAACAGACTTTCAACCAACAAAGATCAAAAGAGACAAAGAAGGCTATTACATAATGGCAAAGGGATCAATTCAACAAGAAGAGCTAACTATCCTAAATATATATGCACCCAATACAGGAGCACCCAGATTCTAAGCAAGTCCTTAGAGACCTACAAAGAGGCTTAGACTCCCACACAATAATAATGGGAGATTTTAACACCCCACTGTCAATATCAGACAGATTAATGAGATAGATGGTTGAGAAGGATATCCAGGACTTGAACTCAGCTCTACACCAAGCAGACCTAATAGAAATCTACAGAACTCTCCACCCCAAATCAACAGAATATACATTCTTCTCAGCACCACATCGTACTTATTCTAAAATTGACCACATAGTTGGAAGTAAAGCACTCCTCAGCAAACGTAAAAGAACAGAAATCACAACAAACTGTCTCTCAGACCACAGTGCAATCAAATTAGAACTCAGGATTAAGAAACTCACTCAAAACCACACAACTACAAGGAAACTGAACAACCTGCTCCTGAATGACTACTGGGCAAATAATGAAATGAAGGCAGAAATAAATACGTTCTTTGAAACCAAGAAGAACAAAGACACAACTTACCAGAATCTCTGGGACACATTTAAAGCAGTATAGAGAGGGAAATTTATAGCATCAAATGCCCACAAGAGAAAGCAGGAAAGATCTAAAATCGACACCTTAACCTCACAATTAAAAGAAGTAGACAAGCAAGAGCAAACAAATTCAAAAGCTAGCAGAAGGCAAGAAATAACTAAGATCAGAGCAGAACTGAAGGACATAGACACACAAAAAACCCTTCAAAAAATCAAGGAATCCAGGAACTGGTTTTTTGAAAGAATCAACAAAATTAACATACCCCTAGCAATACTAATAAAGAAGAAAAGAGAAAGGAATCAAATAGACGCAATAAAAAATGATAAAGGGGATATCACCACCGATCCCACAGAAATACAAACTACCATCAGAGAATACTATAAACACCTCTACGCAAATAAACTAGACAATCTAGAAGAAATGGATAAATTCCTGAACACATACATCCTCCCAAGACTAAACCAGGAAGAATTTGAATGTCTGAATAGACCAATAACAGGTTCTGAAATTGAGGCAATAATTAATGTCCTACCAACCAAAAAAAGTCCAGGAGCAGATGGATTTACAGCTGAATTCTACCAAAGGTACAAAGAGGAGCTGGTACCATTCCTTCTGAAACTATTCCAATCAATAGAAAAAGCGGGACTCCTCCCTAACTCATTTTATGAGGTCAACATCACCCTGACACCAAAACCTGGCAGAGACGCAACAAAAAAATAGAATTTTAGACCAATATCCCTGATGAACATTGATGCAAAAATCCTCAATAAAATACTGGCAAACGGAATCCAGCAGCACATCAAAAAGCTTATCCACCACGATCAAGTCGGCCTCATCTCTAGGATGCAAGGCTGGTTAAACATATGCAAATCAATAAACATACTTCACCACATAAACAGAACCAAAGACAAAAACCACATGATTATCTCAATAGATGCAGAAAAGGCCTTCAACAAAATTCAACAGCCTTCATGCTAAAAACTCTCAGGGAACTAGGTATTGATGGAATACATCTCAAAATAATAAGAGCTATTTATGACAAATCCTCAGCGAATATCATTCTAAATGGGCAAAAACTGGAAGCATTACCTTTGAAAACTGACACACGACAGGGATGTCCTCTCTCACCACTCCTATTCAACATAGTTTTGGAAGTTCTGGCCAGGGATTTCCGTCAAGAGAAAGAAACAAAGGGTATTCAATTAGGAAAAGAGGAAGTCAAATTGTCTCTGTTTGCAGATGACATGATTGTATATTTAGAAAACCCCATCGTCTCAGCCCAAAATCTCCTTAGGCTGGTAAGCAACTTCAGCAAAGTCTCAGGATACAAAGTCAATGTGCAAAAATCACAAGCTTTCCTACACACCAATAACAGACAAGCAGAAAGCCAAATCATGAGTGAACTCTCACTCACAATTGCTACAAGGAGAATAAAATACCTAGGAATCCAACTTACAAGGGATGTGAAGGACCTCTTCATGGAGAACTATGATCCACTGCTCAACGAAATAAAAAAGGACACAAACAAATGGAAGAACATTTCATGCTCATGGATAGGAAGAATCAATATTGTGAAAATGGCCATACTGCCCAAGGTGATTTATAGATTCAATGCCATTCCCATCAAGCTACCAATGTCTTTCTTCACAGAATTGGACAAAACTACTTTAAAGTTCATATGGAACCAAAAAAGAGCCCTCATTACCAAAGCAATCCTAAGCAAAAAGAACAAAGCTGGAAGCTTCACGCTACCTGACTTCAAACTATGCTACAGTAACCAAAACAGCATGGTACAGCATGGTACCGGTACCAAAACAGAGATATAGACCAATGGACCAGAACAGAGGCCTCAGAAATAACACCACACATCTACAACCATCTGATCTTTGACAAACCTGAGAAAAACAAGAAATGGAGAAAGGATTTCCTATTTCTTAAATGGTGTTGGGAAAACTGGCTAGCCATATATAGAAAGCTGAAACTGGATCCCTTCCTTACACCTTATACAAAAATTAATTCAAGATGGATTAAAGACTTAAATGTTAGACCCAAAACCATAAAAACCCAAAAAGAAAACCTAAGCCATACCATTCAGGACATAGGCACGGGCAAGGACTTCATCACTAAAACACCAAAAGCAATGGCAACAAAAGCCAAAATAGACAAATGGGATCTAATTACACTAAAGAACTTGTGCACAGCAAAAGAAACTACCATCAGGGTGAACGGGCAACCTACAGAATGGGAGAAAATTTTTTGCAATCTACCCATCTGATAAACGGCTGATAGCCAGAATCTACAAAGAACTTAACAAATTTAGAAGAAAAAAACAAACCCATCAAAAAGTGGGCAAAGGATAAGAACAGACTCTTCTCAAAAGAAGATATTTATTCAGCCAACAGACACATGAAAAAATGCTCATCATCACTGGTCATCAGAGAAATGCAAATCAAAACGGCAATGAGATACCATCTCACACCATTTAGAATGGCGACCATTAATAAGTCAGGAAACACCAAATGCTGGAGAGGATGTGGACAAATAGGAACACTTTTACACTGTTGCTAGGAGTGTAAATTAGTTCAACCATTGTGGAAGACAGTGTGGCAATTCCTCAAGGATCTAGAACTAGAAATACCATTTGACCCAGCCATCCCATTACTGGGTATATATACCCAAGGGATTATAAATCATGCTACTATAAAGACACATGCACACGTATGTTTATCGTGGCACTATTCTCAATTGCAAAGGCTTGGAACTAGCCCAAATGTCCATCAGTGGTAGACTGGATTAAGAAACTGTGGCACATATACACCATGGAATACTATGCAGCCATAAAAAGGATGAGTTCATGTCCTTTGAAGGGACATGGATGAAACTGGAAACCATCATTCCCAGCAAACTATCACAAGGACAGAAAACCAAACACCGCATGTTCTCATTCATAGGTGGGAATTGAACAATGAGAACACTTAGACACAGGGCGGGGGACATCACACACCAGGGCCTATCATGGGGTGGGGGGCAGGGGGAGTGATAGCATTAGGATAAATACCTAATGTAAATGACGAGTTGATGGGTGCAGCAAACCAACATGGCACATTTATACCTACGTAGCAAACTTGCACATTGTGCACATGTACCCTAGAACTTAAAGCATAATAATAAAGATAAATAAATAAATAAAGGTTTACATTATGAAAAGTTGAAAAAAAAAACCAAATGCAACGGTGCTGACTTGCCTTGCTTTAAATTAATGATCATGGGCCTAAATGATTTTGACACTTCCTTTCTCCTCCTCTGTTTTATTATCTCCCTCCTTAACCATCAGTCCGCACCTTGTACTTTGCTAATGACTTTATTTATTTTTTTCATCTAGATATAGAAGCAATCAGAAGAAAACTACCTGCTGTTCACACACATACTTTTCTGCATTGTCTCCTGTTTCACTGGATGTTGATCCTTACTCCTATCCTGTTATGGTCTCTACCAGATTTGATCCCCTCTTTCCTATGCAACGATTTTGCTCTTTCAATTATTCCCTCTCAACTGTATCATTAATTTCTCCATTTTTCAAATTATTTCTGCCAATATGCAAAAATACCAAACATCTTCCATCTTAAAGAGCAACAACAACAAAAAAAGCTCAAAAAATCTTTTGTGGAACCAAATCTCTTTCTAGTAATCTCCCAATTCTCTTCTCATTTTATAATACAATGACTCCAATGTATTAGCTACAATTTCTGCCTCATTTCATTTTTTCATTCCCACCACTACACTTAAACCTCTCTTGTAACAGTCATCAATATCTTCTTTGTAATCAAATCCATTGGTTGAAACTGAATAATCAGCAAAAATTCACATGAGTTTCCCATCCTTCCATTTTGAAATACCTGCCTCACATGGTCTATGGAACAACACATTCTCCTGGTTTCTCTTCTATTTGAAAGGCTTCACCATGTCAATGTTTTGATGGCTTCTTCTAAACTCTCTGACATTTAAATACTGGCTTGTCTGAATCTAGGGGATGTTATCATTTATTTATGAGCACAGAGTTAATTTTCACAGAGCTAGTGCCAATTTTTAGTTGAATTAACAGTATCTTCTCTTGTCTATTCTTTTTTGAAGCAGTACTCAACAATTATTTTCCAATTTTTTTGCTGAATATTTCTTCCATTCTTCTAATTTGGAAACTTAGATTTTCCTTTTGTTTTTCTGTTTCTTATTTTAAGTAATTTCAGTAGATTATGCCCTCCCATGTATTATCAAGTACAATAACTGAGACCAGGGAATTGACATCAGCACAGAGTGAGACCCTGTCTCAAAAAAAACTGAAAAACTTTTAATTGATTTATTTATGCACATATAAAGTACAAACATTAATTTATTTCTAAAATCCTGCATAATTTTACAAACTTCAACACATTTTATTTTCATCTTTTTTATTTGTTTTGTGTTCTCTGTTTTCGGTGCCCATTGTGTTCCATCAGTTGATAAGTTTTAATGGATAATGACTTGACTTTTACCTACTAACTGAGCAAAGAAATGAG